>NC_000002.12:163739618-164989618 GCF_000001405.40 Homo sapiens | reverse complement strand
GTGCTCCTGTAACAAAATACCACAGACTATTTTATAAAGAAAAAAATGTACTTTCTCACAGTTTCAGTGGCTGGAAAATATAAGGTAAGGCTCTAGGCATTTGATCTAGTGAGGGCCTTCTTGCTGCATCCTCACATGGCATAAGGTGGAAAGGCAACTAGACAAGCACTGTGTGACGCCTCTTTTATAAGGGCCTTTTAACTCCATTAGCCAGGAAGAGACTGTAAGGCCTAATCACCTCTTAAAGACCATCTTAATACCTTAATACCGATCTCAATCACTTCCTAATACCATCATATTGGCAACAACTGAACTTCGGAGGGGACACATTCAAATCATAACATATGTTGTAATAAGCTGCAAAATGTAAGTTTTAATAGAATAAACTTTTGTTTACCTCTATCATTTATTCACTCTATGAGTTTTTTTGTAATAAATTTTTATCCCAATATTATAACGATCTCTCAGGAAATCTCTTTATGGTCTGAGATCATCTGACAGCACCATGTACAATCTGTCCTTCTCATAGGAGCAGATGAAATCAACCAGTGGTATTGATGGTTATCTTTTCTTAAGCCGGTTATTGCAGGCATCTGTCTGTCTCTTTGTGGAAGACTCCATGCACATTACCACAGGAAGGAGATCTTGTGATGTAGGCAACTTCCTGGTTAAAGCTCTTGTCAGTTTAAACATGATTACTTACTTTCTGACGTTTGCACTAAGTAGAAAAATATGGTACTTAGAGTCCTAATGAGTATCAACTTTAACCTACCCCAAATGAGGTAAGATCATTGGATATCAGAATTGGAACACAATTTATGTCCTGAAAAAAATAATGAGAAAGATCAAATAAGAGTTATGTAATCTTACTGCAACAACCTAGCTGTAGGAAATAGACACCCTCTATCATCTGCCCCAAAAGATGGAGTGGTCTGAGCCACTAATCCAATTCTAGGGATCCAGATGATTCAGGTAATTCATGAATCCCATCTTCAGACAGAAGGCAAGAGCAGTGCATGAGATATCTCAGTAGCATGATATTCCATTTTATAGGAGCTAAGGGGAAATTGAAACTCTGTGTAGAGTCTCTGTCTCTTAGTGTACTGAAATTTCTCTTTCATTGTAATAAAAAAGATCTGGCCCAAAGGAAAAAAAATTGTCAAAAATTTTGGTATTTCTCAAGGCACCTGAACAAATATACCATAGCCATCTAGGGTTATATTGTCACCACCAGTTGTGTAATTAAAACAAAAAAAACCTTTAAAATTCAGTATCAGAAAGATATAATTAAGAAGAAGAATATCCTTTTATGTATGACAAATCAGCATGTAAATACTTAAAGACTAAAGCTAAGTTATTTTTAAACTATTCATTTTTAAATGATTTGTACAAACATTCCTCTAGGATATGACATTTAAAAATAAAATGTGATTCTATTTATAAAGTCTGTATTAAACAGAATGCTGTATTAAATAAATATATCTAATATGAATGGAATTAGAACTAAATTTTAGTTTGGACAATAGATATTTGTCCAAAAAACTTAAGATTGCAGAAAAGGCTACAATGGCTGATTTCCTTTGGCAAATGGTGGCATACTGCAAGAAAATTTTATCAGAAAATTTTTGTTTTGTCCTTATTTTAGCCTAAGAAAGTTTATAATTCAATTCCCCTTACAAATATATCATAATAAAGATTAGGTGAATTTACCTTGTAAGAGGAAAATTGGAAAAGAGGAAATATCATATAATTTGTAACAACATTTGCAAGGAAAATTCTATAATTAATATATGCCAAATATATTTAGTGAAACCAGAGTTTATTGTTTACCATGCAGCTAGAAGTCCTAATATATTTTTCTTTGCTCTTTTTTTCCTGTTTTTAATATAATCTGTTCCTAAAAACTGCCCAAGTCTTCACCAGCCAACTTAAGGTGATTCCGTGACACCCCATTAAGTTATCATTTATCCTCATTGATCTCATCACCTGCAAACTTTTCAAAGATACTGATACTCTATCTGTCCTTCCTAAATTACCATAGTTCCCTTCATCCCAGTTTCTACTACTACAAGTCGTTGGAAACTTGCTTATGAAGATTGTTACTAATAACCTAATCCCCAAATCAAACCACCTTTCTCTCTCCCTTTATCTCAGTCAAGTTTAATCAATATTTGGCCCTATTAATGTTCCTCTTTTTCCTTGAAATTTATTCTTTAGGTGTTTTATTCTAGCTTATCCCCCACATTTCTTTTTGACAGCTCATTTTCAATCTGTACCTCTTCTACACACTAAGGGCTTTTCTTTGGTTCTGACTTTTCCTCTTATTCACAATTGACAGTTCACATGACCTCATTCTGTATTTCCCCTCTCTCATTTTCCCAGGCTTAAACACTTGGAGAGATTTTCTCTTAACACTCCCCTAAAAATGTGAGTTTATCTCATGGAGATTTAATAAAGCAAATGCTCTCTCCACAAAGAGATATCGTTGGACTGCTAAAAATTCAACACTGTTCTCAACTAAATTTTCTCCATTTATATTATTAAGACAGACTAATTAAACCCACAGTTCTCCACAATGACAACTGCCCTTACAGATTTGCTTTAAAAAAGTAGTCCATATATTCACTAAAATCTAGGGGATATTTAATAATATGAGTGCACCTCTTTTCTCCTTTAGGATATGGACAGGAACTTTCATTCAAAGTCAAGGCACATGCCTAAAATATTGCAGTAAGACAGTCTTCTCATTGTCTGTAGCATATACAGACACTGCTTACTTCTCCCCTTAATTCACTCTTAGATACTGAACTAACACTATGTTAAAGCAGAAATATGCAAGAATGTACTCTTAATAAATAAGGTCCCTGCTTAGTTGTGGTGGTATAATGTGAGGGGAAACTCAGGCAGTAAACAAGATCAGAGAAAAAAAGGAGGCAAGACAATCATAGTTGACAATAGATCTGTTCTTAGTTTCAGTTCTGTCACCAATATCTCAGAAACCCAGAAACAAAGGATGTATGGCTAATTCTACCTGAGAATTTCAGTGTGGCTCCATTTTGATGCAATCAAAACTTGAACTCATTTTCCAAGATTGAAAGCAATAGTCCCCCTACATACTACATATGGCTGTCATTGTCATTGTCATTTCCCCTTAAAATCATTTCATACCCCATTATATGTTCTATTTATGAATACCTTCCTTGGTCCATGAATCTGCCTTCACTCTCCGTATTCTTCTTCAGACCTAGACAGTATGCTTTTAAGAACTGAGTAACTTCATTCAGGATATGGCCACTACTATGAAGATGACTTTTGGACAAAGGACTGGTTTTAGGAATCCTGAAAGTTTCTGGGAGACTTTACCAGTCTTATTTCTGCAAGTCATGATTACCACATATTTTGTAGCTAAACAATTGCTGTTCCTACACAGTAAGATCATCATCTTGGTAAGTGACATTTTCATCAGTATGGGTTATTCTTTCATTCCATAATATCCTATCACCCAGACTTGGCCTTCGGGTTCTGGTTCACCCTTAGATATTTATGTTTTACGTTCTCCTGTGACAGTTAATTTATCTTGAGCATATCTCAGTCCCCAAAAAAAATGCTCTAATTTTTTTATATTTTTAAATGACTGTCACAGCAGCATTATTCAGAATAGTTAAAAAGTAGAAGCAACCCAAGTATCCATCAGCGAATTCGGATTAAAAAATTCTGCAGGCAACCAAACTTTTATTCAAGTGAGAGGAAATCAGAAAATGCAAGTATCCATTTACCATTCATGGGGGAAATAATTCTTTGATACTTAAGAAAATACCACAGCTGACTAAAAGAATAAATAAAACTATTAAATCTCAAGAGGTAATATGATATTAAAAATTGATTATGTATACTGCACCCATTAAAATTAACATTAATAAATAATTACTAATTTTTAACATAAATATGTTACATAATTCTTGTATCAAATATATTTCTTGGGAAAGAAAATACACAAAATAAAAAAATAATATTTTTTATACCAGGAATGTGACCTAAAAAACTAATTAATTAATACATGTTGAGCAGGAGTAGAGAAGAGGAAAGTAAAAGTGTGATAATTCTCTTACATAGGAGAATCAGTAACAGTCTTCCATTCTTATAATTGGTTGAAAATTACATATATATGCTAATCTCTGTGTATATGTATATTTTATATACATATAATATGCATATGTGAATATAATATATGTATATATAACTGTAGAACAAAAATGTGCATTCTATAAATGGGAATATAGAATAAAATTTGTAGGAAAAAATAACTAATAGGAAAAAAGAAGAGCTACAATGACATATAAAGTATAGGGAAGAAGAAAACGGTAAGTATAAACCACAAAGAATAAAATAAAATGGCAAAATAAGACCATACCTGACTTAGCACAGTGAATATAAATGGCTTAAAAGGTACCAATAAAAGGCAAATACAATCAGATTATATCAAAAGGTAAAAATCTAAATTTACTAATTATAAGAAACACATATATAAACAAATTGACAAAGAAATGTTGAAAATAAAGGGGTTCAAAATCTTCCCTAGTCAAAAGGAATATAGAAAAGTTAGAGGAATAGAGAGGTAGAAATGTTAGAATCAGATACAGCATCATGTATCATGGCAAAAAATATGAAATGGATAAAATTATTATTATACACCTGTAAAAGTTACAATGCACAGTGCAAACATAAGCATCACAAACAATCCATACACTGAGGAAATACATAAAATAAAAACTGTTAGGAAGGAAAGGAAACTTTACCTAAAACTTTAAGATAACTGTAACAGATACATCGAGGAGATAAAACAATTTCAAGAATGACAAAATATCTTTAATAGGCATGACTAAGCTTTACACTATGCAGAGAATATGCCTTTTTCTGGAACATCCACGGAATGAACAGTAAAATTCACTATAATGGTTTTAATAAAGTGTGAGCATTTTGACTCATCCACCCCAAAAGGGCAAACTCTTTCCACACTCATTGTATAGCTCAGGATGTTAGGAATTAACCAATATTCTTTAGTCCTCGAAAGATCTTAACCTTGAAGACACTCAGAGACAACATACAAATAAAACCCACACCAGCCTCTCTGTGTGCTTTATCTGACTGTAGTAGGCTGAATAAAGGCCTCCAAAGATGTCCCCATTCTAAGCCCTGGAACCTGTGAATGTTACTTTACATAGCAAAAGGGACTATGCAGATGTGACTAAGAATCTTGAGATAGGGAGATTATCCTGGGGATTATCCAGGTGGGCCCTAAATGCAATTTCAAGTGTCCTTATAAGAGAGATTGAGAAGGAAACTTCACCACAGAGCAGGAAAAAAATCAGTGTGACCATGGAAGCAGAGATTGAAGTGATGTGGTCACAAGGCAAGGAATGCTGGCAGCCACCAGACACCAGAAGAGGTGAGGAACGGATTCTCCCCCGAACCTCCAGAGGGAAGACAGCCCTACTGTCACCTTGATTTTAGTCCAGTGATGTTGATTTCAGACTCTGGCCTCCAGAACTGTGAGTAAATAAATGTGTGTTGTTTTAATCCACTAAATGTGTGTTTTAAGCCACCTACTACAGGAAACTAATACTCTAATCTCCAGCTGGTTTCTCTCTCTGGGACTCTCCCTGTATCAGCAATGGTACTATCACTTTTCCTTGTCACCCAATCACTATGAACTTCTTCCCCTCTCACACCCATACCCAAAGTAACGGGTAGTGGGAATGGGTGGATGTTCATCCCACCTCTTTTTTTAATGAATACATTAAATAAAAGAGTATCTCCACAAGTTTGCCTACCTATCATTTTAAAGTAAAACCAGTTTAATTTGATTGTTGACCTCTCTGGTGAAATTGCTAGAAATGAAGAAAGTATCTTACCAACCTAAAGGAAATGGAGATAAAAGAGTTGGAGAAGAAGAATGATGCCTAAGGCAAGTCTTTAAAAAAGAGTTTTTCACATATCTTTCTCTTACCAAACTTTAGGTTGCTAATACATTTATCACTATAATTTGATTTTTAATTGATATTCCTGGTGAAAAATTGATACATTTGATAGATTCAGAGGCTGTAATAAAGTCATCTGTCCTAAGAACTAAGAAGTACACAGAGTGATGTAGTTCACTAAAGGTTTCCCCCACCTCAATTTACATGGGCCTTAACTTTCAAGAGATTCAACATGGCAGCTTTAATAATAATAATAATAATAAAAGAGGATCTTGTGTGTCCTTCAATAGTTGATTGAAAGTGTGGCAGGCCAGGTCTCACTAACAGCTAAATAGGCAGGCCTCTGCGACAACTGTTTCAGCACTGACTGAGTGGTTAATATAAATATTAAAAACTGATGGGGCCAGTGTCCTCATACAAAGGCTGGAATGTAACATAGCCCACCAAGAGTTTTGCCTAGGTCTTCCCTGGGCCTTGAAGCATGACAAGATAACGAAGGAATTCTTAACAGGACCCATTTAGGATTAAACAAGTTTTATTGGGGGTCTAAAGGAACTCCCTAGACCTCCACAAGTAAGCTTTATTGGGGACTAAAGGAATCTCCATGATTTAGCAGGAGACAAGATAAGGGTAATCACCATGGCACCTGGACCCATTTGGATTAAGAAAATGTACTGAGGCTCCAGAGGAAGGTCTTCAGTACTCAGATTTTAGTGATAGATTAGAAGTTGATTACTTGGCCGGACGCGGTGGCTCACACCTGTAATCTCAACACTTTGGGAGGCTGAGGCGGGTGGATCACCTGAGGTCGGGAGTTTGAGACCAGCCTGACCAACATGGAGAAACCCCATCTCTACTAAAAATACAAAATTAGCCTGGCATGGTGGTGCATACCTGTAATCCCAGCTACTTGGAAGGCTGAGGCAAGAGAATCACTTGAACACAGGAGGCAGAGGTTACAGTGAGCCGAGATCGTGCCATTGCACTCCAGCCTGGGCAACAAGAGCAAAACTCCATCTCAAGAAAGAAAAACAAAAAGAAATTGATTACTTATGTCTTTAGATGAATGCACACCTACACACTTAGACATATAGCTTAGAAGGTGTATAAGCTCTGGAAAGCTTTGTAATTTTGAGTTGGTCTGGCAATATTTCCCAGCCTTCTCCCTGTACCTAGTTATAGAAATAAACTCTCTTCTATCCCAGTTCATCTGCATCTTGTTATTGGGCCATGAGAATAAGCATAAAACAAACCTTCCTTTGATGCTGGTACCTAAGCACCAAACAATAGATACCAGCATCAAAGGAAGGTTTGGATACAATCTTCTTTCGTTTTGTCTGGATACAAGGAGCTAGTTTGGGTCTGCTCAGTTAATGTATCTATGCTCATATTTTCCTTCCTCAATTATAAAATAAATCAGAGGTGAACACTGTGGTTAGCCATAGATTAACCAAGAAAGCAGAAATCATCTCAAATGTTCACAGTGGAAGGAATGGAAAGCAGAGGTGGGTCCATGAAGAGTGGAGAGGTTGAGAATTAAACAGTGGGCTCTAAAATAATCCTGGGAGATTGAAGATGGCAGGAAGTCTTTATCATTCTTGGGCTGGAGAGACAAAAGGAAAACATGCAATTACTGGCACCAAGAGGACCACTCTAGGAGACTGAATCTCTGGTGGCCTCGATACAATGGGGGCTGGAGTCACAGAGAAGATAAAGCCCCTGGAGTGGCCACCTTAGGCTGAAAACAGGAGGGAGTGTCTTGATCTCCCTCCCCCAAAAACCACTCCTCACCCTGCTCTCTAATTTCCCGTGGTTGATATAATCCTGCTGCCCGTTGACTCAATCTTTTCAGAAATTCTCTGGAGCCTGAGAAAGTCATCCTGCCAAGGATCAACTGCTTCCCCCCAGAACAAAGCAGAGTAGAAGGATAGATCTGAGTGCAAACAGGTCCAGGACCAGCACACCGTATGGTAAAGTGTTTTTATGGTGTTATATAATAGAATATATCATTTAATTCAACTATTTCATTTTACAGAGAGGAGCTAGGGTCCAGAGAGATTAAACTGTTTACCTAAATGCACACACACAGCAAGCTTTTAGGTCTAAACACACAGCATGCTTTTATTAGGATTGTATTAGTTATGACACTGCTTAAGCCCTATTATAAAGTGCTTGGGAGCTGAGTCATTTCATAGTCATCCCTAGTACCTGATACAGCATCTGGTGCTTAGAAAACTCTCAATAAAACATTTATTGAATTCATACAGATTGAAAGAGAAAACATAGCTTATCAACCGATCTAAGGTAGCTTTAGAAAATTTCCAGTCATATAAGAGTGACTGAGCAAGTTAAACAAAGACTGCCAAAATTATGCCTCTTAAATGTTTTAAAAGGAATCATATATTCTCACTGGCCTGCGACGGTTTAAGTTTTCTACGATTCAAAACAAGAACAAAGATATGTTCCTTTTAACTATCATGCTAAACTATCATTTGAAATAATAAAAAGGATGTCAGCAATGAAAAGCTGTACAGGTTGTACAGAACAGATTGATACAAATAAAAAGCTAATAAATATTTATGTGGCCATGTGTGGGAGGTGTTGCCTAGAGTGTTTCCCCCACATCCCTGACTATGGAGTGAAAAAGGAAACTTAGGAAAAAATATACCCAAAGAGGGAGATTTAAATAGCACAGTGGGCAGTGGGGGAAGTGATGACTAATATTGCTGTTAGTAGTGGTTTAGGAACAAAAGAGACAAGTCAGTTGGAAACTTTCTGGTGTCTTCTGCTAGGGCTCCTTGCTAAAGCTGATGCTGGAAAGCAGGAAGGAAGGAAAGATGGAAGGAAAAGAGAGAGAGAGGGAGCGAGGAAGGAAGGAAGGGAAGTCATTAGAATGTAAGCTGAACACCCATTTCGTGCTTTTGGCCAAACAATAATACTCATGTTTAAAAGTTCATTTTGGTGGGAACCCAACTTAAGTAGAATTAATGAAATTCATACAGAACTTGAAATTCACTACCTAAAGTTATTCATTAAAAATGCAACATGCATTGAATTAATGTAGCAGCACCTGAAGGAAGTCAAAGAAACTCCAGTTTGAATTTTGGGAGAAAAGAAAGTATCATTTAATATGAAATAAATGAAGAGAACCTAAAAGAGCGAATGGCTAAATAAGTAGAAGAGGTTTTTTGCAAACTATAATTACTGGGGGATTTTTTACAGGAAGCTTCAGGAAAGAAGCTCTGACCCTCAGATAAGTCATTCGTCACCCAATCACTGGCTGCTAAATTACAGGCCAGGAAAAAGAGATCAAACATGTGCAAGAAGGAAGAAGAAGAAGGAAGAGGAGAAGAAGGAGGAGGTGGGGAAGAAGGAAGAGGAAGGAAAGGAAGGGGAAGCTGCTGTCGCTTTTTGGTTTCAGCAAAACCATACAGGGAAAAATCCCATTAGAGCTTTCTGAGAAGTTATGTCTGGGACAGATCTGATGGTAGGCTTGAAACTTCAAACAGAGTCCAAGAAAAATCCTTTTTTCTAGGTGGCTGAAATAAAATAAAATTTTAAGTAGTTGAAATGTTAAGTAAGTTGTTTTCAACAATTTGCAGATTTATGTCAGAATATATATTATGGGATTAAACAGATAAAATAATAATATTAAACATCAAAGTATTAATAGTGTGAGAGATGAATAATTTAAGGCAATTTCAGTTGCATCAGGTATTTTTTCTTTTTCTTATGAACAAGAATATAATTTTATTACTCTGTAGAGAGGTAAGTAAACTAGGAGAAACTCAAGAGCGGAAATGCAAAACATAATAAAATAGAATACATTCGATTTTAAAAGAATGTCTCTATTTCATTTGAGTGCTGGCCAAAAGATAATGGCATTTCTTGGAAGAAAAGCAGTTATCAGAATTTAAAATTTCAAAAACCTGTTTTAGGAAGACACATCATCACTTATGTAGTATGTAGTATTCTTGTCAACAATATTTTATCTAAATCTAATCATGATGAAACAATCAGAAAAATCCAAACTGAGAACAATCTGTAAAAGGAATGGTCTTTGTTTTGTTACATATATACATATACTATATATGTAAATATATATCCCAAAGCCGACCTTGAGAAAGAAATTCACTGAGCCATTCCTTACGAGTGTTCCCAGGAGAAATAGGAAAGTGAGAAGTCAAGTGGGTCCAAGAAGAATAAAGAGGCCAAGCCCAGTTGCATATCAGCAATCTCACAGAGAGAGCTGCCTCAGTCCCTCGAGGGCAAGTAGATGACCTCAGAGTTGTCCCATCAGTTGCTGCTTGGGAGCCACACTTTCAGCTCATCCTTGCACTTCATGCAATCTATAAGCCCCACAGGCAGAGCAGGTCCTGGCTGCCTGAGGTTATTCCCTATGAGAGAAGCAGATCTAGGTTCCTACAGCACAGTCTCTGCTGTAACTAAATAGAAGCCTTCATTCATGATTGGATTAGGGGGAAGGGCAGGTGGCTATGAAGGTTATTAGTCAGACAACAAGGACAATTTTTAAATGAGCTGTACATTAAATATTTAATTTTATTGTTGTTAAATTTTGAATGTGATAATTATGTCATGCTTATGTAGAAGAATATCCATGTACTTATAAGATACATACTGAAGTATTTAGGACAAAAATGCCGTGTCTAAACTTGTTCTCAAATAGCTTCACAAAAAAAGTAATATTGATGTGTATGTGTGAGTATATGAATGTATATACGCACATACATGTATACATACATTTAGTATTTATATGTATACATGTATGTAGACAGATTAAAATAGAGGAAAATATGGAAAAATGTAAACAAATGGTGACTCTAAGTAAAAAGATATATAGATATTTATTGTACTATTATTTTAACCTGTAAGTTTAAAATTTTTCAAAACAAATAGTAGGAGAAAAAAATTAGCACTTGTCATGCTAACTTTTTTTCAAGAAAAGTTGTATTTAAGATCAAACCAGGTGCGGTGGTTCATGCCTGTAATCCCAGTGCTTTGGGAGGCCAAGACAGGAGGATCACTTGACCCCAGGAATTTGAGACTAGCCCTGATAACATAGTGAAACCTGTCACTACAGGCCTGAGAGGTCGAGGCTGCAGTGAGCCATGGTCATGCCACTGCACTCCAGCCTCAGTGCTTTTATAAGTGTTCTTATATAAGGAATAAGTAAATTGCTTATATAAGATTTATATAGCTTTTTTTTTTTGAGATGGGATAGGCAATACTCTGGTAACAAACCATCCACAAATCTCAGTGAATAAAAACATAAAATCATTGCATATTGCATTAAGTTGCATTGAAAACCCAGTAAGAAAATTGTTGTAAATAAAATGAAATAAAAGTGGGAAAAATGAAGTCCTTAAGATCATTATATTAGGAAAAATTGTCTACTGACTTCTTGACAACAACAGGACTTATTTATTTATTTATTCATTTTACTTATTTATTTATTCATTTTTTGAGACAGCGTCTCTCTCTGCAGCCCATGCTGGAGTGCACTGGCGTGAGCTTGGCTCACTGCAGCCTTTACCTCCAGAGCTCAAGTGATCCTCTGATTTCAGCCTCCCAAGTAGCTGGGACCACAGGTGCGCCACCCGACCTGGTTAATTTTTGTATTTTTTGTAGAGACAGGGTTTTGCCAGGTTGCCCAATCTAGTCTCGAACTCCTGGGCTCAAGCCATCCATCCACCTGGGCCTTACAAAGTGCTGGGATTATAGGTGTGAGCCACTGTGTCCAGCCAGGACTTCTGATTTCTTTACTGTTTATTAGAGGGTGGACCCTATTCCTTCCAATCGTAACTCACTTTTTAAAGCAGTGATTCTCAGCCCTTTTGGTTTCAAATTTTTGGTAGCCTATTTAAAGAAGAGGTTTAAGATTCCCAAAATATCACCAGTCAAGTCTTGAATCATTACAGTGCACATACTTCCACCATATAATTCTGTCCCAGAGTGTCTGAAAAGTATCCATAACAACTGGTCAGCTCCATGTAACTAACTGCTTCAGTGGAAATGATTATTGTCTTGACCTCCTTCCTTTATACTTAAAAAGACAAATTTCTCATATGTTCCAGAAAATATGCCATCTTTACTTAGCACTATGCAGCTCATCTCTTACTTGTAGCAAGTTGTACCCAGTCTACATAATTTCTATAACCTACTACTCCATCCAGCAGTTATTTTTGACCAGCATTGCTGCAATAATACATATACTTGTTTAAGCAGAAGCTAATCTTACACGTTGGTTTTGACAATACCACTGTTTCACAGATATTTCCTGTTCTGTCTCCTTACATCCATATGGTAAGATTGTACATGCTGGTCCCCTTGTGGTGGGGTTAGGTGACCAGTTCTAGCACTTGTCACCCATAAGTGATGAGTAGAAGTGACAAACCACTTCTGGGCCAGAGTATTTACATGTTGATGGCAAACCCACCACATTTCTCTTTTTCTTCCAGCACAGTGACCCATGATTTTCAAGATGGTGGCTGCTTTGTCAGATGAATTCCGGAGTGACCACAAGCAGAGATCTCCTAACGACCCATGATGGGTAGTGTGAGCAAGTATGAGCCATCTAGTGGAGCAAGAAATAGTGCCTATATAAGCACTGAGATTTGAGGATGGTTTGTTACCAGAGAATTGCCTTCCTTATCCTGACCGATAATCAGATTTAATAATATACCTCGGACTGGTGTTGGCTCCATCATACACCAGGGAAACAGCTGTTGCCTAGTACTTATATTGCTTAAACATGTAACTCAAAACCCCTGGTTTAAATGAACTCCTAAGTGCATTATGCATAATATTTGTATAATTGGCTTTCGTAAACAAGACATTGCTATAGTTCTTTACAGAATTATGCTAATATTAGATAGATTATTCTTCATTTATCTTTATCTGTTCTGAGCAACTGAAAGAGGAAATATTTGCTATGAGAACACGTAAATATAGTATCATGAAAGGAAAAGAAAAAGCTCTGTTTTGTGGAAGGCATTAGTCCCCTTTGTTAGTCAAATGAAGAGAGACTATTTATTATACTTTAATCTTAAGGAATCCAAGATTGCTAAACTAATGGATAACATGTGACTAAGGAATGAATTAGTTGAACTTTTATTCTATGAGTTGCCACCATGAACTGTGTAATTATAGCCAGGTCCTTTAAATGCTTTGAATGTTTTTCATGCGCGGATAAGATTATTTCAGACCCACCAGGCCTTGAAGAAGGATCAAAGTCTTGTCAGACCTTTTGCCTAAAATTGAAAATATCATGTTACTTGGATTATTTATTTATCCCTGCACCTTGTTTCAAAAAGGATTTTAAGTAAATGGCATATTATTATTTTATTAACATGTTAAAAAAAAACCCATAAGAGGATTATAGAGTTTTTCCCTATCCTACTTCTCAGTGTGTTTTAAGCATACTGTAGAATTTATTCACTCATGAATTTGATACAAACTAAAGTGAAAATCTCTTCTCTAGAACTTCATAATGCTTAGAAAGCATAGTAACACGTTCAGAGAAAGAGGAAGATCAAATTTAGAGGAAGCTCTTGTTTGAGTTTCTGCTCCAATGAGTTTCCCATTCTAGATATTAAAATAATAGTATGTACCCCAGATAAAATACTCAAGTTTCTGTAAATTAAGGATTATGACTTGATTATATGTATTTTAGATTTAGAGCATGCATAAAAAATGATATCTTTTTCACCAACTAGTAGAAAAAAATTCAAGATAATGTTATGATTTTAATCTTCCATGATATGTATGTAATCTAAAATATCAAAACATCACTGACTCTGCATTATAGTTAAATATAAAAGGTGACTGACTTAAGCCAAATTAAAAAAAAATTGAGACAAGGTCTCATTCTGTCACCCAAGGTGGTAAGCAGTAGTGCAAACACAGCTCACTGCAGCATTGACGTCCTGGGCTCAAACTCTCCTCCCATCTCAGCCTCCCAGGTAGCTGAGATCACAGATACACACCACCACACCCAGGTAATTTTTTTTTTAAGTAAGGACAAAATCTCACTATGTTGTCCGGGTTCCAAATAAATTTTAACAGCTTAATTTTAACTATTCAAAAACTAAGCAAATACCTGAAAATTATTTCTTCTGAAAAACACATGCTAAATAAAAATCTACTATACTTATGGATTTTCAGAGGTCTTCTTAAATATAAACTCATAAATTCTTGTGGCTTTCCCAATTGTCACGTCTTCTTTCATGAAATGTTTTGTAAATTTTTACTATGGTATTGGACAGAGCATGAACCTCAGAATTGCCCAAATCTGAGTTCACTGACTTAATCAAGCACATATTATTAATATATAACCTTGGATAATTTATCAATTTAAACTGAAGAGCTTCATCTTCAACATTTCTAAATTATGGGTGTTATAAACAATAAATCAGGTTATTCCTTTACATTTAATAACTAGCACCCCACACTGTAATAAGTGTCAGTAATGCAACAGTACGGTAATATATAGGCAAAGCACCAACCAGAAATTAAGTATCTGTTGAATTTCTCTCTACTTTCCTTTTCCCTCAACCAATTCCTGAATAAATGTAGGGAGAAACAGGAATGTTTTAAGAAATCTTCTTCAACTAATATGAAATAGGATATCTGAAGACTCACCCTTCTGTCTTCCTAGTCTACAGTTTGTTCCACAGCTATTTTTGTGACTAAAGATACCAAAATTAGACATTACTTTTATCTCTAAATTTCAAGGCAGTTGTTAAGAACTATGATTAAACTACCAAAATAAAGAAACGTAGAGGAATAATGAACATTGACTACAAACTAAATGGATTGTCACATATTCTATCTGGTGATTTGAGAGACTGCCTCTCATACACTGTAATTCAATGGAAAAAATAGCATATACAAAATGATTACTTAGTAAGAAAAATTCAGACTTAAAACGAGTTGTCAATGTGATGTGCCATGTTAGAAATGAATAATAAAATGTGTGCGAAGGTCTAAGTAAGGCATTTTCCCCTTTTTTCTCTTTTAAAAAGTACTACAAAAGAGCAGTTTTTTTGGTTAAAAAAATTAATCAAAATTGCTAAATGAATGATGCTTTCAGAAGTTTCCTGTTTTTGACATCAGAGTTATATTATAATGCTCTATTTCCTGTTTCCTCATCTAAATAGAATTTTGCTTCAGGCAATTTTTTATCTGAACTTCTGTTTGTAGAAACCAGGGATATTTATTGAATTGTTTCTTGCTGGCTGTTTGATCTTAACAAAGTATTTAAATGGTACTGATGCCCTGGCTTGAGCAACGGAGCATCCCAGACTTTCAGTTAGTTGCACACAGCACACACAAAACTCATTTGAGTTACAGCTAAATGCAATTACAGGCCTCAGAGTTAATACATAGATCACTTCTTATTTAAGGCAATTCACCTTTGAATTGGTTAACCTTTAATTGTTTATAAAATAATAAGATGGGAAACAAAGTTGCTACCTAATATGTTAGTTTCCCCAAATAAACACTTATTTAAAGGTTCATTTGTTAATCAAGTATCTGGAACTTGAAATACATTTTTATGAAAGGAAATACATTTTAGGTGATGATTAGGTTTTTATCAAGAGCTGAAGTTTTTAATAATGAACAGGGAGAGATACTGTGGCAAAACAGTAATTGAATAAAACATACATTCAATAAAATGATATGAAAAATCAATGTTTCACATTTATCCTGAGTCAAATATAGAGAGAATTAAATTGAGGACGACAAAGTGTAGTTTCTAATCATTGTTCCACCACTATTTGACCTTGAGCAAATTGCCTGGAGACCATATTTGGTAGACAGATGAGGATGTACACTTTCTTTTAAATACTTGAGAATTAGCTTAAGTGCTCTCATTTGACAACTTGCTCAGTATTTCATAAATGCCAGGAAATTAGCTCAAATCCTCTGATGAGCTGCATTTTCTGTGTTCAATTTGTATAAATTCAATAAATATTTATTGAGGGTCTTCCATATGCTGGGTATGTGTCTTAGCAAAATAGTTTTAAAGTACAATATGAAAGATCTGATGCTCAATAGTATATCATTAGTGAATTGCAAATTAAAATCTAAATGAGATATCACTATATATCCACTGGATTGTCTAATAGTTTAAGTTGTCAGTATTAAATATTGAGAAAAATGTGGAGCAGCTGGAACACTCATACATTGCTAGTGGGAGATTAAAATGGTGCAGCACTTTGTAAAGCTAAACATATATTTACTATACTACCCAATAATACCACTAAGTATTTACCAAGAGAAAACAATTTTCTACACGAAGACTTGTACATGAATGTTCACAGCAGCTTTATTCATCATAGCTAAAAACTGGAAACAACTCAAAAACATGTAAGTAAATTGATGAACAAATTGTGGTATATCAATTTAATGGGATACCATCCAACAATGAAATAAATCAATGAATGATAACACTGATTGACATGAATAATCTCAAAATCATTATCCTATGTTAATGAAGCCAGACACAAATGAGTATTTCGTATATTATTTTATTTGCATAAAAATTTATAACAGGAAAATCTAATCTATAATGGAAAAAAGTAGATTTGTGGTTGTCTGAGCTAAGGGGTAGAGGAAGATTGACGGACTGCAAAGTGCAAAAGGGAACTCCTTGGGGGTGATGGAAATAGTCTATATCCTGATTAGCAAGATGGTTACATGCATGTGTACCTTTCTCAAAACGCATAGAACATACACTTAAAATGTGCAGTGCTGGCTGGGTGCAATGGCTCACACCTGTAATCCCAGCACTTTGGAGGCCGAGGCGGGTGGATCACCTGAGGTCAGGAGTTCAAGACCAGTTTGGCCAACATGGTGAAACCCCATCTCTACAAAAATACAAAACTTAGCCAGGCCTGCTGGTGGGTGCCTGTAATCCCAGCTACTTGGCAGGCTGAGGCGGGAGAATCACTTGAACCCGGGAGGTGGAAGTTGCAGTGAGCAGAGATCGTGCCATTGCACTCCAGCCTGAGCAACAGAGAGAGACTCCATCTCAAAAGTAAACAAATAAATAAATAAATAAAATGTGCAGTGCTTCAGTTTTCTGAAGATTTCCAGGAGCTTCGGAGGAATTAAACAACCTTTGAGGTAATGACAGGAATTTGAGTTGAGAAACCACCAGCGATGTCAGAGGGATTTTCAGAACCCATGAAATCAGTTCACAAGAGAAAGGGAACACTTTCATCTTTTAAGAAGTCTGCTTACAGTAATATCAGTCATGTATGAACTTGAAAGAGAGGCTTTTCCCAGACTTTCAAATGCCAGAGCTGCCAAAATCTGAGTTCGGCAAAAATGAGGAGGGCAGGGGGTCAAGTAAGAGATGCGAAGCCAACCAGCCTTCCCACTGCCTCCCAGACTGCAGGTTCCCACCTGCTTCTCTGCAAAGCTTTAATTACTAAATTGAGACCCTCTGACTCTATTGCCTAGTGGTCATGGGGGCTGTTGGAAATGTCATTCAGTAGCAGGAAAACGTTTCCCCATTGAATAAATTTTAAAGGGAAAAGTGAGAGAGAAAAAAAGTAGTGTCTTAATTACAATATGTTTGCTATGCTAGTGCAACTTCCAGACAAACAAGTAACACCACCAATCACCCTCACTCTCCTCCTCTCTGGTTCCAATTGGATTGCCTAAAAAAAAAACTTGACGCCGCCACCATCTCAGTCAATTAATTTCGTAAAACTGCAGATGCTCGTGCTCCTTGCTTTGAAGGATGTATGTGGGGAGGGGGAGATGTTACAAATTAAAATGGTGAGGAAGGTGTTTTAAGAAGAGCAAATAGAAACTGTGCACATGTAAATACATAAGTAGCAGTTAATAGTGTTAAGAAGCATCAGCCTTTCCTTGTTCCACTGAGCACAGTGATAAGGACCTAAATCTCCTGACATGAAATAGTAAAGACTCAATACCACTCCATCCAAAATGGAATCCAGTCTCTGGGAAGAAAGAGGAAGAAAGGATAGATTGAGGAAATTGATGGATGGAAGGGGTGAAAAAGGAAGCTAGCAAAGAAAGAAAAAGAAATTCCTAGATTTCCATCTGAGACAGGTTCTATTTGGGCTAGCTGGTGACATGATGAAAAAGTTTTTAAATGTTTGCACCATTTTCTGGACCCCAAATGCCACTCTCCAGAGATACTGTGTAGCCCAATTGACCAACCCAGAAGATCTGAGCTCTTCACAATACTGATCCTGGAACCCGGACTTCCTGTTTCGTGAAGGACCAGAACTTGGTATCATGCATATGTATTATTAACCCTTTAACTACTAAAGACCATGTTTCTTGTGAATATTTTTATTATCACTGAAATCACTGAAGGAATTAAGTTGCCTCCTTTGAATCTTATCAGATTCAAATAATGTCAGTTAGTAGCTTAACAGAAAAGTAACTAGAGATAATTTGAACCAAAACAGAACCTATAACAAATGAATAATGGAACAGTAATAATTCCAGAGTTTGCTGTGGAATAGAAAATTATTTCAAAAGGAATTTCTAAGAGGAAAATATTTCTTCTAACTAGGGCATAGAAAAATATACAAATGAAAAGGTTTTTTTTCCGTGTACCTGAATCTAAAAGGAGTTATGGTGCCTTGATAGCCACTGGCTATTTAAGCTAAAGGGAACAGTGTACATGGTTTATTTTCGCTCTTCTCCGGCATTTAAATTCTGTGTGAGTGTGTGTGTGTGCACATATGCGTGTATGCATTAGACTTGTTAGATTGCTCTTATTTTCCCCAAAAGGCACCAATTGGTAAAATGCACAGGCTTTTCAGTAGGACACACCACCTGATTCTTACAACACACACACACACACACACACACACACACACACACACACACTCCACACTGTCTTCTTACGGTTTGGTTTGGATTTTGCTACTTTTAAACATTTCCAATCTTTCAGTCTGTAGCTTCTTTCCTTTAGATAATTTACATTTTATTGGCAATATGTTTTACATTATTTAATCACCATTTTTTAAGTCATTGTAGTAGGGACGTTTAAGGCCAGGCCAACCTCATGCATAAAAAGATTCAGCAAGAGATTTGCTGTCCTGTGCTTCCCACCACATCTGGGTCAGGCCCCTGCAAAGCAAGGTCATGGGAATGTGGCTGCTGTCTGAGTTTTTCCTTTTCTAGCCCTTAGGGGCATGAAGGTCCTTTTGGACATTGAGTTGAAAAAGGTAGTAGTATTTATAACAAATCTAAATGGATTCATATGATTCTTACCCATGCTATTTTAAAACTTCTTTTAAAAGTCAGGCTGAGCTCCTATGGCAAGTGGTCACTTTGTTCATACTGACATTTTTTAGAAAATACCTTAGGGTCTCATGTGAGTAAGAAGTAGATTGCAAGAACTTTGAGAAAGGAACACAGCTAAGGAAGGGGTAAAAGAAAGATGAACTGAAATTAAAAACAAATGTATTCTGTAAAATTTTTTTAAAAGGTAGAGATACCAAGAAATCAAGGGGGAAACATGCATTGTTGCATTCTTGCTTTCACTTCATTTTCTCACATGGATGATATAGAGAAATCAACCGCTAATAAGAATGAAGCCACTTACTATGACATATTATTTTTAACTCATGAAACATTCATAGTGCTTCATATCTCAAAAATATATTTTACATCTTTGCAAATTGTGCACCTTTGCTACTGTTTGTCTAGCAATAGGCCCGTGGTACCCCCAAAGTTAACAGAAGGAAAGCATGTAATAAAAGACAATATTATAAACTAAAAAGTAATGAGAAATGATAATAAAACTAATCAGAATCTACCTTTATTTGATTCCAAAAACTCCTTTCTCCTTACTATTTTATTTACCCCAGTGATACATGTTTCTTATTCTCCATATCAGGAATTGTCATATTCTCCCTGAAATGGTTAGGCTTTTTGTCCCCACCCAAATCTTATCTTGAATTGTAATCCTCATAATCCCCACATGTCATGGGAGGGACCTGATGGGAAGTGATTGAATCCTGGGGTGGTTTCCCCCATGCTGTTCTTGTGATAGTGAGTGAGTTCTTACGAGATCTAATAGTTTTATAAGTGTCTGGCATTTCCTCTGCTGGCACATCTCTCTCCTGCCGCCCTGTAAAGAGGTCCCTTCCGCCATGATTGTAAGTTTCCTGAGGCCTCCCCAGCCATGTGGAACTGTGAGTCAATTAAATCTCTTTTCTTTATAAATTACCCAGTCTTGGGTATTTCTTCCTAGCAGCATGAGATCGGACTAATACCCTCTCCTTATCTCATTTTTAATGATAAGGTCGAATTCTAATCCTACTAGTGAGAGACAGGACTAGCTGGATTTCCTAGGCCAACTAAGAATTCCTAAGCCTAGCTGGGGAAGATGACCACACCCACCTTTAAACACGAGGCTTGTAACTCAGCTCACACCCGACCCATTAGGTAGTAAAGAGAGCTCACTAAAATACCAATTCGGTGAAAAAAGAAATAGTCAAATCATCTATCACCTAAATGCACAGGGGGAGGGACAATGATCAGGATATAAACTCAGGCATTCAAGCCGGATTGGGAAACCCCTTTGGTCCCCTCCCGTTGTATGGGAGCTGTTTTCACTCTATTAAATCTTGCAACTGCACACTCTTCTGGTCTGTGTTTGTTCCAGCTCGAGCTGAGCTTATGCTCCCCGTCCACCACTGCTGATCGCCACTATCGCAGACCTGCCGCTGACTTCCACTCCTCCGAATCTGGAAGGATGTCTGCTGCACTTCTGATCCAGAGAGGCACCCAATGCTGCTCCCGATCGGGCTAGAGGCTTGCCATTGTTCCTGCATGGCTAAGTGCCTGGGTTCATCCTAATCGAGCTGAACACTAGTGGCTGGGTTCCACGGTTCTCTTCCGTGACCCACAGCTTCTAATAGAGCTATAACACTCACCGCATGGCCCAAGGTTCCATTCCTTGGAATCCATGAGGCCAAGAACCCCAGGTCAGAGAACAAAAGGCTTGCCGCCATCTTGGGAGCAGCCGCCACCAACGTGGGAGTTCTAAATACAAAGACCCTCCGGTAACACTAGCATCATGGAATAGAGGAATTACAAGTGGTAGAGGAATTTTAATGCCATCTAGTGTTTCCATGTGTATGAACCATACTGCAGGCCACTGCTCAAACCCACCTTTAGCTCAAGCTGTTTTCTTCATTCTCACTCCCTACTGCTTTGTAGGGAAGCCACTGTAGCTGGCACAATGGCCCATTGACTGGATAAGGGATTGGTAACTAGCCCAAGAAGAGCTCATCCCTAGGCCGTGTTAAAATAATTAATTGGGAAACCATCAAACTGAGGTGGCTCTAGTCCCCTGAGTTCCTACATGCGAACTCAAACCCAACTCAGAGGGAATGGTCATAGCCTAGGAAAATGAACTTAAGCTTAACCAATCAGAAACTGCCAACTAACCTCTAACTAGGGACTTTAAGCCTACTTTAGCCAATCAAATGTTTTCTTTGTCTTGCTTCCGAGAACACCTAATAAAACTTTTTCCGTTATTCCCCTTCAGTGGAGCCCAACCTGGTTGTGGTTTGGCACTGTGAATTCATGAATCACTGTCTGCTCAAATAAACTCTTTAAAATGTTAATGTGCTTAAGTTTATCTTTTAACAGCTGGCAGCCTCCTAGGAGGAGGTGTGGTTCAACAAGCTGTGCTCAGTGGAGGCAAAGGTATGTAGCTAAGCCTGTCAGACTCACTTGTTCTGGAATTTTCCCCAGAGAACTCAGTGACTAACCAGTCAGTTGCAAGAGAATAATGAAGTAGCCCTACAGATAAAAGCTAAGATTCCATGAGAAAAAGATCACGCTGGCCATGACAGACAGAGAAAAGAAAAATCTAGGGATACTTGGAATCTTGACAAATTTTCTAGTCCTAGATTCATTACAAAAATTTTTCTAATCACCACTTTCCCCATTCCTAAAGAAGCTCAAGTAGGTTTTTGTTTACTCACAAGCAAAGGAGAACACCTAGCATCCTTTCTATCCTTCGTCATCCCCTACAATGTCCTTGCCCAGTGGTCACGCTCAGGTTTAAATATCTCTAGTAATAATTTACCACTCAGTTTATCCCAAGACATCTCTAAGTAATTAGGTTTTAAAGCCATTGGTTATATTGAGTGAGCCTTTCAACCTCTGAGTCTTTATTCTCTGGCTACTTAAAGCACTGTGAGACTCAGTATCCTCTCATTATTCTGATCCCTCTCAATTGTAAATGTCCCAGTTGATCTGTAACTTTCCTCAAATTGTGGCTTCCAGAGCTGAAAACAATAGTCCATGTGTGGTGTGACCAACACAGATGGCCTGGATTATTGTCATCCTTGTTCTGTGTAATTTATTACAAGTACTTTACCTGACTGTGTTAGACTTTTTTCTCAGCCCCATTAAATTGTTGCATTATTTAAACTTCTTGTTAATTAAAAGCAGTATTAGAAATGAGTTGGAGATAACACACATGTTCTTACCTTGCACCTATACAGTTGGTTTTTCAGATTCAAGGTCAGGATGTTATATTTGTAAGTTAAACTTCATTTTTGCTAGGCTAAATTTCACGTTTCCAGCCTTCCATCAAATATCACTGACCACCCACCCCACCCTCTTATGATCATTACTTCCTCTAAATTGCTCCAACAAATATATCTATTTCACTCATTTGGTACATCTCTTATTCTACCTAATCAAGTTAGTCAACTTATAATGAACATTGGTTCCAAACTATAGAGCATACATATCTTGTTTTCAGAATCTATAGAATGCCACACACACAATCTTTATTGGTAACTAGTAATGATCAAAAATGAGAAATGTAGGCATATTCAATAGATCCTACATTGTTTTCCTAATCACAGCCTGTGAGCTTTCAGATATGTTACTGGGGCAATTTCAGCATTGGGTCTGATTTGTGAAACCTAGCACATTCTTTCCCCTCCTTATAGAGGATGAGTAGATAATCCTTTTGAAATGTGAGTGGATAATGTATAACTTCAATTGCTAGTCTTTTGGGTGTCCTTAGCATCTTTTTAATACATTTCTACTAAACACTTCTAAGATAGACAGTGGTCTGTCACAGGCAGTTGAGAAGGGCCATTTGGCTTGAGCTTTCAATGTTTGAAAAGCCTCAGATTAGTGATGTTATATCTATGAAACCACCTTTGTAAAAATTGTATCAGTAAGAAAATACTGGCAGTGGGGGAGATCCGATCTAGCCACCCAGCTTTTGCCTTAACCCTTCAAGCTGTCCTTAGTTATTCCTGGACTTGGGCGAAGCTAACTTTGGGAAACATTTAGTTTACAGTTTAAGTGATAATAGTCCTTCCCATAAACTCAACTGCTTTTGTAAAGCAAAGGAAAGACCACCAGGCTAAGAGGATAGAAGAGCCTGAATTCTGCTAAGGTGCAGACATAAAGGATTGCTAGCCATTATTCTGGAGATTACAAAATATACAACTTCCCCAATTACTCCAGCAAATAGCATCACTACTGCAGAACCTATGATTGGCCTTTTGAGATATCTTTTCAGGTTTTTTTGCATGTTTCATAACCAACGGCCCCACCTAAACCCACCAAAAACTAGCTTCTGTGGCCCCACCCAGAAGCAACTCAGTGCACAGGAAGACCATTTCCACATCTCTGTGATTGCACCCCCAGCCAATCAGCAGCAAGCACCTATTGCCTCGCCACCCCCACCCTTTCGCCAAAACTACCTTTGAAAAACTCTAGCCATAAAATTCTTGGAGAGATTGATTTGAATAATAACTCCATCTCCCACATAGCAATGGCTGGCCTCATGTCAATTAAACTCTTCTTTTACTGAAATGCCATGGTCTCTGTGAATTGATTTTGTTTGCGTAGCAGGCAGGAAGAACCCACTGGGCAGTTACACCTACAGCAGCATAGATACACTAAAATTAAAACATGTCACTCTTAATCTTAAACTTATGACCCATTATAACACCACCCCATTTTAAGCACTATAAATAAATAATTTTAACACATCCTTTAATTATTGTATGAATAACAATAATATTACACTACATTTGGGTTTAAAAACAAAGTGTTAATTTGTCAAATGGTTAGAAATGTATCACAATTTTGTATCACTCTTTTCTAAAATGTATTTTTCAAAATATTCTGGTTGCATTAGTAAATGGAGATGAGCCAGGCTTTTCTGTCTTTTAGAGGCCCTAGAGGCAAATGAACATCATAATTTCATTACTTAAATGTTCTCCTGATGGTCCTTATTGCTGTCCACATGAATCTTATTGTCACTTAACAACAAGGCTTTTTAATTGCTAATTCCTGTTTGGATTGTTTCTTCCATTTGGAACATTTTTAATGAGCAGCAGTGACTGTGTGAATCACTATGCTACGTTCAGCGGGGAAAAAAAAAACTTCATCAATAGCAACACAAACGTGATCCTTTCCCTCAATAAGCTTACCATTCCCACAGATACAACCATACTTAGCTATGGCATGCAATAAAGGATCGAGTATTGTATTTTAGGAGTAAACAAAATTACCCATGACCAGAAAGAAAAAGACTTAAGTCAGATTCAGAGATGTGGGGAAAGTTTGCCAGCCTCACATTTCTACACTATGGGCAATCTTGTCTCTAACCACAAAGTCTTTTTGGTCCCTTTGCTCCCACTTCCTGATTTTAGCACCACTGTCATTCTTTGTGGCAAAGAGTATTTCTAGCAAACATCATATATAAGAAGGCACTGCTGTAGCTGGGAGAGGATGCACAGTCACAGTTGTCCCTAATACTTCTACTGCCAAGGTTCCACTCCACTCTGTGCCCCAGGTTGCATGTTCTTTAGTAGTCTCTGTCAAGTGTACTACCTTGCCAGAATCTGGTCCTCCTGGCCAACCCATCCTAAGGGTATACAATGTCCTTTGTCCAGGCCAAATTGAACTGATACAGGGATGACATAATGCAAATGGAACTTCATTAAAACAAAAGAAGAAAAAAGATCAAAATCGGTAAATGAGCTCTTACTTATTCTAGTGTAACCTTCATAGATCACGTTGACTAAAAGATACTAAAGGGTACCAAGCCCCCAATTTTGGTTCTTCTACCCTGTCATTTTGGGTGTGTTTTGGGCATATTCATTAGTGAGTGATAAAAGCTGATATTATTTGAAGATAATCACAGTTTGCTTATCCACTGTCTTGCATTGTGTTATTCACGTTATAGCTGGCATGAAGATGTTACAGAAAAGGGGTACCAATCCAGACCCCAAGAGTTCTTGGATCTTGTGCAAGAAAGAATTCAGGGTGAGTCCACAGAGTAAAGTGAAAGCAAGTTTATTAAGAAAGTAAAGGAATAAAGAATGGCTACTCCTTAGAGCAGCCCAGAGGGCTGCTGGTTGCCCATTTTTATGGTTTTCTTAATGATATGCTAAACAAGGTGTGGATTATTAATGCCTCCCCTTTTTAGACCATATAGGGTAACTTCCCAATGTTGCCATGGCATTTGTAAACTGTCAGAGCGCTGGTGGGAGTGTAGCAGTGAGGGCCACCTGAGGTCACTCTCATGGTCATCTTGGTTTTGGTGGGGTTTAGCTGGCTTCTTTATTGCAACCCATTTTATCAGTGAGGTCTTTATGGTCTGTATCTTGTGCCGACCTACTATTTCATCCTGTGACTTAGAATGCCTTTACTGTCTGGGAATGCAGCCCAGTAGGTCTCAGCCTCATTTTGCCCAGCCCCTATTCAAGATGGAGTTACTCTGGTTCAAACGCCTCTGACAAAATGACTAAGCTGTAACAGTCACCTCCTCCAGCTTCTGGAGCCAGGAAATGGTACGTGATCTTACAAAGAAAATATTATGAACTGAAAAAAGGAAGGATCAAATTTCAGTTTGGATTTCCAGTAGAAATACTTTTTTCCACACAGACTTTAAAATTATATTTTCTATCACATATGCAGAGAATACAGGCAGCAAAGTGAAAGGTGCTGAGAGTACACTCAAGTCAGTCAGAGCTTCAGTTTTGGTGGGCCAGTCCTCACGTTAATGATCAAAGACTAAGAATTCTCTGTAGATCCCAAAGTAAACCTTTGACAGTCATGCTGACCAGACACTTAAGGATATATGGATGAGACCAACAACCCAGGACACAGAAGGATCCATACCATATTGGAAAGAGAGAGTATTATTCTAGATATGTTATCCAAGATTTCTTAGCAGTTCATTAGTGAGACTAAACTAAAAATATCAGAATCCAATGATTTATAGCTTATTATATTTGCATGTAATGGTAAACCATATATATTTACCAATACAGCATTTAATGAAGCACAAGGAACTCTCCTATTACTTCCATAAGAAATTCAGTCAAAGAACTTCTTTAGGTCCTGTTCTAGAGAAATATCTAGATGGAATGAAACCTTTTTGACTATTAGATCAGTCTTGGTACCCAGCTGGAGGTGTATTAATCCAGGTCAGATTTGTCCATAAATGACAGAATGCCCCAAGTAACAGCTATTTAAGCAAAATTGAAGTTTATTGCTTTCTCATATCTCCACGAACACCCAGATCTGGAATATCCACCAGGGACCCAGACCCCTCTGTCTTATTATTCAGTCATCTTCAACATGAAGTTTCCAACAGGTGGTTGCTTCAGGGAAAAGCTCCAGCTTCAGCCATCATGTCTCTGCATTCTGGCCAGTGAGAAGGAGCAAAAGAAAGGTAAGGCATTATTTTCCTTCTCATTAAGGACTTACAGTTCACCTGCATCTTCTTCTTGGTCAAACTTAGCTGTATGACCACAACCGGTTACAAGTAAGGATGTATATTTCAGTTCTCTTTCCAGGTAGCCACAGTCAAGACCAAAATCAGAGTCTCTTTCAGGGTGGAGGAAGAGAAAATAAATATCTAAAGCCAAATAGCAGTTTCTCTTGCACCAAAATTCCCTCTATCTTATATGATTTTGGCCTAACGAAGTATTTTTCTGTTTGGATATATCAGCAGAAAACATTAATCAGAGCTTATTACAGGCCAAGCAAATAACTAAATACTTTAAAAATAGTATTATGGATTAAATTGTGTCTCCCTGAAAAGAGATGTTGAAGTCCTAACCCCTACTACCTTAGAATGTGACCTTCTATGGAAATAGATGTAGGTGCACGTGTAGTCAAGTTAAGGTGAGGCCATTAGGGTGGGCCCTAATCCAATATGATAGGTATCCTAATAAAAAAAAAACGGAGGGGATAATTTGAACTCAGACACAGACAAGACATGCACAGAGGGAACAGTGTGTAGAGACACAGGGAAAATGCCATGTGAAGATGGAGGATTGTAGTGTTGCATCTACAAGCCAACCACAAGAAGCTAGGAAAGATTCTCCCTTGTAGGCTTCAGAGGGAGCATGGCTCTGCTATTGCCTTGATTTGGGACTCCTAGCCTTCAGAACTGTGAGACAATAAATTTCAGTTGTTTTAAGTCACCCAGTTTATGATACTTTATTAAAGCAGTTTTAGGAAACTAATAGAAGTCTAGGTCACCTCCAAAGTTACTAGATAGAAGCAATAAGTTCTAGTGTTCTATTATGCTGTGGGGTGGATATAGGTAACAATGTATTATCTATATTCAAAAAGATAGAAGGGAGGATTTTGAATGCTCATAACACAAATAAATGATAAATGAGGTGACGGATATCCTAATTATCCTAATGTGATCCTTACACATTTTATACATGTATCAAATATCACTCTGCACCTCATAAATATGTACAATTATTATATGTCAAAAATTAAAAAATTAGCTTATCTCATTTAATTCCCAAAACTACCACTTTGAGAGAGGTACTCTTAGTTTTCCCTTTCTACAAATAAGCACATTAAGGCTCAAAGAATAAAGGAACTTGCCAAGATCTCTTGAACTTTGATTCAGACCCAGTTTTTTTCTGATTCCAGAGCTTGAGCTCCCAATACACTATACTAACTAAATAACCCAAAGCACATGTTTTTAAGATCTGCATCCTTTCTCAGCTTGAATACTATAAGAGATAACTGTGAAGTGTTATGTACATATTAGGTGAGATTAGTACCCCATAGGTCCCCCCATCCTACCCCATAGGTAGCATGATATTGGAACCTATCATCCAAACAGGGACACTTCTGAGAATGACAAAGATGCTTGATATAGTTTGGATGTATGTCCCCACCCAAATTTCATATTGAAATGTAAACCCCAGTGTTGCAGGTGGGGCCTGGTGGGAGGTGAGTGGATCATGGGGGCAGATTTCTCATGAATGGTTTAGCACCATCCTCATGGTACTGTCCTCGCCATAGTGAGTTCTCTTGAGATCTGGTTGTTCAAAAGTGTGTAGCAACTCTCTGGCTCCCTTGCTCCTGCTTTGCCTCCTGCCATGACCTTAAGCTTCCAGAGGCCTCCCCAGAAGGAGATACCAGTGTGATGCTTCCTGTACCTCCTGCAGAACCATGAGCCAATTAACCTCTTTTCTTTATAAATTACCCAGTCTCAGGTATTTCTTTATAGCAATGCAAGAATGGATTAATACAATGCTACTTATGATTACATTGGGACAGGAAGCCTAAATGACAACTATCTTGGGCAAACCAGGGCTTACTCACATGCTAATACTTACCTTATTGCTCAGTGTCCCATCCACTCTGACTCCTAACCAGAAATGTCACCGTAGCAGACTTACAGAATTCTAATAATTACAGTTAGAAAACATGAAAATACCTTAATTATGCAATAGTAATAATAATAATATGGTAGCACACAAATAATGTATTATTTCATGAGTAATATACAGAGCACATAAAATAATTACAAAAATGATGTTTAAGGTGATGAATCCTAAAAAAAGATATATTTTGATTATTTAGTTGAACATATTAGAGAAGACTTCCCAACAAAGATTGAGACATCTACCTCTGGAAAATTTAAAAAGAGAGAAAGTAAGGTTTAGCTTGTTTGAAACTCTAAATATTGGTGCTCTGTTTGTTACAGCAATGAAGCCAATAACCGAATACTGTGGAGAATGTCACGCATCCAGTTTTTCACAAAAAACAAAAGTACTCCTCTTAGACTCATTTCTAAGGTGGAGGAAAAAGTCACTCTTTCCCAGAGATATGTATTGAAAATTATTATATCTAGTCTCATCCAAATTTGGACTTCAATAATATCAGAAAGGAGTCAGATTACACATCAGGAAGAGCTTTCTAAATTTGAATTTCTGCCAAGATAGAGCCTTCTTTTATTATTTCTAAGAGAGCTGGGTAACCTTGGAAGTCACCTCGCCTGGACTGTAACCAAATAATAATGAAACATAATAATTCTACAAAGGCTTAGCGTATGATCTACATAATTATATAATTTGATAAAAAGCTCAAATTAGGGCTCTCTATATTTGTGAAAGTCCAGTTCCCATAGCCTCTGTCTGGGGCTAAGACAGACTCAATAAAACTATTTTTGCACATGTGAATATGCACTTCAACAAACTAAATACTGTATAATCTGACTAAACTGTAGGGTTCTAAAATGTTAACTTTATTTACCTCTGCATGGGAGGATTGTCAGTGATTTTATGTCTGTCTCTTTCTTTGTTGAGTTTTCTCGTTGAGAATACAATATTTTGAAATTATATTAAATATTTATGAAATTAAGAAAACATTCTTTAAAGAAGATCATCAAAAATATGTATAGGATGAGCCTATATCAGTTATCTATTGGTGTAAAACAAATAATGCCAAAACCTAGTGGCCTAAAAAAATAAATTATTATCTCACACTTGTGTGGGCCAAGGCTTTGGGAGCAGTTTGGTTAAGGGGTCCTTGCTAGGGTCTTTTCTGTTTTGAGACAGAGTCTCACTCCGTCACCCAGGGTGGAGTACAGTGGCATGATCTCGGCTCACTGCAACCTCTGCCTCCTGGGTTCAGGGGATTCTCCTGCCTCAACCTCCCGAGTAGCTGGGACTACAGGCGTATGCCACCGCACCCAGTTAATGTTTTGTATTTTCAGTAGAGATGGGTTTTCACCATGTTGGCTAGGCTAATCTTGAACTCCTGACCTCAGCTGACCCACCTGCCTCAGCCTCTCAAAGTGCTGGGATTACAGGCATGAGCCACCACACCCGGCCATTGCTACGGTCTTTTATGAGGTTGCAGTTAGGATGCTGACAGGGGCTGCAGTCATATGAAAACTTGATTGGGGCTGGAGGATCCCCTTTTAGTATAACTCACTCACTTGGTATTGGGAAGAGGCTTTACTTTCTCACCATGTGGGCCTTTCTCCATAGGTGGTTTCAATTTCCTCATGACATAGCCAGTTGCTTTCTCCCAGAGTGAGTGGTCTGAAAGAGAACAAGGCAGAATTCACAATGAATTTCATGACTTAGTATCAGAATGTACACACATCACTTCTGTCATATGCTGTTCATTTGAAGCAAGTCACTAAGTCATACCTGCACTCAAAGGAAAGGGAATTAAGCTCCACTTCTTGAAGAGAGGATGTCAGAAAATTTGTGGATATATTTTAAGACCACCACGGAGCCTATATCCACAAAAAGAAAAAAGAACAACACATACATACAGAGACACATATAATATTAGGCTGGTGCAAAATATTAGGTTTTGCCATTACTTTAATGGCAAAAACTGCAATTACTTTTGTACCAACCTGATATATTGAAAAAAATCTTTAAAATAATCACTGGGAGTGGAAATAACTGAACATTTTAAATTTCTCCTTTTTATTTTATTTTCTACTTTAAAAAAAAACAAACATTTTTCTTTTGTAATTAAACAAAAAGGAAAGGTTTTGGCAGAGATTTGTGGTCAATGTGGTGGTGAAAATAATTTTATTAATCAATAGATCAACTTGGTCAGATTTGATATCTTTAGAATATTTTTTCTGATTCATGAATAAGGTATATCTCTCAATTTATTTAGGCCTTCTTTAATGTATCTTGATTGTTATATTTTTCTTTGAAGAGATTGTGTACATTTTTCTCTTTGGTTGGATTTATTCCTTAGTATTAGATATTCTCTGACACTATTATATATTTTTTAATTACAATATCTAGTTGTTTGCTGTTGCTGTAGAGAAATTAATATATTTTTAGTCTAATCTTATACTAATCAGCTCTCTAAACTCTCTATTTCTAATTTTTTTCTCTTAGATTATTTTGGATTTTTCTATATAAACAATTTTATCATCTAAAAATGATGACAGTTTTATTTTTAGCTTTCCAATTCTCATACCTCTGATTTCTCTTTTATTTCTTATTACTTTAGGAACTCCAATATCAAGTTAAATAAAAGTCACAATCATTGATTTTTTTCACTTCTGATTAAATGGGAATGCTTCCAAAACTTCCCCATAACGAAAATACTTTGCTATAGTTTATCACTATCAGGAAGTTGTATTATATTTTTGATTTACAAAGTTTTTTTAAAATCAAGAATTCAACATTATCAAGTGTTTTTCCTGAATATAGTGAAATAATAACATGGCTTTTTCTTACCTGCTAATGTTGGAAATTATATTTATAAACTTTTTGTTAACTAAGCCATCCTTTCATAGTTGGACTATATTCAACTTTTTTATGATATTGTTAACTTTTCGTGAACAGACAGATTCAATTTGCTAATATTTTCCTTGGAATTTTTGCATATATATATTTTTGAGTAAAATAGGGTTATAATTTTTCCTTCTCAATGCACTTGTATCAGGATTAAGATTACTAATATTAAAACTGTAACTTCACAGAATTAAAAAAAAATTTGAAAGAGAGAAGATGGGAGAAGATATGTACAAAACATATAACTGACACAGGGTTGCCACCCCAAATATATAAATTATGCTTACAAATCAATAGAAAAAATTCACAACCAAAATCAAAAGAGCAAAAAAAAATGAAATTCACAAACAGAACAATGGAAATATTTAATTACTATATAAAAGATCTTCCACCTCAATGTAAATTAGGATAAAATACAAATCTATACAATAATTATACACCACTTAAAAATCCAGCAGAACAATTAAACTTAAAAAATAGATTAAGTAAGTCCTGGTGTTACAGACAATGTAGAAAAACAAGAATTTCACCTCTGTTGGTAGAAGTGAAATTCATGTTATCAATTTGCAAAGCAATTCAAAAATATTTAATGAAGGCCAGGCACAGTGGCTCACACCTGTAATCCCAGCACTTTGGGAGGCCGAGGAGGGTGGATCACCTGAGGTCAGGAGTTCAAGACCAGCCTGGCCAACATGGTGAAACCCCATCTCTACTAAAAATACAAAAACTTAGCCGGGCGTGGTGGCAGGCACCTGTATTCCCAGCTACTCCTGAGGCTGAGGCAAGAGAATCATTTGAACCCAGGAGGCAGAAGTTACAGTAAGCCCAGGTCACACCATTGCACTCCAGCCTGGGCAACAAAAGCGAAACTCCATCTCAATAATAATAATAATGATAATGAAGTTGAAAGTGTGCATGACCTACTACCTAACACTTCTACATCTAGAGAAATTGTCACTTTTATGCTCTGGAAGAGTGTAAAACGAGAAACAACCTTAATATCTTTCAGTAGGGGAAGGCTGACTTAACTGTTAGATAAAATGAAAAAAAAATCTGCATATATCTACATCATACATGCTGAAAACAAAAATGCCAGTGGAAAAATAACATGTACAATATGGCACCATCTTTGTAAATGTTGAAAATACAAAAGCCAATGTTATATATTGTTTATGGCTATAAATGAACGGATTAAAATACAAAGTATGAATAGCAAAGATAACACTAACTTGATGAACCGATGACTCCAGGGCTGAAGGCCTGGGGAAAGGAATGGAGAAGGTCAAGGGGGTTCCTATTGTGACATTGTGTTTACTTTTACAATTTGAAGAAAATATGACAGCATGTTAACATTTGATGGCAGAGTGTATATAAAGTTTATAAGTCTTTTGTTTTCCCACGGTTTTTAATTTTTTTTCTTAATTATAAGTAAACATGTATGAAACAGAACCTCTTTAATTAGGTACAGTTGGCCTCTATATCCCCACTTCTGCATCCATGCATTAAACCAATCCCAGATCAAAAATGTAGTTAGGGCTAGGATGGATGTGTCTATACTGAACACATATGGACTTTTTTCTTATTTCCTAAACAATACAGTATAACAACAAGTAAATAGCATTTACATTGTATTAGGTATTATAAATAATCTAGAGATGATTTAAAGTATGCTGGAGGATGTGCCTAGGTTACATGTAAATACCATGCTGTTTACTATCAAGGACCTGAGCATTCCTGGATTTCAGTATCTGCAGGGGTTCCAGAACCAATCCCCTATGGATATCAAGGGAAGGCAGAATTTGTTAAGTATGATGGCATATCACCGCTCTTATTGCCCCTGAAACTGTTGTCTCATGCATTCTGTCTCTGATATTGAATACTCTCTGGGCTTGTTGCTTCATCTGTAATGTAAGAGGACTGAATAGGTGGTCATTGAAGATTCTTTCTAGCTCAGGCACTGTAGGTGCCACCCCTTTCCCAAACCCTTGTACTCCTCTTTCCCTTTTCAAGGTTCATTACCTGAATGCAGTAACAATCCACCTTCATTTTCTCTATCGCTCCTTTTTCTAAAAGTTACCAGGAAGCGTTTGACCAAAGCATGCTCAGTAGTCAAGTTTGCTAAAACCCTAGGAAAGTTTTTTGTTTTGCTATTCATTTTCTTATGAGTCTTTCCATTTCCATTTACAATAAAAGTCCCAAATTTTCACTCGTCGTCTCTGCCATTGAAGAGGGGTAGCGAGGAGGAGGTGCTAATAGGGAAGATGGCCCATGGGCCCAAGGGTGCTTCTGCGTTCTTACCTGGGCTTCAGACCCCAGCAAAGGAGAAGCTAACTTAGGAACGGACTGCAACGAGGCGGTCATAACTCTGTGAGATCGGGGCAGGGCAGCGTGGGTGGAACAAGTTGTCCTCTGCAGCTCCAGGGAAGAGTAGCTCTCCCTGTTCTCTCAGGGAGGCGGGGGTGTGAAGGGGGGAGGCGGGGAGACAGGGCTGCCCGGATCAGAAACATCCTGCAGCATCTCCGTCTCCGGAGGAAAAATACATTTGTCTGGGCGAACTCCGGTGGAAAAGCGCCCCAGGCTGCCACAGCCTAGAGATCTTGGGGCTGCAGCCCTCGCGGCCTGCCGAGGGAGCAGGGGGCGCCCGTGGAACTGGCTCCCTGCAGCTCTGCGGCTACACGCGGACCTCGGCTGTGTGCGAGGTGGCGGAGGAGGCTGGCCGGGTGCGAATCCGTACCCAGCCCCAGCATCTTCCACCTGCTGAGGACCACCGCTCAGCCATGGGCTACCAGAGGCAGGAGCCTGTCATCCCGCCGCAGGTAAAACTAGCGACTAGGCAGGTTCTGAAGCCAGTTGTCCGGAAATTTCATTCACCTTGCAACAGGTCAGGTCACCTACCTTCACCTGGGCTCTTGGTTTAGCACCGCGAAAAGTTCTCTGGGACAAAAAGTTTTGCCTTAATCTGACTTTTTTTTTTTTTTTTCTTAGCAGGCACTTTAATTTCACAAAATCACATCACTGAATTCCTAACAGATCCTGTACTTAGCAGCTGGGGCAGCTGTAATCTGGAAATTTTAGGATGGAGTTTGCTTACCAAGCTCTGTTGAATTACTAGCTGTTATTGTTATTCTTTATTACTGTTATCCCGGCATTTATTTTATTTTCATTAGTGACATTACTTATTATTACTAGAAAATCGTGTTAGTATCCTGCATTACATATTTGTTACTTTTCTAATTTTCTGAACTAGTATTTGCTTATAATTGCTATTTTATCTATTAGAGAGATTTAGATGACAGAGAAACCCTTGTTTCTGAACATGAGTATAAAGAGAAAACCTGTCAGTCTGCTGCTCTTTTTAATGTTGTCAACTCGATTATAGGATCTGGTATAATAGGTAAGTGTATTTGCTTTGGTTTAAATTTTAAGTGAAAGGGCAAAATTTAAGACTCGCTACGCTGCTAGTGTTCATTAATTATTTTTAAAGAAAAAAAGACTTAAATAAGAAAATTGGTAATTTTCTTCCATAAAAGGCTTCCTTTTTTTCTAGTGTAACAGTATGTATGCATGTCTTTTATGCTGAAGATGGGGCTGTAATTCACACTGTTTCCACAGTTGAGAGCATCTTCCACATGTGGTAGATTAAGGTGAAACTGCATATGGGTGGTGGTGAATCATTTTTCTGTAGGCTGCGTGGTTGATTGCTAGTGTTACCGAATGTACTTTTTCCACTTACTGAAGGGTCCATCATTATTTGAATCATCTTTCTTTAACTTTCTAGAAGTATAAAACTTCCAGATATTTGTAAATGTTGGAGGTGAAAAGTTTAATATGAAAACATACCAATCTTATGAAAAATTAAATTCATACATTCTTTACCTATCTATACAGTGTTAAATTTTAAAGTACAAAATTATTACAATATATTAATTTTAAATATTATTTAGTCAACAATGCAAATTTGTTCATTGAAAATGCGTATTATTTTCCTAATAAAGGAGCCATACAATCAGAATTAAAATAAATAAATAGCTCAGATTTTTCCATTGTATTAGAAGCAAGGGAAATTTACTGAAAAAAGTTAAAAGTGCATTGCATTATAGTAATAAAAGCAGCTATATTTTCAGTGGTTATTATTCTTTTTGGTATCTGAAAACACTCTATCTCAGAAAAGACAAGAAGAAAACAAAATCCTGCAAAATGCAATACTTTTTGAGAATACAATGTTTTATAAAGTTGCAACATTTTTGTTTCTGTCATCACCTTCTGAAAATTAAACATTTATCTGGATTGAGTTACTTTTCTTACTCTTGAATTACTTTTCTTACTTTTCACAAGTTAATATGGTTCTTGATTTTACATTTTTCTATGGATAGTCTTTTTTTTTTCTCCAAATGATACATAAAATGGAGTTACCTGAGGTAAAGTAGAAGGAAACAGGGACAAAGACTTGTTTACAATTCTACCTCCATGTACCATGAAGGTATGAGCAGCTGTACTTAGAAGAATTCTAGAGCTAATTCCTGATGTGAACGTGTTAAGTTAAGCCGTGTCAGCAATGCTAAACAGTACCACTGCTCAGCAGCTTGTTTTCTTTTCTTTAAGGGAAAACTTTTCAGAGAATAAAAATTTTGACTGGAAATACGTTAACTGTGTTTGTTTTAAATATTTTATTGTCCATAATCTAAAGTTGTCAATTTCCCCCAAAATTATAAGAAATAATTTATGTACCCCTTTGAGCATTATAAAAAATACTTTCGCCTTCTCATTTTTCTCTCATTTTTTTCCTACATAGTAGCCCCATTTTGACTCCAGAGTCTGTCTTTCTTAATATTCCATAACCCTTCTGTGCTCCTTATTATCCTCTCTGCTTTCTTGGCTAGCAGGTAAGGAAGGATTTGAGGTAATGACTTTCCACATATTGCAGGGCTATGTCACTCTTACCCTGAAGTAAACGTTATTTGTGTGAACTGGCATTTGTTTTTCATTTGCTGCTTTCTAATTCTTATTCCGTCACCTCAGAAACTTGCTCTCTTAACTTGTCCCTAAGCTAATAACATTTTATTCTGAAATAAGTATTAATACCTAACATTTAATATTAATTCTGTCCTATGTGCAACTTACAAATACGTCATATAAGTATATAAATTGACTTTACCTATTATATGCAGAAATTGAAGGGGGGAATTTCTGTGTTTCTAGCTTTCTTGTTAATGTGAAGGGTGGGGCATTTTATGTTTTTTCAGGATTGCCTTATTCAATGAAGCAAGCTGGGTTTCCTTTGGGAATATTGCTTTTATTCTGGGTTTCATATGTTACAGGTAAAATACTATATAATTTCTTATTTCTGCAACTTCAACTGTGCAATAACTACACACATACACACACACACACACACATGCTGCAACTGAATTTCCTAGTTAATTAAAAAGTGCATCAAAGAATCCTAAAGAATTTAAGCATTTATGCCTGAGGAGATTTACTTTTCTTACTAATCCTTTAAACAGATTAGAAAAAGTAGAAAAGCATTATATATTACCAAGCCTAAATCCTTTTCATGTGCCTTTTTCACTTTTTGCAGAAAGTAGTAGATGGGGAAGTCATTTTAAAGCTTCATTAAGGCTAAGAGACGACTGTGCTCTGAAAGTGCAGATAGCAGGGCTTCGTGGGCAGGTGCGTGTGAATGAGCAACCTTATTCAGCTGTTGTTTGTGGAGGTAGAAATGAAGCTCTGGTGATCAACCAGCAGGGCTCATCAAGCCTCTCCGCCTGGCTTATGCCTGCCCAAACTCGCTGCCTGCTACTGTCTTTAAATGCAGCAATAAGTTGCTTCTGTATCACATCTTCTCTTCTGCTTCCCCTTCTTCATGTAAATAGTTCATTCACACCCACGTTTTGTCACTCTCCCATTTAAATGCAGGCTTTACAACTCATAATCATCTCCTCTTTTTGTTGTCCTCGTCCCCGCCTTGTCATCCCACCATCTCACCTTATGACAAACATGGCGTCTCCTCTACCTTAGGATCACTGTGAAAGAGGTGGTGGCAATGATCAAAAACAGACACCACTCACAGGAGTTGCTGCTGTGGTGGATTAGATGCCCTTTTACCAGCTAGTGCAAAACACCTCAGCTGCCCTTTGCTCTGGAGTGTTGCCCTGGGCCTCCAGGGGGTCTCCTTGCCTCCACGGGGACCAATGTGTGGTACAGTTGGAGCTCCAGGGCTCCACCACTGCAGTACTTGCTGAACTCTTTCCCCTGCCCTGTCCTCTCATTCCCCTTCTTCTGGAGCATTTCATCCACAGACCCCTTGCCCAAGAATGTCTGTCTCAGCTCTGCTTCTAGAGATCCTCCAAGATGCCATCCCTCGTAAAACCTCAGGCTTCCAAGACCTGCCCAACACTCAGCTATTTTTTCTCAGGCTGACGAAGACAGAGTAAAGCATGAAATAGTTTTCAAATTCAAAGCTAGAGAGGCATTGAGCTCCCTGCCTTCTTCCTACCACCTCCACCCTTAAGACCTAAACTGCTTCTAGTTATTACAGCTCTTAATTTGTAACTTAAGACCCATAAATTAGCAGCATGAGACCTAAGTGTGCTTATTAAGAGTTGCTGGTGTTTAAAAATTGCAGTCTACTTATTGGGGCATTTATTACACTAAAAAAAAAAATTTCATTCAAGGATTTGTCCCTGTCATTCTTAAATTTCCTGTTTCCCATCAGCACTGACAAATAATTGATTTCCACCATAATCACTATGGTTTATTTAAGTGCATTGTAAACATTTACATACATTGTAAACAGGTAGGTAGAAAACATTTAAAAGTATGCATACAAGTTCAGGACTTGATGAGAATGAACAGTATACTAAAGCCAAGTCGTATTATACATAAATAAACTATAATGTGAATAACTTTTTCAACTAATGCCATATATAAACCTATAACAATAACTGTGAGAAGTCCTTTGCAAATTCACATATTGCAAATTTACTTATTAGTGGAAATTACTAACTCATAAATTTACTTGCATGATCCAAATTCTTAAATAACTGATAAATAAAGGATGACCACATAAAAGTGAAAAAAAATATAGGCTGATTCATTTTTTTTCTTAATTAGACTTTTAAGAGCAAAATCTACATGTAGGGTATAATGTTGAATTTTTCTTTAGATTGGAGCTATAATTAATCAGTGGTTTGCCTCTAGAATTATTATTTTGCCTTTTAAGGCCACTAATGAGGTATGTTCAGTTCAACAGCAAGTTTTTCTAAGTTCTGTTTTCATGTTATGAAATGTTGGGGAACAAAAAGAATTATAAAAATTTACAGCAAATAATTCTAATTTGCTTTAAGATTTTCAAATTTGTTGATTAACATAAAATAATTTTTATTGTCTGAGCATACAAAATTATTTAAAAGAAAATTCTTTTGTTAAGTAACAGATTCATTCATGAATTTTTAAAAAGGTTGCATACAATATATTCAAAGGGAGATCAAAATATTATAGTGATTAATACCTAAGATACCTAAAACTTTTAAGGGAATATATTTGTAGCCTGTATTTTATAAGCAAATGAAAGCATTTACATTTATTATTGACTAAATTCTTAACACATCTTTACCTTTAAGTGATCATTGTGAACTTTTATAAAATGCTCAGTGTTCTCATCCCAACCATACCCTTCTTCAGCAAGCCTTCATACCATCTCTGAAATTGGTTGCCTCCTCTCTGTGACATAAGTATATAAATTGTATATAAATTATATGAGAATCAATGAGAATCAAGGAGGAGAATCAATGCCAACTCTGTTGCCAGTAACTTCAGACCTTGGCTAAGCCGTTTTAACCTACTGAAGTCCAAATTTTCTCCTCCAAAAAAGTAAAACATGAACACCTACCTCAAAAAGATTTCACGTTATGGCTGCATTATTCTCAGCATCTAGCTCTTTGATTCTCCTTGGCCAGTGACCTGCTGTTCAGTTTTCCTGCTTCCAGCATCTGTCTACTTTCTCATCAGTCCTCCATGCTGCTGCAAGTTATTTTTATAAAACTTCAGCCTGAACTCTATAAACTCCACAATCAAAACATTCCGAGACTCTGTAAGGACAACAACAACAACAACAACAAAATATTGCATTTAAATTCCTTCATAGTTTGGCTGCATTTTTAGTCTCATTCCAATTATTCTAACTGCTCTCTCACTCTGTGACCAACAGTCACATGCAGACGTTCTCAGCCATCATGGAGAATTCTGTTACCCAGGGAGAGAGAATAAGCTTTCACACCATCTTCCCATTGATAGTCCTCCTGCCTGACATTCCTTTTCTTCTCTACCTGGTGAAATCTTGTTCTTCCTTCAAGGCATTATTCAACTTTTTTGTGAAGCAGTTCCTAATTTTAAGCAAAGGAAGTAGAATTTATTGATATCTCCTTTGTGTTTGCAGGATATTTTAAAATCTGTTAATACTTCTTAGGACTGGGCACGGTGGTTCACCCCTGTAATCCCAGCACTTTGAGAGGCCGAGGCACGTGGATCACTTGAGGTCAGAAATTCGAGACCAGCCTGGCCAATAGGGTGAAACCCTGTCTCTACTAAAAATACAAAAATTAACTGGATGTGGTGGCTTGTGTCTGTAGTCTCAGCTACTCAGGAAGCTGAAGCGGCTGAGGCAGGAGAATCGCTTGAACCCAGGAGGCAGAGGTTGCAGTGAGCTGAGATTTCACCACTCCACTCCAGCCTGGGCAACAGAGCGAGACTCAGTCTCAACAATAAATAAATTAATTAATTAAATTAAATAAATAAAAATATATTTATTAGGTCATTTATCACATTAAATTAGAATCCGATGGGTAAACATATAGCAATCCTGCTATAGTGATCATTGATTTATTCAGCAAATATATACCGATCACCAGTATGCCAGCTATAGCAATGAGGAACATTATCCCTGCCTTTTTGAAGGTCACAATATAGTGTGTCAAGCAGAAAAAAAAAATAATTATACCACTTTATAAAAAATACCATAATAAAAATATGTACATGATGACAGAGACTGGCATTTAACCTAGCCTCAAAAGAGCAGGAATGTTCTAGGGAGGAGGAGATACTTCCTCTGAGTATTTATGAAAAAAAAAAAAAAAAAGTGAGTTAGCAGAGAAAATGGAAGCAGATGGAAATGTGGGAATGCAAAATGCAACTGAACAAGTGATTTAGTCTGGCTAAAGTGTAGGGTTGGTGTTTGCAAATGGAGAGAGGGGAAGTTGGAGAGGTTTGCAAAGGCAGATAGGAAGCCTCTCATGTAATGATAATCATTACCACTTCCTGAGCTAGATGCTGAGCATAATGCAGTCGTAATGTGAAATCTTTCTGAGGTAGGTGTTCATGTTTTACTTTTTTGGAGGAGAAAATTGAGACTTCAGTAGGTTAAAATGACTTAGGCAAGGTCTGAAGTTACTGGCAATAGAGTTGGGATTTTAATTAAGCTCATGGATTCTGAGGCCAGACTACTACGGCATAAGTCCTGATTCTTTTAATACTTCTGTAGAGATCTATTTACTTAACCTTCATGCCTCACTTTTCTCATCTGTTAAATGGGCATGATAACCAGCACCTACCTCTGGTTGTTGTGAAGATTAAAAATAATTAGTATTTGTAAAGTATTTGGAAAAAGACCTACCACACAGAAAAGCATTGTGTAAGCATTTGCTAGTAGTTTGTGGTTGTTATCATTATTATCTGACTCCAAATACAATACTTTTCCCACTGTCACGTGCAGCTTGTCAAAAATAAGTAGAAATAGCGTTAGTTCCCACTCAGCTTCTATAAGACAGTAGGCATTGTGGTGGACATTAAACACCATAATCCTCACACCACTCTTCAAGGGTGCCATATTGCCTTACTTTACAGATGAGCTCAAATCTTTCACCCAAAGTCACACAGCTAATAAATAATTTTTATCCAAATGCATTAATGGGTCTCCCTGAAATATTTTAAGCAGAAGGCAAAATTAGATTTATGATAATCAATGGCCAGATCCACCTGGTGGAGGGAGAATGTTGAGAATGTCTTGGTAGGAAGGAGAAATCAAAGGTGTCTTTGTTGGGGGCCAGATTGGTGGGTAAAAGAACTATTAGGGGGTTATTGCAGTACTCCAGACAAGAAATTATGAAGGCCAAAGCTCTACCATAAGGCAAGTTAAGATTACAAATTAGGGGCTACATTTGAATATTTCTGATGCAATAGTTAATAGACTTAGTAACCACAGGAATATAGAAAGTAATGAAATAATTTAATGATTAATAAGATAAGTCTGGGGAAATTCTCAAGTTTCTGTTGATACTAATTACAGATTGGAGAAATATGGATAGAGAATCAAATTCCAGAACCAATAACCAAATTAGAATTTATATATTTTAAAATTAAGATGCCTATGAGATCTTCAAAGCAAAATATTTATTAGGCAGCTGGCTGTAGAAGTCTGAAGTTTTGAAGGGGGTCTGAGCTGGAAACACAAATTTAGAGGTTACTAACATCTAAATGAAAATTGCAACCACAGCATAAGTGAGATCACACTAGTACATCTTGAAGGGTGAGAAAAAAGGCCAGGCGCGGTAGCTTACGCCTGTAATCCCAGCAATTTGGGAGGCCTAGGCGGGTGGATCACTTGAGGTCAGGAGTTCGAGACCATCTTGGCCAACGTGGCAAAACCCCGTCTCTGCTAAAAATACAAAAATTAGCCAGGCATGGTGGTGGGCACCTGCAATCCCAACTGATCAGGAAGCTGAGGCAGGAAAATCATTTGAACCCAGGAGGCGGAAGTTGCAGTGAGCCAGGATGGCACCACTGCACTCCAATCTGGGCGACAGAGCAAGACTCTATCTCAAAAAAAAAAAAAAAAAAAAAAAAAAAAAAAAGAGATAAAAAAGTCCAAGAATCCAGGACTTGAGCAGAGTAAAAGAAACTGGTGAAAAATTGAGTATAAATGACCAAAACAGCAGGAAGAAAACCACAAGAAAGAGATGTCACAAAGGCCAAAGGAGAATGGTTGAGAATAAAAGGAATGATCAACAACGACAACGAGAAACAGTGTTCCGAAAGAGCAGATAAGAGTAAGATCTAGGAAGTATCAACTGGATTTATCAACTTGGAGAACATTGATGATCCTGTTGAAAGAAGTTTCACTGATATGGGAATCAGGGGGAAACCATATTGCAATGGCTTGCATTTTAATGCATTTCCATATTACTTAATGGATAAAAATGAGAAAGAGAAAAAAGAGAACAAGTATCTCACATTGTGTGTGTAGCTGTGTACCAAATAAAACTGCAGTGTCTTTCCGTAAAAACCATTGAGTTAAATGAAAACAATGAGGGCAACTGACTTTTCATTATATAATTTCTGTATATATCTATCTCTAACTTCAATTGAAGTTTCTTAAAATGCAAATTTTTTTTTTTTTTTTTTTTTGAGAGGGAGTCTCGCTGTGTTGCCAAGCTGGAGAGAAGTGGCAGAATCTCGGCTCACTGCAGCTTCTGCCTCCTGGATTTGAGCGATTCTCCTGCCTTAGCCTCCCAAGTAGCTGGGACTACAAGTGTGCGCCACCACACCTGCCTAATTTTTGTATTTTTAGTAGAGATGGGGTTTCACCACGTTGGCCGGGATGGCCTTGATCTCCTGACCTCGAGATCTGCCCACCTTGGCCTCCCAAAGTGCTGGGATTACAAGCGTGAGCCACTGCGCCGGCCAAAAATGTAAATTTCAACAGCAAAATTTCATAGAGTGTCTCTTTCTTAACCATAATAACTATAAAATAAAGTTACTAATTTTATTATATTATAAAACAAATTCTCTGACTCTCCTAAATGTATTGTTTTCTACATGCTACCACACCTTTAATTCTCAGTCTTCACACACTGAATACTTATGAAATATTTGATTACCTACATCCTATTCCTTGACAATTGAGCCTCAACCTGATAATATTTGCTGCATTGGTTACATCAGGAAAGTAAAATGGAACACTGGCAGTTTGACTCGAGTCTGTTTTCTTTTCTGTCCTGTTCTTTGCATGGGTATGTTAAGTATATATTTGCATCTTGATTGAAAAATATGTAACTGGAAACATTACTGTTTAATAAAAGGTAATGTTTTATGAAAAGAAAGTTAGCCTGGCTCTGCTAATACTGCAGCATTAAATTAAATGCTTCTTTAAAATTTCCCCTTTTCTCGATGGTAATTAAGTTAAAACATGAAAAATATTTGTATTACATGTAATCTGACATTTAATTGATGTTCTTGCCACAGACTTTTCCCTTGTTTTATTGATAAAAGGAGGGGCCCTCTCTGGAACAGATACCTACCAGTCTTTGGTCAATAAAACTTTCGGCTTTCCAGGGTATCTGCTCCTCTCTGTTCTTCAGTTTTTGTATCCTTTTATAGGTAAGTTGACTGTGAAGATAAATATTGCAATTATGTGCATAAGCATATGGTCATTTCTGAATAAAATACTTTTAATAGTCATTAAAGAATATCACTATAGCAGTTGAAATCTTTCCCAAATGAAATGTTTACTTCTTTAACCATTTTCTCCCTTATTTTCTGGTCCTTTTGATTTATTTTCTGACTATTTCTTTTAAATAAAATGAGGGTTATTTTCACTAGGTTAATGTTTGGGCTTTCTGTACTTGGTAAAAAATTGAATGACCTAGAATAAAGAGTGAACAAGAGAAATAACACATTTCTTATAAGGCTTAATACTTTAAAAAAAAAAAAAAAAGCAAAGGATTTGTGGAAGCCGTGTACTAGGCCAATGTGCTATTTAAAGTTTATACCATAATGGTGAGAATGTCACCTAGCACTTCTTAAAAAATGAAATGTTAATGTTCACTAATGGCCAAATTGACTTCATTTTTAAAAATCAGTACTATGGAAGGTATTGTTCAAACCACTAGTTCCATATGTCTCCACAGAAGGCTAAGAATATATTTCCCAAAAAAGTCTTACTTTTTTAATGGAGGGGATATATTAGTGTCTTCAAATTTTTCTATTATTATTCCTCACTTTATGCAGCACACGTGTTCCTGAAAAGGGGTTTGGAAACTGAACTTTAACAACAAAATAAATTGCATTTTTAATAACTACCAAAACTTGCTACTTAAAGGTATTCTGAGATGAATCAACTTGTAAAGAGAAAATCTTTTTTTAATACAAATTGATACTCTACCATAGATCTCTTGTCCAGTTATCTTTAAAGTTGTCCAAACTGGTAATCATAATATACATTTGAAGCAGTAGGATTATGCCAATATTTGGGAAGTAATAACTGATTGCTTTCAAAATATTTAGGATGAAATATGAGATGGCTTATTGATGACTCTTATTTTAATTATGTTTTTAGCAATGATAAGTTACAATATAATAGCTGGAGATACTTTGAGCAAAGTTTTTCAAAGAATCCCAGGAGGTAAGCCAAAATAAAAATTGTGAGGATTTAAATATATTTATTTTATATAGTTATTTATAGTTAACATGGTTCATAATTATAAATAAAAAATTTGAAAGTGAAATTATTGGATTACTTCAGGTATCTCACAATATCCATGATCCATTCTGATCTTAAAGTTTTGGTCTACTTTTATACATAATTTAGTTCTTATTTAGCTGTTTGAAAAAATGTTGTTACTATTTAAATACTTAGAATACTTTATATTTTAAATTTTTTATGCTTCATATCACCAGCTCTCTGGGCAAACATTTCTTCATGTACTATTTAAACTATGTGATTTCTTAAATAAGCAAGCAGACTATTTTCCCCATTATTTGTATTAAGGAATAATTTAATAGAGTAAAATTAACCCTTTAAAATCTGTATTCTGTGGCCAGGCATGGTGGCTCACGCCTATAATCCCAGCACTTTGGGAGGCAGAGAAGGGTGGATCGCTTGAGCTCAGGAGTTCAAGACTAGCCTGGGCAACATAGTGAAACCTCATCTCTACAAAAAGTACAGATATTAGCAGGACATGGTGCCTACACCTGTGGTCCCAGCTACTTGGGAGGCTGAGGTGGGAGGATCACTTAAGCCCAGGAGGTGGAGGCTGCAGTGAGCTGTGATCGTGCCACTGCCCTGCAGGTTGGGCAACAGAGTGAGACCCTGTCTCAAAAAAAATAAAAAACCAAGAAACTATATTCTGTGAGTTTTGACAAAGGCATATAGTCATATAAGCATGGCTGCAATCAAAATACAGAATGACAAGCCAGGCACAGTAGCATGTGCCTGTAGTCCCAGCTACTCCAGAGACTGAAGCAGAAGGATTGCTTGAGCCCAGGAGTGTGAGCCACATAGAGAGATTCTGTCTCTAAAAATAATAAAAATAATGCAAAACAATTCCATCACTCCCTCCAGTTTTCCCCATTTCCCTTTGTAGTCAAATCCTAATCTCCAGCTCCCTCTTCCAACCTCCTGATGAGATTTCTCTCCCTACAGTTTTGCTTTTTTCAGAATGCCAGGTAAATGACATCATACCATATGTAGCTTTTTTGAGTCTGGCTTCTTTTGTTTAGAAAGGTGCATTTGAGATTCAGCTGTGTCTTTCAATATATCAGTAGTTTGCTCTTTTTAACAAATTATTTCTGAGAAGCATTTCATTTTATGGATGTACAATAGTGTATCTATCACCCAGTTCAGGGACATTTGTGTCGTTTCCAGTTTAGGGTAATTACAAAAAGCCAGTGTGAACATTCTCTAGCAGACCTTTTCAACATATTGCTACAACTCCACTCCCTGTTCAACTTTTCACTATGTCATGGTTTTTATAATAATTCAGAGATCATGTGTCTTTTTGCTTTGAAGAGCTTCTCATCCAAGCTACATAATCCCCATTTCATTGTGAAACTCTCTATGGTTGCTATTACAGTTGAGGAGATGGATGCAAAAACACCTTTCCTCTTAGTGCTTGAATCACTCATTCTAGAGACATACAAAACAAAATGAAACAAAACCTAGAGCTAGAAAGCATACCTAGTCCTCACACAGGGTTTAGTGGAACTTGAGATCACGGAGACATAGCTATCAAATCACAGACTCACGAATGACCAGCTGTGTGACCTTGAGAAGGTTAGTTGTCCTCTCCGAGTTCCAGTTTCCTCACCTCTAAATTATGAATCAGAATATCATCTGCTTCATAGAATAGTTGTGTGAAGCAAAAGAGGTGAGACAGGTAGTTCCTAGCACACAGTAGACTTACCCAGTACTATTAGCTATTATTATTGTTACCCCGAACTGTCTGTAGCTTCTGTGCCAGCCCCCAAACTCCAAAGCATGAATGCATAAGCTGAGGCCACACGAGTGGGTAGAATGCTAAGGAAAGTGGTCAGAATATAAGACACAGAATATAATCTAAATTATGTAAATTTTCTATTGGCATATACAAGTAAGAAAAAATAAGAAAGAAATACATTTACATATAAACTGCGGTTATCTTTTAATCATGAGATTCATGGGATTTTTGTGGGGGGTTTTCTTTGTTATTTTTCAAGGTTTTTCTTAAGGGTTTTTCTTTCCTTCTCTCTTTTCTCTCTGTTTTTGTTTTTTTTTTTTTTTGAGACAGAGTCTCACTCTGTCACCCAGGCTAGAGTGCAGTGGCATAATTGGCTCACTGCATTCCTGACCTCCCGGGCTCAGGTGATCCTCCCACCTCAGCCTCCCAAGTAGCTCGGATTGCAGGTGCACACCACCACGCCCGGTTTTGTAGAGATGGGGTTTTGCTATGTTGTCCAGGCTTGTCTCGAACTCCTGAGCTCAAACGATCTGCCCACCTCAGCCTCCCAAAGTGTTGGGATTATAGACATGAGCCATCTCACCTGGCCTCCAAGGTTTTTCAAAAGAGAATTACTAATTTAAAAATATATTTTATTACTGTATTTTCCTATTCGAAAAGTAGCGCCGATTTATTTGAAAAATATTAGAAAACACAGACAAGCCCAGTGGAGAAAACAGAAAATACTAATAATCTCTTCTTGAGACAATCGGGTGGAAACCATCCTTTCAGCCCCCTCCTGTTTTTCCTCTTCCTTCCTTCCTTTTTCCTTTTTATGCTTTCAGAGTTTTAAGAATACATGTAATTTCAGATATTCGTAAGAATAATATAACATCATACAACTTGTTCTATAACATGCTTCTTTCTCTTAGTAATATTTTAAGAACATATTCTCATATCAAAACGTAAATATATATATATGCTTTAATGGAAGTTCAGTATTCTGTACAGTACCTACTGTACAGTTAGAGTGACCATAATTAATTTACCTTTCCTTGATAGAAACATTTTGATTGTTAATTTTTATTAATTTTTAATTATACAAAGAATGTATGAATAACGCTCTTCATAAAAATAAAATATTATAGAAAAGGCTAATGGTCCTTTGAAGCCCTCTTCCTGGTTATCAATTTTGTAATAATCAAAAATGACTTTTTAAAAATGTAGTTCATATGGCAAAGAACACAACTTTATTCTTACAGCATCTTCACCATTTTGGGGTGTGACAGTTTATAATGTTCATTCTGTTTGTATATCTTGTGAGGCACCATATTATGCCAGAGTATTTTTAGAAGTGGATACTATAAAATTCTTACCAAAGCTCTATTTTTATTCTGAAATACATCACTAATGTCTTAAATTGACAAGTAGACAATTGCTTATACTTTTCTCTGGTAGCCAAAACCTTGGCTCTTGATATAAGTCAAAGTAACAAGAAATGTTGGTATAAAAAATAGCATGTTCACATGCTTTTAAATTTTTTCAAAAATTTTATTTTCAAAAATTTCAATTTTCACCTTTCGTTACTGTTGTTTAAACATTTAAAATGCATACTTGGGTGCATTTTTGATAGATCCATATAGGTAATAGATCTCATCATTAGAGCATTAGTGAAAAACATCCTTTATGCAAATGGGATCCTCAGTTATTAGGCTCCTACCTGTTGATCATAGCACTCTGTGTCAGCGTTTATCTAGCCCTTAGCAACTTCCCAGTGAAGCAAAACGTTTAAAGGGTAAATAGAAATAGATACACAAATAATTTGGTTCAAATTATATTCACCACAAATATGTAAATAGTGAGTGCATGGATTTTGGAATTGATTTTCCTGTTTTGTTATTTTAATTCTTAATTTTATAATGACTATTTAGTTATGGCTGATTTCAACTATTCCATTAGTATTAAAAATTAAATATTCCATTCCACATATATAATATATATACACACACATACACATATATATATACATCATATACATATATATACACTACATATATAGAAAATACTAATAATCTAATAATCATATATATAATACATATATGTGGTAAAAATTTATGTCATTTTGAAATTTCTTTCTTGAAACTTTCTTGTAGGTTTATTAGCCATCTAAGAAAAGTAGTGTCATTGTTTAGGATAATAGCTTTTATTTTCTTACCACAATCATTCACTTATTTAAGACTGGATCTTTATAGACTTTAGACTGTGCAGAAATTGATGCACAATGACTTGGTACCACTGAAGACATCGTAACAATATAATGATATGATCTCTGAGTGAAATTTAATATGAGCTAAAAATTTAAACAATAGCGTCTTCATTGAAATAGATATATAGCTCCTTAAATGACTATTTTAATTAGCAGAGCTTTTAAAATATATAAATCCTTGTATGTTTCATTTCATGTTTAAAACTTCTGTTTATGTGTGATTATACACACAACACATATAATTATATATGTGATATATATATATATATATATATATATATAAAATTTTCTATTTGTATTTGACCATATAGCCAAGAATCTGCAGTGTCTACCAGTTGCAGCAGCTTCCCTGTGACTTCTTCTCTATCCAATATGTTGCTTCTGCCATTCAGGGAAACCAGTTTTTTCTTGACAAAAGTAGAGAAATATATTAAATATTTTTATCTAAATCTTTTTGAAATTTTGTTAGAGTATTAGTGTCCAAGTCTCTTGCGTATAGAAAAAAAAAAAAAAAAACCTTAGAAAATGCATCATCCTCCTATAGCTTACTTTCTACCTGAAGGGTTTTGTCATTAAAGAGTTTTGGGCAGGGAGTGACATAATGTTTTTTACCTTAGAAAAGGAATTCTGTAGTTTCTGGATTAAGAGTGTACTCTAAGAAGACAAAAGAAGGCAGAAGCATGAAAACTGTCAAGGAGGCTAGTAAAATAATTTCAATGTGAAATATTATAACATCATTTCAAGTATAAGTCATCCTGAAATTTTTTTGTGTTTGTATTTTTGTGATTTATTTTTATGTTTATATGTTTTTATGGAGAGTATTAACTCAAAATTATTGTCATTGAGGTAGTATTTATGTTTAAGTAATTTTTATAATTAAATGCTGGCCTATTTAGTGTGTCACCAATGTGTTACTTATACCTGTAACATTTAATAATATTTATTGTGTTTTAGTTGATCCTGAAAACGTGTTTATTGGTCGCCACTTCATTATTGGACTTTCCACAGTTACCTTTACTCTGCCTTTATCCTTGTACCGAAATATAGCAAAGCTTGGAAAGGTAATTTTTACATTTTAAATGGGCATAGAAATGTACCTTGTTGCCTGCATAATCTACTGTCTACTTGGCAAAGTTCTTAATTACGGTATTCATCTTTAGTTTCTTCTGGTTTACTTAATGGTGATGCTAGAGTGAACTGTGTTTGAATCATTAGTTTGTGAGAACCGATGATTAAATAGTTGATGAGTATTAACTAAATATATTCTTCCTTTTTCTTTTTTAAGGTAGATACACTGATGTCAGACAGCACATTTTAAATTTAGAAAATATAAAGAACTATATTTAAAGCAAATCTAATTTATTGGAAAAGTATTCCATCTTTTGTGTAGGTGGTTTAAACAATTTAAAATTAAGAAGTAACAATGAATAACTTTAATGTCTTAAAATATATTTATTTGTAAATTACAATGTCTATTGTGCTTATTTTTCATCCAGTGAATTTAATTTGCAATGTGTTGATTGGTCAATTTTTGAGAATTTTGCCAATATTTATGATTCATATTACTAAAGAGAAATACTGAACTCTTCTAATGAAAACAATTAAATAATTATTCAGTTCACTACAGATGCTCATTTGCACTTACTCTCAAGGAATATTTGTATTTTACCCAAAATATTATTGGTACTACGTCTACGTAATGCCAAACATTCTGATAAGATATTTTTAAAAAGAGTTGTTTATATAATATTTTTACATTCTATTTTGAAAAATCCAACGTTTGGCTGAATTTTACTTTTCACTGTGATGTTTAATGTTGTGTATCTATTTATGAAGTTCATCCTTCCAGGTAGAGCTGAGGGTAGACATAATATTTCAAAGTATTCTGACCATCCCTAATAGTCATCTGGAAACAAACAAGAGTGTATCAAAACATGCTTTTCTGTGAATTATATAAAATGATTGAACTATTTTCCATTTCACATATTCAGTGTACACATAAATGTTATCTTCTGAGCAGAGAGTGAGGCATTCATAAAAGGAAGGCTATTAACATTCTGTCATATTATTAATACCTGAGCATTTTTTCCTAAATGCCCCTTAAAAGTGTCATATTGAGATATCTAAATAAATCACTCCATGAGCAAAGCAGAGTGGTTAGGAGCCCTAATCTGGAGTCAGGCTGCTTGTACTTGAGTTCCCTCTCTGCCACATTCCAGCTGTGTGCCTTAGAGAGGTTGTTTAATCTCTCTCTTCCTCAGAAGATAAGCCAATTCATAATAGAAACTTCTTTCTAGTTAAAAATTAACAACTTAGAAAACAAGGTTAATGAGACTCACATAAAATACAAGCAGTTTTATATTTATTTTTTCTTATCAGAGAAAGGATCCATAATGTGCTTTTTCATTTAAAAAAATTAAGACTAGGCACACAAACCTAGCATAATGGGTGCACCGGGCACAGACACACACAGACCAGTTTATATTTTAACCAGTTGATATAATGACAGAACAGAGAGGAAGAAGCAAAACAGGCCTAGGAACGCAGACCAAAGGGCAAAACCAGGTAGGAAAAGTAGAGCTGGAGAGCAGAGAGGAAAAAGCTGAGATACCCCTCCTCAAAAAAAAAAGGACGGGGAGGAATGTGTGTGGTGTTGGAAGGAAGAGAGTAAGACAAGTAGAAGCAGCAATTATAGATAGTAAAAAAGCACATGTCAACACTAAAATAAGACTTGAAGAAAAAAGGAAACATAATTTCACTTTTACTTTTATAAGCTAAAATCACCAGTTTTGTATTCCATGCAGGAGCCACTAAAAATTTTTAAAGCCATGTTGCATGGTGATGACAGTCATGTATAATACTTGCTCACCTACTTGGGGTGGGTGCGGGGAACCAAGACTGATCTGATAAGAAGTTACCTGCCTGAGATTATCAACACCAAGCTGCAAGAATAACCTACTAAAGAATTAGGCAAAAAAATCTATATGTAAGTTTACCCAATTAAAAATGAGAAAGACTTAACATTTTAAATAAAATAATTTCTGTCCTAAACCGGCAATATCCTTGTATTTTCTTTTACAGGTCTCCCTCATCTCTACAGGTTTAACAACTCTGATTCTTGGAATTGTAATGGCAAGGGCAATTTCACTGGGTCCACACATGTAAGTTATGTTGTTATATTTGTCAGTCTTTGATTTATAGCCTCCACATAGATATTTAGATGGCATAAATGCAGAAATATAAAGTAACCATGGTATCAGAAACATCATTTATCTTTGGTATTTGACAAAATGAGGTAAAATAATTACAGGTCAGTAAACATGCATTTTTCATTTGGACCCTACAAGGCTGATAGAATTAAACCAGGTTTACTTATTATTTTAATGTCCCAAAGAATTAGAGTAAGAAAGAATTAGAATTAGAATAAGAAATGAATTTTGAATAGTTGAAAAGAGGAACGAAGTTTCAGTAGTTTAGACTGAAATAAAAAGAATAAGAGATATAGTGGATGTTTTTATCCATTAAACAAAATGTGAACACTTTGAAAACCATCCTTTATTCTCTTCTGATTATTTTCCTTAATTATTTTGTGTTAAAATACTACATCATTTGTGAACTAAGGATAAAAACTGATAGTGGTGTTTGTTTCTTTTTAATGTTATTATTTGGTGAGGTAAAATGTTGACAAATTGGTATTAGTTCCCCCAATTTTAAAAATGTTACTCATTCATGAAATTTTAAAGTGTGTGTATTGTCAATCTAAACTACACTGTTTGTATGCTTTGCCTATATAGTAGATTCCCCAGATACAGACTGGGCAGTTTATAGTCACAGTCCCAAGAAAATGCTAGAATGAAACCAGGTTAGATTGGCTTTAAACACTGAATTGGATTTCCACAATTCACAATAAATATTAGTTGAATAAATAAATAATGCATTAAAGAGTTTCCAGGATACCTTAAATGTTTTCTCTAAAGAGGCAAAGAAAAATTAATTTAAGATGTAATATTTAGCACAATGCAAGGAATACTGGGTTTTTAATGAATGGCATCTGTAAGAAAAAATGTAAAAGGAAACCTAATGAATAGCCCTAATTGTTAATGCAGTGGCCAAGGTAATTTATGTTTTCTCCTTGATTAATTGTTGCTTTGCAAAATTAATTCATTTTCCACTGATAGACTTCTTAGTTTATCAGGAAAATACCAAAAAAAAGGCCTCAAGCTAATTGGGGGAAAATCATGAAATATCTGTTAAATATCCAGTCTAAGTGCATTTGATATAGCCTTTTCTTTGAAAAAGCAAACGCCTATTTTTAAAGAATTGAAATAAAGGAGAGAAAACATAAATATCTGTAATATTTATATTATTTTTTTCTTCAAATAATTTAATCCTGATTCACAGTTGTATTGGTCATCTCAGAATGTCATAACAAAAAAACATAAACCGAGTATTGTTAAATGACAGAAAGGTATTTTCTCATAGTTCTGGAGGCTGGAAGTCAGAGATCTGGATGCCAGCATGATAGGGTTCTGGTGAGGGCCATCCTCCTGCCTTGTTGAGGGCAGTCTTCCTGCTGTGTCCTCACATGGCAGAGAGAGACAGCAAGATCTCAGAAGTCTCTTCTTATAAGGGCTCCAGTCCCAGAGTGAGGGCTCCACCCTTCCCTCATGCGTTTATCTAACCCTAATTATCTCTCAAAGTCTCCCAAAGGCCTCAACTCCAAATGCCAGCACAGTGAGAGTTAAGGCTTCAACATATAAATTCGGAGGGACGCAATTCAATTCATAGCATTAGTGTTTTTTTGTTTTGTTTTTACTTTTTTTTTTAAGAGACAGGGTCTCATTCTGTCACCCAGACTGGAGTGCAATGGTGCAATCATAGCTCACTGCAGGTTGAACTCCTGGGCTCAAGCAGTCCTCCTGCCTCATCCTCCTGTGTAGCTGGGACTGCAGGCATGTGCCACATCCGGCTAATTTTTTCTTTCTTTCTTTTTTTTTTTTTTTTGTAGAGATGGAGTCTCACTATGTTGCCCAGGCCAGCCTCAAACTCCTGACCTCAAACAATCCTCCTGCCTCAGACCCCAAAGTGCTGGGATTAACAGGTGTAAACCACCATGCCTGGCCTACATTAGTGGTTTTGAAATGCACCTGTTTCACTTCAATATGGCCATTTATTCATTCACTTTAGTAAACACTTAATGAGTTTCTATTGTTTCCAGTGATTGTGTTGTGCCCTGAGAGAAAAAGCAGAGAGAGGCCTGAATTAGCACCTGCTGCCAATTATTCACAATCAACAATGGACAAAGGGCTTACTTTAAAACCAAAAAAAAAAAAGAAGAAAAATCAATGACAGTACAAGGTGATAAGTGCAAAGCAGAAACATGAAAGGGAAGCCGAGACAGTGCCAAAGTAACGGGTGCTTAATGATCTATCCCCATCAGGGAAGGTTTCCTGGAGGAAGAAAAATATGCTTTGTGTGTTTTAAAAGAAGAATTGCAATTTTTCCAGATACATAGAGGGTATGAGTCTGTATGTATTACAGACTCAGGGAAAAGTATGTATAAAAGCACAAAAACGTATACTTAATTCTACTGATATTTATACTGATTCTACTGATATTTATTTAGTGTCTGTTATGTTGGTACTGTATTCAGCTCTGGTTTTTGAAGCTGAATTCACAGTAACAGAAAGCTAATAAGTATATTAAACAGAATACCATAAATGATAATTTGGGCTAAAAATTTTAATTGTGTAAGACCAAACTGTTTTAATTGATAATTTTTATTATAAAAAGTGTTTACAGGGAAAAAAATCACTGGGTTGTAATAAAAGTTCTTATAGGTTTGCTAAATATAGTATTATGAGGCAATATTGAGGGGGAAACATAGCTAAAGTAGGAAGTAAATTAATCCTCAGTTGCACCACGGGAGAACAGTGTAAAGCAATGATTCTCAACACTTGTTTCACATGAGAATCATCTGAGTAACTTTAGAAAATACTGATGCCAGAGCCCCACCTGTAGAGATTCTGAAGGAATTGATCTAGGGGCCAGGCAATTGGATTCATTATTTCGCCATTGGAGATTCTATGAACAAAGATTCTAAAGCCTCTTGGTTTAAAGAGATTAAAATAATGAGTACATATTTTTAACTGACACATTGTTTCTAAAATTAAACCAGAGATTTTGTGTTATTTTAGTTACTGTTTTGTGATCATTTTTCATGATGCATTCTCCGCTTGTTTCTTTCAGTATTTTTTATGTACAAAGTGTCATGTGAAATACTGTCATGAATACATAGAGAAATAAAATATCTCTGCTTTTAAGGGGCTCGCAGTTTAGTGAAGAAGACAAAGCTATACAAATGACTATCATATAAGCAGTGTGCCTTGATATAGAGAAAAAAGGAAGGGCAGTCCACTTCCTGGTGGGGCTCAATGAAATGATTTTTATGGCCAAATAGCTATTTAGTTCTGTTGTCAACAAAATGTGGCCTACATCTGTCTGACCTTCCTCTAGTAGTGATACAATATTTTATCTGAGCCTTTGAAATGTAATAGCAAGGATTATTTACTTAACTCTTTCAATATTTAGATGTTAAAGAAGTATGTTTTTTAATACTGTGCCACCTTTTATGTCTGTTTGAATACTACTGCAAACAACTTCTGTTCATCCTGATTTACAATCAGGCTAATCAAATCCCAAGTTCAGGAGTTGGCATGGTAGCTAGTCAGGCAGGCTTCTTTCTGAAAATATGACAGCGATGAATGCTTGTAATCCATAAAACATGAGAAATTCAATACTCCATGTGTGGTTTTCTTCATTTTCGGTTCAGATGAATGATCAGAAAACCTGTGGTTTTTTCATAGGTCTTTTAAAGTGGTGTTTGAAAAAGATCTTTAAACCCACTATCAGAAAAGGGGAAGGTCTATAATGGCTACTGGTATTGACCTTGTTACTATGGAAACATCATTTTAGTGGTTATGTTTTAAAAATAAAATACAATTCAATTTCCTTTTCCATAACTTATAGGGCCATAAATTCTACTTTTTGATACGATTTCAGATATCTCACAGTCCAATGACTTTCAGGTTTTTTGGAAATTATGTTCAGATTTATGGTATTTTCTAACCTTTTGCTTTCTAAAAACTGAGGTGGCAAGGAAATTTAATTGCTTTTCAGAAAGTGTGCTAGTATAAAAATACAATAACAGTTCTCCCAATTTTTTTCTAACTAGAATCAGAGGCATTATCACTGTTAAAAAAAAACCCTTCATTTAATGCCTTATTAATATTCAATTCTTTACATTCAGAATGGAAATTATAACATGCAGTCCAAATTTACAACTATTTTCCCCTCATATGACATCTTTCTTACAGCATTTTAATCGTGTGGTATTCTAAACAAAATTCCAAAAAGTGAGTCCATACTTTAAATTTTAATCTCAATGCACATTAGTTTCCTTAACCCTTATACATTCAAACCCTGAATTCTGCAGTTTTATGCTACACATAAAGAAGAACTAGAGGGGGTTAAGAAAAGGATTTTTAAAAATGGGTAAAGACAGAGGAAGGCTACATATTTAAGGAAAGAAATGATTCATTCTGACGAATATTAGCCACTGAATTTTTAAGTTCAGGGGTACATGTGCAGGTTTGTTATATAGGTAAACTTGTATCATGGGAGTTTGTTGTACCGATTATTTCGTCACCTAAGTATGAAGCCTAGTACCCATTAGTTATCTTTCCTGATCTTCTTCTTTCTCCCAACTTCCACCCTCTGATAGGTCCCAGTGTGTGTTGTTCCCCTCTCTGTGTCCATGTGTTGTGATCTTTTAGCTCCCGCTTATAAATGAGAATATGTGTTCTTTACTTTTCTTTTCCTGCATTAGTTTGCTAAGGATAATGCCCTCTCCAGCTCAATCCACGTTCCTGCAGAGGACATGATCTTTTTATGGCTGCATAGTATTCCATGGTGTACATGTACCACATTTTCTTTATCCAGTCTGCCATTAATGGACATTTAGGTTGATTCCATGTCTTTGCTATTGTGACCATTTACATGTTTTTATGATAAAACCATCTATATTCCTTTGGTATATACTCAGTAATGGGATTGCTGGGTCAAATGGTAGCTCTGTTTTTCAGATCTTTGAGGAATCACCACACTGTCTTCCACAATGGTTGAACTTATTTACACTCCCACCAATGGTGTATAAGTGTTACTTTTTCTCTGCAATCTTGCCAGCAGCTGTCATTTTTTTACTTTTTAAATAATAGCCATTGTGACTAGTGTGAGATGATATGTCATTGTGGTTTTGATTCACATTTCTTTAATGATCATTGATGCTGAGCTTTTTTTCATATGAATGTTGGTCACAATTACGTCTTTTGAAGAGTGTTCATGTCCTTTGCCTACTTTTTAATGGTTTATTTTTTTCTTGTAAATTTAAGTTCCTTATAAGATGCTATATATTAGACCTTTGTCAGATGCATAGTTTGCAGAAATTTACTCCTATTCTGTAGGTTGTCTGTTCACTTTGTTGATTGTTTCTTTTGCTGTGCAGATGCTCTTCAGGTCGAGTAGATCCTATTTGTCAATTTTTGCTTTTGTTGCAATTGCCTTTGGCATTTTCGTCATGAAATATTTGCCCGTTCCTATGTCCACAATGGTATTGCCTAGGTTGTCTTCCAGGCATTTTATAGTTTTGAGTTTTACATTTAAGTCTTTAATCCATCTTGAGTTAATTTTTGTGTATGGTGTAAGGAAGGGGTCCAGTTTCAATCTTCTGCGTTTGGCTAGCTAGTTATCCCAGGATCATTTATTGAATAAGGAGTGCTTTCACCATTGCTTGTTTTTGTCAGATTTGTCAAAGATCAGATAGTTGTAGCTGTGCAGCCCTAATTCTAGGCTTTTTATTCTGTTCCATTGATCTATGTGTTTGTTTTTGTATCAGAACCATGCTGTTTTGCTTACTGTAGCCCTTTAGTGTAGTTTGAAGTTGGGTAGCGTGATGCCTCTGGTTTTGTTCTTTTTGCCTAGGATTGCCTTGGCTATTCAGGCTTTTTTTTGGTCCCATGTGAATTTTAAAATAGTTGTTTCTAGTTCTGTGAAGAATGTCATTGGTAGTTCAATAGGAATGACATTGAATCTGTAAATTGCTTTGGGCAGTGTGGCCATTTTAACAATATTGATTCTTCCTATCCATAAGTGTGGAATTTTTTTTTTCCATTTGTTTGTGTCATCTCTGATTTTTTTTTTTTTTTTTTTTTGTGGGGGATCAGTATTTTGTTGCTCTCATTGTAGAGATCTTTCACCTCCCTGCTTAGCTGTATTCCTAGGTACTTTTTGTGTGTGGCAATTGTGAATGGATTGCCTTCCTGATTTGGCACTCTGCTTGACTGTTGTTGGTTTATAGGAGTGCTAGTGATTTTTATACATTGATTTTGTATCCTGAAGCTTTGCTGAAGTTGTTTATCAGCTTATCTTTTTTGGCTGAGACTATGGGGTTTTCTAGATATAGGATCATGTCATTTGCAAATAGGGATAGTTTGACTTCCTCTCTACTTATTTGCATGCCCTTTATTTCTTTCTCTTGCCTGATTGCTCTGGCCAGGACTTCCAGTACCATGTTGAATATGAGTGGTGAGCCAGGGCATCCTTGTCTTATGCTGGTTTTCAAGTGGAATGCTTTCAGCCTTTGCCCATTTAGTATGATGTTGGCTGTGGTTTAGTCACAGATGGCTTTTATTATTTTGAGGTATGTGCCTTCAATTCCTAGTTTATTCAGAGTTTTTAACGTGAAGCGGTGTTGAATTTTATCAAAAGCCTTTTTGGCATTTATTGAGATAATCATATCGTTTTTGTCTTTAGTTCTTTTTATGCAATGAATCACATTTACTGATTTGCATATATTGAACCAACCTTGCATCCCAGGGATAAAGCCTACTTGATTGTGGTGGATAAGCATTTTGATGTGCTACTGGATTTGGTTTGTCATTATTTTGTTGAGTATTTTTGCATTGATGTTCACCAAAGATATTGGCCTGAAGTTTTTTTTTTGTTGATGTTGTTTCTCTGCCAGATTTTGGTATCAGGATGATGTTGGCCTCTTAGAATGAGTTAGGGAGGAGCCCCTCCTCCTCAATTTTTTGGAACAGCTTCAGCAGGAATGTACCAGCTCTTCTTTGTACATCTGGTGGAATTCAGCCGTGAATCGTTCTCGTCCTGGGCTTATTTTGGTTGGTAGGCTATTTATTATTGATTCCATTTCAGAGCTCATTATTGGTCTCTTCAGGGATTCAGTTTCTTCTTGGTTCAGTCTTGGGAGGGTGTATGTATCCAGGAATTTATCCATTTCTTCTAGAGTTTCTAGTTTATGTGCATGGAGGTGTTCATAATATTCTCTAATTTTTATTTGTATTTCTGTGGGGTCAGTGGTAATATTCCCCTTGTCGTTTTTAATTATATTTATTTGGATCTTCTTGCTTTTCATCTTTATTAGTCTAGCTGGCTATCTATTTTTGAATTTTAAAAAAAAACAGCGCCTGGATTCATTGATCTTTTGAATGTTTTTTGTGTTTCAAATCCTTCAGCTCTGATTTTGGTTATTTCTTGTCTTCTGCTAGCTTTTGGGTTTTCTCTTGGTTCTTTAGTTCTTTTACTTGTAATGTTTGGTTGTTAAATTGAGATCCTTCTAACTTTTTGATGAGGAGCCACTGAATTTTTTGATGATGTATAAATTATCATCCTTTATGTTGCAAATGTAAAGAAGCACAGAACCTTAACTGGTTGAAGCAAAAGAGAATTTACTTCCCTTAACTGTAAGTTCAAGGTTAGTCCTATTATTAGGTATGCTTGGATTTAAGAGCTCAATTAATGAAATCAGACATCGTCTCTCTTTTACCATCTGTCTGTGCTTCCTGTTTGGCTGTAGTTTCTGAAAGCTTTTCTCCCTGAAAGATGGTAGCAGCAATCTCAACCTACATCAATTCAAGTTCAAGTCCATAGAAAGAGAAAGAATTTTCTCTTTTAAGGTACCTCCAACTTCACTCACAGAATTAGTTCTGATTGGCTATAACAAAGATGTATGATGATTACAGACCCTATCATCATGGCCTATATTGAGTTGTTTGCCTTTAGGTTACATGCCCACACCTGGATCTAGGGATAGGATGAACCCAACTAAAGCACTTGAAATAAAAATGGGGAAAAGGGTATCCCAAAGGACAGTGATGCCAACAGAAGGCGGAGTAGCCATTGCAGGGTGCAAACTACATATGTCCACTTCAGTGATGGGAATTTCAATCAAATGGTATGGGTGGAAGCCAGGTTAGAGAAAATTAAGATGTAAGTGAGTGATAGGAAAGTGAATTTGGAATATCCTTCTTCCTATTTTGCCCTCCTCTGCCCTTCTCTTATTCTTTTATGAAGAACATCTATGAATGAAAGTAACATGGCAAAACAGTGGCTTGAGAGAGTAAGAGCTCTAAAAAAATACCATCTTTATCATGGGATATATTGAACATGTGACATAGACTAAGTCAAAACTTAGAACCCAAAGTCCTCCATGAGATGATGAAAGGCTAGACTTTAGGATACAGTTAGGGTGATCTTGGAGAGGAGCTAAGATACTTTGTCCTTTTGAAACAATAGGATAAGAATATAAGGAGTAAATTGTGAACACATTCTAAAGATCAGTGAAGGGAATTTGAGTATTCATGCCTGATAACCTATATTTTTTCAAAGATGAGATGATTATCTGAGAGTGCGGTAAATAGGAGTAGGTTCAGAACATGAATATTCTGGTTGGTTAAATTTCCTATTGGTCTCACCATAGGAAGTGAGAAGGGATCTACACATAGAAATAAAATAATAATGTATTTGTTAAATTATCTTTAGTTATCTTCTGTGTGTTTTCTTCTATGTATATTTTCTGTCTCTCACTATATTGTAAGCACTGTGAGAAGAGAGATTACATTTGCTTTGTTCACACTATATACCCATTACTCAGCAAAGTGTCTAACAAAGAATTAGAATTCAGCAAAGAATTGCTGAATCATCAACTGGATGCATGAATGAATCTATGTGCCTTCTGGTTTTAGCCCATTCAACTTGGGGATTAACTGACCAAAATTTTGAAGTAATGAGACAATAAAACATTGTCTTGAGACAAATAAAAATTTCATACAAACACTGTCAAAGAAAATTTGCCTAAGGCTACTTTCATGCTGGTAAAATTTGCTAACTAATTTGCTAAAATACCAATTGACTCCAGGCTCTGCAACACTCACTGTTAGAGCTAGTGGTATGTTTTACCAGGAAGATTGCCTACATGAAAGAATGCATAGAACTATTGCTTTATCTGAGTCTACATAAAAATAGGAAAGATATTTGCAAGATAATATATGCTCAGGGAGGATTAGTCCAGTCCCTGTGTTAGTGGAGCTAGAGGAACAGCCTAGGCTCCTCAATATTAAGTACTTATTTCACCCACCATTAGTTATTTTATAAATGGAATCCATCCACAAATGGATGAACCTGTTCTTTGAACCAATAACATTTTATTAAATGTCTAACTGATGCCAGTCACTCTTCCAGGTACTGGGACTATAAGATGAAGAAAGCACAGTCCTTGACCTCAGATCCTTATAGTTTGTGGAACAAACTTATGAAAGACAGTCTCAATATAATAAGTAATAGAATTATGAGTAAGTGCTATGGAAACAGAGGAAGGGTCCTTAGCCTAACCTGTGCAGGCAGGTAATATTTCAGGATAAGAAAATACATGGCTTTTTGTTTTAAAAAATAAACAAGCATAAGTTGAGTCAAAAAGGGACATGGGGGACGGGAAGTTGGTAGGGACAGGTTGGAAGATACTGTTGGCAGAAATGTGTGTGATGCAGAGATGAGATACATATAACAGCAGATGAAGTTTGAAGTTCTAACATTAGGAAGAACTTGGAGAAGAGGGATACTTTGCCATTCGCTGGGGGAGCTACCATATAAAAATAAAGGCCCTCCTTTGATAATTTTCTCCAAAACCATTTTTTTACATTGCTTCTCAAATGCATTTTATCATAGTTTTACCAAGTGTCATATCTCCATATTATCTCTTTTGAAAAACTGCTGAAATTGGTTCTGTTCTTACTCAGTCTTTCTATGCTACAGTAACAAAATACCACAGACTGGGTAATTTATAAAGAACAGAAATTTGTTTGTCACAGTTCTGGAGGCTGGGAAGTCCAAGATCAAGGCACTAGCATTTGAAAGTGTCTGGAGAGGGCTGCTCTTTCTGCTCCCAAGATGACACCTTGAACTCTGCTTCCTCTGGAGGGGACAAATCCTGCATCTTCACGAGGAGGAAGGGATGGAAGAACAAAAAGACGCTGAACTCACTTCCTCAAGCACTTTTATAAGGGTGCTAATCTCATCTATAAGGGCTCTGCCCTAATGGCCTAATTACCTCCTAAAGGCCCCACCTCTTTTTTTAATTATTATTATTATAATTTAAGTTCTAGGGTACATGTGCACAACGTGCAGGTTTGTTACATATGTATACATGTGCCATGTTGGTGTGCTGCACCCATTAACTCGTCATTTACATTAGGTATATCTCCTAATGCTATCCCTCCCCCCTCCCCCCACCCCACAACAGGCCCTGGTGTGTGGTGTTCACCACCCTGTGTCCAAGTATTCTCATTGTTCAATTCCCACCTATGAGTGAGAACATGCGGTGTTTGATTTTCTGTCCTTGCGATAGTTTTCTCAGAATGATGGTTTCCAGCTTCATCCATGTCCCTACAAAGGACATGAACTCATCCTTTTTTATGGCTGCATAGTATTTCATGGTGTATATGTGCCTCATTTTCTTAATCCAGTCTATCATTGATGGACATTTGGGTTGGTTCCAAGTCTTTGCTATTGTGAATAGTGTTGCAGTAAACATACGTGTGCATGTGTCTTTATAGCAGCATGATTTATAAACCTTTGAGGCCCCACCTCTTAGTATTGTTTCACTGGGGATTAAGTTTCAACCTTAATTTTAGAGGGGATGCAAACATTTAAACCATAGCACCCACTGATCCTGACTTCCCTATCACCACAAGCTATACAGCTTCTGTATTTAGAAAGTAACTAGGGTTTTGGTGATTCTAAGCTGAAAGCTGTGCCAGTGTATAAAAGGAAATGAGCCTAGAGAGTTTGGCAGAGATGAAGATGAAGGAAAGCTTTACATGTGGTGGTGAGAAACTTGGATTTGTTCTTTAGTTGATAGGGCATTGAAAGTTCTTAAACAGGTGAGTAACTAGATCGAGTCTCAATTTTAATTGGACTTCTCTTCCAGTGGAGGCAAGGACAGATGGGAATATAAAGACCTGGAAGGAGGCTATCTATAGCAAACCAAGCATCCAGGCAAAAGGATTCCATTTTCCAGTGGAAATGATATAAGGATAAGACTGGTAATGAAGAGGAGGAGAAGCTCAAGTAATTTTAAGCTGGTAAAATCAGGAGAACTTAGTGACTGATTGAATGAAGGCACTAAGGGTACAGGAGTTACCTAGGGTGATACCAAAGTTTCCAGCTTGGAGAACTATATGGGTAGATGGCCCAGAACTCACTGCCAAAGGAATAAAATAGAAGAGTCTGCCAGCAAACTAACACTTATTAAATGTCTACTGGGTAAGTCACTCTTCTAGGTACTGGGGCTATTAAGACCAATATATCACACTCCTTTTCTGAAGACCTCTTACAGCTTATTAGAATGTGGAGTGGGGCAAAGATCACATAAGAGATAACCTCAGTGGACTATTTAATAGAATTATGAATACGCTGCTAGGGAGACATACAGAGGTCTACCTTCTTTTATGTTATTTACCAGGATAGGAAGGGAAGATGATCTGGAAAAAATATATAGTATATTTTAAATATATCCTCATTTTGTGGGATCCTTGTGGGAAGAGGAGTAGAAGTCACCCAATCTTTTGGAAATGCAAGTCTGGATTTCGGAGAGGGTGATGTGGAAAACTGTACAGGGACTGCATATAAAGTGAAGAGAAGCACAATCCAAGTAGAACCCTAGTGACAAAGAATTATCTGGACATCACATCTGAAGTTACATTTATTTTTAGTTTAAATTCACATGATATTTTAATTCTGTTTTGTGAAAAAGCACAACAAAGAACCAAAGCGACACCCATAATTCTCACAAGTTTTCATCATGTTAAAAAAGTGAAATCCTGCCCCCTCCCACCTATACTCTGCCCTTTTAATCCAAACCCACAGAGGTAAACACAGTTAACACCAATTTTAAAGCATTAACAGAGGAATTAGAGAACGCCCAGTAGGTGACAGAATAAGAATTAAAAGAGACTGGTGTCCCAAATGGCAAAAATGAAGTATTTGTGATGTTTATGGTGCCAAGCTGGGCTAGCTTTTTATATGATTCATATTTTAAAAATTTATATTTCAGGCCGGGCACAGTGGCTGACGCCTGTAATCCCAGCACTTTGGGAGGCTGAGGCGGGCAGATCACGAGGTCAGGAGATCGAGACCACAGTGAAACCCCGTCTCTACTAAAAATACAAAAAATTAGCTGGGCGCGGATACAAAAAATTAGCCGGGCATGGTGGCTGGTGCCTGTATTCCCAGCTACTCGGGAGGCTGAGGCAGGAGAATGGCGTGAACCCAGGAGGCAGAGCTTGCAGTGAGCCGAGATTGCGCCACTGCACTCCAGCCTGGGCGACAGAGCGAGACTCCATCTCAAAATAAATAAATAAATAATAAATAATAAATAAAATTTATATTTCAGCAAAAAATTACCATAAAGTTTTATGTAAATTTTAACTAGAAATCAGCTTTTTAATAAGTTTATTTTTGAAGAGTTTATTTTGGTTTAATGAATATTTGATCCATTGTCTTTTTTAATTAGAAATGATTTGCATCAAGCTTTTCTTACAGGATGTACAGGAACTAATTAGAATATATACTTTTAAAATAATTTCAACTTGTATTTTATATTCAGGGGATACAGGTGCAGGTTTGTTACATGGGTTTATTGGATGACACTGAGGTTTAGAGTACAAGTGATCCAGTCACCTGTACAAATGATCCCGTCATTACTATGGTAGTGAGCAGAGAACCCAATAGGTATTTTTTCAACCTTTGCCCCCTCCTTCTTTCCATTCTTTAGTAGTCTGTATTCCCAGTTCCAGTGTCTGTTGTTCCCATCTTTATATCCACATGTACCCAATGTTTAGCTCCTACTTATATGTGAGAACATATGGCATTTGCTTTTCTGTTCCTGTGTTAATTTGCTTAGGATAATGGCCTCCAAGCTGCATCCATGTAGCTGCAAAGGACATGATTTCATTCTTTTTTATGGCTGCATAGGATTTCATGGTGTATATGTACCATATTTTCTTTATGCAATCCACTGTTGATGGGCACCTAGGTTGATTTTACGTCTTGGCTATTGTGAGTACTGCTGCAGTGAACATACAAGTGCATGTGACTTTTTTGTAGAGTGATTTATTTTCCTCTGGGTGTGTACCCAGTAACGGGACTCCTTGGTTGAATGGTAGTTCTGTTTTAATTTATTTGAAATATCTCCAAACTGCTTTCCACAGTGGCTGCACTAATTCACATTCCCACCAATAGTGTATAAGTGTTCCCTTTTCTCCACAGCCCCACTAACATTTGTTTTTTTTTTTTATTTTTCAAGACAGGGTCTTGCTCTCTCATCCAGGCTGGAGTGCAGTGGTGCAATCATGGCTCACTGCAACTTTGACCTTCTAGGCTCAAGCAATCCTCCTACCTCAGCCTCCTAAGTAACTGGGACTACAGGTGTGCACCACCACGCGTGGCTAATTTTTTTTTTATTTTGTAGAGATGGGGTCCCAGTTACGTTGCCCAGGCTGGAAGCATCTGTTTTTTGTTTGTTGTTTGTTTTTACTTTTTAATTATCGCTATTTCTACTAGTGTGAGATGGTATCTCATTGTGGTTTTGATTTGCATTTCTCTGATAATTAGTAATGTTGAGCATTTCTTCATATGTTCATTGGCTATTTGTTTGTCTTCTTCTTTTGGGAAATGTCTGTTCATATCCTTTGCCCACCTTTTAATGGAGTTATTTGGTTTTTGCTTGTCAAATTAAGTTCCTTACAGATTCTGGATATTGGAACTTTGTCATATACAGAGTTTGTAAATATCTTCTCCCATTCTGTAGGTTGTCTGTTTATTCTGTTGATAGTTTCTTTTGCTGTGCTGAAGCTTTTTAGTTTAATTAGGTCCCACTTGTCAGTCTTTGTTTTTGTTGTGATTGCTTTTGAGGCCTTAGCCATAAATTCCTCGCCAAGGCCAATGTCGGGAAGGGTATTTCCTAGGTTTTCTCTAGGATTTTTATAGTTTGAGGTCTTACATTTAAATCTCTAATCCATCTCAAGTTAGTTTTTGTATATGGAAAAAGGTAGGGGTCTAGTTTCATTCTTCTGCATATGGTTAGCCAGTTATCTCAGCACCACTTATTGGCTAGGGAATCCTCTCCCCATTGCTTATTTTTGTCGACTTTGTCAAAGACCAGATGGTTGTAGGTGTGTGGCTTTATTTCTGGATTCTCTATTCTGTTCCATTGGTCTATGTGTCTGTTTGTGTACTAGTATGATGCTTCTTTGGTTACTGTAGCCTCATAATATAGTTTGAAGTCAGATAATGTGATGCCTCTGGCTTTGTTCTTTTTATTCAGGGTTGTTTTAGCTAATGGGGCTTTTCTCATTCCATACGAATTTCATAATAGTTTTTTTCTAAATTTAAAAAATGATGTTGGATAGGAATAGTGTTGAATCTGTAGATTGCTTTGGGTAGTATAGTTCTTTTAATGATATTGATTCTTCCAATCCGCAAGCGAAGACTGCTTTTCCCATTTGTGTGGGTGTGCGTTTTTAAATGAATCAGTTTTAATGTTCAGAGTGATTCCTAAGAAGGATTCTCCTGAGCAGCTTTATATATTAATGTAAACCAAGGTTTTGTCTATAGAACAGAATCAGAATACAAGTGAGCTGAGAGTGAGGAAGTGACAGAGCCTTCAGTGGATGCAGGAGCTGGGGGAAGAGGTCAGATCTGCTTGTCATTAATAGCTTGTGGTGTGACAGGCAACATGGAGCCTTTGTTTTGTGTCATCCAAAGCACTCAACTCCCGGATGTGTCTGACTAAAAACATGAGGCTCTTACAACAAAAATGCAGACTCTGCCGGAATTGTATATTTGAAAGTGCTTCTGTTTAGCTGAAAGAGTTTGGGCGGGTATCATAGAGAGGCATGATGTTTTTTGATTCTCCTGATCCAGAGGTTTAAGTTCTGAGGCTCCTTTTTATCAGTCTATAGAGACTGGAGCTCCCTTTGATGGGACTTGCTTTCTTCTACATTGCCTTATTGTTATTCACCTGTTATAAAGATAAGAGTTTGTCTTTCAAACCAGGATAAAATTTCAGAATGCAAGAATCCAAACTGAGACAATATTACAAAATGAATTTAACTCCCCAAAGCTCTCCATCTCCAACCACAACCCCCATAAACACAAACGATTTATTAAAAATATATAATGAAGCATTTGTTTAGATTTTCCAGGGTAAGGGAAGTAATTAATTGTAAAAGTGTTTGCTGTTCTAAGGCTACAAACTGCTATAAGCCAGTCCCTATTTTTGGTAGTACTAAAATATTTTGAAACACGAATCATTGCTGTTAAAATGATCTAAATTTTACAGTAACCATTATTTGCCTAGATCTTTTTAAAGCTTCCTAAGGTATTGTAAGGAATACTGCTTCTTTTCAATGTTACTTTTATGTGCATTTATTCAACGTGTTTATTTTTCTCAAAAGAATACATTCACAGGCCAGGTGAGGTGGATCACACTTGTAATCTCAGCACTGTGGGAGGCCAAAGCAGGAGGATCCCTTAGACCAGTGGTTCAAGACCAGCCTAGACAACATAGCAAGACCCCCACCTCTACAAAAAAAAAAAAAATTAAAAATATAGCCAAGTGTGGTGGCATGTACCTATAGTCCAGCTTACTTGGGAGGCAGAGGCTGGAGGACCTCTTGAGGCCAGGAGTTTGAGGCTGCAGTGAGCTATGATCACACCACTGCCTGGGGTTACAGTGAGACCCTGTCTCACAAATAAAATAAAGTAAAATAAAATAAAATTTATTAACTTGATTTTATGAAATCAAAGATTACAAATGGCTTTTAATGAAATAGAGTAGCCTCCTACCAAAACCTTTTTTATTTCAACCCTTTAAGCCTTATCTCTTGGCATTCACATCTCTATTTCTAAGTAATATGAGTCTAAGTGCCTTTTTTGGTGTCTCACTGTTATCTTCTCTTACAGTAGATGAAGATTTAGCTCTCTCAAGCTATCTTTCCTCTTCTTAAATACATGGAGAATACCACAACTTTTAAAATTAAGTTTATGTTTCTCTTCTTGTACACTTTTCCTTTTTTTTTTCTCTACAATTACCACTTGATTTCAGTTTTGTGTTTATCTGGATGTCCAGTTTAGCTTTTGAATTTGATCATTTTTGTTACTTCTTTTCCAGATGCTCAAACATATAATCTATAATTTTATTATTTTTCCTGAACACATCCATCCCAGAGCCTTCAGCTCTGCCCTCCATTCTAGACAGATTGCTTTCTCACTTTGCTCCCCCATGATCATCCTAGGACTTCCTTTTACCTCCTTTTTGTGTTGTATACCCTCTATCCATGATCCCAGATCTTCCGTTTTCTTTCCTTTCTCCTTTTGTTGGAGCATTCTCGGTAGCTTTCTGGTATCTCTGAGTCCTGCACACACAGGGGTTTTGTAAAGTGAATCACCTCTTTCTCATCATGAGCTCCCTCTACATGGTTGCAACATCTTCTACTCTCAATAGTCATCACAGAAGTATCCAGTTTCGTTTTCATAGAGTGTCTTCTCCTCGGATATCTCTTCTCCCACTATCCTCTCCCTCATGAATTTATTCCTCTTTTAAATTTCTTTAGTAGCATTTTAGTGGGGTCTTAGAAAAAAGAAAAGATAAACTTATGTGGCCCATCTACACATGTTTAATTGGGTGTCCAAGTTTAACTTTTGATTATTAATTTGCATGGGGGTTTAAGTTAAAATTCAAACATTTTATTTAAAATATATTTTCTGCCTTAGGAAAGTTATTTCTTTCTTCCTTCCTTTCTTTTTTTTTTTTTTTTTAACGGAGTCTTGCTCTGTCACCCAGGCTGGAGTGGAGTGCAGTGGGGCACAATCTCTGCTCACTGCAACCTCCACCCCCCAGGTTCAAGTGATTCTCCTGCCTCAGTCTCTTGAGTAGCTGGGATTACAGGCCCACGCCACCACACCCGGCTAATTTTTGTATTTTTAGTACAGACGGGGTTTCACCATGTTGGTCAGGCTGATCTCGAACTCCTGACCTTGTGACCCACCTCCCTCAGTCTCTCAAAGTGCTGGGATTACGGACGTGAGCACCACGCCTGGTCTATGGAAGTTATTTCATTTGGGCAGGGGGCGTACACTAGGCTGTAAATAGAATACCTTGCAAGGTTATATCTTGGAACATACACCCTATAGATAAGGGGGGAGTACTGTGTATATACTGTATACTATTTCTTGATCATGGCCCTCTGTATTCACAGCTTCTGCATGTGCAGACACAACCAACTGTGGACAGAAATATTGGAAAAAAATTAAAAATAACAATATGACAATAATGATACAAATTTTAAAATACAGTATGACTACTATTTATATAGAATTTACATTGTATTAGATATTGTAAGCAATCTAGAGATAATTTAAATTATATAAAAGTATGTGCTTAAGTTATATGCAAGTATTAAACCATTTTATATCAGGGACTTGAGCATCCATGGCTTTTGATATCCAATGGAGGGTCCTGGAACCAATCCCTCCCACATACCAAGGGACAACTGTGTATGCATGACCAATGTCATCTTCCAGCTTTTAGCTTACCTTTGTATTTTTAAATGTGTATATAAATAATTTTATCATATGGATGTTTTATATTTACCTTCCATTGATTTTATTGTTTATCTTTATTATAACTTTAATATTATGGGGTTTTTTTGAGTTTTAAATTTCTTTTCCTCCTTCAATATTTTATTTATTTTATTTTATTCATTTTGAGGCAGGGTCGTACTCTATTGACCAAGCTAGAGTGCAATGGGGTGATCATGGCTCACTGCAGCCTCAACCTTCCAAGCTCAAGTGATTCTCCCATCACAGCTTCTCGAGTAGTTGGGTGTATAGGCACACACCATCATGCCTGGCTAATGTTTTTATTTTTTGTAGAGCCTGGATCTCCCTGTGTTGCCCAGGCCAGTCTTGAACTCAAAGCAATCCTTCTGCCTCGGCCTCCCAAAGTGCAGGGATTTCAGGCGTGAACCATCATGCCCAGCCTCAATATTGTATTTTATTCTTTGATTTCTTTTTTTCTGTATTTTATTATTTGAATTTAAAAATTAATTTGGGGTAAATTGATGTTTATATGATATTGAGTCTTCCCATTTGTGTGTATGGATATGGTATATTTCTCCATTTATTTGTGTCTTTCAATAAAAGTTTAACATGACGTTAAAATCATGCACATCTTTTAAAGTATTTAGTGTTTTTGTTGTCACTGCCACTTAAAAAAACATTTTAATTGGTCATTGTTTGTGTACATCAGCCCACTTGATGTTTTCTGTGTATTGAACTTGTATCCAGTAACCTTGCTGAATACTCTTATTTTCCATATGCATAAATTTTCCATATGTGTAATTATGTTGTGTACAAATAATTTACACAATCTTTTCAATGATTACACATCACTTATTTTATTGAATCAGCTAGGAATATCAATAATATATTCAGGATGCAGTGATATTGAACATCCTATCTGGTTTCATCCCTTAAGTAGAGTATTTCTAACTTTTCACTTTTAAATATGCCATTTGCTATAGGATTTGGTGGACATTCCTTATCCAGTAAAGGAAGTTCTATTTTATTATTAGTTTGCTCACCATGTTTTTCAAAATAAATACTGAGTTGTATGCTTTTCTATATATTTTGAAATGGTCATAAGCTTCTTTCCTTCATTAATCTGTTAATGTGGTAAATTACACCAATATCTATTAATATAACAGCTATTAATAAATATTGATTATATTAATATTTTGTTATTAAACTCCCCTTGCATTTATTGAAAAAATATTCGTAGTCATAATTCCTTATCTTATAAATTGCTTGATGGCATTTGATTTCATATTTCAGCATTTACAGTTTAAAGTCAAAAGGTCTATAACTTTATGTTTCCATCCAGGTTGAGTATCAAAGTTTCAGCAATCTCATAAAATATACCCGAGAACTTTCTTCTCTCTCTTTTTTTTTTTTCCTGTACAACTGATTGTATCTGGAACTCAATCCTAGGCTATTTTATAAATGATTGGAAAGCCATATTCAATATCTGTTTCCTTCTCTTTCCCTAGATTTAGACATATGCATTTTCCTATCTGTAACATCTTTTTTGGCACTTTCCATCTTATAAAATCATCATCATTATGATGAACAGAGAAAATCCAAAATTATCTCTAGGTATTGTTTCACACTCCGGGAATATACCCAAGGAACCATATGGACCCAGGGAAAAAATTTAAATGGAAGAGAAAAAATGAAAATGAAACTTCTACATTTTATTACTAATATAAGATTTAAAAAGTAGGACACCACCACAATCTGTACTAGGGTTGGGGAGTAAGGGTGAATATTTTCCAAGTGCAAAAACCATAAGAGGGAAAGCATACCATTTAAAGCATATTGCAAAGTTAGAGAATCCTCAAGTTTCTACAACTGTTAGTGCTGCCTGACTGAAATCATTTTCTAAGGATCATGTACAAAATATGTATTTTTTCCACATTAACATTGGAATTTAACAGGTATGCTGCTTTTAATGTCGACTGCTTTTAGAGTAGTGGAGGCAGCAGGTGGCAGTAGTTCCCACTCCCAAAACTGGGAATTGGAGCAAGTCTTATAACAATCTGTGGCCTCTCTTGCAGGCCTGCCTTTCTGTGAAGTTTCTTTGTGTCTGTAACTGCTCGTTTCATATATGGGAAAAAGGATGATATAATGCATAAATCCCACAAAGTGTGGACAACAAACAAGATTTTTTTGTATGTACCTTCTTTACATAGAGGATGAATAAACAAACTTATGAAATAGATGGGTCTTCATCTTTAGAATTTCTGTTTTTTATTGAAAATACCCAGCGCCTTTTCATGCTTCCTAGGAATATCCCTGTTCCATTCTTCATGCATTGTTTTGAGTCTTACTCAAGCCTTCCCTTCCCAGGGAAGTTGGCCATACTTTTAGACTTTTTGCTGCCTTTATTAATAATGCTGGATAATAACATTAATACTAATAACTGTTTATTGAACATGTGCTATGTGATAAACTCTCTTCCAGAAGTTTTACATATTTTATCTCATTTAATCTACACAGTCACTTAATGAGTTAGATACTACAATTATCCCCAGTTTATAAATGTTGAAATTGAAGCACAGAGAGGTCCTGTAACTTGCCTAAAATCACACAGCTAATAAGTGGAAGGAGGCCAGAAGAACAATTTAAGCTAACTGACCTTAGAGCCTCTGCTGTTCATCATTATTCATGATGTGTTAGCCAGGTAGACCTATCACTGCCAATATCAAATATTTTAATTCCACTAGGATGTAGCCTGTTTCAAGCTGTTTAAAGTGCATATATTTCCAAAATTCCCTTGAGAAATACATCTACAGTTGGGAATTTGAGGCCACTGTCAGATGGTTCTGCCTGGAAAAAACATGGGAGTGAATAAACCAGGAAGATAAATCTCAACTTCTTCACTAATTATTTGTGGAAGCTTGGCAAGTTATATCACCATCCAGAGCTTGATTTTCTTCATGTGTTAAATGGTGATAATAATACTTAAGTGTTATTTTGAAAATTAAATGAGATAACACAGTAGAGTTTCTAGAAGATAGTACATCCTCAATTAGTATTAGTTCATGTTTACCTCTCTCAATAAATTTTAGTGCTGACTAAATTTTTCTTGGGTAGGTTAAGCCTGAAAAAAATAAGAGCGGAATGAACAGCAGTAACTGGGCATTGTTAATTTTTGTATCTCCCTCAAAAGGTAGCTGAACTGGTAGGTGCATAATCAATGCTGTCTGTTAAATTGATGAGCAAATAAACAAATTCACAAAATTACATAGTCTGGATATTTTACATATGTAAAAATAGAATTTGTCCAAGTATTTGACATACATTTTAGAGGACTGGGGTTAAGAGATAACACTCATGCTCCTGGGAAATTTATTCATGATTACACAAGATTAATGGGAGCCCCTTATTAATTTCTGGCTTAAAGACACTCAGTTTATATTTGTGATACCATTTCTTGTTATCTGATATACTGATGCTTGTATTTATTTAACAATTTATCAAGTTAACTGATTTTTCTTCTAGACCAAAAACAGAAGACGCTTGGGTATTTGCAAAGCCCAATGCCATTCAAGCGGTCGGGGTTATGTCTTTTGGTGAGTATTTGGTTTCAAAGGCCCTTTCTCAATGTGGAGTTCTCTGTTCCATGAAAAAGTGCTGTGTTTCATATTTATGTCTGGATAGCAGATGTCCTAAGTTTTAGACTTCCTATTAGCAGCATATGATCTAGTTTGTGCCAATATAAAATTAGGCTCAAACTTTTCTCACTCATCACTAAAATTTGCTTCAATTTGGAGAAATCTATTTCTCATGCAGAAACTCATTACAGTCATCTTGTTTCTTAACTTGGAAGGCTAGCAAGTGTTATGGACTTCTTCAAACCCTTTATTATGTCCCAAATGGCAAAGGAAGCCACAGGATGAAAACGATGGGAAAAAGATTTCCTTCAGATGGGAAGGGTCATTAGGAAAAGGAAAATGAGAGAGAATGTTGGACTGGCCTGGTTTATATCAAGAGTAACATGAAAAGACCACATAAGCCTGATGTGAATGAATGGTCTCATTTCTAGAACTATTAGAAAAATTATTTTCTGACATATTAATAAAGTTGTATGTTTAAACTTCAGTTCATTGGCATCTAAAGTAGTATATATCTCTGAATTTCAGAACTAAAAAAGAAAACCCTGGTGCTTGATTTAATAATGCTCTTTTTTTTTGTATTGCAGCATTTATTTGCCACCATAACTCCTTCTTAGTTTACAGTTCTCTAGAAGAACCCACAGTAGCTAAGTGGTCCCGCCTTATCCATATGTCCATCGTGATTTCTGTATTTATCTGTATATTCTTTGCTACATGTGGATACTTGACATTTACTGGCTTCACCCAAGGTAAAATGAGAGATTCAGTTATAGTGTTCATGTGCATTGGTACAGGTATACCGAATGTTCTACTCATTATTGTTACAGGTATGCCCAGTGTTCTATTTCAAAGATTACTCTCTTCCACCCATTCTCTCTACCCTCCTGCCCCCCTGCTGTCTGTTTCCTAGTTTTTACCTTTTTAAACTGCTCAATTTAGTTCTGTAGCCCATACTCTCTCCTTCCACACACTGTCACTTCCTAGCACATGATTTTTGGCTTTCCTCCACTGCAGCTTCATTTTCAAAGGTACCAGTGGCCTCCCAATCTTCAGAGCAAATAGCTTCGATTTGGATTCTCCCGAATCTCTCTGAATCACTTAACAATACTGAACTTCCTTTCTTTGCTCAAATTTTCCTCCCTTAGAGGAAAGAGTATTATTATATTATCATTGTTATTCTTTCTCTCTGTTAATTTTTTTTCTGTTTTCTTTTTCTTTACCCTCTCTAATCCCCCACTCCACTCCATCCCACACCACCCAGATAACGGGCTCAAGCATATTGTTTTCTCTTCTCTCAAAAAAATTTCCCGGTACTTTCATTGTTTTAATTCTAACCCAGACCTTTCTTTTTGTCTCCAACCTGCTGCCTGTAGGACGTTTCTACTCAGTTGTTCTATATTTGTCTTAATCACAAAACATCATGTTTCCCTTAAAACCAGACCTTTTCTTCCTCCCTCCAAAGATATTTCTCTCTTTTTTTGCATTCACCCAGGCCCAGCAACTGAGCAGTCCTCTCTTCTACTTCCCTTGACCCTTACATTCAATCATCAGTGTAGTGTAGTAGTCAGGGCAGTCCAGCAGTAGGCTGTGATTTACATATTTCACAGCTCTTGCAGGTCTATTATCTCATTGACCTTCAGACAACCCTTTGAAGGGAAGTGGAATAACTAGTTTTACCCCCTGATTAAAACACAAAGAGGTGAAGTAACTTGCTCATGCTGGCTGATGACAAACCAGAAAACAAGTCTTCTGACTCTTAAGTTCAGTTTTCTTTCCATCCTCTTTCTGCCTGCCCTGTTTTGGTCAACCATGACCCTCTGAAAGTTGTCCCTTTGCCTCTAGCTCCCATTAGCTTAGTTTTCTGAAAACCTGGGTGCTCTTGGGAGGATGGCTGCCTTATTCTGAACAGAGGTTACAGATCACTATGACTTTAGGCAAATATTTCTCAAGAAATGAAGAAAGATGGCTTCAAAAAATAATGATTAACAAAATTCAAATGCAGTCAAAAATATAATACATGCCTGTGCCACTAGAGTGCAGTAACAAAGTGACCTTGAAACTTCTGATAAGAATTGTGTTCCAAAGCATTTCTATGTATCACTATTGCTACATAGTTTGCCAATGCAAATGGCCTATGGGCTCTGGTCTGTACAGGACCTTGGTTTTTAAATGCCTTTTCTGTAAGACATAACCTTTTTTGTTAGTTACATCTTCCTGGAGTTTTTATCAGTGGTAATTGCTCAGATATAATTAAATCTTTATAAAACAAAGCTGACAGGTTTTTAATGCCGTTTTCCCCCTAGCTGTAATTCTTTAAAATACAACTTAGATTCAGGCTGCAATAAGCTGACATTGTTTCTCCAGGCCACCTCTCCTTAGGTAAATCTAGTCTAATTTGTGCATACTGCATTCTTCTTTTCTAACCTCTTTCAGTAGATAAATTTCAGCTTGAGAGGCGGTGGGAACTCTAGATTCTCCTCGACATTTCTAGTGACTTTCGAAAAGACAATAGGGCTCATTTTTTTAGTGGAGGTTAGTGAACGGGGAACTTCAGTCCTTTTTTCTTAGAGTGCTGGAATCTTTTCAGTCAACCTTGAAGCAGGTTTCTGCCACCTTACTTTGTGTTTTAATCCCCTCCTGCCCAAAAGGGATGTTCTAAAGTAATGTAGATTTGTTCTAGTTGATGGGGGGAGGGGTGAGAGCCACTTAAAGTAAATCTTGGGAAGAGGCAAATTATTTAGGATATTCAGCTTTGTAATGAAAAAAACAGTACAGAGGTATTATAGCTTTTCTTCTTTTTAAATGGTGTAGTATTGAGTATTGATCTTAAAAAAATTTAATTTTCAATTAAGTTTAATTTTAAAAAGGTTACCACAATTTTAACATTTAAGCACGTTATATACAGAAAATCAGCAAGCCCAAGTACTCTGTTTCGGCATTAGTCATTGTTATATTTTTATTTTTTTTATTTCTTCCATGGACTACTGTACAGTTGTAGGTAATTGTTTTTTGATGACATGACATCTGTGCCCTAGTTAGATCCCTGTATTTCTTCATAGACAGTTGAGAAATATAGTCTCTAAATAAGAATTGTTTCAAGGTATATTTAGTCCATCATCTAGTCTGGAACTTATTAAATTTAATGTTCTTTCTGGGACATAGCCATATTTTCACAGTTTTGAATCAGTGCATTTACACTTGGGCTCATGAGGTGCCATGAAAGGTAACATATGTTTGGAATTTCTCGCTGTGGCCCCAAGGTTGGGATGAAACCCTATAGCATGATACACAGGAAATTCAGCTCCCCAGATGTACTGGTTTACTCTTCCTTTCAGGATTGTTCTTGATCTAAGAATAGCATTTCAAAAGGAAATTTGTTTATTTTTAACAGACATTTTTAAAAAATAATGAAGTCACTTACTCACCAGAAACAAAGACCAGAAACCAGTTTACAAAGCCAGTGCTGAAGAATTTAGGGAGTTGATTCTGATGTAAGAAGACAATGGATAAAGTATTTTTCAGAAGTCAGTACAAATTGGCAGCAAATCTACCAAAAACAAATAATAAGAGAAAAACTATCAGTGATGGATTTATCTTCACATGTAGCATGTACTGGTTTAAATCAGTGAATAACTACATAGTTATTGAATTCAAAAACTTTTATTTAGACCTGGTCATCTATTCTCTTAATTAAATGAAATGAAGTTTATGGAGATTCACTTATAAGTCATGTGTTGCTTAATGACAGGGAAACATTCTGAGAAATGCATTGTTAGGTGATTTCCTCATTGTGCAAACATCACAGAGTATACGTACACAAATCTAGATGGTAGCACCTATTACACACCTAGGCTATATGCTATAGCTTATTGCTCCTAGGCTATAAACCTCTACAGCATGTTTCTGTACTGAATTCTGTAGGCAACTGTAGCAGAATGGAAAGTATTTATGTATCTAAACATAGAAAAATATATAGTAAAAATACAGCATTGTAATCATATATGTGGGCCATTAGGTGATGCATAACTGTAATATCTAATATTTAATTTATTAGATAGTTATCTCAAACATTTAGTATCTAGTAAATAAACTTATTTTATATTACTATCTAGGGGACTTATTTGAAAATTACTGCAGAAATGATGACCTGGTAACATTTGGAAGATTTTGTTATGGTGTCACTGTCATTTTGACATACCCTATGGAATGCTTTGTGACAAGAGAGGTAAGCGCGGTTCCTTCCCAACGCTTTACCCAGGTGATCTCTCTGCCACATTTAATTTAGGAAGATTTATAAATAATACAGTTTGGCAAATTCCCAAGGGCATGACAAATGGTATAATTTGTAAAATTTTCTTTTTTGACTCTAAAATGTCAGAGTTTAAAGATGAATTTATATTCAGATGTTTACAAGACAATTTTTCAAAAGTTCGGTTTGAAAATTAGGTTTGGTAGATTTGGCTTATATTTCTGTGAGCACAAATATTTATACAACTGCATTCCAAAGTGACTGCCAGCCTTTTGCGACAGCCAAACTAAAGTTGTTGCTTTTAAGGCATTCTTACAAAGAAATTAAGTATCAAGGTTTAAAACATGTTTTACAAAACTGTCTTTTTGCTTAGATGTTTTATCAGTCAACATGTATTAAAGGCACTGTAGAATCTACAGATTCTAACTGGTTTTGTTATTTTTTAAAAACTAAAATATCTTATATTCCATGGAGAACCAAAATTCAACTGAAACTTTTAGTTTTACAGATACATTTTATTTATGTATTTATACATGTAGACGTGTATATTTACAACTATACATAACATAAACTAATAATATAAATAATAACAAATATATAGGATATTATTTACATATAAATATATTGTATTGTCAAAGTCAGCTCTAAATTGGGTTATATATTCCACTTGTATTTGTAGAGAAATATTATCTGAAAGAGAATTCATTCTTTTGGTGTAAAATTGGATAACATGGCCTGTCAGGAATCCCTTATGCTGTCAGCTAAAAATCCACTGTACCAGTCGGCAGTAAAACATGATCTTGCTTCACAGTGGGTCTTTCAGGGACCACACTGAAAAGGGCTCAGTCATAGGATCTGTTCCTAGAGGCTGTTTATACAGTGCACCATGTGAAAGGGTCTAATGAGATAAGTGAAATATCTACAGAGCTTTAAATACACTAAATAATCAGCAGGCTTCTTGAGGCAAGCCAGGGCTTACTTTAAGTCAGTCCCAGGGATAAGGAACTGACTGCACGGGGAAACAGAAGAGGGAAATGTTTAGCACTGTGTATGTCCTTTACAACTAGCACTTCTCTCCCTCACACATGTATAACTCACAGGCCAGTTCTCTACCTTGACTATAAAGGAGAAATAGACTGAACTAATTTTTTTTTAAATTTAAGAGCCTTTCGAAACTTTACTAGCTATTGTCAGATGCAGGACATGGTATTATTTTAGCTTCTGCTCAGTACGTAGGTTCAAATCTAATCTCTAGATCAGCAAGTAAGAACAGATGGTGCATTCTCACGTGGTTGCTAGTAAACTGCCTGCCTGCAGACGATCTGAGTCACTTCACCTGCACAACTTCTGTGTTTAGTACTTGAAACTTGAGTTTCCTTTCTAGCTGCTGTGGCAGGAAGATAGAACTGAATCAAGATCTCTGCCACAATAGCAAATACTCAGCAGAAGAATGGTGTCTATAACTTTCCCTTCTCTTACTCTTCATTCTGCACACACACACAGGTACACACACAAATGTATGACTGACAAAAATATAATCAAACTGTTTCAATTCATAAAAGCACTAAAAAGGCTGTCTACCCTTAACAAATATCTCTTACTACCTGCCTCACTAAGTGATTTTTCACTCTCACAATTATATCATAGAGGCATCTGTAAGAATGGATCTTAAATAAGATAATACTTGGAGAGACATTACAACTTATGTTATTAATATCACCATTAAATTATTAGCAAAGTCATGGCAGTATGTGACACATGGGAGATGTTGCATATCCAGGCAGCACAGCTTAGAGAGATGGCTTCTTTATGATACCTCAATATCTGACCTTCTGTTATTTCCAACTCTTTGTCTCACTGTTCTTTTGCACAGGGTCACTACTTATTCAGACTATCTTCTCTTTATCCTCCATAGGTATTGTTCCTGTTATTACCTCTTTGCTCTTTTTCACGCTCTTGTCTCAGCCTATAATTCTGCTCCAAATCCTGTGCATGTTTCAAGCCCTACCTCAAACCAAGGTAGGTCAAGCATATTTCAGGGATGCTGTAAAGGAGATTACTGTAAGGAGACGGCTCTAGATACCTAAAGCTCCTTCTAGTCCTAAATTCTCCTTGATCTTTTTTGTCCTGTTATAAATTGATCTCTACTTGCTTTTTTAAGTTTCGTTGTATGCCTCCAAAAATTAATTCCTGAGAATAGGAATCATTTCCCTGACATTTTATCTTTGCAAACCATATCATAATATGGGACACATTAAGTCAGTAATTTTTTATTGCTTTCCTGATCTGAGTAGTCATGAAAAATGGTGATGAACTCTTGCCCATTTTTGTTGAGGAAAGGCAAGATAAAATAGACTTAAATTATAACAAATAGGAATTAGTTAATGCAGAATTAATTTCCTGTTAGTAAAGGATATTACACATCCAGTATTAATAAGGGAAATGTGACAGCTACTTCTTAGAGGCCATGCAAATAATCTAAATAGCATGTTTAGTTTGTTTTAGTAGTAACCTATTGGACTCAAGAAAGAAGGATAAGATAACTTTCCAAAGTCTCTCCTGTACTTGAAAGATACATGTATTGAAACATCGGTATGCCACACTATAGGTCTGTAATATAATCCACTGACTAATAGTTCAACAAAGAATACTTGTTATTGATATGTGTGTCTGTATGTAAGTAATTTGGAAAATATAGAACATTCCTAGTGACTTAAGATTTGATTAATAGCCTTGTTGGTAGTATTTTATATATTCCTAAATACTATTGTAAAATACTCCCTCAATAAATCCTGCATGCCTTTAAAAGTCCCTCTCAAAATAATCTGTTTATTCGGCAGGTAATTGCCAATGTGTTTTTTGGTGGGAATCTTTCATCGGTTTTCCACATTGTTGTAACAGTGATGGTCATCACTGTAGCCACGCTTGTGTCATTGCTGATTGATTGCCTCGGGATAGTTCTAGAACTCAATGTGAGTACGTGCAAAGATTTACCCCTTCACTCTAAAATTCTCTTTAAAAGATAATGATTACATTTAACATAAGATGTATTTTCCTTAACAAAAGTGTCACTTTTGAAGTGGAATCAAAATATGTTTGTAATAGTAAATATTTTCAATGATGATTCTGTGCACTTTGTGGGACTATATAGTTTTAAAGTAGTGGTTGTTTAGAGACATATGGGGTCGTCACAACTGGGTAGGCAGTGCTGTTGGCCTCTAGTGGATAGAGGCCAGGGATATACATCCCACAATGTGCAGGTCTCTCACAGCAAAAAATTATCTGATCCAAAATGTCAATTGTGCTGAGGTTGAGAAACCCTGGTTTAGAGTACTTTTGCATATCTCATTTACTATAACACATAAATGTTACTAAAAATAGCTATAAATTAAGTGGATTTGGACTTTGCTGAATAATAATATATCTAGTGAAATTTATGAGAAATATGAAAGGATTCAAGTTATATCCATTCACTTGCTATGACAAAATTTCTTTTTCTTTAAATATTTTTCTTTCTCCAGATCTTTCTTTTATAGTCTGCACTGCCATCAACCAAATAGAAGTCCTCATAATATCACAGTTGAATTAATCCCAGCTCTGTTTCAACTATCATGTATTTAAGTTCTGCTTTCAGTTTATCGGCATTTTCCTACCAGAGCAAGTATAAATTCCGTTGCTTCTACCATCTTGTCTTCTGTGTAAAACTATTTCCCATTTACTTCCCAAAATTTATGTTCAGCTCTAGTCAATCTAATTTTTTGGCCTGTGAATAAGCCATATCAATTCTTTCCATTATTCTTTGTCCTATCTGCTTTTTATTTCCGATAATGATTATTTTTCTTTCATTTCTGTCCAAATTTTACAAAAACTTTAAGATCCAGTGCAACTTCTAATTCCTTTATTCACATTCACTGATCATATATTTATTGAGTAATTACTATGTGCCACACAATAGAATATAAGGATGAATGCAATAAGAAAGGACCTGTGCATTCTCACAAATAAACATAAAAGTTCAACTGCAATATAGGTGATGAAGACAGAGGAGGCCAGGAACGGTGGCTCACACTGTAATCTCAGCATTTTTGGAGGCCAAAGTGGATGGATTGCTTGAGCCCAGGAGTTGGAGACCAGCCTGGGCAACACAGTGAAACCCCGTCTCTACAAAAAATTAGCCGGGTTTGGTGGCATGTGCCTGTAGTCCCAGCTACTTGAGAGGCTGAGGTGAGAGGATTGCTTGAGCCCAGGAGGTAGAGGTTTCAGTGAGCTGAGATGGCACCACTGCACTCCAGCCTGGGCAACAGAGTGAGACCCGGTCTCAAAAAAAAAAAAAAAAAAAAAGAGAAAAGAAGACAGAGGGAAATGGATGGATTCCCAAAACACATTTTTCAGAAAAGATTGGCATAATTTGGTGACACAGATTCCATTGGGAAGACAGGGGGCAGAATGACTTCTTGGTTGTATTTTGTGGAACTAGAATAATGATGTCATTTGCTAAGACAGGAATGGAAGTTGTTCTACCACTACAAAGTGGCTAATCTTCTACAATCCTTACAGAATTTCTCATCAGAATCACCCACCAGTTAGCACTTATTGGTCATGCACCACAGGGAGGGCAAACCCATACAGATGGGATCCCAAGTCATCATTTACTCGTTTCATTGAGAATTGAGGCATAGGTGAAGGTATTATTGTCAGTGCCCAAGTTACTATGTCATCCAGAGGCCATTTTGATTTGAAATTCCATACAAAGGCAGGAGGGAATTCAGTCAGGGACCCTACTGGGGACTTTCTTGTAAATGGAAAGTGGGGAGTAAGCAGTTTCCAAAACCTCAGGAGACTGGTAATTGTCTATTCTACCAACAGTGGAAGGAAAGCTCATAGGAAAGTAAGCAAGTGTCAAAGGTAACTTTTACCTTCTTCCCAGTTTTGCATAGGCCAAACACTAGTAGGGCCACTAAAAATCATTTCGCATACCAATCTTGATTTGTGTAGATGGATCACTACTACATTAATGCGCTGACTTAATTTATGTATTATCTCGTGTCATGTATTGTTGAAGCTGTCCATAAGCTTGCCTTACCTAACAATTGGTAAGCTCTTTGAAGACAAAAATACTTAACCACCTCCTCCCTCCTCCATAGTATTTGGCACAGGGCTAAGGACACAGTGCTGAAATTATTGCATGGGTGATTGCACCTTGGGACTACAGTTCAGGATCTATTTCTATAAATATTCTTAGACACAAGATGCTTTCTTTAATGTAGTACCAGGAAATGAAATGTTATAAAAAATGGTTGCTGTTGACAGTAGTAGTAATCTTTCACCTATGCTGTGGAGATAATCAACATAATGATTTCCAAGCCCTGTTTTTTCCTGTTTTATGAAATATCTTGTTTGAGTCCACAAATTTGTTTGTTGATATTTTAGGATTTTGTTGTAAGACAAAATATATTTATTATCTGCCTGAACATTCACTACATAGTGATAGCCCAACAAATTTTTTTTTGTTTTCAAGTTAATCAAGTGCACACATATTGCTCATTTTTCAGGAATGAGTTTTTTTTGTAAATCTAGCCATTACTTTCTGTAAAGTTAATTGCTAATCTCCATGGCATTTGCACAACAAAATTGTAGGCATATAATCATATTAAATATTCTCTATTATACTTATATTGAAAACTGTTTTGGTTAATACAGAATTCTGGTATTAAAGAATAATCATAGAAGAATACATTGTGAATATCTATTTTAAAGTCAAGATCTGAGCTGGCCCTGGAGGACTATTTTTAAAATTTAAAATATGATTCAAGATCTTTAGATTTTTTTAAAACCTGATTATATAGACATACATTAAAAATTAGAGTGCTAAATTGTCTGTTATGACCTAATAGCCCAAGACAATTATGCTAGTTTTAAAGCACTTTGTAAGAATTAATAAAATCTAGGATCTCCATTCTCAGACCACCTGAGAATAAGTGTTTTTCACATCAGTACGTCTTTTGGTGTGCGTAAGAACGTATTCAAATCTTTACTCAACTCCTTTTTGTGTGGACACTTACCATGTCTAATAGAGCCAAATCAAGCATCATGTCTGTTAGTAACTAATACACGCTGGATCATGCAACACTTTGGAAGTAACTTAAAGCATGCTGTGTTCTACTTCATAATAATAATGTGGGCAGGGCGCAGTGGCTGATGCCTGTAATCCCAGCACTTTGAGAAGCCAAAGCAGGCGGATCACCTGAGGTCAGGAGTTCAAGACCTGCTTGGCCAACATGGTGAAATCCTGTCTCTACTAAAAAATACCAAAAAAAAGAGAAAATATTAGCTGGGTGTGGTGGCACATGCCTGTAGTCCCAACCACTCGGGAGGCTGAGACAGGAGAATTGCTTGAACCCAGGAGGCGGAAGTTGCAGTGAGCCAAGATTGCGCCAGTGCACTCTAGCCTGGGTGACAAAGCAAGACTCCATCTCAAAAAATAAAAAAAAAGAATAATAATAATAATAATGTGAGCTACCATGTATTGAGTACTTACTCTGTACCAGGTGCTTTGCAGTATCATCTCCTTTTATCTATATTAAATTGACAGATGAAGAAACTGAGGCACTGCATGATTAAATACTCTGAGGTCATACTAGTTACAAGTAAAAAAATACAGATTTGAACACAGGCATTTGGACCCTAAAGCTCACATTTTAAATCATTACACTACTCTGAGATTTCCTAAGCATAAGATTTTAAATTATGTAAAATAATTATGCTCATTTCTCTATCCACTTTCTTAGGTTATAAAATCTATGCATTGAGTTTATCTGTAAGAAAGGTTAAGAGTAATCTATGATACATATGGATAGACTTTAATAATGGGTTAAAACATACCAGGAGATGAAATAAAATGGAACTGAAAAGTTTTTGTCTTAATAATTTTTAGTTAATAACTTTCATCTTAGTAATTGTAGTAATTTAGAAATGTAGTTAATAGCTTTTATCTTAGATAACAATTTTAGTACTTTAGGAATTCTTTTTTATTTTAGCTTCTGAATAAGTAGAATAATGAGCTTCACAGATGAGATGAATCAGATCATGCAAGGTTAGGGAAATGCTACTATTTAGTATCACCAAATAATATAGAATAAAATGAATTGAGGTAATAGTTATTGAATTAAAAAATAGAACCTTGCTTTCCTTTTTTTTTCTTGTTTTCATGTCAGTAGACAACAATGAAATATTTTTCCAAAGCAAACACACACTAAGTTTTAAAGGTTTCATTTTAGAAGCAAATCAAATAAATATAAGCACTATTCTTGGTAACAAGAATCCAGCGTCTTAGCACTAATGTTGCTATTGGAGAAAAGAGGCATCTGCAGTAATTGGGCCCTATGGGTTTCTACTCGCAGCAGTACAAAGAGAGAAAATGAAGCAGCTGGTGCCTGTGCCAGCATAACCAGCTCAACAAGCATTGTGTGTGGTTTACAGTGGAAGGAAGAAAGCAAGCCAAATGCCAGCAAGAGCCCAGATAAAGAAATACAGTCTTTGGGGTGAGCAAGCCATAATCCCAGTTGCCAAAGACTTCCTGAGCAAGAGAGAGTTTCTTTTTGAAGTATTGGAGTGAATTTCATGAGTTTAGATTAATTACAAAGTAGAAATTTAAAAGATGTATAAGCATTATTTTATTTAGTTTCCAGCTTCCTTGCATCATTTGAGAAATTTCTATTCAGGTAGGAAAATTCAGGCACTTTTTCAATCTGTACTGGCAATAAAAATGTTCAATAGCTTCTGTCCTTTCTCTCCAGCAAACTGCAAAATACTCTGACATCCACAGTGTTATTATCAATTAATAAGAACTGTCCCATCTTTATAACTTAGACTATATTTTGTTGTCTTTTTAATAAGCAGTTATGATTTTACATCCTGTCAAGCAATTTCAAAAATTATTCCAAAGCCAGTGGTGTATCCTTAAGCAAGTCTACATTAAATAGATCAAATCAGCTCGACTAATTCATAGGGAATAGATCAGATGCAACCACACTATTATTTTACTGATGATCTTGACTTCTAGCAACAACCTTTAGTAAGACTGAGCTTTTAAATATCAAGAAAGTAGCTGGTATCTAAACAAGATACTCAACTGGAATCCTTCCAGTAGAAATATGAGCTATATAGTCTTTCCTCTAATTGCTACTTTCTCAACACTTAAGAATTATAACATAAATAGAACACCCATTGCTTTGCACTGCCCAGCAAGTTAAGTTTGGAAGAGTACCAAAAGGCTGACTGATGACAGCTTCTTAGCAGAAGCTGGGGGCAGTTTTCATCCTGATAGTACTTCCACAATCTGCAGTTCCAGATGAATTAGCCACATGTTTGTGACTACAAAGAGAAGACTACAACACACACAGACACATACACACACACACACACACATTTGTATTTGAATTACTGTTTGTTGTTTTCACAAATTGTTATTTTAAAGAAATCAGAGGCTAATAGTTTTTGTTATAAATACAGACCAATTGTTAACAGTATCTTCCATAACTTAAAAAGCACTGTTAATTCCAAATATTATGATAGAATCTATGGAATCCATAATATATTTCATTCTAGTCATATGACAACTAATCTTTTATTTTTTGTGTACCTTTGTAGATATTAATTTGTATTCAGGTGCTATGAATGGCAAAAGTATATTTTCCATATATTCTAAATTAGAACATGATTTTGGTATTTTTAAGTATTTTCTCATTCTTATGTTTCTTACTTTGGAAATATTTTCCATGCAGTGTGGTCCCTACTATTCTTTCTCTGGACACTTTTGTTTTTGTAAAAATTCAAAAAGTTACATAATTGGGATCATAGTCATAATATTTCTGGTATGGAGAGATTGCTTTGTATAAAACACACAGTAATTTTATTAACTGGTGTGAGAATATATTTATTTTAAAGCTATTTTAAAGGTACAATTTATAATTTTACATCATCCAACTTCAAATTTATTTTGCTGTTATTTTCCCAGGAGAAAATTTACCAAAATAATGTGTCAAAAAGCTTTTAAACCATAGGTGATAGTTGCATAGGATTTCATTATACTATTCTTTCTACTTTTGTGTATGCTTGCAAATTAACTTTTAAATTTAGAAAAACATAGTTTATGAAAAGCTTGCATTTAGTTGTAAAGTAATATTACATTTGTTACTGATTTTATATATTAAAAACTTACATTTTATTATTTCAGAGAACAACATTTGTGAAATGTCATAATAAGAGAATGAAAACTAAAACCACATGAACAGCTGGGTGCGGTGGCTCACACCTGTAATCTCAGCACTTTGGGAGGCTAAGGCGAGAGGATCACTTGAGCTCAGGAGTTTGAGACCAGCTGGGGCAACATAGTGATCCCTCGTCTCTGCAAAAAATTACCCAGACATGGTAGCATGTGCCTGTAGTCTCAACAACTCAGGATGCTGAGGTGGGAGGATCACTTGAGCTTGGGAGATCAAAGCTGAACTGTGATAATGCTAGTGCACTCTAGCCTAGGAAACAGAGTGAGACCCTGTCTCCAAAAAAAAAAAAAAAAAGAGAGAGAAAACAAAAAACACATGATTATCTCAACTGATGCAGAAAAAGAATTTGACAAAGTTTAGCATCATTTCTTGATAGAAACTCTTTTAACAGTTTAGAGAGAGAAAAGTCCTCAACATAATAAAGGCTATTTATGAAAAACCTACAGCTAACATCACAATTAATAGGAAACAACTGAAGGCTTTTCTCCTAAGATCCAATAAAAGGTAAGGATACCCACTCTCGCCACTTCTCTTCAACATAGTACTGGAAGTACTAGCAAGAGCAATCAGACAACAAAAAGAAATAAAAGGCATCCAAATTGGAAAAGAAGAAGTAAAGTTATTTCTATTTGCCGATGACATGATTCTATATGTGGAAAATCCCAAAGCTTCCAAAAATAGTGTTAGAACTAATAAATTAATTCAGTAAAGTTGCAGGATATAAAACCAACATACAAAAATCAGTAGCATTTTTATACACAAATAATAACCTAGCTGAAAAAGAAATCAAGAAAACAATATCATTTATGATAGCATCAAAAAATACTCTGGAATAAATTTAACCAAAGAGGTGAAAAATTTGTATACTGAAAACTATAAAATCTTGCTGAAGGAAATTGAAAAAGACACAAATAAATGGAACATATAAATAAATGGAAAGATATCCTGTGGATGGAATTAATATTGTTAAAATGGCCATACTACCCAAAGCAATATACAAATTCAACATAATTCCTATCAAAATTCTAACGGCATTCTTCACAGAAATAGAAAAAACAATCAGTATTGAAAAGAAAAATAAAGTTGAAGGCATCACACTTTCTGATTTCAAATGATATTACAAAGCTGCAGTAATCAAAACGGTATGATACTGGCATAAAAACACAAATATAGACCGATGGAACATAAAAGAGAGCCAAGAAATAAATCCAAACATATAGGGTCAACTAATTTTCTACAAGATCACCAAGAGGACACAATGGGGAAAGGATAGTCTTCAATAATGATGCTGGGAAAAATGGATTCTCAAATGCAAAAGAGTGAAATTGGACCCTGATCTTACACCATACACAAAAATCAATTCCAAATGGATAAGATACCTAAATGTAAGGCCCAAAACTGTAAAATTCCTAGAAGAGAACATAGAATAAAAGCTCCTTGACATTAGCCTTGGAAATGATTTTTTTGAATATCACACTAAAAGCTCAGACTATAAAACTAAAAATAAATAAATAGGACTACATCAAACTAAAAGGCCTCTGCAGTGGGGAGGGGGTGCAGGGCGGGAAGAAAAGACAACGTACAGATTGGGAAAAAATATTTGCAAACCATCTAACTGATAAAGGGTCACTACAAAAAGTTTACAAATAATTCTAATAACTCAATAGCAGAAAAATGATTAACTTGATTAAAAAATGGGCAAAGGACCTTAGCAGATATTTCTCCAAAGAAGACATGAAAATGGCCAACAGGTATACGAAAAAGTGCTCAACATCATTAATCATCAGGAAAATGCAAATTAAAACCACTAGGCGATATCACTTCATACCCTTTAGGATGGCTATGATCAAAAAGACCAGAAATAACAAATGTTGACAGAAGTGTGGAGAAAAGGGAACCCTAGTACATTGCTGGTGGGAATGTACATTGGAATAGTCAATATGGGAAACAGAATGGAGGTTCCTAAAGAAATTAAAAATAGAACCATTATATGACCCAGGAATCTCTATTCTGGGTATATACTCAAAAAAGATGAAATCACCACCTCATAAAGATATCTGCACTCCCATGTTCATTGAAGCATTATTCACAATAGTGAAGAGATAGAAACAACCTCAGTGTTCATTGATGTATGAATGGATACAGAGAATGTCATATAGATCTGTCTGTAACATGGAATATTATTCAGCCTTGAAAAAGGAGATCCTGCCATTAGCCACAACATGGATAGACCTGAAGAACGTTAAGTGAAATAAGCCAGACACATAAAGCAAAATATTACATGATCTCTCTTATATATGGAATATTTTTTTAAATGCCTAATATATAGAGTTAGAGATAAGAGAATAAAACTGTGATTACCAGGGGCAGGAAACAAAGGGAGGAAATGTAGAGAGGTAGGTCAAAGAATTCAAAGTAGCAGATATGTAGGATGAACAAGTCTACAGATTTAATGTACAATATGAGGGCTGTAATTTATAAATTGTATTATATTTGGGACTTTTGTTAAATAAGTAGATATTAGTTGCTCTCATCACCAAAGAAGTAATTATGTGAGATGAATAGATATGTTAGTTCAATACAATAACCATTTTACTATCTGTATGTATTCTATGACATCAGGTTATAAACCTCAAATATACACAATAAAATTTATTTTTTAAAAACGTATGTTTTATGGTTTAAGAGAATATTTGTCATAAAATTTTAATGTATGTTACATTGTTAAATATACTATAATTAAAATCTAACGTAATTAGAAAAACATATTACCTAAAATGCATTAAATGTTAACATTTATATTATTTGCTAAGTTTCTATTGCGAATTAGTCCTATTCAAGGGGAAAGTCTCTTCCTTTGACATCAATAGCTGTTGGTATTTTTATAATAGACAATTCTACCACCATTATTTTAAATCTGACATTCCTCCTTAGGTTGGGTTTATTCCTAGCTAATGTGGGGAAGGGTGAATGAGTAATAGTCATTTAGCTCTGCTGTCAACTTTCTCAGTAATTAATGTGCTTACTTTTATTTGAAAGAGGATTTAGAAATGCTATTTCATGTTAACTGCCTTAGGGTTATAGTTTTTCTTTCTCACACAGATAGGCACATCTTCCATACAAGCTCAGGTAAAGAAGACAGACATTGTGGCCCCTATACAATTTCCCAAAATTTCCTTCTTATACACAAATGACAAATAGACCATTCATGTTTGAAGGGCATAGTGGATACACAATAGTTTTAGTGAAGAATATAAGGAAATATGATGAACTGAAAATACAGGAAATTTCAAGAGTGCCAGAAGTCAGTCCTATTATCTGCTTTATTTTCTATATTATTTTGTGATAATATTTTCTTAAGTCTGAAAAGCTGTTATACTATTTCATTATTTTCATTTGTAAATATGCCAGTGGAAAAGGTAATGCCTATTTCTAAGTCTTTCTTAGAACTATTTTTCCTCCCTTTGTTTGATTCAACTGAACCTATCACATGTTTAACATGTGCATGAAAAACACATTTTGTAAATGCTTTTAAAAGCTGTCCGAAGAATGTTTCCATCTAGTGACATTATCTTGTTTCTTGTTTTCAACATGCAGGGTGTGCTCTGTGCAACTCCCCTCATTTTTATCATTCCATCAGCCTGTTATCTGAAACTGTCTGAAGAACCAAGGACACACTCCGATAAGATTATGTCTTGTGTCATGCTTCCCATTGGTGCTGTGGTGATGGTTTTTGGATTCGTCATGGCTATTACAAATACTCAAGACTGCACCCATGGGCAGGAAATGTTCTACTGCTTTCCTGACAATTTCTCTCTCACAAATACCTCAGAGTCTCATGTTCAGCAGACAACACAACTTTCTACTTTAAATATTAGTATCTTTCAATGAGTTGACTGCTTTAAAAATATGTATGTTTTCATAGACTTTAAAACACATAACATTTACGCTTGCTTTAGTCTGTATTTATGTTATATAAAATTATTATTTTGGCTTTTATCAAGACTTGGCTTTTATGAGTAGTGCAATATAAAAGATAAAGAAAAGAAAAATTGAATGTATTTCACCTTTAACTGGAACAAAATAAGGGTTTTGTTCTAATGACTGCACTACACTAATGCTAATTGAAGAAGGGAGAGTTAAGCCTTTAGCATTTTCTGCCATCCCCCTTTTATTTAATATGCAAACCAGTATATTGTGCTCCAAAATAAGTAGGTGATTGTGGGTTGGAATTTTGTGTAGATGTCTTTTGGTGGGGGGGTGTGGGGGGTGGGCATTTTCTTTGTCCTTAAAAGTCTGTGGAACTGAAGAGAAGGGAAACCCAAAACGATTGAAAAGAAGACATATCCCAAGAACAAAGAGGAGCTCTCCGTTATAATTTCAGCAGCATCCTTTGTTTAAAGGGAAATGGATCCCTGGAGAAATGAGCAAAGACCTCTCCATGTGAGGAATCCTGAATCATAGACTGGCTGTGAGGAGCAAGGTGTGTAAAGAATCAAAATCACCTCCCATCTTCTGATGCTGTGGGAATACAATGGTAGCACCATTCTAAAACAGAAAAACAAACAAACAAACAAAAAAAACAAAAACAAAAAACAGTTGTTCTGTGGCAAGAACCTAAGAGATTGGTGATATGGACCTGTTGGATTTTTAGTGCTGTCAGGAATGTACAACTGGAAGCTGAACTTTGAAACTAGAAACGTGTAAGAAGAATCAGGGCTACAGAAGAAGCTTTCTCAGTCCACTGGGGGTTCCTCAGAGAGATTTCTGGGAGCTCTTGTTGACTGGGTCTTTGGGAGCAGATAGTGAGATGGAGTTTATCATAACTAATGGGAGAGAGGGGAAAGCAGGATTGTTAGGGAGAGGTAGAACTGCAGTGCAGGCTGACCTCAGCCAAATCCACAGGGAAGCTGGTGCATACATGACCCATCAGAGTTGTCCCTGTTCAAGGGTAATAGCCCAGTTTTGATACTGCTGCCTCCATCAGTCATTTAATGTGAGCATCTGGAGAAGGATGAGTTCTTGGGCTAGGCAGCTCTTTGCAGCAGAGCAAACCCTAAAGGAACTGAGAGCTCGAGGTGGTCTACTGATAGCTTTGTCACCACATGCTTCCTTACAGGGGTATCTGGGAGACACAGCTGTGCCCACCACAGATGCCCTCGGTTTACTGAGGATTTTTAAATGATTTTTTAATGAGGACTTTGTGTCTTTGTATGTATGACAATCTTCAAAAAGTAACATGAAAATCTGGGGCCATCTGGATGGCTTCCTTATATCAAGTATCACCTAAGATTTTCATTTCATTTGTATTCCAATCAGGTTGTCCATCTGTGGCACTATATTAATTGTTGCCAAATAACGAGAAACTATCACAAGCAGAGTTAATACATATATGATGAGTTTGTACAAATCAAATGCAAAAAGAAATCCTACAGGAAGTGTATAAAGGGTAGGTTCACAGTAGTTTGAATAAAGTGGCAAGAGCTGAGTCACTGTGTGACTCATAGTGAGAAAGGCCTATTGAACATAAAGGAAGATGCATTTTAGCAGGTAGAACCATGCTCAGGGTTTTAGTGGTGATTTATTTTTTCAATAAAATATTATCCTTACCATTAAATTAATTTAAATTCTGTTGGGTAACTTTTCTGTATTTAACTTATAAATTTGTTTTTTTATAGTTAAGGGTCATAGGCTAAGCAGTTTGTGCCTGTTTTTAGATTGGTACATGTTTAGGTAAAATATAATAAAAATGCTTTCATTCCATGTAAGAAATGAGGAAATGTAAGAAATTTTTGCCACAGTCTGTCATTACATTGCTCAAGACTGAGAAACACTGACCTACATAATTATTAAATAAAGTCATGAGGGATGAGATCTCTAAGCATGTACAAAGAAAAGTATGTCAAGGATAACATAATTTAGCACGTAACCATCTCTTATCTTGTACTTTGGTGTTGCTTCATACTCTTCAAGTAGATGAAAGCTCCTGGTAGGAACTGAGCGCAGCATTAGTGCCTAATAAACATGTATTGGTTTATTTATTTTTAATCAGCTGTAGAACAAGACTGCTTATGACCCAGTTATTAGCTGCACGGATTACCGACATCTTTCAAATTATAATTTAATAAATCTTAGGAACTCACATTTATTTTGCAAGAATACTTGTATGCTTATTTTGCCACCATGCATAACTGCAAGAACCCCACCCCTCAATCTATTTTCTGCCTCAGTTCAATAAGAGATTCCCCTGAAAATCTTTCCATCCCTGCCACTTGTTGCCCCTAACAAAGCAACTTGAAGGTTTTAAACCAGTTTTTGAAGCTGTCAATACACTTAAATGTATAAAGCACTTCTTAACTTTAAAAAGGTGGTGGTAGGCAAGAATCACATCTTTACACACAAATGAGAACATCTAGCAATACACTTCCTTTAAGGATATAAGTTGGATAGCATCTGTGTAATTTAGAAATTGAGTCATTGTTCACTTATTATAGAATCTTTATTATCAAAACTAACTTGAACCATCTTCAAACATCAGAATGGGTAAACTGTCTATGACCATACCTTCCTGAACGCACCAGATCTCATCTGATCTTGGAAGCTAAGTATGGTCTGGCCTTGTTAGTACTTGGATGGGAGAAGAAGTAAACTGCCTTGCCTGGACTATTTCCAATGATGCCAAACAATAATTGTTGCCCCTTGTCTTTCTTAAAAGGAGACTGCATCCATTTAACCAAACTAAGAAATTTTCAATTAGTCCTCTGCTGAAGTCATACTATACACATCTACTTAATTAAAGATACATTTATTGAAGAGAACAGGTCTCCTCCTGGTTTATCTGCTATAGCCTTGCTTAGGAAAGGAATAATAGTCTGTCTTTTAATTAGGTGTGGCTATTGATTGGAGCAAATGTTGTCAGGTGGCCCAAGCATGAATCAATGAGTGACCATGAGGTCACCCATCAGTGAGGGTACCCATGAATGCTTTACTAACTGTGGCAAGGATAATAATTTGCTACCTCAATAGAATAAGCGCTTTTAAGAATGTATGCTTATTCTAAAAAATGTGTAAAGAATTTGCCAAGATAGCAGAGCAAATATGTAGAGTGGACCAGAGATGCTGTGACCTAGAGAACACATAGACCAGGAGAGAAAGAAAAGAGCCCAGTCTTTGTCTAGGGTAGTGGCTTTTAAACTTGGACATGTGTCAGAATCACCTGGAGGCCTTGTTGAAACACAGATTGCTGGGCTTCACCCCCACAGTTTCTGATTCAGTACTTGGAGTGGGGCCTCAGAATTTCTATTTCTGAAAAGTTCCCAGGTGATGCTGCTGCTGCTGGTTCAGGGACCACGTTTGAAAAAGGCTGGAAGTTGGACATAAGAAAGTGCCAGATGGAGCCATCTGTTTAGAGGCTGGGACACAATACAAGCAAGATGTAGGAATACCATGCTAGATCTCAGGGAAGAAAATGAGGCTGGAGATGTAGGAGGGAGAGCAATTGGTACATATTAAATGTGTTATCCTTTGCCTCTTTGAAAAATCATCTAGAGACACAGTGAGAAGAGGAGAAACCACGACAATAATATTAGTGAAGAGCAATGACAAAGGACATGGGAGGAGAATTAACAAGGGAGAAAATAGAGATTACAACCCCAAATCAACACAGTTATGCTGGTTAAGCTGCAGGCCTGGTTCTGAGCCTGCCAGCACTCAGGGAAGGTTACCTGAGTTTCATGGCTGCCATTGTGAGAATGAAGAAAATATATCAGTTTCTCAAAAGAACACCAAGTTTTCCAAGGACTAAACTCTCAGCAGAATGGCTTACTTGGAAAATTACATAGGGAACATGAGTAAAACTGGGTTATGAATGATAATGTCATTCAGATAAAGAATTTACATGGTTGTCTTTTGTTAAGACACTTTTTCATTCCATTAATGTTTGCTCATTGATAATAAAGATTATCAATACATTTAGCTTTGGCATTTTTATGATAGAATTCATGTATAGTAATATGTAAATGCTCCATTAAAACAAAAACAAACAAAAAACCGGATTTATTCTGTTCTTCATTTCTAACTCTCATTTGATTCTGGTCCTTACCAAATGATATGATTTGGCTGTGTCCCCATTCAAATCTCATCTTGAACTATAGCTTCCATAATTGCCGTGTGTTGTGGGAGGGACCCAGTGGGAGATAACTGAATCACGGGGGTGGTTCCCCCATACTGTTCTCTTGGTAGTGAATAAGACTCACAAGATCTGATGGTTTTATAAGGGGTTTCTGCTTTCACTTGGCTCTCATTCTTCTCTCATCTGCCACCATGTAAGACATGCCTTTCGCCTTCTGCCATGATTGTGAGGCCTCCCCAGCCACATAGAACCATAACGTGAGTCCATTAAACCTCTTTTTCTTTATAAATTCAACAGCATGACAATAGACTAATACGCTAACTCACACACTAACTAATGTGATGGCTGCTTACCTGAGCATACTGCCTTCAGACTCTTCCTGCCAAGATAATTCATGCATCACTTCAAGAATCTTCTTATTAAACAAATGCTTTGATCACTAATGCTTTCTGACCACTTGCTTGCTCAAAAGCTTTCCATGAAACTCTTGTGCTTGTAGAATGATGTGCTCACTCTGCAGCCTCTACTCAAAGCTTTCCTCATATGTCCTCAACATGCTATTTTGGCCTTATCACTCATGACTGCAGAAGGAACCATTTATTCTAACATAATTAAAACATTTCTTTACCCTAAAAATGCTCTGTACACCTTTAACTTTTACCCCTGAATTCTTACCATTCTTTCATCTGAAATGTCCAATACCCCCATCAAAATTCTATCAATACTCCTGTCTTCCCCATGTGCCATTCCTGACAATTCTAACTGCAAGTTAGTTCTTCCTCCTCTGGAATTCTTGTAATAATGTTATATGAAGGAACCTTGTCCGGCCAACCAGTCTAAAAATTCCTTGAGAACAAAGAGTGTGTCTTAAAGCCTCTTTTTATTCTTCATAGCCATAGCGTGGCACCTTGGAATGTAGTAAATGTGGTAAACACTTAAGTATTTGATGTGAGATTTATGATATAAAAGAGAAGATGGTTAATTGCACCTCTAGCCATACAAATTATGTTATTGGATATTTTCAGCTATAATGATTGTCATTCAGTAAAGTAGCAATTTAATGTGACGTTGTCATTCATCCAACAAGCCGGCTTAGATAATTAAATTCAGTTATTTGTTTTTCTTTACTATGCATAGACCCTTCAGAGAAGTTACTTGAAATATTCTTAAAACCACTCAAGTACACACCAGTCTGCACATATTTTTTTCACTTTTCCGTCGCTAAACATGTACTTGTATTTTTCTTATATGTAAGCTCCTTGACACCTGAGACAATGTCATAGTTTTATTTTTTGCCAGTGTATGCTCATATATCTTACTCATGTAAGATGCTTGATAAACATTTAATGACTTGAATTTATCTAATTTATATGTATTTAATCCCTTTTAATTTATACCCTAGCAGGAAAACCCATATTAATCCCCTTCATTTAATATTATTTCAAAAGAAACAAACAGTCAAAACTTTAAACCCAAATGCATTTATTCTTTAGGTACAATCATCACCTTGCTTAACTTCAGCAGACAGCTCAGTAATTTGATATAGTGCTGAGAAGAAGAGGCAGTTTAGGAACAATTTAAGAAAAACACCTCAAGCTATATCTCAGCTTGCAGTTTAAATTTTCAAAGACTTTGGAAACATATTTCCAAGGAACAGTGACAGCGATATATTTGTCATTTTTTAGATTTTGTTTTGCCAAAGGATAGCAAGACCAGTTCCAGAAAAAGGAATTCAGTTCAGGCTTCTTACAGTCAAGTCCCATCACATAAAAACATTGTTCTTTAAATCTTTAGGTGCTGGAAGATAAAACAATAAAGTATCTTCTAAGAAAAAGTAAAAATTATTTTATTTCAGGAAGGCAGTCTTTGAGTGATTCATGACTTTTCTAACAAAATTTAGCCTTCTTGTAAAGTCTTAAGAATTTTCTAAGCTACAGTTTTTAACTACTGTGTCCCTGTGTGAAAGATGTAGAGTGGAAATTGAGTAATATGACCTTGGGTTTTACGTGCTCTATGTCTCAAAGGATTTCAAAATAAATTTAGATTTTTTTTAAGCTATAAGAATAGACAAGGGAAAGGAAATAAGCTTAAACATTTAGAAAAACAGGGCTTAGAAAATCCTAGGGCTTTGTAGGGGCTACTCAATTGTACAAACATAGTGGGAGATGCTCCATATTCTAGAAGACAGCCTGACCTTTTGAAGTAGACATTTCTTAAAAGAAAATAAGCAATTAAAAAAAATGTTAGCTTCAGGTGGAAAGTTTCCTAGGAACAAACAATTTTATATGTGAAATCTAAATGTCAGCTGTGGACATGCCCGTTCCACAATTCAAAGCCTACTCCATAGTTCCTGCAAATTCTGCTGGCTCTCTTTCTCATATGTCCCTATGCGGCCATAAACCATTGTTCCTCTGTTCCGTATCTATAAAGCTCCATAATATCTTAGATGCAAAATATAATCCTTTCATCGTTTCCATAAAAATCCACTGACATCATGCAGTGTGTAAATGTTTTGATATTGTTGTTGCATCTCTTGGAGATTTAGAATGGTTGCAAGGAAGGGTCACATCCCAGAGGACGGCCTTCCACCAGTTCTCAGACTTCCCTGTCTGAGCTCCTCCTCTCCTCCTCTCATTTTTCATCTCCTTTTCCGAATTAACAAGGAATATTTCCCTCTAACTTCCTCAGGGAGGTCCCAGCACCTCCAGACTTCTAGGAGACCCACTATACTCCCTCAAAAAACAAATAAACAAACAAACAAAAACCTTTACCCCACACCTTATCATTGTTTTAATCCCAACACAAATGCTAATAGCTTTCTAAAAAAAAGTTGCGGCTGGGCAAGTTGGCTCACGCCTGTAATCCCAACATTTTGGGAGGCCGAGGCAGGCAGATCACCTGAGGTCAGGAGTTTGAGACCAGCCTGGCCAACGTCGTGAAACCTCATCTCTACTAAAAATACAAAAATTAGCCAGGCGTGGTGGTGGGCGCCTATAATCCCAGGTACTCAGGAGGCTGAGGCAGGAGAATCCCTTGAACCCGGGAGGTGGAGGTTTTGGTGAGCTGAGATCATGCCACTGCACTCCAGCCTGGGCAACAGAGTGAGACTCCATCTCAAAAAATAATAATAATAATAATCACATGGAAGCTATCAATACAAATATGTTTTCCATTCCCTTACACGTATGTACTCTGTCATTTATATTCTGAATTACGTTTCCGGTCACTTTGTTCTCCATGAAAAGAGAAGCCCAGAAAACTTCTGCCTTGCATAAAACTAAAACTTGGGTTAATGGCTTTAAATAGAACCCGTCCCATCCAGATGGGTAACAGGGTTGACAAGCTCCCACTGTGGTTTCCTGACGCAGTAAAGCCACATGGCTTAAAGCTGTGCTCCCACAGATCTATTGAGCTTATCTTTAGCCAGTGTTATTTTTCACCCCAACGCTGTACTGTTCTCCAAACAACAGCTGTGTGTCTGCCTACTTCGTTTGCCCTCTGGATAAATCTAGCCTTTTAGAATTAGATTAGAGCAGGCCCAGCTGTAGTGGGTGGATAATCATCTGCTTTATGAGTGAGGGGAATTTGACAAGCCTACTTGTTTTCTCAAATATCATCTATGGAATGATACTATGGTGTCTGACACATTGTTGACGGCTTTTTAGTATTTAAAGTAGGGATATACATTAACACTAGAGCATAATTAGAGGATCTAGATGAAGAATTAGAAAGTGTAATTCTAAGAGAATGAGAATGCTGCCCTCCCAACTTCTCTCTACTTTCCTAAATTCCAGTAGAGTGGAATTTAGATTCTGCCCAAATACCTCCTACTCTAAGAGGTTTCCCCAGCCTTCACCAGGAGACAATAACTTTTTTTCCTCTGTAACCTGTGAGTATATGCCTTAATAGAAGGAGTCATTCATTATAAATAAGAACTTTCTAACAATTAGAGCTGACCAGTGTTGGCACAAACTACCCTGGGTCTTAATGAACCCTCTGTTCCTGGAACAAATTAAACAAAGGTTTGACAAACAATTGCCCACAATGTGCTGGATAAGAACTGAACTTGATGATTTTTAAGTTCTCCTCTCATGCAGAGTTTCTAGGTACTGCCTTGTATTTTCTGTTAAAATAAAATACAGCTGTTATGGAACACCTTTAATATTTACTTTTGCATGTCTTTTATAGAGAGAGACCATTCATTTCTTTTCCATGTTTAGACCACCTTGTACAAAAGAAGTGTTCAAGAAAATGGATGGATTGGACAATGCCAGATGATTTTTGAAAGGGGCTTAAGAAAGGGAAGGGAGGACAAGCTGGAGACAATAAAGCAGATATACAGCAGTGCCATGAAACACCAGATTTCCAGCATTTAGGACTCCAGGAAGCATGGGAGTTCATAGGAGGGACCCTACAACAACTTCATGTTTATTTTACCACCGGGTCTATCCATGTGCTAGAATTTTTGTTGCCACTGCTGAGAAGCATGCAAGACTTGCTATTCTCTTCCTTCTTGTCATAATTCCTGCTTTCTTACTTAAGGAAAGGATCATTTGCAGGAAACATTAAACAAACTGTTTAATAATTGTGGCAAATAGATCCACAAATTCTGTAATTGCTCCATTTGAATGGAGAAGATTTTCTAAATGCAGAACGAACCCTAACCACAGATAAAAACAAATGCATCAAACCCATACTGGGTGCACAAATGTGCGGCATCTACTGGTGATTAAGAGATGGGAGGTGGTTGTACTGCTTTATCCCAAAAAGTATAATCTGTGGACCAAAAGTGCTGGCATGATCTGGGGTCTCTTTAAAAATACAGAATCTCAAGTCTTGCCTCAAACCTACTGAACCAGAATCCGCATCTTAATAAGAGCCACAGGTTGCTCATGTGCACAGTCAAGTTTGAGAAGCACTAGCATAAAAGGGACCTTGTCCCTTGGGAGCAGGACCTATCAGAATCAGCTAGGAAACGATTAAATACGCAGTCACTTCTTGGAGAGCCTATTATGCCCACACTAGGGCTTTTGTTACTGATGAGACTGTGGGGTAACCTTTCAGGAACCTGGGGAAGAAAAAAGGTTCTTGGCTATAACACTGAAGCCTATTTGTATCTGTTCTGCCTGTATTCATGTGGTCAAAAACTTTTTTTCCAATTTAGCCAGGGAGAGTGGCATGCACCTGTGGTCCCAGCTACTCAGGAGGCTGAAGTGGAAGGATTGCTTGAGCCCAGGAGTTTGAGATCAGCTTGGGTGATATCATGAACCACGCCCCACCCCATCTCTACAAAAAAATATTTAGAAATTAGCCGAGTGTGGTGGCTCATGCCTGTGGGCCTAGCTACTCACGAGGGTGAGGCAGGAGGATCACTTGAGCCTGGGAAACAGCCTGCAGTGAGCTGTGATCACACCATTGCACTCCAGCCTGGACAACAGAGCAAGACCTTATCTCAAAAAGATAAAATAAAACATGTTTTTGCCATCATTGCCTAAAATTGAAACACACCAGCCATATCTTTTATTTAGGTCACACTGGCAAATTCTTTTTAACTATGGTAGAAATAATGCTACAAATGAAGAAATCTTAAAGACAACCTGTTGATTTCTAGTTTGTATTTAAAAAACCTTAATGAATAAGTCAGTTAGAAAGTTTTCAGGATGGGAATATGCTTTGAATTTAGAGTCATATGTGTCATCAAACAAATAGGAGGTGGGCTATGGACGGGGTAATCATTGCAATAAACATGTAAAGCCTGAATATACTACTTACTTTGAATGCAAAAAGAAGATAACTTAATAAATATATGAGAGTCATAAAGATTACTCTAAAATTTATGTTGCTTCTAGATTAAGTGGTTAGCTAAATATAAAATATTTGGTATTATAAGACATAGTCTCCAAGTTGACTGAAAAGCCACTTAAAATACATTTTGACTTTAATAATAATGAACATGCAATTATTTCGGTGACATTAATAGCTTAATGAAAGAAATATCTATAAGCAAGCAATAACTGCATCATATAATTTAATTTAAATTTAGTGAGGGTCTGGCATTCAGGGAAAAGGGAATATTCCTCATTCTGACCTCAAGAACTCTTGATAATAAGGGGAATCACAAAAAAAAAATTTCCTTAAGAAGGAGAAAATCCTGCCTTTTGCAAACATGGATAAACCTGGAGGACATTAAGCTAAGTGAAATGAGCCAGACACAGAAAGACAAATACTGCATGATCTCAGTTATATGTAGAATCCAAAAACTCATAAAGTCAAGAGTAGAATGGTGGTTGCCAGGGGCTGGGAGGGGTGTGTTGGCAGAAATGTCGGTCAAAGGGTAAAAAGTTTAGTTATGCAGGATAAATAAGTTTTAGAGATCTAATGTATACCATACTGGCTATAGTTAATAATACCAGATTGTATACTAGAAAATGGTAATTATTTCACAGTGTATACAGACATGAAAACGTCTTGCTGTACATCTTAAATATATAACATTTTTATTTGTCAATTGTGCTTGAATAAAGCTGGGGAAAAAGGAAGTAAGCCAGAAGAAGTCATACCTAGATGAAAGCCAGTTGGTTTCCTAAGTCCCGTTTGTGACAGGGCATGAGATCCAAAGTTCCAAGGTTGAATCTGAATTTCATCACTGTTTATGTAAGCAAATGATATGACCTTTTTGATCTTCCTTTTCCTCATCTTTAAAGTGAAGAAATTATCATATGTTAGGTTTCTGTGAGAGTTTTTCTTACGTTTATTGATCATTTGAATTACTTTTATACACTGTATTTTACTTATTTTCTCCCACTGGGTCTTGGTTTTTTCCTTGCTGAATTAATAGTATTATGCTATTATGAATAACGTAAATAGTAATTAAATTTTGTATTTATCTTTTAATTTTATTTTTTACTTAATGAAGTTTTTCATTTTACATGGCCAAATTTTTTTGTCTAAGAGTTTTTAATGATTTTTATAAAAGTCATTTTTCAACTCAAGAATAGATATTTTACACTTATTGTCTCCTATTTTTGAATTAATTACAGTTTATGTTTTGTCTTATTTTATTAAAAATTGCAAAATGCACATTATAAGTAAAACTATAACATAACATAAATATTAAAAAGTTAACACACTGTTCATATTTTGGTTTATTACCCTCCAGTCATTTTTCTATGCATATTGTCACTAGATTGAGGTAATACTATATAGAGACTTTTGGGTCCATGTTTTGAATATCATATTATGAGCATTTCCTCTGCCATTAAAATTCTTCATGGCAGACCTGATTTTTAATGCTGCATAACATTCCACTTTTCCTATGATCCATAATCATTTTCCTATTGTTCTGTTTTTAGGGTGTTTCTCATTTGTGTTATAAATAAACTTAATGAACATTCTTTCATGTGAATGTTTTTACCATATTTCATGTTATTCTTAATATAATTTTTTAAAAATAGAATTACTGAATTAAAGAATATAAAAATGTAAGGCTCTTACTTTTTTGTGCTGTAAACTCAAAATCGAGGTAAACTATACTAATTTAAAATTTCACAAATAGACATGAAAGTCCATTTGCTGCACATCAACAGTGAATATTACCATCCAAAAATATTAACTATCAGGCAAGATCTGTTCTAAATGGATTTAAAGCATAACGTTTTGACTCTGTATTCCTAGAGACATACTTTAAGGGTAAAAAGAACCTTCTTTAAAACAAACACCATTTTCTGTAACCTTATTGATGGTACCTGTGGTGTTGTAGGCATTATATTCCATGGCCGCTATGTGAGCATATGGTTTCAAGGCAAAGGAGTAATTATAATGATGTCCTTAAAAATCAAGATTTTGGACATGGCATAAAGGAGATACAGATATAACATCAATAAATGTTGTAGGCTGTGCGAGATGGCCCATGCCTGTAATTGCAACACTTCAGGAGGCTGAGGCAGGCAGATCACTTGAGCCCAGGAGTTCAAGACCATCCTGGGCACCATGGCGAAAACCCATCTCTACAAAAAATACAAAAATTAGCCAGGTGTAGTGGCATGCACCTCCAGTACCAGCTATTCAGGAGGCTGAGGTGGGAGGATCCTTTGAGCCCAGGAGGTTGAGGCTGCAGTGAGCAGTGATTACACTACTTCACTCAAGTCTGAGTGATGGGGCAAGACCCTCTTCTCAAAAATAAATAAATAAATAAAATACATACCTACCTAACATTTGATAAAATTCCTGTCATCTTAAAATTGAACAGGAAATATGTGTATGAATTCAAAAAATGTTTTATCTCCAAAATTTAAAAACATATTTCCTTGTTCTATAAACTGCAATGGCTGAGAAACAATGACCAACGCATAATACAATGAACACAGCAATGCCAATATTGTGGTCTCCAAATGCCTTTCCCACTGAAAAGAACCAGGGCTCTTTGGAGAAGTGGTTCCTTGTAGGAGTGGGACAGAAAAGTTACAAGATAAAAATGGAGCATCATTTGATGACAGAAAACAGGCAGAAGTATCAAAATAACTTGCAAGTCATCTTGGAGTGGTCTGTTTCCATTAGTCAAAGATGAGACAGTATGAGCATCAAGCAGAATAGTAACACCAGTGGTTTAAAATATGTTTTGTATATGTTTTTAAAACAAAACAAAACAAAAAAACTCATTCATTATCCTTAGAGAATTCCAGGGAGCCAATGCATTATCTGAAAACTGGTGGCCGGGCACGGTGGCTCACACCTGTACTCCCAGCACTTTGGGAAGCTGAGGCGGGTGGATCACCTAAGGTCAGGAGTTGAAGATCAGCCTGGCCAACATGGTGAAACCCCGTCTCAACTAAAAATACAAAAAAAAAAAAAAAAAAAAAAAATTAGCTGGGCAGGCGCCTGTAATCCCAGCTACTTCGGGAGGCTGAGGCAGGAGAATTACTTGAACCCATGAGGTGGAGGTTGCAGTGAGCCAAGTTCGCACCACTGCACTCCAGCCTGGGCAACAAGAGCAAAACTCTGTCTCAAAAAAAAAAAAGAACAAAGAAAAAAAGAAAACTGATAAAAGGGGGAAAATCAATTATTTTTGTAGACTTTCTTCTAAAAGTTCTACTGCTGGGTAACCGAAGAATTCATGGGAGAAATTTCTCTTTATTAATATATTCTGGATAATAAATGTAAAGAGAATAATAGAATTAAAATATCATCATTGTATGACCCTCTAATGAAATATAAATCTAAGCGACTATCACCAACAGCTCCTAACATCAGAAAAAGAAAAAACTTGATAGTGTTTGTCACCAAAGGAAGATTGTGACTCCACCTATGTAGTAATCTAAAAAGAAAAAATCAAACTTGAATTATCAACCCTCTAAATCTAACTTCCAATCTGTAAGAGATAAAGTAGAAGGGAAACTATAGATTAAAAGAGACTCAAAAGGCATGTTGACCAATTACAATGTATGAATCTTCTTTAGATCCTGATTACAACAAAGAAGTTGAGTGACAGAGCGAAACAATGGGAAAATGTAAATACTGATTGAATCTTTGAAGATATTAAATAATTATTTGTATTTTTATATGTGAAAATTATATTGTGGTTATGTTTTGTGAAGGATCCCATCTTTTATGCACACTGAAATATTTATAGGTGAAATTATACCTGAGATTTGCTTCAAAATAATCTAGCAAGTAACAAGGGAAGCAGATGAGGGTATAAATGAAACAAGATTGTCCATAATTGTTGAAACTTGGGAACAGGGACACAGCATATTATTATTAAACTGTTCTCTTTCTTTTTGTATATGTTTAAAGTTTTCCATAATATATATTTTTTAAAGAATGAAACATTTTTGGAGTATCTTTTATGAGGGAGGAAGAGGGATTGAGTCTAATTACAACTTTCCAGGGAAGAAATTGCATAGTCTGCCCCTTTTTGGAACATTAAAGAAAAATGTGTGAATTCATAATCTTCTGGTCATTATGCAAGAAATGTTCTCCTTGAACCAGCATCTGTGCCAACTTCATAAAGAATAGTATCATTAAGAGGATGGCATAGCTCTTGCAACCCAAGTGATACTTATTTTCTTGGGTACAAAAATGAAACAGAATACCAAGAACTCTTAAAACTCAACAATAAGAAAACAACCTGATTTTAAAATGGGCCAAACACCATAACAGACACCTCACCAACAAAGGTATACTGATAGCAAGTAAACATATGAGAAGATGATCTATATCATATGTAATCAGAAAAATGCAAATTAAAACAACATTGAGATACCATGATATGCTTATTATAATGCCCAAATCTGGAACACTGATAACACCAATTGCTGGTGAGGATGTGGAGCAATAGAAACGCTCATTAGTTGCTGCTGGGAATCCAAAATGGTACAGCCATTTTGGAAAACTGTGGTGGTTTCTTATAAAACTAAATATACCCTTACCTTATGACTCAGCAATTGTGATCCTTAGTATATATTTACCCAAAGGAATTGAAAACTATGTCCATACAGAAACCTGCACACAGGTGTTTGTAGTAGCTTTATTCACAATTGCCAAAGCTTGGAAGCAACCAAGATGTCCATTGTAGGTGCAAGGATTAATAAACTGTGGTTCATCCAGACAATGGAATATTATTCAGGGCTAAAAAGAAATGAGCTATCAAGCCATGAAAAGACATGGAGGAAACGTAATTGCAAATTATTAAGTGAAAGAAGACAATCTAAAAAGCTTATATACTGTATGGTTTCAAGACTATGCCATCTGGAAAAGGCAAAACCATGGAGATAATAAAAAGAGCAGTGGCTGCCTAGGGTTATTGGGAAGGGAGTGATAAGTAGGTGAAGCTCAGAGGACTCTTGAGGCAGTGCAACTACTCTGTATGAAACTATAATGATGAATATATGTTTTTTTACACTTGTTGAAACCCATAGACTGTACAAAAGTAAGTGTGAGCCCTAATGTAAACTATGATCTGTGAGTAGTTATGATGTGTCGGTGTGAGTTTATCATTTATAACAAATGTACCACTCTGACGGGTAATGTTGAAAACTGGGAAGACTGCACATATGTGGGGTCAGGAATTATGTGAGAAATCTCTGTGCCTTTCTCCTAAGTTTGCCATGACCCCAAAACTGCTCTAAAAAGATGAAATGGAAGTAAAAATACCATCATTGAAGGTTTTGCTTTATTTGCTTTCTGTTATTTCTTAATATTAAAAATAGATTATTCTAGAATTTAGAAAAAGAAAGCTTATCATGTAACTCTGTTGAAGACTTATAATTATTACCTGCTGTGAATTAAAAATAAAAAAGTTTGCCAGCATGAAAATGTGACTGAAAGACATACAATGTCCTAATGGGGCACCCAAGTGCAAGGTGTGAATAGAAGTCTCTCCTTCATGGGTTCCTTCTGATACTGTGGACAAGTTTCTGTGTAGTCACAATGGCAAGAGAGCTCCCTCCAGCACCACAAAGGGTGAATCACTATCTTTTTCTTTTTTCACTTTTCTTCTCAGCAGCACCCAGTCCTGGTGCTGTTCGCAACGTAGTATCCTCGGGATGCGTTGACATACACGACTCATTTAGGATCACGGAATCATAGGTTGAAAGATTCTAAGGCTCTGAATCTCTCACAGTGAGAGAAGATTTCAGCATACAAATTATATAGTGTTGAGGTAATTTGCAAGTACACAGTCTCACATTCTTCAATAAACTTGGCACAGGTTTAAAGTCTTAAACCATGTGTTCTTGGATGGCTTCACTTTTATTTCCCTTGGAGGCAGCTGGCCTCTCCTTTGGCCTTGACCCAGGGGTCGATGTTCTTTCTTGCTCGGCCTACCATCATCACAGGCCTCCTCTGAGTTTTACTTCCACAGATCTCCTAGGCCCTTAGAGAGCCAGGGTCCTTTCCAACCTGGGGCGCAAGTCAAGTTCACTGAGCTCAAATGGAAACTGTTCTAGTAGTTCCAAATGTGAGCTGAGAGTTTTCTGACCAACCTTCGTCTGGAGCCTGGGCAACTAACAACACAGTTTACCTGAGCTAAGCATCCTTCCATGATGAATGTGTTCTGGGTTTCTCTTAATTTTTTTTTCCTTTCCTTCCTTGTACTTCAAAATTTTACAGAACTTGTAGTCTCCTCTTCTTTATACTTCTGATCACATACACCTGAGGATTCCCCACCAGCAGCCCACATTCCAACTTTGAATCACAGTTTCTTTGAAAATGCCCAACCTCTAAATGCACCATTAGACTTGTAAACTCGGCATCCATGTTGAACCTTACCACAGACCTTTTGGCTCAGTAAAACATGGAGAATCATATTTCTAAACTTAAATGCAGATTTGTGACAGTTGTGTGGGCATATTCCTGGTACCCACCCTGATCTCCTGGGGTCCCCTCTTCAGACAACTGGCCTTGAGCTGCCTTCTGAGTGCTGACCTTCTGCACTTGTACTCTTTACAGAGAAGCAGAAGTGCCTGAGACACTACATTCCTGGGGAAACCCACAGCCAAGTACTGACTTGTATGGGAGTTTAACAGCCCAGTCTTTGCCTCAAAGAGGGACAAATCTGAGACATAATATATATTCCCTGTGGAATCACTGTGAGGCTGAGAATCTACCTGAAATGTCTCCCATTTGTCTTCGTTTGCCTTCTCAGTCCTACTTCTTCACCCAAGAGTACATCCTGAATAAATCACAAATATTAACACATGAATTCTTATCTCAGGGTCAGCTTCTCAGTAACTCAACCTAAGAGTCCATGCCGTCAAAATACCAACATGTAATTACAGTCAATGCCTGGATTCCGCAAAACTGATCATTCTAGATTTACCGAACTTTAGGAGAGAAAGTTTGTACCTCCATTCTAGACAAAAGAAATATATAGAGATAAAATTATCCCACTGTAATTTTTTATATTGTATTTTCTTTGATGATAGCTTTTTAAAAAAACTTGCAATTTTCACATTTTTAAAGAATCAAAGGTGACGTATTTTTTTAGTATAAATTTCAAGAAGAAGGAAGGATTTAACTTTTCCATATAATTAGTAGCCTGAATGCAGTCTCTTAGTCTCTTGGTCACTGCTTACAATATATAGCACAGTTCCAATGACAGCCTTTAGTCTAGAAGCTGCTTTACACACTGTTGAGTACATTTGATTTTATTTTCAGACACCTCATGCTTCAAATGTGAGCTACTCTTAACCCATCGGAAAGAACATGGAGATTTATAGCTAATTTAAGAAATAGAGGACTCCTACTGAGAAAAGAGTTATGTTCTCAGATCAACACTAGATATAAAATGAGGTTATTAGGCAGGCATAGTGGCATGTGCTGTAGTCTCAGCTACTTGGGAGACTGAGGCAGAAGGGTTGCTTGAGCTCAAGAGTTCAAGGCTGTGGTGAGCTATGATTGCCCCACACCACTCCAGCCTAGGCATCAGGGTGAGACCCTGTCTCAAAAAATAAAAATAAGCTTAGTGTTGAGGTAGGAATTTCAGTCATTTGTCAGAAGAATGTTCCCCATTATCCTTCTTTTAATTTTTTTCAAATAAATATCTGACATTTCAATACCAATATTCAAAAGCATTAAAACATCTGAAATAGCAAAACGTCACCAAACCTTAGCTTCTGCTCACTTTTCATTTTGTAATCATTGTCATAATACGTTTTTTGATCAGCTGTTCTGTATTGCAATAGCAAAACCATGAAAGAGTCATAATTTTCAGTAACATAAATTAGGCATCATATAAGCTTTATAGAAAAAAAAGGATGACTTAACATTAGACAGGTTACCATGGCAAGACTCTAGATAGTCTGTCTCAGGGGGTCTGAACAATAAAATAACTGTCAGTATGTAGTGTACCCATAGAGATTCAGGCTCAACTGTGACATTCCTTAAAGATCTTTCCAGTTGCATGAGCTTGTGATTATTCACGGAAGAAAGTTATTTGTAGCATCTACAAAATTTGACCTCTGCAACTTTAACTTTATGGAAAAAGTTAGACAAACTTATTTTCCGGGCAATGATTTAAAAAGGACAAATATTTATGAGGTACTAGATTGTAATGTCTTAAAATGCAAGGTGCAATAAAACACAGGAGTTTTTTCTTCACTTAAGAGGTATTTTTAATTGCTTCAGATAAAAAATACATAGTTAAATACACATGGACATTATTGAGATATTTGAAGGGATAGTTAACATTTTATAGCACATATAATTAATGATGTCTTGCATGAAGCCAATGCCAGAAGTCAGTGTGAATGACCTTTGAAATGAAAAAAGACAGGCTGAAATGTCTTCAATAATTATTTTGGCTGCATAAAATCTGAAGCAATAAAAGAGGCTCCAAAGTTCTTTTACAGCACCCATAGGACTCAATATACTTTGTATTCAATGACGTCTTGGGCAAAATTATGACAAATTATTTGTATTAAAATATGAAAACTTATAACATTGTGGTCCTCATGCATAGCCCACCTTTGCCACCTTCATGAAGGAATTACAAATCAAACACTTTTTCTTGGGTTATTTTGGTAATTTTGACTGGGTATACCTAGTCTATGAGAAAAATATAAAGTTTTTTCCTAAGATATTTTAATATGCTTTTTATTCAGCAGTTGATAAATACTCCTTATATTTTTATACCAATTAATCTTTCTTATTTCTTAGAAATATGAATGAATGCAGCTAGATGGGCCAGAGACAGTGCCAGGCTTTTCACTGTCCATTATTTCTTTTTTTTTTTTTTTTTTGGAGACGGAGTCTTGCTCTGTCGCCCAGGCTGGAGTGCAGTGGCACAATCTTGGCTCACTGCAAGCTCTGCCTCCCAGGTTCATGCCATTCTCCTGCCTCAGCCTCCCGAGTAGCTGGGACCACAGGCGCCCGCCACCACGCCCGGCTAATTTTTTGTAGTTTTAGTAGAGACGGGGTTTCACCATGTTAGCCAGGATGGTCTTGATCTCCTGACTTTGTGATCCACCCGCCTCAGCCTCCCAAAGTGGTGGGATTACAGGCATGAGCCACCGCGCCCGGCCTTGTCCATTATTTCTTAATCACACATATGAAACACCTAAGATAGTCTTGCTAGTTAAGAGTAGCAGTTTGGTTGAAATCCTAGCATGATTCATTGCCACAGGGATAACATGTAAAGCACCCAAGGGACGGAAACTTTCTCCCAGCATGTTGAGGCTTTCTAGCTTTTGCTATTTGTTCAAATATAAGCAAGTTAGTTGTGAAATTTAGCTCATCTGTGTCACTGGCCAGTTTCCTTTGCCCTATATCCTCTCTATCACTTAGAGATTCACCCCAGCTGGCTCTTCCAACTCTAGTCCTAGGACTGCCCTTTGTTGTTCTGGCTGCCCAGTGAACTTTTCCACAAAAGGCCAAAACAAATAGCACCATTGACAGACATTACAAAACAGCCATTACTCTGCCAGCAGACTTGCAAACCCTCAGGGGGTCTCCAGGGGTGAACTGAGTCTAACATAAGCCTGGAGCTCTCTGCTGCCAAAGGGCCAATGCTCTTCTCATAAACAAAAGGTGTACTATAATTTCAGGATGACTTTTCTGACTCAGTTATAGATCTTGCCCAAGGCCTAAGTATAAGAGAGGTAAAGACAATGTCCCTCCAAGAGGAGATGGGTGGGTAAATAAATGACTGGCCAGCCTCATCAGGGTATCAACAGCACTCCAAACACACCTGGCTACACCTATCCAGTAAAAACCCACTGTACAGTACTTTTAAGTAATATATACTTTACTAACTAAAGATGGGAAAACATCAGAGGACTCAGAAAAAAAGCTGTTTTCAAAAACCTATTCTGGCTGCTCTGAGGAACATTGGCTGAAGAGGATGAGAATGGGAATGAGGGGACGAGTCCAGAGGCTGTTGGTACAGGGAAAACAAGATGGTCTTGGTTTAGAGTGCTGGCATATAGATTATGCCTAGAATAAACAATGTTTCATATTAGAAAAGTTATATGAAGACCTTCTTTGTGGCAAAAATGACATTGCAGAGCTGGTTACTAAGGCTACTTCTAGTACCCCCAGATACAACTATGTCATCTGTATGCCTATTAGCTAAACTCTCTGTGCCTCAATTTTCTCTTCCACAGAATGGGCAGATAGTAATGCATGAGGTTGTTTTGAGAATTAAAAGCATTAATACATGGAAAGCTCTTAGAGAAGAGTTTTCTCTTTCATAATAAAAATTATGAAAAAAATACCAGCTGTTATTATTAACTTTCCATTCTCTATGTTATAAAGTGACAGATGAGATGGCACAAATCATCCTTTCATGATTTACATTAAATCATTATGGTATAATGTAAAAAGAAGGCTAATAAGAAGACATCATTATATTACCCCATTGGTAAATATTATATATGATGAGCCAGTCCTTCTGCTTACTCTGGTCTTATAGCACCATGAATGCCTCTTTCAGCATAACTCCATTTAACTCACTGCTGATTTCTGCCCACACAGTCATAATACAGAAAGAGTCTTTAAAGGACACAGACAAGATTTTGTTATACCAACAGCTTTTATTTCCTTTCAGGGAGAAGTTAGGGTATTCCTTCCCCTCTCTCCTTGGAATCTCCAAGGAATCTCTGATGGTGCCCATGTCTCCCCTTCATGGTTTCCACTCCTGCTAGGCGGCACGCCTCCCCACAACCTCTTGTCCCCAGCAATCACTGGGCCACCCTCATCATGGTTCTGGTTCTCACCTCAGTCTAGTTTGTGGTTTCTGGTAACCACACATTCATCTGATGTCCTTCCAGTCCAGGAGAAATTAGAGCTCCCTGAAGTATAATCTCTGGGCTGCTTCACCCACATTGAATTTCTGAGTTCCTGATGTACATCCGGGTTGCTCCGTTTCACTTCTCTGTTTTTCATCATCTGAGTGATCAATTCTCCATATTTAATTCCTTCTCTTTGAAAGGTTGAGGGTGATTTCCATTTTCCTGGCTAGACATTAAATGCTATTTGGAGAGTTATATTTGTACTGCTGATAATATTGGTAGAGTTGATCAAGTGAAACACGTCAGCAAAGATCAGAGCCCACCATTTACAACACTACATAAACATCTAGAAGCAGGAAATCTATTTTGAGTACTTTATCTACCATGAACTTTCAAAATAATTTTAAATAATGTTTAAACTTTGGTTATAAAGATAATAGCTGCTTATATTTTTAAAAAAATAAGGAAGTTTGAAAAAATAAGACTTTAATTACCATTAATATAACTCTTCTATATTGTTCTTGTGCACATCACAGTAGTGTTGGGACAGGGGGGGAAGATGCAGTATTTACATTTAAACTAGCTAAATTTCACCCTATTAAACGAGCCATTTAGGGACACAGGGACACCAATTTAACATTGAATCAAGATCACAGAACTTGAGAGAGGTAGGAAGGAGGCAATGGGGATTCATTAATCAAGACTCATTTGACCCCTCTTCTATTAACAATGGCAGGGACAGTTACTAAAGAGGAAGACACAAGCTTTGTAATCTGGGAGCTTTCTGCTAGCATGGAACAAGAAAAGACAGAGGCAGAGAGCAAAAGAGAGAAGATGAACCCCAGGGGCAGAATGGATGTACTCCTCTGAAATACACTGAGGCATCCAACTCCATTATTCCACTCTAATTCCTAAATAATTTCTCCTCAAAGACACATCTCTTGAGCTATTTCTTCTTATCTAGGAGCACAGAGCACTGATTGTCCTCTGCCTATGACAAAACCAGGATGCTGCTCATGTGACTAATTAAATCTTACAAAATTAATTATACTCTTCATGGTAATTGAAAAGACCTCAAAAAAATTTAAACCAAATGTTACAGGATCATCCAGTTTGAAATAACATACCTCAAAAGATATAAAACATTCTGGAATTAGAAAAAATTTAAAGTTTATCACATCTATCATTTAGCCAGCCAAAAAGGTCTATATGCCAACTAACAATAACTATGAATTAGTCTATAAGAATCATCATTAAAATGCATTTCTCAATTTCTTTTCATTACTTGCTTTCTTGTTAGTCCATATCTATTTTATCACCTCCAGATTCCAGGAAAGAATCAGATGACAGCCTTGTCCTCAAATGAAAGAACTATCCTGAGTTGTACAAAGACTACAGACAGCCTTGACTTCTGTACTGATAGCCAAACAAAAGTGAAGCAAACTCACTGCCCTGTTGGTGAGGACAAGTTGGCAGCTCTCTCTTAATGAGTGAAATCCAAGGCCAAATCATTCTGTAGTTTCTAGTTGTATCAGCCTAACTCCCATGGAGCACATTTGGAAAGTTTCATTTTTTAAAAAAAAATTTAAATTAACAATATATTTTACAAATGTCTACTGTAGGTTGTTCAAAATCAGAATATATTACAAAAGTCTATCTCAGTTGGAAGTTAATAATAAGGCTGGGTGCGGTGGCTCACGTCTGTAATCCCAGCACTTTGGAAGGCCGAGGTGGGCGGATCACCTGAGGTCAGGAGTTCAAGACCAGCCTGGCCAACATGATGAAACCTTGTTTTTACAAAAATACAAAAATTAGCTAGGCATGATGGCGGGTGCCTGTAATCCCAGCTACTCGGGAGGCTGAGGCGGGAGAATCATTTGAACCCGGGGACGGAGGTTGCAGTGAGCTGAGATGGTGCCATTGCATTCCAGCCTGGGTGACAGAGCAAGACTCCATTTCAAAAAAAATAATAAAACATCAAAAAGTGTTACAAAATTATAAACAAATTGACAAATACAAAGTTGAGAAAATATATACAGGTGTATGGTATAGAGTGTTAGAAATGTGTAAAATAACCTAGTTTCATTATATTATTAACGTGTCTGAAAAAAAATTATTTGACTGGTTTCCATCCTAATTCCTAAACAAGACATATCTCTTGAGCTCTCTTACCCATGAGCACAGAGCAGTTTGCACACTGTGTATGAAGATATTGCATACTGTGTATGAGGATACTAAGATGTTACTCTCATGACTTTAATTAAATTTTGTCAAAAATCAATTATAGTTAAACCTTGAACAACACAAGTTTGAACCGCATGGGTTCACTTATACATGGATTTTTTCTGCCTCCATAATTCTTAGATAGCAAGACCAAGCCCTCCTCTTCTTCCTCCTCCTGTGGCTCCTCAGTGTGAAGACAATGAGGATGAAGAACTTCTTGATGATCTACTTCATCTTAATGAACAGTAAATATATTTTGTTTTCCTTATTTTCTCAAAAACATTTTCTTTTCTCTACCTTATTTTATTCCAAGAACAGAGTATATAATGCGTATAACATACAAAATATGTGTTAATTGATTGTTATCAGTAGGGCTTCTGATCAACAGTAAGCTGTTAGTAGTTAGGTTCTGGAAGAATTAAAAGTTACACATTGATTTTTGACTACACAGTGGGTCAGCACTCCAAATCCCTACATTGCTCAAGGGCCAACTGTATACCAAATAATATTCTCTACTGGAAGGGTCTTTCATCTTTTTCATCTCTCCTTTCTTTCTCTTTCTCCTCTTCTCCTCTTTCATCCCATTCTCTTCCTTTTCCACCTCATCTTTCTTCTTCATATTTCTATACTTAGCATAAATCTGATCCTTAACACTCACTCAAGTTTCTATTCCACTACTGGAGTAAAGTCTTTTCACCCAAGAAGAATTTCTGGACTGAAGACAGTGCAGCAGCTCTCAGTACCATCAATGTCAGTTTCCTCACACGTGAATTGGTGATAATAATGACTTCCTAGTATAGGGTGAGGATTAGAGATTATGTATATAGGATGTTCAGTATGGTCTTGACGTGTTAGGAATGCACAATTAAATATAGCTGCTGTTATAATTGGTTGGTTGGTGGACTAGGAATTGGAAGAGTTTAATTTCAATAGGTAAATATTAAATTAACAGAAATTAATAGGAAATTTAGTGTGTGTTGAGGAAATTTTGCATCGTTTAGCAAGACTGCCATCCATAATAAAAAAAAAAATGGTAAAGCTAGAAAGGTCGGTTGGAATTGAGGGATAAGGTGTGTGTTGACAGTGGGGAAAGAGAGAGCCCCGTCAAGGGGTTTGGACGCCATCCAGCAGAAAGTGTGGAACCAGTGAAGGTTTGAATGTAGGGTCAAGTGCAAGCTGTGCTTTATTTGGAGGCCGCTCTGGCAGCGGCACATAGGATGCTTGGAAGCTAGAGAGAAACCAAAGCAAGGACAGAAGAAGAGAGGGAGCTAATTTATATCCAAGCAAAACATAATAAAAGGCTGAAGTACGATAGTTGCAACAGAACTGAAAAGAGAGACGATTCAGGAGTCATTTTTGAAGCATTAATTACAAAATTCGGCATCCAATAGAATATAGGTCAGGAAAAAATGATGCCAAGGTAGTGAGCTAAACTTTGAGTTTAATGGCAGCATTTCCCAGGGTGGAGTGTGGACAACAGGCAAAAGAGAAAGAAGACTCATAAAAAATGCGAAAGGAAAGAATGGAGAGGGAAGTTGACAAGAGGGGACAGTTGGAAAAATACTGGGAATGGAAATGATGATTAATATAAAATAAAACGGTTATATTCTATGGGGTTGTTTAACCCATAAAAGGAATTTTCTCAGGTAAATTAACGAATCTGTAAAACCTAGATGACTAATCCAGGGTGTGTACTAATTTGGCTATGTGGGAGGCACTGCCAATGTACACTTCAGGGCATTTATTTGCTCTTGCAATTACATTAGCATAGAAATAGTCAGAAAATATGCAAAAAGGTTTCTGAAGGAAATTCCCACTCCTTAGTTTTTCTGCTCTGATTAGGATACAAAATTATCCATCCGGAAATATTTGGGCACAGTTCACCCTTCCTCGAGGCAGAAGGATGAGTTACCTCTTGGTGCCTCTTGCAATGCTCAGATCGTGTGACCAAGGGCTTTGGGCTCAGTTTCAGCAGTTAACGGTCACAGTGGAAACCCAACACTAAAGCAGGATGGAGAATCACTGCTAGAATCAAGGTACTTTGTCACTTTGAGAACAGAGTAAGGAACATAAGCAGTCTATTGACAAAGTTGTTTGCTTGTCATTTGCAGCACCAGACATTTAAAACTGGGCAGGAAACACCTTTGAAAAATGATAATCCCAAAAGTCTAGAATTAATAGAGTGCTTTCATCTGCATTTCTGGCATTTTTGGTCATTTGGATTTTGGCACCAAATTATCTAAATGCATTCTCAGGTTGACAAAGAGGAACAATTAAATTCTAGAATTTTCTTTCCTTTTTTTTTTTTTTTTTTTGAGACGGAGTCTCGCACTGTCACCCAGACTGGTGTGCAGTGGTGATCTTGGCTCGCTACAACTTTCGCCTCCCAGGTTCAAGCAATTCTCCTGCCTCAGCCTCCCGAGTAGCTGGGATTACAGGTGCCTGCCACCATGCCTGGCTAATTTTTTGTATTTTTAGTAAAGACAGGGTTTAACTATGTTGGCTAGGCTGGTCTCGAACTCCTGACCTCATGATCTGCCCTCCTCGGCCTCTCAAAGTGCTGGGATTACAGGCATGAGCCACTGCATCCGGCCTAGAATCTTATTTTCAAATAATTATTCTTAAAATGCCTTTAGGGAAAGCTTTTATACAAATACAATTTTTTTCAATAATTAATCAGTATTATTTCAAGTAAAATATTTCAGTAAAATGTCCACTCATTTTAAGCCTCAAAAACCTCTTTTTAAAATGTTATGTTTTCTTTCAGTACTTTGGTTTACCTTACACATAATCATTTCTCCCCTAAATGAAGTCACAAGGATTTATTATAGCAATTAATTTTGTACTTGTTCTGCCTAAGGCACTCAATTAGCATTGATGTAAAAAGACACAATTTTATTATGCTAGATTATCTCACATATAATATATGATTAGGACTAAATAGTGTCAGAAGTCAAAGTGGTTATAAATAAATTCATATTAGAGGGCTGAATGAATGAACATCATGTTTTTCTCATCTTTCGGAATTTTATTACCTGTGAAGTTGCAAGATCCCATGAACGTATGACACCTTAGAAGCAGTAAAAGTGCTAAGTGGGGCATATAAGGATATTCATAAATAGCCTTATAATAGCAAAGGCCTCTTAGTGGTGCATCCTCACGTTGGCAGCTATCTGAAATAACACTAACCAGTTCTCTTTCCTCCTTCAGCTTCACGGAAGTACTCTGCTAAGTCCTTGACTCTCACTCTGAGATTTCCAACAGCTGAAGTAATAGTGTCTTAAATGTATATAATGTATATAGGACTTTCCTTGTAGAGTTCATTGGCATAAGTACCAATAAAAGTAATAGTATATATCTGTTATAGTATATCCATAGTCTATAACCACATTCCCATAACCACATATTATATAGACTTTAAAGGTAGGGGTTAAGTCAAGGTCATGCAGTTAGAAATTAATTTTTTAACACTAAGTCTAGTGTTCCATTTATTACCTTATTTTTATTAACTTAGAAGTCACACTCAGCATGTATTATAATGTTAAAGTTTGCAAAACACAGGTTAATGTCTGAATCAAGATACCATGCCTTCCAAGCAGCTTGCTTAATAAACCTATTTGCTCAGAACCTAATGCCAACTTAAAAGAATTCAAAGAACTTGGATTAGGTTGCTTTTAATAGTTCCCATTATGACCTACTAAATTAAATTACAAATTGAAATGCAGCTGAAATAACTCTGTAACTAGGGTTTTCTTTTTCTTTTTCTTTCTTTCTTTTTTTTTTTTTTTGTGACAGAGTCTCCCTCTGTCGCCCAGGCTGGAGTGCAGTGGCACAATCTCGGCTCACTGCAACCTCTGCCTCCCAGATTCAAGCGATTTTCCTGCCTCAGCCTCCCGAGTAGCTGGGACTACAGACGCCTGCCACCATGCCCAGATAATTTTTGTATTTTTAGTAGAGACGGGGTTTCACCATATTGGTCGGGCTAGTTTCGAACTGCTGACCTCAAGTGGTCCACCCACCTCTGCCTCCCAAAGTGCTGGGATTACAGGCATGAGCCACGGTGCCCAGCCAACTAGTGTTTTTACGGCTGATGAAAAGCCTTCATCTTAGCACAGAGGCTCATGTCTATAATCCCAGTGTTTGAGAGGTTGAGGCAGAAGGATTGTTTGTGTCCAGGAGTTCAAGACCAGCCTGGGCAACATAGCAAGACCCCTGTCTCTACAAAATAAAATAAAATAAAATAATTAGCCAGACATGGTGGGGTGTGCCTATAGTGCCAGCTACTTGGGAGGATAAGACAGGAGATTCACTTAAGGTTGAGGCTGCTATCTCGAAAAAAAAAAAAAAAAAGCTTTCAATGTCTAACACCCATCTCTGGAACATTTATTTTCAAAAGTGAGTTCCATTTGCCAAGTTCTAATGAGATATTTTTAAGGCTAAAACTTTGTGTTTGGGTTTTTCTTTTTTTCTTTTGAGTCAGAGTCTCACTCTATGGCCCAGGCTGGAGTGCAGTGGCGCGATCTCAGCTCACTGCAACCTCTGCCACCCAGGTTCAAGCGATTATCCTGCCTCAGCCTCCCCAGTAGCTGGGATTACAGGTGCCTGCCACCATGCCTGGCTAATTTTTGTGTTTTTAATAGAAATGGAGTTTCACCATCTTGGCCAGGCTGGTCTTGAACTCTTGACCTCGTGATCTACCCTCCTCTGCCTCCCAAAGTGCTGGGATTACAGGCATGAGCCACCGTGCCTGGCCTGGTTTTTTCTTTAAAAAATCACAGCACCAAGATCAGAGAAGTGTGGGATATGGATGGGATTCCAATTAGTGCTATTCCAATTAGCGTCTATTCCAATTAGTGCTATTGATCTTTGCCTACATGCCAGAGTCTGTGCTAAGACCCTTCATGAACAATTATAACATTTAATTCTCCCCTGAACATGGTGGGATAGGCATGGAAATCCCAGCTTCACAAATGATGAAATTTCAGGATTATGAGACTTTTTGATATTTTGTCCAGAAGCTTAGTAGCAAAACAAATTGCTGTTACCATCTTACATTGAGACTCAAGGAGAAGCTAGTGTATGATGAAATTTTTAACATTTATCATGAATGGGTTAATGCATTTATAAATTAGGCTGACATTAGCAAAATAACTTGTGTTTGAATAAAATAGAACTTTGGCTGGGCGGTGGCAATGGAATAGGTTGTAGACCTTTATTTATATACTGTATAACTATTTATTAAGGCAAATATTACTTGTAACTACAAACAATGTAAGTATAAGAAAATGGTAGGAAGACTTTAATTAGATTTCTTTGAAATCTGTCAATATTCACTTATTTTAATTTGATTCTGGGTCTCCATGATGCTATGGCAGGAATCAATAATGATTATTATTATAGCAAACATGTATATTGTACTTACTACATGCCATATACATCCTACATGTTCATTCATTTAGTACTCACAACAATAATTTGATTTTTGGGTTATTATTATTCCCATTTTAGAGATGAGAAAATTACAGCACAGAGAGGTTCAGGAATCTTCCAAATTTACACAGGTAGCAAGTGACACATAACCCAGTCTTCCTCCTGAACAGAAGCCCTTTAACCCTACTCTATATGTCATATAACTTGGACTCCTTATAGTTTAGTTCAATGACCTATGAGGTAATGTGTGATTTTCATAGTTGTGCTTTGGCACTGCAGTTCCAAATTGCTAGTCCTGAACTTAGAATTGGAGAACCAAATTACTTTCAATTAAATTCAACACATATTTATTGAGTGTCTGTCATTTACCAGAAAATCTTCTGAATGCTAAGGATTGATCAGGTACCTCTGTGCCACTGAAATGGCAGAAGATAGAGAAACAAAAGCAAACACAAACAAAGAAAAACTTTTGCCTGGATTCTCCATGAAGCAGAGTCTACGACAAAGGCTTAATTAAGTGAAAGTGGTTAATTTAGAAGTATGATCTCAGTAAACGGGAGTTAGGGACAGGGGAGTGAAAGAAAAAACATGACAGAAACAATCAATGGATGTAATAAGCCAGCCACCCCTCTGGTTGACTAGATGTTCTATCCCCTGGGACACTTTGTGAAAAGCCTTCCTGGTTACCTGTCTGAACTCATCTGCGCCTTTCTTGTTCCAAGCAGACACATTTCCTACCTTTAAGCCTTTGAACTTGTGATTTTTCTCTGCCTAAAATGGTCTCCCTCCAGATACAGGATGATTAACTCCTTTCATTTCTTAAGATTTTTCTCAAAAGTCATGTTCTCAGTGAGGTCTTTACCCCATCGAGAATAGCACAACTCCCCCCAACACTTCCAATTGCCCTTCCCTCCTATATTCTTCAACTTGGCATTTATCACTTTCTAATACTTTCCTTAACTCTATTGCTTATTGCTTGCCTCTGCCACTAGCATGCAAACACCTGAAACTGTGCCAAGCACATAAAATCTGCTCAGTAAGATTTTGCTGAGTGAAAAAATAAACAAACAGTTTCAGAGGCATCCATATGTCTCTAGGGTAGCTATGACAATTACAGCAAAGATGTGAAAAAGTAAAACATTCAGCTTTTGACAACCAAATGTAATTTTTGAGTTCACCGATAGTCAATAAGCTTCTGTATCAGAATGTTTTGAAACAAAACATTTTCTAAGTTTATTTCTGATTAATATATTAAGAACAATGCCAAACAAATTGAATGGCAGGGTTTCATTACAGACCACAGAGAAAAGGAAACCCATGATCTCACATCAGCAAGTTATTTCAAAGAGGAATAAGGAGCAGAAAGTCTTTCCCTTTCAGGAGAGGTGATATTGGGAAGTAAAAACAGAGGCAGAGAAAACAGCCTTTCAGACATATCTTATATTCTGCCTATACTCCTCAGGGTTAAAATCATGGGAGGATGGAATACTAGGTGGAGAAAGGAGCCAAAAATGGAAAATATTTGTCCCATGTTCCACTTGGTATCCTGGGAGTAGGTTGCTATGAAATAAACTTCACACTGATACAGGGAGAGAAAGGAGGATTATAACAGTGGGGAGGCAGTGAAGGGATGTGGTTAAACACAGTGGGGAGGCAGTGAAGGGATGTGATTCCTCCTCCAGCAGTATTTGTGACTCCACAAAGACTACACATAGCATAAAAGGGACCCAAAAATTCCTGTCCATAACAAGCAGGCACTACTAGTATTTCAAAAACTAGTTGGGTGCTCACCCAACATGGTTGCAAGAGGAGGTCAAAGTCCTCCTATAGCTAAAGATTTCCAAAAGGGCACCCAAACTTGGGAGCAAGGGGGAGACACACCAGAACAAATGCAGGATCTGTAGTGCAAACTAGGATTAAGTAAGATAGGACGTAGTTATGGAAAAACAATTAGGTTCTGACTTAAGATGAACATACCGCAATTTCCTAGCCATAGATTTCATTCATACACACCAGCAAAACACTCAAGAACCGAACTAGAGTGAGCACAAGTTAATAGACATCAACAGTTGCAAATCCATGAGCTGGATCTGCATGAAGACCATCATGAGGCACTCTCTCCTCCAATGAGAATCTTATGCTTCCCATCGAGTTGCCCTCTTATAAGGGAGGCAGGCACAGGACAAAGTCCTAATAACGAGTTGAATTTGGAATTGACTAAATGTTTACCCAATCAGGTTGTCTTAACTAGAAAAACTGTCTAAACTTAAGAAATTGATATACCTTGAATTGGCAAATTGAAATTTTAACCCTTACCCCAATTACCCCCTGTATTAAGTCAGGGTTCTCTAGAGGAACAGAACTCATGGAATACATATATATAATATATATTATAACAATGGGGAGGCAGTGAAGGGATGTGGTGTGTGTGTGTGTGTGTATGTATGTGTGTGTGTATATATATATATATATATATATATATCTCCTTTACATACATATAAAGGAGAGTTTATTAAGTATTAACTCACATGATCACAAGATCCCTTAATAGGCCATATGCAGGCTGAGTAGCAAGGAGAGCCAGTCTGAGCTCCAAAACTGCAGAATTTGGAGTCCATTGTTTGAAGGCAGGAAGCATCCAGCACAGGAGAAAGATTTAGGCTGGGAGGCTAGGCCAGTCTCTCCTTTTCACATTTTTCTGCCTGCTTATATTCTAGCTACACTGGCAGCTGATTAGATTGTGGCCACCCAGATTAAGGGTGACTCTGTCTTCCCCAGCCCACTGACTCAAATGTTAATCTCCTTTGGCAACACCCTCACAGACACACCCAGGATCAATACTTTGCATCCTTCAATCCAATCAAGTTGACACTCAGTATTAACCATCACAAGTCCACCACTTGTCAACCCATACACACCTCCTGAGATCATACATAATCTTCAAATAAAGACAATAATAAGGTCATAATTATGCCTAACATAATACAACTATCTTTGTACAACTGGAAACGCACCAATCCCCAACACAAATACTATTACATAAAGTTAACAATACTCAAATGCTGATGTGAAGTCAATAAATCTTATGTCCCATGACAAAGGAGAAAGGAAGTAAAATGAAGATATTTTCTTAGTACAAGTGTATACATGCAAACATGTTTTTAACAAAAGAAGGAGGAAATACTCATGACAGTTACAGTTCCCGTTTCTGCAGCTGGTCATGAGGTTGTAGCTGGTTTTGATGACTACCTTCTTCCACTACCCATTCTGTATTCCCTTTGCCTTAAGCAAGCACCTTAGCAGGTCATGTTTCTTTCTTGAAGGGTCTGGGTCATCTGTAGTCCTGACTGGATTGGGCTGTTGTAGTTTCCCATTGACCTTAATCACAGGGCATGGTAATACTAAGAGACACCCTAATGGATCTCCTGTATTCCATGCAGACTCTTCCTTACCTCCATTGTAGAGTAGTAGACTGATTTCATCTTGATAGTCTGGGTCAATCACCCCTGCCAACATTGTAATCCCCTGCTTAGCCTATTGACTTCAAGGTAGAAGGAGCCAAAAGTGTCCAGGTGGCAGTCTTAACTTCCAATTTAATGGAATCGTAATTGTGTCTCCTGGTGGCAGCATTCCTCCCCCTGGAACTAAGACCTCTAGACCAGCAGAACATAATGTCACGGGAACAGGAAGCAAAAATTTTGCTAGTGGATCACTAGGGTTGATGGTGAGTGGTGCCACTTTCAGTCCCCCACTGACTGAATTATCAAAAAAATTGGATTAGTTATAGATAAATAAAAATCCACACATTCTTTACACATCTGTATAATGAGTGAATTTTCTACCCTACAACTATAGCATATACATTGCCACTAAATCTAGCATAAACAATTATAGATTAAAGTACTATGATCCATTCCAGATCAAGCTAACTAATCGAGTCCTCATGTGCTACTCACATTGATTAATACAGAAACAGAACAATTTCTACTAGAGTCTACTAGTCTGAGAAAAGATATATAGACAGGAAAAATAAGCTTTTATAGTGACTGAAATGTTGGCTGTCAACATACTCAGGTGTATATTAAATACGAAAACATAAATGTAGGAAAAAATATACACATAGCCTACTTTCTTCTTCCATGGTTCCAGATAAATTTAGGACAGACTTTTCTCCATATTAATCATTCAGTCAACCAATACTCAAGGTGGGAACTGATACCCTGAAGCATTTCCATGTGACTTTAGGTAAAAAGAATGAATCAGGACATCTCTTAATAAATGTAATACTTCTGAATGCAAATGTAATACTTCTTCCTTTAATTTAATGTTAATTTTTTTCTTTAACTGCATGTTCGTCTGGGAAAGACTAGTTCCATATAATCTATAACAGGATCTCAGTTTTTGCATTGGTCATGTAATAAAGGAATTTAGTACAGCTGTTGGTGAATCTAATTACTATTTTTGAAATAAAAATAAGGAGTTATATCCTGTTGTTGTTTTTGTTTGACAGTCACTGATAGAGTTTCCCGGCTGAGCAATTAAGCTAATGCCATAGCAATTACTTAGATTAAAAGTTGGAGTATAAGACTCACTGGGAAAGATGGTCATGAAGACCTATTAACTAATCAAAAACAACTACTCTATCCATCTTACAAAAATTCTCTACACAACAAACAGGCAAGAATTTTTAAAATACCATTTAGCAAAATTTGGTCTAGGTATTCCAGTCATTTAAAATACTGTAACTGGTTGCAATGTATACATCAAAATTAAAGACATTCTATGAGAAATCCAAAGGTAAAGTAAGAAAAATACATATTTTGTTGTTTTTACCACGTGCAATTTACTAAAAATGGTTAATTTGCCCCATTAAAATAATTTATAAAAATTTTCGTCTCACTGCTAATACTATTCTCTGCCTGTTGCTCCTAGTCACTGCATTTTATACTTGATCATTGATATTTGCTCCCTTTCTTCTAGTGACCAGTTCTCACTTGCCCAATTACAGTTGCTCCTAAATTGTAGTACATCATACTCAAAAAACATATTCTCTGTGGTTTCTTTAATGTAAAAATGACTAGAAGTGAATTCAAATATTAGTGCTAGCAATGAATTCAATAACTGGAAAATACTCTTGCAAGGTCAAGACAAGTAAGGAAATAAATAATCAAGAAATAGATCTGGTGGCTTTTATGTTCAAACAGAGTAATAATTAACCAGTTGAATTAGAGAAATATAATCTTTCCATCTCATTTAACATTACAGAAATTTCTAAGACCAAGAGCAATGTAATCAACAAATTACAGTGAAGTGTTTCCTTTAAGATTGTAAAAATTAATAGCTCAAAAACAAAGTTAAACAATCATTATGTTATAGTAAAATTCCAAAGTTAAAAATTATTAATTACAATCAAGTTATTAAAAGTTAGATATGAAACCTAAACTGAATTTCATTATGTTTGTGATAATGTATCATTTTCAAAAAGTTGAAAAACTGACTAAAACAAATGTAGAATAAACATGTGTCAAAGATTTATTTAGCTCATTAATGAGGGAAACAGAATGTTAAACCTGGTTCCAAGGGCAGAAATCCCAACAACCACTAGTCTAGATATCAAAAACTTGTTCTTTTCAGTGGGCATAAAATATTTTCCAATTTACTTAAGGTCACAACTATACAAACAACAACAAATCCCCAAAGATTATTTTTGAAAATAAAAGAAGACTGGTCTCATTTTATCTTGCCATATGATTGTGGCACAAAGTATTAATTAACCTCCTTGCTAAGGTCGGCATATCTAGAGCCATATAATGTTGAACAACTACCCAGGCTAGAAAATTAACTTCTAGCCTGAAGTTTCTTTATGAATTTTCTTTATGAAAATTTCACAAAGAACCTCAAATTACATTTTACTAGATTTATTATTCCAAGTTTTTCAGAATTGCTCGTTGGCTGTTTTAGTCTGAATCTAGGAAACCAAACCAAGATACTCATCTCAACAGATTTTACCTATAATATCTATAAATTTGAGTATGTTGTTTTCTGCTCAAGGTCCCTAAAATACAGTGAAGTTTCTGGCCTGTTAAGAAGTAATGGTATTTATAGCCTATAAGATCTCAAATGCATATCGGCGACTATTTTTCTGGGACTGTTCTATGGGCATAGATTTCATCTACAAAGTGCAACCTTTGTTGCTTCATGGTGGTCTCGTCAGAACTGATGAAATAAGATTTATTCTCATATATAACACTTCCAAGAATGGTCTTGGTTGCATTATCAGTTTGTCTATGTCCTGGTAAAAAGAAGGACAGATTTTTATTGAGCCTGTACAATTAACTATATTGCCATAACAAAAGATCAGAAAGACTCCGGAAAGTACTCTATTCCTCAATTCTGAAGCTTCAGGGAAAATAAGTTACCATTTAAAGAGTGTTTCATTTTCATTTGCAAAAGTATAGTCTACTATATCAAGAGTTAAGGAGAGATTCAGAAAAAAGGCGGGAGGGGTTTGTAAGGTACCCATTAGAAAAAAGAACACTAAACATAATAACAACAATTAGATTTTCCTACTCTTTAAATCTTAGGTATTAGGTCAGCAGTTTGCTTTCTTGAGGTTGTCTGCAGGACTAAAAAGAGAGTACCTAAAATCCTGACTCAGTCTGAGAGTTGTCTAAGTGGTGACACTTAAGATCCATATTCTATACCATATTCTATACCCATAGTCTGTATCTTGAGGTATCAGTAAAGAGTATAATCAATGAAATATTTTTATTAATAACATAAGTATAACATAATTACATTGATAGTATTTAGGGAAGGTAGAGATTCTCTTTGATATGACAACTATTCCCATGCAGATTTTACAATAGTGTGCAGCTATTTAAGAAATATAGAATATAACATATAACTCAATTATTTACATCTTCCTGTTTTATGAAGTAAAAGAAAAAAATTTTGGAATTGCCCATGGCCCTGGGAAATTCCAAAAATAGTTTAGACATAAAATATATATTGAAAATAATACTTCTTACATTGTAGGATGTGATCTTAGGTAGGTAAAATCATGGAGTTATCAGTAGATATCTGGTCACTTATGAAAGACTCACAGATGCCTGAGAACAGTGAATGGTTCTGATTGGCTACCTATTAATCAAAGTGGCAATAAGATATTTTAAATTAGAAGTCAGGAAATTTTATTTTGTTTGTGAATAATCAAGGACATGAAACAAACACACTACCACAAATTATTAAAAATTATTAAGGTGAGACAGAATCCCTGTTCTGTGAGCAGATTACACAGAGTAACATTTTACTACCTCTTCTTAAGAGCAGATGGAATTCTCTAAGACTTACCTGCAATTTTAAGAGAGAGTAAACCAAATTCTAGTTTTACGTAAATGTAATATTTGACAGAGGCTCATTCATAAGCAGCTACTTTAAAATTATCTTATGAATAGGACCATCAAACCTGAACAAATTTGCCAAAAATTTAACACATTATAATTCTTCCTTTTAGACTTATCATTTGCAGGTAATTATAAACCAAAGCAACTAAAATTCACTTTCTACAAACCTTCAGCAATTGTCTATATCTATTCACATTTATTTTTTACTACCTTTTTTCATACTTTAGAACAACCAGACATTTTACCTTAGGATAATACTACTTTCGCCTCTCCTTTTATCAACTAAAACATATTGCATTATCTTGATTTACAATCATAGCTCTCTGCCACAGTTGCTTTTAGTAACATTTCAATCACCAATACGAATTTTAACCTTAACCAAAGTAACCAACTTCCATTTCACAGAGATAATGGAGACATAGATAATTGAGACATTTTCATCATACCCAAGCATTTTAGAAGATCATCAAAAATCATAATCAAATATAACATGACTTTATACATGCATTCTTTTTGTACTTTCTTAAAGTAACAGAAAGTAACATGCATGTTAGCATGAACCAAAAACAGTTTCTCTTTAATGAACAAAAAATATTGGCCTTTGTTTCAGTATTCTCTATTACTTAGAAATTATCTAAGTATCCAAAAAAATCCACCAACTAATTAGATTTAATGCTAATTCCAGCTCTCAAAGTTAACTAAGGGGCTTGAAAATTGTTTAAACTGATACATTACAGAAGATACTTAGTGTTATTTTTAAAAAGATTGTCAGAATTGTAATTCAATTTATATGATTATTTTCTCTCAAATTTTTTTTCATACATTATGTGAGAATAATGTTAGCTTATCTAATCAAGAAACAGTACAAGAAGTGTGGAAATCCAGATTAACTAATCTTTTCATAAAAAACAAACCAAAGTCTTAGATGAAAAAACAAATAAATAAATATGTTTTTATTATATTTCATACAGGTAAAAGATATATTGCTGTTTTTTAAAGCTAAAATTTTTAAAACAGTCTAATTTTTTTTTCACAGATTGACCTTGATTATGTAAACTTGATTCTAATTGAAAGGTTTCTGATTGGCCAGTTTCTGTAGGAAGGGCTTTTTGCTTCAGAGTCTAGCTCCCTTAAAGGCTCAGAACTTTAGTTTCTTTATTTTCCAGGAATTCTGGAAAATTGAGATTTATGTAAGTGCTTATCCTTAATAAATAAAAATAGAGCTCTGTTATTTTAAAAGACATTGTAACAAATATTTAATGCCTTTCAGAGATATGAAAATATTCTACACTCAGTCAATGAGGGGCAATCTTTTCACTATTACAGACACATGGGAAGCCTGCATACAAATATAAAACATGTACCAAAAATTTATTTAACTTGTTAATGAGGAAACTAGCAATATAATAAACATTATTTCAAGAGCAAGCACACATGAGGAGGTACTAAAGAAAAGAAGGGCCAGGCACAGTGGTTCACACTGGTAAACCTAGCACTTTGGGGGGTCAAGGTGGGAGGATCCCTTGAGCTCAGGAGTTTGAGTCCAGCCTGGGCAACATAGTGAGACCTTGTCTTTACAGAAAACAAACAAAAGTTAGCCAGACACAGTGGTACATGCCTGTAGTCCTAGCTACTTGAGAGGCTGAGGAGGAGTATCACTTGAGCCCAGGAGGTTGAGGCTGCAGTGAGCTATGATCATACCACTGCACTCCAGCCTGGGCAACAAGGCCAAACCCTGTCTTGAAAAAGAGAAAAAGAGCTGGGCGCAGTGGCTCCTGCCTGTAATCCCAGCACTTTGGGAGGCCAAGGTGGGTGGATCACCTGAAGTCAGGAGTTCGAGACCAGCCTGGCCAATATGGTGAAACCTCGTCTCTACTAAAAATACAAAAATTAGCTGGGTGTGGTGGCAGGCACTTGTAATCCCAGCTACTAGGGAGGCTGAGGCAGGAGAATCACTTGAACCCGGGAGGCAGAGATTGCAGTGAGCTAAGATTGCACCATTGCACTCCAGCCTGGGCAACAAGAGTGAAACTCATCATAAATAAATACATAAATAAAATAAAATAAATAAAAAACAAAAAAGAAAAGAAGAATGTTGGAATAAGATTGCTAGGTTAGATAGAAAACTGATTCATGCCCTATAGGGAAATCAAATAATATTCTTAGAGGTATCTTTTCTACTAGACAAATGCTTTGCATCTCTACCCAATGAAAACCCACAAGTTAACATGTAACTTCACAGCCTAGGTTCTAATCAATAGTAAATAGTATATCAAACAAAGGGGCATTCTCCTACAGAGTTAAACTACCTTTAAGTGGACCTGTTAGACAAAGCTCCAGTATGATACTGAAAGGACACATGATCCTTTTTGCTTCACTTCCAATGTGTAATTTTTCATAAGAATGTTTAGCTATAAGTTGGGATTCTTGATAAACATGAGAGTTCCTATGTCTTCACTAATCCAAATAATAAAACTTAATTAGATGTTTATTTGTGACAAAATTCATATTATTTTTCAAAAGTTCATATTTAAGCTAAACTTCAGTTGTTGTCAGATGACACCAACATGAAATTCCTTAAAATCCTGGAGGTCGAGGATAAATTTGATCATAAGGTTAGAGAGGGATCAAATTGATATGAGTAGTATTGGGCTTCAGGGGGCAGACAGCATTCTAAAAATCAATACTATAAGACATTTTTTTTTCAAAGGTTAATGTAGGGCATAATTTGAGTCTAAAGGGAACTCAGGAATGCCCAGACATGTCTGAAGAACTAGTTAGGTAGGCCACAGGAGTTGACTCCTGAGTTCTAGAGCAGAAGGAATTTTGAACAGAAGCTGAAGGAATTTGAGAAATACAAGGATTAAAAGCCCGTTGGTGTAGTACACAGCCTGACCTCAGGATATTGAAGACTCCAGGAATGGGCAGCTCCCTGGCATCTTGAGGACTTACAGCTGGGAGAACACCAGTGATAAGCTTCTGTAACCCAGAGAGATGTGTGCTTATGGTGCAGCCCTGCAGCAATAGTAGTGGAGAGCTCTTGCCCTCAAGTAACTGAGAGAGAATAGAACTGAGTAACATAAGAATACTATCCATGAGCTCAAATTAAGCAATTTTACCTTTAATCCCAGGATCTCCAGGAAAAATATGAGCAACATTTGAGGGGCTACAGCCACTGCATTAGCAAAGAAGGACATGAGTCCGCAAAATGTGGATTTTCAACACTACATGACTGTTGGTACCCAAAGGTAGAGAGTCTAGTGAAAGAGACAACTATTGACAGAAAAAAATCGGTTGAATGATTTCTGATATTTTAGAATAAAAAGCAAACTTACACTAGTGTGCATTTAGAAATATAAGCTTTTTCTTTTAATTTATGACCTATGAAGACCTATTAGCACATTGATGGATTTTTGTGTTTTGTTTTTGGAGAGTATTTTTTAAATTTTTTAACAAATAAACAATAGTAGCTTATAGAGGGCATTTAATTACATCTCCTGTTCCTACCCTTTGTTCAGAACATTTAATAAAAGGGAATAGGAACCCAAAAATAATATTTGGAGTTGCCCAGGATAAAACAGGTTAGAGTGTTATTACTGTTTTTTGTTTTTTTTCTCCTGGGTTCATAATTAGGTGAGTGGATGGAAGGGACATTCCTCAAAATGGGGTGAAAGCATTCTGTGAAGATGCTCCAATTCAGAGGATTGTTCAAATGTTTCATGTTCTTAATTTGGAAAGTAATTTCTGGGAGATGATTGTTTTCAGGCACTGGGCCTGCCATGAAGGATGAGGATCCTCTCGTAACCGTCCGTCCTTACCACCTCACCACAATATTCTCTGTGCTCTGGGTTATGAGGTTGATGTGGTTTGGCTCTGTGTCCCCATCCAAATCTCTCATCCAAGTATAACCAGGCCTGACCCTGCTTAGGTTCTGAGATCAGACGAGATCAGCCGCTTTCAGTGTGGTATGGCCCTAGACACAAACCTAGTCTAGAATTGTAATCCCCATGTATCAGGGGAGGGACCAGATGGGAGGTGATTGGATCATGGGGGTGGATTTTCCCCATGCTCTTCTCATGACAGGGAGTGAGTTATCATGAGATCTGATGGTTTAAAAGTGTGGCACGTCCCCACTAGCTTCCTCTCTCTCCTGCTGCCATGTAAGACGTGCTTTGCTTCCCATTCAGCTTCTGCCATGATTGTAAGTTTCCTGAGGTATCCCCAAGCAATGCAGAACTATGAGTCAATTAAACCTCTTTTCTTTATAAATTACCCAGTCTCGGGTAGTTCTTTATATCGGTGTGAAAACAGACTAATACAGTGGTTTTACAGTTATCTTATTATTATCATTTCCTCTGACCACCAATTAAACCCCTAACACACATACACATATACAACATATGCATACAAATATCTGTTACAAATGAATTACATCTTCATAATTTTACACTCAACACTCCTTATCCATAAATGACATTTTCAGAGCTGTTGAATTCATTCAAACATTAGTGTGGAAGATTCTAAATGTTTCATATTTTCCTCAAACCTCTCTCAACCACAAAGAAGTTGTTGGGTTTGCATACCAACCAACCCCTTTCCCAGTCCAGCCTCCCTGATTCCACCTGTTTCTGCTACTCCCACAAAAAATTTTAAGAGAGAAAAAACAATTAAATGTTTAGCTACACTCCATTTTCTTTTTCTTTGAGTTATTGCTGTAACAGTCCAACAAATCATTGATTTCTTTTGAAAAACCAACGAGGTAATGACAATTTCTGCTCTGGAATAGCTTCCTTGTTAAAAGAGAAAGGTGTTGCCCCTCTGAATTTCCTATTTTGTCATAAATTTGAGCTGCATTTTACTCATCTTTAAAATAAAAATAAAGGTCAAGTACACTGGCTTACATCTGTAATCCCAGCAGTTTAGGAGGCTAACATGGGAAGATCGCTTGAGCCCAACATTTGGAAACCAGCCTGGGCAATATAGTGAGACCCCCTCTCTACAATAAAATACAAAAATTAGCCAGTTGAAGTTGTTCACGCCTGTAGTCCCAGCTACTTGGGAGGCTGAGGAGGGAGAATCACCTGAGCCCAAGGAGGTTGAGGCTGCAGTGAGCTGTGATTGTACCACTGCACTCCAGCATGGGCAACAGAGTGAGACCCTGTCTCAAAAAATAAATAAATAAAATAAAAATAATTATGCTTTCTTGTTGTCTTGTAACATGTAGCAAGAATTAACTGCATCCTTAAAATATATAGCACTCCTTAGTACCTTATAAGTAAATATAATAAATACCAAACATATTATTACTATAACATTGGTAAGAGATTTTTCTCTTTATGGCTTGCTGGAAGGCACTATGTATTGTAGTTTGCATTCTTAATAAAACTTCTTTTATAGAATTTTAAGACTTTTATTTCATATTTTTAGGAGTATTTTCATATGAAAAAATTATAATTTGAAATTAGCTACAACTACTGCTTTTGCTAAATAACACAACTTTCAAAAACAGACTTTTAAACTTAAGAGGTATCTATTGTTCCAACTTCCTACTCATGGCAGGCCTCATCTCTATAACCAGCCTGATAAATTATCTTCTAAATCCTACTTGATTTTTCCCTGGGGACTACTGGAAGAGCAAAGCATTGCATTTTTAAAATTAAAAATAAACATGCAGTGGACATGAAAAGCCAAAAGTTGGTTATGAAAAAGGTCTTATAAAATTGTCATACCTCTGGTGAGACTATTAAGAATTTAAAAAAGAAGATAGAAATAAAATGGATTTGGAATAAAAAAAATGCAACATAATTACAGCTTTTTTAGGCTAAAACAGAGGATGTTTAAAACTTCAACTAATTAATTTAAAACTTCAACTTTAGATCAGAATAAAGGATATAAGATTCTTCTACATGATTCTAATGTATACTTTTTTCTCAGCTAAGATTTTTCTACTCTTCAAATGACTTTAATTATTTACTAGGAGCATAGGTATACTTTTTTCTTTTTTTTTAGATGGAGTCTTGCTTTGTCATTCAGCCTGGAATGCAGTGGCGCAATCTTGGTTCACTGCAACCTCTGCTTCCTGGGTTCAAGTGATTCTGCTGCGTCAGCCTCCCGAGTAGCTGGGATTACAGGCGCACACCACCACACCTGGCTAATTTTTGTATTTTTAGTAGAGACGGGGTTTTGCTATGTTGGCCAGGCTGGTCTTGAACTCTTGACCTCAGGTGATCTGCCCACCTCAGCCTCCCAAAGTTCTGGGATTACAGGCGTGAGCCATGACGCCTGGCCCATACCTCATTTATTGTGTTTCCCTTTATCATGCTTCGCAAATGTTGCATTTTTTACAAATTGAGGGTTTCTGGCAACCCTAATCAGGCAAGTCTATTGGCACCATTTTTCCAACAATGTACTCATTTTATGTGTCTATGTCACATTTTCGTAATTCTCCCAATATTTCAAACTTTTTCATTATTATTATATTTATTATGGTGATCTATGATCAGTAATCATTGATATTAATTACTACTAAAATTGTTTGGGGGCACCACAAATTGCACTTATATAAGGTGGGAAGCTTAATCAATCAATGCTGAGTGTGTTCTAACTGCTCCAATGACCAACCATTCCTGGTCACTGATTGATCAAGTTCGCCATCTTATTGATTAAGTTTGCCACATCTCTCTCCCTCCCTTTGAGCCTCCCTAGTTTTTGAGACACAACAGTATTGAAATTAGGCCAAATTAATAACCCTACAATGGCCTCTAAGTTTTCCAGTAAAAGGAAGAGTCACACGATGCTCACTTTAAATCAAAAGCTAGAAATGATTAAGCTTAGTAAGGAAGGTATGTCAAAAGATGAAAAAGGCTAAAAGTTAGGCTACTTGCACCAGTTAGCGAAGTTGTGAATGCAAAGGAAAGATCTTAAAGGAAGTTAAAAGTGCTACTGTAGTGAATATACAAATGATTTTTAAAAATTCAAAACGATCATAATGCCGATAGAAAGTTTTAGTGGTCTGGATAGAAGATCAAACCAGCCACAACATTCCTGTAAGACAAAGCCTAAGCCGAAGCAAGGTCCTAACTCTCTTATATGAAGGCTGAGAGAAGTGAGCAAGCTGCAGAAGAAATTTGAAAGCTAACAGAGTTCGGAGGAAAGAAACCAACTCTCTAACATAAAACTGCAAGGTAAAGCAGCAAGTGCTGATGCAGAAGCTGTGGCAAGTTATCCAAATCTAGCTGAAATCATTGATGAAGGTGGCTGCACTAGGCAATAAATATTCAATGTAGATGAAATAGCTTTATATTGGAAGAAGATGCCATCTAGGACTTTCATAGCCAGAGAGAAGTATATGCATGGCCTCAAAACTTCAAAGGACAGGCTGACTCTCTTGCTAGGGGCTAATGCAGCTGGTGACTTTAAGTTGAAGCCAACAATCACTCACCATTCCAAAAATCCTAGGGCCCTTAAGAATTATGCTAAATCTACTCTGTCTATGATTTATGAATGGAACAACAAAGCCTGGATGATAGCATATCTGTTTACAGTATGGTATACTGAATATTATAAGTCTACTGTTGAGAGTTACTACTCACGAAAAAGATTCCTTTCAAAATACTACTGTTCATTGACAGTGCACCACATCACTCAAGAGCACTGGTGGAGATGTACAGAAAAATTAATGTTGTTTTCATGCCTATTAACAGATCCATTTTACAGTCCATGAATCAGGGAGTACTTTTGACTTTCAAGTCTTATTTAAGAAATAGATTTCATAAGGCTATTCCTGACATATATAGTGATTCCTCTGATGGCTCTGCGCAAAGTAAATTTAATGCCTTCTGGAAAAATTCACCATTCTAGAGGCCATTAAGAACATTTGTGATTCATACAAGGAGGTCGAAATATTAACATTAACAGGAATTTGGGAAAAGTTGATTACCATTCTTGTGGATGACTCTGAGGCATTCAGTAGATAAAATAACTACAGTAGATAATATTCAATAGATAAAATAATGACAGATGTGGTAAAAATAACCAGAGACAGAGAGATAGAAGTGAAGCTTGATGATATGACTAAATTGTTGCAATTTCATAATCAAACTTGAACCAATAAGAAGTTACTTCTTATGGATTATTAAAGGAAGTGGTTTCTTAAGATGGGATCTCTCCTGGTAAAGTTGCCATGAACATTTTTGAAATGACATCAAATGATTTAGAATATATATATAATTTAGAATATACATATACACACATATATGTATATACACACATATATACATATATGTTTATATATACATGTATATATACATATATGTTTATATATACATGTATATATACACATATATATGTGTGTATATACATATATAATATATATATATATTTTTTTGAGATGCAGTTTCACTCTTGTTGCCCAGGCTGGAGTGCAATGGCACGATCTTGGCTCACTGCAACCTCCGCTTCTGGGTTCAAGTGATTCTCCTGCCTTAGCATCCCGAGTAGCTGGGATTACAGGCATGCGCCACCATGCCCTGCTATTTTTGTACTTTTAGTAGAAATGGGGTTTCTCCATGTTGGTCAGGATGGTCTTGAACTCCTGACCTCAGGTGTTCTGCCTGCCTCGGCCTCCCAAAGTGCTGGGGTTACAGGCGTGAGCCCCTGTGCCCTGCCATGATTTAGAATGTTATAAAAACTTGGTTGATTAAGTAGCAGTAGGGTTTGAGAGGATTGACTCCAATTTTGAAAGAAATTCTACTGTGGGTAAAATGTTGCCAAACAGGATCACATACCACAGAGAAATCTTTCATGAAAGCAAAAGTCAATTGATAAGCAAACTTCATTGTTGTCTTATTTTAAGAAATTACCGCAACCACCCAAACTTTAGCAACCATCACCCTCGTCAGTCAGCAACTATCAACATCAAGGTAAGACACTCCACCAGCAAAAAGATTACAACTCACTGAAGACTCAGATGATAATTAGTATTTCTTATTTCTTAGCAATAAAATACTTTTAAATTAAGATATGTACATTGTTTTAAGACATAATACTATTGCACACTTAAACTACAATATAATGTAAACATAACTTTTATATGCACTGGGAAACCAAAAAAATTATGTGACTCATTTTATTTCAATATTCGCTCCATTACAGTGGTCTGGAATGGAACCTGCAATATTTCCAAGGTATGCTCGTATTCAGAAAACATGCCTTAAGGAAAAACTGCTATTCAGCTCTGGTTAACAATGGTTACCAATTGAGGAGCTACAAAAAAGCTTCAAAAGTTTTCATCTTAAATTATTAGATGTTTTTCAGTTTCTTGTGAAACTATGGTTATAAAATATGGTTATTTTCTTTTACTAAAACATGTTACTATATAACTTTATCAACTGTAGGAGTGATCGGTAAACTCTGTAATTGTTCAGTTTTTATTCCTGCACTGGCATATAATTAGGTATATGCCCTTTGAAAACAATGATCATATCCCATGAGATGTGAAACTGTAAAACTCCTAGAGGAAAACAGAAGAAAGTCTCCTTGACATTCGTCTTGGCAATGATTTTTTGATTCGCATGCCATAAGCACAGGCAACAAAAGCAAAAATAAACAAGTGTGGCTACATAAAACTAATAAGCTTCTGCATAGCAAATGAAACAATCAACAAAATGAGAAGGCAGCCTACAATTGAGAGAAAGTAGCTGCAAACCATAGATCTGATAAGGGGTTAATATTCAAAATATACGAGTACTTCACACAGCTCAATAGCAAAAAAGATGAATAACCTGATTGAAAAATGAGAAAAGGCCCTGAATAGACATTTCTCCAAAGAAGAAATAAGAAATTGCCAACAAGTATGTAAAAAGGTGTTCAATATCATTAATCATCAGGGAAATGCAAATCAAAACTATAGTAAAATATCATTTCACACCTGTTAGGTTATCAAGAAATTATTATCAAGAATAACAAGCGGCCACGTGTGGTGGCTCACGTCTGTAATCCCAGCCTGGGTAATATGGTGAAACACCATCTTTACCAAAAGCAACAACAACAATAACAGTAACAACAAACAAAAATTATCAGGGCACAGTGATTCATGCCTGTAATTCTGGCAGTTTGGAAGGCTGAGGCAAAAGGATGACTTAAGCTTAGAAGTGTGAGACCAGCTTGGCCAACATGGTAAAACCCTGTTGGTACAAAAATTACAAAAATTAGCCGGATGTGGTGGTATGTGCCTGTGGTCCCAGCTTCTTGGGAGGCTGAAGTGGGAGGATTGCTTGAGCCCAGAAGTTCAAGGCTGCAGTGAGCCATGATTGTGCCACTGTACTCCAGCCTAGGCAACAGAGTGAGAGACCCTGTCTCAAAAAAAAAAAAAAAAAGGAAAAATAAGAAATAAAAAACATTGGTCAGGGTGAGGAGAAAGGGAACCCTTGTACACTCTGTTGGGAATGTAGATGGGTGTAGCCACTGTGGAAAACAGTATGGTGGTTCCTAAACAAATCAAAAATAGAACAACCATATGATCCAGTAATCCCTATTCTGGGTTTATACCCAAAGGAAATGAAATCACCACCTTATAAAGCTATCTGCACACCTATGTTTATTGCAGCATTAATCACAGTAGCCAAGATGTGGAAATAACCAAAGTGTCCATTGATGGATAAATGGATAAAGGAAACACTGTGCGTGTGTGTGTGTGTGTGTGTGTGTGTGTGTGTAAATGGATTATTCAGCCTCCAAAAAGAAGATCCTACTTGAGGTCAGGGGTTTGAGGCCAGCCTGGCCAACATGATGAAACACTATCTCTAATAAAAATACAAAAATTAGTCAGGTGTGGTGGCGCATGCCTGTAGTCCCAGCTACTCAGGAGGCTGAGGCAGGAGAATCGCTTGAACCTGCTAGGAGGAGGCTGCAGTGAGCAGGGATCTCGCCATTGCACTCCAGCCTGGGCAACAGAGTGAGACTCTGTCTCAAAAAAAAAAAAAAAAAAGATCCTGCCATTTGCAACACCATGGGTAGACCGAGAGCACATTATGCTAAGTGAAAGAAGCAAGACACACAAAGAGAATTGCTGTATGCTCTCTTATATGTGCGATCTTTTTTAAAAAATTGAATACATAGAAACAGAGAGTAGGACGATAGTTACTAGAGTTGGGGGATGTGGGATTGGGGTTGGGGGTGGAAAATGGGTGAAAGGCTCCAAAGTTACAGTCATATAGGATGAATAAGTCTAGAGATTTAATGTACAAAATATGGTCAAAGAAGCGAACAAAAGGAATTATGATACCTCTACAGGGAGGGTCGCCAGGTAAAATGCAAGATATTCAGTTAAATTTGAATTTAAGATAGGTAACAAATAACTATTTATAACAGGCAAATATTGCAGGTGACATACTTATGCCAAAAACTTATTCACTGTTTATCTGAAATTCAAATTTAACTGGTTATCCTGTATTTTTATTTACTAAAGCTGGTTATCTTATTTATAAACTTCAGTTTTCTAATATATGTAAAGAATAGTTTGAGAACATGTTATCTAAAGTCTTTTTCAGGTTTAATGTTGTATGATTTCTGTTACAATCAGATATTTTTAATAGAGCACAGTCATTTGCCATACTTATTCATAATTCATACCCTGCAACACAGATGATGATACTGTTGTATCACCATTTTATTGATAAAGAAACTAAAAATTACAAAATTATTTTTAAAAATATTTTTCAGATATGGGATTTTGAATTTCCACTAATGAAACTATGATAATTGCAGAATGCCTAGCTTCAGTGAATTGACTTGATTTTGATATTTAAAATACATATTAATTCTGAAATAACTTAGGTAATTCATTGGTTTTGCTAGACTGCTATGACTGATTTCGACTGAAGCACAGAACTCACGAACAAAAAGACTGTATTCTAAAACCACCACTAGCATGCTCCACCAATTTCTTACATTCTTCAACTTCCTCAAACTTTTTTTCTTTGACTGGCATATTTCAGAAAGAACTGGAAGAAAGTTCTTCGATGTTGAAATAGTGTTAACCACAGCTCAGCTTGTTCTGTGGTATTGACAGATCGCAAAATTTATAACATACATAAGAATCACACCTGGAGAAATGAGACAATACTTCATTTAAATCAAAATATGTAGGGAAGAAAGGAGTCTTATATTTGCCAGACATAAAACTATATTTTAATAGCATTCTATGTAAAAGGTCACTGATTATCACAAATAGTCCCCATGTAGAAGGAGATTCAGAAGTTAAAACTGATATGGTAGTTTTGAAGTCTGGGTATTTAAAAAAAAAAGTAAAAAGAAAAAATGGCATGGTTTCCTTTAACACGGTCAGAAAACAAAATCTTAATCCCATTTTTGTTTTTCATTCCAAAAACAACTATTTATTTACTTAGTACATTCCTAGTCCTCTGAATGAAAATGTTTGTTCTTTGTTGATCAAAATTATGCACTCTTATTTATTACAACAGAAAATTGTAAAGATCTAGAAAATATGTATCACTATCCCTGAAATATACACTGTAGCCCTTGTAAATATGCAATCACATAAAAATACATCAAACAAGAAAATCACCTTATTTAAGTAAGCTTATCTTGCCACTTACTTGTATTATGATAGCTGATAAATACTGTAAGCCCAGGAGAAAATACTTCGGTCAGAGATCTGCAACACTCTTTCCATTACCTTGTTAATTGCAGACTCATACCTGTATGCCAGGGATGCCTGAGTGCCCTCTATATGCTACACATTCAGCTAAGTCTGTTAACTGTGTTCTCTCATTTAATTTTCTCAACAATCTTATGGAATAGCTATTATTTTCCCAAGTTACTAGATGAGCTAAACAATAAAACCCAAAGTTTACACACTTACATATATCTGATAAGTTATGCCATTCTTTTCTGCTTTTCTATCATTTTTCAATTTCTGCTGCAGTTACCAAGGAAAAATAGTTAAAGTAGCCAATAATGAATGTTTAAAACATTAAAAAATCATACCTTATATGTGCTAGAAACAGTAATTTCAACATACTAGGTGGACTTTTGGCAGTGTGTTCTTCCCATCACACTATTTGTAATCCAAATATTCATTTTGTGTTTTTTTCCATGTCGGGCTGCCTTTGATTTTCCTAGATTGTTGTTGTTGTTGTTCTTGTTGTTGTTAGTAGAGGAAAATATACAGTGTCATTAATTCTGCTGCAAGTCTCTCATGGGGTGGACCTTGTTAGGAGTACAGAATGATCTGATTCAATTTCACCCTGTTCTGTACAGTTTTCAATGTCTTGGGTGGATCCCACGTAGAACATGGATGAACAATAATAAGACTTCACATTTTTATAGAGTCTTTGTTCTTGGTATGGTCAAGGGTGCTCATTCCGAATGCGTCTGAATTTCTGATCATCTCTCAGTTTTTCCTCTCTATATCTCTATATTTTGCCTCCCTGATCTTCATATTCCTTAAATGAAAATGGATATGTCTACAACTTTAAACTCTCCCCAGATTGAAGTGTGTCCTTTGGGACAAGGCAGGTTCAGGTAGGCAGTACCTTTGAAGATGGCCTAGGAGATAGGAGAAGATATTCAGCATGCTGCTCACACAATAATATTTATTTGCTCTGGGATAACTTTTTTAATCTGCTATGATTGCAACGAGGTAACTGTAATGCTACTGCAAAATAAAGTAAAAATCAGAATAAATAACTTTTGATTCTAGTTTTGCTACTTTACTAGTATCAAGGCTTTGGGCAAGTCTTTGCTTCAGTTTCCAGAACAGTGAAATAAGGATATGAATGTCAATCTCTGCAAGCCTTTAAGTGGCTCAAACTAGATTCAATAAGTGAGAGTGCTTTGCAAGGGGCTGTATGTGACATCTTGTTATTAATAGTCCATATATATGAATTCAATCGTTTTTAACACAATGAGCTTGATTACTCAACATAGATAGTGAGAAAACTCAGAGATCACAGAATATTTATAGATTCATTACAGAGATAAGGAAATTGAAGATCCCACAGTTAAGTGATTTACCCAAGGTCACTATAGAGCAAGAAGCCAGAGCTCTCAGCTTGGAGGAGGAAATTTTCTGCTTTACAGATGGCAGCTTGCAGAGACACAGCTGGCTCCCATTTGTAACATTTGTTTAATAAGGGCCTCCATTACCCTCACTGGACACTTACTCTTTGCCAGGAACAGTAAATTTCCTAATGTCACCCAGATAGTAAGAATCAAATCCAGGGATGTAAACTCAAATCTGTCTGGCTCCAGAGCCTGAGCTCTTAACCACTGTGGTACTTAGTTAACCGCACACACACTCAGCCTCCCAGAAGAAAAGGCACAGGAGGGGCAAGGAACCCTGCCAGGATGAAATATGCTGAGACTTGTTAGGTTTTATGCCTGGAAAGCCAAATCAGTGGCTACCTGGCTCAAAGCTGTACATTTTGAAATACATGGAAACTGACAAGCAGTTAAGGCTTTAGGAAGCTCTGTAAGACAGAAAGGGAGCGATGCAGCTTCTAGTTACAGTTAGAATTGAATAGGCAATGTAAAATCCTAAATACCAAGATTTAGTAAATTGTATCACATAAAATAGATAAAAGTTGACTTTTTTTGTCCTTTTCCTTTTTTTTAAAGAAACACCCATATTTGAATGGTATTTGAATTTTAAATTACCAAGGTACTTTGAACAAAACTGATACTTTAATGTGATAAAAGAGCTTATTTACTTCCAATGAGTAAGAAAATTATTGCCAACAGAATTACAGAATCCAGAAACAGAAATTTATTTGACAAAAGGATATGTTGAAGAGGGAAATGAGAAAGTAGATTTTAGTTAACTTTGTGTTGATGGAGAATCTGAGCTTGAAGTTTGAATGGGCACTGAAAACTCTGCCCTCTTTCATGCTCATAGCACTAAATTACACGTCTGCATGCTCGTGCACGTTTCCCCAGGCCTCACCTCTATTCTGGAATGTGTATATATTAATAAAGAGTCTCTTTTTAGCATCGAATATGATAATATAGAAATATAGCACCATTTTAAGAGATAGCATACCAAACTCAGGCATTTCTTCTTCTGATACTTAGGACTGAAAAATTATTTACCTTTTGGGAGAGCAGTAAAAGGCCCTACACTGATTATTGACCAATTTCCTTAAGATTTTAAGTTGATTGAGAGTCACAAAAAAGTACTGATGAGCCCAATGGTCCGTGAGCCCCTCAAGGGCAAAGGCAATATCTTTGTGATCTTTGTTTTCCTAGCCCAATTCTTGGTATAGCAGATATCCAATAAAATTCTCCTTTTATTGAAATAAAATTTAATTCATGAATATATAATCTTCTCGGAAGTTCTATTCTAAAAAATGTTCAGTGATTTTTCATGTTTCAAAATATAAAATCTGATGAGTTAAAAACTCATTAAAATGGACAACAAAGCACATCTATTTTGGTTCTTTCAATCTCTAGAAGGCTTGTTTGTAAATGACCCTCCAGATATAACAAAATACCTCTGTAATTCCAAATATAGGATGATGAACAGTGTAATTCATATTTTCCCTTTAAAAATAGTATTGTATTTATTTTCTTCAAACTTTGATATCAAAGTAAATACTAAACTTCATACAGGAAAAACAGGGATTTATTTACATTTTAGGAATAAATTAGCCAAATATGATTTTTATTTCTTCTGTTAAACAATATAAAATAACTGGATAAAAATATCTCCCACACTCAATTACTCTACAAAAAATAATTGTTATCTCTAGTACTTAAAGAAGGGGGTATGCATTAAACTTGAAAGTATGAATAAATGTATTACCACTTCATTTGAGTATGTCATTTAACTCACATACTAAAATAGATATGACGAGAGTTAAAATGGCTACAATTACTATGGTTATTAAAAAACTACATAAACAATACAGCCTTTAGCTATTATATTTGACTTTAAAATGTTTAACAATTGGCTTTAGTTCCAATGGACAAAACTAATTCTGTCAGTTTTTATTATAATTGCATACACTGGACATCAAAGTAAAGATTTAATCATTTAAGAGTTGTTGACTATTTTTCATATTTTCCTTTGTGTATTTCTAACTTCAGCGCAAAGAAGAAAAAAGTTCTCAATGAAACAAAATCAAAAATTTTTTTTCATGAATAGACATTTCTGTGTTAAGGAAACTATAATATTTCAACAAACATATCTGTTGAGTTTATTCTTACCTACTAATTGTTGGTCAGTTTGAAAAAAAGGCATTAAAATAAGATTACAAATTGGAATAGGAGGGAAGGGAAAAGGAGATATACCCGTGATAAAGACAGCAGTGGCTAATTACAAAACCTGGCCCAGGATTCCTGACAGCCAAAGAAAATATTTTTGGTACTTTGAAATAAAGCTCTCATGAAGCATTTATATAGGGAACATCAAATTCTAACAACACTTTCTATGTGTTAATACATGTAGGAATACTCAAATTATGAAAGCACTACACAGAGATGAATGGATAATTAACTATTATGCATATATTACTGAATTGAGAATAAAGCTACAATTCTGACTTTCAGCTCCCTGTTTTCATCAACAAAGTCTTATGCATAAATAACATAACATATTTTCTGAGATTGGGCAGTTTCTATGAAATACAAAGTCTGAAATAAGACTTTTATTAAAACTGAAATGTAACAACTCTGATCTTGTTATATAAAACCACAAACACACACATGTACACAATCTAAGAAGACATAAAATAAACACTTCCTTTAGGTTGTAATGTGCAAAGGTGAAATGCACAGAAAGATATTAACCATCTTTTAAGTGTAATTTTTCAGTTTTAAATAAAGCTTTTCAAGTGGTACTTATAGTGGAATAAAAACATACTTAAAATAAGCATTTAAAAATGTTTTCATTATTCCAAATAGTTTACAAAAATTTTAGACAAACTCCAACCATTATGGCCCACTTTAACATGCCTATCTGCTTTTTATATAAGCACACAGGTATTTATTAAGCATGTAAACCTCCTTTCCATTTATTACTATCCAGGAGGAATATGAAACCTAGATTATTATTCAGAGAGATATATAGCTAAGTGGACCTTCATTTAGCTTCATTCTACCCATTGATTTTGGTACTAACCCCATTAGGTAACCACGTGAAGAATAAGTCTTCTTTCTCTAGTAAGACAAACTCACCTTCCATCTGTTCCATTTAAAATGGCCTACCAGCCCCTTTGAGTTGAAGTCTTTCCCTGAATCAAGTTCCTTTTAGGATTCTTCTGAGGAGGGAAGGCCTGAAGGTTTCCTTCATTCCTTTATTCAGTACACAAATACTGGTGGAGAGTCTCCTGTGTTCTGGGCTATGCTTTCAGGAGACAAAGGATAAGACGTGGTCCTTTAAGAGTAGGCTGGGCACTGTGGCTCACGCCTATAATCCCAGCACTTTGGGAGGCCGAGGCAGGCGGATCACAAGGTCAGGAGTTCAAGACCAGCCTGGCCAACATGGTAAAACCCCATCTCTGCTAAAAATATAAAAAATTAGCCGGGCACGTGGCACATGCCTGTAGTCCCAGCTATTCGGGAGGCTGAGGCAGGAGAATCACTTGATCCTGGGTGGTGGAGGTTACAGTGAGCCAAGATCATGCCACTGCAGTCCAGCCTGGGTGACAGTGAGACTCTGTCTCAAAAAAAAAAAAAAAAGAGAATAAACCCCTCCAACTCTGCATTATGTAAATGAATAACTGAAACAAAGTGTCATGGGTCCTTGCCCTACCTAACAGAACCTACTGGGGGCCAAGAAAGGGAAGGGCTACTTCTATTTCTGCAATGAGGGAAGTATTCCTGAGGGGATAATACCTATGCTTAGGCACTTAAAATGATCGGCTGGGTGGTGAAATGAGGGGGAGATTCCCAAACGGGGAAATTGAGCGCAATCTTGGAAACGTGGGCAATTTTGAAACAGCTCTGCATAACTAGAAAGATTGGAAAACAGCAGTTTTCTCCTGTTATGTGAAAAGATTTATAGCAGCCAGGCATGGTGGCTTATGCCTGTAATTCCAGCACTTTGGGAGGCTGTGGTGGGCAGATCACCTGAGGCCAGGAGTTCGAGACCAGCCTGGCCAACATGGTGAAACCTTGTCTCTACTAAAAATATAAAAATTAGCCAGGCGTGGTGGTGGTCACCTGTAATCCCAGCTACTCGGGAGGCTGAGGCAGGAGAATCACTTGAACCCCAGAGATGGAGGTTGCAGTGAGCCGAGATCGCATCACTGCACTCCAGCCTGGGCAACAGGAACAAGACTCCTTCTCCAAAAAAAAAAAAAAAAAAAAAAAAAAGATTTATAGCAAATCTGTGATTATTATTTTGCTAATCACTGGCTACAGTGAGGATAGCTTAGTACCATTATGTGAAGACCACCAAGCTTGGTGGTGCTCTTAAGTGGTTTTGCCCAACATGAGCTTATTTCTTGCTTATGTGGATTCTGTTGTAGGTCCTGGGACTCTCCAGGGCAGCTGTGCTCTGGGTAATAGTTTAGCATTCCAGTCTTGTGTCACCTTCATTTTAATACATGCTTTCATGATTGCAGTAGCAAAGGAAGGGAACATAGAGACTCAAACACTGGCAGTAATTTCACCAGGAAATAAAGCATTTCATGTCTGTTCACATTTCCACTTATCAAAGTCACAGGGTCATACCTAATTTCCATGGGGTGGAGCATATAGTTCTCCCTAGGACCAGAAGGAGGACAGCAAAAAGTGGTAAGCACTGAAAATGCCTTCAGTGGTTACGAAATGTTATGAATGTTTTATGACTAAGATTAGCCTAATCTTACTGGTATTAGGGTCCATAATATTACTAGTATGTCATAAATTAAGGCTGAAACTAATTAAAGATTTAATCTTGTCTTGTGATTGAAAGTTATGGACTTTCAAGTAGTTTCACTGTTACTCAATATTTGCATCATTGTCTGTGCAAGCAACTGTAAAAGCTTGCACAGCTCTGTATTCAGAAGCATAAATGATTCATGAAATTGTTTAAACAGAGTTATTGTTTAAAGACTAAAACCCAGAGGTATTTAAATAAATTGCTTTACTCTTAGTTAAAATCTCTAAAAGCAACTTTTTCTAATATGGTTCCAGTATTGTAATCCAAATGAGCCATGTGTTTTTTTCTTTTCATATTTAAGATGCACTGAAAGGACATTATGCACTGAAAGAAATAAATACCAATGCCTGCGTGTGGTAGACAAATGGCACATTGCTAGGCATTTAGTTCAGCAATCTTTTTTTGTTGCTGCAATGGATAACCAACTAAAGGAGCATTAATATCAATTTAATTGTAATACCTGCCAAATGTTATTCTATCAGTGGCTAACACAGGTTTATTACTTGATGTTAGTGCTACAACAGAAGTCCCCTGCAGGATGTTCCTTCCTGTAAGATCTCTCCATCAGTTTAATCCAAATATGTTTTTAAAACTCTAATTTTAAATTCATTTCTTAATGTCACGTTGTTTTCTGAAAACACATTTTTGGGCCCATCAGAATGGCGCGCATCTTAAAACAATTGGCGCTTATGAAAAATATAAAATATGTAAATATATTAGGGTGGTGCAAAAGTAATTGCGGTTTTGTCATTACTTTTTAAAAAAAAAAAAAATGGCAAAAACCGCAGTTACTTTTGCACCAACCTAGTACCTGTCTGTCAGGTGTAAAGAATCATCTAAAGGGCATGCACGTGGATACTAAAACGTACAAACAAGCACACAGCTGTGTCTGATTCCTTTACCCTTGTAAAAGTTCCAATAAGTGAATACAATCTATTACTTAATTCTTAGTTTATAGACTGTCATTAGACATACTGTTGTCCAGTTCTCATGTCAGAGCTGTTATAGGCTTTTACAAAAAATGCCTCTGAAGACAGGGCAAGCTTAAACCTGCCACCAATTAGAAAGATCTGTGTCACAGGTGCGCTTTTAAAAGAATGGCAATCTTAAAGGTCAAGTTAAAAACACAAATTTAAAAAAACGATCCTGGACGTCGAGGGTCGGACTCTAGGGGGGGCAAGCTGCAGGCCCCACTCTGCGAGTTTCTGACCGCATTCCGCGGAGGCCCCAATCCTCCCCGCGGATCCTGGCAAGGCAGGTAACCTCCCTTCCCCCGCACCTGTCCGGTTCAGGCGCACCAGCCTTCCCGAAGCGCAGCCTAGCGGTGGGAATGGGAACACCTCGTCTGGGAGCTTTCTTTCGGTTCAGCTTCCCCAGCCGGACCCCAAAGACCCGAAGCCCTGGGGGAAGGAAATTCCAACTTGCTCCCGGCCCACCCCCGCCCCGTTCCTCTCTCCGGCTCGCTGCTTCCCTCGCTCCAATGCCGCCGAGCTGGTCCCCACTTATGTGCGGCCGTGCTGCAGAGGCGGCGGCGAGCTCCCGGACTCCGGGCAGGGAAATGGGGCAGGGTGAGTGAGAGAGCGGGCTCCAGCGAGGCCCCCAGCGCCCAGCCAGCGCCCGCACCCCGCCCGCGGGACAGGGGAGGTGCTGAGTCGGCCCTGCCCGCGCTGGGCTGAGCCTCGCAGGGGTTGCCGCTTCTCCATTCAAGTCCTGGCTTGAGAGCCGAGCGGCAAGAGCGCGGGCCGGGGAAGGGAAGAGTAGGAGAGGAAGCCGCGAGGGAGAACAGGCGAGCTACTGTCTCCTTTGGAAAAGAACGTAGGAGCCTTGGGTGGGAAAAGAGAGATCAGCCCTCCCAACTTCTCTTCGGGAAAAGTTTTCCTAGGGCGTTTTGTTTGTGCAAACTCGGCCGGAGGAGCCTGGGAGTGCGCTGCCGGCGTGGCAGCGGTGCCCGTGCGCCCGGCCCCGCTCCTCCTCCTTTTCCAGCCCCGGCGGCTCCTCTCCCTCCGAGAGGCGCCAAATGGCTACCCAGTAAACCCCACGGGGCGGGGGCTGCAGCGCCACCGCCTCCTCCGCCGTGCTCTGGGCGCCCGCTAGACCTTGTAGAGACGGCGGCGGCGCCCGCGGGCTGGGAGCCGGGGCCCGCAGGTGGAAGCGCACCCGGGAGGCGGGCCGGCCGGGGCTGGAGCGGCTCGGGCGGGCTCTTGACGCTCAGCCAGCTTCGCTCCGGCCTCGGGAAGGCGCGCGTCCCGCCCTGACCCGCCGGCCTCTCCCACCCCAGCAGTGACGCGCCGCCTGGGAGCTGGAGCCCGCGCAGCGCCCCGCAGGGCGATGGACGGCCGAACCCCGCGCCCGCAGGACGCCCCAGCCAGGTAAGCCCAGAGCGCCGCGCCGCCTCTCACCGGGGAGGGCGAGGCCGGCGAGGACAGCGAGGCCTCGGCCGTTTCACCTGGCTGGCAACTCGCTGCCCTGCCGGCGGCCTGACTCACTGACTGTCCTCCACGCGGCCGGGGAGGCTGCTTCCTCCCGGCCTTCTCGGAGGCCGCCCGGGCGGAGGGCTCGGGTCGTTTTTGGTTGCCTTCCTACCGGGGCTGCCCTGGGTTGCTACAGGCCAGCTGAATGCCAGGAATTGGGTGAGGAGTCCGGGAGCAAAAATTGTAACAAAGGGACCCTTGTTTGGGCTCTGGGGGAGCGGTGGACGATACCTGTAAGTGAGCTCCTGGGGAGGGAGGGCAAAAGTTTCCTTGGTCATGGGCTGAGGCCCAGGCAGGTGAGCAATGTCAAGGTGACTGTAGGGAGTGGGCTTTCTGCAGGCGGGTGGAGGGCGACAGGAGGGTGTGCCAGCTGTCAGCCCGCATGACAGTTCCGGGAGCGAGCGGGGTGCGCGCCTCTGATTGGGGGTGTGTGTGCCTGTGGCCAATTGCTGGTTCCAAAACCCAGCGCAAATCAGATTGCAAACAACTCTACTTTTCTTTTTATCCTCACATGTTTGAGAAGAGAGGAAGGGGGCTGTCACATGGTGAGTTAATATTAAATGAGGCATGTCTTCCTGCCAGATATGCTAATAGTTACCTTGTTAAGCGTTTGAGTAAACAGTAATGAGAACAGGTAGTTCTGCAAGAGATGAAGAAAACCTGAAAATAACCTTGGTCTTAGTAAATAGTTCAGGAGTAACCTGGATGCTAGTTGAGTTTCTCAAGTAGGAAACTCGTTTGATGTAGTACAAGATTTTTCCCCCCAGCATAAGTGTTCCTCCAACATAGTTTATTTTCTTAGTTAATCTGAATGCAGAAATGCCCTAATGAGAATACGAGCATTCCAGAAATAGAAACGTTAAGGAAAAATCGACGTTGTCACTAATGAATGAGACTTGTACAGTTTTCCTGATTTAAGAGTGTAGAAGTCATTTTTCCCTGGAACATGACAGGCGTTTCCTTAGAAGCAAGTCACAGCATGTTTATTCATCAGAGACCATGCGAACATTGGCAGCTGTCTAGAGGAAACATGGAAAAGTCTCAAAGCAACATGACTAATCTAAAAGATATTTAGTATAATTTTTACATAGAGGAAACATGTAGTGTATTAATTATTTCATTTTGCTCAAATTAACTTTCTCCTTTCTGCAAATATTACTCCCACTGTTGACTTTCATTTCTTTTCTTTCCCCAGGTTTTTCATTGCTTAAATATTTTCATATATCCTGACATATATTCTCACATTAGGATGAGTAAAGAAATATATCGGTAGAAAGATATTGAGCATACAAGCAAGGTTCCTAAGTGGAGCTGCAAAATTATGTGAATTGACGATGAGACAGCTGTCAGGATACCGAAATGTATTCAGGGATTGCAAAATGAGATAGAATTAAATTGGATTTGGAAATGGATTAGGTTAAGGTACTTTAAAAAACAAAAAAGAAAGAAAAACATACCTGCTTTCACAAAATACACCCATGGGTGTTCAGAAGTCACTGGGGACTTTTAAGTAAAATAGGTGAGGTCAGATGGCTCTGTGTTGAAGAAACAGAAGAACACTTTTTGCTGGCAAGCATAACTGTAGTAAGAACCTTCAGACTTTACTCTTGATATTTTATTTTAATGTAGAGACAAGGTCTTGCTATGTTGCCTAGTTGATCCGAAACCCCAGGCTTCAAGCAATCCTCTCACCTTGGCTTCCCAAAGTGTTGGGTTTACCAGTATGAGCCAGTGCGCCCAGCCACTTTTGAGAATTTAAAGGTTAAACTGATAAGTTCTTTGCTTAAAAAGAAAGTACAAAAGAGCCTTATCTAATTTGTCAAGCATTTGTAAAGGACTTTTGCCGTCCCCTTTTCAAATTTAAGTAGGGAAAATCTGTCAACACCTTATCTAAAATAACACAGTAGTTCTATCATTTTGCCTTACATTATTCTACTCAGAGAAGTTATCATTACCTGAAAAATATCAACATGAAAAAATTACCTCTCTACTTCATTTGTCTTATTTCACTTGTCTAACTTGTCCTTTGGCATATTCCGAATGCCTGTCATATAAGATTTGTTGAATATTTAATATTCAGTATTGCTTCTCTTCTCTCTCAAAAACCCAAATTATAAAAGGTTTAAACTGGGGGAAAAATATCTAGATAAGGGTATTTGGGAAGTGGCAGGCAGAAATCTTAATATGTTATAATTGTTAGGTTTTGGAGATAAATTTCTTGCTATAAAACTGACTAATTATATCATAACTCATTACTTTAATAGACAATGAAGCCTAGTTTAGTCTTTATCCTTGGATATTACTGTTGGAAAGAATTCCTCTGTAATTTTCCAAGTTTTACATTGTTGTAACATGTCATTTTAACATAGCACCAAGTTTTGTTCTCCACATTTTATAAATGAGAATCTGAAGCTCAGAAACACTGAGTGTGTTGAAGTCCCAGCAAATTAGTAGTAAAACCAGAAGAAAAACTCCAAGTGCCTAGTTCATTTTGTTAATTGCTTTTTATCTTTTCTTGACCATGGTATGATATAACATACCATGACGTTATACATTTTAACGGATAACTTATATTTAACCATTAACTCTGTAATATTTTAATACATTTCAGGAAAAATGTAGTTGATATCCTTATCTTCACTTTTATTAATTCTATGATAAATTAGCCCATTCAGGGAATGAGTATTTTAGGAAAATAAAATTGTTTTATGGCCTCTCAGCTGCTGCTTTTTCTTTGAAACATTCTAAATAATAATTGTAACATCAAAAGGGATAGTTTGAAGTTTGTTTGGTGCCTTCACACATTTAACTCGCATTTAGCATTCTACGACATTGTGAATTATATGGGTTGGGTGTCATTTTCTTTTCAGTGGAAGCAATGGTGTGCAGAAATAGTGGCTGCCGTAGGGTCTGTGCTGGTGAAGTCCCTGCCTTAAAAGGGTCTGATCCTGTGGTCATCTTGAATGTCTTTCATTTTGGCCTCTACTGTACTGCTTTAATCCCTTACCATTCTAGATTAGATCCCTTTCTTTTGAGACAGGCTGGAGTCTTGCTATGTTGCCCAGGCTGACCTTGACCTCTTGGGCCCAAGTGATCCTCCCACCTCAGCCTCCTGCATGGCCGAGACTACAGTCACAAGCCACTGTGCCTGGCTTTAGATCACTTTCTTAGTAACATGCAGAAGTATCCACTTTATATTTGTTGTTCTGTATCTTATGGGCTTCTTTTTGGAATTCGTTATGAGGTTAAGAGTTTAGATATCAAAAGACATTGAGTCACAACAGTTTCGGTTTTCCTTCGAGAAAAAAGATTGCATGCAACTTTATATATATTCAAATGTAATATGTACATTCATATATAATTACATATTTTATGTATACTATACATATACATACATATATACTCCTATCTAATTCATGTATATATGTTTTCATATGTATGTGAAAGTTGACTGGTTTAACTTACATAGTGATCTAGATGAAAAATGATAAATCATTTTTATATTTGTTTCTATGAAGTGGAAATCCTAGGTTGGTTTGCGTTTTTTTTTTGCAGAGAGCAAAAATGTTGGAGACACTGGTTGGAAAATTGAAATGCTGCATTGGAGAAGAGAGCGATAGTCAAAAGTAATTTCCTTCTCTAACGTGGATATCCAATTAGTAAATTTATTTAAGTTTTCTATATTAGTACTTAGTAAAGTGACATTAATCACTTAGAAAAAGCAACATGATTGCTGACATCAACTTGGGTGCTTATCTTTGGAACTAGTGCTTATGTTCTTTACTTGCCCAGATATGCTTTAAAAAAAAAAATCCTTCGAAATTTAAATGTCAAAAGCTTAATTGACCTTGCTCTGAGGGATCTTAATATTTTGATTCTGAAGCACATTTTCAGGAATGTACAGAGGGGACAAAAGCTCTCTTTATCATTTTGCAGCTTTGGAGCTATGGAGTTAATTGAAGGCATACGAAAAATTAAAGAATGATTTAACAGCTGCTTTCTTAAGCTTTTGTTGAGGAGTGTTATTGGTTCTAAAGTTTCACTGATTGTATGAACTGAGTTCTTGAATACTTGAAGTTGAGTGACTTCTCTGAGGTTTCAACATGGGAGTCATCTGGGATACTTTCACACGAATTCTTGGGCTCTCATGCCCCCACCCATTCTGATTTTAATTCTCTTGGTCTGGGACCAGGGGATGGCTAGTTTTAAAATGCTGCTCAGGTGATTGTAGTGTGTGACCAGATTTGAGAATCATTGATTAAGTAGATATCAATAGCTGACATGGAGCTGATGCAAAAAAGAGAATAGAGGCTGTTACTAATCATTTATAGGGAACTCAAGATTGTAACTTTAGCATTATTTTGCCTTTTGAAAGATTCCATGTAGCTGCTTTGCAATATTATTTTTAAAGCTTTTGCTACTTCTTTTTGAATAAGTATATTAACTTCATTTTACAATGAATGAAACTGAGGATCAGAGAGCTTAATTAACACATTGAAGGTCATACAACTCTAAGGAATGGAAGAGTATTAGAAACAAGCTCTGATTCCAAACCTATGCTTTTCATAGTGCTATGTTTGCTACCATGGATTATACTGAATGGCTAAAAATGATTTTTATTTAAAGTGGCCTTATAAAAGCATTATCTTGATTCTTTTTAAAATTATGTTTACATTTTATATTTAAAAACTATAAATTTCAATGCATATAAAATGTCTAGCATTTAAAAGGAGATTAATTATTTGGCTTATGTCTTCAAAGTAATGTGTAACATATTCCTGTGTATGGTATGATGTAATTTAACTCATAGTAAACTGGCAGTTTTTTTCATCATATGACAAAGTCTATACTTATTTTTTGATATTAGGCAGCTATTAAATGTATAACAATATTTCAAAAGTAGGATTTTTGATTACTGAATAACAAAAATGAAATTATTTATTAAAAATGCTATACTTGCCCTTCAAAATCAATTACCTCTACATGAGTTAGAGGATATTGAATAACAATATTATGACCTTATATTTGTACTGAAACGCCAGATGTGTTAATATAATAATAAATGCCAAACTTCATGTTATTAAGACAACTACTTTTAATTAATCAGTCAAAAACTCCTGAACTCTTACTTTATATAAAACATATTTTTCTAGGTACTGGGAAATAGGCTTCTAATCTTAAGAACTTCACTACAGAAATTATATGTATCTGTAGGAATAAAATGAACATGATGTTAGTGTATAAATGGTACTTTGTTACTGGCTTAAAACATTATGTCTATGCTTAGAATTTAAAATGCAACAGCCTAACTTATGGGTCAGCAAACTATGTCCTGAAAGTCAAAACAGCCCTCTACCTGCTTTTTTATCCCCCTTTTTCTCCATTGTGGTAAAATATGCATAGCATAAAATTTACCATCTTAGCCATTTTTAACTGCATGGTTCAGTGGTGTTAAGCACATTCATATTGTTGAACCATCACCACCTTCCATCATTATAACTCCTTCCATCTGGCAAAACTGAAACCCTATACCCATTAAACAATAACTTCCCCATTCCACTTTCTCCAGCCCCTGAAAACCACCATTCTACTTTGTCTCTGATTTTGACTACTCTAGGTACCTCTTACAAGTGAGATCAAAGTCTGTCTTTTTTTGACTGGCTTATTTCACATAATGTCATACATGTTGTAGTATATATCAGTACTTTATTGCTTTTTATAGCTGAATAATATTCCATTGTATGTATAGATCACATTTTGCTTATCCATCCATCAGTGGATACTTGGGTTGTGTTCACATTTTAGTTATTGTGAATAGTGCTGTTGCTATGAACATGGGTGTACAAATACCTCTTGAAGACCCTACTTTCAGTTCTTTTGGGTGTGTTGTTAGAAATAGAAAGTCTGGATCATATAGCAGTTTTATTTATTAATTTTTTTGAGGAACTGCCATACTGTTTTTTGTTTGTTCTTTTTTTGTTTTGTTTTTTTTTACAGTGGTTGTACCATTTTACATTCACCAAAAGTACATGAGGTTCCAATTCTCTTCACCAACGTTTATGTTATAGAGCCCCCCTTCCCTGTAGCAGCTATCCTAATGGGTATGTGGTAGTATCTCATTGCATGTTTGATTCCTGTTTCCCTAATGTGTAGTGATTTTGAATACCTTTTCATTGGCCATTTGTAAATCATCTTTGGAGAGATATCTGTTCAAGTCCTTTGTTTTTCAATCTGTTTTAATTCTGTATATATTCTGGATGTTAATCTGTTATCCTCCACCTGTATTTATAGAGTTTTACTGGCAAACAGCCACCCATGCTCATTTGCATATTATCCTCCAACCGCTTTCACATTATAGTTGAGTAGTCCAGATAAAGACCATATGGCCTGCAAAGCTAAAAATATTTGCCCTCTGGCTCTACACAGACAAAGTTTGCTGACCCACTGGCCTAATTTATAAGATCAGTAAATAAACTAGTAATTGTTTAATTAAAAATTTATTGCATACAGGAGACTTCTAAGTATTAACTGAAATGTCAGTTAAAACAAAATTATTATCTGTATGGAGTGAAATATATCTTATACTAGGGGATTTTGCAGAATGGAGATTGGTGATTGATTCCTTTTTCAAGTAAAGACTAGACTTGGCTGTTGGCACACATTTTAGACTTTTAACATTTATAAGATATTAGAATATATTTTAAAGAGAATTCCAGACTTCTGTGCCAGAGAAACTTTAGAAAAAATGACTGATATAATTAAGAAGATATTTAGAAACGAATGTGCCTAGGAGGAAATGGACCAAAGGTAGAAGGAGTTCTTATCCAGTTTTTTGAGTCTAAAAGTCAAAATGTCTTTATAATTTCCAGCAAGTATTTTTATTGTTGTTGTTCAAGATACTCATATACTCAAGCTTTTGGTGTTCTAATATTAGTATGATAGTTGTTATGAGACTTTTTTTTATGACTTTGCTGTGCTAAATTTTTTCCCCCATCTGCTACAGTAAAAACAAACTAAAAGTATGAGAGAAAGAAGTTTCCCATGACTATTTATAAAAGGCCAAACGTCTTCAGTTTTGAATACAAACTTCATATCTGAGGAATGAATCCTTTGGAAAAGATTCTCAAAGATTGGCTAGTCTTTAGAAAAATGATAGAGTGAGCATGGGTAATTTATTTCATTTAATTTAAGTTCACTATACTGTTTATAAATTTAAATATTTTAAAACTGTTTACTTTAGATGTAAGAAATCTGTGGAGTTGAATTTTGGAGCATTTTGGCGAAGTGCTTTAATTGGAATTGTCGGCCTGGCGCGGTGGCTTACGCCTGTAATCCCAGCACTTTGGGAGGCCGAGGTGGTTGGATCTTGAGGTCAGGAGATCGAGACCATCCTGGCTAACACTGTGAAACCCCGTCTCTACTAAAAATACAAAAAATTAGCCGGGCGTGGTGGCGGGCGCCTGTAATCCCAGCTACTCGGGAGGCTGAGGCAGGAGAATGGCGTGAACCCGGGAGGCGGAGCTTGCAGTGAGCCGGGATAACGCCACTGCAGTCCGGCCTGGGCGAAAGAGTGAGACTCCGTCTCAGGAAAAAAAAAAAAAAAATGTAAAGGCAGGAGAAATGGCCTATTAAGCTCAACTCATAGAAAGTTGAACACTTAGTTCTATTTGTAGCTTGTAGCTATTTATTTATTTATTTTTGAGACAGGGTCTTGCTCTGTGGCCCAGGCTGGAGTGCAGTGGCACAATCTCGGCTCATTGCAACCTCTGCCTTCTGGGCTGAAGTGATCCTCTCGCCTCAACCTCCCTAGTAGCTGGAATTACAGGCATGTGCCACCATGCCCAGCTAATTTTTGTACTTTTTGGAGAGATGTTGTCCAGCTGGTCTCAAACTCCTGGCCTCAAGAGATCCTCTCGCCTCACTCGCCTCAGCCTCCTAAAGTGCTGGGATTACAGGCATGAGCCACCGTGCCGGGTTTGTAGTGTTCTGTTTTTTGTTTTTTTTGTTTTTGAGATGGAGTTTCACTCTTGTTGACCAGGCTGGAGTGCAATGGCGCTATCTCGGCTCACCACAACCTCCCTCTCCCGGTTTCAAGCAATTCTCCTACCTCAACCTCTCGAGTAGCTGGGATTACAGGCATGCGCCACCATACCCGGCTAATTTTGTATTTTTAGTAGAGACGGGGTTTCTCCTTGTTGGTCAGGCTGGTCTGAAACTCCCGTCCTCAGGTGATCCGCCCGCCTCGGCCTGTCAAAGTGCTGGGATTACAGGTGTGAGCCATTTGTTGGGCCATTTGTAGTTTTTAATTCCTCAATTGAAATCAGAGCTGCAGGAGTAATATAAACAATTATTATTTTTTAAAAGTATGGTTTAATAGGACAGAGGTTTTCTTTTGTAATGACTTCAGACTTGTAGAAAATTCCTTTGTACATAAAGGTGTAAAAATACCACATATTTGAAAATAGCCAAAGTGTTTCAGAAGCAAGCCTCTGAAATGTGGTTGAATAAGAAGCTGAGTTATATAGTAGTTTGGGTTCAAAATATGGCTGTACTTATAAAATCTGATTTTTTTAAATATGATGTGTAGGTTGACTTTAAATAGGATCGAATGCTAAGGCATCAGAATATGTCTTTAAAATAATATTAATCATTAGAAAAATTACATTGTTTCTCAGTGTGATTAATTTGAGGGATTAACACCAAGTAATTGGTAGGTATTCTGGTATATTTTTAAAAATTAAATACACCATTTTACCTTATAGCCTAAAGTAAAGCTTTACATCATAGCTTCTGTAATTACAACAACATATATTTTTAAGGAAGTAGAGTTAAGATGCTCAAATCTAGGTGAGACATTTATCGACATTCCTTGAGGATTCCATCTCTCGAATCTGCCTTCATGCACATGCACATGTACTATTTCTGGAGAAATGGAAGCGAGGAAGTATTAGATGAGCCCAAGGGGAGTAGCGGGGGCTGAAGCCAAAGTTTTAATAGCTACTACAGTTGTGTATTGATTGAGATGTGCTGGAAAAACAGGAAATTGAGCTGCTAAACAGGAAAATGACTACTATCCTACCATTCCCAGACCTGATTGGCTGTGCCACAGTTTCTAGGCCAGTTAACTGTAATCAAGATAATTACAGGAGTCATTGAATTCATTTTCTCCTTTGTGCTAAGATGAATGCAAGTTACACACAAAATGGAAGTGTCCGAGGGTAGAGCAACTCTTTCTCTTTTTTTTATGCCTGATAGTCACTTGCTGTATTACTGCTTTAACAGAATTAGGAAAGAGACAGGGTCACTGTCTTATAGGACAATACCTGTATTTCCTGGTCTGTGGCAGCTCCCATAATTCTCAGGTATCCGTGATTCAGTTATTGGTGGCAGACTCCTCAGCAAACTGTCCTGCTACACTGTGGGAGTGGGTTCTTCCTGTCTCTTGCTCCCACATAAAATGTGTTGTTCCCCATTTCCAGATGGCAGCTAGGTGCTTTAACTTAAAGCAAAAAAAAATATTTTTTCTGTGCTTCAGGAGAGCAAAGCTGAAAGTGGTAGAAAAAAACATCAGCAGCTGAAAAGAATATTTAAATATTATTTAAATATTTATTCTACTAGATAACTTAAGTAAAATTTAAATGATCCCTACTAGATAATTTAAATAAAATTTAAAATAAAATTTAATAAAATTTTAAATGTTAAAATTTATTTTTATTTTTATTATTATTTTTTGAGACAGACTCCCACTCTGTTGCCCAGGCTGAAGTGCAGTGGCTTGATCTCAGTTCACTGTAACCTCTGCCTCCCAGGTTCAGGTGATTCTCCTGTCTCAACCTTCCGAGTAGCTGGGACTACAGGCATGAGCCACCATGCCTGGCTAATTTTTGTATTTTTAGTAGAGATGGTGTTTCACATGTTGGCCAGGCTAATCTCGAACTCCTGAACTTGGGTGAACCACCCGCCTTGGCCTCCCAAAATGCTGGGATTATAGGCATGAGCCACTGTGCCCTGCCAAAAATAAAACAAAATTTTAAATGCTTGTGATCCTATGATATCAGTCTTTTCAGTTTCCTCTTTCTCTGAAAGTGGGTAAGCTTTATTGTGATTATTACCTATGAACTTTGTTCCTCCCTTTAGGAAAGTGAGATTTGACTTTGATTGAATGAAAAATATTTAATGCTAGTAATCTGAAAAGAGGAAATATACTCATTTTTCCTCTCACATTTGAATTGGGATGAATTTTATATCTAGAATCTATTCCACCTTCTAGTTTACTTCACTTTACCATACATCATTTTGAAATATAATCTGATCTGAAACGAACAATATTCCAGAGTAATTCATACTGTATGTCTGTGATTCTATGTAGAAGTATGTCGTAAATTCACTCTTAGATGATGCTAAGAAAATATAGTCCTGAAGTTTGTGCTCGTATTCTTGTGAAATCTAGAAATATATTTCCAATGCTAATTTAGTTACATGGTTATAAGTAGTATAATCTTAAATTTAGGAGAATTTTTATAGCTTTCTAATCAAATTCAAGATTCGTATATATATGTGGGGTGCAACACTTTGAGATTTTCATTTTTTGTGTATCATTTAGTACACTAAGGTTATGCATGTTTGAGTTAGTGGCAGTTCTAAAAATTATCTGAGGATTTTGAATATGTACTACAATTTTTGATCACCCAAATCCATTCTTTTTTGTTGATAGCAATGGGGGATTTGAATGTCTTGGATTTGGGACATTCACAGTTTCCATATATTACTGTAAAGCGTAGGTAAGGTAGAGACCGACTTTCTGGCATCCCATGGATATTTGGAAGGGTTTGAACACAAAGGTACCACAAATACCAATGGTATTAAAGGAATAGCCTTGGGGCACCAAGAAGTACAGTTTAGGAAGCAGGGAGTGAGTAGTACAGTGAAATGATTTAATTCCATGGTCAGCATCTTTTACTACTACTTATACTGAGGAACTCGTCTCTGCTTAGTTGCCACTCAGTGGCTGAACCATTGTGGATGGTTTTGTACCCATTATCACCATGGCCCTAGGACTCTCTTTTTTTCAGAATGTGGATCTATGTCACACCAATATGGACCTATGTCAAACATTCTTATGGAAGTGGAAGGAGTGCAAGAAAAGGAGGAGACCATTTAGGATTTGAGAAGGGAGATGCCTTTATTCTTAAACCTTAGGGAACCAGCCAGCTTCTGAAATTTGACACTGCTAATTAAATAGTTTTCATTGTATATGCATCTGAAGCTCTATAATTGGCTATCTCAAGAAAAAAATTTTAAAGTATTTATATTCAAAATAAAACTGGAAAATCTGGGAGATTTGGGGTAATACCCCCTGTTCATATACAATTTGATATTTCATTTGTATTTAAATATATTATTTTTCAGTTGTGTATATGATATATATTTCCTTCTTTTCCCTTTGCCCTTTGTGATCTGCTTATGTATTTACACTACTGCTTCATGGAAAAAAATTAAATTTCATGGAGTTCTCTTCAAGGGGAGAATTTTATTTTTATTTTTTTGCTTTAGTTAGCTAAGTAGATGCATGCTTTGCTAAATGGAAATGTAAGAATAATTGTGTTTTTATTTGGGGATGTGGATGAAGATGAAAGAAGAAAACAAGCAAAATATATTTAGTGAGTGGGAAAATAAAAGCAGAACAGTTTCTGATGGTAGAAGAAGAGGCTGCTGTGTTAATGCTGGACTGTATTGCCACTAAACAAGCAGTTTGAAGGCTGTGATCGCTTGTATTCACTTTGTAACTCGGGTACTGTTTGTGGAGCACTTCTGTGATCTTAGGTTATTATGAAGTGTTTTCTGCCAAAGACTATATATAACCCCTTCAAAAGTACCATATCTGATTGTGGGGGAAAATATTTCATCCAAAATTAAACTGATGGTTGTGCTGATGACAGTTCTTTCCAGTGGTATTTATGGGTCATGTTATTTATTCGTTATTTTTCTAATAGGCAACATATTCAAATGTCACAAAAAGCAAAAGAGAAAAATGACAAAATGGTGAGACATCTCCTTCTAGCATCTTGGTTCCTGTCACCCACTTCCTTCACAGAGGCAATCAGTGTTATGAGTTCTTTTGAATCCTGGTAGCATTCTAAACTAGCACCGTCCAATGGAACTATAAGCCACAAATGCAATTTTAAATATTTTAGGAGCCACATTAAAAAATTAATGTAAGTAACATATTACATGACACATGGTTATATGATTCTAAGTCTTTCAAAACAATAAAGTTGTCTTTAACAAAAAAATATTTTATGCCAAGTCAGATTTGAAATGTAAATTAATTCCGTTAAAATGTCAGTTTCTTAGTCACGCTGGCCACGTCTCAGTTGCTTGAGAGCCTGATGTGTGTAGTGGCTACTGTATGGTTAGTGCATCTCCTTATATTCATGAGCAAGTGGGTGTACGTATATAATTTCTCCCTTTTTTATACACAGTGAGTGCTGCTTCATACGTTGCTTTTTTACTTAACAATCTACTTTGTAATTATTCCATTTTATTACATAAAGAGCTTTATTTTTTTTCTAGCTATGTATTATATCTTTGTAGGGATGAATTTTAATTTATATAACCAGTCTCCTATTGATAGATATTTAGGTTTATTCCCCTCACTCACCCTTTGCTATTGAGTTGTCATTTTAATAACCTTTATGCAGTTTACAATTTGTTGTGAAACCCTAAAAGGAAAAGGCCATATTCTTTATTCCTTCTTTTGTGTAACTTGCAGGGTTTAATATCATTTCCACATATACCTAGAAACAATGATCAGTTATTGGATAGGTGGTATTTGAGTTTGTGTGAACTCAAGCAAAAAGTCAGTGTTGGAGATGGAGACAAATTACTTGTCCATTGGAACGATAGGAGCTCAGTTATGCAGAGTATTGAACCGAGTAATTAATATTCATTTTTATAGCCATTAACCAACGAATTGTTATTAAGACACCATTAAATACCACACCATTAAAATTACTATTTTATACCTCTCAGCACTCTATTATAAAATTCCATTCTTGGTTTGAGCTTCTCATTTAGGATTATTCCCTGCCATAGTATTTTTGAAAGAAATGTGCATTTCATTAAGAGTACTATATAAGTGAAAATTCTGAATAACATTTTCATTTTATATCTAGAGAAACCAAAAACTTTGTCCATCACGGGCAAGGTTGTTTAACAAGACATAAAGGGTATATTATTTTTTACAACCTAAATATCCCCATTTGAATAATTACAGCAGAGTGCTATTTTATTTATAGAACAGGTTGTACGTTTGAGAGTGAAATAGTCATTAATTGTGTGACTAGTACATAAGAATTCATACTCATTTGTGTCAACACCCTGAAATCTAAATTGTCAATTGCCTTGCTATTTTGATTCCAGACTTCACTTGGTAGAGGACATTAGTCTTTTGATGTGAACAATAATGAGCTGAAGAATAAGACCAAATAATGGAAGGTGTTTTCTTCTAGCTCATGAAAGAAAAGATGAGAATTTAGAGGTCTCAGAAATGCAAGAAATCCAATTGTCATGTGGGCACATAGGAAAGAAAAACAAGTATGAGTATTCTTTTATTCTTTCTTCCCGGTGTTTTTTGAGTGTTACTCTTCAAAATGGTTACAAAACTGCAAATATTATGGTAGAAATCACATTTGTCCTTTTTAAAAAAATAAATGTTTTTGGCAACAAATCGACATTTTACATTATTCCCATATAAGATGAAATTCTAAGCCAGAATTTACCATGAGAAAAACCTTAAAGAAATGGGCCGGGCATGATGGCTTATGCCTGCAATCCCAGCACTTTGGGAGGCCGAGGTGGGTGGATCACTTGAGTTCAGGAGTTCGAGACCAGCCTGGCCAGCATGGGGAATCCCCGTCTCTACTAAAAATACAAAATAACCAGGCATGGTAGTGCATGCCTGTAATCTCAGCTACTCTGGAGGCTCTGGAGCGAGAGTCTCTTGAACCAGGGAGGTGGAGGTTGCAGTGAGCCAAAATCATGCCACTGCACTCTAGCCTGGGTGATAGAGCGAGACCCTGTCTCAAACAAACAAACAAACAAAAAACAAAAAACCCACAAAACAAAACAAAAAAGAGAGAGAAACAAAAAAAAAAACGAAACAAAGACAAAAAACTTTAAAGAAATGATCATTTAATGGGATCAAGTATTCCATAAAACATTTTAAGTAAGCCTAATACTCTACATTTAACTCTGCCGGCTGCCTTACAGTTGTCTGATGCAATGAAACAGTGCACTTGGCACTCTGGCATTTAACAGCATTAGTTTTGGTTTCAAATAAAACTGGTCCAGCAGGAAGTCAGATAGCAGCACTTGGCAGGCAGCTACTGTAGAGTGAGCTTGGAGACAGGACCTGGACCTCCATCTGTGCTCTGCCACTTACTGGCTTTAGGCACTGTTTCCCCTCTCTAACCCACAGTTTCTTCTATTGTGGAAGAGGATAGTAATACAGAATGAAAGTGTGAAAATAATACCAGTATATGCCAGGCATTTGGCTTATGTTTGTGAAATCTTAAATATTATCTACATTGCTAGAAAACAGGCGACTGTGATGTGGACATCATTATTGTACTATTTTGAAACCAGTGAAGGACAGTACACTCCCTGTTCTCATTTGCCTCTCCCAGGAAGTGGAGGATGAAGTTGGTTAGAAAGTTCATAAGTCCACTGTGAAACTTCTTGTGCCAGATGCAGGGAACTTGTTCTTGGCACATTGAATGCAAAATGTGTACTAATCTCAATGAAAATCACATTCCCTTTTAGAGGAGAAAAATGCCCCCACTGAGATTAGGAATATGCTACCAAGGTGATTGTAACTTCCTCGCTTCACCATTCTGGTGAATATTTCACTTTTCTCTTATGTAAGATGAAAGTAACTCTAACTGCATTTCTTTGATTTTGTTAAGACTGATATGCAGTGACTGAAAATTTTCTATGGTAAAGTCATACACGAGCATCATTACTCAAAGAGGAGGTAGGAACTTGAGACACCCATTCTAATCATAGGTTATCATATATTGAATATACTTTTTTTACACATGGATTAAAATCAGATTTCCTACCTCCTGTAAACAAGAAATTGAGGTATTATACTTTACCACAAATGCTGTAAAACTGTCAAGAAGCTGACTTCAGTTATTGAAAAGAGCAAGAGGAATCTATAACTTCTGACTCCTCCATCTCTCAGGATGACTGCAACCACATCACTTAGTACAGGGGATAAGAGTGAGTGGCATTTGTTTCAGGTTGTTTAAAGCTGTAACTCTTTCAGCTATGGTGGCAGCATGATGGCATAGTCTGAAAATTAGCCTCACGCACCCTTGACTAAAAGCTTTTAATAGAGTAAATACAGTCAAATGGATTTATTGATTTGTATTTTTTTCTGGATTCGCTGCTTGTTGTAATATAGAAACTTTAAAAAATTTTCTTGCAGGTTAAGTTTTGATGTAAGAAGAAAGTGATTTTGTTCTATAATTTCCATGTACTGTACAGCAATATTTTCAATGCAATTGGCTGCTATCAAAATCTCAACATAATTAAGATCTATTTTTTTTCCTAAGTAAACGTAATGGAAATTTTCAGGTAGAATAAATTATAACCATGCATAAACTCTGCACTTGGAAAGTTTCTTAAGCATCAGGGTGCTCCTGGTAAATTTACCTTATAATAAATATGTTTCACAAGTAGTATATAAAATAATATGGAGCCTTAATTGCTTCAGAGATTGAATGAATATTTGTAAATTTATTCAAATTTCCACTAATTAAAAGTATCAGGGTCACAGTAATTTAAGAACAGTGACCAGTGGCTTACAGGACTCTGGTTATGCAAGCAATGAGCATTTATGATTCACCAGGTACTGTGCTAAATGCATGACATGTTGCTATATTTAATGGTCACATCCAACCCACATCCAGTAGATGTAGATGTTATCCAGATTGTACAGAAGAGGAAACTGCAGCTTAAGGTATGACTTGTCTGGGGTCATGTGGCCAGGCAGTGGTAGATATGAGCCTGGAATCCAGATGTCATTTGGAATCTATTTGCTTGACCACTTTGCTTTTTGACAACTTATAGACAACTTGTAGACTGGCTTTACTGACAAAGCCAGTAAGATAAGAAATAGCAAGAGTGATCTTAAATGGAACTGAACACTTTTTTTTGTATTTTTAATATTTTTCCAATTACAAAATAAACATGCTTGTCACAGAATGTTTGAAAGCAATAGGAACATGTAAAGAAAAATAATTTTGCAAGCCACCTAGAGATAAATAACACAATTGACTTGCATTTCAGCCTTTCTTAAGATGTATTCTGATTTATAATTTAACATGCTGTCTGTAAAAACAACTCCCATGGTCACATAACTTTGGGAAAGTGTAGGTTTTAAAAAGTTAAAACTGTTAAACTGTTTTCTTCTCTCCAGACTTTCCCAGAGATTTTAATATGTGAACGTGCATAATGGACTTTCAAAATGGAAACTTAATAAGTAACGCTTTCCCAATTTATTTATCCCAAATAAATATCTTGAAATCATTGTTTTTTCAGATATATTTTAGATAATGCTATGGATAGATTGCATCCTTCTAGACTTTTTTTTTTTTTTCTTTTTTGGGACAGAGTCTCACTCTGTTGCCCAGGCTGGAGTGCAATGGTGAGATCTCCGCTTACTGCAACCTCCACCTCCCAGGTTCAAGCAATTCTCCCGTCTCAGCCTCCCAAGTAGCTGGGATTACAGGCATACACCACCATGCCCAGATAATTTTTTATTTTTAATAGAGACTTGGTTTCTCCATGTTGATCAGGCTGGTCTCGAACTTCTGACCTCAGGTGATCCACCAGCCTTGGCCTCCCAAAGTGCTGGGATTACAGGCATGAGCCACTGCGCCCGGCCCTAGACTATTTAATAAGGATTTAGGCTTTTAACTGTGTATACTATTTATATATTCCTTTTTCTTCAGGATTATATTATAGGCTATTTTAATTATTTGAAACTCATTTAAAAATGTGTTTTGAAATATTTGCATAGCAAACCGTGTGTGTATGTGTGTTCTGCATTTTTTTCAACCTTTCACCTGTTGAACATTTCTGCAGTTTCCAATGAAATCATTAGATGTGAAAGTTTTCCGTTTGGGTGAAGGTGATTCCAGAACTGAAAGGTTACAGATCCTGCAGCAGTGAGGATACCAACCCCAGGGATTGTTACACAGCTAGAAACAGTAAAAGCCATCACAAATTTTTGAGAAATCTGTATAAGATGTATAAGATCCCCTGTGATTGGCAATCATGGGAGAGACATGCCAGAGAGGGGATGTTCTCAGGGGAAAAAACGAGAAGTCATCTATGAGAATGAGTTGGTAAGTTAGGTGTCTGCGTGTATAATTATACACTTAGTTCAGGGGTATGCAATTATTCAAGTATAGCCTTGGTGCTCACCAGGCTGTACTGGAGAAGCTTGGACACATGAGGAGTTCTGGTTATTAATCTTTGCTGCGGTGAAGGAGGGTAAGAGGTTTGGAAGTTTGCAGTCTCCTTGAAGGGTGAAGAAACTGGGCCTGTGGACAGGGATCGATTTAACAGGGAGAGTTAGATTAGTTGTAGAGGATTGGGTTTGAAGCCATTTAATCAATAACCCATTCTAAGAAGAAAAAGAAGTCTTGAATCAACAGTTTGTTGATTTTCAGTAAGTATTTGTTAAATAAACAATGCGTCAGATACTGTGCTGGTCACTAGCAGCCAATTGTATTGAAAATATTACTATACAGTATATGGAAATTATACTTACGGAGTAATGTAACTGCTCGTAATGAAAACATGATTGAATCTTATTAAAAATACACATCTTTGAACAACCACCAGGGCAGTGTAAACAATACTCTCACTGTTTTAAAATAAGGAAAGTCCAAATCTCTGAAATGCCACTTATTATGCAATTTCAAATACTTTTTTTTTGTTGTTCCTTGGATGAATTTATGTTTGGTTCATAAGATGTCTTAATAAAACTTTTCACCAGCCCGGCCAACATGGCAATATTCCGTCTCTCCTAAATATACAAAAATTAGCCAGGTGTGGTGGTGCATGCCTGTAATCCCAGTACTTGGGAGGCTGAGGCACGAGAATCGCTTGAACCTGGGAGGTGGAGGTTGCAAGTGAGCTGAGATTGCACCACTGCACTGCAGCCTGGGCAACAGGGTGAGACTCTGTCTCCAAAATAATAATAATAATAATAATAATAATAATAATAATAATAATAATAATATAATATAATCTTTTCAGAGAGCTTACATGACTGTGGAGCATGTAAATGTGTATATACCTTCTCTCTACCCATATTGAAATTTTCCCTGAGATTAGTTCATCTCATTAGACTTTGGGAAGTTAACATCAACTTCTCTTGACCAGAGCCAAGTTTCAAACCTGACCTTCCCAGCTTGAGATAATTAATGGCAAGACTTGGAGAATACTACCTTCGTCAGGGGCAGTGGATTGCAAGGGCCAGGGAGATGCCAAAGGGAATAGCCAACAACCCAGAAGGCATATGGGGAACATTTCTGAGGCAGCAAGAGGTGGTTGGCTTTGGTCAATCCCTTCCCTGCCTGGGGCTCCCAGGGCCCCCAGCTCAGCAGACACAGAGGCAGAGCTGCCAGTTTGACATCAGACAGCAGTGGAGGTTATTCTTCATCTGACCAGACTCTAGCAGTTACCTTTGTTGCCTTAAACGTGTGACTTATTATGAACAGTGACAATTAGGAGACACTGGAAATAGTCCAAGGGTCACTGGTGTGTCATTTTAGGGGGACCTGTGGTTGAATCTTGGCTCAGACATTGAACAGTTATGAGATTTTGGACAAATAAATGTCTTTGACTCTGTGTTTTTGTTTTCCATCTGAAATTGAGGATTACTTATCTATTACCTAGGCTCGTGGGTATTAATTGGAAGCATTTATATGTAAAGCCATGAAATATTGACAAAGTAATAAACCTTATGGACCATGATTTTCATTTAGTGATTAAATGTCTGTAGCTAAGTTATTAATGTTTTTGGACATCAGCCATAGGAAAAGTTAACAAGATTGGTTTAAGCTCACCACTCTCAGTTTCTATTCAGTAAGTTAGTAGTTGATACTCTGTTTAGGATCATCGTTTTTGAAATATAAATAAAGTAGTTTTGTAACTCATGAATTCATGGAATATGATTCTCGGAAAGCAGGTTTTTCAGCCCTTAATCATTAGAAAAGGTTCTACTAGGTAAGATGCAGAGATAGTGAGCACACAATGTGTATATTATAATAATTCCCTTTTCCTGTAGGAAATAAAATAACCAACTAGCCAAATATGTTCTTTCCCTAAACTTTATTGTTGGCAGTGGTTCCTAATGAAAAGGCCTTGTCTCTGAGCCTGTAAGACAGTCCTCTTGTGTAAGAAGATAGTTTTAATTTTGTTCCTCCCATATCTATGGCTTGGGTTTTATCGCTTGTACACAGACTGGGAACACTCACTATGCTGTCTTCCAGTAATCACATAATTTCCACATCTCCACATCTGTAAACTAGAAATAATCCCATTACATTATAAACAATGTGTAAGATTGTTGATAATACGTGTCTTGAATAGGTTATGCATTTCCTTTCTGTGTTTTTGACGAGGTTCGTTCTCTTGACAGCACAAATTCTCTTGGGTGTGGAGAGTGGGATGGCATTTGTGGGAAGGTGTTCTCTCTCAAAGTTCTTTGAGCTTTGTGGTGCCATCTTCATGTCAGGTCACATTCATTTTGACATGGATACTCATCTAATTAAAAATTGTCCATGGCTGGGCACAGTGGCTCATGCCTGTAATCCCAGCACTTTGGGAGGTGGAGGCGAGTGGATCATGAGGTGAGGAGATTGAGACCATCCTGGCCAACATGGTGAAACCCCATCTCTACTAAAAATAAAAAAAATTAGCTGGGCATGGTGATGCATGCCTGTAATCCCAGCTACTCGGGAGGCTGAGGCAGGAGAATCACTTGAACCTGGGAGGCGGAGGTTGCATTGAGACAAGATCACGCCACTGCACTCCAGTCTGGGCGACAGAGCAAGACTCCATCTCAAAACAAAACAAAACAAAACAAAAAATTGTCCATGTCATTTCTGAAACAAGGCAGATTATTATTTTAATCATAAAGCACACAGTTGCACTTTTTCTTATTTAAGGAATCCTAACCAGGTTACCACTGCTCATAAACTGCTGAAAATTGGTGCGAACCTCAAAGTCATGGAGGAAGAAGGTGTGATCATGCAAGAGGGTAGCCCACTAGAGTGTGCCCACATTTTGAACTTGTGTGTTTTCTGATAAATGCAGGTATTCTTACTGAAGCTAGCTGAACAGTATGAATACATTACTATTTTGTTATTTCAGAGAACTAGATAATTTTAAAGATTTGTAAAGTGTTATTGTTTCCTGACAGTACTTGTGTATTATGAAATTAACAGCAGGCCTGGCGCGGTGACTCATGCCTGTAATCCCAGCACTTTGGGAGGCCAAGGTGGGCAGATCACCGAAGCCCAGGATTTCAAGACCACCCTGGGCAACATGGCAAAACCCCAAATCTGTAACAAATACAGAAAATTAGCCAGGTGTGGTGACATTTTCTTGTAGTCCCAGCTACTCAGGAGGCTGAGGTGAAAGGATCAATTTAGCCTGAGAGGTAGAGGCTGAAGTGAGATGTTATTCTTCTACTGCATACTAGCCTGGGCAACAGAGTGAGACCTTGTCTCAAAACAAAAGTGGGGGTAAGGATATGACAGCATTTTGCTCACTCCAATAAACTGTTCTGAATAGAGAAAGATTTTAGAGTTTATGAAGTTAAAAAACCCAGTGGTGGCTGGCACGGTGGCCCACACCTGTAATCCCAGCACTTTGGGAGGCCAAGGTGGGCAGATCACCTGAGGTCAGGAGTTCGAGACCAGCCTGGTCAACATGGCAAAACCCCATCTCTACTAAAAATTAAAAAAAAAAAAAAAAAGCCAGGTATGGTGGCAGATGCCTGTAATTCCAGCTGCTTGGGAGGCTGAGGCACGAGAATTGCTTGAACCCAGGGGGCAGAGGTTGCAGTGAACCAAGATGGCGCCATTGCACTCCAGCCTGGGCAACAGAGTGAGACTCTGTCTCAAAAACAAACAAACAAACAAAAACAAAACAAAAAAAAAACAGTGGCAAAAAAAACTACATGTTCTTTTTTACCCTGTGGAAATAACTAAACAAAAACACATTTTAAAAATCTCCCAGCTTTTAAAGCTAAGGGCATATTTTAAATGAAAGTCAGTGAAAACCTGGACCCAAGATTATAAACAGTAAAACAAGTTTCTGAACAATTGTTTCTTTCCCTACCTGAAATTCACTTTATGTTTGACACTTTGGCACATTTCCTGACATCTCTGAGCTTTCATTGCATTTTCTCATTTTTCAGTTTGATTAAAAAAAATTTTTTTTTACGTTGTCAAATTTTGGTGGTTTCCAGTATGATCAGAGTAAATATCTGATTATTTTAAGTTTGTATTTTCTAGGTATTTGACAAACTCTTAAAATATTCATAAGTTTGAGAAACTCTTACAATATTTAATTTTAATTTTTCCCTTATAAATTCACTTCCTATGCTTTATCTCTTTTATGTTTGTATGTCCATTCTTCTCTTGTTGACTTTATAAAAGCTCTTAATATGTAAAAGTTATTGATGCTTTACGACCTATGTTCTAAATATTTCGCTAGTTTTATCATTTATTATGCAGCTTTGTTTATGCAAACATTTTTAGCATTTTAATTTGATTATTATTATAGAGACAATTCTGTTTATTTTCCCTTTTCTTGGAAGGAAATGCTTACACTTTATGAGTCTTTAAAATATTACTTTAAGTTTATGATAGATTAAATATTTGACAGAAACAGGCCAGGCACGGTTGCCCACACCTGTAGTCCCAGCACTTTGAGAGGCTGAGGCAGGAGGATCCCTTGAGGCCACAAGTTCAAGATCAGTCTGGATAACATGATGAAACACTGTCTCTACCAAAAAATAAAAAAAAAAGCCGGGCTTGGTGGCATGCACCTGTAGTCTCAGCTACTTAGTAGGCTGAGGTTGGGAGGATTGTTTGAGCCCAGTAGGTCAAGGCTGCAGTGAACTATGATTGCACCACAGCACCGAGTGACAGAGCAAGATCTCGAAAAAAAATTATATGTATATATATATATGTTTACATAAGTACATATATATACTATATGTTTACATAAGTACATATATATATACTATATATGTTTACATAAGTACATATACACTATATATGTTTACATATGTACATATACGCTATATATGTTTACATATGTACATATACGCCATATATGTGTACATATGTACACATATGCTATATATGTGTACATATGTACATATATGCTATATATGTGTACATATGTACACATATATGTAAATATGTATATTGTATATAAGTATACATATATACATTGTAAATATGTATATGTATACATTGTAAATATGTGTATATGTATACAATGTAAATATGTGTATATGTATACATGCATACATTGTAAATATGTATATATGTACACATGTATATGTACATGCACACATACGCATGTACACATACGTATATGCACATATGTATATATACATATATGTATACATACACACGTGTATATGTATACATATGTATACATACATATATGTATACATACATACGTGTATATGTGTATATGCACATGTATACATACATGCATATGTATATATGTATATATACACACATATGTATACATACGTATATATACGTGTATACGTGCATGTATACATACACGTATACATGTACATATACATGTACATATATGTACATGCACACGTGTATATATGTGTGTATATACATATATACATGATGTACATATATGTGTGTTTTCCAGTGGAATAAGGATTGATATCTTCATTTAGTAAAGATTAATATGAAAAAGTAAATACACAAAGCCTTATTTGTGATTGAGAAACTGGAAAAATTAAATGATGTAATTTGTTCAACATATTGATAAATTATGCCAGAAACTGGGCTAAGTGAACTTAAAAGGATGATCAGCATTTAGATGTGGCTCATGAGCAGTTTATAATTGGGAGATAGAAATAGCCCAGTGATATGATATTACCTATGGCAAGGCCAGTAATAAAGGAAAAACAAGCATGGCTGTGGAAGCCACCAGGTGGCTTCCCTTCCTAGAAGAGGGAACTGTTGCGCTGACCTTGAAGAATAAGTAGATCCTATCCCAGGAGTGGTATGTAGAATATACTGTAGGAACTCATTCAGTGATTAGTTCTGCCTGAGGCCACTGGGGTCTTACAGTGATGGTGAAGGATATAATGGGAGTTGCCAAGCCAGGCAAGGAAGAGATATTCTAAATGATGCATAAATGTTGGAGATTGAGGAGTAACGTAGCGTGAGGAGAACGTACAGGCTTGGCAGGTGAGGCTACAGGTGAAACTGTGCAAGTTCTTCAGATATTGTGGTTGACTAAAGAGGGTTTTGTTTAATATTTATCTTATTTTTAGACAGTATTTTTATCTCTGTTGTTCTAAGTCCTTCTTCTTCTTCTTTTTTTTTTTTTTTTTAATATATACCATTACACTCAGATAAGGGAATTTAGGTTAGAAGTTCGGAAAACTTTCATATTACAAGTTCACATTCATACATCCCAATTTTAGTTTGGGTTCTATTCAGTCTTTCTCAGCCTTGAAGGCTTTCAACTGTGGGTTCCAAAGTTGTTTGGTTAATCCAGACAAAGCCTCTTCCACCAGTGGCTGTGGCTATGAGTTATTCTTGCTACCTGCAACACTTGCTCAGTGAGTTCTCATCATTCATGTTCCAGATTCTACAGTGTTCCCCACTGAGCCTATGGATATTTGCATATACCTCACTGGAGTCCTGACTTAACTTCAGTTCATATAGCTGGGTTCTGACTCCCTGGCTAGCTTTTGCTCACCTTTTCCTGACCTTTTCCTCCTGGGGCCTTGATCTTGAATTCTGTGGCCTCCATAACCAGCTGTAAGCCTGCTATGAATCAGAGAGATCCACTGGGAACCTTGGCTAAATCCCATCCTGACTTCTACTCGTGGTACAAAGTGCCTTGAGACCTTGGCTGTTGTGTTTCATCCACCAGATGATATCTGTTTAGTAGAGTGTAGAGAACCCCTCATAACTAATAATGAACCTCTACTTAGCAACTCCTGGGGTTCTTTTGACTATTGGTCATGCATGTTGATAAGTCCCCCTTGTCTTAGTCCCACACAGCCAACCACTGACTTTTATCCTGAATGAAAGATATATATTTTTATATTATAAGGATTAGAAATTGCTAAATTCTGTGGATTCTTACAGTATAATATCCTTTAAAATAAAATTTCTAATTTAGGCCTGGGCTATTTTGATAACCTCTTCTTGCCCTCAGCTTTTAAAAACTTAATACACTGCAGGGTTATTTCCAAACTACCGGTCAATTCCTATCAAGCTTTCCTTCTCTTCCCAAAAGTCTTTGCTGTCTGTACAGTAAAGGCCAGATTCTGTAGAAGGCATTGAGAATGCGGGGTGTCTGGTCCTAACTTTCCTTTGTGGCCTTATCTCTCACACTGTCCTTTCACCCACATTCTTTTCAGACTTAGAGGGCCCACTGTAGCTTCTGAAGACTGGGGAGTTTCACACCTCCTTGCCTTTGCCTGCTGTTTCTTCAGTGTGGAATTCTACTGGTTCAATTCACTTCCCAGAGGAATCCACACATTTTTCAAGACCCACTTCCAAATTCCACCTTCTGCTTGAAGCTTTCACAGATCCTCAAACCAAATGCATTTCTTCTCTTTTTCTTTCATGATACTTTAACTCTATCAGAGTATATATTACCTTCTGTCTTCTATGTTTTTGCGTACAAGCTTGCTTTTACACAAAATTATAAACTTCTTAGTGCAAGATTTCTCTTTTTATCTACATTAGCACTTGCTCACATTGTTTTGTCCCTACTGGGTTTTCAAAAATAGTTTTTTCCATAATTAGGATTTCGATGGTCTAAGAAATTTTACTTTTTGCGAAGAAGGGTACAGTGGAGGAATTTGAGTCTTTCAAATAGTTGTGTGTTTTTTCTAACCCCTTCCCTTTCTCTTGTGCGTGTCAGGTAGAGGAATCTGGGTGAGTGCTTGAGGCTGTGTTAGAATGAATAATATGGTTTGGGGAGGAACAATTCCCATGGATCTTTAACCAATTAGGATAATGGTAATACTTTGTTTGAAAATTGTTTAAAAATAGATCATAGTCCTAATGATTTATTGATATTCTTAATACCAAGTACTGGGGCAGCACTTTCACATCCTCCTGCAACAACCACATAGGGTTCATGTTTTATCCCTTTTTATACAGGAGGAAACTAGGCTTATACAATTTTCTTAACTGAGATTAAGTAAGAGATGGAGTCAGGTTTTCATGTCAGATCTGTCTGATTTCAAAGTCTGTGTTCTGTATCACTGTGCTCTCTTGCCTTAAGCATTTGGAAAGTATGCATTTCTGTGAATCTTTTTTTTTTTTTTTTTTGAGATAGGATATCACTCTGTCCCCCAGGCTGGAGTGCAGTAGCATGACCTCGGCTCACTGCAACCTCCGCCTCCTGGGTTCAAGGAATTCTCATGCCTTAGCCACCCAAGGAGCTGGGATTCCAGGTGTGCACCACCACACCCAGCTAATTTTTGTATTTTTAGTAGACATGAGTTTCACCACATTGGCCAGGCTGGTCTCAAACTCCTGACCTCAAGTGCTCTGCCCACCTCGGCCTCCCAGAATGCTGGGATTACAGGCATGAGCCCCTGTGTCTGGCCTGGAAAGTATGCATTTCTGACCTCACTTTCCTGCTATGAAGATCAAATCAAGTTCACCAGCTCACAGTAGAAACTAGTGATTTCAGTGTCTGCCCTTCTCCAAATTAGCTCATTAGCTCAAGAAGTCAACACGGTAAGTTAACTTATCAAATTGAATAATGGATAAGAGAAAGAGACTAAAATGCTGAGACACTTATGTCAAATATAGTCATTTTTTGGCTCCTCCTTTGTTGCATATAATTAGATGACAGGTAATTAAGAGAACTTGGAGGGTGGAGGAAGGTTTAGAGGATAGTAAGAATTTATACATTTTTTCTAAAGTTGAGGTATAGTTTACTTTTAATGGAGGAAAGACTGAATTGAGGTATTTTGTATGTACATGTCTACCTGTTTTTCTTTATATGATATAGGCAAATTCTGTCTTTTTCCCCCTCTTTCTCTTTAACCAAGTAGGACTTCCTATGGAGATACTGTGTCCTCAGAAAACTTTTGAATCAATGAATTATTGTGGGAAAAAAGAAAGATTAGCAGAAGGAATACCTTATTGTTTTACTCTCCGTCAGTATACATACATTGAGATAAACGTATATGGAAAATTTTAGTTGATTTATTCAATGACTATTTATTAAACATCTATGTGTCAAACTCCATCAGGATGAGAGATAAGACACACCCAATGCCTTCCTCAGAGAAGATTGCTTAATTGATCACCTAGCAGAAAGTAAAGACTCTTTAATTTTATATATAAGAATAAAAGTAATAATACAAAAATCAATTGTTTATTAAGACCTTATTAGATGCTAGGTCTAATGTTAGGTATGTTGAATATATTAATATTATAGCATTTTATCCTTATGTCTGTGTGTGAGAGATACTACTATCTTTGTCCCGATTTATCAGATGGGGAAGGGTAGAGGGGAACCAAAGAGACAATGAGAAATGAAGCAGCTTCTACAAAGTAATTCATTCTTGCTACCTTACTACTCTGATTCATCTATTTAAATTATATATTATTTTAGTGTATACTGTGTGAAGGATTTTTAGAGATTACTTTTCCAAAACTTTATAAAAGTAGCATTCCTTGTGCCTGTTCTGACCTTGTTACACAGACATGGGTCTGAATGAAGGATGTGCCGTTTTCTTATTGGGTAACCTTGAGAAAGTTACTTGATTCTCACAGCCTCTGTCCCCTAGCTTATAAAATGTAAATTACAACCCATTTTGCAGAGCTGTGTAAAGCACATGCTGGTAAGATCTTAAAATTTTATTTCCCAGTCATTTTCCTCTTATGCATTTCCATAAAATAGCTCAAAATAATCATGTGATCATATAAAAAAGATTTTGCTGAAATTTTCAGCTTGACTACAAACAGTTTTCTTGTAAATTCCTTGTGGTGTTCCAGCAGCCCAATAAGTTCAGTTGTGATGCTGGAGAGTAAACATTGGAGTTGAAATTGGAAGCCCTGTATTTATTTTGCTACTTTGTTGTTCATTTCTTATTTTAAGAGACATGGAGATGCTTTCATTTAATAATTAGCTTATGAGTTTTTACTACTTGTTGATGCCTGAAAGGGTCACCAACTCAGCAGCCAGGTGGAGAAATAACCAACACCCCTGATGTTCCATTTGGATGATGGTAGCTGGTTACATGATGAAAATAATGCTGTTTCTATCTGTTTAGCTAAAAAAGCAACCATGATTCAAGGTAAAAAGTCTTTCCTGAGAAGCTTCTTGAATGCCCAGTTTGACTTTATACATTTTGTACCATTGGTTACCCCTGTGAGGTCTTTCAAGGGGTACATGGTTGTTCATCTAGTGGTTAAAATAAGTGCATTACTAAGAGATCTTTGTTGATTAAACCAAAATTTCATATGACAATGTAGATTCACATTAGCATATTGTTCTGTTGTGGTTTAAAATACTTAAAGTAGGAACTGAATGTAGTGAAGATGTATTTATTCAATATTTTTGCACATATCTATCCATTTGATGATAGGCCTGTGAGAATTAGAAGTGTGTGCCACTTTCTAAAATCTAATTTTAGAAAAGTTGTTTAGAAATCAGTTGTGGTTTTAAAAAAAAATTTGGAAATTTAATCTTTGGTCTTATATGTACTGAAAAAAGTTGTTATTTAAAAGAATCAATGGTAAAATCTTTGAGGTGAATAATCAAGACCTAATTTATTTGAGTTTGTATAAATGAATTTGGTTATGCCATACTTACGGGGAAAGTACAAAACTAAGTTATTTCTATTTTAGTATACAGTAGGGTGCAACTGCATAATGCTTATTTAAACAATGACTTTTTTTTACAAAGTCTTTTTAAAACTAAAATCAGGGTTATAATTTTTAATACAAGAATCAACTAACAATTATCAAATGCGTACTCTAATATATGCTAGGCATTGTACCAAGGGCTTAGCATGTATTTTATTTTTATGACAACTCAGAGAGGGGTGCTAAGATACTTGTTTTATATCTGGAGAAATCTAGGCAGGGAAGGGTGAACTCTTGCCAGAGTTACAGGAGGTTTGGAAGGTCATGGGAGGAACAGTGTGAAACCATTCACATTCACTTAACCATTAGTCTGTTGTTGCCTCTATAGTGTCACAAAAAGGCTATTTGCTCACCTTTTTATGAAGACTTTTTTTCTAGAAATTTAATGTTTCTAGAATATAAACTGATAAATAACAGACAGGAACTAAGTAGTTTATAAAAATCTTAGGAGGACAGGGACAATGCATGCCTTATTTACTTCACTATGTACCTAGCACACATGGTAGGCCAGTTAATTCATTTTTGTAAAATGAATCAATTAAAATGTTGTGGTAGAATAGTGATATTTAAATCCTATATACATCATGATTTTAATTTTGTGTGTAAAACCAACATTCAAGTGTTCTTGACTGGCTGACCTAGTTTCGTACATAATACAGTGTCAGAAATTGAAATGATTTTGTTCTTTTATTTGTGTTTCTAGATGTTGATGAAAATAGCATAAGTCTTAAAATATCTTCAGCTAGTTGTGATGTCAGAAAAAAAGTATTTTTTTTTTCAGAGCCTTAGTTTGAAATGGGTTGTCATGGTTACTACAAATTGGAATCTAATCAAGAGTCTCAGGAGAAATCAAGACCATGCTGCAGGTATTTTAGTTTTTGAATGAAAGGAAACAGGTCTTGACATCTCAATCTATGTGAACTGTTGAACCTCAGCAAAAATGCTACCACAGAGGATTATGAATTTAGGTTGATAGTTCCAAGTGTAGATGCTTCTAGCGTTCAATTTGGAGAATATAAAAACTTTTTTTTCTTTTTTGGTGAACTTTTGTAGACTGTTGCTCAGGTTCTTTATGTATTTCTAGTCTTGATAACAGAAACCTAAATATACTTTTTTGGCTGTTCCATTTTTTCAGTTATGTCTTGTCGATTCTTTCACTAAATGTCTTTCAGATAGGGGTTTGAAAAATGTACTTTGACTTTTCTGGAAGTCAGAATACCATTTTAAAATAAGTAATCTTAGAGCCCAGAAATTGAGAGAGATACTGGAATCCAATATAGAATGCTAGTCACAGATAATGGAATTCTAGCTCTTTAACTAGAGTCAATCTTTAGTTACATGGTATTCCATTAAATTTAGGATGACATCAAATCTTAGATTCACTGTTATGTACATTTCACTGAAAGACAATCACGGCCAGTTAAACTGATACAGTGCTTTACAATTTTTAATTAATGCACAATTTGCGTATGGTAAAATTACCTATAGTTCTGCCAGTTTTGATAAACACATGCAGTTATAATGGCACTATCACAATTGAAATCTAGAACAATTCCAAACACCATGCATTATTGCTTAGTTCTCTATTTAATGATACTGAAAGATTTTAAATTAATTTTTCCTATTTTCATCATATCCTGTAAAATCATGAGAAGAAACATGTAAACAAAATAGTTTTAAGGTGTGTCTTAAACTTGTTCAGATTCAGAACTGACTCTTCTTTTGAACTCCCAGTTGTCAATGACTGTTATTTCACTTATCTTGTTCTTTATGCAATGAATTGCATCACTAATTCAATACTTCTGTAATCAGAAATGCTCTTCTGTTGTTCCTGGGGCTTTCTTTCAAGTGGATTATATCTATTATGCAAGTTTTGGCCACCATTTGCTTATTTGACTAACTCTAGGTTTTGTTTATTCCTCAGTTGAGTAACATGTCACTTGAAGTTAAGCAATTTCTGTTCAAAGTCAGTAAGAATGTTTTGACAAATTAGTGCTTGAAGCATGCTTCATGTATTTATTTTCATATATTTCAACATGCCTTTCATATATTTTGTTATTTTTCTTATACTTCTTTTCAAGTAACTTTTGTTTTGGATAGTTTTTTTTAAAGCTTCCACTGTGAACCATATCTCTGATATCTGAATTCCCTTTAGAGAACTTGAATAAAATTCAATAGTAAAAATTTTGAGCTTTAGTGATTTGGAGAATTATAAATTACTAAAATATGTTCATGACATGTATAACAATTAACTTCAATGTTACCATACCAAAAGAATCAACTCTTTTGATTTTAGGGTGTTTCCTTTGTTTTAAAAATTTGGATCCTATAATTTTATGACAATTATGAATACTTCTATATTGCTATAACAATCAACATTTTAATATCTATATTAAATTTCTTTGCTATGTCATTCATTTAGTTTTTATATGGCATATACTTATATAATTACTTTTGGATTTTTATATAATTTGGATTTTTACAATACAAATTTTAAAAATAAATTTTCTGATAAATATAAAATCTGTATATGAGACAGATTTATATTTCTAGAACATACCTCTCCAGCCCCAAATCCAATTTTCAAATCTCTTCTTTTAGAAAAAAAAATTCATAAATATATCCCAAATACCAGAAAGGAAAATTGTCCATAGTCTAGAATCAAAAGATGTTTCTTTTTACTAGAATTATAGGTAATGAAAAAATCATATGATTATAAGATGATGTCTGTTTGGGTTGAGATCTAGAGAAGTGAATGATTTTTTTGTATTAAATCCTTTTTCCCTCATACATATGCCATTATATCTGATATTTGTTTTATTTTTTCTAAAGTAAAATTTTCTAAACATCTCAAAGTAAAAGAAGATAGATGATTTTTTAAAGAGCTCTTTTGGCATTTATTTAAAAGAGGGCTTTTTTGTTAAAATTGTTACTAAACAGTTTAAATAATTACCAGAATTGTGTGGTTCTTTATATATAAAATTCTAGTTCTATTATATGATGTTAATGTCATGTGAATATCTTGCATAAAATTTTGAGCTTAAATGTGTACAGTGCTTGTATTTGAGAAATTATATATCATGATCAGGGCAACTCAAATTATTAAAAGATGCTGACTCCAGGTGTTTCAAAACAAATTATTTTATAGTCTGTTTAATGGAAATGACTAATAGTCACTTTAATTCGACAGCTTATTTAGATACTTTAAAAATAGTTTTTGTAAAGTCAGTTCTTTAGAGGTTAAATATCTTCTTGTCATTGTTGTCTTTGGATTGTCCTTAATACCCTGAGAGTTGGCTATTTGTTCTTGAAAGACCAATTCTGTAATTTTGAGCTATTTGTCATTTAGCTTAGGCAATGAATCATACAGAATTTTAGACCCCCAAATATTTTTTGTGTTAATATCCTGATTTTGTGGATGATAAATAGCAACCCCCAGAATGTCCTCAGAAACAGGGATTTTGCTGGCTAGGGACATTTTGTTACATGTAGGAATAAGAGTTCATTATGTTTGGTACTTAATAATGAATATTTATTTCCTTTGTAGTTGGACATTTTTAAAATGGCTTTTATGGATGCTATCAAGCATACCTACCAGAATATTAAAATATATAAACTGCACATATCTTTCAACTGTGATTTCTATTGAAGGGCGAGAACAGATTGCTGGTTTCTTTAATTAAAATTCAAATATAAATCTTATTCATACCTAATTTAAATGACAATTTATCCTCTAAGTCAAAAAAACACTGTTGTAGTTAAGAATGGGAATATTTCAGCTACTTCATATATTGACATTTTTTTGAGGATGACAGTCTGGTGATTAATGAATTCCAAGTGTTGCTCTAGTGCTGCTTTCCAACGTACTTTGAGAGTATTTAGTGAATGCTGTAGAAAGTACCACATTGTTTGGCTATAAAAAGAAACATTGTTCTTACTTTTTAAGAATATGTGAGTGGGGCAACATACCAGCTATTTCTGGTTGAAGCAACTTCACTTAGTGATAGTTTCTTTCAAATGCAGTAATATATGAAAGATTATAAAACACTGTGGACTTTTATGTTATTTACTTAAAATTTTAAAGTTTTTAAAAAAGTAATAGTGTTGTATTTTTTTAAAGGGCTTAAATGCTTAAAAAATCTAGTTAAACTTACACTCTTCCTTGGAAAACTGAACTTTAAAACAAAGAAGTAAGGAAATAATGTCAGACTAGCTAAAGGAAGTACCACAAAATTCAAGTATGTTTCTTAAAAGACACTAACAGATGTTTGTTCATGCCTTATCAATTTTTATTTAACATTTAATCCTAACATGTAGCTATTTGGTTTCAAAACCAAAGGCAGATGGTAGAAATGGTGATTTAGAATGGTGGAAGATAGACTGCTATAAATGTGTTGGACTAACGGTAAGCACTGATGATGAAAACAAAAGGAGACAGAAAAACTATTAGAACTAGACTCAAAAATTGTAAACCTTACCATGAGGGCCTCTATATATCAGTAAGTCCCTAAGCTATTGTATAATCCAGCAAAAACATAGTATTAAAAATTATTTACCAAGTCAAAAGACTATAAAGCATCAAACTGAGGTAAAATGTGCTTATTAAGGAAGGTTGTAAAACTAATTACAGATTGGGTCAGAAGGAAAGTCTAGTTCATTTACACAAATATGAATTGTACAGAGACATTCTTGGACCCAAAGATATTATTTAAAATGAAGCTCAGGCCAGGCACGGTGGATCATGGCTGTAATCCCAGCACTTTGGGAGGCTGAGGTGGGCAGATCACTTGAGATAAGGAGTTTAAGACCAGCCTGGTGAACATGGTGAAACCCCAACTCTACTAAAAGTACAAAAATTAGCTGGGCGTGGTGGTGCATGCCTGTAGTCCCAGCTACTCGGGGGACTGAGGCACAAGAATTGCTTGAACCTGGGAGGCAGAGGTTGCAGTGAGCCGAGATATTGCCACTGCACTTCAGCCTAGGTGACAACGAGACTCTGTCACAAAATGAAATAAAATAAAATAAGATAAAATAAAATAAAGCTCAAACAAAAATAAACTCAACCACTTGGAAATAATAATTAAATTATCCTAAATGCTTAGAGGATAAGCTAATAGGAGAATAATTAAATTATTCTAAATGCAAAGGAGAAATCAAAACAAGTATAAACAGTAAAAACAATGCTAATACTATTAATAGGCTATACTCAGATGCAAATAAGTATCTGTACTGTATTTACATTATCAAAGTGGAAAATGAGAACATGAATAAGAAATTCAACTCATGATACTAAAACAACAAAACAAATATATGGAGAGGATGTAAATAATACACATATAAGTAGTAATTAATGATTTGACAAATGTAGAATTGAAAAACTATGTAGCTTTTTTTTTTTTTTAATTGAGACGAAGTCTGACTCTGTCACCCAGGCTGGAGTGCAGTGGCATGACCTTGGCTCACTGCAGCCTCTGCCTCTCGGGTTCAAGTGATTCTCCTGCCTCAGCCTCCTGAGTAGCCCACTGCCGTGCCTGACTAATTTTTTTTTTCTAAATTTTTAGTAGAGATGGGGTTTCACCATGTTGGTCAAGCTGGTCTTGAACTCCTGACCTCAGGTGATACACCCACCTCGGTCTCCCAAAGTGCTGGGATTACAGGTGTGAGCCACCATGCCTGGTCCTATGTAGCCATTTTTTAGGGGAAGGTCAAAATAGACTTCTTGAAAATTTAATGAAAAAGAGAACAATAATGTTGTAATGGCTTTCCAGAGTTAGATATAACTTGTGGTAATGGCTTAGAAATTGCAGATGAAATGGATGAGTTTCTAGAAGAAATATAGGCCGGCCATGGTGGCTCACGCTATAATCCCAGCACTTTGGAAGGCTTAGGCAGGAGGATAACCTGAGCTCAGGAATTTGAGACCAGCCTAGGCAACTAGTGAGACACTGTTTCTGTTTCTACAAAAAAATAGAAAAATTAGCCGAGTGTGGCAGCACATGCTTGTAGACCCTGCTACTCAGGAGGCTGGGGTGGGAGGATGGCTTGAACTCGAGAGGTAGAGGCCACAATTAGCTGTGATTGTGCCACTGTACCACAGGTTGGGTGACAGAGTGGGACCCTGTCTCAAAAGAAAAGAAAAATAAATAAATTGAATCAAGAATTAGAGCTGTTGGATCTATCAATAATAGAATGAAAATTATGAAGAAAGTTATCAAAGGGCTACCCTCCAAAGGCTCTGGGGTCATTTATAGAAACAAGCGTATTAAGTCATCTAAGGAAGGCATTACACACTCTTTATAGTTTTACAGAGCATAAAAGAAGCCAGGAAGCTTGAGTTTATTTTACATAGTGAGTACATTTCTACTAATATTTTACAATGAAATTGCACAAAATGAAAAAGAAGCCATCCTCTAAGTATGGTTGTAAAATCCAAAATTAAATTGCTGTTACTAAGTGAGATTATTGCAGGAGTTCAAGAATGGCTTAGTTAGTAGAAAATTATTCATATCATATTAATTAAAGAAAAATCATGCTTAAAGTTATATAGATTGTACGTGGCAGAACTAGGTATCAAACTCAGTTTTGTGGTACACAGATAGTCACTGTATATTCCTTGGGAAGTCACTGTTATAGAAGAAATGGCAGCACAAATTTCAAAGGAGTGACGTTGGAGTTTTTTTTTTTCCTTCCCTTTTTCTTCCTTTTATTTTTTGTAAACAAGACCCCTAACAGTAACTAAGAGAATCAAAGGAAACCTTTCATTTAAAACCAATAAAAACATTTAAGAAATTGTCTGGATATAGAAAATATGTAAACACCTATTAAAATGGCTAAAATGTAAGACATGGACGACACCAAATGCTGGAGAGAGTGTAGAGCAACAGGAACTCTCATTCATTGCTGATGAGAATGGCACAGCCACTTGGGAAGACAGTTTGGTAGTTTCTTACAAAACTAAACACGTTCTTACTATATGATCCAGCAATCATGTTCCTTAGTAGTTACCCAAATGAACTGAAAACTTAAGTCCACACGAAAACCTGCACACAGATATTTATGGCAGCTTTATTCATAATTGCCAAAACTTGGAAGCAAACAGGATGTCCTTCAATAGGTAAATGGATACACAAACTGTGGTATACCCATACAATGAAATATTCACGATAAAAGAAAATGAACTATCAAGCCATGAACAGACATGGAGCAACCTTAAATGCATATTACTCAGTGAAAGAAGCCTAACTGAAAAGGCTACATACTATATTATTCCAACTATATAACATAAACTATGGTGACAGCAAAAAGATGAATTGCTAGGGATTTGAGATGCGGAAGGAGGAACAAATAAATAGATAGATCATGGGATTTTTAGGGCGGTAAAACCATGATGTATGATATAGTAATAAGGGGCACATTATACATTTTTTTCAAAACCAATAAAAAAGCGTGAACCCTAATGTAAACTATGAACTTTAGTTTTATATATATATATATATATATATATAGAGAGAGAGAGAGAGAGAGAGAGAGAGAGAGAGAGAGAGAGAGAGAGAGACAGACAGAGAGAATAATATATCAGTATTGGTTCATTAGTTGTAACAAAATTACCACACTGATACAAGTTGTGTATAATAGAGACAACTGTATGTGTGTGCTAGGGAGGAGATGAAAGGAGTATGTTTGTACTTTTTGATCAATTTTTTGTAAACTTAAAATTACTCCAAAAATTTATGAATCAAATATTAATATGGAAAAGTCTGCATCTTTTCCCTTAGCCACTTGAGGCCATCATCATTTGTCTTCTAGATCAGTTGAATTTTCAGAGAAAGGAGACATATAAAATGACTTACTGGCATGAGAAAGAAAGCACTAGAACTTCTATTAATATGTAATTTTAAAATCAGAAATTATGCTTTACTAATAAAACATAGGTAGGCACTAGAATGTTACTCAGTTTGTGGGTCAGAGAGTCCATGTGTGGTGTTGGAGTTGGGCTGTGGGAGGAGAGGTCGATTTGAGCTGCACTAGGAGATGCCTTGTTGGCCTTGTGTAGTTAGCATCTTTCAGTATAATGCAGGTTACGTAAACCAGGTAAGTGTTTTACACATTATATTATTTATTAACTAATCTTCATGATGGACAGGTGAATATATTTGCAAAGAAGCTGTACATTGAATACAGTGAAAATGCAAGCACCAGTGAACCACAAGAAAATAGCAAAGTTGACAGTTATCCTTTGTATCAACATTTTGTCAGCCACGTTATAAGAAACGATCAGATCTGATAAGAATTGAGCCCCCAAAAGCAGTTATCAGACTATTTGAAATAAAGATTTATATTCACCTTTAATAACAATGTACCATTAATAACACATATTACATGTTTATTTTATATAATATGAAACAGACATTTCATATTATAGACTTTGTTTTCATAAGTAAACTTTTATTATTTTCATTTTCATTTTTAAAAAAAGCACGCATGAATACAGCAGCACATGTTATTTATAAGTTGTGTTAATTCTTTTTCTTTTACTCATAGAGTTGTGTGATCCAATACGTCTGGAGATTGCTGGTCTGAATGACTCCAGCAGTTTCCCAGCTGGTTTTCCTGTCTCTGGTCTTACTTTCCTCCAAACCATTTTTCATATTAGCACCAAGAAAAGCACCCCAAAATGCAACTCAGATTCTGTCATTTTCTTGCTTAAAACATGTCCTTTTTTTTTTTTTTTTGCTAAGGCCTAACATTGGTCATGTAAGACACTGATAGGGGCCTGGTCCTCCTCCCTAGCCTTATCTCCTACTATCCCTGTTCCTGAAAGATACTTCTCTCTGCCTCTCACCAGTATCTAGAGGAATTTCATCGCCCTCTTCATTAGCCTGTGTCTGTCTCATTATTCGAGTATGTTGAGCCCTCACTTCCTTCAAGAAGATGTTTTCTGCCTCTAACTTGGGTGTGATGTGTCCTTAAGTAGCTACCTGCCTAGTCTGCTGGGCCTGGACTATTGGTATTTGCTTGTCACCACTGTGACAAGCTTCAAGTACCTCTAGGGCTTACTACCTTGGCTGTCTTCGTGTGTATAATACATATTTGTGATTAGACAAATTGATTAAAGCCATATTTTAGAAGGAAGGTGATATTTTGTACAATGTTAGTTGACAAAAGATATCATAAGCCTACTTATCTAAAAATAGATGGATTATAAGCAATGCTAGTTTTGTCAAACTTTGCTTTTTATTTTATTTTATTTTATTTTATTTATTTATTTATTTATTTTTGAGACAGAGTCTCGCTCTGTCACCCAGGCTGGAGTGCAGTGGCGGGATCTCGGCTCACTGCAAGCTCCGCCTCCCGGGTTCACGCCATTCTCCTGCCTCGGCCTCCCAAGTAGCTGGGACTACAGGCGCCCGCCACTACGCCCGGCTAATTTTTTGTATTTTTAGTAGAGACGGGGTTTCACCGTTTTAGCCGGGATGGTCTCGATCTCCTGACCTCGTGATCCGCCCGCCTCGGCCTCCCAAAGTGCTGGGATTACAGGCGTGAGCCACCGCGCCCGGCCAAACTTTGCTTTTTAAATCTTGTATGATTAACGCTTTTAAAGATATCACATATTACTAATACATTTATTGAGAGGCAGATAAATATACAAAAATTTAAACTGACATACATAAAATAGTTGAAGTAAAAGTTACTTTCTAACATTCTCCAAATATTTTGGTTCTTATCCTTTGACCAAGTTTACATTCCAGAAGATCACTAAGGCTTTATAATAGTGGAAAATTTTTTATTTGAGGAAATACTTGTCATAAAAACTGAATTAAAAATCTATATATTGCAATCTATAATCTTTGAAGTGGCAATTTCTGTTCTTCAGAAAGAGAAAGACCATTTAGCACTGATATGTCACCTGATTATTTAGTTTTGGAAAACTTCTATTCATGTCTTCCTTTAATTATTCATTTTTCAGTTTGCCTCCCTCCCCTTCCTTCCTCCCTCTCTTTCCCTCCTTTAAGCATGAGTTTTAGTTTAAAATGTTATTCCCAACTTGTAAATCTAATGGGATGTTGTTCAGGGAATTTTATAGACTTTCAAAAATAGTTATGTATCAAAATACTGATACTTCAAGGACTAAAAACTCTCAGTATTAAAATAAACTATCTCAGACTTTTAATTTGTTACAGATTTTCTATATCTAAAACCTGAACATATGTATGTTCTAACTTTATCAGATCACCCAATGGACCTTATTTGGAAAGTCAACACTGTCTACTGAGTGAGGCAATGGAAGCTGTGCCACAATCTTCTCTTGATTTCAGCAAAATCCCTCTCTCACTTCAATCCTGTGCTTTTTCCTGCTGTATTGGGCCAAGTAAACTCAGTTTTTCCATATTTCCATCATCTCTTGCCTTCAGATATATTACTGGCAAATACACATACACATTTGGATGTATGAATTGTTCAATCTTAGCCTACATTATAGAGGTGCAGGTTTGATCTGTGGACTTTTCTGTTTAAAGCTATTATCAGAGGACCCATTCTGAAATTATGATCGATGCTTACCATGTGCCAGATATTGTGCCAAATGTTGTGAGGTTTACAAAGTGGAAACATTTTACTTTTTGTTTCAGTTTCTTAACAATTTTAATTTCTCTACAAATACACTTTTCTTTTGTCACTAGCAATTATTTATGAATCTTAATCTGCTATCTAATTTGAGAGTTGACTAAATAACAAATATAAAACATGCTAAGTATTTTACAACTGTTTTGCTTAAATTTTGTTTTAATTTTTAAACTCTAGGTTCTAAGCTAAAATGAAATTTCATATTTACTTCAAATGCAGCTACAAAGAATCAGAAAATACATTTTCTTTTTCTCCTTTTGAATGCTTAAGCAATAGGACATGGGATTCAAATGACTGGTTCTGTCCGTAGGAGCTTCACTGTAGCCCAGTCTTCTTTCAGCTTCTGGATGCCATTATTCTGCCAGAAATATACAGCATATCCACAGATAATAGACATAAATATACTGTTTACTTGTGTGATTTCTTTCTCCTGTCATGGATACTTTTACTTTAAAATGGAGGTAGCACAAGAACAAATAGAAAACTGTGTGGCAGCCTGGATATCAATTAAGGCTATTAAAACTTTGGACAAATTAACATGCAGTAAAATTGACTTTTGTTGGGTGTATACTTCTAGGAGTTTATTAAATTAAAAAAAAATTGAGATAGGCTCTTGCTCTTTCTCTCAGGCTGGCGTGCAGTGGTGTGATCATAGCTTAGTGTAACCTCAGATTCCTGGGCTCAAGCAATCCACCTCAGCCTCCCAAGAAGCTAGGACTACAGGTGTGTTGCCACCACACTTAGCTAAGCTTTTTTTTTTTTTTTTTTTTTTTTTTTTTTTGAGACGGAGTCTCGCTCTGTCGCCCAGGCTGGAGTGCAGTGGCGCGATCTCGGCTCACTGCAAGCTCCGCCTCCCGGGTTCACGCCATTCTCCTGCCTCAGCCTCCCGAGTAGCTGGGACTACAGGCGCCCGCTACCACGCCCGGCTAATTTTTTGTATTTTTAGTAGAGACGGGGTTTCACCTTGTTAGCCAGGATGGTCTCGATCTCCTGACCTCGTGATCCGCCTGCCTCGGCCTCCCAAAGTGCTGGGATTACAGGCGTGAGCCACCGCGCCCGGCCTTAGCTAAGCTTTTTAATTTTTTGGAGTGATGAGATCTCACTATGTTCCCCAGGCTGGTCTTGAACTCCTGGCCTCAAGCAATCCTCCCTCCTTATTTTCCCAGAGTTGGGATTCCAGATGTGAGCTGCTGCACCCAGCTCCAGTGCTAGGAGTTTTAACCCATGCACATGTTTACAAAATTCCCACCACTATCAGGACATAGACTGGTTCCATCCCTCCAGAAAAATCCCTTTTGCTGTTACTTTATAATGAGACCGTCCCTATCAATAACACCTGGTGACCACTGAGCTATTCTTTGTCACTGTAGTTTGAATTTTTATGAATGTCTTAAAAATAGAACCATACAGTATGCAACCTTTTGAGACTTTTTTTCACTCGGTATAATGCCTTTGAGATTCATCTAACTTTTACGTGTGTCAGTGGTTCCTCTTTATAGCTAAGTGTAGTATTTTGTAGTATGGATGTACTGCAGTTTCTTTATCCATTCACCCATTGAATACCAGTTAGATTGTTTCCAGTTTGGGTTCATTATGAATAGAACATTCAAGTACAGTATTTTCATTTCAAGTACAAAATTTTGATTTCTTTTTTATGCTGCCTAGGAGAGAGATTGCTGGGTCATGGTAAGTGTATATTTAATAAGAAACTTCTAGACCATTGTCTAGAGTAGTTGTACCATTTTGCATTCCACCAAGAGTGCATGAGAATTTTATTTGATCTGCATCCTCACCAACATAGTATCGTTGGTATTTATGTTAGCCATTCTAATACATGTGTCATGAGATCTCATTTTGTTCTTAATCTACATTTTCATAAAGGCACTTGATGTTGAAAAGCTTTTCATGTGCTTATTTGCCATTTGTATATCCTTTTTTGAGACAACTGTTTAAGTCCCTGGCCAATTTTTAATTTGGGCTGTTTTCTTACTGCAGAATATTCTAAGTTCTTTATATATTCTGGATACAAGTTATTTGTCTGATATGTGATTTGGAAATATTTTCTCCTAGACTGTTGCTTGTCTTTTTTATTCTCTTAATTGTGTATTTTTAGAGCAAAAGTTTTTAATTTTGATAAAATCCAATTTACCAATTCTTAAAAATGTACTATGCTTTGGTGTCTTAAGAACTTGTTGCCTAAATCCAGATCATGAATGTATTTTTGTTTTTTAAAGTTTTACAGCTTTTCATTTTGTATTTAGATGTATTAATCATTTTGAGTTAATTTTTGTTAAAGGTATAAGCTTTAGCTCTGGATTCATATTTTTAGCATACAGTCCAATTATTCCACTATTATTTGTTGAAAGGACTATCCTTTCTCTAATGAATTGCCTTTGCACCTTTGTCAAAAACAAGTTGTTCATGTTTGTGTGGCTCTATTTCTAGATTGTCTATTTTGTTCCATTGATCTGTGTCTACTTGTCAATACCACATTGTTTTGATTACTGTAGCTTTCTTTATAATGTCTTGAAATTGAATTGTATCAGTTCTCCAGCTTGCTATTCTTTTTTGCCTTTTTTAAAATTCTAGTTCCTTTATTATACTGTATATTTTAATATGTGCTTGTCTATATCTACAGAAATCCCACTGGAGTTTTGACTGGAATTGTGTTAAAAATACAGATAAATTTGAAAAGAATCTTCACTGTACTGAGTCTTCTAATCCATGAACAGGATATGCCTCTGAATTTAGTTAGGTCATCTTTGATTTCCTTCATCTATGTTATGTAGTTTTCAAAATACAGATCCTCTACATATTTTGATGGAGTTACAGTCAAGTATTTTCGTTTTGGGATCTTAAAAGTTGTTTATTGCTATTATATGGAAGTATTTGTGGCTTTCAATCAATAAAAAAAGGGCAACTCCCTCTGTGCATTAGGAAACCCCTTCTCTTTACTTGGCCTTGAGCTATAGAGCATCTCCTTGTATTCCTTCTAATCCTTTGCTTCTGAGTTTAGGCTGCATTGAGTCCAAGCTGGGGTATACTGGAGGGGAAAAGTAGTTATTCAGCTGCTTTTCAATTTACTTTTCAGATTCTTCAAATTGTTGCTTTATGGATTCTGTCTGGGTTTTACAGCTGCATTCTGTTAAGGTAGAGTAAGCAACCACTTGCTTACCCCCTCTTTTTTTTTTTTTTTTTTTGAGACGGAGTCTTGCTCTGTCACCCAGGCTGGGATGCAGTGGCGCGATCTTGGCTCACTGCAAGCTCTGCCTCCCGGGTTCACGCCATTCTCCTGCCTCAGCCTCCCGAGTATCTGGGACTACAGACGTGCGCCACCTTGCCCGGCTAATTTTTTTGTATTGTTAGTAGAGACGGGGTTTCACCGTGTTAGCCAGGGTGGTCTCGATCTCCTGACCTCGTGATCCGCCTGCCTTGGCCTCCCAAAGTGCTGGGATTACAGGCGTGAGCCACTGCCCCCAGCCTGCTTACCCCCTCTTAACTGAAACTTGAAGCAAGACCAGTTTCTTTTGCTGTGAATAGAACCAAATAATTTGAAAAACATTGTAAATATGTTTTGTTAGCAGATAGTCCCCCTGAGTATTGAGATCTTGCAGCATTCTTCCCTTGTCCACTCCCTCTCAAGAAAATGACAGTACAACTCCTTTCCCAGCCCTGAATACTCAGCTCTTATTTATGATCTCATTTAAGTATTGATTAGGGAAAGATAACCTTTTTTGGCTTGAATAGTTGTAATTGAGTATGTAACGTCAGAGTAATCTCTTTGTGACAATTTTTCTTGAAGAAGAGAAGTCATAGTGTTGTATCTACATAACTAGGTTTGAGTTATTTAAGACTCTGCTGGCAGCCTTGGCAAACTCTAGGGAGAAGTGGAGGATTGATATTTAGAAAATTAATGTGTGTATGAGGAATTTGATATTTCACAATTAAAACTTTTATACAACAAAGTAAATGATGAGATGTGAAGGCAGATATTTTAAAGAAGGAACAAACTCCCTTAATTTACATAAGAGCCTTAGATTTTTTTAAAATTCACTGCTTTAAAAGCTGATTTATCTAGCCAGAATTCTGCAGTGAGAGTATTGAAAGCTTTTGTGTTGTAACTGGTGCAAATACATTTTCTTTTACATTTGTTGGCCACTTTGTTTCAGGTTTGTTTTAGGTATGCCAAGCACAAGCCAGTATAACCATGGATTTCTGAACCAATCTCCTGTAATAATTGATCTTTTCAATGTAAGTTTTAATTATGTTCTGGCTTAGTGTAATGATGTAGAGATAGTGTTACATAGTTTCAGTTCCAATCTGGTTTTCCCTAAAACGGAAGATATTTAGTAACATTTGTATCTGCTATTACTTGTTCTTGTATAAGAAAAAGAAAGTAAAGAAATGGTTAACTTTCTGTTTGCAAGGAGGAAGAAGGTGTTCACTTGCTTTTTCAAAAGTGGGAGAAAAGTGCTCTATATTCCCTTTTGCTTTTCTTGGAAGAAATATGTACTGTAGAAAGAAAAAACACCATAATTAGAACTTCTTGAAAAAACAAGATGGTATTTCAGTTATACCTCATTTTGATGAAGGATGGGTATCTGGAAGCAGGACCGGGTACATGGTCATAAGGAATTGAAAAAGCCTAGACTTTAAGGTCAGAGAGATAGGAGTTTGAATCTAAGCTCTTTCATTAAAATGGTGGATATATTGTTTAATAACCCTAAGGGTTTTTTTTTCTGTCTTATATACAGTTGATTTACCTACTGAATTCAGAGGCTTGTTTAGTGAATTTAACAAGAACATTTGTAAAGGGACCCAAAACTATGCCTGTCATATAATGGCATAAGAAATAGTGCCATCATTATACAATAGTTAGAGTGAAAAAGTAAGTAGTTTAATAGCTTAGAACTTTCTGAAAAAAATCACATGATGAGTAGCAAGGAAACTGATTAGCTTATTTAATATGGGCAGATTCCAGCCATCAGGGAAGCCCAACATTGCCTAGTGTGGTAATGCTTGCACATGAGAGGACTTTGAGTTACATTCGCATTCTACCTGTAACTTATGACATCAACAAAGGTCCCAGAAATAATACTTCATTTTCCTTCTAGTGTTGTGAATAGCATTAACTTTTAGAAACTTTATAGGCAATACCAAATGTGAAATTGTTTCAATTAATATTTTTCGTCAGCTAATTTTATTGACACTAAATCCCTTTCTCTTCTCTTTAAAAATTTTTTTAGAGGTAGGGTCTCGTTCTGTTGTCCAGGCTGAAGTGCAGTGGTGCAATTATAGCTCACAGTAACCTTGAACTCCTGGGCTCAGGCAATCCTCCTGCCTCAGCCTCCCTAGTAGCTAGGACTACAGGTGTGCTCCACCATACCTTGCTGATTTTTAAATATTTTGTAGAGATGAGAGTCTTAATATGTTGCCCAGGCTGATCTCAAACTCCTGGCCTCAGCAATCCTTCCCCCTTGACCTTCCCTCTCCTTTTTTTTTTTTTTTTTTTTTGGAAGGCCAGCTACTTCATCTGTCATCACCCACCATTAAATTTTATAGGAGCTTGGTTGCCTGAACAGATTTTTAAAGTTTTTATTAATTATAGTAAATTTATATTAAAATACTTTATTATAAACAATATTCATTGTAGAAAGTTCGAAGATATTAATAGGTATAAGTAAAATAAAGCAAACTTCTGCAGAGTTTATTCCTATTTTCTTCAATGTATAGAATTCTAGATTGTTTATTTCTGTATGCATTTGTTTATACCAAGATGAAATGCTGTTTTGGTTATCCTCATTTGTGAACTGATTTTTCTCTGCTAATGCTCTTCACTTTTTCATGTTAATTCATTTTCATCTTAGTTATGTCCATTCTCACATCCTCATATATACCCAGTCCTTCCTTACATTGACTCAAATGCCCCTAAAACATGTACAGGTACTTTGTCCTAATTAGGGTCTAATTTGGGACTTTGCTTTGCATTTGGTTATGCCCCGTAACCTTCAAGTAGTGTCCACTATGACTCTTTTTTTCAGGAGATCAAGATAGTTGCCCTACAAAATATTGTGCCATCTGAATCTTTCTGGTTTCTTCTTTGTGGTGGTGTTAACTTGTTCTTAAATCCTTGTATATGGAAAAGCAAGATCTAGGCAACATAGATTTAAGTTAAGTAGATTTCAACTAGAACATATTGTAGGTGGGGTCCTGTGTGCCACCATGCGTCTCACCAGGAGACACAGTGTCTAGAGGGGCCACCATTCATGGGGCACACTCTTCAGACCACAGTATCAGTGCTGCTTTCTAAGTCTGACATGCTTCTGCTTCTTATGTTTGATTCACTGTATATCAAAGAATCATAATTTTTTAGTCTAAGAAAAACTTTATGCACTTTTTAAAAGTTAATTTTAAATGTAACTTTGAAAAAACTCAGTTTTTAAAGAAAATGTATATTTTAAGATTGTTGATCACACTATTATCAGGGCTTTCTCTAAGACTACGGATGTATTATTTTACGTTTCCTAATGTGGTGCCTTTAGTCTCAAGAAAACAGTAAAACACCTTAGATATTGTAGATGTATGTTCTGTATGATTAAAAAAAATACATGTAGACTTTTAAAGCCTGTAAGAAGTTGTGATGAAGACATAGCTTACGATCCTGGAGAGAAATAATTTAACTGGGAGCGGGTCATTGGTCAATCTAGATACTCTGGGAGTAAGAAAAATTTAGAAGATATTTGCAATGGTTAATTTAATAAAATATAACGAATTAATAGAAATGATTAACAATAATGCCATGAAACATGTTTTTAATTGATATTTAATTCATTTTAACTTACTAAACTTTGAGGGAACTCCATATTTTTATCAAAAGTAAAAAGGTATTATTTTGCCATGTAATATCTTTCCTCTCTCTCTCCTCATATATATGCATAATATTCTTCTGTCAAATAATTTTCAGTTTATACCCCTTTAGACTTGTGAGTGCTTCAAAATACTGTATTGTTTCTTAAAAAACATTATTTCTAAAAGTTCTCCTTTAGAACATAATTATAAAGGAGTACCTTTAAAGAGACATTTAGGGTAGTTTCCCTTTCAAAATAAGCATATTTGATTACTTGATATGTGGAACCAACTTTCCCTAGAGACGAAGATGAAAAGAGTCCTCGAAGGAAGTGGGCTTAGTGAAGAATGGTCATTGTGATAAGTATTTCTCACAATTCACTTTTGTTTTTATTGGCTCTTGCTCTTGGCATTGATTTAGAAGGTTTACAAATTCATTTTCTTTGCTTTTCTTAATACTAAGTCTTAAACATTAGCACTTGTTGTGTGGGGCAAAGATTTGTGAATTCAACAATGTCTTTTGCTCTTACATGTAAATGGTGTTAACTTAATAGAAGAACATGAAGGCATTCTGGGGCAAGAGGGTCTGTGTCTGTGAACCATCAGTCTTCATGAGGGGGTTGAAATTGCCTTGTGATTCCTGGGGAATTCAAGTACTTATGCTGCGTATGTACTGAGCCCCAGTAAGTCTTGTTCTTTCTCTTTCCTTTCCCTGTCACTGCCTTGTTCAGGAGTGTGCACTTGACTGAACAAGTGGAATAAAATTTGCTAGGTCATCCCTGTGCCTAGTAAAGGGTCACCGAAATGTCAGAATTCTAAATACAGTCTTATATGACTCTTCAGAGGTGTGTCTGCATTTTCCCTAATCTGATTTTTTTTCTTCCCTACCCTCCTTACTCCATCCTGCTGCCCTTCCCCTCTGCAATAACCTGAAATGAACTTTTATCTGTATACTTCTGACAGTTTTTACCAGGACCTTCCCTAGGTGTAACATACCTCCCAAACTCAAAGACATTCTTTTTATGCTTAACACAGAGCATTTAGACAAATGCAGTTTTCTTTTACCTTGCATCTATGGAATGATTTATGGTATGCATAATTTAAACCTTACAACAACACTGTAAGAATAGGTACTGCTATCACCAGGATACAGATCAGAAGGCTGTGGTTCAACTTCCACCCCTTCAGTTTTGAGGTTTGGATTTTTCTTTTCAAAGGAATTGGCACCTTAAATGGGTAGACAATTCTTTTTCTTAACAAAGAGAGCTCTGCTGTGAACTTCCTTCAAATTTACTCTGCCATTTCTAAGTAAGTATGACCTTCTGTTTGTATTAATAAATAGGAGACTACATGGAGGGGGTTCTAATTATGATGAATAATTTATGTAAAAAGCCATTTTAACCATCTGATAAAACTTTCTGTAACATTACTTTTACAATTTTAAAACACATACACATTCCTAATCTGTAACTGAAAATTACTTTCCTAATAGATGATGCTAATGATTTCCATACTCCGTCACAGTTTACAAAGGAATATACTTATAGTCTTACCAGTCTGCTATAAAGCAGGCTTGGTTTTGAATTGTTAAATGGTTCCTCATGCAAATGTCTTTTATATTCCATGACATACTAGGATGATTTTTCTTTTCTTGGCATTTTTTTTCCTTGTCCCATGGGGACCTGTTAATATTGGAAAGGAATTTCACAAGGAACTTAATGTGGAAGCTATAACAACAAAAGTCTCTGAAAGTAGAACATATTTTCAGATCACCAGTGATTTTAGTCATTTAGTTTTTTGAAGATAGCAAAAAGGAACTAACATAAGAATATAGATAAATTAGGGCATAATATTATCATAATCACTCATTTGTTTTCCTTTAGTATTTTTCAGCACAGTAAAACGTATGTCAAAATAACATGAAAATACCTGAAATGAAGTTTTGTTAAAGAATTAAATTTATGAGATTTGTGTAAAAGGTTCAGTTTTGGTAGTGCTGTAAATATAAGATGGTACAAACTCCCTTCTTTTAAAAAACTTTTGTTTTTTTTTTTTGCTTTGTTTTGTTTTTTAAGAAAAGCTTGAAACCTTTCTTTAAAAAGGTTTACAAACCACTATCATGTTTTGTTCTAGCTAAACAGATTTCTGTTTGACAACTTAAATAGTGCAGAAGTCACTCCACAAGGAATAAATTGGGTGTTTCACAGGTTTGAATTACATTATACTGGGGGGTCTGGCCCATAGCATGAATTTAAGTTTCTGCCTTTTGGTAGGATTCCAAAGGCTGATTATCTCAGGCCTGTTTTTCAAAAGTAAGAAGCAGAAGATAAGCATGTGGCTCTTTCTTTCTCAGACTGGGTGGTGATCCTTCATTGGGAGTTGAATGGAGTTTTGGGGTAAGAATTTTTATGGGGAGGAACTGTAGGGTGTGTCTGCCAGTAGAATGTTCATTCCAAGGAGACATTCCAGGATATTATGGGCCTAGGAATGGAATTAATCCTGAGGTGGAGCAGAGTACATTACTTAATCTTCCTGCATACTGATTGCAGGACAGGCGTGTTTGAGGAGTAACATCTCCAGGGGGAAAGATTAAATGCTCAAAAGTGTTCTTTCTAGATGTAAAGCATACATACAAAATTGATGTTATAAATACTTGAAAGGGACAATTATGTCTTTTTCCTCTAAAGACATTTAATGCTTACTGTGCGTTACGTGTATAATTTAATCTAAACACTATTTGATTGGTACTACTCAATTTGAAAGTTGAGGAAATTAAGGCTTGGAGGTTAAGTAATTTACTTAAGGTTACATAATGAATAATGGAGTCTAAATTTGGTCCTACGTCTTTTGAACTTGAGTTATTTCTTAGTCATGATCCTATTGTGAAAAGGAGGCTGTTTCTAATTATGTGATGGCTGAACCCCAAGGAGAGCCAAGAGCCAAGGGGGTCCAGTGGAGTTGGACCTCCTATAATCCCAGCACTTTGGAAGGCCGAGGCAGGTGGATGGCTTGAGCCCAGAAGTTTGAGACCAGCCTGGGCAACATAGTGAGACCCCATCTATACAAAAAATAAAAAAATTAGCCAGGTGTGGTGGTGCACACCTGTAGTTCCAGCTACAAGGGGGGCTGAGGTGGGAGGATTGCTTGAGTTCAGGAGGTGGAGGTTGCAGTGAGCTGAGTTTGTACCTCTGCACTCCAGCCTGGGCCACAGAGTGAGACTCTGTCTCAAAATGATAATAATAGTAATAAATAAATAAATAAATAAAGAATAGAAAGAAAGAAAAACAGCCAATGGGGATTGCTTCGGGAAGTGTATCTACTCTCTACTTAAAGCAGCATCTCTTATGTGTTTACCAAAAGAGGCTGTGGATTTAAAAAATTAAAATAATTGAGCACTTATCTGACCCACTTTAATATTGAAATACAAATGTGTATGATCAGTCAGTTTTTAGTTTCAGAAAACAGGAAAAGCCGGCTGCTTTTTTTAAAAAAAAAAAAAGCAACAAAAACCAGGGAATTTGATACGTATATAAAGGTTGGCAATTTGGAGCAGCAGAACCTCACCTGTGCCTTCAGGTCTGGTGACACCATTTGTCTGGCCTGCCAGAGGTACTGCTACCTCTGCTACCATCAGGAAGGTGGAGAAGTTGCTCCTCAAGCTTAGTTGTGATCCAGGAGTCACAAAGACAGCACTACACATGGTGGCATATCTAATTAACAGATGTCTGGATGTAAGGGAGCCTGAGAAGAGAAGTATTTAGGATTTTCGCCTCTGTAATTCAGGCAGGCACGCAGGAAGACAGTTGGTATGGAGGTTACCCACCATATTAAAACAAATGTATGTATGTATGTATGTGTATATAGGTATGTATATATCTGTCTGTCTGTCTGTCTATCTATCTGATAGCAATGGGATAAGACCTTGCTTTGTCTCCATGTCTACATTTCCTGACCTCCCTCACTCCCAGCTGTCATTAAAATGTGACTTTTGTCTTTCTGGCCATGTGTTTTTGTTTTGTTTTGTTTAACCATGTCATTAAAGGCTTTCTCAGGGAATAAATAATTTAAAAATAAATATTTGATTAATATATGTAGGTAACTTTTTAAAAAGTATTTTGAGAAGTTATTTTGGCTACTAAGACAAGGGGTGCTAGAGCTAAACTCTAGCTCTCAATTCCAAAATACCTGCAAAAAATACTTAGCAGATATAACACTAGGAGAGTGTTCTGAGTCTATTATATCTCTGGCAGAGTATTCTGCACTTTTTCAAAGATAGGCTGCAGAGAATCAAGTATGTGTATAGAATACATTGTTATATGTATGTATTTATATACATAACTTTTCAGAATGGAAACTAATTTAGATGCAGACTTTACTGGAGACTTCTGATAGGAGTTATCTTTTGGAGAGCACATTATAATATGATATTTCAAGTTATGCAGAAGTGTGCAACGGATTGTTCTTAGCTCAGGTGCCTAAACTCAAAAGTTTAATTAGTTTCTAGAGAGAGGTGGAGAGTCTTCCAAAGCATTTTCCCATCAGCGATCAATGGTGTATTATGTAAACCATGTTTTCTTTTCTGGAGTTCCTTGTGGAGTCTTACAACTTTCTTTCTTTACTTCTTAAACCTTTTATATGTAGCAGGCAAGTGTGAAATACCAGTGTGTAAGTTAAGAGAAACAATTCCATAGGGAGGCTCTTTGTTGCTGTTTAATTTCAGACATTTGTCTCTCAGATTTTTTATGTATACAGTTAAGTCCTCAGTGTTGTCACTGGGTTCGTGGAAACTTCAACTTTAAGTAAAATGATGTATAAGGAAACCAGTTTTACTATAGGTTAATTGATGTAAACAAGATTGCGTGTGACATTTCTGGTCACAAAAGCATCACCAAACTTTTAAATAAAAACCAAAACTGTCACATTATTAAACATTAAAATAAATGTGAGCTATACATACATTTAAGAAAGGTTAACAAATCATGTGGGATAATGATTTACCTATTTATTCCCGTTTAGGGTCATGGGTGGCCAGAGCATAACCCAACAGCTCAGGGTGCAAGGCAGGAAGCCATCCTAGATAGGATGCCGTCCCATGGCAGGGTGCAGTCATACCCACCCACCCTCACGTACACTGGGACAATGTAGACACACCAATGAACCTGACATGCACATCTTTGGGAAGGGAGAGGGCGCCAGCCATTCTGGAGAAAACCCATGCAGACATGAGGCGTAAGTGCAAACTCCACACAGATGGTGGCCCCACCCAGTGTGAATTGATTTCTATTCTCATTAATATTATAATGAAACAACATTGAATGAAACAACATTATTCAAGAATCTGAAGTTATGTATTTTTCCCCTTCATCTGTTTTCCCTTAATGTATTTGAATATAGGGAGGAAAAAACAAATGGTAAACTTTAAAAACAAACAGACCAAAATCAGCTGGCTGTTTTGGAAGTATTCACGTGTTCGTAATCAGTCCAATGTGTGTAAAATATCTATCAATTTAAGGGCAAAAGAATAAGCAGTAGCCTTAGCTGAGAATTACCCAGCTGCTCAATTACTTCATTTTCAAAATGTCCGTTAAAGGGGGTAACAGCAGAGAGAATGTCTGCAATTACCATCTAAGTTTTGATATGAGAAATAGGCTTGCTGATGACTGGGTTTCAAGTAGAGAGTTAAGTAGTCCTTAAATCTCATATTCTCACCTATTCTAAATCTGAATAGAAATAATGCAAATGCTAAAAATATAGGCTTTTGATGGAATAGCTAAGTTTTCTAACATACCCTCTGAGCTCCCCCTCTATGCCAAACAACTTAAACTTCACACTTCCCTCTCCTTCCCCACATATTCTTATTCCTCAAAAACATTGCACTTCCTTTGAAGATATTCACTCTCCTTAGCACAGAGGTAATATTGGCTTGTCTCATGCCCCATTTTTGCTTCATATTCTATCAGCCTTGTAAGACAGGATATGTATGACAAAAATTCTGACTACTTTGGGTACCATCTGGCTAAACACACATGACCACTCTCTTGTCTTCCATCTACTGGCCAGGTCATTTCTTCCCCATTTCTACCACCTAACTCCCTTCTAACCTTCTATCATCATGATCTCTATTAAAATAGGGTGTATGACCAATCTAATACCCTATCTTAATGTGTTTTTGTTTTGTTTTGAGACAAGATCTTGCTTGTTTTTTGAGTCCAGGACTTGTCCAGGCTGGATTTGAACTCCTATGCTTAAGTGATCCTCTCACTTCAGCCTCCCAAGTAGCTGGGACTACAGGCATGCACCACTGCATCTGTGTGTGTGTGTGTGTGTGTGTGTGTGTGTGTGTGTGTGTGTGTTTAAACCTCTACTCCTACAGGTAATCTCGTTTGTTACTAACTGGAATGACCATACCTCTGAAATTCAGAAATTCCACTCACTTTACAAATTCTTGTTCTCCTACCTTTCCAACTAACCCTTTTCTACTACTCTGTACATCTCTTGAACTTTTTATTCTAGTTATCTGGCTTTTTTTTTTTTGGTTAAACATAGAGATGGGGTCTCACTATGTTGACCAGGCTGGTCTTGGTCTTGAACTCTTGACCTTAGGTGATCTTCCTGCCTTGGCCTGCCAGAGTGCTGAGATTACAGGTGTGAGCCACTGTGTCCGGCCAGTTATCTGACTTTTCATGCATTTATTTCTGTATTCTGTGTAAATTCCAACATCAGTCATTTTAACTACTTTCAAAGTTGGCTCAATTTTAGGCTTTTCCTTCTTCCTAGACAAACTTTTACCAAACATGTCACTAACCATAAAATGGAATCAGCCTAAACTATAGTATCTCCTATTTCTGTTGTCCAGCTGATAGGTGTTTCTAGAGGGAGAAAGTGGGCCTTGATAACCCAGTGGAAGACTCTTTGCATGTATCTCTTGTAATTTTCATAACCTCCATGAAAGCTATTTTTATCAGCAACTTGTAGATTTTTTTTTTAAAGGTACAGAGTTGTGTTTGAACCTAGGCCTTATGATATGTGGAGCACAATGGATGTAGCAGCTCCAAATGTCACATCTGCACATCAGTCTTTCTTAGAAAAGAAAATCTCTTTCTCTGATTGTCAAACAAGACTTGTGGCCTCACTCTGAACTAGATTTAACCGAGTGGCCAAAGCAGTTGCCATGGCCGGAGTAATGTCAACATCTAGCTGGCCTGGGCTTGGGTTTTGGTCAGTCATAGTACTAAGTTTGGGAGATCCTTCTACTTGGTTTAGGCCAATCAGTGCCCACTTATGTGGGTAGGTTATGGGAATCAATCCCATCTAGTCACCCGGACTGCTAACCTGTGCAAAAAGTATGAAACGGAGGCCGGGGAAGCATCTGACAAGTGTCTGTTACAGTGATTGATATTTTTATTCAATATAAAGAGCTTCCCACATTTTCAAATTCTAAGTTTATTTCAGGTTTGGTTGTAGAAATTTAGAAAACCAAGTCATAAAAGAAGGCACTATGAAATCAACAATGGAATAATTTTGCAGGGTTTACGTTTTTCAGAAGCTCCTATGGGAGCAGGGAAGCTATTATTATAGTAAATACAAGTTGGGATGTTATGAGCCATATAAGCTGGAAGACCAAGGATGCAAAGTAATTGAGGTTGCAGGTGAAAGTGTAGCCCTGGTGTTTCTTCAAGTACTCAATGATGGATGGCATATAAATGAGGTTAGGGTATTTATTTGAGGGCTCAAGGTCACAGGCAAGGGATGCAGGAGTGGAAAGGTATAAGAAGCTATATTCAGAGGATGGATACTTATTTTTTCCCCCAGCCTTACTGAGGTATAGTTGCCAAAAAAAATTGTATATATTTAAGATATAGAATATGTTTTGATATATGTTTACATTGTAAAATGATTACCACTGTTAATTAACATATTCATCATCTCATATAGTTACCATTTTCTGTGTCTGTGATGAGGACATTTAAGTTCTACTCTATTAGTAAATTTCAGTTGTATCAGTCACCATGCCATGCATTAGATCTGCATAACTTGTATTTGATACATTATAATCATTACATTTGATATGTTTGACTTTTCTGATGTGGAGATGTTTCAGGTAATGACAAGTTCCTAGTGGTAATGGAGTGCAAGTTTGGAAAGGCCAGTGAGCTAGGTAGGATGTTGAATGGTTTATCAATATGGGGACTGAAATTTAGAGAGTGGTGACAGCACTAAGGAAGGATAAGCTTACCATTAGCCAGATGTCCAATTCCTTAGTGTTTGTGGAAGGCAACTCGAAGTTAAGTGATTAACATGGTTAAAGTGATAGACATGGATGGTGAGACCCTTGGGGGCGAAGGAATGGTTGTTAATGAACTACAGTCATACATTAGTGCAGAAGGGCTTCAGGAAAATGCTGACTGTTTCCTTTCCCTGGTCTGTGGAGGCAAGCAGAGAATGAACAGAGTCCATTTGAGAAGTGTGTGATGGAGATGGCATAATCAAGAAAAAAGCAAGATACATTAAGGCAAGGAAGTAGAGGATGCTGTCATAGAAAATGTTAAGAATGGTGTACCAAGCTTTTTGGGAATTAGCAGTTCAAGAAGTACAATGGAAATCATTAGAATGGTGTGGGTAAGGGTTGGTGACAAAGAATCTGGGAAGGTGACACTGAAGCCATTCTGGGAAGTGATTCTGGATCTCTGTCTCCTGAGGGAGACAGGGCTGCGAGATGAAAATCCTGCATACGGGTTCTTTATGCTGTGATTCCAGACTTTTAAAATTTTTGATTTTTTTAGTGTTATCACTGACTGTTGTTTGAGCTTCTTCTCCTGGATCACCCAAGAAACTGAGCTGCTTGCTGTTTTCCAAACCATCTCCTATTCCTCCTGCTTCTGTTCATACATCTAGTTTTCCAGAAATGTCTCAGTTCTACTTCAACATCTCAAGTTCATATCCCATAAGACCATGTCAACGCTCACCTCCTCCAGCATGTGACTCTCCATCCCTCTGCCCAGTTATATGCTCTGTTTTATTTGGCATGACTTTTAGGACACTTTGTATTCATGTTATTTTGTGTGTATTTGTGGCAGGACTCTATATCTTAGTATAGCTCCTATGCTCTCTAGCAAGGTGCCTTGCACTTTACATGTATCAAAGTACTGTGTGGAATATGAGCAGTCAGAAAAGACTCCAAACAGAGTGTAGGAAAAGCCCTCTGGGTTTGTGAAGTTTTGATCCACGTATGAAAATATTCTTAATTCATTTCTATATGCAGCAAATTCAACTTTGTTAACTAGAATTAGTTTTATATAATACATAGAAACACTGGAAATCAAATTTAAGACATTATTATTCATCCGAAAAATTAGATTTACCATCTTTTTTAATGTGACTGCTTCATTTCAATTCCTTAATCAAATTAGCTGCCTGTTTTATACCTGCTTGGTACTTAAAAAAAAAAAAATCTACCTTTTGTTGCGGAGGAGGATTTCCTCTAGCTATTTATTTTGAATCAAAGGAGACATCAGCTGTAGCCTATGCCCCTGAATCAGCTTCCTATTTTCTTCTTTGAGAATAAGCCTCTGATGTCTTTTTTTTTTCTTTCTTTCTTTCCTTTCTTGGACTCAAATACCACTGAAAACTCCCAGCAAGGAGAAAGAATAGTTATATGATGACTGGAATATTGGTATAAAGTTTATTTTTGTTGCCATAGCAAGTACTCAGCTACATTGTCTCTCACTTTTGGAACTTCTAGCTCCTATGAAAATATTTCGTGTAACTTCCTGTATTAACCCCTGCTTGAAGTTATGTGTCTGTTCCTGGCTCATCATGAAGGGCTTTGCCTATTGTTTTCCTTGCTTTAAAGAAACCAAAACCAAACAGAACTCTTTAAATCTTTGACTACTTCTATTCATTTATGGGGTTGGCTGGAAGTTTCTTGTGAATGTCCAGAGCACCCTTCTGGTATAGTCCATTTGTGTGACTATCTGGGACCATCACAGACCAGTCTCACTCTGTTGCTCAGGCTGAGGTGCAGTAGTGCAATCTCTGCTCACTGTAACCTCCACCTCCTGGGTTCAAGTGATTCTTGTGCCTCGGCCTCCCCAGTAGCTGGAACTACAAGCGAATGCCACTACACCCAGCTAATTTTTGTATTTTTAGTAAAGATGGGATTTCGCCATGTTTTTCAGGCTGGTCTCAGACTCCAGCCCAAATTACCAGACTAGGTAACTTCTAAAGACTAGAAATGTACTTTCTCACAGTTCTGGAGGCTGGGAAGTTCAAGATCAAGGCCTGGACATCTGGCAAGGGCCTTCTTGCTTCATCCTCACATGGCAGAAGGCAGAAGAGCAAGAGAGCCCACCTGCAGCCTCAAGCCTTTTTTACAATAGCATTAATACATTCATTAGGATGGAGCCCTCGTGACCTAAACATCTCTCATTAGGCCCCACCTCCCAACACGGTCACATTAGAAATTATGTTTCTAACACAACTTAGAAAGGGAGGACACAGTCAAACCATAGCACCTTCATTTTATATGTATTTTAATTGTTTTTAAAAAAACATGTATTGGCTCTAGTACCAGTGGAATCCAAAAATGAAAATAGCAAATTTCCTTCTCTAAGGGAATCCACAGTGTAAAGGGAAACAGATAAATGCATAAGTATCATATAGCACTTTTTTGCACCCTGATTACCCATGAATGGCCTCCTCTAAGGGCTTAGGGAAAAGAAGACAGGGAAGCAGATTATGCAAACAGAAGGAAGGGAGGAGAGATTAGGATGCCTTCTTAGGGAAATTCACATTAGAGCTGGCCCTTGCAGAGAGAACACAGTGCTGTGGACAATGGGTGGATATGCTCACATCACTCTGGAATTCACCGCAGCAGCCACATGAAATAATTACGTATGTGGATCCAGCACTTTCTGTATGCTTTAGCAGTGTGTAAGGAACTTGGAGGACTAAAGAAATATCTACAAATTATGCCTTAAAGAAATGAACTTAAAATTTAGAGATACAAAATGCAGATATAAAAATAGAATAATAAAACGACCTAGGATTATATACAAAAGCACATGTTTATTGAGTGACTTCTGTGTGTTGCGCAGTATGGTGATACTACTCCCTTTGTGGATCTTAAAGTCTATAAAATATAAAACATATAAAACATGCATAAATGAAAACTTAATGTGAATGAAGTTAGAGCTAAATGCTGTGAATACTTTGAAATGAGAGAATCTACCATGAGACGAGAGAGAAAGGAAGCCTGAGAAGATGACAGTGGTCTACTTGGATCTGCTGCTTCTCCTGCCTGGACTCCGGTCTTGCCACCTCCTTCTCCTGGCCTGGCTCCACACCTCTAGAAAGAATGTGAAAATACCACTTTTATCAGAAGTGTTTGATGGGTTAACTGATTGATTGAGACAGGGTAGCTCTCTGTTGCCCATGCTGGAGTGCAATGGCATAATCATGGCTTACTGAAGGCTCGATCTCCCAGGCTCAAGCAATCTTCCTGCTTCAGCCTCTTAAATAACTGAGACCACAGGCATGCACCACCATGCCTGGCTAATTTTTTATATTTTGTCGTGATTGGATCTCGCTATGTTGCCCAGGCTGGTCTCAAACTCCTGGCTCGTGCTATCCTCCCTCCTTGGCCTCCTAAAGTGCTGGGATTTATAGGCATGAATCACTGCGCCTGGCCAGTGTGATGGTTTTAACTTCATTTTGATCTCTTGCTTATAATATGAAAGTGTCTGAAACCACTACTGCTAAATCTTGGCTGTAATTGAATGTCTGGGATGGAGGAGGAGTTTTTAATGTTTGGGTCTGGCCAGCCCAGCAAGGACATGTGCTTCTGACCACACTGATTCACTGAACTGCTTTCTTCAGAGCCACAGCCCACAACTTGAGAGGCTCTCTTCTCTCCTCTCTCCTCTCTTTTCTTTTCTCTTCCTTTCTTTTCTCTTCTTCTCAACAGGGTCTTACTCTGTACTCACACTAGAATGCATGCAGTGGCACAATCACAGCTCACTGCAGCTTTGACCTCCCAGGCTCAAGTGATCCTCCTGCCTCAGCCTCCTGAGTAGCTGGGACCACAAGCACGTGTCACCACACCTGGTTAATTTTTTTTTCTAATATTTATTTTTAGTAGAGATGAGGTCTCATTATGTTGACCAGGCTGATCTGGAATTCCTGGGCTCAACTGATTCTCTCACCTCAGCTTCTCAAAGTGATGGAATTATAGGTGTGAGCCACCATGCCTGTCCTTCATCTTGCCTTTCTGAAAGACCTGTGGGATTTGGGCATTTATTCTTAGAATATTGCTGTAGAAGTCCAAAAAATACATAGTTGTGATAATTGCATACTGAAGGCTTAATCTCCCTTTTATGTAATATATGAAAAAAAATGGGAAAGCAAAGCAAACTACTGAACTATTGAAGTTATAACATTTTAAGTATAACCATTTAAAATGTATCTTGGGGAAGTTCTGATTTTATAGGTGATAAAATTATACTTGCAGTGGGTTTTCTTGTTATTTTGAATGTTAAACTTTTATTAAACATTTAATGTGATATATTTATAGAATGTTATTTTTATATTTCAGTTGCTATTATGAAGTATAAATCTTTGACCAGAAATCTACTTGTTATATTAATAACAGTCTTAAAATATCTGGCTGTTTTTATTAAAATTGTGGTAAAATACACAAGATAGAATTTACCATTTTAATCATTTTAATGTGTAAGACACAGTAACAGTTAGTACATGTACAGTGTTGTGCAACCATCACCACTATCCTAGCCCAGAACAGTTCCTAAAGGAAGCCTGTACTCATAAAGCAGTCCCTCCCCATTCCCTTTCTTCCTCAGCCCCTGGCATCTACTAATCTGCTTTTTCTTTTTTTAATGTGAATAATATGATGTCACCGATTGCAAAATAATGGAAAGAAACTGGTTTGATCTTTCTTGCTCAGTTGATATAAAATAATGCTTTTCTATTCGGTTTGTTAGACTAATTTTTCAGTTAGGTGATTTAAAAAACATAATTAACAGTTAATTTAGGGATGAGGAGCTCTACTGAAGAATTTTTTATTAAAACATTAGTAATTTTATTAAAGGAGCAAGTGAAACTCACAAAATTAAGAAGAAGTAGTAATAAAGGCCAGGCATTTTCTTAAACTTTCATAATACTGAGAATTAACTGCAAGAATGAAGCCAGCCATCAAGATTTTTCTCACTTTTGTAATTTGTGGGAATATAAAATTGCAAACATAAAAGTAAAAGACAATTCAAAGTAATGAGAATTAGAAGTGTTGGCTGGATAAAAAATGTCCTAAGTTATGAGGGTAAAAGTTCCATTTTTTTTTTAACTGGATAGCCTTCTCTGAGGCTAAAGAAAAAACACTTAAAAGAAAGGATAGCTTTATTCCATTTTAAAAAATTCAACAACACATTGATAATGTTTTTAGGGAAGCATGTTTACAATTTCTCTAAAAAGCAGTAATGAGGTTTGAATACCTTGTTATACTTTTGAGATTTGTTGAAAATAGATCTACTTTATTGGTTTTCTCTGTGTATGTGGTTTCTTTATGCTTTGTTTTGTCTTGAGCACCTTCACAGATAAAGCCTTTGAAATAAAGTCAGGATCTATGTTTTAATTTAGGGCACAATTTCAAATTAAATTTGACTTTTAGTTCAGTGGAAAAGAATGTAGCTCTATAGTCAGACTGCCTAGGTTCAAGTCCTGCCTCCAAGGTGTACTACTGCCTTGACTAATTCGCTAAATAGTTCTTACCCTTATCAGTGAAGTATCTTGTAAAGTATCCATAAAGATATGTGTCTGTGGATTGTGAGAAAGGGGAAAGAGCACCTCAGCAGCACTTTACAAAGTGTCTGGTCTGCAGTAAGTGTACAGTGAACATGAAAGCTTCTGATTTGACCATGATGATACCAAAGTATTCTTTTATCTAAAAATTAAATATTGGCCCAATGCTTCTCCAACTTGTTAGTAGCAATTTTATTTTTATCAGCCTTTCTCAAAACTGTTCCAGCCTCTCTCCACAAGTATTCACATACTGTTATCACAGGCATGGGCCATTATTGTGCTATTTTTGTCATATGGATATGAGGTACCTAAAAAATAAAAGGTTTTGGGTTAAAAAAGAAAGTCTAATAACTTAAATCAATGTAAAGAAGATAAATGTTTGTTTTCTCTGTGTAGTATTCACTGTGATGTATGTAAAAGGTATTGAATCTTACTTTTTGTGTTTTTGATTTTGAAGCAGTAAACTTTTATAATTACAGTGCAACATTATGAAACTCAGACTATTACAGAGGGAAATGCGTTACTGCTGTTGAAATACTGGAGGGATGTTTGTGTATTTAAAATTCTCCTAAGTATAAGGAAACGCCCAGGAGAAAATACGCACATCACAGGCAAGGTATTCTTAAAGGTGCCTGTTCTAAAGTTGACTTAGTGGAACAGCAAATTACTGACTGAGAATTACATTTACTCCTTGCCCAGAGACCTCACAAGGCGACAGCAGTCTCCATGAAAACACAGCATTTACACTCTGTCTGTCGCCTACCCTGCCTTGTGGATTTCCACTTAGCCCGGCAGATACTCCGGCAGCACCACCCAGGGCAAACATTATTTGGTTTCTAAATAAGGCATAAAGCTGAAAACACACAAAAGTGGAATGGTTGTGGAATAAATAGGAGCGCTGCAGCTCTTGTCCATTCGCTGTGGTGATAATATCATCTATGTCTTTGAGCTCATAACCCATTATCCTGAGATCCAAGGAAAATAATAATTAGATCTTCAATTAATGTTAAATTATTCATTATTGTCCAAGAGGAAACCATGCTAAAAAGATTGCTCTCAAGAAAAGCCATGAAAATCTCAAAACTTTTCCATGTGACTGACCCAGAAGCCTTAAAAAAAAAGAACATATGTCTTTAAGTTGGCCAATAATTTTTATAAATTTAAACTTTTATAAAAGGGAGGAATTACGTGGAATTCCTTTCATTCCCAGAAATGTTTACTACAAAGGCCTCTTATGTTCTCATTTGTGGCAGTAGAACCCTCCGTGTCAGCCATTTCTATGTTGTAGAAAAGCCTCCAAGTGGCACTGTGCTGAGAACTTTGGTTACAACAGTCCCCTTAGTGGCGGTTATTACTACCCCATTTTACAGATGTGGATCTAGGAGAATGAGGATAAGTAATTTGCTCCAGGTCACACAGATAGCTTACGGAAATACCAGGAATTGGGTCCAGGTAGTCAGCTCTGTGTTGCTAGACTGCCTCACATTTAGTAAAGTTAACACTTTGCTTGAATTGTAGGATAGCAGAGTGACATCATTATTTATCTAAGCTATAAAAGAAATAAAAGTATCATATCATATTTTTAAAATATTTTAAAATTCATGAGGCAAACCTGTTTCTCATTAGGCCTCATCTTGGCCCTGAGTGCAATATGAGAACATTCCCATAGATGGAGGCCTGACCCATGTCTCATACCTGCACATTCCCTACCCTCCCTTTAATGTTCGGTCTAAATTTGCAGAGTGCTATCATCTTAAGTCTTCTCTTTCCCTCTAGGCTCAGTTATTGGGACAGAGGCTGATGAAGAAAGACCTGAAGGAAGGCCCTAGTCTGTGTGGTCTCTGTTTGGAGGAGCTAAAAGGGGACTTTTTGGTCGAGAGACTCAGAGAGAATATCCCTGCCGTAAGGTGACCGTCCTGCCTGGGCCTGAGAATCTGTGGGAGGCTGGGAAGCGTCCTGTGGAAATAGGCTCTGTGTTCTGGGAAATGGCATGGGTGGGGCAGGGCAGGACAGGTCATTAAGAGCAAGGAGGAAGAATGCTGCATCTCCTGAAGCTTACATGGAATTCTCTGAGGGATTCAAGACCTCATCAGTTTTGGTGAAGGCTCTTTAATATCGTTCTTAAGGCTGAAGGGAGCAAGGAACTTCCCTGGCTTTTCCTGTCGGGAAAATAGAAGACTGGGATAGCCCAGATTCCTTCAAGTTATCAAGAGAGAGCAGGACAGTTCTGATGAAAATTTCCCAGGCAAAGATGGTGACTTTGCCATGATTCGTACTGTTTATCCTTTCTCATTAGAGAACCTGTGATCTATGGTAATATTTACATGTTTGGATCACTTTTCCACCTAGAATCTAAGAAAAGACCAAATTTTCCTACCCCTACTTAGGAATAGGAAAGTAATTTGGATAGAAGAAAAACAATTTGGATAGGGAAAAACAAAACAACAACAACAACAACAACAAGCAATTGATCTCATTTGGAGACTGCGAAACTTAAAGACCATGTTTCCAATATGACTGTCAAATTCAAAAATCCTGAATGACTCATTTCCTGTGAAGTCTTGTCTTCCTCCTGTAATTTCTATCCTAGTTGCGGTTGGTCTCATCATTTACTGAATTATCATAGTCATACACTGGGATTTCTCCTGGTCTTCCCCCTCCCCTTTTGTTAACCTGTGACTCGGTCACTAAATTTTGCTGATCTATCACTTAAATGTCTCCTAAACCTATTTCTTTCCCTCTCTTCCCAGTGCTACCAGGTCTTGGCAATTTTTACCTGCATTATTGATCATTTAATTGGTCTGCTTGTCCCTGGTCTTAACCTTTTAATCAATCCCTTCCATTTTCATTATAATGATATCTCCATATGCAAATAAGATCATATGACTGCCCTGTTTTACTGATTTTAGATAACCTAAATTCAGTATGGCCTACAAGGCTTTGCTTGGAAAGTTGTCTTTTTTGTCTCACTCACTCTGTCGCCCAGGCTAGAGTGCAGTGGCATGATCTCAGCTTACTGCAACCTCTGCCTCCTGGGTTCAAGCACTTCTCATGCCTCAGCCTCTTGAGTAGCTGGGACTACAGGCACATGCCACAACCCTGGCTAAGTTTTGTTTTAGTAGAGACATGGTTTTGACATGTTGGCCAGGCTGGTCTTGAACTCCTGACCTCAAGTGATCTGCCTGCCCCGGCCTCCCAAAGTGTTGGGATTACAGGCATCAGCCACTGTGCTGGGCTGGAAAGTTATTTTCTTTGGAGCATTAAGACTTCTTTTCTCCCCTTGCATTTGCTATTCCTCCCAAGTATAACCCTTTCTGACACACCCATCCTCTGAGCTGGCATTTTATTCCTTCAGTGTCTTGCAATTCTCCATGTCACAAAGGCTCAGTAAATGTTGAGTGAGTTTCCCCTGATCAGTCTGTCTGATTTTCTCATGTATCTGAGGCTATGCCTATTAGAGCCATCCTATTAGAAGCACCAGAATTATCTTTTTGTGGCTGTTGTTGGCAACTCTTGGCCATTATGCATAGGAACAGATAACAGTGGTGAGATCTAGCCACTGGCTTAGAGTTTACAGTGCCATTCTCCCAAGGCCACATAGAATGCTGTGTTTAGCAGGGCAAATTATTTGACAACATAGAAAATTTTACATAAAAATTCAGAGTTCTTATGTCTTTTGAAAAACTGGAAAACTTCCTAACACAGATTCTTGTTTCCCAGAGTATTAATTAGTTAGATCTGAATAGCCTGTACTATTGCTAGCCTTTTCTCCAGCTGGCTGCAGGTACCCCTATGCCAGTTTCTTTTACACTTGATCCATTTCATTTCTATTGTGCCTCAGTGATGCCTGTGTTAAGGAAGTTGTTTTACACTCTTTAAAAGTTGCTTTAGGAAATCAAGCTGATATTAAGCTTACTATTCATGGATGTCATTCATCTGGGTTTAGAAGATTGTGTTCTCATTTTCCCTAAGAAGGATCATTGTGAGCATTCTTGCTGTTATCTACATTCAGGTATATAGCAGCATTCCTGTGTCACTCTCCCTTAATGCTGCCTGGAATCCTCAGGTGCATAGGTGCATATACAAAACGTTTCAGGAGACGCTTAGGGCAGGCAGCATCCTTAGGAAGGTACGCAAAGAAAATTTTAAAAAGAATCTTGGATTATACTGTAGTAATCATTCTGTCTGTCTTTAACAGTAATGTGTGTGTGTGTGTGTGTGTGTGTGTGTAACTCATGATTTAGTGAATTTTTGTTCTTCCTGGCATATTATTTCTTTTACATTGGATCAAATTACTTCTTTTTAAATAAAACCAATAGTAAGGTTTGTATATGCCAGATACAGAACTGAAAAGAGATTTTGAAAAATAAAAAAAAAATCAAGCTACAATTCAAAATTAAACTTGTACTAAATGCCATATGGTATTCTGGATTAGATCATGGAACATATAAAAGACATTAGTGGACAAACTCTTGAAATCCAAATATAGTCTGGAGTTAATAATCACTAATTTTAGTATTAGTTTTGCCAAAGGTACATTGTTATATAAGATGTTAACATTAAAGGAAACTAGGTAAAGTGTATATGGGAACTGTCTTTAGTTACTTTACTACTTTTCTGTAAATCTAAAATTATTCCAAAACAATGTTTATTTTTAAAAATTAAATATCTATCGTAATTATTTTTGTGTTTTTTTCCAAGGGCTAATAGTATTGTCCTTTTTATATATGTTAATCATAATGTTGTTCCAAAGACACTTAATCACAATTTATATAAATAGTTAAGTGATCAAATTAAAAAGAAAAGTGTTCCTCATAACTGATTCACTTATTTGACAGCAAAGACTTGATGATTGCTTGTCGAGTCCCAGTCCCTGTTATAGGCATCAGGAGAAGACTGAGAAGGTGTCTCTTCTCAGAGTTTAGATTCTGAGGGGGAACCAGGTTGGCGGTGGGCGGGGAGGGGGCAGACAGACAAAATAAATTAAAAAAAAACAGTGATAAATGCTTTGAAGAGAATTAAAATAGGGTGATGGGTTAGCAATTGGTATGCTACCGTAGACTTGATTAAGAATCTTTATGAGAAGGTAACATTTAAACAGGGATCTGAGTGAGGAAAAGCATTCCAGGTCCAAGGAACAGTAGTGGCAAAGCCTCTAAGACGGGGGGTGCTTGTATATACCAGACCTAGAAAAAGCCAGTGTTGCTGGAACAAAGTGGGTTGATGAAGGGGCCATGAGAACTAGATAGCACTGCAGTTTGGGGCTTCCTTTACCAGGATAAGGAGTTTGAGATTTATTCTAAGGGCCATGGGAAGCGTTTGGAAGATTTAAAACAGAGAATGAATTGATAGTTTACATTTTAAGATGGTGACATGGAAGTTTTGTGGAAGAGATTGGAATGCCGCCTGAGAGCAGAGGCAGGGAGACTGTCAGGGTGGAGTGGGAAAGGACCGGGGGTTGAATTGGACTGGGGGGGTTTGTTGAAGTGGAGACGAAGTACATTAATTCAGCATCTTTTTTGGATTGAAAATGGAAGTGAGGGAAAGAGAGGAATGAACCAAGGTAAATTCTTAGATTTGGGACTGTATTGGGGCTGTTATTGAGGCAGGGAAACTAAGGGAGGAGGGGTGAAAAGTTCACTTTTGGCATTATCAAGTTTGAGATGACAAATGGGCAGCCAAGAGATTTTAAAATATGGGTAGTAAGACCCCCAAGTAGGGTGATCCCTTATAACTGATTATACAACTTGGGGTATCTTTGAGGGCATAAGAGGAGGGAGTGTTTGGGCACTAAAGACTACCACCAAGGGCCAGGTGCCGTGGCTCACGCCTGTAATCTCAGCACTTTGATAGGCCAAGGCTGGCAGATCACTTGAGGTCAGGAGTTCGAGGCCAACATGGTGAAACCCTGTCTCTACTAAAAATACAAAAATTAGCTGGGCCTGGTGGCACACGCCTGTAATCCCAGCTACTCAGGAAGCTGAGGCAGGAGAATTACTTGAATCTGGTAGGCGGAGGTTGCAGTGAGCCAAAGTCACACCACTGCACTCCAGCCTGGGTGACAGAGTGAGACTCCATTTTAAAAACACAAAACAAAACAAAACAAAACAAACTACCAGCAGGACAACAGAGACAAAACAGAATGTATTGCACGTAGGAGTCTGTTTTCAGGGAAAGATTTCAGGATTGGCAACATCAAATGTTTAGAGTGCCATGATGAAATCAAGCAAGATAAGATTACAGAAGAATGCTGTTCTTCAATATCTGGAGCAGCATGAGGGGCATTGGTGTTAATGAAGATATAGGACAGTGTGGGTGGGGTTGGGGGTGGTAGCCAGATGGAAGTGGGCTCACAAGAGGCTATGAGGTAAAGAAGTAGAAACTATGAATGCATTTTTTTTTTTAAGAGGCAGGGTCTCTTCCTGTTGCCGAGGCTGGAGTACAGTGGCACAGTCTCAGCTCACTGCAACCTCAAACTGCTGGGCTTAAGCAATTTTCCTACCTCAGCCTCCCCATAGAACTACAGCATGTACTGCCGTGCTAACCTGAACATCTTGTTTTTTGAAGTTATTATTGTATATATTTAAGATATACAACATGGCTGTTATGATAAACATATACATATTGAGATGATTACTGCAGTCAAGCAGATTAAAATATGTATCTCCTCACATGGTTACTTTTTTTTTTTTTTTTGAAAAAAGTGATACAGGCACCTGAAAACTACTCTTAGCAAATTTCCAGTTTCCAGTATACAGTACAATATTATTAGCCACAATCCTCATGCTATGCATTAACGCTCTAGACTCATTCTTATGAACACCTTCTTAAAAATGTTTGTTGTGGAGACAGATGTAGGTACAAAGTACGTAGAGCTGTATAAGAGACAGTCAAGGCTAGAAAGCAAGTGCCAGTCACAGTTCTTGTGATATTTTGAGCTATAACCTTATCAATCAGTATTGCACACATGGAAGAAGAAATAATGCTTCTGTCAGTGAAAGTAATGGGACATGTGATTTTGTATCAAAGTTTCTGTCACTCATATTAGAATAGTCTGCATTTGATTTTGAACATTCTGGAAAAATCGGAATTGTTGCAAAGATGCACTTTGATTTAGAAAAGGACTGACTATAAAATCTAGCTGTTTAAATTCTTCTCCTTTCACATCAGGGCCTTCACAGTAGAATGTTAGTAGAAGTGAAGCCATGAAACAGAAATACCAGCTTCCATTGGCCGTATTGAGGCTTCCGTGGTAGAAAATGATGTTTGCCCTGGGCCCACTGGGAGACAATTTAGGGCATCTGCCAGGAAGTTTACCTGGTTCTTTTTTTCTTTTTACAAAATTAAATGCCTGCTTTTTTCTCTGAATTTTATTTTTATATACTCAGCTTTCTTCAAACTATCATCCTACAAGTAATTTTAAGGCTTTAAAAAATATTATACAGATGTGCTTCTTAGCAATCAGATCAAACGATGAATTAAGATAATTAAAGATTTTGTATATGTTGAGAATCTGCATTTATAACTTTATAAAGGAAACAAAAAATTGGATTCTCCAATTTTAAAATTGCTTGATAAGAAGCTGCTTTTTATTTTTGTAATTTTTATTGCATAAAGCACATTCTCTTTAGAAAAAGAGCCTGTGAAAATGTTAACATGATTATTCCCAGAATGATTGGATAAGACCAGTGAATTCCTTCTTTTACATATTTGCCAGAGGTAAGAAGTGCCTGGCGCTTACACATACATGATAAACAGTTGAGTTAGTAACAGAGCAGGACAGTTGGTTCAGCATTCTCTAAAAGTAAAGCGCTAGAGGAACAATACTGTTTTATGGAGACTTTCTGGAACAGTTGTAAGTAAATACGTTGTGTAAAACTTTTAAAATAATTTAACCTTTCCTAATCTTTTGCTTTAAAAATATCTAATATTTTCTCTCAAACTATGATTACCCTTGCACATTTTAATATGTCTGAGGACTCTTTTTCTCCATCAGCATTTTTGTAGAAAAAGCTGAAGTAGTTATGTTTTTTGAATTGATGCTTTGGAGAGTAAAGTACAGAATTTTTTTCTTAATGCATTAAATGTATATGTAATGATTAAATGTATATACATGTTAGAGAATAAAAATTATTTTAAATGTAATGCTTAATCCATTAAACTGTGTGTATATAATATTAACTACTGCTGTTCATTATGTTCTTACTGGAAACACTTCCTAGCCTTAAGACATGGTGAGGTTCCTTTCAAATTATGGTAAATTCTTCAATAAACAATATGATAATCACGCTAATCTAGGGCTTTAGCTTTTACAAGGAATAGTCTCTATCATTTAAAATATGAGAACCCTATGAAGCTAACTTTAGGTATTTTCTTCGGGTACTGGACAGAAATTCAAACTAGAATTAAGCATTTTGATCTCTAGATTGGCACTCTTTCCCCTGTACGATCCTGGCATGGACCTCTCTGTATTAACAACCCTCTTGGTAGTAACAATTGCAGTTAGTCAATTTACCTGCATTAAATTAAAAAATAAAGAATCCTTTAGCACATGAACCTTAGAGCAGACTTTGAGTGTAATATTAACTCCGTCAGCATGGACTAAGAAGTTGCTCGTGGACATTCTAAGTTGGCTGGTACACGATTACATATAATTTTGCTAAACTAACTGAATAATGCAACTTGACTCATCTCCTTGCTTACAGTACTGTACTTTCTGTGTGTGCTAAAACATTATTCTTTTATTAAGGACTGCGTTAACTTCATCCCTTAAATAGATGTCTGGTATTATGTAATATTAGATGAATGTGAGAATTAGTCTTTTTATGTAAGATAAAATTGTGGTATAGAATATCTGTGGATAGCTAAATGCATCCTTTAATTGAAACTCCAAATGGTTTGTGTTGAAAGTTTGGTGACTTAAAAGAAAAAATTGAATTAACATTGTTTTGTGGTATAAAGTATTTCTTCTAACAGAGCTAATTAGTATTTAAAGAAGTCTTCTTAGAATAAGTGATAAGATTAATTGAAAACCTTTACAGAATGAAGGAGAAATAATACATGTACTTAGGAGAGATTCTTAATGTTCAAATTAAAAATCTACTTGCTATTATCAGATGTATCTAAAATGTGAAAAATAGTCAATAGAATCATTGACTGTATATTTTTTAAACAAGGGCTGTGTTTCTAAATACCTGGTAGAAATCTAACTTATATAATTCAAATGTAAATTTCCTATAAAAATAAATACATGAGATTTACATTTTCCAAATTTTGCTGATAAAGAAACTTTATCACATTTAAGGTTGACATAAACCAGAACAGCACAAACTGCAATCTTGCCATGTTTTATTTTAAAAATAAAAAAGATAGTATCAAATTACTATCTGTCACTGGTTTATTGCTGCTAACCACACACTGTGAGGATTAACAACTAAACAAATCCCCTTATTCATGTAGGGCATGAGGTTAGATGATCGAGACTATAAATAAGCAAACTTAATGATGTCATTAATAAGGAAGAGGAGAAGGTACCTCTTGGTGTCTTGTTTACTCCCACTATGCATACGTTCTTTAGAAAGCAAATTACTGAACCATATGGAAAAGGAAAAAGCTAAGGTGAGTAATAGAATTGTTTAACACAGACTCATTATACATTCAATATTGAGTATAATTATATTCCATTTTCATGTTTGAAATAATTATGCATTAATCTTTAGAACTGGATGACTTTTCTGTAGATTTTTGAAGTTACATAGCTATAACTTGGAATGTTTAGATGCCTTCTTATCACAATTTATTCTTGTCAAAGGAAAGTAGATAGTAATTTACAAAGACACATGCAGTAGTTGGCATATAAACCATATATGTGGTGATGTACAATTAGAAACTCGTGCTTTCTAAACCTGTCTCCATCTATTCAGAACAGTGTGCCTTGTACTGACCCATTTTTGTTTTTTAACTTTAGCCTGTTGTCAATTATGTCATGAAACTCCCAAGTCATATGGACAAGCCCATTTATAATTCTAGTTGAGGTCACTTGTTAAAAGTTTTCATGTTTTGCAAAATGTACTTAAGTTTGAGTTTATGTTTTGTCTAATAGGGGTACTCTAATCATGCTGTAGTGCCTGAACTGAAACACAGTACACAATTTTTTTTTTCTAATGAGAAACTCTAGAAGACAGTGATACCCTGTTGTTTAAACAACAACATATTTGGATGGAATATCAAATTGATTACGTGTTACATGTGTGTTTTTTGTTTTGTTTAAAATTACTAAAGATGATTTTCAAAGTGTCATACTGTTGATGTAAAAAACTTAGGTTGTTGGTCAACGTCATCTGTGGTTTCTTAAAGTGCACATAAATTATAGGTATCTCATTAAATTCATAAATATAAACAATGATCTCTCAGTGACATAGAATTAGTTTTGCTTTTGAGATAAAATTTTTATATTTTCTAGCTTTTTATAAGAAAAGTGGTAGAAGGCAATTAAGAAAATATTGTAAGAGTAACATAAGTGGTGCTTATGAAATTGAGGACAATATATAGAACATAATGATCTTTATGCGAGATCAGTACAATAAAAATATCTTATTTTTATTTTAGGATCAAAAAGTAAATGTGTAAATTAGGATTTTAGCTCCTGTATCTTGACATTTATAATAACTGGACCACACCTATAATACCAGAATTCTTGTGCTATAAAAGTTGTTTTAATGGCTTTGATATCCAAAGGCTATTTTTGAACAAAGTCTTTGCTAAGACATTGCTAAGTACTGACCACCACCATTACTTGGCGTGTTATATATGCCTTTGTTTCTAGGTCCACCTATTTCCTCAGGGAAAGTTTGTATAAATGAGACTACTGTATATTTCTTTGTCATTTCCTCTTCTTGTTTCTGGGAGGAAGAATTGCAATGGATTTTACGGTGTTTATACATTAAATCAGATACCTTTCTATGGTACTGAATGTGATGGTAGTTGGGCGGGCCAGGAATAGTATTTTTGTTTGTTTAAACTAGGCAGATGAAAACATTGTTTACTTTTCAGAATATGGGTATTTTTCCTTTGTTTCAAAAGATTTAATATAGTTTTACAGCTCGTGAAGGCATGATTATAATGAATTAGTCTTTAGTATGCATATAGCTAATGGTTTTCTTTTGATAAGTTAGTGTTTCTTTTAGTAGATGTCATTTCAGAAGACATATCTATTAGATAGGTTCACATAATGTATTGTGTGTTTTTTTTTTCTTTTTGTTTCCATCTGGCACTCTAAATAGAATTTTAAGATCTTAGATTGGTGTTTCAGTGGTGCTGGGCACACAGATACGGCATACAGTAACAGAATGGCATAGGAGAAAGAAATGGGTTTTGAAATGAACTTCTCTGGGTTTTAAACCTAGGGCTGCAGTTTACTAACTGAGGACGAGTTAACTCCCTTCTCAGGAATTTATGCTTTGTCCTGTAAATTACAAAACAACAACTCACAGTGTTGTGGTAATAATTAGTTTAATTCATATATAATCTCCTGCACATTGTACCTTAGTAAATTCCATTATTTATGTTTTTATGGGTGCTTCAAAAGTGCTCATTTCTTGACCAAAGACACCTAAAGAGAAAGGGAGAACAAGGTAACATTTGAGACTTTTTATGTGTAGTTGATTAATATTGTAAAATAATAAACTGTTGGTTCTTTGAATACAGGAATTGTACTTATTTCTTTACCCAAAGCCAGCGTAGGTGCTTAATAAATGCTTGCTCTGGGGGGGGTATATGTGGCAAAACTCGAGTTTCTTCCCTTCCTGGTTTAGAGTTATTTCCCATGCATTGCTTCTTTTAACTCTGTGCAATTACTCTTTTTAAAATTGAGACAGGATCTAACTATGTTGCCCAGGCTGGTCTCGAACTCCTGAGCTCAAGTGATCTGTCTCCCTTGGCCACCCAAAGTGCTGGGGTTACAGGCGTGAGCCACCGCATCCATCCCAATTACTCCTAAATGAGCTCATTTTAATTAATCTGTAATTTGGCCTTTTACACAAACAGGAATATAAAATATATTCTTATTTACTGATGACTGGGGATAATATATATAAAATGATGTATTTGGTAGAGTTGCCAAACCACCAGTCTGAAGGTAAAAGGCAAATGTCTCTACAATAGATGGGAAGAAGAAAATGATTTTCATGGAATATAGATGTTTAGCAACCCTACAGCTTGGTTATTTTTATACATTGCTAGAAGACAGCCTGATTGTTGAATGGCTGAGGATAATTTATTCTTTGTGCAGGTTCTTGTTTTCTATGAATCAGGGTCAAATGCTGAAAGGAACTGTTATTTCACACTAAATACATTAAAAATTCTAACCCCGCATGCTTTTAAGAAACGAGATTTTTTTTTCAAAATTAGGAAAATGTTTGAACACATGGTAGAGTATGTGTGTATCTGAAAGAGAAATCATTCAACCATGTTTTATTGAGCATCTTCTTTGTTCCAATAAATATTCTAGATGCTTCAAGACACAGCATTAAACCAGAGAGTTAAGGTGCCTGGACTCAGTCAGCTTCCATTCGCTAATATGAACTTGCTAATCTGAATTAATCACTAAGAATTGTGAACATTTACAATAAGCCATTTGCATATTGTTGCTTGTATGGAAACATTTAGTGTGTAAACAGATTTCTTTGCTTAGTGTGCCATCGTGTGCTTGCAATACAAATATACCTAAAAATAGTTAAGGAAATAGGAAGGCCAGTGCTTTCACGGAGATTTTTAGAAATGTCGTTTGTCAATACATATTACTTATCTTTAAATTTAATTGTGATTTTTCAATTCTGATGACACTAATAAGATTTACAGTAGATTTTTAAAATTTCTTTTTATCAAGTGATTTACTAAGGGATATATGATAGGAGGCATTTAACTAATAGACATAAGATGGTTCTGGATCATTTCTTCCCCAGATAAGAGGGATTATTTCTATAGATGAATAAAAATGGTTTCTGGAAAGCTATGCTTCTGTATTTATATCTTAATTCAAAGGTGTCCAATCTTTTGGCTTTCGTGGGCCACATTGGAAGAAAAAGAATTGTCTTGGGCCACACATAAAATATACTAACAGTAGCTGATATGCTAAAAAAAAAAAATCTCATAATGTTTTAAGAAAGTTTACGAATTTGTGTTGGGCCACATTCAAAACCATCCTGGGCTGCATGTGGCCTGCAGGCCACAGGTTGGACAAGCTTGGCTTAGATTATTATTTTATTGAGAGAATCATTTGTATTATTTCTGGTGCATGTGATCTATCCACAGTATTCTCATTTTCTACTGCCTTTCTTACAAATTGTGTAATAAATTAAGGAGTAGCAGGTGGTTGCTTTTGCTTGGCCTGCACTTGTTTGGACAAACTAAAAAAAAATCAAGTTTCAGGTCATGATTTCTTAAAGGTTTGTCAGTGTATGGATCACAGTTCTCCAGCAATCCTGCATCTAGTGACCTGTAGAAGTTCTTAAACTTCAGTCAACAGACTTGTTCAGATAAGATTTCCAGTCCCTCAGTAATACATGCTGAAAGTCTGTTCTTTGCACCGTTTGGGGCTAGGACCAGTAGGGTAATTTCTAGTTCACCTTCTCATGCCAGTTATATTTCTTCAAAATTTTGTTTTACTATTACTTAACCTGTTAAGGCCTGTTTTTACAATTGCTTATTTTAATAATGTAATTTAAAAAATATTATATACATACAATGTAAAAACAGGAAGAGCTGTTTTCATAAAAGCAAAATTAAGTACTTAAGAAATAATCTTTGGTGAGCTACCTACCCTAACCAAAAAATTATGCTATTAAATTATAATTGAATGGGACACTAAAATAATGAAATAAAAATATGAAATAAATGAATTTACATGTAAATTATTTTGCAGATGTGTTGAAATGTTTGATCTACGTAGAAAAGGAGAACATCAAAGGCAAGCCTTTGTATGCTATGTGTGCAAGAAGGACAGGATGAAAATCCCATCAGTGGGTACATTTAAAAAATAAAGCTTTCACTCTACATCAAAGAGCAGTGAATGAATTTACATCTGTGCATCTTAAGTTAGAATGTTTGAGGTTATATGAACTTTTGATTTCCCACTTTACCTGACCTTTTTATAACCTGCTGACTAGAAATATTAGAGAATTTTGTTATATTTGCCTCCTTTTTTGATAATTTTTCTAAATCATTAATCCTAAACTATTTTCCATAAGATAATGGTAGTGTCTCTTCTAACTATATGTTTTAAAACTCTAGTGATTTTTCCAAAAAATGAACTTATTTAAATATGTGAGAAAAAAATTAAAAAGCATTCATGCAGTTTTGTGTTTGAATTTAAAAGTACACGTTTGAACTGCCCATTGTTGCATAAGCGACACTTGGAGTAGAATTCCATCCCTCTCTGTGTTTCCGTAGTGAAACCAGTACATAAGTTAAACACAGTTATGCTGTCTGCATTGTACCCACTACATCTTTCTTTATTAGACATGTTAGTTTATTCATTATCCTTATGATATACTGAACATTTATACCAAACCATTGATCTGTAATTGAAGGAAGAATGGCTCAATGGAAAAGTAGAGGCTTGTGGTTATTATACTGTTTTAATCATAATCAAAATATTTCTTGGATAATTAATTTTATGTCCAAGGCTGTGTTTTGTGTAATATAGGTGTGGCTTATGGTTCTTGAATATCTGTTGGTCTTTCACGAGTAAATTATAATTTTAAATGCCAGTGGCTTTAAACTATTTCCATGTGCATGGAGGAAAGCAGGAGTAGTCAGAGAGTACTAGGAACATGCTATATATCTATGCTGTGAAGTCTTAAGAATGACATACTGTATTAGTTCGTTCTCGCACTGCTATAAAGAAATACCTGAGACTGGGTAATTTATAAAGAAAAGAGGTTTAATTGGCTCATGGTTCTGTAGGCTGTAGAGGAAGCATGATTCTGGCATCTGCTCAGATTCTAGGGAAGCCTCAGGAAACTTATAATCATGGCAGAAGGCAAGGGGGAGCCAGCACTTCACATTGCTGGAGCAGGAGGAAGAGCAAAAGGGAAGAGGTGCCACACACTTTTAAATGACCAGATTTCACAAGAACTCACTATTGCAAGAATGGCACTAAGGGGAAATCCACCCCCATGATTCAGTCACCTCCCATCTGGCTCCATCTCCAACATTGGGGATTACAAATTCAACATGAGATTGGAACGGGGACAGGGAACCAAACCATATCACATACAAAAAAGGGTATATGCAAAGATTTGTATGTGAGTGTTCATAGCAGCATTATTCATAATAGCCAAATAGTGGAAGCAACTCAAACATACATTAATTGGTGAATGGGTAAATAAAATGTCTATTCATGCAATGGCATTCTATTAGGGAATAAAAAGTAACTAAGTATGGATATATGCTACAACACGGGTGAACCTCAAGAGCTGCTTCAGTGGAAGAAGCCATTCAGGAGAACACATATTGCATGATTCCTTTTACAGGAAATCTCCAAAAAAAGCAAATATAGAGAGACAGAAAACACTGTAATGGGTGCCTGAGGCTGGAGGTTGGTTAGGGTTAGAGCAGAGATATTAGAAAGAAAAAAATTATGATCTTGGCTTATTTAAAGCACAAATAAGAAATATTAGAATGAAAAGAACTTCAGAGATCTTCCAGATAGCCCTTCATTTTACAGATGAAAAGGCAAAAGCGACCTTCATTTAGGAGGTCAATATTCCTAAATGTATTTTTGATTAGCTTTAGTAATTTCTTTTGTTTCTGTGTGTTTCAATTATTGTTTTGTTCATATATACCATAGAGCATAAGATTTTTTTTTGTAAAAACATTAGTAATTTTCAAACACAAAAGGTGAGAGTATTCATTACTCACCTTTCACCGAGCTTTAAATGTCACAAACGCTTTGCCAATTTTGCTTTAGCTTTCTCCACTTTTTCCCTTTTATTCGTCTCAAGAAAATCCACACATAGCCATTTTACTCATATTTTGTTATATATCGTAACAGATAAGGAAATTTAAAAAAATACCTTTTATGGCATTAGCGTATCTAACATTTGGTGGTTATATCACTTAAGTCTCTCATTCTATATGGGTTCTTTCCCACTCCCTTCTCTTTGTTCCTACATTTTGATTCGTTAGTTAAATTGGATTATTGATCTTGCAGACTGTTGCAAATTCAGGATCTTGCTAACTACATTCTTGTGGTTGTGTTTATATTGTTTTTTGATCTACTTAATTTTTTGGTTAGAGTCATATTAAATGTATTAGATAAGAGTACTTCATATGTGGTACTGTATGCATTCCATTGCAACGTGTCATGAAGCGCATGATGTCTGTCCAGTATTTAGTGATGCTAAATTTGAAAAGTGGATTCAGGTGGTGTCCATCTGATCCATTTATTATGTTCCCAGTTAAATTCTCACCTCATGGCTTAGAGTTCATTGATGAATGGTTGCTTAATACTGTTTTTTGAGCAAATATTGAAACCAATAATTTTCTAATTATTTTATTCCTTCTGTATTTTATTATCTAGAATTCTTTAAAGGAAACCCTTGTTCATCAAATGTTATATTTCTGTATGAACTGTATTTCAGGCAGTATAAATGCTTGATTGATTCTTTCCCTAAATTTTCAGGGTACTAAGAGATGTCCTACCTTAGCAGCCTTCATAATGACTATTTAGTTTTTATTATTAATAACTCATGGATTTTTAAAATAAATGTTATGTTTCAATACAATGTAGTCATTCTTTTAGTGTTAAAATTATCCCATCTTGGGCCAGAAAGAGGCCCTTCCAGTTGCCTGCTGAGTCATTTTGCCATGACCTCCATAGTCTGTGATAACCTCTCTGATCCTAGAACATTCTGTTTGCCCAAAAAGTCTCATATGCTTTTTTGGCCCACACCTGGACTCAGTCATTTTTTCAAGGAACCCTGATTCCTTTGGTGGGAAATATATTTTCAGACCATAACTACATGCTCTTTGCTACTGGGTGATGACGTTCAAGTGGACAGCTGGATAATATGCATTTTTGAAAGAAGAAAATCATGTTCATACTAATATATTCAATCAAATCTAAAGTTATAGCATTTTTATTTAACTCCAATTTTATGTTTATCTCTTATTCAGAAAATATGGACTCCTAGCAGTATACATTTAGATATTTATTTTACAATTATATGAAATACTATAGTTTCAAAATAATATTTGTTAAAATTACTACTAATAGTAAGACAACTGGTTACAGTTTTAAAATTTTTAGTGTTTTTGTCTTTAGAATATATCACACTAGAAGCATATAAAAAAGAAAAGCTAGCTGGGTGTGGTGGCTCACGCCTGGTAATCCCAACACTTTGAGAGGCCAAGGCAGGAGGGTTGTTTGAGGCCAACAGTTCAAGACCACTCTGATAAACATAGTGAGACCCTGTCTCTACTAAACAAACAAAAAAATTAGCCAGATGTGGTGGCACATGCCTGTAGTCTCAGCTACTCTGGAGGCTGAGGCAGGAGGATCTCTTGAGCCAATAGGTCGTGGCTGCAGTAAGCCACAGTTACGCCCCTGCACTCCAGCCTGGATGATAGAGCGAGACCCTGTCTCAAACATAAAGAAAAAGAAAAGCTGTTATTTAAAAACATTTAATCTTTAAAGGCAAAATTTTAAGATACATTTGTAGAGATCTAACTTTCATCCCTATTCCTTTTCTCCCACGTAATCATTTTTATTTTTATCTTGACATTGTTTCTATTATATTCCATATAGAACCCCATCTACTTTTTATCGAAAGATAGTATACTAAAAGCACTTATTTTCTTTATGTCATTTGATAATATATTCCAGTCATGAATGTGTGCGATCTTTTTCATTCCTTTTCATGATTGCATAATACTTTATCAAGTGGATGTACCATAATTTGATATAGTCTATACTTCATGGATATTTGGTTTGTTTCTAGTCTTTTGTTTTCAAAAATGCTGCAAGAACTAACCTTTCGCATAAGCCATAAGCTGGTGTGTCTTTGGGATAACTTCCTGGTAGTAGGATTATTGGGCCAAAGGGTAACTACGTATTTGATTGTGTTAGTTATTGCTAAATATTTCTCTATAGGGAAAATTCCTCCATTTTGGTCTCCCACCAGCAAGGTATGAGAGTGCTTCTTTTCCCAACCATACCTATAGTGTGTGTTGACAAATTTTTTACATTTTTTTCTCAAACAAAAAAAAAAGAAAAAAGACATTTTTTTCAAACCTGATACGTACGAAGTATATTTTTGCATAAAACTAAGGATTTTAAAATTGTACGGTGACTTTATTGGAAATGTGACCCTTTATGCCAGGAATCAGTGAGCTTTTCCTATAAATGGCGAGACAGTAAACATTTTAGACTTTGCAGGCTCTAAGGTCTCTGTCACAACCACTCAACTCTGTTATTGTGTGAAAGCACTCATAGATTATATGTAAACAAATGAGCATGTTCATGTTCCAGCAAACCTTTATTTTTTTAAAAAAGGATGATAGGCGGGCAGGCGCAGTGGCTCTAGCCTGTAATCCTGGCACTTTGGGAGGCCGAGGCAGGCGGAGCACAAGGTCAAGAGATAGAGACCATCCTTGCTAATATGGTGAAACCCCGTCTCTACTAAAAATACAAAAAATTAGCCGGGCGTGGTGCCAGGCGCCTGTAGTCCCAGCTACTCGGGAGGCTGAGGCAGGAGAATGGCCTGAACCCTGGAGGCGGAGCTTGCAGTGAGTCGAGATCGCACCACTGCACTCCAGCCTGGGTGACAGAGCAAGACTGCGTCTCAAAAAAAAAAAAAAAAAAGGATGATAGGCTTAACTTGGCCTGTAGGCCATAGTTTGTTCACACTTACCTTATGCTGTTTTTAATAATGCAAGTGATTTAAGATGATCAGATGCTTTTACCAGGCTAGCTAGTTTGTTCTCGTATAATACACTATACATTTGATATATTGATTAAACGAGACAGCTGAGACACAGCTCAGTATATGTTGGATTGATACTAGAACTGAAGTATACTGTCTTGTAATCCAGCACTCTTTTCTAGTTCCCCACTACCTCTCCTGGTTAGTTCAGGACACTGTATATTGGATTATTTCATCTGTGGTACAGTAGATGCTACTACTGGCCAAACTTACATTGAAAGTACTTTGAGTTGTCATAGACTTGTCCTCCTTCAAACACACATGCTCAGTTGACTTTTATTTTGCCCAGTGATACTCACTTTTTTTCTAGCTCAGTGGTTGGCACTGTCACCTGTGGCCAAAGAGCATGGTCAGGTTAAATAGCCCTATAAGGAAGGATTAAGCCTATAATTATGGATTCACTTGAGGCTAGTATTAATCAGCTGAACTATTTGAGCATAATCACATAATGACCATAATTTTTCATCCAAAAGAACTTATTTTTCCACAGAGTGAAGAGCAAATGAGCTAGCATTTCAGAGGTTATAGGAACGGTTTAAGTTAGAGATTAGCAGCCTTTCAGAAATGATGATCTAAGACTTGATTTATTCTCTAGTTGCATTGCTACTTCTCTTATGAGATGGCAGGGAGATAGTGGAAAAACTGTGATTCATTCTTTGCTGAGAAAAGGTGAAAAGGGCCTGGTAGGTACTTGGCATAGAGCTGCCTAATATAAATGTGAAAATTGTATACCTGTATGTTCCTGTGGACATCCTGTTAGGAGAGAATTTGAGTGAAGATTTGGAAACTTCTTGGGTTTTAACTCTTACTGTGTTGTATATGGAGTAATATTTAGGTTGATCTTTTCATGAATTATATCGAACAAAGGAAACTTTTAAATCAAGTGCCTCGATGCTTATTTTTGTTTATGATTTGCCAACAATAATTATTTCATATAAAAGCATAGATAAAGGCCTATAATAGACATTTTAAATATGTGACGCCTGTGTCTTATTGAGGATATATTTTCTCTACACACCTTTGTTTTCACAGCATGGGTTTTTTTTCTTATGTCAGTGTTTTCACTTCTGTATTATCAGATGTGTTATGACTAACAGCATTTGCATTTTTTTTTTTTTTGAGATGGAGTTTCACTCTTGTTACCCAGGCTCGAGTGCAATGATGCGAGCTTGGCTCTTTCGCTCTTGTTACTCAGGCTCGAGTGCAATGATGCGAGCTTGGCTCACTGCAACCTCTGCTTCCCAGCTTCAAGTGATTCTCCTGCCTCAGCCTCCCGAGTAGCTAGTATTACAGGTATGTGCCGCCATGCCCAGCTAATTTTGTATTTTTAGTAGAGACAGGGTTTCTCCATGTAGGTCAGGCTGGTTTCGAACTCCCGACCTCAGGCGATCCACCCGCCTTGGCCTCCCAAAGTGCTGGGATTACAGGCATGAGCCACCGTGCCTGGCCAGTATTTGCATTATTAAATAGATCCATAACATCATTGCATGTCTTTTGCTGTATCTGTGACAGCTTCTTGACTCAGTTATATAATCTGGGAATGAGGTCTTGTGTGGGTAGGACTTCTTTAGTAATTAGCCATTAAATAGAACAACAGTTATTGATGGGGATCATCATTTTTTCCAATATCTTTGCCTTTATTTTAGTTCGGTGGTTTCAAACTGTAATGTGCTAGATTATCAGCGTATATTACCTGGACCCTGTATACAGGTTTACTTTAAATAGGTACGAACTGAAGCCAACATGTGTTATAAACAAGTTCCATAGGTGATTCTAATATCTACCAAATTTTGAGAATCACTACCTTAGATATATTTTTATTGTAACTTTTATTTTTTTACTAGTTTTCTTTGAAAGAAGTTACAGAAATAGTGCAGAAAGTTTCTCTGTGCCCTTCTTCTAGCTTTCCCCCAATAATAATATCATATATAATGGTAGTATGTTGTCAAAACCAAGGAAGTGACATCGATACTAATGCTATTAACACAGGTACAGACCTTATTCTGATTTCATCAGCTTTTTACATGCATTCTATAATCATTATGTTTGTTGATTTAGGTTTATAGTTCTATGAAACTTTGCCACATGTGTAGATTTATGTAACTGCACCATTCTTTATCAGAGTACAGAACTCTTCACCACCACAAAGAAACTCCCTCATGTTAACCCTTAATAGTCTCATCATGCCTCCAAATTTGGCTGCCATTGATCTGTTTTCTGTGACCTGAAGTTTGTCCCTTTGAGACTCTTACGTAAGCAGAACCATACAGTATGTAACTCCTTGAGACTGTCTTTTTTCAGTCAGCCTAGTACCCTTGAGATCCATCCGAGTTGAATGTATCAAAACTTTGCTGATTTTTATTGCTGAGTAGTTTTCTGTTGTATGGATGCATCATAGTTTTTTATTGTTTCTCCCATGGGAGCACATTTGGGTTGTTTCCAGTTTGGGTCTTTATGAAGAAAGCAGCCAGAAACATTCATGTAGAGGTTTTTGTGAATATAAGTTTTCACTACTCTTGTGCAAATACCTAGGAGTAGATTACTGGGTCATACGTTATGTGTATGTTTAGTTCTATATGGCAGTGCCAAATTGCTTCCCAGAGTGGCCTTCACCGTTTTGCATTCACATTATACAAGCCACATATGAGAGAGCCAGTTTCTCCACTTTCTTGTCTGTACTTGGTATTACCAGTATTTTAAAATTTAGGTGTGTAGTGGTAGATCATCATAGCTTTAATTTGCATTTTCCTAATAGATAATGTTGTTAAACCTATTTTTGTGTGTCTATTTGCCATTCGTGTACCCTCGTTGGTAACGAGTTTACACCTTTTTCCATCTCATGGCTGGATTGTTTCTTGCTATGGAGTTTAGAGAGTTCTTTGTATATGCTAGATATGTCTTTTTGCTGAATATGTGACTTGCAAATATTTTCTCCCAGTCTGTGGCTTGCGTTTTCATCCCCTTAATAGGGTCTTTCACAGAACAGAAGTTTTTAATTTTTGATGAAGTCAAATTTTTTTATATACATATATGTATACTAAATCTATGGATTGTGCCTTTGATGTCATAGCTAATCCTATGGCCTAACTTTTGTTCCCAAAGATTTTTTTCTTATGTTTTTATCTATAAATTTTTTAAGTTTATGTTTTAAATTTAGATCCAATTTAAGGTAATTTTTGAATAATGTGCTACTTTTGATTTTAGTATTTCTAAACTCTGTTTGAGATACTATGTCCAAATAGTTCTTTTAGCTAGTATTTGTCAAAACCTGTAACTAGGAAAATTATTTTGGCAAATTTATTTCAGGGAGTTTTCTTTATCAGTATGTGGTGAATGATAGGTTTACCCCAACATGAATTTAAAATTTTAACAGAGTCTGATAACTCAACGATGTTTAATATTTACCCAAGTTCATATTTGAGAGTATGTTATTCACATTGTGACTTGAAAGCAACTTTTGGTTTTATTGTTTGGTTGGCTGATCTACCAGTGGGCTTGCTTGGCTGACATGCATTCCCACTCTTTAATATGTGTATGTGCATATATTTTAATAATTATAACTCTCACATTTAATGTTTTAAATGCTAGGTTTCTAACCTAGTGTGTGTTTGAAATTTAAAAAAAAAATCAACTAAAACTTTTTAACTTCCTTTGGTGGAGAACTTTTTTTTCTATATTTATTGCTTCAGAGAGCAAGTATAGTAAAATTTTAAAAAATCCACAGATAATTTTGTTTTTAATGAGTAACTTTTTCTTCAAATTTTTTGAATAATAATTTAACCTTTTTAAAGTAGAAATATATATTTGTAATAAGGCCTTTTATACTTAATTTCTATGTGCCAAAGAAAAAAGAGGTCAGAGTTTCACATAGTTCTCTCTTCTCATATTTTTGTTAATCATTAAAAAAAATTTAATTGTAGTGTCAGTCACATTTTTATGACCTTTTTTGGACTAATTTTTCTAAACCACAGTGATTCTCCCATATATGTTGCTTGCAAGGCAACAAACACAAGTGCAAAGGAAGCTTTCAGTAGATGATGTTGAGTCCAGCTGCTGCTGACACTTGTATGGGCAGAAAGTTGTGCAAGAATGACTGGAATCATAAGTGAGCATTGGGACATGGTTTTGTGGTTTGGGTTTGTTATTGAGAGAAGTTATTTGGTCATTTCTATAAATGTTTATGAATTATTTTAGGGTTCTATTCAAAAAAGGGTAGTATTTGTTAGGGGATTATATATATAAAACATTTGGCATAGTTTCTGCAACTAGATAAGCATTCAGTTAATGTAGAGTTTTTTCCTAGAGTGCATTTAGGACATCTTTGCCATTGTTTAGTTGGACTTATTCCATTTTTAAGTTATTGGTATCTGAGGGCCTCATATGGTATTTCTTTAATCTGCTCACAATTTCTTTATATAGCACTAAGTACACAGTGGGTGCCCAGTAAATGTTGTTGACTGTCTTGTGACTCATTGTAGATATTTCTTTTAAGTCTGTTTTCTCAAATCGCTCGTTTGTTTACATTAATTTTATATCTCCTCCTTTGATATAGCTATTTCTGCTGAAGGTTTTTCTCATATTTTTCCCCAAGATGTTTTTCTCATCTTGTTCCCTTTTCTTGTTAAGAAAGTTTGACTTTCATAACTGTTCAAAAAGTAAACATCCCCTGTAAGATATTTAGGAAAACCCAGAGACAAACTGAAATTTCTTATTTATGGGACATATATAAGAAATTTAATATTTTATTATTATTATTATTATTTTTTGAGACAGAGTCTCACTGTCACCCAGGCTGGAGTGCAGTGGCATGATCTTGGCTCACTCTAGCCTTGACCTCCCAGGATCAGGTGATCCTACCACCTCAGGCTCCCAAGTAGCTGAAACTGTAGACATGAACCACCACGCCTGGTCTAATATTTAATTTTTACTTTGTAGTTATATTTTCCCATCCCATATCTTGGTCTGTGTTGGTGACTCCTTGAGAGAGAAACCCAGACAGAGAGAGGTGTGTGTGTATATATGTAAAATTCTATTCACTTCTATTTGTGCATTTTCTTATGTAAATTGTATCTCAGTAAAAAATATAAAGTAAAAGATCATTTTTGTTTCTTTCATGAGGAATTTTCCTCTTTGATAAAAGGAAACAAAAATGTAACAGGGATTTAAATTTGAAACACTTATTATTAAACTTATGGACTACTTTTAAGATATGTTTTATTCACTGATCCTGAGTGAATAAATGTGATTGAACATTTATTTTTTGAACATTTATTTACATAAACATTTATTGAACATTTATTTACATAAATGTGATTGAACTAGGTAGAAGCCTTTATGTGTGTATTAGAGTTTATAAAGTTCCAATGAAGGTATATCATTAAGTCTAACTGAATACTTAATAGTGTGCTAGGCATTATATGAGACCGGTGGTTCTCAAAATTGGCTGCACTTTAGAATCTCTTGGGGAGATTTTTAAAAATCCTCACAAACCAATTAAATCAGAATCTCTGAAAGTGACACCTAGGCCTCAGTATTTTCTTAAATGTAGGTGGGTCCATTGTGCAACCAAGTTTGAGAACCATTGTGCTAGACAATGAATATACCTTACCCATTTAACCCTCTCAGCAACCTTGAGAGGCAGGAAGTGTTATTCCAGTTTTGCAATTCAAGTTCCAGTGAGATCAAATGACCTAATAACTAATTTGTGCAGACCCAGACACAAACCACGATCTCTGACTCTGAATCTTGATTTTTATCAATAACTCTTGGTGATTAGTATGTAGATTTTTTTTCCTTTTTGCAAGTGTGTATCTTTTTTTATTACCCTGTGCCTTTCTGGAATGCATTAATGTTGTCACTGGAAGATTACACTGTATGTATTTAGTGAGCTAGATATTTTTGTTTTCTCCCTGCCGTATCGCCCACATGTCCCCACCAAAAACAGTGAAGGCCAAGTTATACAACGATTATCTAAAGCACTTATTTTAAATTTATAGATACTAGAATAAGTTTATTGACTTAGAGATGCTGCTTAGGAATAAACTATTACTCTATCAACTTTTATAAAAATATATTTTGCCATTTTTTAACTATTTTAGATATTATAAGCAAAACAAAAAATAGAAACCAGGGTTTTGGAATTGAAAATATTATTAGGATATTACTAAATGTTAAAGAAATTTCCCTGGAAATTACCTGAAGATGATGAGTAGAGGGGGAATGGAGAGAGAGAATTATGTTACTTAGCATCTCAGTAACTGGCTATCATAGTGAATATTAAACTTTTCCTCACCACAAGTATTTTTAGGAGTCATATGTTTTCTACTGGAGTACATATCTGCTTAGAATAGGAGAATAAGAGTTGCTTCAGGAAAAGTTACTTGGCAAGTGAATTTGGAATAGACCTCTAGTGAAAGCCAAAGGAAAATAAGTGCTCATGGTGCTCACTAGCACATTCCCTCACTCTTGCTCTCTCTCTCTCTCTCCCTCCCTCCCTCCCTCATTCTCTCTCTCTCTCTCATGCTGCCATATACACACTATACGCACGTATGTATACTCACACATTTGTATGTGTGTACTATATGTATAGAATGTATTTAGAGTAAGGTGAACAAAAGCTGGCCCTATGTCTATTAAAGGTCTGAAATGATAACTAAGCATGAGGCAGAACAACTTCTAAGATGTATTTGGGAACCACCCTTGCACAGCATAGTGATTTTTTATATATACATGAAAAGTATGGCAGGATGATAAATACTGTCCATTTGTTTACATGAATTTAAAAGGGCATTTAGAAGCAAGTGAACTATCTAATTTCATTTAAGAAATAACAGCTTTTGAGTTGCGAGCTAAATTAAATTTAAAGAATCCTGTCATTACCTACATGACCCTTTTATTACATGAGTTAGAACACAGAGCAGGTTATGTCTTTCTGGGTATATGACAACTAAATTACAATAAAGCTTCATCTACTCATGCTAACCTTATTCTCAAAGGTCTAATGATACAAAGAGGTTCTATTGTGTCCTGTGGCCCACTTTACATAATTGCTATGTTCCTTAAAAGTAGTAAAAGGGGAAGATTTGAGAGAGGTATAACAACAAAAAATCAACCTAATGAAACTATATTTAAGTAGATTCATTCTTTAAGAATTAATTGAACATACTATGCAGAAGGTAATGTACTAATCAAAAATGGCAAAATTATGTTAATGGTTTTTGACTCAAAAAATTTTTCTGGTGGATAAGGTGATGTACTTTGGAAACTATGCACAAGGTACCCTGGGGTATTTCACTCCTGCATTGTGCTAGTCACTTGGCTACGTCTTTACTCTTTCTGCCATACTCTACATGCTAGAGGGAAACCTGTGTCTTTAAAAACAACATTTAAAAAAATTTTCATATATTTATTGCAGACAGGGTCTTGCTTTGTCACCTAGGCTGGAGTGCAGTGGCACAATCGTGGCTCACTGCAGCCTTGACATCCCAGGCTTAAGTGATCCTCCCGGCTCAGCCTACCGAGTAGCTGAGACTAGAGGTGCATATCAGCATGCCAGGCTATTTTTTAAATTTGTTTGGTAGAGATGAAGTATTATTATGTCATCCAGGCTCTTGGCTTCAAGTGATCCTCCTGCCATGGGCTCCGAAAATGCTGAGATTACAGGTGTGGGCCACTGCACCCAGCCGGAAACCTGTGTCTTGTCTTTGGATTTGCTCTACTTCATTGTCACACAGAGATGGGTGTGATAGATCATCATAGCTAATTATTGAACAAAAGGATTTACATGTTTCCTTTAAATATAGACAAGGTCCTAAAAGAATTTAAAATAGACTTCTGTGTAAAACAAGAAAGGTTCTTGGATTGCAAAGACGATGTGCTCTAAATGTAGGTGATGCCAGGAGCAGTGCTTTAGAACAGCGAGTACGTCAAATCACCTGAAACTGAAACTCAGGTACAGCGTGTATGTAGAACTGTCATTCTCTAGTTTGCTGGTTGAGTGATGAGACTGCAGTCAAGGTGTAGGCTGGGGCTCAAGTCTTTACTGGGGAGAGATTTGCTTCCAAGCTCACTCTTGTGACTATTGGCCTGAGATGTCAGTTGCCACATGGGACTCCCCATAGGGCAGCTGGATTCTCTCAGAGCAGGAGGGTACCTAAAATAACACCATGGTCTTTTCGTAACCTAATCTCAGAAATGACAGCCAATCACTGTTGCTGCATTCTATTTACTGGAAGTGAGTCACTAAGTCCAGCCCACGTACAAAGGGAGGAGACTGCACAAGGAAGCAGTCATTGGACATCATCTTAGAGAAGGCCCACCATGGTAAATGTATTTCCTTAAACTGAGTATATAAAAATATTATTTTAACATGTAGTCAGCATACAATAATTACCAATAGATATTTAATACCTTTTACTAAGTCTATGGAATATAGTGTGTATTTTACACTTATAGCACTTCTCAACTCAGATGTTATATTTTCATTGGAAATACCCGATCTGTATTTAGATGTCATGAAATTTATACTTGAAAAAATAGATTCTGGGCCAGCACGGTGGCTCACACCTGTAACTTCAGCACTTTAGGAGGCCGAGGCAAGTGGATCATTTGAGGATAGGAGTTCATGACCAGCCTGGCCAACGTGGTGCGACCCTGTCTCTACAAAAATTAGCTGGGCATGGTAATGAATGCCTATACTTCCAGCTACTCAGGAGGCTGAGGCACGAGAATTGCTTGAACCCAAGAGGCTGAGGTTGCAGTGAGCTGAGATCGTACCACTGCCTTCCAGCCTGGGTGACGGAGTGAGCCTCTGTCTTAAAAAAAAAAAAAAAAAAAATTCCCATACTCAACTTATCCCAAATATACTTAAACATTTTCCAGTAACTGAATCAAGTATCAGTTTTAAAATTCAAATTAAAACTAAATAAACTAAAACTGTAGTCCCTCAGTCACACTAATTATGCTTCAAGTGCTCAGTAGCTACATGGCCGCCATATTGGACAGCAGAGTCCTAGAAGTTTTGCTGCAAAAGAAAGGCGGGTAATGACAAGGTACTTGAAAGAGTACTTGGAAGAAGCAGGCAAGTCGTATTTAAGATAATAGAAATCTCTGCATTTTTTTTTTTTGTTTGTGCACCTTGGAGAGAGAGATTTAAGGTGGCAGAAACATGGGATGTAATTGATGGGACTATGGATTATTGGTCAGACTTAAGTGGAGGTGCTATGGGGGCAGAAAGCCTGAAGTGATGAATGGCTTGTGGTAGGGACTTGGTATTCCAGGTGTTGAAATGTAAAATAATTGAGTGTGGGAGACTGAAACAAGAGCTTTTCAAAATTTTCTTTTGGGTTTGCCATTCCCTTTATCATTTTTTCCTAGTGTGAATGCCAAGAGAGAGAAAAGCACTTGGAAATGGATCCCATTTTCCAGGCTTCTGTTTCCTGTGAGCCTCAGAGGAGACCCTTTCCTGACCAGGAGCAGAAGTGTTCTCAGCATAGGAAGAACTCCCTGGGAATGGGCGTCCTGTCCATGTGACTCTTTCAACCAAATGCTACTTGTAAATTAGTGCAGCCACTGTGCCCTGCCTTGACCCTAGTCCTAACTATCTTGTCTCCATTTCCAGTTTCTAAACAAAATTGTGCATAAATATTTTATGTCAGAGGTAAAGGGGCATGGGATCATCTTGTTCAATACCTGTATTTTGTAAATGAGAAAATGGAAGGCCAGAGAAATTAAGTGATTTACTTACGGTAACACAAGTGGCCATTTAGGATACTCCCAGGCCTTTTGATGTCCAGTATATTGTTTCTCCAACCTCACCTGGGGAAGTAGCTGTCTCAGTGGTAGGGCTGGGGTATGGGTACATCTGGTATCTGCCTTCCTGTTTAAATGTTGAGGCTTATGGCCCTTGCTAGGGTTATTGGGTAGTGGGGAGTGGATTTGGTGGGTTTTCATTTGTAGTTGTCCCATGCTCTCTGTGCTTTTGGGCAAATTTCTTAAACCTCTGTAAACCCCAACTAAATGGCAGTGGTAACTGCCTCATAAGATTAAACGTAGACAAAAAGCACCTGTACAGGACTTAGAAGATATTCAATAACCACATATTTTTTTCTCCTTCACTACCTGGCTTTTGCTCATTCACTTGTTGTTTTTGTTTATTTTGATGAATGTTTAAGATCTCAAAGAAATGATGTAATGTGGTAGTAAAGAGCACCAACTTCAGAATCAGACACCTTGGGTTTAAATTTCAGCTCCACCACTTACTGGCTAAGGAACCTTAGGCAAGTTCCTTAATCTGTCTGCATGTCACCCTCATCTGGAATGTGGAGGTGGCAGCACTTGCTTCATATAGTGTAGTAAGGACACGAGTTAGTGCAGGTAAAAAACATTTTCTAACACACAGTCAACACTCAAGGATTAGCTGCTGTTGATACTGGATAGAAACTACTTTTTCTTGTGTTCTGTTTGGCTTTTACTGTTGGGACATGACACTAGCATTCCATATGTGCTTCTTTGATGTGAATATGCCACTGCCTCTTTGCTTGGTACATTATACCAAGTATAACTGAAAGTTGAGTCCCATTCCTAAAAATGAAAAATTAGATTATTCTTTTCTGATATTAATCATAATTCTCATTGGTCAAAGGAAGCTACAGATTTGAGTCCTGTCCCACAGATTACATGGCTTCAGGCAAATTACCGAGCGTCTGGGCAAAATGAGGGAGTCTTCATACAATCTAAAATTTTGTCAGTCCCAATTTAATCCCTTCCCCAAATAGGAAAACCATTTAGAAACTTCCTGAGGATTGAGATCTTTTATCCATGTGCATGTCTTTGGGGCTTATTTAAACACTGGGAGTTATTTGGGTGGCCTTTGCTAGGGTTATTGGCGGGGGGATTTGGTGGGTTTTCATTTGTAATTGTCCCATGTTCTATGCGCTTTGGGGCAAATTTCTTAAACCTCTGTAAACCCCAGCTAAATGGCAGTGGCAATGGCCTCATAAGATTAAATGTAGACCAAAAGCACCTTTAAAGGACTTAGCAGTAGATATTCATGAATGACTTGAATGACTTCTTATACCTCTGGCTACAGAACAGGTTGACTCTCAGCAACCCACCAAGTTTTTGCTCTCCTATGAACTGATGAAACTAATATGACCTTCCCTCCCTTCCTTCCTCAACTAAATAAAAAAAAATGCTCATAGAGAACCCCATCTTGTGCCAGTTATAGTTCTAGGTGCCAGCAGAGAATGAGACAGGCCACGTCCCAGCCCTCCAGGAATTTTTATTCTGGGGTCAAATAAAAAACAAGGAAATAAGTAAATAAGCAGGATGATTTCAGATAGTGATAAATGTGATGGGGACCAAGCAGGGCTATGTGAAGAGTGGGCCACGATGGGTGGGGTGTGCCTTGGTACCTTTTTTGAGTGGTTAGAGAATACCTCTAAGAGGAGGAAATATTTTATCTGAATTCTGAATGACCTCAAGGAGCAGGCAATTTGAAGTTTTCTGGTTAAAAGCATTTTGGACCGAGGGCAAAGCTATGGAAGGCTCTTGGATGTGAAGAGACTGGGTCTATTTCAGGAAAGAATGCCAGTGTGAATTACATGGGGCATTGAAACTGGGAGTAACAAGAGGGGCGCTGAGGTTGTCTCATTGGTTCTCAGACTTTAGCATACATCAGAATCACTTGGAGAGTTGTCAAATGTGGATTGTAAGGCCCTGCCCTTAATGTTTCTGATTATGTCTGTCTCAGGGGTGCGGCAGCCAAGTACTATGGCTGCTGCTCTGAAACCATACTTTGAGAACCACCAGGCTAGCTCATTTGGGGCCTGCAAGCCAAGGAAAAGAATTTGGGTTCATCAATGCATTGGAAGGCCAGTGAAGGATTAGAGAGATGTGATCTGATTTATGTCTTCTTTCTTGTTTTTCTCCCCCACTGACCTAATGGCATACATATTTAAAAGTTCACTCTGACTACTACAGGGGAGAATAGATTTTAAGGGACAAGAGGAGAAACAGGAGAGACCAGTGAAAAGGCTTTTGAAGCAGTTTGGGCAAGAAAAGATGATGCCTTGATTACCAGGGTGGTAGCAGGGAGCTGGTGAAAAGTATAGAAGTTCAGGATATGTTTTAGAGTTTAGATCCCAGGGGAATTGTTAACAGATTGGAAATAGGAGATAAAGGACAGAGAGGAATTAAAGTATGCCTGCTGGAGTTTTTTTGCTTGAGTTAACTGGGTGGTTAGTGGAGCCATTTGTAGAGATGGGGAATAATATAGAGTAGGTTTGTGTGAGAATGAGGATTAGAGATGAAGAGGAGAATCAAGTTTTGGTTATAGAACATTTGAGATACCTATGGGACATCCAAATGGAGATAACCATGAGATTGTTGGGAATAAAAGTCAGAGCTCAATAAACAAGTCAGGTTGGAGATGTAAATTTGACGGCCACTGACATATAGTGATATTTGAAGCCATGGGCTTTTATGAAGTCTCTTGGAGGTGGAGGTTGTAGAAAGAAGAGAAAAAGGCAGAGAATGGACCCTGGGTTGCCCCAACATTTAGAAATCAGAGGAGGTGAGGATGGGGAGACTGAGGAGTGGCAGTGAAGAAGGAAGAAACAGTAGATTGTGTGCCCACATGAAGAAGCCAAGGGAAGACAATCCCTCACAGAGGACTTGAGTGGCTGTGAAATAGTGCTCAGTGTGACCAAGATGAGACAGACAGTTGTCTATGATTTGGACCCTCATAGGTTATTGGCAACCTTGAGAAAAAAAAAATGTAATATGAGAGTCATATAATGTTTTGGGTTTCTCCTTGTCGATTTTCATTATTGCATATCTTTTCAAGCCCTTTTGACATACTCACTATTTGAAATTAGGCTCATCAAGAAAAAAGGGCTTTATTGTTTTTAATTGTATTCTCTTGAGCACATAATACAATGTTATGCCCACTTCTGAACAAATCTTGTTTAAAAAATTCTTCTGTTGTTTCATTAAACCCAGACAGAGAAACTGAGAAATCGTGTTGAGAAATTGGTCTTCAATTTATAATTGAAATACATACTTTAGTGGCCATCAAAACACTGCCAGTTATTTTGAAGGACTGCCTCATCAACACTTACCACAATAAATCCTATCTATGTTTGATTGCCCTCTTTGTGCTGAGAGAGGGTTACTGTTAAATTTATTTTTGGTCTTTAGACTGCAATACTTAAAAACCCTATTGTTTTAAGACTGAGAATTCACTCATATTTTTGTATTTAATATTGAAGCCATATTTTTTGTATAGCACTTTTCTGAATGAATCTATAAGAATACTTTATAAATATGATAAATACAGCAAACTGATGAGAGCCCATTGGAGTTGAGTAGCTTATTAAGGATGTAAGTATATCTCATACAGCATTTTAAACCTTTGCTTTTTCAAATCAAGACTAGAATTATGTTTTGCTGAGCTCTTTTATTTCCTCTTTTTATCTATTTTAAGGATATTATATTGACAGTAATGGAGTAATGATTACAGTGGGCACATGATTTTGGAGTGCCCTGTAAATCAAAATGATAAAAAGACCAATCAGCAGTAATAGTAGGACACTAATTGAATTCGGTGTTAAAATGAGATTATGATATTATCAAAATATATTATTGAATAATGCAAATTTTGCCTTAATTCTCATTATTAAAATTGAGTATAATATTGAGATAATTTTAATAAAGCAATGATTTGCATAAGCAATAATTTACTGTAGCTTGTTATTTTTAAGCTTGAATAATGAATTTTTGCCCTGATGTGGGGGAGTTTTCTTATTATAAATATCTTTCCAGTATAACCTCCTCTCCACCTACCCTTATGTGAAATTTGCTGTTGTTTACTGTTAAGGGGAAAAGCCTCTAAAGAGTAGACTGATAGTCAAACAAGGCCACCGGTGAAGAAAAGCATATGTGAAAATCTATTTGATAAGAAAACTGGTTGAAACATTCCCGTTTAAAAGGGGTGAGGAGGCTTCAATGGCAGTTACTGTGATTTTTAAATATTTAAATATTTTAAAAACTTAGTATTCTTAAGTATAGTTGTTATTGAATGTTAATGTTACATTTTTCTCTTTAGTTTATATTATCAGAATTTCCTATATTTAGATGATAACACACATTTGATTATTTTCACTGTACTTTTAACTTTGGGTGACAATTTTGTTATTACTTCGGAGCCTCTGACCAAAAAATTAATGTTAGGAGAATGTGAGTAGGTAAAAGATATTTTCAAAATTTTGCTGGTGACTAAAAGGTCAAATAAGTTAAAGTCTTAAAGCTACTTAGGATTCAGGCCAAATCCAGGCTTCCATCTGGTATTCTTTTCACTAGACTGGACTATGTAGTAAGCAAACTGGATAAACACATTCCTAAATTTAATGTGTATGGATCACAATTGGGAACTAACATATAATTGACCCTACAGGCTCTGCTTATCAAAATTCTACTTTTCTTTCAAGACCTGAGTCTCTTGTCTTTTCTCTTTGAAGCATGCCTTGATCCTGCTCCCCACCACACACAGCTGGTCTCAGCTGGCTTTCACTGACCTAAATTTTCAAAGTTGCCATCTGTTTGATGACCCTTCTTTTTCGTTTTGTATTATGTAATTATGCATTGCATCTTCTCGGTTGTATTGCACATTCACTGTGGAAGGATCTTGGTCTTATTCACATTGCTTTCCATTTTTCAGGAACAAAAGTTACAAATACATTATTAAATTGAAATAACAACTGAGAACATTAGGATGTTTTTCCTAGAAGTCTAATGTAAATGCCCCAGTGTGGTGGCTCATGCCTGTGATCCCAGCACTTTGGGAGGCTGAGGTGGGAGGATTGCTTAAGTCAGGAGTTCAAGACCAGCCTGGCCAACATGGCAAAACCTGGTGTCTAGTAAAAATACAAAAATGAGCTGGGCATGTGCCTGTAGTCCCAGCTACCCAGGAGGCTAAGGCACAAGAATCGCTTGAACCTGGGAGATAGAGGATGCAGTGAGCTGAGATTGTTCCACTGCACTCCAGCCTAGGTGACAGAGCCAGACCCTGTCTTAAAAAAAAAGTTCTGTGTGAATGGTTTTTCAAGTAGCGCTTTGTCCTACTTTCCCCATCTTAAAAGAAATTGGCTTATGTATAGTGATTAGAGATGGATTTTCATCATAGATACAAACTACCTGAGGAAGTAAAACTGTCACACACAGACATCAAAACTGTGAGTGAGAGGAGTTCACTGCAGTGTGCAGTAGACAGGGAATGCTTCCCCAGAATTACAAAGTTGTCAGTTATCCCTTGCTAATAAATCCAGTGTGTATTTTTCATTCATCTTGTAAAAAATAAAACATAATCAGTTAATTTTAAAAAAAAAATCCCAGACAAGTAATCCTGAAATGAAAGCTCATTTTATTTTTTGGTGGTAAGGACTCTTTTCCTTCCCAGTTTTAGGCTTAGGTAGTGCATCTTCTGTGGAAAGTAGTCATTGAATTCACTCTTTCAGCAAGTATCAGTGCCTACTACATGGCAGGCATGGTCCCAGAGATTCTGTGTATTTGCAAATGTGTGGACAAGGTGGTAGAGACAAGTCCCTACTCTCATGGAATTAATTACCCTTTAACAGAAGGAGACATAAGTATGTTGCTCATTAACCCTGTGGCCAAAAGTAAAGCAGAGAGATGGGGGTGTTAAGGTCAGGAGCAGACTCTGTAGAGGGCCTGGTATTCTGGATGTGTTCAAGGAAAAGGCAAGAGTCCTGAGATTGGAATGCAGTGATCCTAGGGAGAAAGTGTTAGATAGGGGACTGGAGAGGCCGGAGGTAAGGGAGGAAGGAAGGACCTATTACAGATGGTCTCCTGCTTGCGATGGTTTGATGTATGATTTTTCAACTTTATTGTGGGTTTGTCAGAATGTAACCTCGTCATAAATTGAGGGACATCTGGATTTATGATGGTTTGAATTATGATTTTCTGATTCTGTGATGGGTTTATTGGGGGTATTTGGTACATTTTGACTGATATTTTCAATTTAGGGTGGATTTATCAGGTTGTAATCCCATCGTAAGTAGAGGAACATTTGTATAGCACTCCAGATCTTTTCTGGTTGAGGCAAGAAACCATTGGAGAATGTGAGAAGTGAGGCAGTGAGCTGACTTGTATTTTATTTTATTATTTTATTGACTTATTTTTCCACACATTCAGAGAAACTTCTCTAGTAATGAACTATAGAAATGACCCCTGAAAGTTTAGTCTTCTAACTTGTATTTTAAAAAGATCACTCTGGTTGTTTCGTTGAGACTAGATTATGAAGTGACAAGGTTGGGAGCAGGGACACCAGTTGGCAGCTTGAGCAGAGGTATTTGGTGATCCAGGTGGTTGGTGGATTCTGGGTCTATTTATGATATAGAGCTGGCGGAATTTGTAGATGGATTAGATGTATGTTTATGAGAACAAGGATTTTTGGTCTGGACAAATGAAAGAAATGTGATTGACTGAGATGGGAATACTTGGAGAGTCTTTTTAAAATTCATTTTTGTTGCTATTACCAAAGTTACTTTTTCTTTCATTGTACTTTCTGATGAGTTTTTGCTGATATTTAGGTAGGCTATTGACACTTTCATATATGAACTTTGTGCCAACCTACCTTACTGAGTTCTCTTACTTATAAAATGTTTCAGTCGATTCGCTGATTTCTCATCTCTTTTGACTTCTCTGTGCAATTTTACCAAACCATTTAATTCCAAAAATTACCATTTTCTTTTATGGTTCTATTAACTTTCCTCTGCCAAAAATATCAGTTATTTCTTGCCTTTTTCTGTGTGTTTCTATTCATTCTCCAAAACCCAGCTCATGTTTCCCATCTGTAAGACATTTCTGGATTCCTAAGAAAGTTGTGTTTTCTTCCTGTGACCCGCAGCTGCACCATCTGCATACCTGTGTTAGAGCAGTCATCAAACTTGATGGTAATTTTGCCTGCCTGTCAATCCTTTGGGGCGATGAACCCTTCAGGAATAGGAACTGAGTCTTACTCATCTTTACCTTTCCTGTGTTTAGCTGAATCTGCTCTGATAATTGTCTGTTATAAAATAAATATTTGTTATACATGAGTGGTTAATTTCCGCAGATTTAAAAATTGAAATTTGAAATTGGGGGGCATTCTTCTTTACAGGGATTTTCATAAGCTTTTATTCATTGTAACAGTTTTTTAAAATGTAGTTTTGTTGCTCTTGTAAAATAAGTCTTTTCTGAAGTACAATATGTTTCTATTATTATACCACTAAGAGTTAAGGGCTTGTTATTTTAGTAAATGAATGTACATTGTAGGAACCTTGCTTCAGTCTTTTCACGATGAGTCATATGTTAAAGGAGTTGGAGTTGTGAGACCTTAAATTTTGAAAATACCGAATAGGTGGATGTTATATATTTACTTATAAAGAAGCCTTTTGATCCTGTTTGGTTCTTATGTTTGCCTAGCAAGTAAGGATGGGAGGAATTGAAATCTGTATTTTTCTGAGTGGAAAGGAGTAGTATTCATTTTTCTAAAACCAATTAGCCTTTTATAAAGGTAATAGTTTCAAAAACTTTAATTCACAGTGTTTTAAATAAAACCATAAATATGTCATTACTTATAGTTTATTTTCATATTTTATTTTTTCAATCCATCAAATCATTGGATTGGCCTATGTAAGTTCAGAATGTCTACTATTTCTGTTATAAGTTAGTTAAGAGGTTGTCTTAGTGATGCAAAAATATTTATTAGAAAATTATTAGTAATGTTTTTCATTGAAGCAGATATATTATTTATCAAACAACCCATCATAGTTCATTGCTAGGTACAGTGGGAAATAGCCATCTATGTGCAGTGGGAAATACAGCCATCCATACCATGCGGCTTTCTTGCTTTCATTCTTTGAGATAGGGTCTCACCATGTTGCGCAGGCTGGACTCAAACTCCTGGACTCAATGGATCCCCCCACCTGTCTGCCGAGTAACTGGAATCTCTGCTGTGTGCCACCACATCTGGCTAGCATGCTTCATGCTTCTTTTTTGCAGGGAGTTATAAATGTAGGTAGAGAGTTGAAACTGGTACCCCCCAAAAGATCTAAAAAGTTACATCTATGGAATTGGTATGTGCTATATCAATTCAAAGAAGGAAGAAATTCTGTGGAAGGGGTAGTTTGGGGCAAACAGGGTGAATTTAACTAGTCTCTGAAGGATAAGGTAGGGTTTGTCTGAATCGAGAGGTGGAACATACTACATCGGAAACAAATAGGATGAAGGGCCCAAAGGTAAGAGTTACTGTGAAATGAGAGTGAGATACTGATCTCTATCCTGAAACATTAAGGATTTTTGTAATTTATCTAATCAAAGAAAATACATTTTCCTCTTGACTTGCTATAGTGAACACACAGTAACTAAATTTAATAGAGGCCAATATAAAATTTCTTTATCATGTTTCTTTTTATGTCCAAGTAATGTAGGCATAGTACTCAAAACAAAACAAAATGCTGACTGGAAAAGGAAAACAAAATCCTAATTCGACCATCCAACACTAACAGTTAACATTGTAGAACATTTTTTCTAGATGTGAAAAACCACTACTAGATCATATTTATAAAAATACATCATATTAAAAAGTTACCTTAAAAATAAAATATTTTGTATTTTTTGTGTTTTCTTTATATTTTAGGAGAAAACCAAAAGCCAAGGCACCACTTCCTCCAGCTGAGACCAAATATACTGATGTCTCTTCAGCTGCTGATTCTGTAGAATCCACTGCTTTCATCATGGAACAGAAAGAAAACATGATAGATAAAGACGTTGAACTCTCAGTGGTCCTACCTGGGGATATTATCAAATCTACTACTGTTCATGGCAGGTACGCTGGAGTAAATGAAATATCAGGACCTCCCCTTCTTATTCCACCATTGAAAGTCTCTGTGATATACGTCTTGATGTTTGTTCTTTGACAAAACACTTCATTTATCACTCAGTTTAGTTACCTGTTAAAAAAAAAGACTGCTAAAATGGTGTTAAAAATTTTCTATCAATGTTTTAATATCAGTGCTATGAATTCCACAAACCCAATTAAATGACTCTTGAAATTTGGAACCCTTTCATATCTCGTTAGTTATTTAACAAGTTTTTAAAAATAAGCCTTTCCTGGAGGAATGGCCATTAGTTATATTGATTTTGTAAACCAAACTTACAAAACAAGCCCAGTGACCCACAGGAAAATCCTATCCTTTTCTTCTCAAATTGTTCTTCCCACTTTAAGCTGCTTCTTTAAGTTTACAAAACTCTTAATTTTAAGAGTTTTATTACTCTTAAAATGTAATACTTTTGTATGTATCAAAACAGTTAAATCTGTCTGTAAATTAATTGGCAGTTTTTTTATTTCATTGAATGATTTAATTACTTTATTTAAAATGTGGGTGAGTTAAGTAGAAAAGTAAAATCAAACTTTATCCCAGCAAAAAGGAAAGATGTGATTTAGAAGACTGGTATTTTTAAATACCTTTGCGAAAATTGGAAAAATGGAAAAAAGCCAAGTGTAATTTTCCATTTCACTTTGAAGTGGAAAGTTACATGAACTATAGACTTGGTCTTGTTCTTTCACCTTCAACTGCCTATTTGTTATCAGGAATCCTGTTTTAGAAATTTAAGCTGTTTTGACCTTAGCTCGCTCGCTCGCTCTCTCTCTCTCTTTCTCTGTGTGTGTGTGTTGTGTATAAGGAAAAGAATATATTGGGTATTGCATTCTTATAATCTGGTTTTGTCTAGAAAAACTCATTCAAGGTAACCTTAATTTTAAGATTTATCATTAAAATCATGTGTAACTTTACAGATTATTTAAAGTAGATGAAAACAAAATAGTTCAGCTTTAGCAAATAATATAGTATTATTTAACTCTGATTAAATTTGAGGAAGTTGCATTTTGCCATTTATTTTGTATTGAAAGTCACTTTGGAGATCACACATTGAACCCTATTTATGAGATTGAGAAAATTGTCTGTGGTAGGCTCCCACCTGCAGCTGTGGATGGCCTCGTATGTGTGAGAAAGACATCTTGAAAGTTAGAGACAATGGCCATTATCATCAATTCTTGAAATAATATTACTCTGGTTTTAAAGGGTTAATGGATCTGGCTGGGGGTAATAAAGGCAATTCCTTTTTTATTTTTTTTTAATTTTTCCTGAATTCAAAATAAGAAAAAAAAAGTCAACTTTTTTTCTAGTTCTTCAGGGTTTCAGGTGATGTTGGTTTCATCACAAATACTCTTGAAAATTTCTTCTTAGGGATGTAACAGTCATCTCTTCATATTGCCTTATTCTCTGTTTGCTATCATTGCACCTCTGGGTTCTTCAGATTTTGTTTTTTAAACCTCAGTGACTTTAATATCAGAAGCGTGTTTTTTCTCTCCGTCCTGTCACCCGTCATAGTTATTTTAGACTTTTCCACATGCCACCCCGAGTTAACTTTTCTTCTGTTTCCTCAACTCTGGAAACCGAGATCCATGGTCAACTTTCCTGTTTCCACCAGAGAATGGTGGAATCTCATCACTTTAAAACGGTTCCATTTCTGAGATCTTAGGGTTCCTTATTTGAATACCAGCTTTTTAAACATCTAGCTTATCCACTTTCTCTTTAACTGAATTAGTTCTTCATCCTCCTCAAGTCTAATTTATGACTGTTCTGTAGGATGCTGCAATTTTCTTCATGTCTAAATTTTCTTCATATGTATTTTTTCTTCATACCTGATAGATTCTGCATCAGATATTTCACCTACATTTGTACTTACAAGCACCCTAGATTTTTCCCACCCTCCCTCCAGCATGTTTGCCCCCTCAGGTCCCTAAATCTGAGTAACTTTCCATCAGTCAGCTTTATGTTTCTGGGCCACCAACTGTTGTTGAATTGCTGCAGTTTTTTAAATCTATGAAAATGTATTATAGCCGAATTGATAGGATTAAATATGATTAAATGAAATACTATCAGGGCTTGGCGCCTATTGGCTTTCTCTCTTTTTTTTTTTTTTAATTGGGAACTGCTTTTCTTAACCCTGGGCTCTCTTCATTTACCTTGCACCCTCAGATTAATCTAAAATGCCTCTCTGTTTGTGGTACTACCTTTGATAAAAGACTGCAGGACAGCAATTCAATGTCAAATTAAAGGAGTCCAAACTACCTAGCCTGGAGATTGGGATACCTTATTTTCTCCTCCAAAATTAAGTAGGCTTTTCCTTCACCACCACTCTCCTTCCTTTGTGTATCTTTTTTTTGTTTGTTTTTTGAGACAGTCTTGCTCTGTTGCGCAGGCTGGAGTGCATTGGCGGGATCTTGGCTCACGGCAACCTCCACCTCCCGGGTTCAAGCAATTCTCCTGCCCCAGTGTCCCAAGTAGCTGGGATTACAGATGAACACCACCATGCCCAGCTAATTTTTGTATTTTTAGAAGAGATGGGATTTCACCATATTGGCCAGGCTGGTCTCGAACTCCTGACCTCAGGTGATCCACCCACCTCAGCCTCCCAAAGTGCTGAGATTACAGACATGAGCCACTGTGCCTGGCCCTTCTTTGTGTATCTTAAGCTTCACCACATGCCTCTTGCTCTTCCTTTGTTCTTCTACAAATACTCTATTTCTTTCACCTCAATACGTTTATGAACTTTTCCCCCCCTCGTGTAACTCACTAGCCTCATTTTCTCCAGTTAGTTTATATAGCTCAGGTGACATATTTTATATAAAGGCTCCCTGATCTCCCCAGAATCAGTGATTAACTCTGGCTTCCAAAATCTTCCGACACTTTATATCATATTTATTACATATTGTTCTATGCTGCAATGTATGTGTAGGTCTTACCTTTTGAAGAAACCACAGAGCCATGAGAATATCATTACTTTTCTTTATAGTGCCTAGCACAGTTTCTTGCAATGTGGTAGGCATTTCATGAATTTATCAAAATGAATATTGTCTTCCTAAACCCTTATGTGTAGATGGAGGTAGCAACATAAATGGTATGAAGAAGCACTTGGAATGAGTCCTAGTTGTTTACCCAGAATCTTTTAAGTAAAGATATTTTCTCCAGGCAGAGAGCAAGGTAGGAATGGAATGCCCCAAATTCTGATTCCTTTTTAAATTTTGTTTAGGGCTGAAGAGTTTTTCTGAGAGTAGAATTTATATCAGTGTTTTTGTTTGTTTGTTTGTTTAGATGGGGTTTCAGTCACACAGGCTGGAGTGCAGTGGTAAGAGCTGGACTCACTGCAGCTTCTGCCTCCCAGACTCAAGCAATCTTCCCACCCCAGCCTCCCAAGTAGCTAGGACCACAGGCGTGTGCTACCATGCCCAGCTAATTCTTGTATTTTTTGTAGAGATGGGATTTCCCCATGTTGCCCAGCATGTATATCAGTGTTTTTACTATGGGGTTTCATTTAGGGACTTTGTTCGCAGTAGTTTTATAATTCAGGCATGACTCATTGATGCTATGACTAATTTTCTATTTTAAGTGTTTGTGATTTAAAGTAGTTGTGTGATTCTGAATATCTTAGGAGTGTGATTCTGGGATATCTTAATGCGATCCAAGATGTTTTAGAGTTTGACTTGATATATCTTAAAAGTGTGACTTGGGATATCTTAATAGTGTGATTAGGGATGTCTTGAGTGTCACAGCTGCTGCTGACCCATTGTTTCACAAAACTGTTTAACAACAAAAAGAAATGTTCAAATAGAAAATTATGTACTACTACTGAAAAATGTTAACTACCTAATGGGAAGACTCATAATGACAAAAATAAAATTTCTTCATGGCTTTGTTACTACCATATAAAAGGAATATGAAAAATCTCAACAGAATAATACAAGAATTTGGTGGAGGTAATTTTAAGTGTGTGAGAGTTTCTTAGATAAATAGAGTTCTATATGTAACTCTGAAAAGACTTCAATGCAGTTTTTTGAGACCATGCTTTCTGAATTTGTCTGAATATTTCTTGTATATTTATTTTGATAGTGTAGTACTATTTCTTATGCCTTTATTGTGAAGAATACTATCAATGTTTGACGGAAGTACAGATTTCAGAAACTTATATGCCTCAGTTCACTTTTCAGAAATAAGTTTCCCACTCAAAATGTGTTCTTGGGGAATATTTTTGGAAAGTCCCCCCATAGATCTCATGCACAGGTGGGCTCAGGATGTTCTATTTTGGGGAATGTGAGTGCACAGTGGTATCTTCAGAAGAACGCACTTGTTTGTACATTGATTTTCACCAAAGAGCTTGTTCAGATTAGGAAACACAGTGGGGTTGGCGGTGGTCACAGACTTTATGCTCAGGGAGAAACTTATTATCCTGAATTAGGTTGGTAGCCATCTGCCAGCTCAACTATTTTTGGTACCAGAACTTAGTGATGCCATCTCTTTAATGACCAAAAGTCACCATGTCTCTACTATCTTGCCTTTGTGAGGCTCTGCTTACATTGGGCGGGGGTTGCCATGCTAACCTGAAAACTCTTGGGCATTTCTGCATATCCTAATATCATGGATGGTTGGACTGAAAGAAGGAGGAATTAAAATATTTAATTTATATATAAGATACAGTGTAGTATAGATGTATGTGTGTGTATGTCTATGTGTATGTATGTATATATGTTTGCACACATATATAAATGTGTGCGTCTGTGTATAGACTGTGTATACCAAATCCAAAATCTCAAATGCTTCAAATTCCAAAACTTTTTGAGTGTGAATATGATGCTCAAAGGAAATGTTTATTGGAGCATTTCAAATTTTGGATTTCCAGATTAGAGATGCTCAACTCGTGTAATGCAAATACTTCAAAATCTGAAAAAAAATGTGAAATGTAAAACACTTCATGCCTTAAGAATGTTGGATGAGGGATACTCAACCTGTTTCTGTGTGTCTGTGTATCATGTATATAATCGATAAACATCTTTTTCACCAGTCAAAGCAGTTCCTTGCCTTTCTAGAAATGAACATTAAAGGACTACTGTTACAGAACTCGTGGCTCTTCTTCTCAGAAAATGCTATACTTCACAACAGCATAAGCAGTGGTGTCTGCTAGTACTTGGGAAAAGTTAATTTTTAATGAAAGTGAGCTTATAGACTAAACAGATATAGAAACCACATAGAATAAGGAAATATGTGGGTACATTTGTATATGATCTGTATATGGTCTTCATCTTATAGTCGGGTATCAGCTTCATAGGTAATTATTCCTCATTGAATAAGTATTAGTTCCTTTTTCCTCTTTTCCCTTTCTCCAGGCTAAACTTTTAAAGCAAAATGTTCATTTTGGGAAATCTGAAAAGATTGACACGAATCCTTCTTAGCCTGTTGAGAGAGCATTCAATGGCATGCTATCACACTTTCCTACAAGAGGGAGGAAGAAATAAGCACCATTTATAACAGAGGAAGATATTTCTTTTACGCCCTTACCACAAATAGGAATTTGTTTTGATTGGAGCACATGTGAGATGTCATAATTGAAAACACAAAGAAAGCACAGAACTCCAAGCTAGAAGTCCCAACTAGAAGTTACAGTTTGTTCTAGACTTGCTGTGTGATCTCAAGCAAGTCACCTCACCTCTCTGGGCTTTTCACATAAAATAACCCAGAGACATGTCGCACATGCTTTTCAGCCTGATTTACCTGTCCCATAGCACCAGTTTACAGCAGAGTTGAGCCTAAGCCCGCGGTTTTGCCTGGCATAGGGTTGGTCCGCTGAGGAACTCGGGAGCATTTTACATGGATTACAGCGCCACCTATTGGGAAAAAGTAGACTATGAAAAATGACAAGATAAAGGGATCGGTGTGGGATTTTTGCTGAAAAAACGAGAGTAACAACAGTATGGATCTAGAAAAATTTCTGAAGTTCACGTCATATTTATATTTATTGAGAAGTGTCCAGTGATGACAAATGTGTGATAAATATATGTTTATAGCAGGGTAATTTTTTTTTAACTGTCAAAAATCTATAGGGTGGTACAAACCATGTTTAACTATATAAGATGCTTAAATTTTGGTTTAGATCCTTATTCTGCTGTAATTGCCTAAAACAAAAGTTGGCATTTTAACTGTGCAAGTACCTAGACATAACAGTACTACTTGAGTTTTTAATCGGTACTATTTGAGTTTTTAATCATCCTGTCATCTAGGTTCTGTCATTGCCCTCCCATGTCCCCCATGGCTCTGAGCCCAGGAGAATGTCAGCCTCTGTCACCTGCCTGCTCCCCTGGTTGGGAAAGGGGTGACAAAGTATTCACAAATGTCCTCAGAACATTGTTCCTGGCAGGGCCACCCTCTTCCCTTTGCTTTCCTGGCGTCTACACCTTATAATAATGACCCTTTTTAATTTCAGTTTTTTAACTTAATTTAATTTTTAAATTTTTCTAGAGACAGGGTCTCACTCCATTGCCCAGGCTGGAGTGCAGTGGTGTAATCATAGCTCACTGCAGCCTCAAACTCTGGGCTCAAGTGATTGTCCTGCCTTGGCCTCCCAAAGTGCTGGGATTACAGATGTGAGCCACCGTGCTCAGCACTAATTTTAGTTTTTAAATTTTTGTGATTACAAGTGCAATAGTTAGATGTTTTAGAAAGTTGGAAAATACAGATAAGCCAAAAAATTGTAAATGCAATTTCATTAAGCAGGCAGATTGCAACTTCTAACATTGCAGTGTCTAGCCTTTTATTCTTAGGCATGCACATATATGTACACCCATCTATATGTGCACTTCTTTTTTACAACAATATGGTATTATATTGTACGTGCTATTTGTAACCTGCTTTTTTTCAGTTAATGATTTCCATCTTTCATGTCAATAAAATGTTATCCTTTGTCTATATTCAAATTGCCCCAATTATAGTGAGATATATTTGTAGTATTTTTGTTTTTATAAGGGGCATGTATGTGTGTTTAGTAGGTGTGTTCTTAAATCACAATTTTTATGATGGTAATTATTTATAATTAGCTCTGAGTATAACACCTAAGATAAACAACCAGATAGAGTCCAAAGTGGTGACTTTCTAAAAATTGTGGGGCTTTTTACATTTAGTAATATCTATTTTTAGTATGTTAAGAACTTATCAGCTTAGTAATCTGACCTATTACTATTTATCTTCAAATCTTAATTTCATGTGTTATTTTCTTCAAAATATTTCTTATAGCATAATAAGCATTCTCAATTTTGAGAATGGGTCTATTTGTTTCGTGTACCTGGTACATTTCATTTCTTGCACACACAGAGAGAGCACTGCTTCATTCCTGAACTCATTACTGAACTACATGGGTTAGCATAAGATTGATAAACATCAGCAGCAATAGAGAATGTTTTAAAATTTCTGTACTATTACTGGTATGTGTAATTGGGTTGTTGGTGTGCACTTACAAGGTACAGATATGAAACTAATCCAGGGAATTGTTATTTATTTCTGAAAGAAGTGGGAAATCTCATAGGGATTTCTTCATTTCAAAGAAGAGCTTTTAGAGTCTTAAAAAAAAATCAGCCCTCTAGAAAATTATTATATTATCTTACAAGAGAAAAAATTCTGTAAATAATGTTAATGCAAAGCAGACTCTGCTGAGTAATAAAATAACCCAAAATTCAATGTGGTGTAATAATATAGAGGAGTGATTATAATGTTCATCCAATCCTTTTCCACTTTTAATGATTTGCCTCAGGTTTTAGATGGACTGCTCACGTGTGCTCCTGCCTTAGGAAACAGGAAGACAGGCATCTTTTCTGTGGTGATCCTGTGGTCAAACCCATTAGCCAACTGCCTTCAGGTGCATCAACTAGGGGATGATTATCCAACCAGAATTGTTATCTTTGGCAGAAGTAGTTTGGCATCCAGGTGGATAATTCTGAGCTCTATTCAAGCGATTATTTTATTTCCTGTGGGTGCACTTTGTGACTAGTTAACCCCAGCGGCAGCTCCATTGGAAGCACGACCTGCTTAAAAGTTAATGTCCTACTTTTGTAGTGTTATGACTCCTTTATGGTAAAGCTAGACAGTCAGTAATTCCCAACCTCAAAATCTTGTGGTCAGGGTCAGCTTTCCTGTGTTACAGTGCTGAATGCTGAGGCTTCAATTAAATATTTAAAGCATTCAAACTAGTCTGAGTCTATTTTTGGAAAAGATCTTAACCCTATTTAATGTTTATGTCTCACCTTTGTGTAAAGATGGTATGGCTTAGGCAAAACAAGCTTATTAATTATAAAAAACAACAGAGCTTTCACCATGTTACTTTTTTCTAAAGCATATGAACCTCCTCTCAACAAGTATGCTTTCTCATGTGTCAGTTGTATTAGTCTACTATGCATTTGAGCCCCTTGACTTTCAAGCAGAATTAATCACTGTTTTCTCTAAATTCCCCATTCGACAACAGCGACCTAGCCAGGTGCCTAAAGATTACTAAGATGTGGTCCTGCTAGAGGGGAGCTCACATCTATGTACACACAGAACCCAGTTAACTTCTTGAGGTCACTCTGCTGCTTAAGATCTAAGTAAGGCTGGCCTGAACCCCTGTTCCACTTCCTGTGGAAGGTTCAATGCCCTTTATAATCTCATTGTAAACTCCCAAGAGTTTTACGTTCTTGGGGTCACCTCTGGCTCTGACTTTATGCCTTACCACCTCTGGATTCATATTTTTCAGTTTCTGCTTTTGAAATTTCATCCTTTATTTGACACCTCCCAAGGCTACCAGAACCTTAGTGATGGCTTGTAGAGTTATAGTAAGCACATCACATAGCAAACCATTGAAATTTGCATTTTAGGTCTCCTGTTGGTTACTTTCAGCAACACTGCCACTTTGTCCCTCCAATCCTGCCCTCTTTCCACTGGCTAGCTCCTCTTTCTGTCTCTGTCTCCTTTCTGCATTAGCTTCAATCCTATCAGCTCCCTACAAAATGTATCTAGAATCTGAGTAGTCCAGGACACCACCATCTCCCACCTAAATTTTCGCAATAACCTTGTAGCTGCTCCTCCAGGCTATTTTGAATACAAAAACCAGAATGTAATCCTTTTAAAAAGTAGAGTAGATCACATCACTCCTCAGAACTCTTTGGAGGCTTTCTGTCTCACTCAGTAAAATCTCAAGTCTTCACTTGAAAGGCCTTTAAACACTACAAGATTATCACCCTGATTTCATGCCTATTGTTTTCACTAGCCGACTAGTTTCTGTTTTTCTTTAAACACTTAGAGCACATTCCTGCCTCAGGGTTTTTGTACTTGTCAAAGCTATCTTTCCGCAGATATCCCAGTCCCTTCAAGGTCTCAATTCTGGTGTCATTTTTCAATTAGGACATTCCTAACTTCTTTCCTTATTTTTTTTTTTTTTGTCAGAGCATGTAACACCATCTGATATTTTATATATTTTACTTGTTTCTTTTTTCTCTTCTCTCTAGATCAGTTTCATAAACTTCATAAACTACAGTATGATCAGAATAGGTTGGAGTGCCTGTCAAAGCACAGATTGCTCTTCCTCATTCCCAGAGTTTCTGATTAATGATCTGGGCTGGGGCTTGACAATTTGCATTTCTAACAAGTTCCCAGCAGATACTGATGCTGCTGGTCTATGTATCACACCTTGAGAACCAGCGTGTTAGAATTACTCTATCCAGTATGGCAGCCATTCACCAAATGTGTCTACTTATATTGAATTTAAATTAATTTGAATAAAAAATTTGGTTTGGGAGTCCACTATCCCAGTAACCACTGTGTTAGTGCAGATATAGAACGTTTCCATCAGTGCAGAAAATTCCATTGGGCATATTACTGTAAAACACAAACCATAGAAAGATCCACATGGAGCTTACTTTGGTGTAAGGAATCAGGTTAGATACACAACTTTTCTTTTTCATCCGATAGTTTTCCCAGTACCACTTACTGAAAATTCAGTTGTTTCCCCAGAAACAATTCATATGCAGTATTAAATTCACATATGTAGTTATGTCTATTGCAGAACTTTCTGGATTGCTGCATTTATTTGTCTGGCAATAGGAATATTTTCAAGACAAATTTGGCTTCTGAAATTATTGAATAAAGAATTGGACCTAGAATTATAAAATGAGAGAATAAACTCATAAAGAACTTCTGTGGTTTTCAGTTGCCTCTCAAAGAGGCATTTTTAGTAGAAAACATATAGGCAGTGTTGAGTGCAAAGGTCATGATATAGTCGGCAACTTTTTTCTCATGATATCTGATATAGTGTGTAAAGTTTCTAGATAAATAAAATGACTGAGGGAATAGGCCATTATGTTAATATTCTTAACCAATTACCCACACTATTTATTAGATTAGAAAATTAATTTATCACAGATAGAAATACCAATGTTTCTACACAAGGAATCAAATTGTTCTTTTTAAAAAAATCAAAAATGTATTTTAAATGTTTATATGTTTATACATAAACGATGAAAATTATGGCACAAAAATAGGGATAAAAACCAAACAAAACTTTAATAATTTTTTGTTTTGTGTTTTGTTTTGTTTTGTTTTTTGAGATGGAGTCTTTCTCTGTTACCCAGGCTGGAGTGCAGTGGCGTGATCTCGGCTCACTGCAAGCTCCGCTTCCCAGGTTCACGCTATTCTCCTGCCTCAGCCTCCCAAGTAGCTGGGACTACAGACACCTGCCACCATGCCTGGCTAATTTTTTGTATTTTTAGTAGAGATGGGGTTTCACCACGTTAGCCAGGATGGCCTTGATCTCCTGACGTCATGATCCGCCTGCCTCGGCCTCCCAAAGTGCTGGGATTACAGGCGTGAGCCACCGCACCCGGCCATTTGTCTTGTTAACTTATGTATTTCTGGCAAAGATTCAAAAAAACTGTATATTTAAGAAGTAAAAGATGTTGGAAGAATGAGCTTCAATGTTTTTACATTTATTACTTGACACATTTATATATAGAGAGAAAGAAATACAGTCTGCATGTATCATCATTTACTCATAGACAACAGCAGACAGCTACCCCTTCAGTTGGCAATGAAAGTTCTCTTCTCTTCCAGCTAAACTGCATTTATAATAGTATATAACTAGACATTACCTAATCCTTCTTAACTTTATTTACTATCAAAGAAAGTACTATTTCCAAGTCTAGAATTGGTATGTGCCATCCAATTGCTCTTGTAGAGTACCATATTACCAAAAAATCAACTTCCACAAGACCATTTTGCTAGTCTCTCTCTGGATGAAATTTAAAATGTCCTGTTTAAAGCCAAAACATGGGCAATATAGATACATTTATGGGCATAGCCTGTGGCTCAAAAGAAGGATGTAAAACTCTTAAATATTATGCAACCATCTAATAAAGACACAGGAAATGTATTTTGAGAATTGAAATGTATTCCTGAGAATTTTTTTTAAATTGAGGGACTTAGAACCTTTGATTTATTTATTTTTCTTTATATATATACAAGTAATAGGGTGCTACTTGTATGTGGGGGAGAAGGGATGTGTGAGGGACCGTTGAGAAACATACTCCTTATCCCATAAAGATTGGACTGGCCTAGGAGTAGGCAGCGACCACAGAAAGTAGAGATGGGGGCTGAACACGGGATGATCTGAAATCTATGTAACGTGTTGTTTGACTTCAAGACCACACAGTGTCCGACAGTGAATCCTTCCCCACCTCTGCAGGAGACTCCTTGTCTGGAAGAACTGCATCAGAGGCTGCAGGCCTGGGAGCTTACTAGGGGTGACGTGCCGTATGAAAACAGGTGCACTAAAATAAAAGTAGCATACTGAATGGTGGGATTTCTAGCCCCATTTCCCTGTCAAGTTCCCAAAAGCCAGTAACCAGGTTTATATCTCTAGTCAAGAAATTGGAGAATAACTTTTTACTGATATGTGCATTTCCCTTTCGAGGTGGGATGCAGATGGCTGGCTACCCGATTACCCTAAAGTGAATCCCATGAACCTATGCCTCCATCTGTAAAAATACGATGTACACACTGCGGTTTAGTGCCTTATTCTTAAGTGTGAACTAACAGTTTAGGATCACCTGACATTTGGGGAAAGCACATGATACCAAAGATTTTTTAGTGTGCTTTCCTTAAGGGATGACAGTATTAAGAAAGACTCAGAGACTATGTTGTTCTGTCAGTGATATGAATGAAAATATAAGTCTGTGTCAACAATGAGAATCTATGGAAAGGGAAGCAAAAAATTGGTAAGTATCCCTGAATTCCAAGTTGGGTATGAAAGTTTCTATAGAAATAAGTCCTGTATTACCAATAGTATTAAACATTCATTCATTATTTGAAATTATCTCATGCATTTACTTTATTTCAATTTTATGTTCTAGCACAAGAGCTGATAAGCGTTTTCTATCATGGGCCAGGAAATAAAAATAGTAGGCTTTGTGGGCTATGCCTATATAGTAGGTGTGGTCACCCTACTCCATTCTGCTGTTGTAACTAACACAAAAGCAGCCTGAGACGTTATATAAACAAACGGGCATGACTATTTTCTAATACAACTGTATTTACAAAAACAGACTGTGGGCCCATTTTGACCTGCACATTGTGGTTTGCTGACACTTGGTTTAGTTCATCCAGTAGAGTGTTAGATCTATGAGAACAGATATACTATAATACTTGTACTGTGATTCCAGTGCCTAGAGAATATTCATAACCTTTGGATGATTAAAGAATTTGTACTACACCTTTTAGGATTTTGTGGACTTCCTATGCAGATATTTACAGTCTGTTTTCTAAAGCCAAAAAGTGGTGGTGGTGGTTCCAAATGCTTCATTCTTATGAGAACTTTGTAACCAATTCATAAGCTAAAGACTGCCAATGTTATATTACAAATAATGTGTTGTGAAGGACTGCTCTTGGGTAAGGAAAGGACTCCTCCTCCTGAAATTTATAATTTGGAAACAATTTGGTAAAAACATAAAAGTAGTTGTTGAACTGACACTAGGATCTATGCTCTCTTGACTATCCCAGGACTTTTTAACTATTACAATTTTGTCTGTTTAAATATCTTGTAGTTCAATTTTTTTGGAGATTATTTTTGTTGTTGTTGTTGTTGTTGTTTTTATTGTTATTATTATTATGACAGGGTCTTGCTCTGTTGCCCAGGCTGGAGTGCAGTGGCGCGATCTCGGCTCATTGCAACCTCAACTTCCAGAGCTCGTGTTGTTCTCTGGCCTCCACCTCCTGAGTAGGTGGGACTACAGGCACACACCCACCACAGCAGGCTATTGTTTTTTTTTTTTATTTTTTGTAGATACAGGGTCTTGCCATGTTGCCCAGGCTGGTCTCCAACTCCTGGGCTCAAGCAGTCCTCCTGCCTTGGCCTGTAGCTTGACCTGTAGTTCAATATTTAAGCTGCTTTTCCAAAAACTATCTTGTAGACTTGTTTATCTATTGAAGACAAGCATTCTAAGAAAATCCTCAAAACAATAACGGGTAATGAAATACTCTTGTTTTACAGTAAACCTATGATGGACTTGTTGATATTCCTTTGTGCACAGTATCACTTAAATCCATCAAGTTACACAATCGATCTGTTGTCAGCTGAACAGAACCACATTAAATTTAAGCCAAACACACCAATAGGAATGTTGGAGGTAGAGAAGGTAATTTTAAAGCCAAAAATGTTGGATAAGAAAAAACCTACACCTATAATACCAGAGGTAAGAATTCCATTATATATTTTGATGTCTTATTCAGTCATTATCAGCAGCTCATTGTAAGTGAAATAAAAATGGACTTTACTGGTTAAATTTGATGTGAATGTGAGTATTATGTTTTTCTAGGCACTTTGTTTAGGATTCAGTTGGCTATTGATCCCTGGATTAAATAGAATTTGGGCAGTACTTTAGATTTAATGCTCTAAAATGATCAATATGATTGCATAAGTATGTAACAATTATGAATGATTTGTATTTTAAGCTACTCTTTTAAAAAGTATATGTAAAGGAAGGTTTTAGAATCTTTTCATGAAAATTAATAATTTCTTAAAGTAATTTTTTGGCTTCTGTGTACTTGGTAAGCAGCAGTTGTAACTTACTAACATCTATTTGTATGTGTGTTTTTGTTTTTTTTTCGAGTTCTTCATTGTGTTTGAATTTATTAACATCTAAACTATTAATGTGTGCCACACATTAACTCCATTTTCTTTAATGTACAAATTTCATGCAAAAATGTTTAACCACAATAATTCTAATATCAGTTCTTATTAAAATTGTTCTATTGCTATAAGCAATAGGGTAGAATTTTATGGGTTTCAAGAAATACTCTCATTATGAACATCAACCATTTTCATTTTATAATATATATAAAAGTTTGTATATTAAATTGATACATGTGACTTAAATATACATATTCTTGCATTTTCTTCATATTGTTATGAAGCTTTTTTCAAAGAAGGTGAGTTTTTGAAAATATTAAAACATACTTGCTTTCTACAATATATGATTTAATATTATTAATATATATTGGGATATTGGACTGCCTTCTGTCTAGGTATTTGTTTCTGTCTAGGTGTTTATTACATATCCCTGCTGTTTTTCTAGATGGAAATAGTTATATTTATGCTATAGCGTGGGATTATACAAAGGGTCTTAGTTTTGTGAATAAAGGTCTTTAAGGACCTGCAAAATGTACGTTTCACTTAGTATGGTCTCATGTTGCTAAGTTCCATACAGGATTTAATTCAATTACATAAAATGATGAGACGCTTAAAATCTTTGTAGTAATTTTAAATTATTAGTACTAGATATTTAATGAAGAGATTTAAATATTCTTTACTAAAACATTAAAATTAGCCAAAGTAGTAATAGTAACAACAAAAGTTAATCACAATAGCTAATGTTCTCTTATTGATAAATGACTATGTGCCAGGAAGTCTGCTAAGCTTTTCATATGGATTATCTCATTTATAATGTTTCAAATAGAAACAAAAATTTTAGTGACTTAACCAAAATACCCCTTTTTATTGAGGCAATAGAGAAATTATTTGAAAGATAAATATTCCTCAAAGGGTAGGATAAAATATACATAATTTTGTACTATGTATATTTGCTAATTTTAAAGTAAATATTTTAAGGAACAAAGTGAAAACATGAGTAGTACTAGATATGAGGCTAGTTTTTTAGGGTCAAATTTAATTAAAATCTTACTATAGAATGGTTGGATTATTTAATAAATAAACTAATGTGTTTGCTTCTAAGAACTTGCTTTGGATTTAGGAAGTAACATTAATCAAAAAGAGAATTTCACACCAAATAGGAAAGTACTGTTTATTGTTTGAATATGTAACTGTAGGTTATCTCATTATTCTAGACATTATTGTAGAGTGTTTGTTTCAGTGAATTATGGTACAACTATGGCTTTAATATGTGTTTCAGAAAACTGTGAGAGTAGTGATTAATTTTAAGAAAACACAGAAGACCATAGTGAGAGTGAGTCCACATGCATCGCTTCAAGAGCTTGCCCCTATTATATGTAGCAAATGTGAGTTTGATCCGTTGCATACACTATTGTTGAAAGATTATCAATCGCAGGAGCCTCTTGACTTGACAAAATCTCTTAATGACCTGGGACTAAGAGAATTATATGCGATGGATGTCAACAGAGGTAAGTAAGACTTTTATTTTATTTATTTAGTGGGATGTGTATATTTGTATATGTTTGTGCATTGTGTTTGTGTGAAGGTGTTCTCAAGTTCATAATGGCAGTTAATGGGTCCTATAGATAAAAGTAATTACTTGGCATTAGGAATAAGAAAACAAAATGTTAATAAATATAAATCAAGTTAAATATAACAACTTAATTTCAGTTATTGAAATTGGAATTAAAACTTGTCTTTTTAGCCATCATCCACAATTTATATTTTTTCTTTGATTTTTTTTTTTTTGGTAGGATTTAACTTAATTCTTCATGGCTTTGAGGCTTAAACAGAAAATAAAAATTTACATATAAAGTCATTGTTATTCTAATCAAGTGTGAATTACTGTGGACTCACTATGATTTTGTCTGAGTCTTAATTATCATTCAAGTTTGGAAGTTTCTTGCCAAATTTTTCCTAAGGTCAACACCAAAATAAGTTGGCTTATGAAATGTATCAGTCTAATTCAAAAAATTTTTGAAATAGCTCCCAGTTTTAATCTATAGAAATGATGTATTAAAATTTGGAGATCTTAGATAATGCTGGTTTGTATGATGTCTAGTAGACAAATGCAAACATTTATTCAACATGAATCTGTTTCACTAAGAGAAATAAAAGTTTAGTGAAGCTGACAATTATTTACATACTCTTTGCATAGAGACTTCAAAATTTATCCTGAGGTGGTGGCTTTATGTAATCCATAGACTACTTTTTCAACTCAGTGATGTTTTATACTTGAACAAACATCATCTTCACAGTCAATTTACCCTCTTTTATACCCCTCCTTCTGTAGCCACTTCTGTTACTGTCTTCAGTAAGTCATCTTTACAAGGTAAGATGTATGAATCAGTAGAAACAAATTATAACATGAAATTGGATATATTGAAATTAAGCTTCTAATTTTACCCTTTCTTAACATCACTAACGTGTTCATTCTGTATGAGATTTTAACCTAGAAAATATTTGGGTTTTATTTCCTTGAAAAATGTATAGGTTCCTTCCCCTTGATTTCTGAATTTAATTATAATAATTTCATTTCAACAAATGTTTAAAAATTATTCTAACAGTGTGGGAAAACGTATTCTTTACTCTCATACAAGGAAAAATGATTTACTAGGATCTTTACTGGGTACAAATGCTAATAGCTTGGTAGTACCGAGGAAGCATTTCAGATTATTTCACTGAACAGTAATTCAGAATAATGGTGTTATATTAATCATATGAAATTTTGCAGTCATTGTTTGTGAATATTTTGTAATAAGATGGAAAATGCTTATGTTGAAATTAGCTTTTATACCATATAAGTGTGTTTAACACAATAGGTGAATAAATGCTTTTATATGAAATTGCTGAAAGGAAATACATAAAAAATTTCAATAGTGGTTACCTTTGGGTGGTAGGGTTATGGTATGTGATTTTTTTATTATTTATTTTCTTTATAATACAGAATTATATAATGGGCATACATTCCTTTCATAGAGAAAAACTGTATTAAAAATTGCCCAATAATAAATTGTGGAAGTCTTTTTTCACCCATTAAGAAAAAGTCTCAAATAATTGATTACCCTAATAATTACCAGCCTACTAAAAAAACAAGCCTTAACAAACTGCATATATTATGTGTTAGTGAAATCTCACCTTCTACTTCTATAATAATAGGAGATTAGAAATAGTGGTCTCTGTGGTTCTTTCTAGCAACAACATTTTATTACTTGTACTTGACTTTTACTCCTAATTTTGCCACTCTCTATCTGCATAATCCTAAGCAAATTCCATAAACTTTCTGGCCTCATTTTGAGGTTGTCGAATGCACTGATTTCTAATATCCCTTCCAGTAATGGAAGGATGTGGTTTATTTAGAATATGAAATGTTGTGGACAAATCTTAAGAGAGTGAAATATTAAAATTAAGAAAGTTTACAGTATCAGAATCTACAAGGTCAATCCAAATGCTGTCACTACCCTTGCCTCCTTATTTTTTCTGATACTATTTTGAAAACTTAGAACTTACCATGCAATTATATTTAGCCTGCCTTCTAGAAACAGGAAACTACAGTATTTGAGTTGCTTTTCTAAGTAAGCTAAAGCCTTTGCTTGTCTTACTGTTTAACCTGACTTGCTATGATCCCTGATGTAGAGCTTTAAGTGAAAACTTAATGGCTAACTAGTGTGGAGGATGACCATGTACCTGAAAATTTCTTCACCAAAAATAACCATATGGGCCAGGCACGGTGGCTCACACCTATCATTCCAACACTTTGGGAGGTCAAGGTGGGAAGATTGCTTGAGCCTAGGAATTTGCGACCAGCCTGGGAAACATGGCAAAATCCCATCTCCACAAAAAATACAAAAATTAGCCGGGTGTGGTGGCACATGCCTGTAGTCCCAGCTACTCAGAAGGCTGAGGTGGGAGGATCACCTAAGCCCAGGGAGGTCAGGGCTGTGGTGAGCCATGACCCTGCCAGTGCACTCCAGACTGGGTGACAGAGTGAGACCGTTTCAAAAAAATAAATAAAAAATAAAAAATATTCTGGTTATATTTATTGTATTGCACAACCATATGAATTTTTCATCTACTGTTCTGAGTAAATTTAATTGTGTATCCATATGCGATAAGCGGTGTATTCCATCTTAAATTGAAATAGTGGCAAATGTAAAAATAATACAAATATAAATAATCTTTAAATGGATACCAGTTTTAGTTCTACTGTTTAATGCCTGTTTGTCTTTGTGCAAGTTACGAAAACTCTCTGTTCACTTATAGTTCCTGAGAGCGTAATGGAGTAATACCACTGCTTTCATTTTATATATATATATATATATATATATATATATATCCTGCAGGGTAAATGCTAGCATCTTCCAATGAGAAAAAGGGCTCAGAGTGATAACTTTTGATACTTCCCTCACAAGGTCATTCTAAGAAACATTTAGGCATGCAAAAAAACTTTAACCATAAAGTGCTATCTACGTGTTCGTTATTATTAGTTGCTAGCATTGTCAAACTCATTGTGCAGAATGTATGCTGCTTATTTAATATTTGAATCATCAGATTTAAAAGTTTTACTTTGTAAAATAGTTTTCCTTTCATATGTTATTGAGGCATATTGTATTATTGTATTTATTTGGTGTTAACTAGCTTTCCTTTCCTGAAGTAGTCCCTATTTTGCCATAATTTATTTTGGTTTTCTTAGACAGGTATTTTAAATAAAAGCATTTAAGACTATATATTTATCTATTAGTTTAGCTTTAGTTATGTCTCACAAATTTTAATACACAATATTTTATGTCAAATGTTATTGAAATTATATTGTGATTTACCATAAAATCCATATGTTGCTTAGTAGAAGAAATATTTTTTTAGTTTTACAGATCACCACTCATTGTTTTTCCAACCTTTTAGAAAAATTTGCTACTCATTTATTGAAGAAACTAGGTCATTTGTTTTATAGCTTCCCGTGTTCAGATTTTTACTGTTTGCCTCCTGTGGTGTCACTTAATGTTTAACTTATTGCCAATGTCATTGAAATTTTATTTCAATGTAAATTTCCCCTCTCTTTCCTGTAAATTGATGGTTAAATCTAGAGGCTTGATCAGATTTTGGCGAGAGATTTTTTGGCAAGAATACTTCACAAGTGTTGCTGTGTACTTCCATCAGCAAACATGTAACAACGAGTTATTTTTTTCTGATGTTAGCCATCAATGATCTTTGTCTACATCTTAGTTAATTAAGATTTGAAAAATGGTGAAAGTCTATTGCAGTCAATATTACTGAAAAAGTAAGGTTCTCCGTGTCAGCTATATGACTGCTACATAAGTCGAATTCAATCAGAAAAAGGTAGAATAGGCTGGATGAGGTGGCTCATGCCTGTAATCCTAGCACTTTGGGAGGCCGAGGCGGGTGGATCACCTGAGGCCAGGAGTTCGAGACCAGCCTGGCCAATATGGCGAAACCCTGTCTCTACTAAAAATACAAACATTAGCCAGGCATGGGGATGCATGCCTGTAGTCCCAGCTACTTGGGAGGCTGAGGCAGGAGAATCGCTTGAACCGAGGACTCAGAGGTTGCAGTGAGCCAAGATCACGCCACTGCACTCCAGCCTGGGCGACAGAGTGAGATTCAAAAAAAGACTGTCTCAATAAATAAATAAATAAATAAGAAAAGAAAAAGGTATAATAAAAGTTGGATGATTTCCTTTCATCAGTTTTTAAAATAATGGACTGGTTCTCTAGCATAACACAAAGGTGAAAAAAGAGTTTTTTTTTTTTAGTATCATTATGAACATATGAAATTAAACACATGTGACATGTTTCAGTTTATTGAGTTACTTTTATGATGTCCAAATTATCCTTATTTTTACCAGTAGAAACTGTCTCAAGTTGGTTCCTGAGTCCTTTTAACACAACCTGGTAGACTTTGATAGCATTCTTTCTAGTATGGCTAGATGTCCCAAGTTTATCTTGTAGATTCTTTGATACCAACAGAGAATCAACCATTCTCAAGTAATCATGGTTTCTTTTAATGGGAAATGGAATTTATAGCCAATTTGGGCCAGGGAGGCTCAGCACTACTGGCTGTGTCATTGTTTGTAGGCCCTTCAGTTGATATTAGGAGATGCTTTTTGGAAAATTTTATATAAATATTATGTATACAACCTTGAGGTTTGACATTTGCCCTTCTAACTAAAGTAGGGCTTCCTAATTTTCAGCACTATTAACATTTGAGACAAGATAATTCTGTCATTAGGGACTGTCTTTTGCAATGTGCTATGTTTGGAATCCTCACTGGCCTCTACCCAGTAAATGCAGACAGCACAGTCTCCTAACCTCATTGCCAATGGTGGCAATCAAATTGTCCCCAGACTTTGTCAAATGTCCTCTGGGGGACAAAATTGGTCCCAGTTGAGACCCACCCTATTAAAGAAATAACTTTTATGAAACATTTAACAAAGTACTGAGCAATTATAATGACTCACATTTTGTAGAATAAGATATTTCATAGTTGTTTAGCTGTGAGACAAAAGTATAATCAAAATAAAGGAACAAACTGTGTGGTAGCGATTTCATGTCTTGTGTAATTTGAAGTGTCCTTTCTATTTTGCTTCTATACTTCAAAAGCAGAACACAGACTCTGAGTCAAAAAAATTGAGTTTGTGTCGTAGCTCTGTCATTTCCTGAGTGTTGGCCTGGATTATGTATCTTAGTTTTTTAAGCTTCAGTTTCCTCTGCTGTGAAATAGGAACAATATTTGCTTGTTGCTTTGAGAACTTAATAAGATTTAAGGTGCTTCTTTGTAGACTATAATTAGTAGCTTTTAGCATTAGATAAGTTTGCAAAGGGGAAGTAAGAGAAAGAAATCTTGGAAGTGAACAGTCAACCTCACATACAAAAGTAAGATGCTTTTCTTCTATTTTAGAGTCCTGCCAAATATCACAAAACCTAGATATTATGAAGGAGAAAGAAAATAAAGGGTTTTTCAGTTTTTTTCAACGCAGTAAGAAAAAGCGAGACCAAGTAAGTATTTTCTTATATTGCATTTTGTAAGATTCTTCAATTATTTTTAATTACTAATGCTTTTTACTAATATCTTGAAATTACTAGATTTTGTCTTTGTCATTCTTTACTAGACTGCAAGTGCCCCTGCAACCCCTCTAGTAAATAAGCACCGCCCAACTTTTACAAGGTCCAATACCATTTCCAAACCATATATTTCCAACACCCTGCCGTCGGATGCACCCAAGAAGAGGCGGGCTCCACTGCCCCCGATGCCAGCATCTCAGAGTGTCCCCCAAGACCTTGCACACATCCAGGAGAGGCCTGCTTCTTGTATAGTGAAATCCATGAGCGTGGATGAGACAGATAAGGTGTGTAGTTTTGTTTTCTATTTTGTTTTTTTGGATGAGGCAGTGTACCATTTATTTTTCCTCTTACCTAACATCTTTTCTAGGTAGACTAGTAAGAAGTAGTCCTATAACAGTTGGTAATTAGTAACAGTTACTAATATGTAATAAGATGAATAGCTCATTCTAAGATTGGTACTAGGAATAGATCTTCTATGTACATACAGGTCTGTGATGCAGTAAAGGATAAATGTCCATTTTAAGTAACTTTCATATTCAAGCAAAAAAAAATCTGAAAACCTAAAGTCTTGGTTTACTAAGGCCTAACTAGGGGCTCTTGCTAGGTGCATGTAATAGGAATGGAAATACAGTCTTTATTTTTGAATAGTTCTTTTTTATACAGTAACACAGTCTTTGAGTTGTGTTCATGGGTTTCTAACCACACGTATTTTCTTGACCTGACTCAGATTCTCCAGGGAATAGCCTGGTATCTACCTAGTACATAGATACTCCACAGTGAAAAAAGAAAATGAGCCTTTTTATATAGAATATATCACAGTTACCTTTATGCACCCTTATCTTCAAAGCACAGTTCTATGTGTACCTTTTTCTCAAAGTTTCTTACTATTACACACCTTTAATCTCAAATTTTCCCTGAGTTTGCCATTTTGTGGAGATCCATTTGCAAACTACTTTTCATGACTAAACAATCTGCATATTCCTTGCTTTATCCATGTGAAAAATAAATGAATTTTTAGGTATATATGATTGAAGATGAGACTGTATATATTGTTGCTGGTAATCAGAAAGAATGATTTAAGTAACTTTGAGAGCAGATTTTATTTGGAGATAATTGAGACACTGAGAAGTTTTCTTGTGTCTAGTTGAAAGATTTTGTTTCCCCCTTGGGGGCTTAGTAAATGCAATGCTAAAGTAAATTAACTCTTCCCAAGCACCTGGTACACATTTCTGTGCTTCCTTTACTTAAAAAAAATTAACCATAGTTTTAAAATGTAGTTTATAGGCTATCATACATGCAACTCAAAGAGATAGAAATGAATTTTGAAAATGCTTAACCTCAGTACTTGGAAAATTATCTATTAAGTTTCTTATTTCTATGAAGACTTTCTTGTCTAATTTAGTATTTGTGGTATAAAATCTCATCTTATAAAATCTCATCCAATCTCACAAATCAGGAGGATAATGTTTTTGTCAAGTTATAGAGTCACATACTGACAAAGAATTTGCAGGGTAACTGCTTGAGAGTTGGGAGAATCTTCACGGAGAGATGATTCTTGAGTTCACTCTTAAAATATGTGTGGGAGTGCATTAGGCCAAGGAACCCTGTTAAGAGACGCAGGAATGTGAACACGATGGCTTGCCTGGACATGAGCAAGAAACAGAGACTGAAATTAAGCATGGTAAGCAGGGGTCAAGTCAGGGTCCCAAAGACTTTATTTTGTGCTTGTAGCCCTTTTAAATTTATTCACAATAAGAAGTAGCATTTTTAGGGTTGTTGTATCATAGAAGAGTGTAAATTATACTCTTGAGTAGCTACCTTTTTGCATATATTAATATATATAGAAATATACTTTAGCCCATGCTCACAAATCTTTATTCCAGCTGTCCTCATCCAATCTATTTCAGTAAACTTCCTTTGTACTTGGCTCCCCAAGAGGTCTATGTTGTCTTTCTAATAGTCTGTTTCTTAAAATTCTGGGCTGTGCCACCAGTGACCTCACTGAAAGCTATTTCTTTTGATTCTCTCCCTCTGCTCTGTGACCAGTTGCTGCCCCTGTGTTAAGTAATCTTTTTTTTTTTAGTATGTTGCCTTTGGCAAACTACACATCTTTATACAATTTTCTAATTATTTTTTCTTTTGATCTGGACATCTGGATAGTTCTTTGATGTATTGTTCAGTAGGACCCAGACTTATTTGTCTTTCCCTAGAGAAGCTGAAGAACCATTTTTTATTTATTCATTGCAAAAATTCTTAGTGATAAAGCTGTAGTGCACACAAAAATTCATACCTTCCTAGGCATCTCTGCAACTAACTTCTTGATATATTTGATGTGGTTAATTACCCCCTTGGTCTTGATTTGTCTTTTTCTTCCTTGGTCTTGAACCTCTTCTTATATCTCAGCCCTCTTCTATTTTTTTTTTCTTGTCACTGTTTCTTTTATTCATTTTCTAAATTTGGAGGTACTAAATCCATGGTCTTGGTCTATATTTCTGCACTTATTCAGAGAAGACATCTCTTCTTTTTTGAGTTTGTGGGCTGATGGTTCTCAACTGTAGTGGTTTGAATATGTTCCTTGCAAAAGGTATGTCTGAGCTCTAACCCTTCCAAAACCTGTGATTCTGACCTTATTTAGAAATAGAATTTTTGCAGATGTACTTAAGGATCTAGAAATGAACTCATATTGGATTTGAGGTGGGCTCAAATCCAGTGGCAGGTATCCTTATAAGAAGAGGAGACACACAGGCAGAGAGACACAGAGAAGGTCGTGTGAAGACAGGCAGAAATTGGCATTATGCTGCCACAGCGAACCATTACCAGGAGTCAGTGGAAGCTGGAAGAGGCAAGGGAGGGTTCTCCCTAATGCCTTCAAAGGGAGCATGACTCCGCCAACACCTTGATTTCAGATTTCTGTATTTCAGAACTGTGGAAGAATACATTTGTGTTGTTTTTAGCCACCCAGTCACAGTAATTTGTTAGGGCAGCCCTAGGAAACTGTACATCAACTTCGTAATTCCAGTCTCGGTATTCTTCCAGTTGCAATTTGAATTCACAGTTGCTATTGACTCATGACTACCTGGAAGACGTATTTAAGATCCGAATCATTGTTTTTCACCAGACTGAAAAGCTCAAGTTCATCTTTGTTTTTTTTTCTTTTTACATCTAATTAGAGACAAATCCTTCATTCAGTCTCCCTTCATGATGTCTTTTATTCCCTCTGCTGACATCTTTTGTAGAGAAATCCAGGACAGAGTATAAAGAGAAAACCAGTACTTAATGTGTCTTTGAAATTCTCAACGTGGCAAGCTGCTGCATTTGTATTTCTTAATTATCACTTCTCAGTTCAGAAATTTTGCATAGCTTGTTGTCATTTTTCTGGGCATCCAAGATCCTCTACAGAATGATTACAATTTTACTTTTAAACTTTTTAATGCCTCCTCATTGATAGGATAGGATACTTCTATCTCTAACCAGAAGATTTGACTTATTGTTGCTGATGCAAAAATCCTGTGTTCTGTATCTTTTCAGAATGGAATGGCCCCACTTCCATCTTCTTCATTTCTACTTACCCATCCAAAGGATGTCCATTCTTTTATCAGATTCATGGAGAGTTTTCTGAAGATGCCAGCGCAGAATAATCTTTACCTTCTCTGAATTTGTTCCTCTTGTCCCTTTTTATTTTCTCTTAATTTGCATTATGTATAGGTTTTATATGTTATTCTAAAGATAAAAAGAGGAATACAGTAAAAATTCTCCTTCCCTATCCCCCACCAAGTTCTCCTGCCCAGAGGCAACCACTGTTAACAGTTTCTTGTGTGTCTTTCCAGAGATAATGTATGCATATTAAAACCAATATTCATGCTAAATATTTTTTTTCCTCAGGTGGCCATATACTACATGCATGTTATACTTTACTTCTTGGTATGGAATTATTTATTCTGGATATTCTTAGCAGTTCATAAAGGGCTTCCCTTTTCGAAGGATTGAATAATATTAAATTGATGGGTATAACATGACTTACTTACCTCATCCTCTAAAGATAAACTTTAGGGTTGTATTATGGCTTAATGCTTGCAGCATTGTTAAATTTTACCTTTTTCTTTTCCCCACCCAGAAGGCAGGAATTGTGTTCTCCAGCAAAATTCTGTAACATGGTAGGTGTTCAAGAGAATTGATAAGTAAACATTAATCACTGCTTTCATAGCCAGGTATAGTATATACAATGAGAATGTGTCACACTTATATCGTAAAATTTTAGTATGTCATTCATATATCTGGTAAATTTTCAGAAGTACGTGGTTAACTTAAAGATTGCTTACATTTACTTTTATGGTAATTGGACCATGTAATTTTTAGCAATATATTTCTTAAGCTTTTATAGAAAAGCCAGAATTTAGATAAGGTTATATTGAAAACTTAAGGTCCAACTAAACTATACTGTACATTGCATAATGCATATAAATATAATTGATCCTTGAATTAAAATTGTTTATAGCCCAGGCTTGATGGCTCATGCCTATAATCCCAGCACTTTGGGAGGCCGAGGTAGGAGGATCACTTAAAAGCCGGGAGTTCAAGACCAACCTGGGCCACAAAGTAAGACCCCTGCCTCTACAAAAAATAATAAAATAAAATAAATCAGCCAGGCATGTTGGTGTGTGCCTGCAGTCCCAGCTACTCAGGAGGCTGAGGTGGGAGGATCACTTGAGCACAGGAATTCAAAGCTGCAATGAGCTGTGATCTCACCACTGCACTCCGGCCTGGGTGACAGGGTGAGACTGTGTCTTTAAAAAATAATAATGAATTTTAAAATAGTAAAAATGTGGTTTATATAGCCAGATGCAAATATTCAGGAAATTCAGCAAAACATATGAACGTACAAGTGAATCATACTTATTTCACTGCTTGCTTGTTTTAAATTTAAAATCAAAGATGGTCATTATCACTATAAACGTTTGTATCTATTTTAACAATTTAGTTTTCAATTTGAAAATGTAAAATATCACTATTTTTAGTGATTGAAAATGATAGCATGTTGAGGAAAACATAACTTGGAAGAAAAATATGTATGACCAAATTGGTTCTAAGTATGTGAATTTTAGACACTTTTATTTAATTTTTATTGTTCAGGATACAAAATAAACCACAAGGGTGCGCTGTTTGACAGAAGTACAGTATTCTAATTTTTCCATTTTTTTTCTCCAAAGCACATTTTAATAAAGCAGAAAGAAAATATTGGAAATAGTTACATTGCATGAGAAGTAGAAAATGCTTATTCATGCGGGTAAATAAAGCTAGAGAGATAAATGTCAGTAACACATGACAAAGGGATTTATAATTAGCAATTTTATTCATTTTGAGTTTTTAATGCATTTTCTTGTTCTTTTAAGAGCCACAGAAACTATGTTTGCCTTAGTCAAGGTTTACTGATGTCAGTAAATCTGTAGCTTAGGAAAAATTTTGTCAACCACATTTATTTTATATTTTTTGGCTGTCTATATTTAATAATTTGCCTCATTCTTCTAAGATATTTCTCAATATTAGCAAATTAAAGTATATGGATGGTGTTTTTTTAGAGCTTATACTGAAAATGCTCACATAAAAGGCTGTTGATTTGCTGAGCTAATTTTGACAAACTAACTGTGCAGTTTCCAAAGACTATTCAAAGTTAGCCGAGATAGCAAAGATCCAAGTTAGCAAATGATTTAACCCAAGCTTTCTTAGAATATTTCTGCATCTAAAATTATTTTTTCCATCTAAAGAATACATTTTGAAGAACACATATTTTACTATTATTGCTGCAGTATCCTTTCAAATCCCTAAATTTCTATGTACCCTCTTTCACATTATTTCAAGTCTCATGTCATTTTTCCTATGAAGGTGAATATATCATCTTCTATGAAAATGTTCATTTGAAAAGAAAACTTTCCCATTAGAAATTTTCTGGCAGTATTTCTTGGTAGTTTTTGAGCATTTTTTAAATATGATTTTTCCTGATGATTTGAAATGCCATTTGTGCAACAAGACATATAATAGATCATGCTTTATTTATATGAACCATATAACATATATTCTTATATAAAATGTACACAGTTATTTACGATAAGATTGTCATTTGTGAAATGGGAAGTCAGAAATTCGATTACATTGACTTAAATTGAAAGTGACTTAGAATTCTCAGATAAATCTAAGTTCAGAAATCTAGTTTCTGCACCGTATCTGCTGACCAAGAGTTTATGAAGAGCACATTTAATAAAATCAATGGCCAAAGGATGTTCTGGTCTTATTGACAAATTAGCCTCATAAGCTGATTTTACATTTGAATAAGTGGAAGAAGAGTCAGGGAAAAGTATTTGGTAATCTTGACCCATAGAATTCACAGAACCTTTTGGAGAATTTTTCATTTGGCACATTTGGTGTGACTGCTGCTTGGAATGATGGATATACAACAGCAATCAATTTTTCTCCTGGCTACGGGGATGGCACATCATTTTCTCTGGGATATTACATTGTGGCTGGAAACACTGTAAGAAATGATCTTCACTGGGCATTTTATTTTATCTCATTTTGCATCCTGCTTCAGACAAACACTCAACTATTGAGAAACGGAAACTCTTTGCCATCTAGTATTATGCAAGTGAAATTTAATACCTAGAGTGTTAGTTTTAAAATAACTGACTTAATTTTTTAAATGTTTTACATTATTCATCTTTTATGCAATTTTATATTCTAATATATATCATGGTTTATAAGCAGATAAGATGATGTATTGTCATATACTTATGAAATGTACAGGTACATATTTTGCTATTTTACTTAATTTTAATCCTAGTTATTTTACATAGAGTATGTAAGGTTGTACCCTCTGTTGTAATAGAGTATGTATTTGCAATGTTTAAGAAACATCCCCCTTTTTAGATTTTTACACAGGTTGTTATATTTTATTTTCCCCTCCATTTTCCTCTTATATTTATTATATAGAAAGTGGACCACCATGCATAATTCTACAATTGCCTAGGAACAGTGGTTACCATGGCATTTGCAGTTTGCTGTACAGAATACAGCTGTCTATACTTCCAAAAATATGACTGGTTTCATTCAGTAGAGAAATGTACCAACACAGTATAATATTTAATCTGCTCCCCTTTTTAAGGCTTTCCTAGATATAATACATACTTTGCCACTGTAGTTTTCATCAGATTTTCAAAGGGTCATAATCACAATAACAAAAGCAATGGTGAATGCTTATATAATGCTTACTAATGTTTCAGACAAGGCTCTAAGAACATTACTTATTTAATCCTTATGACAACCCTCTGGGCCATTACATTTTAGGTTTCTGACAGTTTTAGCCTAAAAGAACTATGAATTATGAGGAATTAATAAGTTGTTAAACTTTAAGGAAAAATATATTATTCAAAGAGCAGTAGGTCATTTGTGGAATTAATATGGATTTCTCATTCTTGTCTATTAGTATGTAAAAAGTCGTACCTCTCTAAAATAACATGCTGAGTTAATAAAATAGTATTGAAAATAATTACTGTTAGGAGGCTTACTTTACCAGTATGAAGTTTACTTAGCCTCTCTATCTCTGTGATGTTTGTGACCTCATGGGAAGATTTGCATTTCTCTGGTAACCAGCATGTGTTAACAGAGGCCAGGGCAGATAGAAGCAGGCCTCTTTTCTGGAGCCACAGTGATAACCTTAAGGTGTCCCTGGGATAAGCCTGCTCCCAGCCTTAATTGCCTTTCTGGATGAACTGAGTTGGCCCCAGTTTGTTTGATTGACTGTAGCTTCACTCTGGTATAGGTCCTAAACTCGGTTAACTTCTAGATTATTCACATTCTCCTACCCTGTGGCTAAAAACACCTCTATCCTCATCACTGTGATCACAGGGAATCATGGTTACCACCATTCCCTGTCTTTTAAACTTGATCCTGAGCTCTGCTTTCTGGTGGTTCATCCTGGTTTTTTTTTTTTTTTTTTTCATCCAAGATGTACCATTGAGCTAGACCCTCATCATTGGGCTTTTACTAAATGCTGTATGCAGAGGATTATCATGAGTAAGACTTAGTTTATATACTTTATCAGAGTATCATAGGGTTGATGAAAGCACGGATTGCCTCAGGAAGACAAATGGAAAAAACTTACAGGGGAATAACATGGGATTTTTTAATGTGTGTGTGTGTGTGTGTGTGTGTGTTTCTTTCTATTGTGCCTAGACAAGGGCTGGAAAGAAGAAGTCCTGACCTGGCCTGAGAGAGAGACTCCTGAATTCTACTAATAGGTCTATTATCTTCTTCTTTGCCGTTGTCATTTTTTTTCCTTCACCTTTGCTGAACTTCTCTATGACTTAGTTTTCTCCTCTGTAGAATAAGATTGTGTAATTAAATTTCCCAAAGTCTCTTCCAACTCTAGTATTACAAAATTATGCTATTTTGCTATTTTTTAAAATTGGCCTCTAACAGATGAACGTGCTTGTTTTGGTTTGATCAACGTTAACGAGATGACGGTGTCTAATCCTGGCATTACTCCTCTGAGGATTTCAGAAACTTAAAGTACAATAACAAAATAAAACATTGACTGACATCTTTCTTCCCAAACTCCTGACTGTAACACAAAAGTTAACACAATTGCATAGGTATTGCATTACTAAAAAGAGGTAAAAGACTTGATATTTGATGACGACATGCTTAGGTTAATGAGTTTGTTAACCATGGTAACCATGTTACCATTGACTAATAATGAGTTTTAAAGTAGATGACTTTAAGAGAAATCTAGTGGCAAGCTTGGCCACTCAGAATCCCCTGAATGGGTTTAATTTTATTAACCAAAAAGGTACAAGTTACTGTTGGTGGTGGTATTTAGATCACATATAAGTGAACCTAGCTGTAACCTCATTGCTTCCTCTCATAATATTTATTTCAGCAGATTGGTAGGAGCAGCATTAAAATTGTCCACATAGTGATAGCTGGCCTAGTGTAGATGTAAGAGCTCCAGGCCCTGGTACTGCTGACCTATTTCTTCTCTCGTTATTATAGTTGTCTGGGATCTGACATGCCACCTCTATTCCTTATACCCCTTCACTCTGATGTTATATGACTTTTCTTAATCTACAAAACCTAGGCAGGCTAAGATTTTCTATGCCATCAGTGAAGAATCTTAAAACAGGTTTATATAGAGAATAAGAAAATAGAATGCATAAGCCCTAGATTTTCAGGAGTGTGGAGGAAGTGCCATCCAAAGAGGAAAAGGATGTAGCACAGGGAGATACAGGACATCAGAAATAAACTTCCCCCACCCCACCAAAAGATAACATTTTATTTTTACAAATCACAATAATATAACAAAGAAACTGGCAAGTATGCTTTCATACAATACAAGCCAAAATTTGCATGCACGTGTGTGTGTGTATCTATGTGCATCATGTATATACAGGTGTAAAAAGATACACATATAACAGTGGACACCAAAACTTCTATGAGGCGACTTTTATTTGGGATTTAGTGATTTTTTTCCTCATCATTATATACATTATTTGTGTCTTGTGAGATTGAGCTAATTTTATCACATCAACCATAAAACTGATTTAATTGTGATAAAAACTCACAGCTTATTTTGCAAATTCAATACAAGACCTCATTCTTCTAAATTACATTTATTATAGTGTAATAATAATATATATAATAATGACACTTTAAAATTGACTTGCTTGTCTAAGTTGTAAAAATTTTTTAACATTCTTCCATCAAGAGTTAAGAGTTAAAACTTGACCCTCAGATATATGAAAAGTTCAGTTATTGGGACACAATAGCAAATACCATAAATTAATGTCAATTTATAAGATATTTTATACTATTTAATAGTGTTTATTGTGAATGTCCAGGTTGGAGAAGAATAATGTGAGTCTGTCCCTTGAAAAACAAAACATGAGTTTTAAGACAATTTCAAGGGATTGTTTACATTCTCTCCACTAACCCCACCCTTTTCCACCTGTGAAAATCATAAACAGAACCAACAGATTCTATTAGAAACATTTAACATTATTGAAGTTGAGCCTCTATGTTTCTATCCCCTGAGTGTTTTTATTTTCCATATGTATTCTTTCATTTAACTCTTTAATCCAGGATACGTCAATTTCAATGACCCACTTTTTATAATTCAACTATGATTAATAAGTGATCTAATAACTAGTACAGAGCAAGTATTCAGTAAATCTCTTGAATGCCGTTTGATTCTATTTTCTTCAGCTAAATTTAGTTGGATTTTGAATCAGGAAATTCTGATCTGGGTGTGAATTCTGGGGGATTAACAATCTGGCATGGTTTTCAACCTGACCTTGCCACTTTCATTAGTAGATTCTGTTTCTCCTTGTGGTATTTTCCTTTTTACAGACCATAAAATTCAGTGATGTGCATTCCTGTTAGAAGTGCAGTTTTCATTAATGGCAAGCAGACTTATCAGTGACTCTAACTAAAGTAAATAATTGAACATCTCTAATGATTAACCAAAGCAGTTTCCCCTAGTAAGTAGAAACCTCTGTGTTTTCTCATTTTGTAAAGCCTTTAGACTTAATAAATTTTAATCTCTACCACTTTTTAAAATGTAGTCATAATTTGAACAAAGTAAATGTTTGTTGGTAGTAAAAGCTGAAGACAGTTATAAATGGTTCTTTAATTTTTCACATTAAATTTGCTTATGAGACATTTCAAATGTATGTACTATAATACATATCCATGAATTCATCACTGATTCAACAAAGTAGTGTTAAATATTTAACTTTTATTAAAGTCCTTTAAAGTATGTTGAAGAGACCTGAGTTGACTCAAAGGTGGAGATTTTTAGACCCACAATGAATGTTTATACAGTAGACTAAGCATTGGTTCCTGAACATTGGGCACTGTTGAGTTTTAAGGTTAATTATTACTGAGACTGATTCCAATAGGACTCTTACCAACACAGTCACCAGAGAGTACAATCTTAAATACCTCCTTTTACCTATGCTTTTTACTCCAACATCTGTATAACTATAATTCTTATTTTATTTGCAGAACACTTTCATGTACTTTAAAACAGACAAATTGCATGTAATAATATCAGCTGATGGTTATGAAGCATGTATTGTATGCTAGGCACTGTGCTATGTATTTTACATATAATATTTCATTTAAGTATCCCAGCCCCTTTTGACATAGGTGCTAGTACTTTTCCTTTTCATGAATGAGGAGGCCGAAGGTCACAGAGACAATAAATGGCATGTTTCCTGGTTCAACCGCTTGTATTGACTCCAAAACCCATTTCTTTGGGAATCATTGTAGTGGGTCGCCTTCTACCTTGCAAACTCTCTGTAAGCCTCTCTCCAACTAGACAAATTCAGATTCAGAAATAGTGGGTAGTTTAGCTCTGATGAATGCAAGAGCAGAACTATTGGGAGACTCTTTGGAGCATACTCCTAAAGTGCACAGAAGAAAATACAGCTTAAGAATGCTGCTGCTGGCCGGGCACAGTGGCTCACGCGTATAATCTCAGCACTTTGGGAGGCCGAGGCAGGTGGATCACAAGGTCAGGAGTTCAAGATCAGCCTGGCCAAGATGGTGAAACCCCATCTCTACTAAAAATACAAAAAATTAGCCAGGCATGGTGGTGGCTGCCTGTAATCCCAGCTACTCGGGAGGCTGAGTCAGAGAACTGCTTGAACCCGGGAGGCGGAGGTTGCAGTGAGCTGAGATCGCACCACTGTACTCCAGCCTGGGCAACAGAGCGAAACTCCGTCTCCAAAAAAAAAAAAAAAGAATGCTGCTGCTTAGGGATCAGTGGTCTTCCCAGCCTTTTAATTTAATTTAATTTAATTTTTCAGCATTCTAAATTCATGATGTGTATTACTTAAATATTACTTAAATGCTGTGGCAGTTTAGTAAGGCTGCTTTTAGCATTAGTCATTCCTGGGTTTGGAGCCTCTCCAGTCTTGCATGTTAGATATGTATATTCTCTGTAAATCCCAGTGTATACATGTGCTTTCCTGGCTACAGTCTATTTAGAAATATCGAAGTCTCCTAACTTAAATGTCCCTTCTTTTCCTGCAGACTTTACCGCGCCTCCCCAAGAGAAGGTTTTTTAGTAGATGTAGAACATCTCTTTCTCAAGTCCCAGTTGTTCTTCCATTTTGTGTTAAGAGTGATGTTTTAGTTAACACACAATTTGATTTTTATTTGATTTTTATTATCTTAACTTCCCTTGGCAATTTCTTAAATAATTGAAATTATTTTCCAAGAGTCTTCATAAAACCTCTTGCCTCTGTGTCTTATGACAACAAAAAATATATATATTAAGCTATTTCCTTGAATGTTAATATGAATATTACTCATATTTCAAAAGAAAATTTACATTTCTGTCCTTCATTAATCTGTTGGTTATTATCTAAACTCACTATTCTTATTTCTTCAAAACTCTTGCCTTTGCACGACTTATACCAGTTGTTAAATTTACATTTTGTCCTCAACTTTAATAAGTTTTAACCATTATTAACAGCGTAAGTTCCAGTTATGACAGACCACATAATTGTACGTCGTATCAATTAGTGACAATCATGTTCACTTTCCTCTAATGTCTTTTTATTTTTATTTATTTATTTATTTATTTTGAGATGGAGTTTCACTCTTGTTGCCTAGGCTGGAGTGCAGTGGCGCAATCTTGGCTTACTGCACCTCCACTTCCCGGGTTCAAGCGATTCTTCTGCCTCAGCCTCCCAAGTAGCTGGGATTACAGGCACACACCACCATACCCGGCTAATTTCTGTATTTTTAGTAGAGACGGGGTTTCACCATGTTAGTCAGGCTGGTCTCAAATTCCTGTCCTCAGATATTCTACCTATCTTGGCTTCCCAAAGTGCTGGGATTACAGGCGTGAGCCACGGCACCCAGCCAATGTCTTTTTTCTTAGCCTCTTTAATTCAAATTTCAGCTTTAGTAATGCATATCCATTTACCATCATGATACCCATGCACAACATGGTAAGGGTGGTGAATGTCACAGAATAGGGTTGTAAAATAAATGCTTCCCCTGATGTCCATGGCTTTGTGTTTTCAATATGCATTTCCCCCAGTTATCTTCATAAATGCTGTTGAAAAAAATTTAGCATTTATAAAACTGAAATATGTCTGTTTTGACAAATTTTAAATTCTTTATCCATAAAAATATAAATACTCTGTTTTACAAAAAGCTAGCTTATTTTAAGACCTCTAGCCTGAATAATGAAATATATGAGTCTATGGTTATTCTGTCTTTAGTTATGAATAGGCTCATAAAAATTTGTGAGTCTGTGTATATTCCTCCATTTTTATTTCTATACTGTCTGCTTTATTATAACCAAAATATAAGAGCTCTAACTCCCAAGTAGATACTCTCATTGAGAAATTCATGTCATGGCTGCTTTTATCATGGAAAAGACCAGTAAGTGACAAAGATTAGGAATGTGACCTAAAGGTGAACACATTTTTATTATACACCTCATGAAAGCAATCAGTTGAAACAAGGGAAACATGGAACTAGGGAGGAAAATCAAATGCTCTTGTTGCTTCATGCTTTAAGCTACCACTTATTGATCACCTGTTGCATTCTTACTGGTAAACTAGATCTGCCATAGGAGTGGAGCATGGCTTTAATAGGGCTTTACAGAAGTAAATCCGAGAAATAAAATCACATCTTCTACTGCTTTTGATTTGTAGACAATTATTTTTTTAAAGTGAAGGGCCATGTTCTTTTGGGAGAACTTTTGGCCTTTTTTCTGATGTTTCCTAAATGTGTTACTCTTAAGATATCAAGGGAAAGTTTTAGAACAGAAGGGCATTATCAGTAGAAAGATTTCTATTTAACCTTTATATTCTATTCAAAACAATATTTAAATACTGGCAACTCCTTGGTGCACTTCTTTCTTACCTTTTTGTTGCAGCGGGCCCTTGTTTTGAATTATTTCAAACATCCATTGAGAATCCACCCCCATGCCTACCCCAGTCAGGATGATCATAATATTTAGTCAGAATTGACTTCAGTGACTCTGAGACAGAATCTGAGTTTGGGTGGCAGGCTTTAACTCATTTCTTGCTGGATTATAGAGAAATCTGAAGAATTTTGGAGGAGGAATCAGAGTAATGGGATGGGGTTGGAGGCAGCTCTTTACCAACTAGTAGGAGAGAAGTTTAACATTTCAACTGTTGGTAAAATCTCCCTGGTGCCACCTTGTCGCACCCCCCTGTTATGAGGCACAGTTAGTGGGTTTATGAGAGGTTTGTTCAGTGAAGCTCCTGCCACTGTAGACCTAAATGTTTCTCTCCCTGTTGAAGTGACCTGCCTTCCTCTTTAGTACCTAACACAGTTGGCAAAGAGCATGGCTAACTCAAACCCTTTTCTTTGGGGGCAGGCTTCCCTTTCTCTCTGGCAGGTATATTAAAAAATTACAAAATAGTAAATTTGCCAAATTTTTCTTGGTGTGTAGCAAGGCATAAAGACTGAAAAATATCTTATGAATTAGTTCACTTCCCTTAGAGGTACCTACGTTGTCTTGTAAGACTAGAATGCCCCAAGCTTTACACGTGCCCCTGGTCTGAGTATGTCAAGGTCTTTTATTTACAAATGAAGATGGCAGCATATCATTCATTTTTTTATTCATTCAAGGAGTATTTACTTAGAACCCTCTGTGAGCCAGACATGGTTCTGGACATACAGCAGTGAGTGAAATAGTAGGGGAAAAAAATCTCTGCCTCTGTGGTCAACCCCAGTGGGAGCAGACAATGTACAAGGCAAATAAGTCAACTGTATAGTATGTTAGAGAGCAATTAAATGCTCATCATAGAAATAAATCTAGGAAGCAGGGATAAGAAATGTTGGGAGTCAGGGAGGAGTTCATTGAAAAGATGACATTTGACCGGGTATGGTAGCTCATGCCTGTAATCCCATCACTTTGGGAGGCCAAGGCAGGCAGATCACTTGAGGTCAGGAGTTCGAGAGCAGCCTAGCCAACATGGTGAAACCCCATCTCTACTAAAAATACAAAAATTAGCCAGGTGTCATATTGCATGCCTGAAATCCCAGCTACTCAGGAGGCTGAGGCATGAGAATCACTTGAACCTGGAAGGTGGAGGCTGCAGTGAGCCAAGTCACCCACTGCACTCCAACCTAGGTGGAGAGTGAGACTCTGTTTCAAAAAAAAAAATGACTTTTGAGAAATGGCCTGAAGAAAATGAAGGGACACCGAGTTATCAGAAGAAAAAGCATTCCAGGCACAGGGAGCAGTAAGGGTGACCACCCTGTGATGGAGGAACTCTGCCGGCACATTTGAAGAGCAGCAAAGAGGCCAGTGTGGCTGGAGTGGAGTGAGCCATTCCATTACCAAAGGAGAGGCCAGAGAAAGCTAGACACCGGGTTGTTAATGGACTTATAAAGGGAACTATTAGTGGGTTTTGACCAAAGTTACCTAATCTGGCTTACATTTTAATAGGATCCTTTTTTCTGATCTTATTTAAAGATAGCAGATTCTTTTTGCTGCTATGTTGAAGGACTATAGGGAAACAATGTGGAGATGGAGTCTAATTAGGTACTTCCTAATGATGAGTCAGACAACATAGTAGCAGTTAAGCTGGATGTTGGATGTCTTCTAAGGGAAGGGAAAAAAGGGTTGACTCAGTGTGAGATGTGACAGATACAAGATGAGGGTGAATGGAAGGATGACTTGTTCTTTACTAAGACAGGGAAGGCTGTGAGAATAGGATGTGGCAGAGGGATAAAGAGGAATCATCATGATCTCAGTTTTAGACATGCTAAATTGAAGAGGCTTCAGACATTAAGGGGAGATCAGAACAGAGGTCCAAGATAGAGACGTGGATTTGGAATTCATCAGCATGCAAATAATACATAAAGAGAATAGATGAGATCCTCTGGAGAGGGAGCAGAGATACTAAATGGAATGTGTTCACAGACCACACTCTGTGTCACACCAGTGTTGATCAGGAGATGAAGAGAAGCAGACACAGAAAACTGAGTAGCCAGAGAGTACGGATCTATAGAGAGTAAGAAATGTGGTCTCCTGGAAGAAAAATAATGTATTTTAGGAGGGTGGTCAGCTTTGTTTAATGTTGCTAATAGGTCTCATAAGTGAGTTCTGAGAAGTGGCCACAGATTTCTTCATAGTCAAGGTCTTTGGTGACTTTGATAGGAATCCTTTTAATGGATCAAAGGCTGGGAAAAGTATCATTGAAAGGATTCAAGTGGGATAAGAGAAATTGGAGACACAAACTGCAAACAACTCTTTTGTTTATTTATTCATTTTTTCAAGATGGAGTTTCACTCTTGTCGCCCAGGCTCGAGTGCAATGGCGCAATCTTGGCTCACTGCCACCTCCGCCTCTGGGATTCAAGCGATTCTCCTGCCTTAGCCTCCCGAGTAGCTGGGATTACAGGCACATGCCACCACGCCTGGCTAATTTTTTTATTTTTAGTAGAGACGGGCTTTCACTACGTTGGCCAGGCTGGTCTCGAACTCTTTACCTCAGGTGGTCTGCCCACCTTGGCCTTCCAAAGTGTGTGAGCCACACTTTGGAATTACAGGTGTGAGCCACCTGAACAACTCTTTTAAATAGTTATTTATTCGTTCATTCATTCATTCATTCATTCTTGGTAAAGGCAAAGAGCAAAGATGACATGGCATTTGGTCAGGAGGCACTGACCCCTGCTGAAGGAGGATGTCTTAGGGTCTGCTGACAGTCACGGGCTAGGAGTGTGAGCAGTAGCTCTTTGCAGTAGGTGACCTTGAAGGACCTGGCCTCAGGTAGACATATAGATTTTTGCAGTGTTCCTCACTGAAACACTGCAGCTGTAAAGAGGTAGATTTAATCAAGCCAAATACTACTATACAAATAATGTTCCCTTTTTCATCCCTTCCTTTTAATGTCTCCAGATTTTTCTTTAAAAGTTAGGTTTTAACTCTGTTACTTATGAGTCCTCTACATTACAGTTAGTTGTTTGTGTGGCAGTTTCCCATTCTAGCCCAAGTTTCTTGAGAAAGGCCGTATTTTATTTTTCTTTACATATCTATCCCATAGCCCAGCTTCTGTGTGTGGCAGATGCTTCATAAACGTTTTTAAGGAATGACTGTTATGTTCCATTTGGATATATCCTGTGCTTGACGTAAAGTTCAGTGTCTTCCTAAAGTTTGCTACTGATTTCTAAATGTAGGATTTTATTTGGTCATTTTGTTTTCCAGAGTCCCTGTGAAGCAGGAAGAGTGAGGGCAGGTTCACTGCAGCTCAGCAGCATGTCTGCAGGGAATTCATCTTTGAGAAGGACAAAGCGAAAAGCACCTTCCCCACCCTCCAAAATACCCCCGCATCAAAGTGATGAAAATAGTCGTGTGACTGGTAATGTGGTTGTTTCATTAACATTACATTTGTATTGTGTTTTGTTTAATATGGACAGTAGGAAAGATATGGGTATGTAAGTTATGCTTTTTAAATAATACTTAGGCTTTTTAAATACATCTTGATTAGTCTCACTTTGCTGCCGTTTAAAAATCTGAAACATCACCAAATAAAGTGTCAAAATTATACAGCTCCATTATCCTAAGATGAGCATGTCATAATCTGTGAATTTATTCAGAAAGATGCTGCCATTTCAGGATTAGCTGTATGTAGAAAAGGGAGTCTAAGTGGATTTTAGTGTTTTACAGCTAGATAGTAAAATGGCTTCTAGCAAGGCTTACTGCTTTCTGAACTATATAACTAAGTTAAACTGTTAAGGAATTGTTTTATTTGTGAATATGACTTTATAAGTTGTGTTGCTTCTTTCCTTTAGCCTTACAGCCAGTAGATGGAGTTCCTCCAGACAGTGCTTCAGAAGCAAACTCTCCTGAGGAGCTATCCAGCCCAGGTATGACACCCTTATTCTACATGGTGTAATTACTGAAAAAGGACGTCCATGATAATTGAGAAATGAGTCCATTTGCGATGCTTTGTACATGAAAGAGATACAGATTCTTTGGCCTCATTTCCCAAATTTTTATTATGAAATAAATTCTTGCCCCCACCCCTCTGCCCCTCAACCCAATTAGAGTATGAAGCTGGCAGAGATCAAAATTTCAGTTCTGGAATTGTCCTTGAGTACTTTTTCTATGTGGTCTCCTGCTTTCCTTTATGCAGTATCAGGTTAACATTTATTAACCTCCTTCCCAAGTGTAATGACACACCGTAATTAGGAATGTACCTTGGTGTGTGCAGAAGAAAACTTACAGGAAAGTGTAAGCACAATTTCTTGATGCAACTGTTCTAGGTATGAACTCAACATACAAGTTACCCTACTCTAATGGTAAAAATCTGTTACCATGAAAATGTTTTCTGTTGCAGTATATGGCTCTCCTCTAGGATTCTTTCCAAACAAAATTCCATTACAAGTTACATAATTTATAGTAATACTTTTCCAGTGTTTTTAATAATAGCTACTTAGTAGCTTTTCTAAGAAGTATGATAAAAATGTTTTAATCTTTAGAGTTACTATTAGACATCAATGAATGTGATAGACTAGTAATATCATACCAAAAATAGAATATGATTATGCTAGGACTTTATCATGGGGATAATTCTGTAAGTATAAAAAATGCTTAATATGACTCGCCTGATTTTTATAATTTATATTCCAAATACAGGAAACATTTAGGAGGAACACTCTTGAATCTTTCATCTTTAAGTGGTATTTAAGAATTTGGAATTTTAGCATATATATGTAAGAATTCTTCACTCCTCTGTGATTTTAAATCTTACTCTCAGATAACTAGTAATGATTTTTCTCAGCTTTTACTCAGAATAATATAAATGGCACCATTTTTTTCCACAAAGGAAATGTATTGAATAATAACAATTACAACTGTTGAGTGAAATTAGAAGTCACTGAAATATTATAAAAAGGAGTGCATGCTATTCAAACTTTGCTTCATATCTGTTTTTCTTCATTTGTTTTTTTCCTTTTACCTCTTCTTATTTAATGCATGGATAATTGTGAGCTAACAAATCTGATTTCTTCCAAAATGCTTCTTGGTCTCTGCTTGCCTTAACTCTGTTGTCTAAGTGCCATTTCTACAGATTCTACTTCTTTGGCAGAAACCTTTCACCCTGGGCTTTCCAGTCAGGAGCAGTGCACTGCGCCCAAACTGATGGAGGAAACCTCTGTCTTTGAGTGCCCTGGGACACCTGAGGCAGCCATAACATCATTGACATGTAGGTGGTCAGGCCTTTCCTGGCTGGTGCTTTGTGTCAGGCAGGTTAAGATATCATCGACTGTAAATTTGATGAGCTATTGAAACCTTGTGTAAACATATTTTATAAAGAAAGAGAAGTTTCCCCTTTTTCACTTGAAATTTTATCTGGGTGTAGAGTTTGTTGTTTTTCCCAACCATACAGATGAATACAACAGAGTGGATTAGTTAAATAAAATCAGTGGTTCCGAAGAATTTTAGCTTCTCTTCTATTTGGCTTATATATACTGAGGGGTCACTTTGAAAACACAATTGAGGCTGGGCATGGTGGCTCACACTTAAAATACCAGCTACTCATGAGGCTGAGGTGGAAGATTGCTTGAGCCCTGAATTTTGAGACAGCAGTGAGCTATGATCATGCCACTGAACTCCAGCCTGGGTGACAAAGCAAGACCTTATAATAAAAATTAAAAAACACATTTGTATCTAAACCATCATGGCCTTTCATTTTTTTTCAATACAGAGTTTTCAAATTATTATTATTATTATTTTTTTTTTTTTTTTTTTGAGGAGTCTCACTGTTGCCCAGGCTGGAGTGCAGTGGCGTGATCTCGGCTCACTGCAAGCTCCACCTCCTGGGTTCACGCCATTCTCCCGCCTCAGCTTGCTGAGTAGCTGGGACTACAGGCGCCCGCCACCACACCTGGCTAATTTTTTTGTATTTTTAGTAGAGACGGGGTTTCACTATGTTGGCCAGGATGGTCTCGATCTCCTGACCTTGTGATCCGCCCTCCTCAGCCTCCCAAAGTGCTGGGATTACAGGCGTGAGCCACCACGCCCAGCCTAGAGTTTTCAAATTATATAAATACGTTCTTAACACATAGATACAATATGCTATCGTAGACACATTATTTCTATTTCACATCATAATAAAGCATCATTTGCCAAAATATGTACATTTGAATATTCACTTAAACCTAAATTTTAAAATATTTTTTATTGAGTAATCTATTTTTATTAATGATAAAAATACCATTAAAATTTCTCATGTTTATTTCTCAAAGAGCACAAATAGCACACTTTTCTGTCTGTATACTTAGAGATAAAATTTTAAAAATATATTTTAAGTACTTTAAATATTGAATTATGTTAAAAATTTAAATTAAATTTTCTGAATGTGCTGATTACTATAATTGGATGCTACACCACCTCCCCACCCCGCCCCCCCCTCCCACCACATCCCCAGCCTTGGGATAAAATTAAATTTCATTCAGATACTGTGGTGTATATGGAAATGTTTAATTATATTTAGCAAAAATCCAGAACCTCACTCTGGCTTACATTTACTTCCATGGCTAATCTTGACAATAAGCATGAACATTAACTGCTCAGGATGCCTCCTTCTCTTTTACCCTGCTGGCTACTGGTTGTTGGTGATAAAATACATTTTTTTTATACAGTGAAATGTTAACCACAGCTATTGAAAATATTTATGTGTAAACATATATATTAATATGGATGATATTTAAGATATTGTAAGTGGAAAAAAAGCTAGGTGGCTACAGTATGCTTCCATTTATATTAAATAAACTAACAAAAGGAAACGTGAGTATGGTTATCAGCCTATGTATGTATATTACACTTTCTCAGGACATACAGGAAAAACTGTTAAAGCAAGTTGCCTCTGAGAATCAAACTGGTTAGGAATAAAACTTAATTTTCATTGTCCAATACTTGCTCTATTTGTATTTTCACAAATTAAGCATCTAGGTCAGTGGCTTTTAACTGAGGTTGCATAGTAGAATCATCTAAGTAGTCTTAAAAATCCCTTGCCCCACCCTTCAGAGATTCTGATTTTGTGGAGTAGGGTGTGAGCCTCAATATTTTTAAAGGGGGCTCAGGTAATTCTCAAGTATAGTTGGTACTAATAACTATTGAGTCAAATTTTATGAGTGCCCTTGTAGACAATACAAAAATCTCATGTGCTTTTCATTTTCACTTTTAAAATTATTAATTTGCCTTTAATTTGCACTATTGAGTTGCTGGATGAGTGTAAAAACCATTCAATTGTAAGACATTTCTTAAATGAAATATTTAACTTAAAGTTTATGAGATTAAATAACCTCTTGTCTCTACCATGAATAAAACCTAGAGTGATAGCAAATTGTTTTGGGAATTATGAGTCTGAGATAATCTGGTTTTATGTTAACGTGACTGCTCACCAGGAGAAAGAACTTCACTATTATTTTTGAGGCAGAATTTAAAAGAGTCCAGCTAATTATTATTTTTCAAAATTCCTTCCTTGCCAGAATTGCATGTGATGAATGAGGCAAATTAATATTTAGGATTATATCTGCATTTCTTTGTAGCTGGAATAAGCTCTGATTATAGCCTTGAAGAGATAGATGAAAAGGAAGAACTGAGTGAAGTGCCTAAAGTTGAAGCTGAAAATATTTCTCCGAAGTCACAAGATATTCCTTTTGTATCTACTGATATAATAAATACACTGAAAAATGATCCTGACTCAGCCCTTGGCAATGGTAGTGGAGAGTTCTCACAAAACTCCATGGAAGAAAAACAAGAAACTAAAAGCACAGATGGACAGTAAGTAGTCTCTGTGCTGGAGTGTTGGTGGCCGTTAGTTTAATTAATACTAGTCTTCTGAAATATAGATCTGATATTTTAAACATAAATATAGTCAGCCCTTTGGTTTTGACTTTATCCTTTTTACCATTATATAAGAATGTTTATTAATGAAGTACTTATTTGCATGTAATTACATTCAAAGAAAATCAAATGTGACAGTTCTAATATCCCTGTGTCAGATAAACCATGAGAAATAGTTTGTGTGATTCAAAAATGAAAATTTTTCTTTTTGTGGGTGTTTTGCCTGTTAACCTATGTGACCTATATGTAATATTTAATTTTCAATTTTTACCAAGTATTCCTGGTGGATTTTCACTGGTATATGAAAACAATTATGCATATTAGAATATGATGTTAAATCACGAGTATTATCTTTGCAGTCAACTTTATGAAACAGAGAATGTACTTTCTGCTTTATTCTAGAAACAGACAGCTATAGTCTAGTCCACTTAGGTTTGAAATGCAACAACATGGATAAAGATGAAATCAACCAAGCAAAATAAACCATATATGTCAGACGTTTATTATAATTTGCATGAGATTGTCTCCTTATTAAACTATTCTACCACCAAAGGGAAAAAAAGATCAGTGAGGTCAATCTACATTCTTATTTATATAGTTGACCTTGCCAGATGAAAAACTAAAATGTTTCATTTAATTTCCTTTTTCTTTAAAAGGCAAATAAATGATAATAGCAAAATAAAGCCACTATTTTGGAAAAGTGTCTATTTTACCAAGCTTCTTTCTTTTTAATGGGACCACCACATGAAAGCTAATGTTTCATAGCAGCATTTCTTCTCAGTTATATTTTTTCTCTGCTATTAAATTTCCGATGTTTGGCAGAAATAAATGATTATTTTAGTCCATCTGTCTTTGGAAATTATTGCCTGTTTCTCATTGTGTGTGTGTGTGTCTGTGTGTGTGTGTATGTGTGTGTTTCAATAGTATCAACATATAACATACAATGTCGTATCTTCCAGAGAACCACACAGTGTAGTATATGATACAAGCAATGGAAAGAAGGTAGTTGACAGTATAAGAAACTTGAAGTCGTTGGGCCCAAACCAAGAGAATGGTGAGTTATATAAATTAATAGCCAACACTTTCTTACTTTTATTATGTGCCAAGGACAGTTCTTAACACTTTATATGTATTAACTCATTTAATCTCCTGTAACTCACTTAATACCTACCTCATTTATGGATATTATGGGTACTATTATTTTTAGTTCCATTTTACAGATGATTGTGCCACAGAGATATTAAATAACTCACCTGAGGTCTCACAACTACTACGGTAAGTGGTGAACCTAGGATTTAAACTGGGGCAATATTGCTCTAGAGTGTGCCCTTAACTACCATGTGTACTACTTTTGTTGTTAAAACATAGAAATTATCTAATTTAGACTTTGGATCTTAAAAATGTTTCTTCTGTGTATCTATTTGCGATCTGTTTCTCTTTTTTTCCATCTAACTTCCTTGGATGAAACTTTTCTGCCTGATTTTTCAAGGCCCAAATCATCTAATAATATAACCTTATTTACCACTGTTTCCCAGTTCCCATCCTCATATTAGCACAACTTATTTTTTCTCATGATGTCATTTGCTTATTTCTATATCATAAGGCATATATTCATGTTGTCTTTGTCTGAAAGACAATTTTTCATCTATTTTACCCATTCAATTTTTATCCAAATCATATCATTTCATGTTTTTACTTGATTATTAGAAGCTTTGCGGTTCTATATTTATGATTCCTCAACTGAATTAGGCAGTCTTGGATCAGATAAATTACATGTGATACTTTGCACTACTCATGGCACCTAACAGAATCCTGAGATACTCATAAAATATGTACTTAGTATTGAATTTCAGAAAAACAATCCTATGCAAATAGAAAATTCAAAAAATACTCAATGGTGTTTTAAGGGGTTAAGAAGGAAGTGGCTTATGAATTCTCATAGTCCAATCTATTATGTTAATCTAGAAAACTAGGTTAAGATATTTAGAAAACTTAGGATGTAGTATTCATATTTGAATAAGACATAGATAATCGCAATGTCATACTTATATATATAATTATATATATATATAATTGTATGTGTGTGGTATGTGTTCATTAACTTGATTATGTGTGCTACTGATTCATTTTCTCCCACATTCAATACCATTGTGAGATATCATACTGAGAAGGTCTAAAAGCAAATAATTTTTTCATTCTTTTCCACTTGAGTCAGTTTTTCACAGCATGTACTGTGATGGCAATAGCATTCCTATTGAGAAATTATGATTTAAAAGCTGCTTCTTTCTCTTTAAAACAATAGTCAAGTTGTATCATTTTTGTTAAGACTTTTGTTGTCAAGTTAGTGCCAGAGTCACAAGTACATTTACGTAGTACTTTGATTTGCATATGGTTTGTTTTGCTACGACTTTTGTCAACTCTAGTTGTTTTTTAAAGTAAATAATGTCTATTATTCTTAAAGTAGTTTTATTCTGTTTTCCTTTTTACCTACCCTTATCTAAATCACCTTCTTGTAAGTTTGTCAATGTCAGTGTCACTTTTGAGTAGAGGGTCACTATAGTATAAAAGATACCTTCTCCCTCTACTGGCCATTCTTGGAAAATGATCTAGCCATTTATAAACACTTGGTTAACATCATTGTCAGTTGTATATGAGGATGGATTCTGGGTTTCCAGGACTGCCAATCACTGGAAATGATCATGAAATGTTGAGAAGAAATTCAGAGTTAGACAATGGTAAAGTAGGTGTAACCTACCAAAAATATGAAAAAGAGAGACTTATAATTCTAAAACCAATAAATTAGGGTTTTTAAACGGGGATTCAATTTAAAATATATGTTTACATTGACTTTCTTTCTTTTGGAAAATATTTCTGGGAAATACATATACTCAGTGGAAAATTAGAAATAAGAAAGAAAGAAGGAAATACATTTAGACTCATTTCCTGCTGCCAGAGATTGTTTCTTAAATTCTTTCATGCTTATAACTGTTCAAAATAGTGTTTTTCATATGAACATTGAAAAATACTTATGAACCAAGTAAATTGAGAGCAGAGGCAGAAATGTGCCTCTTCTATGGTTCCTAAGAACATGGGTCTTTAATTTTGTAAATCAAAATAGTTAATAATAATTGGTCATTGAGAAAAGAATTCACCTAAGTAGATGGTACGTATTCTGATACTCAGTTGCATTTTATCTGGGAAGAATAAAAATGAGTTCCATTTTAAAATTACATGTTTAATATAGGAATCTTGCAACACAATATAGAATATTAACTGCCACAACCAAATAACTGTGCAATCAGGCAGAGTTTAAAAATGTGAAGATATGTTTTTAAATTGTATACAAATTTACCTAACATGATATTTTTCTGCATGCATATCTTTTTTCTTTTTCTTTTTTTAAGAGAGAAACTATATAATATAGCTTATTACATTTTAGGCAGTGTACTTCATCTCATTCTTATAGGTAATAGTGGGTAATGATAAAACTATAGAGAAATAACTTGACATAATTTCACAGTTTGACCCCCAAGGCTCACATTTAACTTGTGCTGTGCAAACTATTGCCATATGTGAAAAGGCCACTAGGGTTTTGAAGATAAGCACAGTGATGGTGCAGGAAGCATGATTCTTCAGGGCATTTGAATAGAGGAGCAGAGGAATGACTTAATTCGGTACTGGGCACATGGTGCAGACTCCAAACCCTGTTTCCTTCCACATGCCTCCTGCCAGTGCTTTGCCATCATGTTGTTGACTGGAAGCTGTTGCTCTGTTAACCTAGACACTGGCAAATGAGTTTTGTTTTCAGGAGGTCTGAATTAGAATCAAGAGGAAAAGTAGTGCAAGGGAGAGGAAGGTTATTTTCTCTACTTTGATTTTGACTCTGACTGTAGAATAAGGATGCCTATTTCCAACAGAGAAAAATCAAAACCATTATGACTGATTTCATGTCATTGAAATCACCCATGTTATAACTAAAAATAAAGTCCTCTAACAGCCTTCAGCAAAGATACCTAGTTAACAAGACAATCAACTGAGATTCTGTTTTTACTATAAATCTTAATGTTTTCTGTTAAGGCCTTCATTAAAACTGCATTTGCTGGGATTCTTTTCCTTTTAATGTTAGGTATGAAAATATAAATATGCTAGGGGCTATAGAAAAGACAGTCAAAATAGAGGAAAAATACAGTTTTTGAATTTGTCAATTTCTATTTTTTGTCATGAACAATGACTGAATGACATCTTCTAAGAAGTAAAAACTTTATTTACCTTCTATGGAGTGTTTATTCTGGTCAATATACTAATGAGCATGCTATCTAAATGATACACATATAATATAAATATTTTCACCTTTTTATGTCTGAGCAAACTGAGGCTCAAAGGGGTTAATTAACATGTTGTGGCCACACTAGTTAAGCCAGGGATTCCAAACTTCAGTCTGTATGAATCCAAAGCACGTACTGTTTTCTCTGTATGCTACTACCTACCTTTATATAGTCAGTGAGTTGAAAATTATCTGTAGAATTCAAACCAAACTATTTCAGGTTGGAGAAAGTAGGCATTAAAAACTTGAGGTTTTCTACTTCTTTCATATATTTAACTTGATGATTTTTTTCTCTCAGTAGTTCAAAATGAAATAATTGTCTATCCAGAGAACACAGAAGACAATATGAAAAATGGAGTGAAGAAAACAGAAATCAATGTAGAAGGTGTTGCCAAAAATAACAACATTGATATGGAAGTTGAGAGACCATCAAACTCTGAGGCACATGAAACTGATACTGCTATAAGTTACAAGGAAAACCATCTAGCAGCTTCATCAGTACCAGATCAAAAACTGAATCAACCCAGTGCAGAAAAGACAAAAGATGCAGCAATTCAGACAACCCCTTCTTGTAACAGTTTTGATGGGAAACACCAAGATCATAATTTATCTGACTCCAAAGTTGAAGAATGTGTGCAAACTTCAAATAACAACATATCAACTCAACACTCATGCTTAAGTTCACAAGATTCTGTAAATACCTCAAGGGAATTCAGGAGTCAAGGCACCCTAATTATACATTCAGAAGATCCGCTTACCGTAAAAGATCCAATTTGTGCACATGGTAATGATGATCTTTTGCCTCCTGTAGATAGGATTGACAAAAATTCCACTGCTTCTTACCTAAAGAATTACCCACTTTATAGACAGGACTACAATCCCAAGCCAAAACCTTCAAATGAAATTACACGAGAGTATATACCCAAAATTGGCATGACTACTTATAAAATAGTGCCTCCCAAATCCTTGGAAATATCGAAAGACTGGCAATCAGAAACCATAGAGTATAAAGATGATCAGGACATGCATGCTTTAGGGAAAAAGCACACTCATGAGAATGTGAAAGAAACTGCCATCCAAACAGAAGATTCTGCTATTTCTGAAAGCCCAGAAGAGCCACTGCCAAACCTTAAACCGAAGCCTAACCTGAGAACAGAGCATCAAGTGCCCAGTTCTGTGAGCTCACCTGATGATGCCATGGTTAGTCCTCTGAAACCTGCTCCCAAAATGACAAGAGACACTGGCACAGCTCCTTTTGCACCAAATTTGGAAGAAATAAACAATATTTTGGAATCAAAATTTAAATCTCGGGCTTCAAATGCCCAGGCCAAACCCAGCTCTTTTTTTTTGCAGATGCAGAAGAGAGTATCGGGTCACTATGTGACATCTGCAGCTGCCAAGAGTGTCCATGCTGCCCCTAATCCTGCTCCAAAAGAACTGACAAATAAAGAGGCAGAAAGGGATATGCTGCCTTCTCCGGAGCAGACTCTTTCTCCCTTAAGTAAAATGCCTCACTCTGTTCCACAACCCCTTGTTGAAAAAACTGATGATGATGTCATCGGTCAGGCTCCTGCTGAAGCCTCCCCTCCTCCCATAGCTCCAAAACCTGTGACAATTCCTGCTAGTCAGGTATCCACACAAAATCTGAAGACTTTGAAAACTTTTGGTGCCCCACGACCATACTCAAGTTCTGGTCCTTCACCGTTTGCTCTTGCTGTAGTGAAAAGGTCACAGTCTTTCAGTAAAGAGCGCACCGAGTCACCTAGTGCCAGTGCATTGGTCCAACCTCCAGCCAACACAGAGGAAGGGAAGACTCATTCTGTAAATAAATTTGTGGACATCCCACAGCTTGGTGTGTCTGATAAGGTAACTGTAGCCTTTTTAAAAATAAGTATTCAAATTTAATGACATGGTTTAATGGGGGTTAACAAGCATGTTGATGTTTGTGTGCTACTTAACTCTGAACTCATATTCATCTGAAATTAAGCTATTGTAGTGAAGAGAGTGGTGATACATAAAATCTGATTATTTGCTCACAATTATAACTTATATAACTTGTTTAGGTATTACTGTAAGGTCATCATTATATAATTGTGTCATTAGCAAATGTTTTAAAGTTTCTTTGCTCATTTGTATGATATATTTACTAGTTAATGGTTCTATTTTCCTGTGTTATCTTAATTTGTTTTTAACTTGTCTAAATCTTCTGGTTTATTCTCCAATTTTACATTACTATGTAATAGTAAAGGAAATAGTCTTAATGAAATGGAAAAATAATAGTATGAGAGGCTAGACAAAATAACTGAGCATCTCTTAGCTATGTGATTTCCATCATATACACTCAACTTCAGCTTGCATATATTGTACATTTTCACATATAAATACATTGAAAGCAGAGTTTTAAAATGTAATTTTCTTAATTCCCCATTTTGTTAATTCAGTGTCAACTTTCAACTATAATATGTATGTTGACCAAACTGTTATCTAACCACTATCTAACCTTAAATATTTACCATAAAGGAATGTTGTTGACTTAGTGTTTGGTCAACTAAATGTTGTATTTTGCTAGCTTCAGATAATAGAGTCAAAGGAGAAGATGAAATTCACAGCATGATTTATGATAATCCTCATGCAATTTTAAAGAAATACTTTGTGTACTCTTACTCTGATAGTGTTTAAAGAATACATTCATATTTGTGTGACAGTTCCAGAAGTATTTAATATTACTTTTTCAAACATTCCTAGAGCAAAAGAATGTTAACCATATTGCCAAGTAAATATTTTTCCATAATTGTATAACAACATTTATCTTAATATTTTTCATGTATTTTACATTTATGTTTATTACTTTGATATAGCATCAGGAATAGAAGTATGATACAAAGATTAATTCTTTACTTGGGCACAAAGCCTGTGATTTTTCTTGGAATAGAATACCATTCCTAAACAATGGAAGCTTGGTTTAGATAATAAAGCTTTTAAGTCATTGCCTGAGCCCTGTTTGGCTCATTTTTTGGTAAAGATACGTATTTGGCAGTTTGAAAAAGACATTTAAGATTACTTGATAACATATGCCACTTACATCAGTTACTAAATATTCCTTCCTGAGAAGCGTAATTAAATTTTTTAGTCTTCAGTTTGGAAGTTCCTAATTTTTTATATTGATTCTCATGGCAAAAAATAAAACATGATTAGCACTTAGTCCATGTGACTTCCAGAAACACAAAATAAGCTACTAAGTGTAGCATAGTAATTAGTATTCCTTTATTAGAAGATATATTAGATTCAACAAATATGACATTGTCTATTTGACTGTTTTGCTCATTTAAAAATAGTAATTTCATAGCCTGGTATGTTGAAACCATGAAAATGGGTCATTTTTTAGTTTGCAGTATTTTTTAAAATCTTAATTTGGCTTTTCTAACCAGTTCTGTGTATTGGTGAAGTCAGCAGTATTTAACTCAAGAACAATAAAATTACCACTGTATTTATGAAGCAAAGAGTGGTACCACTTTTCTTCTTTGGCTTCCTGAGTTCAAGAGAGAATAATGCCCTCATCTTCCAGCTTAGCTCTGGCAGCAGAGATAATTCAGTGGGTGAGGAAACAGAGCTGTGTCTGAAACACCAGTGTGGCAAATGGTGATTGTTAAAGAACTATTGATGATGAAAATGTTTTGCAAAAAATGGCCCATTCTTTTCTTGGCATTCATATAAATATTTCACATTTATTTTTGTAGGAAAATAACTCTGCACATAATGAACAGAATTCCCAAATACCAACTCCAACTGATGGCCCATCATTCACTGTTATGAGACAAAGTTCTTTAACATTCCAAAGCTCTGACCCAGAACAGATGCGACAGAGTTTGCTGACTGCAATCCGTTCGGGAGAGGCTGCTGCCAAATTGAAAAGGGTAAGTCTTCTTTATCAGATGGGTGACAGTGGGTTTATTGTCACCATTGTCAAACTAATACTTAGGGAAAAATTTTTCTAGCATGTAAATCTAAATAGGGTTCCCAAAGTTACTCTTCTGTGTCTTTGAAGTATAAGCTGAAAGAGTTCCAGAGTCTTACACGTACTTGAAAAATATGTCAGGTCTATTTTCCACAACATGGGCCAGTTGCAGAACATGAATTTTGTTCATTCTTACATAACTATATAGAGAATACCCTGGACTCTGATTTTAAGAGATTATGTTAGCACCTCGAGAAAGACTCTTTGGAAAACACCTTCCTGTTCCAAAAAAGGTACATTAGTGATAGGAACCTACAAGTTTGTAGTCATAGCTCTTGCCATGATTAGTTACTAACATATATGAGGCTTAGGGAAGAGTTTTATAGGTTAAACCAAAAAAAAGTGCAGAATATCTAGAGAATGTAGATGATAGATAATACAGAAATTCAAATCTTAGTAATGTCCTGCCAAAGTTGTCTAGCTCCTCCTTACTGTGGGGTAGAAGAAGAAAAAAAGAGGAAGTCTGCTTTTTCTCAGGAAAAACACCCAAGTGTCACAGGGAATTCTTTTCAGGTGAATTTCCTCCTTGGGTTCCCTTCATCCACTGAGAAGAAGATGTGGTGAAGCTTTGAACAAGGCATCAGCACTTAGACTCCCCAGAGAGAGTCCTCTCCCTAAACCTCTCTTGTCTTCTCCCCTTAATTCTCCTGGTTGGAAGCACCTCCGCATCTAAGACAAGGAAAGTACTTATTATTCCATTAACTCCCGAGGCATTTCATTTTGTGAATTCCTTCTGTGATCATTTTAAAAGCCATTTAGAGAATAGTAAGAGACTTGTTGAGCAAAACATTGAGCTCAACAGAAATTAAACCTGCAAAGGAACAGGAATGCTACAAAGATAGGAAAAGAAATGGGGAAAGGCTTTCCGGGCCTTTCAACCATATCAACATTGGCCAAACTTGACTGCATAAGCCAACTTCCTTGGTGTGTATGTGAGGAGGTATGAGTGACAGCCATTCCTCCCAGAGGACTTGGCACCCTGTCTGGGCAAACATGGAGACAAGGCAGAATACTGGGTGCTGTCAGGAGTGGAGGAAACAGGAGGGAATACTACAGTGGATTAGATTTGAATTTTGTAAATTATTTGTAGAGTCTGATTTTAGGTGCCAGGCAGCATAACAATTTGGTATAGCTTTTAATATTGAAATTGGTTTTTCATCGGTCATGACAAATTTATATTTTTAGAGGAGGATAAATGCCCTTGTTAATAAATTACACAACCTCACGAAAAGTTTTCTTTTTCTGATCTTGTAAATTAAGGATGAGTTTCAAACCAAGCACTACTGGTTTCTCAGTTCAATAAATTTCGCAAGCACTTTTAAAGCACATAAGTAACAAATATTGTACTAGATACTGAGAACATGAAAATGAATAAAATGAAGCCTCTGTCTTCTGTGCATTCACAGCCTGGTCCTGAGATACAGTGGTATATCAGGCCCATGGGAGAACCAAGTTACTACACAGAAACTGATTGCGATGCCTTTATACTAGGTCAGTGAAGATATTCATCAGTTTCAATGAACTAATTGCAGAAAACTGCATTAAGTTGGAAATGCCTTTTAGGCCAACAGAATTATACAGGCCAGCAGCTATATACTTGGTGTGTTATGGACCCTGACTTGGCAGTCCTTTCACACAGAAAACTCTCATTGCTTCTAGAATGAGCTGAATATGAATCAACATAAAAAGCGGGCAATAAATGATTATCCTATAATTGTTTCCTGTTTAAAACTAATTACTTTAGGTTCTATTGAATCTAAAATTTTCTCTTTCAGTGGAACCTTATTGATAGCTCTGAGCATAGTGCCAGATTCTAATTTTTTTAAAATAAAAATCTCATCTATAATCCATCTCATTTCACTAAAAATGGACATAGTATCTAGTAAAGTTCACAATATACAAACTTCATGACGAGCATTTTTCACTTCTAGTTACGTACCCTAAAAATGTTGTTATTGTGTACCAGGACTCTCACACATAAGAATGTTCAGGGAATATTATTTGTAAAAACTCCAAATAAATATAACCCTAATATCCAATTAGTAGAATTAATAGCAGTATATTCAAAGAATGGACTGTCATATAGCCATCAAATGGACAAAATATAGTAAAATGCAACAATGTGCACAAAAATACACAGATATATATGCATAAAGTTTGACAGCATACAAAACTAATTTACATTATTTAGTGATGCATGCATAAGTGGCAGTTATTTTTAAAAGCAAGGAAGTAATTACAAAACTTATGATAGCGCTTACTTCCAGAGGGAAAAAAGGAGGGGTTGGTGAGGGCTTATTGATGTAGGCCATGCACACAATTTAAGGGGGAATCAAAAAGCTAAGTAATCCAGATAAATGTTATTTATTGTAATGCAATAAAAATATTCAAAATAAGGCTAAAATCTATGCTGAAGAAAATACCACAATTTTAAAAGAAGATTAATAGGGAACGTGGAGGTATTTTTTCTCTTGACATGAGTGGTGCATTGTATGCACATTTGTTTTTCACTGGGCTGCGTATTTACATTTAGTGAATTTTTCTATACATATATTCTATTTCAAAAAATTGCAAAAGGAAGTAAAAATGGACACAGGCAGGCTCTTAATTTCTTGTGATCTTTGCTTAAGTCTTATGTTTCTGTTCTGTACTGAAAATTTCTTCTAGTTTCTTTTAAATTCTAACATTTGTTTTATAGAACAACAATTATATTGCCAAATAAAATCTCCAGTGATTTTGATAGTAGGTTTAGATTGTTCATCAGAAAGTTGGCTCTGTGTTTCTCTATATCTTGGCACCCAAATGTTCAATTTAACTCCAGGTACCCACTTGTCTTATGGCTCTGGTTCATACGCAGGCAATTAACCTTCATTATAATGGTTGGTTCACAATAGAACAATTATCTAGTTGATTGCTCTAGTGTAAATGTAGTCATAAATATGCCATGTTTTTTTTCATGTTTCAGAAGGGATTTTTTGCATACCTTACCCCTACTCAACCCACATGTAGTCACAGAGATTAGTCTTTTCTTCAAGTAAAGCATTAATAAATCAAGCTCAGTATGTTATAAATTGTGTGATGTTAAGGTTTATTAATCAGCAAATTATTTACAAAGAGTAAGACAGATTAATTCATTACCCTTGGCCTGTGTTGACATAAGAACAACTTTGGCTTTCAGTACTTGATGGTCTCTGATTTACTAAAAATCAAGTTATTACCCTATTACAAGTAAGGTCTGAAAATAGTGAATGATATTGATATTTATCACTATGTATTAAGTGTTTTTCAAATGTAAGATTTATCTTTGGTTCAACAGAAGGTGGAGGGAAGGAAAAAACTGGGTAAGTCACACAGAATCTTGCTGGCTTGTATTGTTTATTTAATTAGTTTTTTTAATTCATATTTCCTTAGTTTAAATTTGAACAACCAAAGAGTTTCAGGTTGGCAGCGATTTCTACATTTTTAAAGTAAATGTAAATGATAGAAATTGTTATAGTTGCATTCCTTATGGAAAAAAGAAAGCTATGTGAAATTCCTAAAAATGCTTTAAACTTCAAGAGTAGACAATCAACTAGTAGATATTCACATCAGTAAATTCTTAAATGCTGTTTTTTTAAGTATCTGTATTATAAGTGTAATATGTTCCTCATTCAAAAACATTCAAGTGATACCTTCTTGTTTATGAATGTTTGTAAAAAGTTACCATATTCCATTTAAGAAATATTTATTGAGCACTACACTGTCCCAGGCACTAAAATAAATATAAAGTAGTTATAAACTGGCATTAAAATCAGTAAGATCTCTGCCCTCAGAATGCGTAAACTAGTATTCTATTGATGGCTTCTTGTGTTTAAAAGTTTAGTAAACAAGTTTTTAAATAATAAAGCAGATGTCATTTCTCTTCAAAAATAACCATTCTTGATAGGTTGCTCTGTAAGCTTCTAGCCCACTTCTGTAGTATGTAAATGTATTTAATTTACAAAATGGAATCCTCTGCAAATCCAGTCATAAACAAATGTCTCTTTGAAGCTTTTTAAAATTGTTTATATATATATTCATATACTATTCTTTTAAAGATTACATAGTATTTGACTTTATGAATGTGACGTAGCTTATTTGTTCATTATTTGTGGACATTTAAGTGGATTCTGTATATGGTGGTACAATGAGCATATTTTACGTGGAGACATTTAGAGCCATCGATACGTTTTCTAAATGCCTAAAACAAATTTTCTCCTTCACAAAGAATTATGAGAACTGCAATTTTGGCAAGGATTACAAAATAATTATCCTGTACACAGAAACATTTAGGACCAAGGTTCCACAATGGAAGTCATTACCTCTGCAGTCAATTAAGTGTACTGAGTTCCTTTCCTTATGGGGGCCCAGTGTGCAATGGCTGCAAACAGCAGCTTCCTTGGTGGTGTATGCAGCCTGTTTCCTCTATAGGTTGCTCTAAGGGACCTTGATAATAGGCCTTTCAGATGTATGTTCATGTCTCTGACCTTGCATTACCCCAATGTAGGCTTCAAACAGGCATGCGAGGTGCCTTTGGAAAACCCCAGGGCACTGTGGTCAGGGGTCACATTGGCCAAGTTACCATGTCCGTCCGCACCAAGCTGCAGAACAAGGAGCATGTGATTGAGGCCCTGCACAGGGCCAAGTTCAAGTTCTCTGGCTGCCAGACGATCCACTTCTCAAAGAAATGGGGCTTCACCAAGTTCAATGTCGATGAATTTGAAGACATGGTGGCTGAGAAGTGGCTCATATGGCTGTGGGGTCAAGTACATCCCCAGTTGTGGCCCTGTGGACAAGTGCCGGGCCCTGCACTCATGAGGGCTTTCACTGTGCTTCCCCTCTTAATACTAACCAATAAATTCTACTTCCTCTCCAAAAAAAAAAAAAAGAAAGAAAGTCATTACCTGTCATTTGTTGGCTATACTTGGAAAGAAATCTCACAGGCATACTAAAGAGAGTGCAGATGAGTTTTCCCTTCTGCTGGTGGCAACTCTTCTTACCGTATCCTTTTAGGTGTGTAGCGTCAATCACTCTGCTCCATCCTGGATTCATCAGACAATCGAGAAAACTCATTAGTTTAGATGACCAATCTTTATTTAGTAAAAGGCAAAAAGCGAAGCGCAAGGAAGCCAAGTCCAAACTAAATTTGCCAATTTCATTTTCCTTTTAACCAATTTACTCGGTTAATAGGAAAATCTGTGGCCATTTGTACTCCAGTTGTCTTCTTGTAAGAAAATGATAGTGTTTGGTTATGAATCTAAATTAGTCAAATTATAATCTAAACTGTCTTAAAATATCTTCATTATATTGCAAGTATGATGTTTCAAAATATAGGTATTTACTATTCAGAATACAGATGACTTTACATTTTTCAAAAGCTGGAATTTCACACTATGTAGAAAATTCTTGTTTTAGTGTTTTTATTCACTTATAGTTTGTGAATAGAAGACTTTGCCATAGAATTTTGAAACTTAGGAGTTTACTTACTAAGGAAAAAAAAAAAACTCCTTTTCAGTCTTCAGTCATTTGGCTTAACAGTCACAGATTTTAATTTTTAAATCCTTTATATGAAAGCATTTTTAAAACCAAGGGCTAGTTTTTTTGTTTTGAATAAATAGGGGGCCATTGGGAGGGGGATTTCACGTTAATTTATACCATCAGTACAAAACTTGTAAAATTCATTGCTTTGTGGAATTCACTTTATCTTTCTACATTCTCAGAGGCAGTTTTGGGGAGCCAGAATTACAGAATTAATCTAGCTAAAAATGCTCTTTAACAGCTTGGTTTGCAGTCTGTTTGTGCTCTTGTCCTTTGTGTTGATTTGGTAATTCTGTACAGATTAAGATGTGTTAATGGATTATTTATCTTATTTGTTGTGAAAATAACGACTCTCTCTTTTTAAATTTTATGGTAGAATGAACATTTATTCTTGATTATAATTTATTGAATAATAGATACTTATCATTTACAATTAAGCAGAAGTTAAAATGTGGTAACTGTTGAAAATTGAAAATTAGACAGCTATCCCATTTTAAATTGATGGGTGCAAAGTGTGTTTCTTTCTCTTAGGTTACCATTCCATCAAATACAATATCTGTGAATGGAAGGTCAAGACTCAGCCATTCCATGTCCCCTGATGCCCAGGACGGCCATTAAATGTTACCCTGCCACACCACTGCACTTCACTTCCACTTCAGACCAACTTCATACTAATGGAACATTTTGGCAAATGTATATTCAGATGTACACTAATATATTATCTATTAAAATATTAGAATTTGTGTTGTGGCTTTTAATGCCAGAAGAAAAGTTACCAGAATTTATAATTTATAGTAATTTTTTGATCTTTTTTTTGCCTTAAGAGTTGAATATGCTGCTTTAGAACTTTAAAACAAGGTGTAAATGATTTTCATTTTTTACAAATGAAAAATAATTCCTTTGTATTGATTTCACTTACCAGCACATTCTCTACAATGGTGACTTAGACAAAAGTATAAGATTCATAGACTTTATATTTGTATGACATACAACTAGGACAAACATAGATATGACATTTGCTGCCTCAGTGTAGCAATTGGAAATATTTATAAGTTATATGAAAGCCTGTTTTGGGCTGAAAGAATGATTTAGAAAACTAGTGATACCAAATAAGTATATTCAGTTCAATAATTATTTTCAATGATGAATCACTTAGTGTGAAAGACTTGCCTTGTGTATTCTTTATGTAATTACAAATCACTGTCAATTTTATGGGAAGCTCATAGTATTTTAATATTTTATTAACATGGAACTCTTGTTTTTTTAATCTTTAGAACTTAAATTCTACAAGAATTTTAAATATTTTCTGTATATAATTATGACATTGTCACACAGAAATTACACATTTTATGTGCCAGAAGCCTTAAACATCTTTCTGTGAAAATGCTGATATATTGTGACAGTTATTTCACATTTGATATGTAGAGAGGAATAGGGGTTAGTTTATGTTTATATTGAAAAACTTTAAAGACTATTTGGAAGTTCCAGAAATTCTGGTTTTAATTCAAGTAAAATGATAAAATAGTCATTATATAGTTCAGATGCTAATATTCTAAGTAATAATATATATTTACATTGAAGCTAAAACTGTTAAGCAAAACAATGCCCATTTGTCGGCTTACAGCTCTTCCGGAGTCTAGAGCCTGTTGGTGTTCTGTCCCTACTTTAAGAATTTAATTGCTCACTTATTCTGAAAGCTTTGTTCAAACAAGATGATATTAAATTTGTTTTCACTAAAACTACTGGGATATCTGCCTCTTGGGGATTTTTTTTTCAATTTAATAAAAGCAAGTTGTATATTTGGGGTGCTTTTTAAAATATATAGTTTGTGTCAACCAGCATATTTATTTCCCTTACCTGATGCATACATTTCTATTAGCCAGTGAACAAACAAGAAATTTGTAAGATTTACCATTTATCAGGGATCCCTAGTGTACATTTAAGCCCTGGCATTCTGACTCCAAAATGCATGGTCTAAGCATTTAAAATGTTTAGCATAGTTCCTGATACATGGCATGGCCATCTTAAATGCTAAATGTTGCTGCTGTTTTCCTTGAATCAGTTGGAGAGACCCTCATATATAGATACTTAAGTTATGTTGTTATAAGCAAGTAGAGAAAGGAGTGAATTTTTTTTAAAAAATTGTGTTGTCATAATTATCTACTTATAAAAATATAAATTTGGATCCCTAATTTAAACCTTCATATATTTTGAGTTGGATTGAAGACTTAAAGACAAGCGACATGTAAGATGTTTTCAATATATTAATATATAAGAAAGGCTTAATTTATGAAGATATGAAAGTTCCTACAACTCATGATAAGTCTACCTAATAGAAATATCAGCACATTATTCTTACAAGAGGAAATTCAAAAGGCCAACAAACATGGAAAAAAAATACTCTTCACTGATAATCAGGGAAATACAAGTTAAAAACATGGAAAGGTACCACATCAAATTAGCAAAAACGGAAGTTTCAAAATAGCAAGTGTTGTCAGGAACATCAAACAGTGGGAACTCTACTGTTGGTGGGAAAATACACTGGCATAACTACCAGTTCTGCAATATCTAGTAAAATTAAAGATTCCTTACCATGTTACCTTAAATAAGTACTTATGCACATGCATAAGGAGACATCTGCAAAAATGTTCACGGCAGCCTTGTGTAAAACAGCAGAAAGGGGTCCTAACCCGTGCTCAGCTTTAGTAATGCATATATTCATATGATAGACTTCCACACAGCAGTCCAAATGAACAAGCTAGAGCTATATATGTCAGCATGAATACATCTCAAAAACAAGTGACAAGAGTGAGTGGTGGAACAAGTCGTGTTTTATGAAATTAGTTACATAAAGTATAAATATAAAAAATGATACTATAAATTATGGCTGTATATGTAGGAAAAAAATTTGCTGGTGGTTACCTGTGGGAACCAAGAAAGACTGAATTGAGATTTATAAGAGGCATCAATTGTGTTCGTAGTATTTTATAAACTGCTGTTTGAAAACAAGTGCTTATTATATTCTAAATTCTAGTATACTTGTAGTTTATAATTATAATAAAATAATGTTTTAAAGGTCACATAGGATTTAGGGGGCTATGTATATAAACCATTAATACATGTATGTTCTGAAAAGTTGCCTTATCGACACCATTTTAGGAGAACATGTGCTATCCTGTCAATGGGGAAAGAAATTTGTGACAAGTAGTTTTCACTCATCATATCCTAAAATAACAGCACAAGGAAGATACAGGAATGGTCTAGAACCAACTTTTGACTTTCATGTATAATTTTTAGCATCTAGGCATTTTGCTTTTCCTTCTTTCCTCCAATCAAGTTATTTATTTATATAATATTAAAATTATAATTCAGATTACATATATATGATAGAGTATAAAATACATTCTTTTTCATCCCCAGCATCCCACTCTCCTCTCCAAAGATAGCTGTTAATATTTTGATATGAAGCCCTATATAGATGTATTTATATGAAGTACATGTGTGCAGGTTTGTTGGGGGCTTTTGTGTGTGTGTGTGTGTGTGTGTGTGTGTGTGTGTATGTGTGTTTCTTAACATGAAAGGAGGTCACACTCTAATACTATGTAACAACTTGCCTTTTATACCAGCAGTGTTCTGGAAGAGCTTTTCTTTTTACACATACAGATCGATCGTATTTCTGTTAGCCATTCTATTGTTTCTTGCTGCGGTACATAATGTTGGCTGGAGTGAAGAGATTGGGGTTCAGATCACAAGTCTGCCACTTATGAGTCATGGGATCTTGGGCAAATTACTTTCTCTATGCTTCATTTTCTCTTCTGAAAAATGAATTAATATGAATAAAAATGAACCTTATTTTAAAAACGGCAGGCAATTCATCTTTTAAAGTTACCTGATGTCAATACTATAAGTGAACAGGTATTATTTGCCTAATATACTCCCTATTCTTTGAGGAGTGACCCTTCTTCCGATTTCACCTCTTCATGAACTGCCAGATCTGGCCTTGGCCACTAGGCACTGGCAACAGCATACACACTCTGTCATCTTATCCAAGTCCTTGAAATGAGACCAATCTTTGTCCTGAGACTTAGTTACTTATAGGTGCTTAAAACCCAAAGCGTCCCAATTGATACAATTATGTATGTGTCTAATTCCAGTTTACTTTGTACCCACTACCAGTAGAGAAAATAAGTATCAAAGAACTAAGAATCAAACTCATCATTTTTAAAATCTACTGATTTTGATAACTGACTTGAAAGAAAAGAACTTGCAATTAGAGGTCATAGTGAAGATTTCCAGGGTCAAAGTGATTTCTGAGGTTTTAGATGTAAAAATATCTCCTATTTATTTGCTATTTCAGAGTTGACAACAAGATTTTTATTTGATCCACATATTTAAAAGGTGTGCAAAGATTGCTACTTTACAAAGGTCACAGAAGCAGAGGAGTCTCAGAGTCCCACATCCAATTACTAATTTGTTCTTCCCCATGACTAAATGTAGCAAATGATGAAGAAACTGGTGCTAGATTTCAAGGGATACCAGAATAGGAAGTTATTTGTTCTGAATCTTCAGTTGGTTTTCCTTTTCTCTTAAATGTTACCACTTTCCTGCAAATTTCCATCCTTAATATGTTAGACTGTTCATATAGATACATTGTGTTTACAACAAGGAAAAAATGCCACCATGTGCTCAGAACTTTTTTGACAGGTATTTTGAGAAGAGTTGTGGAACATTCTGGTAATTTGTAGAGATCTGTTGGCATCTCTGCTTCACAAACTGGAAAAAATCATTTGTAAGTCTTGCTAATTACTTTTCTTGGAGAAGAAAAAAAATGCTACAGTTGCAAACAAATGTATAGTTTTCAAAAAGAAGCAACTTTTTTGCTCCCCAGTTTATTCTTAGTTTCCAGCCCACGCCTTGCGATAGCGATAGGCATAGTGATGGCCTCAATTCTTTCTCTCTTGCATCCATACCTTTTGCTGTGATAGCAGTGATGGCCTCAGTTCTTTCCCTCTCTTGCATCCGTACCTTTTGCTGTGTGACTTTGCAGCTCCTCTCATTAAAGAGGCAGAGCCCCCTCTCCCACCCATAGGAGCAGGTTTTGAGAGTAACAGAATGAAGTGAAAATGACACTGTGCCAGTTCTAAGACCAGCCCTCAAAGGTTCATGTGTTTCTGCTTGCTTTCACTGTATTTGAAATGTTGCTGTGAGAAAGACATCTCTGAAACAGCTGAATGGTCCTAAGAAAAGGATGAGAGATGCAGGGAGCAGAGCTCCCAACTGAGGCCAGCCTAGATCACCTAAGAGCCAGGCCCCCAGTTTACTCTGATGTGTAAGCAATAAATGCTTACCCCAGCAATACCACCAAGGTTTGTGGTTGGTTTATATACAGCATTAATGTGGCAATAGGTGCAATACACCCTGTTAAACAAACCATACACATATGACTCTAACCCTAATCATAAATTGATTCAGTCTGTTCAGTTCCACAACGCTGTTTCCTCCAGAATCTCACAGATGACTTACTAAATCCAACACAAATACACCTCAGACTTTCTGTCTAGCTCCCAACCAGTTAAAAGCAATTCTAAATATTTTTTTTCTTAGTCGTAGTGCAAAAGTATATTCTCTCCCTTTCTCTATAGTTTTCTCTCATTTTGTCTTCAGACCTAGAAGCATGAGAGCCCAGCTGTCAAAGTCATCTAGACCCCCTTCAGAAGGTCATTAAATTTGTCTATTTCACAGGATTGCAAGATAAAATACAGAATGCCCAGTTAAATTTGAACTTCGGATAAACAACAAATTTTTTTTTAGTATAAGCATATCCCATACAATATTTGGGATATACTTATATTTTTATATTGTTTATCTGACGTTCAAGCTAACTAGGCATCCTGTATTTTTCTTAGCTAAATCTGGCAACTGTGCTATTTCATTGAAAACCTGAAAGTGTACAAAGAAGGAAGAAGCAGAATCTGCCATATGAGTAATAGAAGTGAGCAGGCCCAGGACTCCCTAAGTCAAGAAACCAAGAGGCGTCATTACGGAAAAGAGTAACTCACCCTGTGTGCTCCTTGGTAGTTCTCCCTCAGCGATGCCCCCATGTTATGAATGGGGAAAAGTTCACTGAAGGGTTCATAGTGAAGAAACTTTTTGGATGATTTCTGTTGGTGGGTTTTGGATACCTTCAAGGGATCAGAAAATAATATACTTAGGAAATTTTGGTAATGTCATCATTACTCTCTACATTATTATTATGACGGTTACAATTGTTAAATCTAGGTGGTGGGTATGTGGGTTATATTGTACATGATTTTTAACTTGTCTGCATGTTTGAAATTATAATAAAGTCAATAAATAAATTATTGAGACACTCCTGTTACAGTGACCGATTGCACTCTATTCATATGGATAAAGACATTTAATTTGTGGCCATTTGTTCTCCTTCCACCCATTAAGAATGTTAGTCAAGTCAGGATAGATGATTGGAGGCAAGTAGGAATTTGGCAAAAGCATCTCACTATTAGCAAAGTTAATTAAGGGTGTTATGGTTCAGTTTTAACTAAAAAACACCATACACTGCAAGATCTGATGGAGCACAGTATTATTATTATTATTATTATTATTTATATTTATATTTTAAGTTCTGGGATACATGTGCAGAACATGCAGGTTTGTTACATCAGTATACATGTGCCATGGTAGTTTGCTGCACCCATCAACCCATCGTCTACATTAGATATTTCTCTTAATGATATCCCTCCTCTAGCCCCCGCCCCCACCCCCCGAGAGGCCCAGTGTATGATGTTCCCTTCCCTGTGTCCATGTGTTCTCATTGTTCAGCTCCCATTTATGCGGTGTTTGGTTTTCTGTTCTTGGAACACGGCATTATTTTTAAGAGGGACGAGAGAAATAGGGAAAATGAAATTTAAATACCAGTTCTCTACCATTTACTCTGCTACATGTCCCTTGAGGTAGATTTTTATCACATTTTACTCATGAAGTTCAGAGCACCCTAGGGTGGTGCTGGGGTTGAAGACATATTTGATACCATGGCCCCATTTTTTTCTGCTATACTCTGCTGCCTTATTCCAATTGTAACTGTGTACTTGAACAATCTTCAAAAAGTTTTTTTTTCCTTTGCAATGAGTACCTCATAAATTACGTTTCTAATCTTTGTAACCTTATCTCAGTTGCCTAAACCGGAGAAAAATCATAATGAAAGTGACCAGTATTTCTCCAAGACCACTTATTCTGCCATTTTGAAACCTGATGGATGGCTGGTAATTTGTACGAGGTGTTGCACCACATCCCCTATAAATATGGGACACCTCCTAGAATTTTACTAGGCAGGGTGCTTTAGAGAAGTATGGCCTTCTTGAGAAGTCTAGAATCAAAGTCAGAGGAGACAGACATAGAAATGTGGAGAAACATAATCCAACAGTGCATGAGATGTCCCAGAGAAATATTTGCTAAATGCTAGAGGCTGCGAAGACATGATGTAAAGGGACTGGTGATCTGGACTTCCAAAACTGGGTGGATAGGAGTTGGTAATGTGAATATAAGAGGAAAGACTCTGAGGGCATGCATATGGTGAGTTTTATTAACAGTCTGCATTATTCTGGGGTGACAAGTTTGTTCCTTTATTTGATGAACATGCGTTGACCATTTTCTTTCCAACAGGCACTGTGCTGGGTCATAAAGAAACAAAGACAGCTAAGACAATTTTAGTCCTCCAAGAATTATAGACTAGTGATGGTTCATAAAACACGGTCATAAAAGAAAACTATGCTAGAAACGTAAGTTGTCCCTTTTTCCACTAGGTCATTTGCCTTTTTTCAGAAGTGCTTTATATATTCTTGATACTAGCTCATTATTAGTTACATGAATTTAAATATTATCTTCATGTTTGTGGCTTATTGTTTATTTAAATTGTCTTAATGAAAATTTCTTATTAACATAATTGAATGCATCAATATTTTCTGTTATGGTTAAGATTTTTTGTATTATGTTTAAGGATTCCTTTTCTACCCTGAGGTCAGACAGGGGCATTCATTGGTATTTTATTCTGAAAGTTTTAAGGCTTTGCTTCTTAAATTTAAGGTCTGAATTCATCTGAAGTTTTTTGTATGGTTTCAGATAGCAATCCATTTTTCTTCTTGCTCCCTATATGAATAGTCAAATTTTTTAACTGTATTAGTTAAATAACCATGCCTTTCTTCAGTGATCTGACATATTATCTCCATCATTTTTGATGATCCCTAAATTCCTAAGTCTATTTTGGGGCTTTTATTTTCCTGTTCCATTGGTCAAAATGTGTATACTGCACCAATATTACTGTCTTAATTACTGTAACTTTATAATAAGCCTTTATATCTTGAAGAAAAGTTGCTCGTTTTTCTTCTCCTTCAGAAATGTCTTGGCTATTCTTGCTCTTTGCTCTTCTCTGTAAATTTCAGCATAAACTTAATTTCCATAATATATGACTGGAAATTTTACAGAAGAGTTAATGTGTCTAACTAGCAAACACGAAGAAAAGCTCAGTGTTAGCAGTTAACTGAGGGAATGCAAATCAAGACCACAAGGAGATAACAATTTGAGCCTATTGACAAAAGTTCAGAAGTCTAATAATACTAAGTGTTGGAGAGGATATGGCCCAGTATGATCTTATCCACTGTTGGTGGGAGTATCAATTAGTACAAACACTTTGAAAAATAAGAGGGAATTCTATAATATCTAACATTTGCATATATCCATTTATCTCTCTAGATCTAGATCTTAGCCCTCTCCACCCTGCACTGTGTTCTTGGAAGGGGATCATGAATGGTTTCCTTGCATTCTGCCTTCTGATTTGGTTCAGCCAATGAGAGACCATGGCAAGACATTTGTGAGAAGGGTAGAGAGTCAGGTCAAGGTTCTTAGTGAGATCAACTCTTTCTCTGCCAGTTTGTTAACTGAATTCTACTGAAAGCTAGAGCTCTGTTGAGTAATCTTTTAAAGCTGCAGCTACCCTTTTGAGATTAAGTAATAGCTCCCTGTTTGTGCCTTGTTAGGGCTAGGGATGTTTAAGGATCCTTGCCCTTGCTAGTCCTAGCATGTTTTGTTGTCCCATAATAGTTCTTTTTTTAAACTTTCCTCAATTACACAATTTGATCTTGTTCCTACCAGTACCTTTGCTGGTACAACCTAAAACTCAACAGTTTCACTCTTAGGCATTTACCCAAGAGAAACCAAAGTAGGTACATTTTCCAGAAGACATGTTAAGAATGTTTGCAGTACGCTTTGGATGCTTTGGTAATAGCAAAAAAAAGAAAGAAAGAAAGAAAGAAACAGCCCAAGTTCCGATGGGCACAGATAAATAATAGTAAGCAAATGTCAAGGACAAAAATTTTGAAGAAAGCCACAGAAGGCAACATATAAAATTATAACCTTCTTATAAAATTAAATTAGATGTACATATGTTTGCTAAGAGTTTTTTAAAAGGAGGCTTGATAAACATTAAATTTAGGAGATTGGTTACCTGTGAGAGGGAGAAAGGGGGATAGGATTAGGTTAGGCAAGGGACACATAGGTAAGTTATCAGTGATGTTTATTCTATGATATAAATTGGACAGTGGATTTAGAGATGTTTATTATATAAATTGGTTGAATAAAATAAATGCATAATTAATGTATTACTGTTAAAAATGAATAGCAGGTTTAGAGAGTGTAGAATTCCTCTAAGTAATCCTATGAAGTTTTGAGCAGAAAGGTGACATAATCATAAAATTAATCTGCTGGAAGTGGCCAGAAATTCAGAAGTTAATGATCCTTTGCCAAAATCCAAGTCTGATTTTGATGGGATTCTGGCTCTAGACTCGTGGCAGAAAAAGGGGGGGAAAAAAAAAAAGCAGAGTTAAGAATCGATGGCATATTTGGTGGAAATACAGAAGGCAAAATGAGAGAGGACTGAAATATGAGGCCAAGAGTTGGTAATCTGGTACAGATTTTCCATCCCAGAATTATTGAAACCAGCATTTTAAATGTTTCATTTTAAGGAAATATGAAGAATATTTAACCATTTGATGCCATCTCTATATTGGCTACATTTATGCCAAATGATATAGAATGCCTTCATTTCTTGGGCTCTTCCCAGTCCTTACTGTTTTCTGGGAATTGAATACAAGATCAAAGCTGAGACTCTGCAAATAAAGGTCAGGTTTTAGCTACATCTACAAGATCAATTATATTTTTTATAGCTGACAGATATTATCCAAGTTGTGTGTGTGTGTGTTTATATGTGTGTGTTTAGTGAAAGGAGTACCATTAAAAGATATAAAGGCACATCCCAGCTAAAAAGATTAAAGAATTTCTATTCAAAATTATGGTATACATTATCTCTGCTTGAATGTCAACCATTCTTAAATTCGGAAAACACTTCTATACTAAACATTTCTCTTAAATATTTAAATGTTAGTTTATTTACTGCATTCAATAAAAATAGCAAAACTTATTAGGGAATTCAATCCTGTGGGTTGAGTTGTTAATCCCTGTACTCTATTTATACAATTATTTTTCAGGTTTCTTTCCTATTTTTATCTTGTCCTTCAACTGCAGTATAGTTCACGGTTGCCTATTTTTAGTGCACTCAAGTACCACACCATGGAAATGCTGTCACAGTTCACCATATAACCACAGCAGTACTGGACCGCACCTTGCTTGGCAGCAGGTGGCCAGTGCTTATGTTATCTGTCTTTCAATTTAAAGGGTGAGTCCCAAGTTTTCTATTCTCCTACCATAAAGAATACCCATGTCATTGTGGAAGAAAAGAAAAGCAATAAAACATTTTTATTACCCCTGTATTTTAGAAGAGACCTCAAAAACCTAGTCTAAATTTAAGATAAGACATTTAATACACATGCCAAAGATAAAGTAAGTCATTTTTAGCAACCTTGGGACTTTCGGCTCACTTTTTGTCCCGTCCTCATTTGGGGAATCCTAAAAAATCATTTTGTTTTATTTTTTAAGAAAAATCTCAGAGAAATGAGTTTGACTTCTTGAAGATTCTTTGGCAGCTTTCTTTTCTTTTTTAAATTCTTGTCTAGATGAGCTGTCTGCAGAACAAGCCTATATTTATTTAAATATAAATTTAAAATCTGTGCCTCAAGCCTCTTTGATATCTGAGATGGGGCCAAAATGACAAGTGTGTTGAGAGATATCTGGTTAATATTTTTTCAGATTATCCAAATCAGCTCACTTGTAGAAGGCTGACAGTGGGATTAGAAGAAAGGAAATCAATATGTAATTATGACATGGTGCTGTGGTATGAGACAACGGTGTATTTGAAATTGGTTTCCTCCTTCCCAACCATCAGTCTGTCAATGCCATCTGTTGCACAATGTGAAGAACAACTGAGCTCATCGTCAACAAACACTGGCTGTTGGTCTCCTCATTTTTTTTTTCTGAAGTACTTGTCTTTATCAAGACAAAGGTCCCTGAAGCATCACAAAGATTTGTGCCTTAAGGAATGTAGCACAATGAAATTAAGATTGTTTTCTTGAAACTTTTAAGTGGTCATAAAGAAATAAGAATAAAATGGAGAAATGAATTATTCCAAGGATGCCTGCCCAACACAATGTCACAGATATGAAATTTCACTTGCTTCATTTAAAAGGGTATGATTCAGTGTAGAAATAACAAAGATTTCAAATCTCAGTTACCAACATGTGGAATAGCAGTGTACTGTGTGGCTTCCCTTGGTTGCAATAGCAGAAGAAAATTACGCATGAATGTTTAAAGAGATGTTAGAACTATGTTATATTATTCATGCTATACCTTCTTTTAGCACTTAACATAATTGTAGTGTAAAAGCTGTTTACCCAATTTTTCCCATGAGGGTAGACTCCATATCTATCTTGTTTGCCCTCTATCCCCAATCCATAACACATCATAACAACAGGAGCTTTTGCCCTTACCATATCTTCATCTAAATGCTTCATTGATGTTAATCATTTAATAAAAAATAACAGTAGGTATTATTATTACCTCTGTCTTATAAATGAGGAAGCTGAGGAACAAGTTATCCAAGATTACATATCTAGTAAACAGAAAGCCAGAACATGAACCCAGGCATTTTGACTCTAGAGTCCTCATTCTTCTATATTGCCTGTCATATTAGGCATGCAATAAATGTTTGTTGAAAGAATGCATGAATAAGACAGTAAATTTTGGCTGGGCGCAGTGGTTCACGCCTGTAATGCCAGCACTTTGGGAGGTCGAGGTGGGCAGATCACGAGGTCAAGAGATCGAGGCCATCCTGGCCAACACGGTGAAACCCTATCTCAACTAAAAATACAAAAATTAGCTGGGTCTGGTGGTGCGTGCCTATAGTTCCAGCTACTCGGGAGGCTGAAGCAGGAGAATCACTTGAATCTGGGAGGTGGAGGTTGCAATGAGCCAAGATTACGCCACTGCACTCCAGACTGGCGACAGAACAAGCCTCTGTCTGAAAACAAACAACAACAACAAAAAACAAAAAGATAGTAAATTTTATATTTTAGCTTGACTAAATGAGGCATAGACCATTAGAAATACCAATTCTACCTTCCTACAAATCTTATAATAGAGGTACTCAATAGTATTTATAGCATAATAATATGACAATAGCCAGCTTCATTCTTGATGTAATTGTAGAATTCTCTCAAGTTTCTAAAGAGATATTTTTTAAAAATTTGGTTAGGTTTAATTTGCCCAAAGTTGTTTTCGTTTCCATTTAAACATATTCTGCCATAAACAATACACAAATATATAAGCACAGAACTCTTTCATAGTACTTGTAAAAGTGGCTTACAAACTTGGAAATTCCTGTGAAGTGAATTCACTGAGTTTATTTATTTATTTATTTATTTTTATTTTTTTGAAACAGAGTCTCTTTCACCCAGGCTGCAGTGCAGTGGCCCGATCTCAGCTCACTACAACCTCCGCTCCTGGGTTCAAGTGATTCTCATGCCTCAACCTCCCTAGTAGCTAAGATTACAAACATGCGCCACCACACCCGGCTAATTTTTGTATTTTTAGTGGAGATGAGGTTTCACCATGTTGGCCAGGGTGGTCTCAAGCTCCTGATCTCAAGTGATGTGCCTGCCTCAGCCTCCCAAAGTGCTGGGATTACATGCGTGAGCCACTGCGCCTGGCCTAGCCACCGCGCCCAGCCTTACTGATCGAGCTTAAAAACATTCACCAAGTACCCGCAATATAAAGTACTATGCCTCTAACTAATGCCCCCCTCTCCATTGCGCCTTTCTTATTCTTTCCGTAGAGGTGAATAAGTCTGGTCATGTTCTCTGATTTTATATTTATTATGTATTTTAAGCTTTATTACTTTTTTCCATTTTAATAGATTTTAACAAGAGAACAGACAAATTTCACTATTTCAGTAATAAGAAAATTCTCATAAGAATCAAGGAATAACAGACATGAATTATGTATACTTATAAAGACAATTGCTTTTTCCAAAATTATATTTCATGAGAAAAGTTCAGTAACATTTAATTGAAGGCAATTTTTAAATTATTGTTGTTTTTGCTAGAATCAGTTTTATTCCAGAGTGTGTGGGGCTGCAGTTACACAATGCAGGGAGGGTGCAGTCTGGACCAGGAAACCAGAAATCTGGGTTATGGGCCTGGGGATGTACCAATTTACTAGGAGACCTTATCCAAGTTACTTCACTTCTCAGAGCCTCAAGTCTTTTATCTGTAATACTAAGGTGTTCTGAAATATCCCTGTCTCTTCCAGAAAACATATAATGAATCATCACACCAATATTGTGAATTTCATAGTGACATTTTTTACAAAGTCATTTTTTTTTTTTTTTTTTTTTTTTGAGACGGAGTCTCGCTCTGTCGCCCAGGCCGGACTGCGGACTGCAGTGGCGCAATCTCGGCTCACTGCAAGCTCCGCTTCCCGGGTTCACGCCATTCTCCTGCCTCAGCCTCCCGAGTAGCTGGGACTACAGGCGCCCGCCACCGCGCCCGGCTAATTTTTTTGTATTTTTGGTAGAGACGGGGTTTCACCTTGTTAGCCAGGATGGTCTCGATCTCCTGACCTCATGATCCACCCGCCTCGGCCTCCCAAAGTGCTGGGATTACAGGCGTGAGCCACCGCGCCCGGCCTACAAAGTCATTTTTAAGGGAAGAAGAAAAAAACCCTCTCCTTTCTTGAAGTCTAGATTCTATTTAAGTGATACTATTTGTCTATGAAAAATACAATGAGCTATGGTGAAGTGATTTGTGTAAATGATCTCATTCAGGAGGCACTGAAGGGACAGACACTTGTCATTGCCAAGTAAGTCACATTTAAATTCCCTCAAGCCTTGAGAAATAATGTGAGGGAAAGTGCAAAAATAGCACAGTCATTCCTTTGGACTAAGTCAACTCCTAGGCCTCCTGAGAGCACTGTAGCTGTGTGTTCATCTCTATGCAAAGAGAAATAAAAAGAATCAACTATATTTGTCACAGGGTACTTTCCTATATACCAGCGTACACCTCTATCAATACATTTTATGCTGAGACTTTCGGTAAGGAAAGACTGACCATACACACTGCCTCATGCACAGATATAGACACATATTGAAGATACTTTCTTTCCCCTGCAATGCAGAAAATTGCATGAGCACACACAACCACACTAAACCAACCAGAATGAAACTAGAGGCAGCTGTATCTGATTGAAACTGGTGAGAATTGAGATTGACAGAGTTACAGGGCTAGGAGGTTAATGAGTCCATACTCCTGCCTCCAGTCAGAACTGTCCTAAGCCATTCCAAGTAAATGACAGCTCAGCCTCTTGGAAAAAAAAAAAAAAATCTTCATAACGTGCTTCAGTAACCGATTCCATTGTCTAAATGTCCTTATCCTCATAAAGCTCTGGAAGCAATATGAGTCCACATTCTCCTCTGTTTAATCTCTATGTTGACAGATATCGAAAATAATAAATTGACAGAAATGTCAAAGATGATGAGAGCCTTAGGGATGGGTCATGGAACTGGTTATCACCTTTCCAGAGACCTCAGAGGAGAGAATAATTAGCAAGTCTGTTGTGGATTGTGGTTCTAGTTGAAGTAATATTATGAGTCTATTTGTTTTTGCACATAAAATCTGTTATGAACTGCTAAATGAAATTTTGCCTTGCACTTCATAGCAAGGGCCACAGACTTAGCAAACACTATCCTGAGCAGAAACATGTCATCAAAGAATAGGTTCTTACATTAAAAAAAGACAAAAAAACAAAAAAGGAAGTGTAGAACTGGTGTGCAAGTAGAACCATACTTCTTTATTTACTAATTATTTTTTGTTATAGTATTCTAATTTATAGATACTTTCTCATATATAATGGTTCTAATAATAGATTACTGCATGCCTTTTACTTCTGAGAATTGGGAGTGATGAAGGTGTTGGCAGCATTATATATAGAAAGGAGTAAGAGGTTTGCAAACCAGAGTTCTAATCCCTTGTCTGCTGTTTTATCATCTCTATGGGTTTCAGAATATTGCTTGATGCCTGGACTTCATTGCCCTTACCTGTGAAGTGAGACTAATAACGCCTATTTTACATTGTTCTTGAAGAATGAAATGAGATAATACTGGTGAAAGCACCCAGGACTTGGCAGGCACTAGAATAAATGTCAATTGACCATGAATCTGATCTGCCACCATTGCTTTTCTTTCTTCTCCATTCCTCATGAGTTCTGAGAAGTAATTCAGTGTGGGACAAACTTTCCTCTTCTGAGCATGTCACTAGCCTTGGTTTCTGCTTCCATTTGGCCTCTCTTCTCTGTTGCTGATCACCATGCAGGCTCGTGGGGGGAAATTTCCCACAGGGACATCAGGGGCAAAGGCAAGGAGGCCTTCTCATCCCAACTTAAAACTGATGTTGGATTTTAACTTGAATTTTTAAAAATCTGCACATGTTATATTTTTGCTAATTAAAAGTAGATGGAATTCAGGTTCTAAAACACTGTATTCATTTTTAGAAAGCCATAACAGAACTTCTTTGTGCAAAGGATAAAGAGACTGATTCAAAGATAGACTACTTTTTAATTCACAAGAGTGAGCAATAAGATTGCTATTATTCATTGTTAGCTAGAAATGCTATTATCTTCATTATTTGGAATAGATTGAAAAAACTTATTATCAGAGAAATATGTTCTTATACATATAAAAGATAGATGTAGAGATAATTAAAACATCACTCCTAATTTTATGATCCAGAAACAACCACTGATAATATTTATGCACTTTTTTTTCTCTTTTTCTACATATATTCTGATGGGAAGGACTGCTTTCAAGTTCAAATTCTTCCACTTACTGGTCAGTCTTTGCAAGTTATTTAGGTTCTCTAAGCATCTGTCACTGCATCTGAAAACTGGTACCAACTTTATAGAGTGCTTGTGAAGATTAATAAGAAAATGCATATAAAACACTCAGTACTGAATGTGGTACAGAATAAGCTTTCAATCATGTCAGCTGCTGTTATGATGTTCTTTATTATCTGTATTATATTTTCAATGGAAAAATAACAGTTCAAGGAGCGGCAATGACAGTCACTAGCAAGCTATTTTGACTTGGGCATTTGGAGTTGGTGCAATACAGAAAGTCAGGTTTCTCACGTAACAACAACAACAAAAAGACAATTTACTTAATGCTTTACTGTGTGATCCCAGATACTGTAATATCATAACTTATTTAATCCTTACAACAGACATATAAGAAACATTATTATTATTCCCATTTACAGATGAGTAAACTGAGTCAAAGTTTAAGCCACATGCAAATTTTCACAGTGAAGTGGCAAAACTGGGATGTGAATGGAATCAATTGAACCAGATAGATATGTACCAAGAAAAGAATTAGATAGATGGCCTATCCTTTTAGAAAGAATGTTTTGCAGTGTTCCCAATTGGGTACATCCAGCAAAGTTACAGGGCTTCACATTCAGTCCATTTCTTCTGAACTTTGTGGGTAGCTAGAAGTGGTTGGGCAGCAAGCAGTGTTCTTGGAAAAATAGATGTGTATTACTCTTGGAAACAGACCATGTTGCAAGAAAGTCTTTGGCATAAAACAAGGCTGAGTATACACAGTTGTCTCTCATATGGCATTGGTTTGGAAACATAAGTGGACAAGCCAAACTCTATAAGTCTCCCTTTTCCTTTGAATTGAATTCCAGAATGTGTTTTTACACTTGATCTCATCCAAAAGGCTGAGAAGCAATCAGAATGTGTTTTTTTATATTACCAGGTAGCATTCATGTTTGTCCTTATTTATTCCCGCATAATATTTCATTCAGTGGATGTAACAAAGGCTATTGAATGAAAACAAGATTCCTCATTCATTCCAAACTAAGTTAAAAATCCTATGCTCTCTGAGTTCATCAACTCTTCCCTTTCGGATAATGAGGAAAAAAAGAGAACAAAAGTATCTAAAAACACAAGACGAACAAATGATAAACAATCAGTGCTGTCAACTTTTGGGGGGAAAACTATGTTCAGCTATTGCTAAGGACAGGATAAATTGGTACATTCCTGTTAGAAAACAATTTAGCAACACTTATGAAGTGTACTGTAAATGTACTGTAAATGTTCATACCGTTCATACCACTTGGCACAGGTTCTCCCATTCCTGGGAATTTATCCTAAGGCAATAATTAAAAAGAAAAAAGTATATAAATTCAGGCAGAACTCAAATGAAGTGTTAATTATAAATGAAACCCAAGGAGCAAACTGATGGTTCAACAATAGACAAGTAGATAAATAAACATCCACAGAATGTTTTGCTCCTTCAAATAATTATAATCATGAACGAGAAAATAACAGAGAAAAAGGAAAAGTTAAAAAGCAGGGCACTAAATATACAGGCATACCTCATTTCACTGTGCTTTGCTTAATTGCACTTCACGAACATTGGATTTTTTACAAATTGAATGTTAGTGGCAACCCTGCATCAGGTAATTTGATTAGTGCGATTTTTCCAACAGCATGTGCTCACTTCATGTCCTTGTGTCACACTTTTGTAATTGTAAAATGTAAGACAGCAAACAACTGAGAAATGTTGTATGTGTTCTGACTGCTCCAACAACCAGCCATTCCCCCATCTCTCTTGTCTCCTCAGGCCTCCCTATTTCCTGAGACGCAACATATTGAAACTAGGCCAATTAACCCTACAGTGGCCTCTAAGTGTTCAAGTGAAAGAAAGAGTTAAAGGCTCTCACTTTGTACCAAAAGCTAGGAATGATCAAGTTTAGTGAGGAAGGCATGTCAAAAGCCGAGACAGGCTGGGCGTGGTGGCTCACACGTGTAATCTCAGCACTTTGGGAGGCCAAGGCGGGTAGATCACCTGAGGTCCGGAGTTCATGACCAGCCTGGCCAACATGGTGAAACCCCACCTCTACAAAAAATACAAAAGTTAGCAGGGAGTGGTGGTGCATGCCTGTAGTCCCAGCTACTTGGGAGGCTGAGGCAGGACAATCATGAACTGGAAAATAACAGAGAAACTGGAAAATAACAGAGGTTGCAGTGAGCTGAGCTCACGCCACTGCCCTCCAGCCTGGGCGATAGAGTGAGACTCCATCTCAAAAAAAAAAAAAAAAGAAAGCCGAGACAGGCTTATTATACCAAACAGCCAAGTTGTGAATGCAAATGAAAAGATCTTAAAGGAAATGAAAAGTGCTACTCCAGTGAACACATGAATGATAAGAAAGCAAAGCAGCCTTATTGCTAATATGGAGACAGTTTAGTGGTCTGGCTAGAAGATCAAAGCAGCCACAACATACCCTTGAGCCAAAACCTAATCCAGAGCAACATCCTAACTCTCTCGTCAATTCTATGAAGGCTGAGAGAGATGAAGCTATAGAAGAAAAATGTGAAGCTAGGAGAGGTTAGTTCACAAGGTTTAACAAAAGAAGCTGTCTCTGTAACAGAAAAGTGTAAAGTGAAGCAGCAAGTGCTGATGTAGAAGCTGCAGCAAGCTATGCAGAAGATCTAGATTAGATCATTGATGAAGGCGGGGCTACACTAAATAACAGATTTTTAACATAGACAAAACAGCCTTCTCTTGGAAGAAAATGTCATCTAGGACTTTTATAGCTAGAGAGAAGTCAATGAATGGCTTCAAAGCTTCAGTGAACAGGCTGACTCTCTTGTTAGGGGCTAATGGAACTGGTGACTTTAAGTTGAAACCAGTGCTCATTTAGCATTCCAAAAAATATGAGCGTCCTTCGTAATTATGCTATATCTACTGTGCCTGTGCTCAAAACACCAAAGCATGGATGACAGCACCTCTGTTTACAGCACGGATTACTGAATATTTTAAGCCCACCGTTGACATCAATTGCTTAGAAAAAAAGATCCATTTCAAAATATTACTGTTCATTGATAATGCACCTAGTCACCCAGGACCTCTGTTGAAGATATATAAAGAGATTAATATTTAACATATAATATTAAATAAATATCTTATTATTTAAGAAATACATTTTGTGGGGCTATACCTTACATAGTTATTCTTCTGATGGATCCGAGGAAAGTAAAAACTTTCTGGAAAAGATTCACCATTCTAGATGCCATTAAGAACATTTGTGATTCATGGGAAGAAGTAAAAACAGCAACATTAAAAAGAGTTTGGAAGAAGTTGATTCCAACCCTCATGGATGACTTGGAAGGGTTCAAGACTCCAGTAGAGGAAATCACAGCAGATGTGGTAGAAATAACAAGAGAGCTAGAATTAGAAGTGGAGCCTGAAGATGTGACTGGATTGCCACAATCTCATAAGAAAACTTGAACAGTTGAGGAGTTGCTTCTTATGGAAGAGCAAAGAAAGTGTTCTTTTGAGATGGAAATGACAACAAAGGATTTAGATATTACACAAACTTAGTTGAAAAAGCATCGGCAGGTTTTGAGAAGACTGACTCAAATTTTGAAAGAAGTCCTACTGTGGGTAAAATGTTATCAAACAGCATTGCATGCTACAGATAAATCTTTTGTGAAAGGAAGAGTTTGTTAGTGTGGCAAGCTTCACTGGTATATTATTTTAAGAAATTACCAGAACCACCTCAGCCTCCAGCAAACACCATCTTGATTTATCAGCAGCCATCAACATTGAGGCAAGACCTTCTACTAGCAAAAACATTACGACTTACTGAAGATTCAGATGATCGTTAGCATTTTTTAGCAATATAGTATTTTTAAGGTATGTACATTGTTTTTTAGACATAATGTTATTGCACAATTACTAGACTATAGTATAGTGTGTCCATAACTTTTATATGTACTGGGCAACCAAAAAATTTGTGTGACTTGCTTAATTGCAATATTTATTATATTGTAGTGGTCTAGAATGGAACCTGCAGTATCTCTGAGGTATAACTATACTTCATGTTTAGAGTTTTATTTTATTTTCTAATTGACATATAATAATTATACATATCTATGGGATACATAGTGATGTTTCAATACATAAACTATATAGTGATCAATCAGCTTAATTATATGTATCACACATCATCTCAAACATTTATTTATTTTTGTTAGGAACATTCAATATTATTCTAGCTATTTGAAACTATATAATATACTATTGTTAACTATCATCATTCTAAAGTAGAACACTAGCACTGTCAATCTGTTTTCTCACTAGGATGGATAATGCATCTGTAAACCTGAAACGTACCCATTCTCCTTGAAGGCAAATGGTAAGGTCTGCAGTTTTTTATGTGTTTGGTTAAATAGTTATGGTTGCTGGAGGTGAGAAGAGGAAAATTGACATACTCTTCTAATGCCAAAAAACCCACATACTCTTCCTCCCTTTATTTAGCTCATTTATTAATTATTTTGCATTTCTCAAACAACATTTGAATTAATTTAATTAAAAAATAGCTACCATCCAGCTTATGGTAGGTAATATTGAATAAATAGCAGCAATGGTGTTAAAACAGGAATATCAACTATGTAACTTTTTTCTTTCCAAATTAGCCATTTTAGAAAAGATTGATAATAAATTTCTGGGGTAGGGTTTTCAATCTTTTTGAAGTAAGATTTCACTTCAAAAATTATGCCATGTCTTTTTTTTTTTTTAAACTACAGTAGACACTTACGTTACTCTTTCCTGTTACTGACTGTTTTTCGTGACCATCAACATGAATTTCAGGCTCCCTTTTCAGTAGCTATTCATTCTTTCTTTCTTTCTTTCTTTCTTTCTTTTTTTTTTTGACACAGAATCTTGCTCTGTCACCCCAGTCTGGAGTGCAGTGGTGCGATTTCAGCTCACTGCAACCTCTGTCCCTGGGTTCAAATGATTCTCATGTCTCAGCCTCCTGAGTAGCTGGAATTACAGGCGCCCGCCACCACACCTGGCTAATTTTTGTATTTTTAGTAGAGATGGCGTTTTGCCATGTTGGCCAGGCTGGTCTCAAACTCCTGACCTCAAGTGATCTGCTCGCCTTGGCCTCCCAAAGTTCTGGGATTACAGGCGTGAGCCACTGTGCCCGACCCACTTTTGTTTTCCTTTATCTGCCATCTTGATATGACCATTTAACCTTTCATTTCTATTTGTTGATTCTCTCATGTACTTTTTCTTTCACCCTGTTTTGTGTATTTTTTTAAAGGCACCCTGGCTAACTAGCCACACTTTCATTTTTCAGTTTTGGACATAAAGGTTAACTCAATGCCAGCTCTTAAACAGCACTTTATTTGGTTAAATAATTTATCAGGAGAACTAAATGACCATGGTTTTGTGTCACTAAGAACATCTTCTCGTTATTCTCATCTTGTATTCAAATGCTCTGTTGTAAATAGAGAAAATGCTTTTAATTTCTTTTTATTTATTCAATATAAATAGACGCCTTATGAAGAAATTAACCGTTCTTCCTCACCTGTTATTAAAAGTTTTGTCACTTAGTTTATACAGTTTAGTCTTACGGTTGAATAGTACTTATATATTTTAATCATGTTGGAGTAAACTAGCCAGGTATTCATTGACTTTGTCTGCAATGATTGATTATCCCTCATTTTGTGTGGCTGTTGATTTATTTTTTGAGTTATTCATATGGAAATACTTTCTTTCCCAAGTAGATCATTGCCCTAAAGTACTTTTCAATGTAAGAAATATAATATTGAACTTTTCATTTTGTCATGAAGTCTCAAATATAGGCAATGACTCTAATGTGACTCTATTCTTTGATTTGTGTCTTTTAACATCTGAAAATACTAGCTATTAGGAAAGAAAATTATGGCTCTCCAAATGGTAATGTAACACCATGGGATGACTCCCTTGTTTTCATAGATGACATGTTAGTGCTTATCTATACTTTAACCATCATAGGTGACTGCTTGAGCAGTGTCATCAGAGAATAGTGTGCAAATACATAGGACTTCATTTAACAATACTCAGTGGGATAGAACAGGAAGCAAAACCTTACCCTCTCTGCATTATAGGCTTTTCTGCAAAATGGGAAGCTGTCACTTCATCTGTGAAGCCTCTTCTAGGTATAAAGTCTCCAATAACTCTGATTGTTTTTATTTTAAGTATAAGATTATACATTTTAGTAAAAGCAAAAAGGATTTTAAAGCTTATTTTCATTTATTTTTAATTTCAATTTTATTTTAGATCAGAGGGTACATATGCAGATCTGTTACAATGGTATACTGTGTGAAGTTTGGGCTTCCATTTATCTTGTCACACAAATAGTGAACATAGTACCCAATAGGAAGTTTTTTAGTCCTTGCTTTCTCACTTCTCTAATTTGGTGTTCCCAGTATCTATTGTTCCCATCCTTATGTCTATGTGTACCCAAGATTTAGCTCCACTTATAAGTGAAAACATGCAATATTTGATTTTCTGTTCCTGTGCTAATTTGCTTAGGATAATGGCCTCCAGGGGCATCCATGTTTCTGCAAAGGGCCTGATTTCATTCTTTTTTATGGCTGTGAAGTATTCCATGGTGTATATGTACCACATATTCTTTATCCAATCCAGCATCAGTGAGCACCCAGGTTGATTCCATGTCTTTGCTGTGGTGAATTCTGTTGCATAGTTGTTGGTAGAACAATTTATTTTCCTTTGGGTACATATGCAGTAATGGGAGTGCTGGGGTGAATTGTAGTTCTATTTTTAAATACTTGAGAAACCTCCAAACTGCTTTTCACAGTGGCTAAACTAATTTACATTCCTACCAACAGTGAACAAGCATTCAAAAAGGACTTTAAAAAAATAAAGATATTTTAAATGATTCATGGCTCAATATTTAGAATTTATTGTGGTAGACAATAACTGGTGAATATTAGGGATATGTTGGATTATAGCTATAGCTACCTTTATTTACATTTTCAAATGTATGTGCATTGAAGAAAGAAATTTAAATGTGCAGGTTGCCCTATGCCCTCAGAATATTAAACGAAGGCAATAAAACATGATAAAACAAAACAAAATGGAAATTAGAAGTTTTTACATATTGACTAAAACCCTGCCCTGAAAAGTCCAATGCATACATTTAATATGTCTACTACCATGAAACTGAGATGAAAGGATGTTGCCATGATATTATACTGACTGTATTAGGCTGTTCTTGCATTGCTATAAAGAAATACCCAAGGCAGGGTAATTTATAAAGAAAAGAGATTTAATTGACTCATCATTCTGCAGGCTGTACAAGCATGGTGCCAGCATCTGCTTAACTTCTGGGGAGGTCTCAGGGAGCTTTGACTTATGGCGGAAGGCAAGATGGGGGCAGGCATGTCACGTGGCCAGAACAGGAGCAAGAGAGAGAATGTGAGGGGAGTTGTCACACACTTTTAGTCAACCAGATCTCCCAAGAGTTCAGTCACTATGATGAGGACAGCACCAAAGGGATAATGCTAACCCAGCACCAAAGGGATAATGGTAAACCGTTAATGAGAAAGCCACTCCCATGATCCAAACATCTCCCACTAGGCCCCACCTCCAACACTAGGCATTACATTTCAACATGAGATTTGGCAGGGACATATATTGAAACGATATCACTGACTCTTCAGAAAATCCAACATTAAAAATGCTAAATGCATAACAGAAGTAAGTTTATTAGTTCCATGTTACACAGGGAGTACTTGTAGGTTTTCTTTGAAAGGAGCCATTTATGATTCCTTCATTAGTGCATTTATAATATGATTCCATGTGCAAAATTTCCATTTCCACACAGTTTCTTGGTAACAAATCTCTTGTGTGAAGCAAGGTCTACTTGTAATCTTATGCTTTACTAAGCAAGGCTGAGTAGCCTCAAGGTCATTCAGACAAATTTTTGGCTTCTGTGAGAAGACAGACCCAAGCTATTTAAGGAATATCTGGCTGCTGGAGAGCCTGAAGCCAAATTTGCAGCTCATCACTAGCAAGTGTATGTTTTTTAGATGTTAACTCGACTTCTGGCTCCATCTAACTTTTCCATACTTATTTTTTCCTTTACCTTGTTTAAAAATACTCTCAATTCAAAACATTTTGAATTTCTCTATATTAAAAACAATATCAGTAACCTGCCTTAAGTTCCTTTTGATGCATATCTGGATATGAATTTAAAAACAAGAGTGAATAATTTGTGTGATTATTAGGAAGCTCAAAAGAGCAGAATTAAGAAACAGCCTATTGCCAAGATTATTTTTATGCTAGAATCAAAAATGAATAACCATAAAAAACATTACTTCTTAACAAGAAATAACTTATTTGTTGAAAAACACAAATAATTAAATATGCCTTAAGTTAAATATATGGCTTTACTTGAAGTAATCCTAATACTATAGTACTTACTTATAAATTAAATTCCAAACAGTTTATGGATCTGCAAAAGATTATGACATTTTGAAAACTCTATTTCAATATTTAAAATGGCACATTGAAGTGTGATTCTCATGAAAATACCTATGACATCTACATTAATACACACTGGAAAGATAGTAATCAGTGAACTTCTGTGATTTCCACATGAATCAACAGTGGAACATTGCTTAATCCACCACTAAATTACATCATGTTTAATTTATGTGGAAATGTTTGGAAATGCTTAAAATGTCAGTGGTAAATCATTTTACAGTCTTAATTAAACACTTTTCTATGATAAATTGCTCTATAAACAAAGTAAAATACTATTCTTACATAACTATCAATTTATTGTGAAAGACTTCAACCCCAAATCATTATAGTTTCTTCTTTGTATGAGCCAAAGCTTGTATCCTTCAAGGATTCATTTTCCTGTCATGTGGCAAATAATTTTAATATAAAATGCTTATTTCCATCCCATAGCTGGTTATCATTTTTTTAAACTCACAGTATTTATTTCTTAATATATAAATATCATAATGAGTTATAGAGTCTCCAAAAATGATTAATTCTTAAACTTTGACACTCTTTCCCCCAATAATAAGGTACTGAATGTAATATACTAAAGAGTAATGTTCTCCTCCCAAACTCCATTACTTTTATTATAAAGAATATTTAAGAAAGGAGTTCAATTTCACGGTAGAAACTAGTTGAAATGTAATTTTTATGTTTGGCACATGAAAGATTTTATGTTAAGCTGAGACATAAATGTTTTGAATCAGAAAAATACTATCTAAAATCAATAACTTCACAGGTACAGTCTCTATAACTATAAAATCCAGGAAATGAGAGTCCCATTAGGGTTTAAATCACTATTTGATTAAATGTTTCAATCAAACCCATTTTGTAATGTTTTATATGCACACTTACCTAAAATGTAGTATTATTCAAGAGCTATGATTGCTGTATGTAATGTAATTTAGTTAAAATGGATGCAAATTCATATGATTCCAGTTACATATGAACTTAAAATTAGATGTCTGCTGCTTTTTGTATCATTTTCCAGAAAAATGAGTCAACAACCAATTAGGAAACTGTACCAGTCAACTCTTGATTACAAATTGACAGAAACCATTAATAACAAAGCAACACAGTATGAGTATAATACACCAAAAGGAACATAGGTAGTGTACTACTGGGCTTGTTTTTCAGCTGAGGCCTCAATGGAACTTTGTGAGTCTCCTCCTCTACTTCACTTCCTTTGCCTTCAGTTTGAATCTCACTGGGTCAGAGTCAGGGATTTGAACCCCTCGTGGCCCTCCTGAATCAGGTTGCAGTATAATTTCGTTGACACTTTCTCCCAATCCCCAAGTATAGCAATAACTCTACTTTCCCCCAAGAGGAACAAGAAAACACAATAACACATTAACAACAGTGACAATCTTTTTATTTCCCTGTTTACTTACGGCATTAAAACTCCAAACTCGTACAGCCTTAATTTCCAAATCAATGCAATATTACTGTGTCTCTTGGTAGAGAATTCCCCTTTTCTTGGTGCTATGCTATCAGAGTCCAAAATCAAAAGGACAGAAAGCAGACAATTAGAATGTGTCAATAAGTGTAATCTCAAAGGCTTGCATCCCAGTTTCCAGTCCTAGGACTCCAGACGCATATATTTTAGCTAAGGGGGTAAAAGAATGCCATGTGGTAGTCACTTATTCAGAACATAAACTGTATTCTGCAGGACAGTACCTCAAATTTGCAAGCTATTGACTCTGAATGAAGCTCATCTGAGTTTTCATGGAGTATGCAATACCCACAAATCCCTTGAACATTAGCTCATTGCTTTGTTTCTCTATAAAGTTATTTCCTTTAAACTGAAGCAACTTTGTGTGGGATACCATGCCCTTGCATATGGTAGACAATCTATAGATAGAGCAAGGACAGAGAAAAATGATCAATAAAAGAAAAAAAATCCAGAATAAATATTTATTGCAAGAAGGAAAGATTTCTGCTACTCACTCCTTATTCCCTAAAAGATGGCAGTTGCCCACTCCGGACAACCTGACACCAAATAGTTCTTTGGTCCTTCTAGGTATAATGCTTATAAGGACTTATGATGGTCTACTGCTATTAGAAAATGGAGTTACAATAATACAGGGAAGAGATCTTACTGTGTGGACATCTCATGATGTGAACGGCATACTCACTGCTAAAGGAGACTTGTAGCTATCAGACAACCATTTACTTAAACATCAGGCTCTGTTACTTGAAGGGCCAGTGCTGCGACTGCACACTTGTGCAACTCTTAACCCAGCCACATTTCTTCCAGACAATGAAGAAAAGATAGAACATAACTGTCAACAAGTAATTGCTCAAACCTATGCCACTCGAGGGGACCTTTTAGTGTTTCCCTTAACTGATCCTGACCTCAACTTGTATACTGATGGAAGTTCCTTTGTAGAAAAAGGACTTCAAAAAGCGGGGTATGCAGTGGTCAGTGATAATGGAATACTTTAAAGTAATCCCCTCACTCCAGGAACTAGTGCTCAGCTGGCAAAACTAATAGCCCTCACTCGGGCACTAGAATTAGGAGAAGGAAAAAGAGTAAATATATATACAGACTCTAGGTATGCTTACCTAGTCCTCCATGCCCATGCAGCAATATGGAGAGAAAGGGAATTCTTAATTTCGAGGGAACACCTATCAAACATCAGGAAGCCATTAGGAGATTATTATTGGCTGTACAGAAACCTAAAGAGGTGGCAGTCTTACACTGCTGGGGTCATCAGAAAGGAAGGGAAAGGGAAATAGAAGGGAACTGTCAAGCAGATATTGAAGCCAAAAGAGCCACAAGGCAGGACCCTCCATTAGAGATGCTTATAGAAGGACCCCTAGTATGGGGTAATCCCCTCCAGGAAACCAAGCCCCAATGCTCAGCAGGAGAAATAGATTGGGGAACCTCATGAGGACACAGTTTTCTCCCCTCAGGATGGCTAGCCACCAAAGAAGGAAAAGTACTTTTGCCTGCAGCTAACCAATGGAAATTACTTAAAACCCTTCACCAAATCTTTCACTTAGGCATTGATAGCACCCATCAGATGGCCAAATTATTATTTACTGGACCAGGCCTTTTCAAAACTATCAGGCAGATAGTCAGGGCCTGTGAAGTGTGCCAAAGAAATAATCCCCTGCACTGCAGGCCATACATTTCAATCCCTATATCTTTAACCTCCTTGTTAAGTTTGTCTCTTCCAGAATCAAAGCTGTAAAACTACAAATCGTTCTTCAAATGGAGCCCCAGATGCAGTCCATGACTAAGATCTACCGTGGACCCCTGGACCGGCCTGCTAGCCCATGCTCTGATGTTAATGACATTGAAGGCACCCCTCCCAAGGAAATCTCAACTGCACCACCCCTACTATGCCCCAGTTCAACAGGAAGCAGTTAGAGCGGTCTTCGGCCAACCTCCCCAAAAGCACTTGGGTTTTCCTGTTGAGAGGGGGGACTGAGAGACAGGACTAGCTGGATTTCCTAGGCCGACTAAGAATCCCTAAGCCTAGCTGGGAAGGTGACCGCTTCCATCTTTAAACACGGGGCTTACAACTTAACTCACACATGACCAATCAGATAGTAAGGAGAGCTCACTAAAATGCTAATTAGGCAACAACAGGAGGTAAAGAAATAGCCAATCACCTGTTGCCTGAGAGCACAGCGGGAGGGACAATGATCGGGATATAAACCCAGGCATTCAAGCCGGCAACAGCAACCCCCTTTGGGTCCCCTCCCTTTGTATGGGAGCTCTGTTTTCACTCTACTTCACTCTATCAAATCTTGCAACTGCAAAAAAAAAAAATGGATCATTTGTAAAGACCGTAGCCATATTACCATTGGTAAGAACTCCATGTTGTTGAAACCATGAATAACCTTCATTCCTTCCATGATGAACATGTGGTTCTTGAGTCCACTGTAATTTTCTGAGAAAGAAGGGTGACCTATGTCTACTGAGTGGGTCACCTTATTCACACTAGAGGCTTTGTGGTGAATATAACTTTCCAAGAAATATATTCTCGTTCTGGGCTCACTATAAAGGGTCATACCCCTTCAGCATACCCTTTCCCTAAACTTCCTCCACAATGCTCCGAGTTCACTATTTTCAAGTGCCTGGCTGTCTAACCAGTGCCTTAACAGCTGAATTGGTGTAGGTTCCTGTTCTAGTTATTGTTGTTGCATAAAAAATTAACCCACAGCTTTGTGTTTTAAAACAATCACTTTATTCTAATCATGGATTCTGTGGGTAAGGAATTGGAGTGGGAGACAATTTATCTTTGCTCCATGATGTCTGTGACCTCAGTTAGGAAGTCTCGAAGCCTGGGGATGACTCAATGACTGTGGGCTGGAAGCATCTGAAAGCTTGTTCATTCACATATCTAGTACCTAAACTGGTCTGACTCAAAGACTAGGACTGGTGACTGGGGCATCTACACGCAGCCTGTCTTGGCAACCACACAGCATGTGACAACTACAGGGTAGTAGGATTTGTTCCAGGTGACCACAGGAAATAATTTAATTAGCTGTTTCACTTTTCCATGCTAGGATGAGGCAGATCTAAATTCCATCCCTAAAATGATTAGGATTTAAAATTCCTTCAGCCTCAACAAGGTCAGATACAAACCCTAGATTCTGCCCATTTCACTGAGGCTCTGTGCTGTAACTAGCGACTGGTAACAATTTCTGTTTAAATGAGGGTCTTTTGCTGCACAACAAAAACAGACTCTGGCTTTACTAACCAGAAAAGAACTACACTGGAAGAATATAGGTTGGCTCAGACAGTCCATAGGAAGGCTAAATAACCACGCTCAGGAAATGGGCCTTAGAGAGTGGGAAGAGAAAATGTATCTAAACTTATATCTCAGTAACAGCTTGATAGGACATTGTCACTAGCAGTGCCACCACTAGGTCCTCACCATTGCTGCTGGCATGAACAGCTACCACTACTATGACTACTTGACCTAGTCAAGTTTTACTGCCTCCTCCAGAACAACCTCTAACTATCCCAATATGTCACTTACTACAGATCCAACATTCCTGCATTGAATATCCTGTTGGTTTACTAAGAGACATGCCTATATCTTAGTTCATGGGGTGAGAAGAGAGGTTAAATGTTCTTTCCCATTCCCTAGAGGGAAGTGGGGTTTTTGCCCCACCACATTTACACAACAAAATTGCTCCCAAGTAGAAAAGGGGCTTAGATTATATGTAGACAAAAATAAAGCAAATACCCACTGAACATATTAATCTCATTATTCAATAATTAAAATGATTGAATGGGTGAATTAAGAGTGAATTAGTTCATATAATTGCTTTAACTCTTTTCATTTATAAAATAAGGGTTTGACCTATGATCTCTGATTTTTATTATAACTTTAAATTCTTTTTTAAAAATTATTGTCAGCCGGACATGGTGGCTCATACCTAAAATCCCAGCATTTTGGAAGGCTGAAGTGAGAGGATCACTTGAGACCAGGAGTTCGAGACCAACCTGGGCAACAGGGAGACACTGTTCCTACAATAAATAAATAAATAAATATTTAAAAATTAGCCAGGCATGGTGGTGCATGCCTGCGGTCCTAGCTACTCAGGAGGCTGAGGTGGGAGGATCACTTGAGCTTGGGCTGTCAAGGCTGCAGTGAGCCATTACTGGGCCATTGCACTCCATCCTGGGCAACAGAGCAAGACTCTGTCTTAAAAAAAAGAAAAAAAAATATTGTCAGTATTATTTGCAGAGTCTCATCCACATGGTGGAGCCATATGCCCAGGACTTGGCAGTACCCACTGCACGAATATCATGAAACTCCTAATGAACCAAGTGGGCTAACATTTTGATGTTCCAATGACTTGTTTTGTGTGTGTGTATAAAACAGGTGTAACTAAAGATTGTTGAACAAAGTTGGTTAAATGTAGTGCTTCTGCATCTAATTTTCCATTGTGTGAGCAGAAATGTGAGAATTTTTTTTTTACATCATCTCATTTTGCTTTCTGAACTACAGCACAGATTGATTGTCTAGAGAGAGTGTATAAACTAGCAGACAGCAAACTCAGGAAACACCTTTCCCAAGGATGTAGGTTCTTGGTACAGAAACCCTTTCATGAGAGACTAGGTTCCAAGGTTTACTATGAGGAAATTTGGGAACTTTCTGTTTAATTCACCTCCTCTGAGTCATTCCTTCAGTAGCCTAGATCTCACCTCTGAGAATGATTCAGCCTTTTTAAGCCAATACAGAATCTTTTAAGCCAATACAGAATCTTTTCTCCCTCCTTTGGGAAAGATTGCAAATATTCTTGGAGCAAAAGGTGATGACACTCCAGAACTGGCTGGCTTTCCTCTTCACAGTGGATCTGTGATGGTTCCCAAGGAAAATACCTACAGGGAATCTCCCTGGCTTCATCTTTTGGCAGCCAATGCCAAACGAAGCTCAAATCTTCAGAGAAGATTTCACTTGCAGTGGCTCTCAGAGTATGTTTTATTATTGAAAAATTGGGAGTAGTAAGAGTACCTGGAGCATATGGTGGTTGTGAAAACTAAGTGAGATGAGTTTTGAACAATGCAGGGCCTACAGTAAGCACTAGAAATGCATTACATATTACTCTTATTATTTAAAATGATGCCCAAATTCCTTTGTGGGACATTCAGCACCCCTCATGATCTTGACCCTGCTTTCTTGTCTGGCTTTAACTTATCATTCTCCATACCATTCTTTCCCTTGCACCAGCAAAGCTCTGCTCCACCCTTACTGAACTACTTGTAGTTATCTTGAAACTTTCATCCTTTCTCTTGGCTTAGGGCTTTACACATGCAGCTCTCTTCTTCTGCCTAGAACATCCTATTCTACATAATTTGTCATATTAAATTCTACTCATTCTTTGAGACCTTGCTTCATAGTTATCATTGCAAAAGCTTTTCTGTTCTCCAAACTTGGGCCTGGTCCTATTTCTTACTAGATGCCCTTTAGTACTGTCTTAGTCCATTCAGGCTGCAATAACAAAACACCATAAACTGGGTGACTAACAAACAACAGAAATTTATTTCTCACAGCTCTGGAGGCTAGGAAGTCCAAGATAAAGGCACTGGCAGATTCAGTGTCTTGTGAAGGCTTACTTTCTAGTTCATAGATGGTGCCTTGTTGCTAGGGGCGAGGCTACCTCTGGAGCCTCTATTAAAAGGGCACTAATCCCATTCATGGGGGCTCTGTTCTTATGACCTAATCACCTCCCAAAGACTTCACCTTCTAATACCTTGGGTTAGGATTTCAACATATGAATTTCAGACCATAGTAAGTACCCGCTGTTTACCCCTTTGTAAAAGTTCATTGTAAACTACTTGATTCTTTGGCTATCTCCCCGACTTCCCCATAAGATTCTTAGAGGTAGAATTTCCTGATGGTATAGCATATCACAGTGCCTGGTACATAGTACATATCCCATAAATAAAGGAATAATGAGTAAATAGGCCACTTATGGCATGATAATTATTTCAAAACTGAAACAAAGAAAAGCAAGATATATTGGTGGCAATTATAAAACATCATGTATGTTTTCTGCCCAAAATATTCAAGCATACTTGGAATACATAAATAAAGAATCATTTGGGGTATAAATATGTCTTATTCAAAATGGAAATTTGTAATCATTATGTATCACATATTTAAATGAATGTACTATAAAATATAATTAATGCTACAAGAAAATTTTTGCACCAGATAGAGAAAATCAAATTGGTAAATTGATTAATTATATTCCTAATTATTTCTTATGTTTTTGTTTTCCTTTTTGTTTTTCAGTTAGGGCATCTGCCTTAACTTTGGCATAAAGATGTTCACTGATCCTGGCTTACTGGACTTTAATCCAGTACTAATGACTTGAAGCACACTGTGAACTACAAACATATTTTCATTCATCATGGCAGATGCTCTTTGAGACTTGCATTGTGAGGACAGAAGTTCAATTAATGTGTTTCCCATTTGTTCTTCTGACAGATAGAGGCCAAATGACACAATGGGAAGATCTTCAACTAAGTGTCAAGAAAAAAAACTAGTGTTCTAGTGTTCTAGAGTCCTCTTTGCCACTTAAAATAGCCTTGTGACTATAAGTGTGTCATCCATCATCTTGGAGGTTCAGAAATGGAAAGGAAAGACATTTTGTAAGTGGCATAGCATAAATGTCGATAGAATCCTGGCTTTGTCACTCCAACTTAGGTGACCACTAAACCATCTGTTTCCATTTTCTCTTTCACTTATTTAATATACATTTAGTGGTTAGCATAAACTGACACTGTATTAAATAAGTAAAAAATGAAATAAATGGTTGTTGTCTAGAGAAATGCAGCATTTAGTGTGAAAGGCAGACATCCAAACCTCACATGATATGGTCAATAAAAGCCTTTCTCAAATTTTTATGTGTATAGGAACCACCTGAGGATCTCCTTAAAATGCAGATTGTAGTTCACTAGGTCTGGAGTGGGACCTGGGATTCCTCATTTCACACAAGCTTCCAGGCTATGGATACTGCTGATCAGTGAATCACAGTTTGAGAAGTGATTGTAATAAAATATAAACAGAGATATGCTATCGGAGCACAGAAGAAAAGAAACTAACTGAACTATGTAGCATCCAAAGAGGAAATGAGACGGAGTTGAAGGATGAGTAACAAAAGATGCAAAGGAAGGCATTTAAATGTCTTTGAGTAGAGGCACTATTTTATATAGAACACAGAGGTATGAATTGCCATGGTGTGAGTGTAGAAAAATAATCCCACACTGGGGAGTCATGTACAGGGAGACCAGTTTCCAGGAAGAGCAACAGTTCACTTAGGAGGTAATGAAGGCCTGAATTACTTTAATGTGTTCATGTGATTATTCATAGCTGAGTTTTCTAAAAGGTGTAGTGGAGAGGGCCTAATGAAAGGGAAAACAGGGAGGATAAAAAGAAAAAGGAAATACATTTCTCCCAATATATTTGTAAGGTAAAAAGTGACAAGGCCATGGCCAGGTTCAGTGGCTCATGTGTGTAATCCCAGTGCTTTGGGAGGCTGAGATAGGGAGGATCACTTAAGGCCGGGAGTTCAAGATCAGCCCAGGCAACATAGCAAGACCCTATCTCTACATAAAATTAGCCGAGTGTGGTGCCACGTGTCTGTAGACCTGACTACTTGGGAGACTGAGGCAGAAGGATCACTGGAGCCCAGGAGTTCAAGGTTACAATGAGCTAAGACCATGCCACTGCACTCCAGCCTGAGTAACAACAGAGCAAGACCCTGTCTCAAAAAAAAAAAGAAAGAAAGAAAGAAAGAAAAACAAAAACAAAAAAGAAAAAGCAAATGACAGAACCAAATCGCTGATCATAAGTGGCTGAGGGTAAAAGGGAAGAGAGACAGGAAAATGTATTGCTCTGGTGACTGGTAATGTTGTTTTTACTCAAGATAATGGTTATACTAGGAGAAACAGTTTCTGATTTGTTGGAGGAGGTAAAAAGTGAAGACAAAATGAATTTGAACATTGAAAATTTAATGACTGAGGGACATATTTCCAGGGCCACTCTAGGTTTAAAGATCTATTATTGCTTCCCTATTATTAAGTAAATTTTCTTTGAATGCTACATAGAGTGGCTACTTCATATTTTATAATAAATTTAAACAACAATTTTGAAAAAAATTAACATTTTAGCATCATTTCATGAGTCCTTTGAGTGACTTCATTTTCTCATTTGTAAATTCTTTGTGTATTCCTTAAAGTTGGGTGTTATGACTTTTAATAGTACTAGGAATAATGCCAGCAAGATGGCAGAGGAAGGTGCCTAGACCTTGCTCCCCAACAGAAACGCTGACTTAACAACAATACACAGCTCAAAAAGCCTTTATGACAATGGTAGAATTCAGTTAGAAAGTTGAAGTACACCAGGCAAACACAAAGTCAAGAATAGCCCCATTGAAATGGGAAGGAGAAGCAAGCTCCTCCTAAGCTGTTACAGTTCATAATCTGAATGAAAAGCCCCAATGTACAGCTTCTCCCTTGGGGGAAAGAAGAAGATTGGAATGTATGTCCAAGTTTCAGCTTTTGGGGTGGGAGGAGGGCACTGCCTGAGAGATTGGTTTCTATCTCTCCTAACTTGGAGCATTAACAGGGAACCGGGATGCTTTGGATGCCTGAGAACAAAATGCAGCTCAGTGAATTGTGGCAGCACCAGAGAAACTGCAGTACTACAGACAGACATCAGAGAGAGCAAGAGATGACAAGTTCCTGAAAAATAAACTGGCAAACCTCTCACTATAAAATTACATGCACAAGTTCAGGGAAGATACATTCCCATAAAAGGCTTGTGAGGCCACTAGAATCTCTATGCAGGCTGATTTATGAAGATCTTCCCCGTACAAAACCAGTGCACAAAGATTGGGAGAAGTGGCTGTGTTTTAAATGCAAAAATCACAACAAAACGTAAGGCATACAAAGAAATAAGAAAACATGGCCAATTCAAAAGAATAAAGCCAATTTCCCAAAACCAATCCTAAAGAAACAACAAGATCTGTGAAAGTAGCTAACAAAGAATTTAAAATAATCGTCTTAAAGAAGCTCAATGTGCTTTTAAGAGAAGATAGAAAACTAAACAAAATCAGAAAAATGATGCATGAACAAATTGAGAGTATCATTAAATAGATTTTTTAAAAACCTAGTAAAACAGAACCAAACAAATTCTGGAACTGACAAATAAAATAACTGAATTGAAAAATTCACTAGAACAGATGAAAGTAGACTTGATCAAGCAGAAGAAGGAATCAATGACTTCAAAGACATTGAAATTTCAAAGGTCACATGAAATTATCAAGAGAATAACAACAACAAAAGAACAAAGAAAAGTGTTGAAAGCCTAAGGAACTTATAAGACACCATCAAGCAGAGCAATATATACATTATAAAAGTTTCAGAAGAAGAGAGAGACTGGGGCAGAGAGCTTATCTGAAGAAATAATTCCCAAATCTGAGAAAGAAAATTGTTGTCCAAATTCAAAAAGCTCAAGGAACTATAATGTTGATGAATGTAAAAAGGCCCACACTAAGACACATTATAAAGTCAAAAGACAAAGACAAAAAGAGAGTCTTAAAAGCAGCAAGAGAAAAGTAACTCATCACATACAGGGGAACTTCCATAAGATTATAAGTGGATCTCTCAGCAGGAACACCTGCTTTACAAGAGAAGAAAGATCTCAAATCACCAACCTAAATTTACACCTTAAGTAACTAGAAAAAGAAGCTCTAACTAAACCTACAGTTATCTAAAGGAAAGAAATAATAAAGGGTAGAGCAGAGATTAATAAAATACAGAAGAGAAAAAAGTCAGCAGAACTGAGCTCATTCTTTCAAAAGACCAACAAAATTGACAAACTAATCTTCTCAAACTCTTCAGAAAAATGGAAGTGGGAGAACACTGCCTCTTGATGCAAAATCCCTCAACAAAATACTAGCAAACCAAATCCATAACACATTAGAAGGATTATACATCATGACTAAGTGGAATTTATTCCTGGAACGTGAGGATGGTTCAACATATGAAAATCAATCAATGTTATACACTACATTAACAGAATGATGGGCAAAAACCATGTGATCATCTCAATTGATGCAGAAAAGGCATTTTGCAAAACTCCAAAAACTTTCATCATAAAAACACTCAACACAAAAGGAAAATAAAAAGGGAATGACATCCACATAATAAAGGCCATATGTGAAAAGCCTACAGCCAACATCATGCCAATGGTGAAAAACTGAAAACTTTTCCTCTAAGATCAGAAGCAAGGCAAGAATACCCACTCTTGTCACTTCCCTTCAACATAGCACTGGAATACCTAGCCAGAGCAATCAGACAGGAAAAAGATATAAACAGAATCCAAACACAAAAGGACTAAATACAATTATCTATGTTTACAGATGGCATGATATCTTATGTAGAACACCCTAATGATCCTATAAGAAAACCTGTTGGAACTAATAAACATATTCAGCAAAGTTGAAGAATACAAAATCAACATGCAAAAATCAGTTGCATTTCTATATATTAACAGTAAACAACCTGAAAACAATTTAAGAAAAAATATGATTTTCAATAGTATCAAAAAGAATACTTAGGAATAGGCTGAAGCCAAGAGGCAAAAATCTTGTACACTGAAAACCATAAAACGTTGCTGAAAGAAATCAACAAAGACACAAACAAATGGAAATGCATCATGTTTGTGGATTGCAAAACAATATTGTTAAAATATCTACCCTACCCAGATCAATCAATGAATTCAACGCAATCACTGTCAAAATCCTAATGGCATATTTTTTGTAGAAATAGAAAAAAAGAATCCTAAAATTCATATGGAATCTCAAAGGACAATGATGAAATGATCTTCTACAAAGGCACCAAGGCTATATAAGAGAGAAAAGACAGTCTCTTCAGCGAATGATGTTGGGAAAACCGTGTATCTATATCCAAAAGAATGAAATTCAACCCCTACCTTATGCCATATACAAAACTTAAAATGGATTAAAGACCTAAATGTAAGATCTAAAACTATAAAACTCCTAAAAGAAAACACAGGAAAAAATCTTCATGGCATCGGATTTGGCAATGATTTCTTGGATTTGACACTGAAAGCACAAGCAACAATAGCAAAAACAGACAAATCGGACTAATGTAACTTGAAAACTTCTGCACAGCAAATAAAACAATCAACAGAGTGAAAAGGTAACTTATGAAATAGGAGAAAATATTTGCCAACTATATATCTTATAAGGGGTAAATATCCAGAATGCATAAAAAACTACTAAAACTCAACAAGAAAAAGAAAAGCAACCCAATTTAAAAAATGGGCAAAAGACTTGAATAGATATTTCTCCAAAGAAGATGTAGAAATAGCCAACAAGCCTATGAGAAGATGCTAAACATCAGTAATCATTAGGGAAATGCAAATCAAATCCACAGTAAGATATCACCTCACACCAGTTAAGATGGCCACTGTCAAAATAATCAGAAAATAACAAGTGTTGGTGAGGCCATGGAGAAACTAGGACACTTGTACACTATTGGTGAGAATGTAAACAGTACAGAGATTTCTCAAAAAATTAAAAATAGAATTATCACATGACCCAGCAATCCCACTTCTAGGTACATACACAAAAGTATTGAAAACAGGAACTCAGAAACATATTTGTGTACTGACATTCATTGCAGCATTATTCACAATAGCCAAGAAGTGGAAGCAACATTAATGTCTGCCAACAGATGAATGGATTTTAAAAAAATATATTCAGTGTATTAATCCATTTTCATGCTGCTGATAAAGACATACCAAAAACTGGGCAGAAAAAGAGGTTTAATGGACTTACAGTTCCACATGGCTGGGGAGGCCTCACAAATATGGTGGAAGGCAAGGAGGAGCAAGTCACATCTTACATGAATTGTGGCAGGCAAAGAGAGAGCTTGTGCAGGGAAACTCTCCTTTTTAGAACCATCAGATCTCATGAGACTTACTCTCTATCACAAGAACAGCACGGAAAAGACCTACCCCATGATTCAATTATCTCCCACCGGTTCCCTCCCACAACACGTGGGAACTATAGAAGCTACAAGATAAGATTTGTGTGGGGACACAGATCCAAACCATATCCTTAAGCCTGAAGAAAGAAGGAATAACCCTGTTGAGATATACAACATGGAGGACATTATGTGGACTGAAATAAGCTAGTCATGAAAAGACAAATGCCATATGATCCCACTTATATGAAGTATCTAAAACAATCAAACTTTTAGAAACAGATAATAGGATGGTGATTGCCAGGGACTAGAGGGAGGGAGAAATAGAGTTATTGTTTAATGGGCATAAGGTTGCAGTTTTGTAAGATAAAAAGAGTTCTGGAGATGGATGATGGTGATATTTGTACAACATTCTGAATGTACTTAGTACCACTGAACTGCACACTTAAAAATGGTTATAATCGTAAATTTTCTACTATGTTTTGACCACATTAAAATGATTTTGAATACAGTATCTTCTAATCTTGCCTGTGGTGGTTCATATAATACAATTGATTTTCTATCTCTTCTTCTTAATTATTGCTAACATCATTTAAGCTGCTTTTGTACAAAAGTGATTATTGACCATATCTTCTCTTTTCACAGTACCTTTTCATTTCTCATGAGTTCTATTTGATTATATTCCAGACTCTTTAAATAAATTATTCTGAAATGATTTGTCGTAAATAAATTATTTTTGGTAGTGAATAATATTGGAAGTCTAAAAGAAGTACTATATGGTAAAATGAATTTAGTAAACTTTTGTCTCTATTTGTAGAGCTGATTTCCTTTATATAATGGGAGTTTCAAAATCATGAATCCCCAGGGCCAGAGAGGTAATACAGTGTAGTGAAGCAGGCTGGGTATAAGAATTCTGGCATTAGCATTTTAATACTACCGTTGAAACTTAGCCTTGGTGCTAGGAAGATATGGGGGTTCAGTAGGAAGTGTGGCAAACTGGAGAGCATAGGGCCCAGGTAAAGGGGTAGCTATTCATAGTTCCAGGGGATTGATGCTATGTGGGAATGCACATCCTCTCAAGATCTTCTGATTTTTACAGAGAAGTAAAGATTTGCATTTTCATTTGAAATCTACTGATCTTACCTATATCGGGGCAAATATTTTAAAAATACTCTTCACAGTTGTTATGGGTTGAATGTCTCCCCCAAAAAGGTATATTGAAGACTTAACCCCAATACCTGTGAATGTGACCTTATTTTGAAATAAGGTCTTTGCAGATGTAATCAAGATACATTGAGGTCATTAGGGTGGGCCTTAATACAATATGACTGGTGCCATTATAAGAAGAAGAAAAGAGAAAAATACATACGAGAATGCCATGTGAAGACTGAAGCAGAGATTGAACAGAAGCATCTACAAGCCAAGGACCACCAAGGACTCTCAGCATCATCAGAAGCCAGAGGCGAGGTATGAAACAGATTCTCCCTCAAATTCCTCAAAGGAACCAACCTTGCCAACAACTTGATTCAAACGTCTAGCCCCCAGAACTGTGAGACAAAACATTTCTATTGTTTTTCTAAGTACCCAATTTGTGGAACTTTGTTATCGCAGTCCTGTGAAACTAATGCCATAGTAAGTAAACATACCTGTGAGTTTTATATGTTGTTTGCCACCATATCATATTAATAATCTTATTATGGATTTTTTAAAACCCAAGAATTTTTAAAAGTACATGTTTGTGGCTATGCCTCTTTGGAATATAGCAAGGTACTTTGTGTCATTATCAACATCTCCACCATCTTCTGATCTCTTACTCCAAGAGATGACCAGAAAGGTAAGTATTTGAGTTTATTACCTCAATAAACATTAAGGACTTACCAGGTACCGGTTACTGGACTAGGCACAAGAGGTAAAACTGAAAAAGAAAATCCCTTTTTCCTCAAGAAAGTTACCGTTATAAAATCAGTTCTAATACAGTAACTGTGATGATGATGGGGTAGCACAGATTGCTATAAGACAAAGGAGGAGCTCCTAACACCAACAAGAGGCTCGGAAAGTGATCACGGGGTGAACTGATAGCTTATTTGTCCTACAACTACTATACACCGGAACTAAATTCAAACCCAAACCTCGTTCTACCTTACCTCTCCTTTGGTTTTTTTCATCTGCAAAATGAGGATAACATTACTCCTTAAAGCTCTGTGGTGATTAAAAGAAATAGGAAGCACATTGTCTCAATGTCTGATCATGGTAGACCTTACTTGTGCCCACTCAAATCTGGCCTTCCTCCCTGTCCTGGATACATGGAAGACATTTCCCAGATGGAAATAGAAGAATACACTTCCCAGAATCCTGCTTGCAGTTAGGGGGAGGCTTGTGACCAGTCCTGGCCAAAGTGTGAAAGCACAGAAGGGCCAGCATGTGATTTTTCACACTCTTGTCCCCTTGCAGGGACCGAGGAGACCATGTGTTCTAGATGGTAGAGCTGCAGATGATGACATTTGTGTCATCTAGGATCCCCCAGCAACTATGTGGAATAGAACCTCTGCCAAAGGGGTCCTTTCCACATGATAAAAACAAAGCCTTGTTTTGTTAAGCCACCAGGATTTGAGAGTAAATTTTTCACAGCAATTTATCTTAATCTATCCTAATTAATATACCGGTCCATAAAACATGCTCTGCAAATGTCAGTTTTCTTCTTTCTTTTGACAATAATTTAGAAATAACCATTAAGTTTTTAAAAAGTATTAAAAGTTAGGCTGTGTATTACCAGCTGCATACAATATTCTTATTCCAGGTTCTGAGACAAACCAAAAGCTGCTATAATAGTTGAGAAAGCAACTGTGTCCTAAGATGAGCTAAAATAAAAAATCCATTCATTGTCATAAAAAGTCACATCTCATTAAAGATCATTTCTCTCATTCCTCCAGACCAAATTATTTAAGTGTTAAAATAGCAGAAGAACATTGAAAAAACATATCAATGCTAAAAATTTCAGCTTCAGGTTTCAGTCACTATTCTTAACATACCTTCAAAGGGTTTTGAAGACTTCCAGGAAGGGGTTATTCAACAAAAAGAAGTCTTTTATTTTCTCTACAAAATGGGACATAGGAAAAAAGATGAGAGTAAATATAATACCAACTTTTCTGCTCAAACAAATCTAAAAACTTTTGCCTAATATTCCACATCTTGATGATATGTTCTGATTTGCTAACCAACCTCATTTCTCACTTTTTCCCAACATAGACTTCATTTTAACCAAGTCTTCTCAAAGTCCACAAACAAGCCACATTCATTCCTTCTTTATGTCTTTACCCATTTGCCTGAAGTGCTCTTCTCTCTTACTTGGAAAATGAGCTCTGCGTCTGCTTCCTGTGGTGGTATTTTGTCCTCCGGGATTCAATATTTTTGTATGCCTAGCAATTTTGTCTCTTTTCTGGACTATAACTCTCCAAGAACAGAAATGATTTTTTTTTTTTTACACTTTACTTCCTTATCCTCAAAGCTCTGGCACAGTACTGAACACACCACCAGCAGTAAGTAAATTCCTCTTGGTTGGCTGGTCTGTGAGTGTGTGTGGAGAAGGATGGGTAATGAAGTGTGAGCAGGGAGAGTGGAAAATTGAAGTGGTTTTAGCAGAAAGTCTAGCAGCTGAAGAATCAGTCTCTGGAGGCAGCGGGGGACTTAAAAATTGTCTTCCACAGTTTTGTTTTTTAGTTGAGTATTACCAATTAGTGACCATTTAACAATAGGCTTACCACAACTGCTCCATAGAGAATGAAAGTATGCAGTGAGGCACTTCAGAAACTTTCCTGCTTGGAAGTAGCTCTGTGTGGCTGTAGAAAGAGGCCCTGGGAATGTTACTACTGTTCATATTTTAAATATCAAGTACTATATTCTCTACTATTGCCTCCACTTTTGAGAAAAACATGCATGATCACTGGGTACAATGTATGTATTGTATCATTTCACCCAAACTGTCACCCAAGTTCTGGATGTAGCACAAAGAGGTTTTATGTAACAATGTTTCAGTCTGTTAATAATGTGATGCATACTCATGTGAAGTGCATTGGTACCAGTAAGTATAAAGATTTAAGATGTGTAGGTAGATTTTTCTCAGCTTCCTGATTGTACAACACTATATTGTACCCTGTCAAAATTGCTATTTTCAAATATGTTAAAATAGGTGCTGAATTAGATTTGATGTTCTGAAAATGAAAGGTCATATGCTCGAGTCAGGGCCATGAACTGAACTTGAGTGGAAGTAGAAGGAGTGGAAGTAGAGGAGGAAAGGATTGGGAGGGAGATGTTCAGTTGAGCATAGTTACTCATTGGATAAGCATTTCTTGAATGCCAGGTGCTGTTCTAGGCACCGAGGAGCTCCAAGGATCCAAGATAGACTTGCTCTCCACAACCATAGAGCATACATTCAATTTGGGGAGATAGGCAATATGCAGATGAATAAATGTTCATGATGGCTTCAGGCAGCAGTGAATTCTATGAAGAAAATAAAACAGGGTGATGTACCAGTGAGGGAAGGGTTGTGGAGGAAAAACTCTATGGGGAAGTAACATGTATCAAAGGCCTAAGTGACACAAAGGAGATAGCTTTTCCTCAATGTGGGGAAAGAATGTCCCTGCAAAGGCCTATAGGCTCCAGTGAGCTTCGTATGTTTGTATTTGAGGAACAGGAGGAAGGCCAGCATGACGAAGGCAAAATGAGGGGGCAGATGAGACAGGATAGAATGGCATGGGGCCAGGCTGTAGGCCATGGCAAGGAGCTTGGGTTTTAATTCTGTTGAAGATTGGAGCACTGACGTCCTGTTTTATTGATTCTGGCAGGACCTGTGTACAGTCTGCCTCCGTGTCCACCTGTTCCTAGCTGGTGGCTTCGGGTGCATGTTTTCTCCCTTTTCTTGTCCTGGCTGCTGTTTTGAGGAAACCACCATCTTTCAAACAGGAAGGCTTCATGTCTTTGAGGGATTATTTGGAGAAAACACATATTCTGTGACTCATTAGCCCTTTCTCAAAGTACACCTGGTCCTCATGTGTGGCTATTTTTGTAACAAACAGAATACTAGTTATGAAACAAACCTAAATGTGAGGATGGGTAAAATGGAGTGCCCTTTAGAAGCTCCGTGTCGCCTCTTGCGGTGTTGGTCCCAGGGCCAACATATTCATATGGCTCAGTAGACACAGCACTTTGGGCCCACAATACTTTTAGGGGTACATAAAGTGACTTAATTATTTTAATAATAAAAAAGTAACTTTTAATTAAATAATATATTCACCTTTATACCAAAGCATTCATAAAATATAATTTAAATATTTTTATGGAGGAAGGGACTGAGGAAGCAAAAGGACCCATAGGGAAGTCATGATACCACCCATGTTACTGCTTATATAATAAGAGACATTAACGTACTGTGTACTCTTCAATAGAATTATTATTCTGAAAGAAATACATTTTATTTTGCTTGTTTTAGCTTATTAAATTAATGGACTCAACTATTTGAATAATAGACTACTGTACCATTGTATTATACATGGTATGACATATGCATAGTGTTAAAGCAAACTAAGTATGGCCTGAGAAGGACTCTGTACTTCTATATTTGAGTCCTTTTGGATGAACTGCAACCTAACTTAATAGGTAGACAAGACTGAAAGCCTAACTTAGAAGTATGTGCTTCTAACAATAGACGAGTCTTGGCCAATCCCAGCAGCCATACTTCAACCACTTATACCCTGCTGAGTGTTCAAACTGTGTTCAAATAACGCAAAATGACAGCCTGTAACAATTGAGCTGTTTCTGTACCTCACTTTCAATTCCTGTACATCACTTTACTTTTTTTGTCTATAAATCTGTTCTGACCACAAGGCACCCCTGGAGTCCCTCTGAATCTGGTATGTTTCTGGAGGCTGCCCGATTTGCAAATTGTTCATTGCTCAATTAAACTCTTTTAAATTTAATTCAGCTGAAGTTTTTATTTTAACAATAATTATAGATATATAAGCAGAATATTTTAAAGACTAGATTAAAAGGGGAAAATAATGTTTATATAATTTTCAAGTTAATGATATATAAAATCTTTGCTCTTAATAAAATTATTATTTTTTTAGTGAAAGTTATATAATTGCATATGCTGAAATTGTGTGAAAGTCTTACTTTAATATTTTGTAACCTGAGAGTTTAGTTCAGCTTCTTAAACTTGGCTGAAAATTATACTTCACAAAGATCTGTATTTCTAATAGAAAGAGTACAGGAAAGATGGCACTTAAAAAATCATGATACTAATTTTTCGATCCTATCTAAAAATTATGCAAATGTTTTGTTGAAATTCATCAGCGTGGTGTCTTCTTAAATACTTGTTTTTGACACCTAATCAAAGTTGTTGAACTGTTACATTTTTAGCAATGAGTTCATGACCCACTGAAATTCTTTATTTAGAAAATTTGTAAACAGGTATAAAATGTTACCAAGTTTTTTGTTGCTGGTTTGGGTTTTGTTTTTAGTGAGGAGGTCTTGCTAAGTTTCCCAGGCTGGACTCAAACTCCTGGGACTAAGCGGTCCTCCCACCTCAGCCTCCTGAGGTATTGGGACTACAGGCACCCGTTAGTGTGCTTGGCTTAAGAATTTTTCTTTTGTTTGTGTCTTTTTAATTAAGAAGCAATTATTAGAGTACTTATAGGTGACATATTTACAGCTGCTGCTAAAATGAAGCAAAATCACATAACAATAGAAATATTTCTAAAGACTCATTTTCAAAATGCTTTTTCCTTTTGTGAGTTTCTTTCAAAAAGACAGTTGATGAATCACTCATTGATAAAATACCAATTTTATCTTGATGGAATCAATTTTAAACTGTCTTTAAAAAGTATCTACCAGGTAGCATTCTACGGAGGCCTATCTGTAATTGCAGCAAAGTTCAGCAAATTTGGAGCACTTAACTAATTTGCAATGTAAACTCAATTTTTTATTTCAACAACCACTTCAAGTAATTTGGGAAGATAACCAGTAGAACACAACAATTTCGTGGTCATTGTCTTCCTCATTACAAAGTATTTAAACTTTACAATATTGAAAATAATAAGGTTTAAAAGTGACTTAATGGGACAGGGAAATCACAATCCATAGCAAAACAGTGAAAGGGAACCCAAGAGTGTTAGAGTAATTCTCAAACAGCATCGACTCTTATAATATGCCCTGGGTATAACTTAAACACTTGGTATGAACTGAACTTTGCTAATATACAGAGGGTGTGAAGGTGCCAATGTAAATATCTATATTAATGATAAGTAAAGCTTAATTTCTTTTCTATTTTTTAGGCAAGAAATACTTATAAATTGGAGGCTTGATAGTTTCATCTTGCACTATAACAAATTATTTTATTTTAGAGGCCACTCTATTAAATTGCTATTGTTTCCAATCTTTTTAAACTTTATGTTTGCCTTCTCCTAACGTAATATTTACTATGACATGGATTGCTTTTCTTATTTTTGCCAACCAATGTGCTTTAATGACAACAAATAAACATGGAGATTACAGACACCTTCCAAATATTCTACACATTTATGCAGATTATTTTCAGGGTTTCTCATATCAATTGAAATTAATAATAAAAGTTAGTTAAAAATTTGTTTCTATAAAAGAACAAAACCATGTTCTTTGTGGCAACATGGATGCAGCTGGAGGCCACTGTTCTAAGTGAATTAACTCAGGAAAGGAAAACAAACATGGTATGTTCTCATTTATAAGTGGGAGCTAAACATTAGGTACTCATGGACATAAATATGGCAACAATAGACACCGGTAACTACTACAGTGGGGAGGGAGGCAGGAGAGCAAGGGCCGAAAAACTAACTGTTGTGTGCTATGCTCAGTAGCTGGGTGACAAGATCAATCATACCCCAAACCTCAGCATTATACGATGTACACACGTAACAAACCTGCACATGTACCCCCTGATTCTCTTTTTTTTTTTTTTTTGAGATGGAGTCTCGCTCTGTAGCCCAGGGTGGAGTGCAGTGGCGCCATCTCGGCTCACTGCAAGCTCCGCCTCCCTGGTTCACGCCATTCTCCTGCCTCAGCCTCCCAAGTAGCTGGGACTACAGGCGCCCGCCACTACGCCCGGCTAATTTTTTTGTATTTTTAGTAGAGACGGGGTTTCACCGTTTTAGCCGGGATGGTCTCGATCTCCTGACCTCATGATCCACCCGCCTCGGCCTCCCAAAGTGCTGAGATTACAGGCGTGAGCCACCGCGCCCGGCCATGTACCCCGATTCTAAAATAAAGGTTGAGTGTGGCGTGGTGGCTCATGCCTGTAATTCCAGCACATTGAGAGGCTGAGGTGGGCGGATCACTTAAGATCAGGAGTTCAAAACCAGCCTAGCCAACATAGTGAAACCCCTTCTCTATTAAAAATAACAAAAAATAAGCCGGGCGTGGTGTCATGTGCCTGTAATCCCAGCTACTTGGGAGGTTGAGGCACGGGAATCACTTGAACCTGAGAGACAGAGGTTGCAGTGAGCCGAGATCACGCCACTACACTCCAGCCTGGGAGACAGAGCAAGACTCTGTCTCAAAATAATAATAATAATAATAATAAATAAAATAAAATAAAGGTTGAAATTGTAAAAAAGGAAAAAATTATTTCTGTAATTAAGAAGAAATTTTACAAAGCCTCTCTTTACTAAACATACCTAGATTAGCAGAAAATATTCAGAGAGCTATGAAATCACATGATCTCATAAAGACTGGGCAAGCAAATTTAGATCTTCAGCAATGAAGTTATTTTATTCACTTACCTTTTGTTTTCTTTTTACAAAAGTCTCATATACTGAAACAACAAAAATATGCCGAATGCTTATCAACCAGAAATATCCAAAGATAGCAGAATTTTTTGTGTGTTTAGCATTATGAAAGGATGGAGAAGCAAATGTTACTTATATTAAATTGAAATTTTAAAAGTAAAATGATATTATCTAACTTATTAAAAATTGAAAACCAGAGGGCAATGAAGGATTAGTATTTCAAAGACAAAATATTAGAAAACTAAAAGAGCACCTTAATAGTTGAGATAAAGTTATACAATTAATTGACTTTATTTTCAGTTCAAAGTGTTCTATAACTTCAGTTGCTGATAGTTCAATTCACATTTGAAGCAAGTCTGAAAGTTAACTTAGAATGGTATTCCTAAATGTTTTCTAGTCACGATTTCCTAGAAACCCATTGTCCGTCAGTATTGCCTAGACTTTACCATCCTACTTTTATTCAAAAAGGAGGCAGGGGGAAGGCTGGAAAAATAAACCAGGTTTGAAGTAACATTTTACAAAGGTTTAAAACCTTTGTAAAAAAAGGTTTTAAAAGTCAATGGTCACAAAAAAATTATATTCGGCTCATCAAATTTACCTTAGCCTAATCCATATTTACCAACTTAGTTCCTCCTAGCTATTTTCATCATCTTCTGTCATTAACTAAGACAGTAGTCCTCAGTCTTGAAAGTAGCAGAAATAACCCCTTGAGGGAAGTAATAGCCACCTACCTCTCCAACCCCGCCTTCTCTGTCTACTTTGAGGCTTCTTCTTCCTCCTTCTGCCCCCTGAATGTTCCTGCCTGAGGTTTGTTCAAGTCTTTACTTTTCATACCCTTGCCTCTGACAATCTCATTTGCTCTATGATTTCAATTATTGTCTCTCTGCAGAAAAATCCCCAACAGATGACTCTAGAGGAGACTTTTCAAACTACAGGCAGGCATTCCAACTTCCTGCTGTCCATCTACATATGGATATACTACAAGCAATGCCAATGTAATGTATACAAAACCAAAAGCATGATTGACCTACATTCTCAATTTAACTCCTCCATTTCTGTTAATGCTCCATTCCCTACCTACCTTGGCCTTGAAGCTCAGGGCTTCTTTGAATTGTCCCTCTCCTTTCCCACTGTCCTACCCTTACTATCATCACATGCACTATTTTCAATAGCTTCTTAAATCGTCTCTTTACTTCCAATTAAGGAACATGTCAACTTGAATCATCACTCTAAAGCATGGCTTTAATCATGTTTCATATGTTCTTTGAAAACCTGTGTTTACTTCTGATTATCTATAGAAGAATGTTAAAATTGCTCCATCTGGCATTCAAGAATTTAAAGATCTGTCAAACTTTTTGGGGGTCATCCTCCATCCAGTTGGTTACTTATAGCTTATATACTCAAGTTGAACTTTATTACTTAATATTTTCCTAATATAGCATGCAATCTCTTGCTCCTTCATATTTTGCTGATATTGTGTATCCTGTTTGTAGGCTGAAGTACTACACAACCTTAAAAACCCAGTTCAAATTATGTCTTTTCCAAGAAGCTTGAACTCCCAGGTTCAAGCTCTAGCTAGCTGTAATCTCTATTCTGATGAGCACCATGATGTAATGGAAGGGGCATGGGCTTTGAAATTGTATACAGCTAGGTTTCAAAGTCATTCTATTAAATTTTTTATAATAGAAAAGATATTTAATTAATTTAAATCTTGCTTTTTCCATCTATAGAATGGGTATAATACAACTTACCAAGAAGTTCAAAGGAACTTCTTGTGTGATGTGATTGATATCACCAGGAGAGTCAGTAGAGTGACTTCTAAGAAGCCTGAGAAAGGAGAATTTTCTTTCATTCAGATACATCAGATGTCTACTATGGATCAGGCACTTTAAAATAAAGAATAATGAGTGAGCTAAACACAGTCCCTGCCTGCTTCAAGCTAATAGCCTTAGAATATAAATTCACCTGGCTGGGCGCAGTGGCTCACGCCTATAATCCCAGCACTTTGGGGGGCCGAAGCGGGTGGATCACGAGGTCAGGAGATCGAGACCATCCTGGCTAACACGGTGAAACCCCGTCTCTACTAAAAATACAAAAAAAAATTTGCCGGTCGTGGTGGCGGGTGCCTGTGGTCCCAGCTACTCGGGAGGCTGAGGCAGGAGAATGGCGTGAACCCAGGAGGCGGAGCTTGCAGTGAGCTGAGATCGCGCCACTGCACTCCAGCCTGGGCAACAGAGCAAGACTCCGTCTCAAAAAAAAAAAAAAAAAAAAAGAATATAAATTCACCCGAGCCCAGGGTCTACTCTACTTTGCAGACTCAGGAACTTGACCTAATTTTTATTTTTATTTATTTATTTATTTATTTTGAGACCGAGTCTCACTTTCTTGCCCATGTTGGAGTGCAGTGGTGCAATCTCGGCTCACTGCGACCTCTGCCTCCTGGGTTCAAGCGATTCTCCTGCCTCAGCCTCCCGAGTAGCCGGGAATACAGGCATGTACCACCACGCTTGGCTAATTTTTGTATTTTTAGTAGAGAAAGGGTTTCGCCATGTTGGCCTGGCTGGTCTCAAACTTCTGACTTCAAGAGACCCACCCACTTTGGCCTCCCAAAATGCTGGGATTATAGGCGTGAACCACCATGCCTGGCCTTGGCCTCGAAATGATTGGATTAATGGATGTGACTCTTGCACATGATATCCTTGAGACTAATATTTGAAACCAGAATAACAATGTATTTCCTTCCTTCCTTCCTTCCTTTTTTCTTTTCTTTTCTTTTTTTCTTTTCTTTCTTTTCTCTGAGACAAGGTCTTGCTCTGTCACCCAGGCTGGAGTTCAGTGGCACAATCATGGCTCACTGCAGCCTTGACCTCCCAGGCTCAAGCAATCCTCCCACCTCTCAGTCTTCTGAGTAGCTGGGACTACAGGTGCACACCACCATACCCAGCTAATTTTTGTATTTTTTGTAGAGACGTGGTTTCACCATGTTGCCCAGGCTGGTCTCAAACTCCTGGGCTCAAGCAATCTTCCTGCCTCAGCCTCCCTAAGTGCTGGGATTACAAGCGTGAGCCGCTGTGCCTGGTCCAACAATGTCTTATTTATCCTGAAAATGCAACGGTCAAACAAACTGGTCCCCCAACATTGGTCTACCCACATAGCCATATAAAATCAGAACTAGAAGGGGAACAAATTCAAATATTGGATAGACTTGGGCTACGATAGCCAGACAGATAATTTCCAAAGCAGGAGGGTAGACTTTCTTTCTTAATACATGTTTGTAGATATGTGGCATCTAGAATATCCAGCCCAAGAGAGGCCCTGGAGTGATCCCTCTCCTATTTTCCTTCATTTTCTGAAGAACTTGCAGAAGAGGTTTCCACATGTTCCTATAAATCTTAAAGGTAGGGATGGAAATGTTTGCTACAGATCGCTGCACAAGGTGTTACCTCATGGTGAGGCTGGGAGTGTTTGCAGAGAGGAAGAGCTGGAACTTTGAACTAAATTTTGAGCAGGGCCTAGGAATCATCATGTGGCAAGATAAATCACTGGATAAGTGGGAATGAACTCGACTGAGTATCTGCCATTAGGCAACGTAGCAAATCAGAGTCAAAGACTAGATTTCAGTGTCCAGCCAAAAGAAGTGTCATTATATCCACACTGATTTTTAAGTTGCGGATTGTTATGTGTTTGTTAATATATGACTTAAGTTTCTTAAAGGCTGAGACAAGATTTTCTAATAGAATGCCATACCCCATAGACAACAGACTCTGAATTGATGCATAAGAAATGAATGAATGATCCATTTAATCCTTAAAGAGCATACAAATTATCTAGGCATCCTTTGTACATTGAGTAAGCCCCCTTATGAGAGAGATATTTGGGGGTTGGAAGGGGACATGTGAAATGCAGGCCTTAGATGGCATGAGACTTAAATAGTACCAGGTTGGCATCAGAAGGGAGGTTGAAATTTTATCTCTAACTTCCTCCTATCCCTTTGATATTCAAGTGTCCAGTAAGAGAGAAATCTCTAAGACATACTGCCTCGGCATGACTCAAAGGGAAACTATAGAGTCAAAATAATCTTACCAAAATAGTGTTTCTCTGGCTTTGTCCACACTCACTGTGCAGGTTATTTATCCCCTCACAAAACTGTAGAGTGTACAGTAAACATAGTAAGTTGTTAACTGTTATTTTTATATGTCCATCTATGCATCACTAAGTTTGTTCCAAAAAGGATTTGAGGTGGCTTGCACAAATACAGCAAGATAACAATAAAAATAATAGATGCAAATAAAATATATAGAAGGAAGTCAAGGTCAATGCTGAGAATAAGAAAAGAAAATAAACTAAAGCCAAGGTTATTATTCACCCACAGAACACAGGATTTAGGGATCTGTGTACTTGCTATAAATGGGGTACAAAACCACAATACTGAGCTTTCTTATATAAGCACTTGATCTTTGCTGGTATATTCTAATTCCTTGGGAAATCCAAGTTCCTTACAACATGAAAGCCAAAAGAGAATCTGTAGGGAAGGGATATAATAGCATTTCTTTAGTTATACCATCCTATTTCCTTAGGTATAACACTTAAAAACTGTTACCAGAGATTTTCAATTCCTATAGCATGTTCTTTAAAGGAATTTCCATTTCTATTTTATCTTGCCACAATCCCAATCCTTTTACTTCTTTTTATCTTTTTAAAATCGAATTCTGCTGCTTCTCTAACACATTCATTCAAGGCTAGTCCTTGGATTTACTAGCACTGCTGTTGTAAATAACAGATAACTAATTTGTTTATATTTCTAAATAAAATCAATGAGATTGGAACTACATCCAGCTACTGAGTGTAATAAAAGTTGAGATATGAAATAGCTATACTTTACACTTCCATATTAAAGCTGGTGGCAGGATCACTGTGAGCCATCTGGAGCTCAGAGGTCTAAGAGTATGCACAGTTTTGATCTAATAGGGGCAGGCATGCATAGGTGTGCCGAGAGGCACTCACTAAAAGTTGTGCTTCAAGGGCTGGAGAAGAAATCACACTCCCTGGAGTACTGCTGTGGTTTTCTTTACCACTTTAAAATAAATGATACTGTGCTGCCTATAGCTCATAAAACTGAGAGACTGACAGACTGGGCCCCAAATTTCTTCTTCTCACAAAGCAATCACAAGCAGGAATATTACAAATGCTGAAACATTTTTGGTACTACCAAGAATTAGGGGATTTAATTGGGGCATTACGGGAATTCATAAGCATGCTAAAAGTTTTACATGAAGCAGTTTGAGCATCTGAAGGTTGTGTTAGAAGATAAATGAATAGGCTGGGGGCAGTGTCTCATGCCTGTAATCCTAGCACTTTGGGAGGCTGAGGCAGGCGCATCACGAGGTCAGGAGATCGAGACCATCCTGGCCAACATGGTGAAACCCTGCCTGTACTAAAATTACAAAAATTAGCTGGGCGTGGTGGCGTGTGCCTGTAGTCCCAGTTATTTGGGGGACTGAGGCAGGAAAATCGCTTGAACCAGGGAGTCGGAGGTTGCAGTGAGCTGAGATTGCACCACTGCACTCCAGCCTGGCAACAGAGCAAGACTCTATCTCAAAAAAGAAAAAACAAAAAACAAAAAAGAAGATAAATAAATAAATTCATAGTCTGGGCATGGTGGCTCATGCCTGTAATCCCAGCACTTTGGGAGGCTGAGGCAGGCAGATCACCTGAGGTCAGGAGTTTGAGGCCAGCCTGAGCAACATGGAGAAACCCCGTCTCTACCAAAAATACAAAATTAGTCAGGCATGGTTGGCGCATGCCTGCAATCCCAGCTATTCAGGAGACTGAGGCAGGAGAATCACTTGAACCTGGGAGGCGGAGGTTGTGGTGAGCCGAGATCGCGCCACTGCACTCCAGCCTGGGCAACAAGAGTGAGACTCCATCTAAAAAAAAAAAAAAAAAAAAAACAATAAATAAATTCATAAGAAGTATAGGTAGCTTTGTCTGTCAACTCGATTAGTGTTCCTAGAAGTTTCATTTTTAATCAGGCCCAAATATTATTTTAAATGGTCTTTCATGGGAGAGGACCACTTAACAGAAGATACTAGGATCCCCAATTGATTGTGGTCCTATAAAATAGGGTCTGCACCAGTTGGCCGCAGTACTATCCTTCCATCTTAGAGGAACTTAACCTCTTACCATTATTCTCCTATGCTTTATTTTACTGAGGTGTGAACTTTTTCTTCTAAAAGCCACTGAAAGAAATGTATGGTCACTATATAAGTTTGAAGAAGCTTAAGCCTGGCCCAATTAAATTAAAAATTGCTTTGGTAGAATGACTAGCAATAAGCTAGGGGGCTAAAGAAGTCCTGTTTTAAAGGAATAAAGTATAGACTATGTTATGATTTGATGAAAAGCCTCCCTCTTCCCAGGAGCATTTGTTAATTTTAGGCTGACATGTGATATCTCAATACAAAAAATTAAGCCAGAAAAATGAAAGAATATATTCAAAATGTTGAAATAAATTAGTGCCAACCAATAATTCTATAGCCAACAAAAACATCCTTTAAATACTAAGAGGAACAGAAAAATAGTCTGACAAAACCCAATGCCTCTTCATAATAAAAGCACTCTAGAAACTAGGAAGAGAAGCAACATTTTCAACTTGGTAATGGGCATTTATAACAAACCAACAGCAAACATAGTATGTAGTGCTGAAAGACTATTTTCCCTTACAATCAGAAAAAGACAAGAATTTATGTTCTTGGCACTTCCATTCAACATTGTGTTGGAGGTTCTAGGAAAAAAAAGGAAGGAGGGAAGGAAGAAAGGAGGAAGGAAGGAAGAAAGAACTAAAATTGTCTCTGTTTGCAGATCACATAGTCTTACCTATAGAAAATCCCAGGAAATCTACTAAAAGATACAACAATAAAAACAAAAACTATTAGAACTAATAAACTAATTCAGCAAGGATGCAAGGATACATAGTCAATATGGAAATCAATTTTGTTTTCATATTAAGAACAAACAATCTGGAAATATAAGAAAACAATCAATTTATAATAACATTAAAAAGAACAAAACACTTAGGAATAAATTTAAAAAAGAAGTACAACATTTATAATCTTAAAATTATAAAACATTTTAAAACAAAACTACAGAACACACAAATAAATGGAAAGGTAATCCATGTTCATTGGAAAACTTAATATGGTTAAGAGGGCAATGCTCCCGAACTTGAACCCCAGATTCAATGCAATCCCTACCAAAATCCCAGCTGGCTCCTCTGCATTAGCTGATCTGAAAATTCATGCAGAAATTCAAGGGACTCAGAATAGCTTAAATAATCTTAAAAAAGAAAAACAAAGTTGGGGGACTCACAGTTTCTGATCTAATTTTTTTTTTTTTTTTTGAGATAGGGTCTGGCTCTATCGCCCAGGCTGGAGTACAGTGGCACGATGATATCGGCATACTGTAATCTTTGCCTCCCAGGTTCAAATGATCCTCCTGCCTCAGCCTCATGAGTAGCTGTGACTATAAGCACACACCACCACACCTGGATAACTTTTGTATTGTTTTTGTAGAAATGAGGTTTCACCATGTTGCCCAGGCTGGTCTCGAACTCCTAGGCTCAAGCCATCCACCTGCCTTGGCCTCACAAAGTGCTGTGGTTACAGTTGTGAGCCACCGTCCCTGGTCCCCTGATTTCAAAATTTAAAGTTTACTACAAAGCTACAATAATAAAAATAGTGTGGTTCGGCATAAGAATAGACAAATCAATGGACTAGATTTGAGAACTCAGAAATAAACTCTCATATTTATGGTCAATTGATTTTTGACAAGGGTGCCAAGACAATTCAATGGAAAAATAATAGTGTTTTTACTGATCGATGCTGGACAACTGGATATATACATGAAAAGAAATAAGTTGGACTCCTTCCTCATACCATACACGAATATTAACTCAAAATTATCACAATGTACATGTAAGGACTAAAACTATAAAACTCTTAGAAACAAATATAGGAGTAAATCTTTGTGACCTTCGCATAGGAAAAGTTTTCATAGGATCACAAAATCAAAAGTGTCCAAAGGAAAATATAAATTGTACTTCATCATAATTAAAAGCATTTTTGGTTCAAAGATATCATCAAAAAAGTGAAAAGTCAACTCCCCATATGAGAGAAAAATTTGCAAATCATAAATCTGATAAGCGATTTGTACCTAGAATATGTACAGAACAATTAAGGTCAATAATAAAAAGACAAATGGCTCAATTAAAAAGCAGGCAGGATCTGAACAGACATTTCTCCAAAGACAATATGCAAATGGCCAATAGGCACATGAAAATATACTCAACATCATTAGCCATCTGGAAAATGCATATCAAAACCATAATGAGATACCAGTTGGCACCCACTGGAATGGCTATAATAAAAAAGACAGATCATAACAAGTGTTAGTTAGGATGTGGAGAAACTGGATCCTTCATAGATTGCTGATGGGAAAGTAGCATGGTGCAAATACTTTGGAAAACATTCTGGTAGTCCTCAAATTATTAAATGTAGAGATATCACATCACCCAGCAATTCTAAAGAGAAATCAAAACATATGTCCAAACAAATACCTGTACACAAATCTTCATTGTGTCAGTATTCACAATAGCCAAAAAGTGGAAACAATCAAATGTCCATCAATCGAATGAATAAAAAATGTAAATACATATAACTTTATTCTTCACTAAAAATATAATAAAGTACGGATACATGATTCAATATGTATGCACCTTAAAAACATATGCAAAGTGCAAAAATCCATTCATAAAAAATACACATATTGTATGATTCCTTTTATATGAAATATCTAGAATAAGCAAATCTATAGAGACAGGAAGTAAATTAATGGTTACCTGGGACTGGGTAGGTTGGAGTAAAATAGAGAGTGATTGCTAATAGAAAGTGATTGAGTGATAAAATTTTAATATAACATCTCTCAGGAACTAATAGAATAAACAAAAAATCAGTAGGAATAAGGAATTTAAACAGCATGGTTAACACATTTGTCTTAATTGACCTACACATACATAAGTGAAGAAATTTGAGAAAACCTCTTCTTCTATATCATACATAGAATATTATTAAAAATTGACCATAGTCTGGGCCATAAAGTAAGTTTCAAGAAATATCAAAGGACTGAAATCACATAAAGTATAGTCTGTGATAATAAGGTAGTTAAATTAAATATTTTAAAGAATCGGCCGGGCGCGGTGGCTCATGCCTGTAATCCCAGCACTTTGGGAGGCCGAGGCGGGTGGATCATGAGGTCAGGAGATCGAGACCATCCTGGCTAACAAGGTGAAACCCCGTCTCTACTAAAAATACAAAAAATTAGCCGGGCGCGGTGGCGGGCGCCTGTAGTCCCAGCTACTCGGGAGGCTGAGGCAGGAGAATGGCGTGAACCCGGGAAGCGGAGCTTGCAGTGAGCTGAGATTGCGCCACTGCAGTCCGCAGTCCGGCCTGGGCGACAGAGCGAGACTCCGTCTCAAAAAAAAAAAAAAAAAAAAGAATCAAAATCGACAGCTAGGAGAATATTGCAATGGAAAGTATAAAATACTTTGAACTGAATACTAATACAAATCAATATGCTAAAACTTCAAGGATACAGTTAAAAATCATACCTGGAGGGAAATGAATGTCTTTAAATGTAAATATTAGAAAATAAGGAAAGCTAAACATCAATAAGCTATAAGCATCCATGTAAAATATTTAGAATATCAACAAAAAATAATCACAAATAAAACCAGAAAAAGAAGGAGGGAAATAAGAAAGAAAAAGATAGAGGTTGGGAGCAGTGGCTCACGCTTATAATCCCAGCACTTTGGGAGGCTGAGGTGGGTGGATTGCCTGAGGTCAGGAGTTCAAGACCAGCCTGGCCAACATGGTGAAACCCCATCTCTATTAAAAGTACAAAAAATTAACTGGGCATGATGGTAGGTGCCTGTAATCCCAGCTACTGGGGAGGCTGAAGCAGGAGAATTGCTTGAACCAGAGAGGCAGAAGTTGCAGTGAGCTGAAATCGTGCCACTGCACTCCAGCCTGGGTGACAGAGTGAGACTCCATCTCAGAAAAAAAAAAAAGTATAGAAATTAACGAAATAAAACACAAATGAAAAATAAGGTTATTCTTGAAAAGCTTGAAAACTTGATAAACTCTGGTGAATATAATCAAGAAAAAAGGAGAGAAAGCACTAATATCCAATGTCAGGAATGGGCATAGGGAAGCACAGTAAATCCTTCAGATATTAAAAAGTTTAAAATTTAGATGAAAGAGATACATTCCTAGAAAATACTACTTATCAAAATTGACAGTAGAAAAAATCAAATTTACAAGAAAAAAACAACCCCATCAAAAAATGGGCAAAGGATATGAACAGACATTTCTCAAAAGAAGACATTTATGCAGCCAAAAGACATATGAAAAAATGCTCATCAACATTGGCCATCAGAGAAATGCAAATCAAAACCACAATGAGATACCATCTCACACCAGTTAGAATGGCGATCATTAAAAAGTCAGGAAACAACAGGTGCTGGAGAGGATGTGGAGAAATAGGAACACTTTCACACTGTTGGTGGGACCGTAAACTAGTTCAACCATTGTGGAAGTCAGTGTGGCGATTCCTCAGGGATCTAGAACTAGAAATACCATTTGACACAGCAATCCTGTCACTGGGTATATACCCAAAGGATTATAAATCACACTGCTATAAATACACATGCACATGTACGTTTATTGAGGCACTATTTACAATAGCAAAGACTTGGAACAAAGCCAAATGTCCAACAATGATAGACTGGATTAAGAAAATGTGGCACATATACACCATGGAATACTATGCAGCCATAAAAAATGATGAGTTCATGTCCTTTGTAGGGACATGGATGAAGGTGGAAACCATCATTCTCAGCAAACTATCACAAGGACAAAAAACCAAACACCGCATGTTCTCACTCATAGGTGGGAATTGAACAATGAGAACACATGGACACAGGAAGGGGAACATCACACACTGGGGCCTGTTGTAGGGTGACGGGGGGGAGGGATAGCATTAGGAGATACACCTAATGTTAAATGACGAGTTAATGGGTGCAGCACACCAACATGGCACATGTATACATATGTAACTAACCTGCAGGTTGTGCACATGTACCCTAAAACTTAAAGTATAATAATAATAATAAAAAAGAAGAGATGTGAACAGAAAAGAGGGAGAAATACTTAGGAAGTAGAATTGCTCAGGCTTAGGACTGATTGTGTTAGGCTGGTGCAAAAGTACTTGTGGTAATTGAAAAAACCACAATTACTTTTGCACCAACCTAATATCTGTAGGTGAGAGGTGATTGGCCAGCCTTTTGATGCTGCATTTGCATCAGCACCACCCTTACCTGGGCCAACTGGCTGTGCTCAGGGTGAGGGTCATGGGTTCAAAACACAGCAGCAAAGGAGCTCCTCAGTAGGACACATTGGCTGTGCCAGTCTGAATAGCCCCTGACTCTGGTTCCGGAGGGTGAGCAGGAAGCAGAAGACCACAGGAATAAATGTCTGCAGACACTTCTCTGCATCAAGAACAAGGGAGGACTTTCATGAGGGCCAGTAAGAGTCTTCTTGAGGATGGAAGGGGTAGCAGGATAGATGCATGTTCCCCAGCAGATTCTTGCCTTTCCTCGAGATGGTGTGGATAAGTGGGAAAGACCTATTGTTCCCCAAAGTGATCTTGTCTGCCGTAAGTGTTTCTTTATGGAGAGCCACTTGGTAAGGTGAGGCAATTAGCTTTCCTGTCACCCATGTCCTAATCTCTAGCAGCTCCCTGGGAGGAAATGAGAGTCACACTGCAATCTCAGACAAGGGCATCCGGCATCCTAACACTCAGGTAAGAACCCCCGCTCCCGGTGGTTATTCCCCCTGGACTAGCCCATGAAAGCTGTTTTTCAGATCTACAAGAGTACCTCTATTTTACCTTTATTATTCTTCTGTGAAAGGAAGGTTTCACTCTGAATAAAGCTATGCTATCCATCAAAAAAAAAAAAGAAAAAATAAGAATTTGGAATAGTCCTATAACTATTAAAGATATTGAATCATTTATTAAAAACTTTTCCACAAAGAAAACGACCACAAAGAAAAAGTCTGATGGCTTAACAAGTAAATTTTATTAACTATTAAGGAAGAAATAACACAGTTTATATAAGAAATAATCTGTATAAACTCTTTAAAGAAAGAAAAAGAGGGAAAACTCTCCACTTCTAACAAGGCCATCATTACCCTATACAAACATCTCAGAAGAATATTATGAGAAAGAAAAATTCAGGCCAATCTCACTCATGAACATAGGTGCAAAAATGTTAAACAAAATATTAGCAATCTTATTAAATATATGTATAGATATGAGTAGGGTTTATCCTATGAATGTACACTTAGTTTACCATTAAAAAAGTCAACACAGTTAGGCCGGGCTCAGTGGCTCACGTCTGTAATGCCAGCACTTTGGGAGGCCGAGGCGGGCGGATCACGAGGTCAGGAGACCAAGACCATCCTGGCTAACACGGTGAAACCCCATCTCTACTAAAAATAGAAAAATTTAGCTGGGACTACAGGCAGGCGCCTGTAGTCTCAGCTACTTGGGAGGCTGAGGCAGGAGAATGGCATGAACCTGGGAGGCGGAGCTTCTATGAGCAGAGATTGAACCACTGCACTCCAGCCTGGGCGACAGAGCAAGACTCCATCTAAAAAAAAAAAAAAAGTCATCATAACTACTTTTTAATACATAGAATGATGGAGAAAAACCATATGATCAACTCTAGAGGCAGAAAAGTTGATTTAATAGTATTCATTCATAATAAAAATTCTTAGCAAACAAAGAAAATGAGGGAACCCTTCTCCTCTCTTATCTGATAAAGGATATCTGTGATAAAGATATGATATCATATTTAATACCCATCCTTTTGAGATCAGAACTAAGACTAAGATCTGTGCTGTTGACTATCTTGAAGAATCCATCTTGAAGAACAGAATGAAAAGCCCTGCTTCATTGAATATTAAGACTTGTTATAAATCATAATGATTACGGCAATGTGATATTGACATAAATATTGGTAAATAAACTAGAGGAATAGAAGAGGGAGCCCAGAGCAGACCTATGGGTAGATCAGCAATTGAATTATGACTAAGGAGCCACTGCAAAGTTGTGAGGATAGGATAATCTTTTCTATGAGTGAGGCTGTGATATCACTTATTCATATTAATAAAAACAACCTATATACCTTCACACCATAAGATAAAAACAGAACTTAAAAATAACTCATAAGTGAGTAAGAAAAAGACAAACAACTCATCATAAGAATGGGCAAGATATTTGAATTGGTCCATCAAAAGAGAAATGTCCTGGCCAGGCTCTGGGGCTCACGCCTATAATTCTAACACTTTGGGAACTCAAGGAGGGAGGATTGTTTGAGCCCAGGAGGTTGAGGTTGCAGTGAGCTGAGCCATGATTGTGTCACTGCTCTCCAGCCTGGGCAACAGAATGAGACTCCAACTCACAAAAAAGAAAAACAAAAAGAGGATGTCCAAATGGCAACTCATCATAGAAAAAATTGCTCAAACTCATTAGTCATAAAGAAAAGTTGAATTCCACAATGAGATACTGCTATGCACTCACCAGAATGTCTATCTACTGTGACAATTCTAATATACTAATTGTCAAGGATGTGAAGAACTGGGGAAGCTTATGCATTCCTGGTAGTGATAAAATCAATACAAACAATTTGGGAAACTGCGATATCTACTAAAACCGAACATACATATATATATACCATGACCTCACAATGCCACTCCTACATGTATACCTCCCAGAAGTGCATGCCTATGCATACCAAGGGAAGTGTGCAAAATGTGCATTGTGGCAGTATTAATAATAGTCAAAGCTGGAAACAGCCTAGATATCTTTCTGCAGTAAAATGGATCAGTAAATTGTGGTATTACATACAATAGAAAAACAAAAAGACTACAGCTACTTGCAACTGCATGGAAGAATATTACAAACGTAATATTAAGGGAACCAAGTCAAACATAAAAGGGCGAAACAGTATGATTCCATTTATATAAAGAGCAAATCTAGAAAACCTAATCTATTTTGTTTAGGGATGGATAGTTAGGTGTAAACTATAAACAAAAAGAAGGATTTGATTATTCTGAACATTTGAATTGGGCTGGGAGTGGTGTCTGAAGCCTGTAATCTCAGTACTTCGGAAGGCTGGAGAAGGAGGATTGCTTGAGCCCAGGAGTTTGAGACCAACTTGGGCAACATGATGAGACCTCATCTCTACTAAAAGTAAAGAGCTGAATGTGGTGGCATGTGCCTGTGGTCTCAGCTATTTGGAAGGCTGAGGTGGCTGGATTGCTTGAGCCTGGGATGTCAAGGCTGCAGTGAGCTATGTTCCTGCCACTGCACTCCAGCCTGGGCAATAGAGACACTGCAAAATAAAAGGAAAGAAAGAAAGAAAGGAAGGAAGGAAGAGAGGAAGAAAGGAAGAGAAAGAGGGGGAGAGAGAGAGAGAGAAAGAAAAGCAAGCAAGCAAGCAAGCAAGAAAGAAACTAACTTTTAATTGAAGGGAGGGGCAAAAGAGGAGTTTCCGGAAGGCTGACAAGAATCTGTTTCATGGCCTGACATCAGTATTTTCCTTGTGATAAGCCATTATACATTGTTGTTTATGAACTTCTTTTCTGTATGTGTGTTATCTTTCACAATACAAAGGGTTAAGAAATTTAATTGATGAGCAGAGAGAGAGAGAGGAATGCAATGAGGACACATTTTCCAGGAGGGGTAGGAAGACTGGGATTCCTGAGGAAAGACAGGAAAGGGAGGGACAAAGAGTAAAAAAGGCCCTCAGAGGAAAGGGGCCAGGGGACAAGCTGCTTCTCTGCAATTTTACAGGCCCAAGTCCAAAAGGCGGACAGCCACCCAGGGGACTGATATTGCTCTTTGATACCCACATATCTGCTTTATTGTTTCAGAAATCTGTCCATTATGAGGATGAAAATTTCTCTTTTAAAACTTCTCTTTCATAGAAAAATACCTCTATTTTCTTAGGCTGTAGCAGGTCTGACAGGATTCTGTACCTTTTATACTGCATAGTTCTTTATTTAGAATCATTTCTTGTAAACCACTTGGATAAAAAAACCTAGTTCCTTTATTGACTTGCTTCAAAAATGTGAATGAGCTAATTCTAAAAACTCTTGGTACAGATTCTCAAGGTACTACTGGGAGTAAATTTAACATTTAGTGCCAATCTACAAGAAAAAATTATTTAGTTTCTCATTCTCAGAGACCTGTTCCTTTTCTTTTTGCCCCTGGTAATCTCAAGGATTACAATGTCTACCCATTGGGGTCAGAGGACGAGCATAAAGCCTGCAAATTGACCCTCCTTGGATTTCCACTAAATAGGAGAATGCTTGGAAAGGGGAGACAAAATAGAGATATATTTCCAGCCAAGGAATACTCTTTCTTGAGGTTAAGAAATTATGGCAATTATGCTAGGATGTGGAGCAGGATGCACCATTGGGGAATAGCATTTCCAGTGATTCCAAAGACATATACAGATTCCACCTATCCCTTTCCCCAAGAAAAAAAAAAAATCAAAAGTGTGCTCTCTTTCTCTCTCTCTCTCTCTCTCTGTCCCACCCCCGCCGTGTGTGTGTGTGTGTGTGTGTGTGTGTGTGAGAGAGAGAGAGGAGGTGAGGAGGAGAGATAGAGAGAGAGTGTTGTTGGGAGTGGAGACAGTGTAAACTTCAGCCACTAATTCATGTGCTCAACTATATTATTCTTAGAAGAAGTGACTGCCTGCAAGAGTTCTGGATAAAATTGGGATAATGATGTTAATGATTAAAGTTTACTTATTTCTTTGTTTCTTTAGTTCAAGTTGTCTGCAACTACATACCTCATTTGTTTTTTGCTGGAATAACCTCAGTATATCTGTATGCTTTTAAATTAAATTCACTTAAACTCAGGCATAGAATCTGTAATTCAGAGAACTGGATGTGAGTGAGGGCTTTGTCTGGCACATGTGTCAATAAATGTTAGTTATCACCATGATTAGTATTATTATTTTCTTCCTGAGAAAGAGAATCACCATTTTGTCCTAGCTTAGCCAAAGTATTGTATAAACTGCAGTGTCCCCAACCTTTTTGGCACCAGGGACCGGCTTCATGGAAGAAAATTTTTCCACGGATGGGGTGGGGGTGATGGTTTCGGGATGAAACTGTTGCACCTCAGATCATCAGGCATTTGTTAGATTCTCATAAGGAGCAACCTAGATCCCTGGCAGGCATAGTTCACCAATAGGGTTCGCTCTCTTATGAGAATCTAATGCCCAGCTGATCTGACAGGGGACAGAGCTCTTGCGGTAATGCTGGTTCACCAGCCGCTCACCTCCTGCTGTGCGGCCTGGTTTCTCACAGTCCATGGACTGGTATGGTGTGGTCCAGGGCCCAGGGGTTGGGGACCCCTGGTATAAAAGATCCCAGAGATCACACCCGCTGTGACCCAGGTCACTTCTGGGCCTTAATTTTGACATTAGGAAAATAAAGAACTTGGATTCCCTGAACTGTGACTCAAGGATTTTCTGTCTTCACGGAGTGCCCCAGGTTTCCTCACAGGTTGGGAATTAGTGACCCCTGGGTTCTCCAGTGGTCGGTGCCTCGGTGGGAGAGAATGCACTGAGATGGGGGAGGGGAGCTGCTGCTTTCTTCTGGAGGCAGTGTTTACCTTTCCCTGGGCAGAGGTTGTTGAAATTAAGAAAACCTGGTAAAGCAGATGCCAGGGACAGATATTACCTAATTTGGTCAAAGAACAAAGACCCTGTGAAACATTTGGAAATCCTCAACGGTGCATAGGGACGGGCACACTTACTGGAAGAGCAGAAACAGGATCACCCAGCATTTCAGAGTAGGGTTGCTGCATCTCAGAGGGTGAGCATAATAATGTCATTACTATTTCGAACAGTCTGGGTTTTTGAGAAGGAAGCTTCTGGGTTGGAATATTGACTCCACCAGCTACTAGTGCTATGTTACTAGTGCAAGGTACTCGATGGCTTTGAGCCCCAGTTTCCTTTTGTGTAAAATGAGATAAACATCTAATTTATGGAGCTGTTGAGAGGATGGAATAGGTAGCGTAAGGCAACCTGGAATTCATTAATGTAAGCTTCTCTCATTACCATAAAACTAATAGTCTTTCTAATTCCAGACACCTTCAGGTTTACTCATGCTTTACTGAGAATTCTCAAAATCTCAGTAGTTTTCTATAATGATTGGACTCCTTGCTCCCTATCAACCCCCCAATCTTTGGCTGCGGAGTGGATGGAAGAAGAGGCACGTGGGGAAGGACTGGGGCAAACCCTCTGGTGTCCTGGCCTCCTGGCCCGGTGGGGACTGTCATGGCGGCCCAGCAACAGCTTAGGTGATCTCAGATGGCAGAGCAGAAAGAATGCAAGGGTATGAGGGTCAGGGCTGCGCGGACCCCTATCCCGCCTGCGGTCCTCCCGGCAAGCCCAGCGGGAGCGCCCGCTCGGCTGGGTCCCCGCCTCCAGCGGCGCCGGGGCCGCCCAGACCCTGGGCTCAGCCTCGCGCCCCGGTGCCCACCTGAGGAGGCAGCGGTCCCGGCCTCGCGTCCCGGATGGGACGGCGCGGGAGCAATGCCAGTGGCCCCGAGCGCCCCGGGCCACGCGCGGGGCCGGCCAGCCGCTCTCGCGCCCTCCCCGCCCCCTCCGCGCCTTGCCTCGCCGCCCGCGGCCCCCACCCACCGGCCGCTCCTCCCCTCTCCCCACCCTCCTCCTCCGCCCCCTCCCCTCCCCCGCCGCCTCGCAGATAGCTCGGCCGCGCGTCTCAGCCGCCGGGGCCCCGAGCGCAGGCGGCGAGGCCACCACACCTGCAGAGCGCTCGGGCTGCCTAGCCGGCACCTCGCCTCCCGCCGCGCAAACCCCTTCTCCCCACGCGCCGAGTCTCCCATGACGCCCGAGCCCCCCGGCCGGCGACAATGACCACTTCCCTGCAAGATGGGCAGAGCGCCGCGAGCAGGGCGGCTGCCCGGGATTCGCCGCTGGCCGCCCAGGTGTGTGGCGCTGCCCAGGGGAGGGGCGACGCCCACGACCTGGCGCCGGCCCCCTGGCTGCACGCGCGAGCGCTCCTGCCCCTTCCGGACGGGACCCGCGGCTGTGCTGCAGACAGGTAGGCAACCCTGGAGGGCGCGGGGGAGTGTCCTGGCTGGGCAGCCGGCGAGGGGGTGAGGAGGCGGTCCTAGGGGGTGAGCCATGTGCCCAGAGCTGGGCCAAGTTTGTAAAAGTCTCTGAAGACAATCCCCTTTGAGCTGGCTCCTACCGGATCAGCAGGACATTGCGATCTCACAGCGCCTTATAAATAGCATCACCGTTTCATTGAGAGCTCTCATCTCTCTCGCCTCTGCCCATCGGTGGTGAAACTAGGAGCTCAGGCTGCAGGCTGATCACCTTCTGTTCCTTCGTGGCCATGCATTTTCACAAAGTAAACTCTATTTTATTTTATATATTTTAAAAAAATCGTAGCATAAATGTATTCACCTCCCACATAGAGTCTTACAGCGACCCTGTAGAAGCAAAGCATGGATTGACATTCGAGCAGTCTTGCTGTTCGGCAGGAAAGAATAGAGGCTTTAAAGGGTTTCCCAATCTCCATAGCATTCAGCACTAAGTGCCTTTAGAGTTGCACATACTTTCGGAAAGAAAAAGGGTTACAGCAATACAAAAATCTATAGTCCTTTATATTCATACATTTAAATGTTACTTTTTTTTTCCTGATTTTCAAAGCGCTCCAACTTCAGTGAAGTTAAAATTACTCTCCAGTGGACTATAGTACATTTATACTAGCAAGTTCTATTAACTTACCGCCTCAAAACACTGCCTTGCTGTTTAATATCTATAAGCGCTTGAAAAATCAACAGACTGTGTGTGGGCAACATTGTGAATGAAATTTGAAGTGAGATGAACCACAGCTATAATTAATAAATCATAACTTCCAAAAGTGATTAGTAAAATATCATAAGGATGAATGCACTAAATGCAACTTAGAGACTGTCAATATCATGGATGCATAACAATGTATGACTTCTCAGGTGATGTTTGGATTAGTAATTGTATAGTCTATTTTTCTGTTTCAGGAAAATTATCAAAAGTGATGGAGTTTCTATGCCTGGTGATTTAAAGGCAAGAGAGAGAGAAGGCGGTGGGGGGGGGAGGGGTGGTGGGAGGGGAGAGAGAGAGAGAGAGAGAGAGACAGAAAGAGAGGAACTATAGGAGATTTGTTTGTATCTAATTAACATACTGTATTTTGACCCATAGAAAGTACATCACAGACCTTTTCTATATACTTTATATAATATGAGCCTTGTCACAGAGTGGTACATGTTCGCCTTAGCACACTTTTTATTCCTGACAGCAATTATATTTTACATTCTGTTTTATGTAAATTACATCCTATGTTCTCTTACTGTAGGAGAAAAAAGAAAGATCTTGATGTTCCGGAAATGCCATCTATTCCAAACCCTTTTCCTGAGCTATGCTGTTCTCCATTTACATCTGTGTTGTCAGCAGACCTATTTCCCAAAGCAAATTCAAGGAAAAAACAGGTATGCATTTTTAAATTTTAAATTTCAAAAATCTTAGGAGTTCTGAATCCATACAGTCTTTAAGGTGTTCCGTAATTTACAGTATTAACAAAGGATTAGCATGGGCTCTGTTAAATAACTCTGTTGACTGACATGGTCCTTTGGCATTATTTTCCATTTAGGGCCTTATTCTTCTAAGCCGTATAATGGGAATGTTAAAACCTACCTCCGAGGGTCTTGGGATGGATTAAAACAGAGAATATATATAAAGTGCAGTGGTTGAGAACAATAATCATTCACCAGATAGGTAGAAGAGATGATCATTTTTAAGCCAGGAATTGGGCAGAGGCTGGGACGGGGTGGGCAGTAGTAGTGGGGTGAGAAGGGGATTGACTGATTCCTTTAATACTTTCTTTAATTTTTCACATTTTCAACCCAAGCCAACCTCATTTACCTAAGGAAAGTGATATAGTGATGCTGTGGCAAAAGGTATTTAGAATTTAGGGTCAACATGTCTTCATTTCAGTGGATTCCTCAGTTTGGAGGCTCTGGCTGCAGAAGATAGATGACTCGTAGTGATAATTAGAAGACTAAGGACCATATCTTTATGATTTTCTCCTTTTCTAGTTTGGGATTGACTTAAGCAAATTAGATTTTAAGGACCAAGCAACTAACAGAAAATACATCATGGCTGTACATTTGGAGGGGAAAAAAATAGTGTATCATAGAATAATTCATCTCTTGTCATATACTTTCTCCCAGTTTTGACCCAGCAAAACAAAGAGAAGCCTCACTAGACAAAATGCACCTTATTCTTACAAGGGTGGAAACAATACATTGAAATAGCCAGGTACTTGAAATGGGAGAAGGATAATGAACAGCGAGGACAAGACAGTTGGCCATTTTTCCGCGTCTATTGCTCTCTTTCTTATTTCTGCACCTTTATTGCTTCTAATGGGTTCAACTATGTGTGTTTATATTTTTAGGAATGGAGGAAATACCTTAGGAAGCAGATGAATTATTGATCATATACAGAAATGATAGAGACAGTAGGAAATATGTTTGATGGAAGCCCTGTGTATATATTTTTGGGGGGAGGGGCTTGAAGTCACTTGGTACACAGGTTTTTGGGTAAGGATTGGAGAAAATGGGAATAAATTTTTCTAGAAGCAGAACTATGTTCTGAATTGGCATCTTTGAAAGGGGGAATAAACCCTTAAGTGGGTGGGACTGTAACTTTGTTTGGGGAGACAAAGAGGAGACTCTCTTGAGACCTTTATTATCAGGATGAGGTTTAAAGTCAGATCCCAAGGAAAAAACAGCCCTAGTGAAACTTCCAAGCTCTTTGAGAGTTGACTTTTTGGTTTGGATAGAAAATGGAAGTAAGGATAATAGATTTGACTGTGTGCCATGGTAGTGGAAAAAAAAAAAAGAGGCCGGGTGCGGTGGCTCACGCCTGTAATCCCAGTAATCCCAGCACTTTGGGAGGCTGAGGCGGGCAGATCACGAAGTCTGAAGATTGAGACCATCCTGTCCAACATGGTAAAACCCCGTCTCCACTAAAAATACAAAAATTAGCTGGGTGTGGTGGCCTGCACCTGTAGTCCCAGCTACTCGGGAGGCGGAGGCAGGAGAATCGCTTGAACCCAGGAGGCGGAGGCTGCAGTGAGCTGAGATTGTGCCCCTGCACTCCACTCTGAACGACAGAGCGAGAATCTGTCCCCCGCTGACACTACCCCCCCCCCCCCAAAAAAAAGATTCTGGCTTGTCCTTGAGCCAGAGTAAGAAAAGGAAATGTCTGATGATGACATAATGGTCATCTGGAAGAATTTAATAGGTAGTTCCCAAATTACTAAGGGCCTGCTATGTTTCTCACAAATCCTAGGCAGTAAGGACCCTAGCTAAGCAACAATACCATGCAAGATATATTTAAAAGATGGGGCTTTGATTTGGGGTTGTGGTAGCGGGTGGAGCCTGAACCAGAAGGAAAGTAAAGGGAAGGATATCTGGGCTGACTCACTTTAATGCTATGAATGGACACTTGCAGAATGCCTGTGTCTGAGAGATTTGTTGATGATGCAGGGTTTGTTTTGAATAGAAAGTGAGAAGAGGTGTTGGTATGCTTATGTTAGTATAGGGGACAAAAGAGAAAGAATGGGTAAAGTGCCAGGGTTAAGGCAGGATGTGCCCTAAGTGTGGATAGTCATCAGACTAGAGTAAGACGTCTTAGAGATTGATGACATTTCCTCAGATCAGGTTTAAACTGGAAAATGGGCAAAAAAAAAATAGCAAACTGGAAATGGGGAAAAGGTGATATTGTTATTGACCCCAATAGGTTTCCTGCTCTGGCCTTGTATCCTGTGTCCACAATGACCTTCTCAAAGAACACTGTACCCACACACACACCTGTACTGTTCCCTGAGCAGAGAGTCCCCGCCTGATTTTTAAAGATCCATCCCAGAGGGCTGTCCCTACCTTTGAAGGGCCCTTCTTGCTGATCTCTTCCTTGGCCCAATGGTTGAGATCTCTATGAAGACAAGGGTACCCCAAAGTTGAGGAGGAGGGAGGCTGCTTTTTACTTTATTTTATGCTTCCTTTTTCCCCCACCTAGACTTTGCATTTAGAACTGATCCTTTTGCTTTAGTTTCTTTATACACACTCAGTTCTTTGAAATGAGGAAGGTTTTGAGAATAGATGACTCTATGTAAGTGAGTCCCCCAACTCAGTAGCTTTGCAACACATATTACCCTTTTACAAGATGCTGTTTTTGGCCCAGTTTATCTGTAACCTTCAGTTGAGATGATGTAAGTGACTATGCGATATGTTCTACTGAGTATTATTTATGGTTGAAATATTATAGGAGAAGATGTCTCTTTACTTTATATTCTCTCTCATTTGTCCTGTTTAACCATTCCAGTCATTTTAGTGATTCTTTTCTCTCCACAGAAAAAGTGAAGAAAATAATTGTACTTGTTATTTACAAATCAATGACCAGAAAATTTGAGAGAATCCAGACTAAAAATGTTAAATTTCATCTGGCCTTTCAAAATCACAGTCAAAAACCATCTTACAAGTCATAAATTTTGTTTACTATTTGAGATGCCTACATAATGCATGAGTGGTAAAGTGCATTGAAGCCACAAATGGGATATGTTTTATCACTTTTTGCAAATAAAATGTCCCAAAGTGTACAATACTGTAGGCTTTCAGTACCATTATTTTTAAATGAAAGCTAGAGTGAGAGAGAATCCATATTCTTTTTTTTTTTTTTTTTTTTTTTTTGAGACGGAGTCTCGCTCTGTCGCCCAGGCTGGAGTGCAGTGGCACAATCTCGGCTTACTGCAAGCTCTGCCTCCTGGGTTCATGCCATTCTCCTGCCTCAGCCTCCCGAGTAGCTGGGACTAGAGGTGCCTGCCACCACGCCCAGCTAATTTTTTTTGTATTTTTAGTAGAGACAGGGTTTTACCGTGTTAGCCAGGATGATCTCCATCTCCTGACCTCATGATCCACCCGCCTTGGCCTCCCAAAGTGCTGGGATTACAGGCATGAGCCCCTGTGCCCCGCGAGAATTCATATTCTTTATTCCCTTTCCCTCTTTTTATAATGATGGCCAGATTTCCTAGGCATCTTTCTTTGTGTTTACTAATAAAGCAAATTTAAAGTATACCTTCCCTTACATACATGGTCCAGAAAAGTTACTTATATTAAAAGTGACTTCCATTATGAACTTAATCTCTTTTTTCTAATTTATGATTTAAATTTATAAGGAAATCATCTGTTAGTAATGAACCCTAAACACCTATTGTTTGAAGGAAAGCAAAGAGTTAGAAATCTTTATTTAGCTCTTGCAGCAGAATCAGTTCTTGTCTTTTTTGTTGACCCCTAGGTAATTTTTGTGCTTGGACATAGCCTGTGTAGTAGCTCTGGTTAATTGCTTCCCAGGACTATGTTGTACAACTAAGTAAGAATAAAGCCTCTGAAGGCTTTAGAGATTTAAAAAATGCTATGAAAACCAGTGTCATGAAATGTTTGAGTTGGATGGGATTTTTCAGATCTTCTATTCCAATATTCTTCTTTAGTGATACGTAAATTGAGTTTAAGGAATGCTATGTGGCACAGCCAGCACCTGAAATCTGGATTTCTTGAGGCTTTGACAGTCCCTTTTTAGGAAGGTACAATTTCTAAAGAAAGCAAGGACTGTAAATAAGAGTAGTATAATAATACATGTGTACCAGTGTTGTTAGTTACAACTCTCCTCATAACACAAGAAGAACAGGGGAGACAAACGCCATTTGTTAATATTCATCTAAGGACCTGGAATTCCTCTTTTTATTTCTTCCCGAAATGTAACTACGTTTTTTCTTCTAGCTTTCTTCTCCATCTTCTCCCTAAAATTGGTCTGAGAAATCTATCAAATATTTGATTTTATTATCAAATAAGATTTATTAGTATTATTAATAACCAGCTTTTGTGTGTGGTTTACGGTCCACAGGATATTATTTCATGGGAACACAAGAAAATGAGTATGTCACCTGCATTTTAAGATTACAAAAAGAGTATGCAAAAACTGGAAGGGATTTGCCCATGCTTCCACAGTTTAAATAAAGGGAGATCAAAAAGAGTATCATGTCTCAATGTGTCCTGTCCCTTACCACACTGTTTCTAGTGTATTCTTTATTAAATTAAGCCTTTTTTTGTATGTCTCAGAAAAATAAAAATTTATCTCAAATAATTAAAAAATTAGTTTTCCATATGCTCGGCCTTTTATTTCTTTTTTCTCTACCATGTCACGGACTTTCAAAGGATAAGCAGATCTCTGTCCCCAAATTAAAGGGCCTCTTATATCATTCCTTTGTGATGCCAGTAATTACCCCACTTTGGACATGCTGAACTTGTATGTGTGGTCCTATAGGAATCTTGTGTGGCTGCTACATTAACTGAAATTTCATATACTTATTTTTCTAGTATACATAGAAGTAAAAGAAGAGAAACCCATGTACATATTGTAGTTTTTCCAGACTCAGCAATTATCAAGATTTTGCCTCATTTACTCCATCTATTTCTTTTTTAAAAATTTTATTTTCTTTGCTAAAGTATTTTGAAGTATATCCTGGACACCCCATCATTGCATCTCTACGTAGTTTTGTATTCATCTCTGAAAAATGAATTTTCTTTTATATCCCAAATGCCATTATTCCCTAACATAAATAACAGCAATTCCTTGATATCGTCTAAAACCATTCATAATTGAATTTTCTCAGTTGGAATGGCTCATGAAATTCTCAAATTACAAACTGCTTAGCTTTCAAATGTCTGAAAATTAGCTCTTTGGAAGTTTAAATTCATTTTTAGATGGAAACAACATCATAAATTGTATTTAGGCCCTCTGAGCTATTTTACAAAATCCCATTTAATTGGAAACAAAACATATATGCAGAAAGAATGATAGAAACAATACTCTCTCCTATTAGGGTTTCAAACAAATCTATCTTTCCAACGGCAATTTGCTACTTTTGAGTGCTGTCACTTGATGAATATAATTTTTTGGGAGAATTTGAAAGCGTGCAGATCTTTGTAGCAGTGTTGAAGCAGGCTTTACAGCTGCGCTTCTCAAAGTGTGGTCATTAAATCACCTTCTTCAGAATCAGCAGGGATGCTTATTAAAAATATGGATACTTGGACCTCTTGCAAAACCCACTGAATAGGAATGTTCTGGGGGAGGTTATAGGAATTTGATTTTTTATATTTTTTTCTCTTTGATATGTATACAAATCAGTGCTACTCTTAATCTCTACCATTTTCAAACTGGGGCAATTGGACCTTTCAAAACTGAGGACAGTTGTGTTTTGTTGACAAAGGTGAGTATGTTACAAATGGCCTTTAGTTGGTATTTTAGCCAGGTATTGATTGTTCAGACAAAACAGAGCCTCAAATGAACCAGCCTGAAAGGCTGTGTTGTAGTACCTGAAGGCCAAAAGGTCACTGGTCTCATGAGAGGCTGAAATTGGGAGCAAGAAAGTCAGCAAAAATCAAGTCAACCACTTTCTCTATTCTCTCTCTTTTGTTCTCCCACAAACATACCACATAGTCTCTGCCTCTCCTTGCAAATTCACATCATTTTTGAGATTTCTTTGCAGTGTTGCTTGCCCTGATTTCATGTCAGTGCCAGCGGCCTCAAGTGGCTGCTCCCAAGTTTTCCACCTATTAGTGGTTCAGTACTTGGTAACTGACTGGGAACTGTATCTGGAGAGGTATGTTAGTCCAGTGTGTCCAGATCCTATTCAATCAGATGTGGCCAAGGGGACAGTGGGCCCTGGACCACTGTTCAGTCTGCAAGGGTGTGGTAACATGTGAGAAAGAGGTACAGGTTTAGTAGGTATGGCATATGGAGGCACTATGTCCTAGGGGCAGCTAGTGTCCTAGGGGAAAAAAAAGATCTCAAACAGGACACAAAAACTAATTCTAATCATATTTGTATGATATATGATGATCCACCAATTGGTTTATTTGACTTAACGTACCCAGTTCAGAGTGTTCAGCTCCTTTGTCTCAATTCACTTAATGTACGTGAAGCATACTTATTGGGCAGTTGTTTCAGTTGATGTCACCCTTCAGGGATGCTCAGCTTCCTTGTCCATTTTCCTGAGCTTACGTCTTACTGAGGTCCCTTAACCCCTGATGACAGGAATTACCAACTCAGGTTCCTTCCCACCTTATGCTAGTTACCTTCATTGTAGGAGAAGTTAGCTTTCTTTTCCTATTTTAAAACTTAAATCCCCTAGCAGATCTTCTATTTGTCAAGGTTTTATTTCTAGTTTGAAGGTTGCCTTTAATTTTTGGTTAATTTGCAGGGTACATTTGCAGTCCAAGCTTTATCTACAATATGGGTTTTCTTTTTAACGTTATTGAAATCTCAGCTTCTGGTTTGTTTTTCCCTGGGGCATATAATATGTTCTGTCAAGAGAAAGAAAATTGGAGTCATCATGGTTCAATATAAGTGTGGATTTTAATTAATATAAAAAAGATTTCTGCAGTCTTATGGATATTGCTTTGAAAAAACGTCAGCTTATGTCAAATAGTAATAAACTCTATTGTATAAGTATATGCTTATGTGTATTTCAATGGTGGTAAGCAGACCTGAGAATTGTCCTTTTGACATTACAGATAAAGGTCAGCTCAAGGGAGACCCCAGAGAATGGCCACAAGTCTTTGCCAAGGCAAGGGAGTAGAAAGAAAGGGTTCAGGATTAATTTAGAAGAGAAATGGCAGGACTGACATAGGGAGACCATCCTTTAATTCTTGTCCTTTTCTTTGGCCCACTCATTTAACATTTTTTCAAAGCCACAGAAAAAATAAACACAAATAGGAGGTTTAATATTCTTAACCAGCTTACAAATGCTTGTATTCCAGAAGATCTTTAATAAATTGGCCATTTATTCACATACATTTTTCCATAGACGTATTGTTACATGCAGTGGTTAGGTGGTCAGGCCAAAGCCTTAAAATCCATAATGGCTCCAAAGTATAGTGCTCTTACAACATTGCGTGTACCGTTTTTAAAATTGCTTCTGTGGAAAGATGTGTCAATATGATGTGACTGAAAGATATTGGAACAGGAATCAGCAAACCTAGTTTTTAATACAGTCCTACTACAGATGAGGGGTGTTATATCAGCCCATTGCTCACCCTTTCTGTACCTGAGAGCTCTACAATTTTATTGTATTCCTAGAGCAAGTGATTCTGATGGCTCCAGAAGCAGTAATGGCTCCTGTGCAGCAGATACAGGAGTCGTGGAAAGCAGGGTTTCTTTTGTTCCACTAGCCCTAGAAGCTCCCTCTTAGCCTCTGTTCAGGTATTCCCATATAGTGACCACACTTTTTTGTGATAAAGAGTATGTTTGGGGTGTCATAGGACAAAGAGCACAGGAGTCACATTCATGGAAATAATTGGGGCAGAAGGGTCTGGTTAAACTAGAAACTGCAGCAAAGTCATAGTTCAAATATTAGAAGAAGAATCAGAAAAGGAATCACATCTAGTAGGAGCCAGCTCAAGTGGTGAAGTTAAAGTACAGGACCAAGCATCTAAACTTAGAAATAAGGATACGAGATAAGATGTGACCACTTGAGGCCGGCATAGGTCCAATACACATTTGGCTCTACTTGGTTTAATAGGTACGGGGTGGTCGTAACCTCTGAATTCTCTAAATTTATCTTTCTCCACCCTCAAATCATTTATTTGATTACTTAAGCCAAAATTTAAGGAGTCCACTTTCTGTTCTTGTTAAGTACTGCTTCATCTTTCATCAAAGTAGGCTTGAATCTATATACATCTCCCCATCTCTGCTGCCACCATCCTAATTTAGCCATTGTCTTCTCACCTACAGGAGCCCCATAAATGGCCTCCTTTCTTCTGTGTTAGCTTATCTTGGTTCATTCTACATACACTTGTTATAGGGAACTTTCAGAAAGGTAAATCGCGGCATGTAATTTCCTGGTTTAAAAAATTTTAATACCTTAGAATGAAATCCACATTTCTTCCTTTGACAGGACTCTCCATGGCTTTGTCCCTGGCTACCTCTTAAACCTCATGTACATTCTACCCTTTGTTCATTAGACTCCAGCCACAGTCCTATCTATTTGTGAACTTAGCAAACTTTTTTTTCTATCTCCAAGGCTTTATCGTAGCTGTTTTCTGAGTCTGGAACCTATTTCCCTGGCTCCTGACATACCTGATTCCTCTTTATTCTCTAGATTTCAGTATAAGGTCATCTCATCCAGGAGATTTTTTTTTTTTTTTGACCAGCCTAAATGTAGCCTGTTTTTTTTTTTTTTTTAATTTTTTTTTCCCATCACATTTCTCAGTTTGTTTCCTTGGCTGCACTTACCATAATCCGAATTGTCTCATTTATCTATTTGGTCTAGTTGTTTTATTCTTTTTCCCTCTATGTGAATTATCTTGGCTTTATTGTTCTTGGGTTATTTCATGGAAAGAATGAATGAGTAAATGGATTATTGAAGATACATAGTTAAAACTAATTTAACAAATTATATTTTGACATGTTTATTCTAATCATTTTCAGTCATCTTCATTAAATTAGAATAAAATTAAATTTGATTAACAGACTCTATTTACCAAAATAAATTATATTTTTATTTTTTAAAATTTTTTCTTGACAATTATTTCTTTGTAATGCAAAAATAAAATTGAATCTAGATCCTGGACTAAGTGGATTTTAAAAGTACGTATCTTTTGCTTTCATTTAACACGTATGAAAATTTGATCCGTGTAATCAAGATATTTCTGATTTTATACATTATTTTTTATATAGTATAATTATAAGTGAGTGCCCAGTGAACTGCTATACTTTCTTTAAGTTTACTGTGTGTTCATAAGATCCACAGCTTTAGAAAAGATTAAGTGGAAATATTAGTTAGGTTTATAGTATGAGTCTCTCAGAGCAAGAGGTATATGCTAGCAAATGTTTTAATTATTAAGAATTAATATCAGTGGTGAATTATTTAGGTCAGTGTTCATCAGATGGAAGTGGGGAGACATATACCCTTTGAAAATACATGAAGACTTTCCAAGGGTTGTCAAACATAGATTTAAGAGAATCAGTTTTCACTTCCTGAGAACCCACCTGTGCTCCCAGTAAGCTCCTCTTGGTGCATTACCCTGGGGCGTGTAAACATCCAGGGCATCACACACAGGGAAAGCTTCCTTTAGTGATTAATCAAAGCATCACAAATAAGAAGGAGTTCCTTTTTAATGTCTTAAGCCTCTTTCTGTTAAGGGTGAATCATGGTGGAAATGAGGATTTTGACCAGTGTTGAAATATTTTGAATTCAGATAGATGATGGTGTGATGAAGTAATCACAATTTTCATTTTTCAGTTTTTGACTTCAGTTCTTCCATGTCCTGACTGTTGTCAAAGAATATATAATAACCCTTGAGGGATAACTTCTTAAGAGCAAAGCAAGGAGTGCATCAGTGAGAAATATTGATTGCTGAAATGGCCTTTTGTCATATATTTAAATGTACTATCTGCTATTCTGGATACATATGTATAGGATGCTGAAAGAAATACTATAAAAGCACTGAATTTATGTAATTTATATAATAAATATGTATTTATAAATGCAAAGAAATCCTATAAAAGCTGAAAGAAAATGCACGTACAAACACCTGATATGATATAGGTTAGTGCTGCTGGTGAAGTTACCTGGGAAGTAGACTTGGAGCACAGGTTTGCCTTCAGGAAGTTTGCTGGGGAGAGCCCGTGGAAACAATACTTGTAGGAATGGACACAGGGAGAAGTTGGGCTGCAGCACAGCCACAGCAAAGGTCCAGTTGATCCCGTAGGAGAGCTCTGGAGCTGGATTGGCCCTACAGAATTGTTCAGAATTAGGGCACAGGTGCTGGGCTGTCTAGGAAATGTCAGAACTTGGGCATGGCAGCTTTCTTTAGCATAGTGCAATGGCAGTCAAGGAGGCCTTAGCCACAAGTCTTAGTGGCTGATACTCTAACAGCTGGGAGAATGAGTGCTTCAGTCTTGAAGGAGGTGGGTTTGGATGTTGTGCCACAGTATCTGCCATAGTTAGTAACTGATCTTTTAAAATGTTAATAGAAATCATTTTGGGGACTACCAAAGTTTTCAAGATAAATTGGTTAAAACTCAAGAATAAAACATATACATGATTTCTTTCAAATTTTGTGTGTGTTATTCAATATTGTACTTACTATTTTGGCAAATCATACGATAAACTCTTTATTCCAATTCCAGTCAATTCCCATCCTATTTTATCATAAAATATTTTAATATTTTCTAATACCTAAAAAATGATATGCCAGCTACTGGACTATTTATTTTTTAATGTGCATGTACCGTTTGCATTCCTGAAAAACATAAGAAATATTTGTCATGGTGACTACTACATTTAATAGAACTATTTCTAATTTTATACTTGATTTTTATTTAGTTATATCCAAAAGCTGAAACCCAATGGTGAAAATGTACAGTAACACAATTGCCAAAGGAATTCTATGTACTTCCTAGCACTTCATCATACTCCCCAGAACTCTTAGTCCTGTATTAATTTAACTTTTTTTCTTTTTTCTTTTTTTCCATTTGTCCAAGGCATGAACGAGGCATTGGCTACTGGGATATATAAGGGGTTACTTTGCTTTGTTCCTAGTTGATATGAGATAGGCACCATCAATGTATTACTTTAATTTTGACTGCTTTCAGCTATTTCTCTTCTAAGATACAATTCATAATTTATTTTTCAGTGTTTTAAATTTTTTTTTCTCAAAATTTAACTTTGTTTGCTTTTTTTTTAGAGGGAGTCTCGCTCTTTTGCCCAGGCTGGGGTGCAGTGGGTGATCTCAGCTCACTACGACCTCCACCTCCTGGGTTCAAGCGATTCTCCTGCCTCAGCCTCCTGAGTAGCTGGGATTATGGGCACTCGCCGCCACACCTGGCTAATTTTTGCATTTTTAGTAGAGATGGTGTTTCATCATGTTGGCCAGGCTGGTCTTGAACTCCTGACCTCAGTTGATCTGCCCGCCTCGGCCTCCCAAAGTACTGGGATTACAGGTGTGAGCCACTGTGCCTGGCCAAAATGTAACTAATTTGAATTGAAAAGTAAAGTTGGGCTTTATTTGATAAAATATAAGTCTGATTTGGCCAATTGCTTTTGAGAGTGAGGATTAACTTTCCAATTATATGGCTGACATTTTTCTTTAGAAACTAAATCTGAAGCCTTAAACTTTTGATGAACATATATATAAGACACATTATAAGACAAAAGCATCTTAGGAAAAAAATTGGAAAGCAATCATGCAGAAGCCTCGTACTTTTGGTTTGGCCAAGGTATGATAAAATTAACACATTTTCCGAGTGTATTAATTTGAACAAAGTACATTTAAGTTGAAGGGTAAAAAATCATTAATGGCTAATGGTAAAGCTTTGTTGATGGTAAAGCTTTGTTGAAACTATCCAGAAATTGATAAAATGAATGAATCTGGGTGACAAATCTTTATCAAGTCAGATGGTTTCTAATTTGTCATTTTCAGTTGTATTATATGAGGTCCTTAACTGATTTGCTGGTTAACAGATTATTAAAGATTATTTTAGCTCTGATGGAGTTCAAAGATTAACATTGCCTTCCACCACCTGTGTGCTTCCTCTTCTCCCTCGCTCAGATTAATTTTTCTAACTAGCATTTATTATTATCTGACATGTGTTATGTTCACATATATATGGATTCATCTACTGCCTTTTCCCAGTAGAACATAAGCTCTGTGAAGACAGGAACTATTTGTTAATTGAGTAAGCTTTATTTATTCAATCTCTAGCATGTAGAATTATGCCTAGCACTTCACAGGCCCTCAGTAAATTTTTGCTGAATGAAAGAATAAATAAATGGAGAAATGAATGGATAAAGAGCTGGGAAGTCATTGTTATTAAGGGAGAGAATATTTGGAAACGTACTGATATTTTAATATAAATGATATCAAATGTGTAAAGAAACTTTGAAAAGTGAAATTTAGTTTATTTTCCAGGAAGAGTCTGATATTGTTTGATGTTAAAAAAGAGCCTGGTCAGGATAAATGTTTGAGTATTGATTTACCACTATAAGCACATTCTAAATTTGGATTACCCTTGGTCAGAATGGGTTCTGTTCTTTGTCTCTTTGGTTCCCTTGTAAGCATTTTCAGTCTTAGCAGCCCATGTATGCCAGTTAAAAAGCATGCATACTTTATAGGGCTGAGTCCAGTAAAAGCTTTTCAATCAACCCACATTCACAGTGGAAGATTACTTTCATTCCTGGGAAGGGTGACATATGCGTGTGAAACACAGTATTCAGATGAAAGGGCTACTTTGGTATTATTTAACTGTGTATTGGCAAGACTCTAGCCAGTATCTAGTTTCTCTTTAGAGCTATTTTGCATTATATTACAGTAGTCTTACTGTGCTGTGCCAAGGAAATTAAGATCAGCTGGAACACTCTGTAGGTCATTGGCTTGGAATCTTAGGGCACTGGGAACTTGATGTTTTGTTTTAATGACCTCATTTAGGCGAAATCTGCCTTTGTCCCAGAAGCCTAAGGGGCCCTTTACAAAACCATGCCTGCACCTTGGGAAAGATATAGAAGAGGTTCAGAGAAAAATGACTAAATATTTAAAGGTATTGGGTCAACCTCCATGTATAAAGTACTTTATAAATTAATTGACTCTTTAGTCAAGAAAGACAAAGAGGAGTCGTAATGAAAGTCTCTTCAATACAGATTTACCCGCCAAGTTCCATGATATCTGAAACATACTTTTAAAGTTGAAGGATGTAATTTTAAGAAAAATTGAAAGAAGAAATGATTACACATCATGTAGGGGCTTATGGGTATTGTGTCGTGGCAAATGATTTCTAAAAGGGATTTCTAGGGGCAATCACTCTTGTGGAATGATGGACCTCCTCCATATTTCTCAAAGTGGGAGTATAAGATGCATATATGCATATGGGATGTGTGGGGATTGTGGGAGGGCCATATGGGAAGTTGCATGATAAACATGGAACACCTTTTTGGAACGTTAACTTTAATTGAAAATATGGGAAAAACATTCTTATATTAAAATAAACACTCCTGTATTTATGAGTAGAATACATAATGTGCATGAATTTTTAAGAACAAATTATACGCCTCAGATATTCTTACCCTGAGATGGCAAAGGCTGTACAATTACTTTCTTTTGCATGTTGGGTATCTCTGGTGGAAACATTTGAGAAGTGCTAGTGTAGTTTTCATTTCTGTGGGAAGTGGCTCCTTGTGACTCTCATGAGGGTTGGATATCTCTTTATTCTTTAGCCATAGTCCTTTCTAGAGCTTCTCTGATTTTATTGGTATCTATATCACTACCAGTAAAGATATTGGGTTTTAAACATTTGAACTATTTTCCTACTTTACTTTTCTGCAGCTTGGCAGGAAATAGCTCTCAACTAAAGTCTCTGAAGACCACCTTATTCCTGAAGACCTACTTTTGAGTCTTTGTGTTGATGTCTGAGCAGTTTTAGACATTTTGACTACTTTTTCCTTCTTGAAATACTTTCTTGACTTCTGCCTCTTAAAGGTTCTGTTGTAGGATTTGAGTGTTGGTATTCCTTAGGGTTTTGTCCTAGAACTTCTTGTTTTCATTTTACTGCCAGGATGATCTCATCTACCTCCACGGCCTCAATTGCAGTGTGCATGTAAGTCTAGGCTAGATCTGTATACTGGGCTGCCTGTTGGATATCTTCATTTATACGGTCCATAGACATCTCAAACTCAGCAGATTCCAAAACAAGTGAATACTCTTCCTCTTAAACTTGCTTCTTCTCTCATGTTTTCCTTCCCTGGAAATAGAATATACTCTTCCTGTACTAGAAAATAAGATATCTTAGCTCTTCTTTGGCTCCTCTTTATTTCTCTCTCCTCATCCAGTTGGGTACCAAGTCCTTTGGGAAGAACAACTCTTGGATTTATCCACTTTTCAAAACTTCTCTGCTATTGCAACAGCTCAGGTCAAATCATCTCTTACATAATTACTTTGAGACTCTCCTCACTGGTACTCTATTTTTAGTAGTTTTCTACTCCTAGAGGTGTTGTATGCTTACATGTTTTTATTAAGGAGATAAAATTCATTAAGCATAAAATTAGCCATTCCCAAATCTACAATTTACTGGCATTTACAATTTACTGACATAAGTGCATCCACAGTGTTGTACCACCATCTCCTTTGTCTAGTTTCAAAACATTTTCATTGCCCCCAAAGAAAATTCTATACCCATTGAATAGACATTCTCCATTCTCTTCTCCGTCTCGGCCCCTCGCAACCACAAATCTGCATTCTGTTTGTATGGATTTACCTATTATGGATATTTCATTAAAATGGAATCATATAGTATGTGACCTTTTGCATCTGGTTTCTTTCACTCAGCCTGTTTTGGAAGTTTATCCATGTTGTTGAATGTAATACTAGGATTCTCACCGTGAAGTAATTCCAAACAGTTAGAGAACTAACTTTTTTTTTTTTTAAGAAAGAAGAGATTGTTCATACATGATTGCTTCTGCTTTGTGTCTTTGTTCTCAATCCCATTTTATTTCCCCTTTTTCCTGCTGTGAGGGAAACACTGTTCTGAGGTTGGTGAGTATCCTTTCTTTCCATGTTTTTATGCCTTTACACATATAATACTATAATGTGTCCTAATGATTTATTTAAAAATATATTGTATGTCTATCTCTGCAACTTGTTTTCGTTTGACATTTTTGATTAATCCATATGAATAAATATAAATCACTTATTTTAATTTTATTTCATTGTATGCATGTACCACAATTTTTTGTTTACCCATTGAAGAAAACTGAGAATTTCTCAATTTCCATCATTAAAGACCACACTATAATATACATTCTTGTGCCTGTGTGCAAGGGTTTCTCTATTGTATGTATTTAGAAGTAGAATTGCTTGGCTGTAGACAGGTGCATGTTCAGTTCTACTAGGTATTGCCAAATTGCTCTCCAAAGTGGTTGTGCCCACCAGCACTATATGCGTCTCCATTTCCACACTTTCTCATCAACAGCTGGTATTTTCAGAATTTAAAGTTTTTGCCAATGTGGTGAGTGTAATGAGATTTAATTACTGTGTTCATTTGCATTACCTTGATTATTTGTAAGGTTGAGCATCTTTTTATTTGCTTCTGTCCATTCTTACTTCTTCTTTGTGAATTACCTGTATTATTCTGTTGCATTGTTTGCATTTTTTAAAATGACTTGTAAGAATCCTTTATATGGTATTGATAGCTATCTTTTTGCAACTGTAAACATTGCAATTATCTTTTCTCAGTAATTGTGACTTGCTTTAACTTTGTTTATAGTGTTTCTTATGATACAGAATATTTTTGTTTTAATTTAGTTAAATCTAGTTTTGTACTTTTGTGTGTCTTATTTAAGAATTTTTCCCTCTCTGTCCTGAATATTTTTTCGTCGAGTTAATATATATATATTTTTTTTTTGAGGTGGTGTCTCACTCTGTCACCCAGGTTAGATTGCAGTGGCTCGACCTTGGCTCACTGCAACCTCTGCCTCCAGGTTCAAGTGACTCTCCTGCCTCAGACTCCAGAGTAGCTGGGATTACAGGTGCCCACCACCACACCCAGCTAATTTTTGTATTTTTAGCAGAGACGGGGTTTCACTATGTTGGCCAGGCTGGTCTCGAACTCCTGACCTCAGGTGATCCTCCTGCCTCAGCCTCCTAAAGTGCTAGGATTACTGGTGTGAGCCACCGCACCCGGCCTCATGTAGTCATTTTTATGTTTTACTTTACACACTTGGGTTTTTGACATAGCACAATTTATTTTTTTAGGATAGGAATTTGATTTTTTATCCAATGACCATCCATTCATACTAGCACCACTTATTAATCATCTTTTCTTTTCCCAAAGCTTTTTAACATTTTTTCATCATGTATTAAGTTCCCCTTTTCATAGGTGGAAGCAATAATGCTAAATGGCTAATCAAATTATCTTACTCCTAAAACCATTCCATGAATACCCCTCACTCTTCAGATACTGATTTAAATGGGACCCTGAGGTACTATACAGCTGGACCACCTCTCTAATCATGCCTCTAATCCTTTCCATCTCATACTCTGTGCTTTGACCACACTTAATTTTTTTTTAGTTTTGTACAATGTCTTTCTTTTTCTTACCTGACTTTGGTCTTTACATGAGATAGATGTTCAATCTTCCTGCATATCTCTTTTCCTTAATCTTTAAATAGCTAGCTTCAAATAACATATCTTTGAAGACTCAGCTGCAAGAGTCTTCTCTTCCCATAATAGATATATGTTAGGTGCCCTGCTTAGGGATAATCTACCAGGTCAATTACATTACATTATTAGTGTTCCACAATCCAGGAATCTCTGGGGGCAATAGGGATCAGTTGGCTTGGATTCTGGATTCTAGCCTTGTGCCGGGCACATACTAAGTCTTCTGTATATACTTGCTGAATGAACTGAAGTTTCAGATAACACTCTCACCTAGAGTAGGATTCATTTTTAAAATCTTTGTTAGATGATCATCTGTATAATCTCCTCTTGAGCATTTTCAATGATAGTGAGCTCATTAGCTTATAATCAATAAAATCCTTTTATAATGCTTTCTTATGAAGTACGTGTAAACCAAGTTTGTCTGTAATTGTAAGGAAAAAAATAATTGCACATTTTTTTCAGGATATTGTCTCCATCCCTATGTAAATCTCAATTTTGACCTATTATTCCAGCATGTCAAGATATTATTGAATTTTGGTAATTTCAGTAATCATCTCTCTCATCATTTCCTTATATGTTCATAGGTATAGAAGATGTTAGTGTCTTCATTCAAGAGTTAAAAGAAAGACTGTATTACTTGATTAAAATTACAGAGATAGGAAGTGGCAGAGGCAAGGTTTGCAGACTCCTAATCTCCCTTCCCCTCCCCTCCCTTCCCTTCCCTTCCCTTCTCTTCCCTTCTCTTCCCTTCCCTCCTTTCCTTTTTTTTTTTTTAAATTTAAAAATACATTTGGAGACACACAAAAAGTGTTTTGTTTTATAAATAGGCCAGGCCTATACTATGGATAATATTGCAGAGTAGAATTCCAAAGGTGGGCGTCTCTGATACATTACTCTTACATGGTATAACCAGTGTGCCTGAAGGGAGCAGAACCGGTTTTAGATTTATATAAAGTTTCCTTTCACTGAATGTTACCTTGGACTTGATTAGTTTATTTCTAGATATGTAAAATTATAATAATTAAACAAAATTTAAATATAAAAATATTTTTTACTTCTTTGGGAAAAACAGTTCTTCAAAACTGTTAAGATTGTATCCTGAATTGTGAAGGTCTGCAGTTGTAAAGTAGTGTGATTTATTTTCTCTTTCACTGGCTTATAAGGGTGCATATATCGTACCTTTATATTAATGATGACACAGTTTCTAAGATAATTTCAAATATGTTATTTTTATTCTTTTAATATCTGAATGTAATAAATGGAATCCTTAGTTTTGTCCTAGTTTTGCAGATGGAAAAACACAGGGTCAAAGATCAAGGGTTAAATATACAGATTATGCCTGAGAGAGCCAGGACTTGAACCCAGATTTTCAGATTTCAATCCCAGCCCTGCCTATCTAACACAAAATTCACAGGTAGAATTCTATTTAGAAACTACGTTCAAAATACCTTCTCTGTGCTTTCAGTATTGTAGATGTTTATATAGTGAAAACAATAAAAAGAGTTGTCCTTTACACCACCCATGAAACCAACCTTAATATGTTCTGATCTCCCTCTACCTCCATAGTGTTTTTCTTATGGTATCGGTATACTGCCTTTATGAAATATCAAAAATCCTTTGTATTATTGTTTCAGAAAATGTCAGAAATCATTGTCGTTATTATTATTATTATTATTTTCAATTTATAAGATTTTGAATGACTTTCAGAAACTGCTAGGGAAATTGGATCATTCTAAGATCAGGATGTATTCTTACTGAAAGAGTTTAGCTGTACTCTGGGGTGTTAAAATTAACTTTCATTGACAGATCCTTGTCTGGGATTTAACTGAGATTTAAGTCAGTAAAAATTCTGCCCTGTGGCCTAGAGAACAATTGGACAAAGTAGATGAAGTGGAGAGGAATGTATTTTCTCAACCTTTTTTTTTTCCATTGGAAAGAACCCAGGTCACTTGCAGAGACGGTAGAGATTTGGCAATGGACTGGTCCTGCTGTTGTGTGGTCACTATTAGCAAGCCAAATACTCATCATTATAATAAATGTGGGGCTATAAATATCAGTGCAGAGAATACTGGGTCTTAAAAGCATGGAATCAAAAATGATTTAAGTATTTAGAGATTGAATTAAATTCCATTTAAAAAAAGAAATTAATAAATCTTTATTTTACTTGTCAATATAATTATCCTTCCATCTTAGAAAAGTTGTTTTACATGTAATGCTTTAGGATGGCAATTCTCAAACCCCAGTGGGCATATCACATGCTTAGAGTATTTGATACAAGTGCAGATCCCTGGGTCTCATCCTTGGACACTCTATTTCCATAGGCTGAAACATTAAAACCTTTAACAAGTACCTGCCGGGAGATTCTTATAATTCTGGGGCAGCTTGACTCTATACCACTTTTGAAGAAACCCTGATATAATCTGATTGAATCAGGGTTTGAAATAATGACATTTCTCCTACAGAAGGAGTGGTCAATCAATACAGGAGGAGCTATTACTCATACATCCACATGCTTTATATATGTGAAGTTCTATAATTTTTTAAAGGATAACCATTGTCTACATCTGTTTGCTTCATCTCAAAGGTATTAGAAATTGCTTGAATTTTAAATTGCATTGCTTTTAAAATTAAAGTATATTTATTGTTTAACAAACAACCTCTATGGCAACGGGAATTGCCCTTTCTCTATGACTCCTAAAGTGGTTGCTGAAGTAGATCACACAGGGGGGCGCTGTTTAAATATGTTTTGTCTGTGGATAGTTCCAAATCCATACAGCAGAGGGTGCATGCTTTAAATGACACAAGGAACCTGTGACCTGATTGTTTTAGTTTGAATTATTCTAGGTTGCATTATCAATTTAATTTAGACTATTAAAGAAATATGACTTGCTGAAACTTATTTAAGTAAGGATCATGTGAAGTTTTTATAAGTTAATAATTTAGACATGTATTCAAATTATTCTGGTTTCTTCGTGTTTTCGCATTACATTATAAACAGTGGCTCTAAGTAGCATCTCTTCTATGTTGGGTCTTTTCTTTTTTAGTCATAAGAATTAAGATTCTGATATGCAAAAGTGCTAGTTGATTATAAATCTACAACAGACAGATATCTTCTACAGATGATTTGTTGTGTAATATTTTATAGTGTTTTGCCTGAGAATTGAAGATATATGTCATTCACATCATAATATGCTATTTTTCCTCCTTCCTTCCAGACTTAGTGCATATGCAAATACTTTCTTTAAAACTTGTTCTTTTTAGGTAGCATTTTCCCATATATGCTTCTATCAATTCTCTATTAGTTACAGTAGAATAAATAAACTTGAGCTTGGTTAATCAGAAAAGCACTGCCTACTTTGTCATTCTTTTTGTCAAACTGTGAAGTTTTCTGAAGGTAGCGACTGTTCCTTATTCTTTTTTATCTCTTCAGTTTCTGCTATGAAACATTGGATAGAGTAATGAGTGTCACTGCTGGTGTCAGTTCCTAGATATAGTCTGTGGTGGATTAAAGATGGTTGTAAATTCTTTACTACATTTCTCATTGAGAGAGGAAATCTATGTCCTATCCTCTTGGAAGGCTCTGATTATTTTACCCATACGATACTTTGGCAGTGATAGTGTGACCATTTCTGGTCCAAGGCTTTGATTGGCTTTGATTCCATTTCCTGTTTCTTAGAATACTCTCTTTGGGAACCCTGAGCTACCTTATCTGAGCCCTCTCTGACTATATCGAGGCACCGTGCTGGAGAAGCCATGTGTAGATTCAGCTGCTCCCATCTTTTCAGCCATCTCTGCCAAGGTTTTAGACACGATGGTAAAGCAAGGTTGGATGGTCTAGACTAGCTCCTACACCAGCTGCGTGCCTTTTAGGGAAAGTGACCTTCACTGACACCATGTAGAACAGAAGAATTGCCTAGATAAACCCTTCTCTCCAATTCCACAAAGTCATGAGATGTAACGTAAGCGTTATTGTTTTAAGACACTGTTTTGGAGCAGTTTGTTAGTGTGATAATAAGAGATCCATAACACAGGCTAAGTTCTGGAGAGAAAAGTAGATGGTGGCAACTGGAAGGAAACTTGGAGAACATCTTATTTAACCACATCCATTTATAGGGAAAAACTGTTTTCCAGAGAGATGAAGTGGCATGCTCAAGGTCATCTAGATGGCTATGGTCACTGTTAGGACTCTTATCTGACTTTGTTGCCCTTGCCTTTAGAACATCCTGTAAGATCGTTGAATTTTTTACTTTAAAACTAGTAAGCGAAGACCAATAAATATAGCCTAGAGACACCTGAAGACCTCCTACCATGCCAGAAAGAACTTTGCAGTCTCAAAAATACCAGGTTCCAGGAATACCCTGCCCAACAATTTTGTCCTATGTAAACGATTATAAAAAGTTACATTCCAGTGTAATTGTACATTTAATTTAACATTCAAATATAGTAAAAGATACTAGAAAAATAATCATGTGCACAGATGTATGCTATCATATGTAAACAATCACAACATTTAGGCAATTTGTATGCCAAAAATTCTGTGGTAAATTTGGGAGCTTGGAATGCATTTTCCCATAGAAACAATGCTATTCAAAATTCAATTTAATACCTAACATACCTAAAGTATAGTACTTGAAGTTATCACCATAATTATCAGATTTCTTTGAGGAAATGCTTTCTGAATGCCAACTTGTTATCTACGGACCCATCAGTCCAACCCTTCCCTTTATTTGGCTTTGGCAGAAGGACTTCCTGTTTGTTGAGCAATGGAGGATAGCACCGTATATCTTGCTCTCAGGACCAGCTTGCAGAAGATGTCTTCTTAGGCTTCAGGATGAAGGGAGAGAAGGTTCTAGGGTCTCAATGCAGTGAGAGAATGTCCTCTGCTTGGTGAAGAAACAGCATGGTTCAGGACTTCTTGTTGGTTAAATTTCTTAGTTCAAGTCAGCTCTTGGTGATTCCCCTCCGCTCCCTATTTTAAGTATCCTAGGGACTGGTTTACTTGCTTTCCTTTCTATCTGCCCAACAGCTTCCTCTTTCCAAGGTATCAATTTTGAAACTCATTAGAGAACAGGATGAAGTATTTCCATTTTTCCCTATGTTCCTGTTTCTAAAACTAAGAAAGTGTTTTTATTTTTTGCTTCTCTTTCCTTGTCTCCTCCCACTTCTCCTCCTCCTTCTTCCTCTCTCTCACTCCTTTCTTCCTTCTGTCTCCCTCTCCTCCTCCTCCTGTCCTTGCATCCCTCCCTCCATTCTTTTTCTCCCTGCCTTTCTTCTTCTCTACCCATTGTCTTATTTTTCTTAAAATCAACCCAGCTTCTTTAATGGTTCGAGAATTGTTAGCTAGTATAGTTAATTAAATTCCTCAGTTTATTTTTAGATTTAGGGAAAGTGAGTGGCATTGCTCTGTATCTTTGTTGCTTGTATAAATAAGACAAATTGTAAGTGTTCCTACTAGATTATAGGCATTTGAAAGGAGGGGCTACATCTAATTTTTCTTTATAATCCCTATCACATAATTTTGAAATGCTTAGCAGTATTTATTGTGCAAATTAAATATTATAGCTACAGCTTCTTTTTATTAATATATATCTGCACTATGAAAGAGGGTGAAATGCACTGAAAATTATTTTGACATCCTGTAAATCCTTGCACATTGCCTGTGTTTCTAGTTTGTATATTGTATATGGTAAGTGTATGTGAGGTTATAAAGTCAAATTTTGCTGTTGATTTTCTCTTTTAGCTTTATTTTTCACTTTTACTGATCGTGTTTCACTGAATTCACTTTCACTGATATTCATGATGCTGAGGAATTTTCTTCTTGGGATACAACCAAACAGTGGAACTGTGTAATGTTATGGATTGATGTGGTCAATTAACTAGTCATAAATAGGATATCTGACATTTAATCCTTCCGTTCCTTAGAGTTAGATTAAATAAATGAAGGTTTTGTAGATTATTTCAAGGATTAAAGACTAGATCTAGGAATCATTTTTTTTTTAAAGCTGGTTTTTTGATGACAAATGAACTATAGTTCTTTACTCAAACAGAATCATTTGCACAGTGAGTGACGGTTCCAGCTTTCCCCAAGGATAAGACAAAAATTGTGGTGAAAAAGTTCAAGGTAATGTTTGAGTTTATTGTTTGCTTGAGCCTGATTTGAAGTGTAAAAATAAGATGCTAACAAGTCCCAAGTTGAAGAACATATTATTCCACAAAATGTTTTCTTTGTGTATTTATCAGTATTTTACTGTAGCCATTCTAAACTATTTGCTATTTTTATCTTCTTAGACCAAATGTACTTTAAGTAATTCCTCAAGTCATCAAGAGGGAAAACACAGCTATGAGAGAATCCTACATAGTAATTTTAAAATAAGATTAGAATAACATGTAAGGAAACTTTTTAAAAAGGACTTTGGTTTTTAGTCCTTTCTCTCTCTGTCCTTTATTTTTGAGAAAGCTGGCATCTTAATGACTTGAGGGATAATTACTTGTTTCTCATGTTAGGGTTCAGGATTGCTCTGATTTTCCTTGGTGCACAAATATTTTAGGAACAATATTTCAAAAGACAAAACAACCCTTACTGCTTTATTGATGCTTGGTTCATTTCTGTTACGTATTTAAAAAGTAGCTGGTTATGTTACTTCTATCACTGTATGGTCACTTGTGTTTGGGAAAGACTTATTTGTGATTGTATGTTAAGCAGAATGCCTACAGTATATTCTAAGTTGGGGGTTCACGTTTAAGTACAAATATAGAATTCAGTCTGTGTTTCTATCTCTTTGTTTTTGACGGAGTCTCCCTCTGTCATCAGGCTGGAGTGCAGCGGTGCAATCTCGGTTCGCTGCAACCTCTGCCTCCTGGGTTCAAGCGATTCTCCTGCCTCAGCCTTCCGAGTGGCTGGGACTACAGGCGCATGCCACCAAGCACAGCTAGTTTTTGTATTTTTAGTAGAGACAGGGTTTCACCATGTTGGCCAGGATGGTCTCGATCTCCTGATCTTGTCATTCGCCCGCCTTGGCCTCCCAAAGTGCTGGGATTACAGGCTTGAGCCTCTGGGTCTGGTCCCATTGAGCAAATTCTAATTAGATTCATGATCTTATTTCTGCACTATTGCAATAGTCTCTAAGTGCCACCAACTGTTCTGCCAGATCATACCCGTCTCTTCTTCTTCTGTTATTGCTAGAGTGCTGTCTATAAAAACTCAAATCTGAACCTGATATTCATCTATGAAAGTCATAGCTGAGGGACATCTTAATGACATTAATTCTTGAATGGCTCCCCACTGCCTGTAGAATAGAACCTAAGCTCTTTACTGTTTCTTACAAAACCCTCTGTGATCTGACTCCTGATAGCCTTCCCCTGGCCTCTGTTTCATCCTACTCCACATCTTACTTCCCCGTCAGGCTTAGTTTGCTGTCCCAGAGTGAATTACCCCTTTTCCTAGATAGCATTTCCTAATGTCCTCAAGAAAAACAAATCACATACTCCTTAGGCCTCACTGTGTCCATTGTGTTTGTTTGTTTTCATAGCATGTATAACATCTGTGCCCCAATAGTTTTTTATATCTGCTTTTGTCTGCCACTAGACACTCAGATTGTTGAGAATAGGGATTGTGTCTTACCCATTGTTAGCGCTGAGCCTTTGGCACAGTAAACCTTTAAAAAGTTGGATGAAAGCATGAGTAGGCTTACCAAACTGAAAATTCTTAATGTCCATTTGACTACATAAACATTGGTTTATTGCAAAATCCTTTGCATGCTCTCAAGTATTTGATCATCTGGATTATTTTATTCTTCCTTTGATTTATCTAATAAACACATGTTTTCTTCCCTCTAAATACAGATACTGAGCTGGGCACTGGTGAATGAAACAGACATGGACCTATTAATGGGTCTAATATTGTCTGATTTAAAGGGCAAAACCAGGGTCTAATATTGTCTGTTAAAGGGCAAAACCATTTTCATGAAGAACCTTTAGCTGAGTTATGGCAGAAACAGACTTTGATGTTTACTGTAAAGTCTGACCTTGAAGAACTACAGGGATACACTTTTCTTTGCCTCTTCTTGAAATGCTGTTTTTATTTTTGTCAATTTCCTTTTGTTATAAAAGTTTAAAGGAAAATATTTAGTGGGTAAGTTAAAATGTGTACACGATACTTATGGTAAAAAATGTCTAGCCATAGAATCACTTATGAAGAGGTTTAGGAAGAAATGGATTACATCTTTCTGCTCTTAAATGTGGCGACTTCCATTAACACCCTGGAGCTTGTCAAGTTATGGGTGAGTCCAAAGTTCTCTGTGCACCTGTGGTAGATAATGAGCATTATTTAAAAATTTCTGAGTAAATAATTACATACAACCTCTGTACTTTATAAGACAGAATATAGGGGAAAGCATCCTGGAGGAAGAGGCCAGAAACGTAACTCTACGCATGGCTTTGACAGTCATCAACAGACACTTTACATGTTTCTTCATCAGTAATATACATATGATAGCCATTCCATTTATCTCACAGAGTATCATGAAGATTAAATATGAAAATAGCCATGTGGATGCATCAAATTATTTTGTTTCAAAATAATGCTTGCTTAAGTAGTCCAGAAATAAGTCTTATAAAAATGAGGGAAAGCCTCTTTTGTCTTCCTGCATCCAGGGCAAATACTGCCAAAGGAGGTAACCCTTTTTTTTGTTGAGCAGAGGGTTTTCATCAATATTCATCTACTGTGTTGTGAGTCAGCACAAGATAGACTTTTTTTTTTTATTAGACAGACTGTAACAGGATACTTTAGATGCTATCTACTGATGGAAGCTGAAGATTTTTAGTTTTTGAATAGACTCCCCTTCTCCCCTACTGACAATATGGTCACATCAAAATTTTTTGTTAATTCTGTTAATATGACTATGTAAATATCATTCAGTACTGCATAATGTGTTATGATTATGCTCTTTTGTTGTGAAAACATTCTGTTTTTCCTGTAGTTAATAATTGCTTTGTTGTTCCATTTGCTTCATTTTCTTTGATTCTATTTCCAAATTTATTCTCCTCTCCCAAGAAACGTAAAACAGTCTTAACATAAACTTCCAAGTGGCCAACTGTGCAGGGACTCTGTTAGTTCTGTCCTTCACCTGAAGGCATCCCTCCTGGAAATTTCCATTCTTCTGCCTCTGTTCTGCCCCTGCCGAGAGACGTTGCTCTCTAGGGCTGCCACGGTACTGTCCTCACCTTGGGATTTTGCTTTGCCTTTGTTCTGGGAATTCCTTTTTTCTCTCTCCTGTATTGGATTCCCTGTTTCCAGGGTCTCATGATTTCTTCCTTTTCCTCTTTTTGTGGTGGTGTACCTAACTGGGGGAAGGAGGAGTAATTTTTCTGAGTCTTTATTGGTCTGAAAATGCCTTTATATTAAGTTTACAACTCAGAAATACTTTTGCTGAATATAGAATTCTAGTCATTTTTTGCTCAAGGCATTTTAAAATTGTCTTTTATTTATATACTGTTAAGAGTTCCAATTCATTCTCAATTCCAGCTTGCCATCTTGAATCTTTAAATCCTATGAAAACATATTCATTCATTTATTTACTTGATTTTATTTTTTTAGTAGTCAGAATGTATATATAGTTTAATAATATTTAAAATACATTAAAATTATTCACTGAAAAGTCTTGCTCCTGTTCTCATATTTATCAGCACGTGTCACCTCCCTCAATACCTACAGGGATTTGCCTCCATTAATGTCTTTTATACATCCCCATGTACTTACTTATGTAAATATAAATAATTGTAGTTATAGGTTTATTATAAGCATATTCTATTTGCTTTGCCTTTTGGCTTAATGGTTTCTTGGTGCCTTTACAGGAAAGCACTTTAAGAAGTACAGACCGCTATGTAACATAAAGTAATTTGTATTAACTCATAATTTAGGATGGGTTTTTGCACACTTGCAACTACATGTTGATTAAACAAAAGGCTTATCATGGGGAATGACAAAGATGGGAATAACTGATCAGAAAGGTAAGGGCATGGAGGCAGAGTTGAAATGCTTTGAGAAAAGCAGAGCAATATTAAAAGGAAATAAGAGACATGGAGGTGGTTATGTAGAACAACTTTCATAAACTGAGGAGTATTTCCACATTTGAAAAAAATTGTTGGTATGATAGAGTGCTTTACTCTATGTGGAGCACATACAAAGTAAGCAGAGAGAGAAGTCTTACAATGTCATTAGTCATGATTCTCTTCTTTCAGTTTTTTAGATTGTGAGTAGGTTTCCATGCACATGAATGTCAGACAATGAAGAGGAAGGCCATATGAATACTATGTGTCTAGTGGCTGATGCTGGCCACAGACTTGGATCCCAGCCTGGTGGTGCCCAAGAGGTAGGGCCTCCATGTCAGAGCTGGCTTGTTTAGGGTGGTTCCCAAAGGTTTCACTGGGTGTATTAGTCAGTTTTCACACTGCTGATAAAGACATACCCATGACTCGCTGGGCATGGTGGCTCACGCCTGTAATCCCAGCACTTTGGGAGGTTGAGGCAGGCGGATCACAAGGTCAGGAGATCGAGACCATCTTGGCTAACATGGTGAAACCCTGTCTCTACTAAAAATACAAAAAATTAACCTGGCGTGATGATAGGCACCTGTAGTCCCAGCTACTTGGAAGGCTGAGGCGGGAGAATGGCGTGAACCCGGGAGGCGGAGCTTGCAGTGAGCCGAGATGGTGCCACTGCACTCCAGCCTGGGAGACAGAGTGAGACTCCATCTGAAACAAAACAAAACAAAACAAAAAAAAAACCCATGACTGGGTAATTTATAAAGAAAAAGAGGTTTAATAGATTCACACTTCCACGTGGCTAGAGAGGCCTCGCAATCATGGTGGAAGGTAAAAGGCACATCTTACATGGTGGCAGGCAAGAGAGAAGTGAGAACCAAGCAAAAGGGGTTTCCCCTTATAAAATCATCAGGTCTCATGAGACTTATTCACTACCACAAGAACAGTATGGGGAAAACTGCCCCCATGATTCAATTATCTCCCACTGGGTCCCTCCCACAACACAAGGGAATTATGGTAGCTACAATTCAAGATGAGATTTGGGTGGGGACAATGCAAAACCATATCACTGGGATCAGTAGTCTATGAAGCAGGCTCTGGGTCAAGTTTACCAAGTGTGTCAGCTCAGCCTCCCAGAGCAATAGATACTGCTTTGGACAAGGCAGTAGGCTCAAGAAATAGTTCTTGAGGATTAGTGAGGAATCATGGGGAAGTTAACTGCCCTAAGGCCTTTGGAAACCAATGGCCCTCAGACCAACAACCCTGGGAATTAGAGAAGATCAGGTCTCCCTAGACCTGTACTCTGAAAATTAGCAAATTAACAGAATGATATTGTAGGATGCAGTTGGACCTGAACAGAATAGCCTTTTCCCTTGACCTCATTTATTGAAGAACACAGTACTATTAAGGCACCCTGGGCCTGAGGGTCTATTATAGGCATACTCTAATTACAGGCACCTCTACATGAGGTGTTATTGGTTGGGGGATAGAAAGAGAATAGCAATTTTTCTTTTTGACCTTCAAGATTTTGTCACTCAGTAAACACTTTTAATGTAATGTTTTGGTCAAAACCCCTTACTTAATGGACTGAAGTGGAAGGTACTTCTGTGGTATGATGACAATAGAAACAAAAGCTAGTCTAATCTTCCTGTGTGCTCTTTCTCCTTCCCTAGTCTTAGAAAGTCTTTATATTCTACACAAATGATTGATGTGGAAGAGTATTTCTAACTGCCAATTTATCTATTTAACTGTTGTTTTGAGAGGAAAGCTCAGTTAAATACACAGACAGAATTTCTGTGCATAATCTCCAATCAGCTTTATATTAGAACTGAAAACAGTTTCTTAGTGCTAACAGACATTCATTAGGCCAAATAATTTTGCTGTGTTAACAAACTGTATAATCAATTTAGGATTGCAGCCAAGTATTAGCATGTTATTCCACATGTGACTTAGCTGTTTTCAAAATAAATCAAGTGGCAGCTTTGCAAACATGATTTAGAATAGCGGGACCAGTGCAGTTGTATATTCAGAGCATTTTAATATGAAAATAATGGAGTTAATATTTTCTATTCAAATAATGAAGAAAATGATTGTATCTTATTTATGAAAATTTAAAAAGGTGAAACCACTTGTACAAAGCACTATCAAAGTGATTTCAACCATAGGTTTAGATGAAATGATAGTGCGGAAGAGACATGATTAGGCTTGTAGAATTCCTCCAGTGTCAGGGTGCTATGTGCTGTATATAAAGCATAAACTGAATATCAATTTGTGTAGGATTATAATCTGAATAATGGCTTCATTGTTTCCTTCCCCCAAACTATTGAACTTGCTTTATTTGAGTGTGGCATAAGGTCATGAAATTTATTTGTTTATTTTATATCAGAATTGAATTGATACATCCACGTAAGTATGTTCTCATTCACGGTACTCACTGGGAGATAACTTTAATTCTACTGTTATAGTTACTGCTCAGTAATTTTGAGACAACTAACTTTTTTTTCATTATTTATAACTATCTTTTAAGCATTCCCATTGGTGACTGGTCTTAATTCCTTGACAGTATCTGCTTTTGAGAATGAGCAAAAAGTTGTTTAGAGCCAATTCTAGGAAATGAAGTAAAACACTCAAACTAGAGAATATATGAAGAAAGTAATGAGGCTCTGAGTTCCTTATGTGACCTGGACACATTTATTCCTTAGGAAAAATATGAAAATTGCTTGTGGAGGGTTATGGTATGGACTGAATGTATGGTTCCCACTGCCTGCAAATTCATATGTGGAAATTACCCTATGTGATGGCATTAGGATGTGGGGCCTTTGGAGGTAAGGAAGGTGGAGCCCTCATGAACAGGCTTAGTGCCCCTATAAAAGGGACCTGAGAGCTAGCTAGCTCTCATTCACCATGTAAAGACTCAGTGAAAAGTTGGCTGTCTGTAACCCAGATGAGGGTTCTCACCAGAACTCGACAATGCTGGCACCCTGATTTCGGACTTCCAGCCTTCAGAACTGTGAGAAAGAAACTTTTGTTGCTTATAAGCCACCCAGTCTGTAGTGCTTTGTTATAGTGGTCCAAGTGAAGTAAGACAAGGTTATTCTTGGAATAAGAGTTCTGTGGTTAGGATCTTTGACCCCTCCAAACCTCATGTTGAAATTTGATCCCCATTGGTGGAGATGGGGCCTACTTCTGTTTGGGCCATGGGACTGAAGTCCCCATGAATAGATTAATGCCCTTCTTGAGTGGGAGGCAAATTAGTTGTCTCTCCATGAGCTCTGGACAGAGCTGGTTGTAAAAAGAGCCTGACACCTCCTTTCTCTCTCTTGCTTCCTCTCTTGCCATGTGATCTGTGCACATGCTGGCTCCCCTTTGCCTTCCACCATTAGTGGAAGCAGCCTGGGGCTTTCACCAGATGCCTAATCTTCCAGCCAGCAGAATTGTGAGTCAAATAAACCATTTTTCCTTATAAATTACTCAGTCTTGGGTATTCCTTTGTAACAACATATATGGACTAAGACAAAGGATATAGGATATCAAAACTTTTTCTGTGACATTGCCTGTGAAACTGCAAAGTAGAGCTTATAGGATTTTGTAAAAGGATAAATAAAGTATTATTGTAGTTGTAATTTAAATGCATTCACATAGGACAGTTTCTTGAAAGCAAAAATATAATAATTATAAACCTTTATCCATAAGAGTTGAATACTAATCTTATATTTTAACTTTTCTAAAATGTCTGTAAATGTACACATTGACTACAAGAGTACTCTATGTACTGTGATATGTACATTCAACCTACAAAAAATACAATCCTACCTCATCAAAGTTACTTGCAACTAATATGCTGGATTTATAACCATAACTACCATTAAATGAATGTTATCCAAAAGCAATTTTTGGAATTCTTTCTCCGAATTGGGAATTTTAATAAAGGTGTCTTGGAGGTTTAAACAGAAGTCATCTTTTTCTCAAAATAGCCTTCCCTGCAGCAAGCTGAGTATTTAAAACTATTGCATTGATTTTAGAACGATGTTACTTAAAATTGCTTGCAGGTTCTTCCTATTTATGCCAGAAAATAATGGTCTCTCTTTTGTTAATAAACTGTCAAATAGATACAGGTGGCTAAAAATGAAAATACAGGCTGATTTTAAACAATTGAGAATGAGGCTCAACATAAGGAGGTCTACCTGAATAACTTCTGAGACAATCACTTTTGAAGATTTCACTCACTTGCTGCATATATATGTCCTGGCATATTTGTTAAATAAGCATAATTATTGCATAGTTACACATCATAAATATTTGAACTTGAGGTAAAAAAAATTCATATTTTCCTATAGTTACGGTTAAGAGTACTTTTCTCTCTCCACCTACGTATGACTCTATAATGATGTCCACATTTGCTTTCTCGATGTTTCTGCTGTGACCACTGGCAGAAACAGCATAGCCTACCAGATGGTCCGTTGATTTAAGTAGAGAAATTCTTTGGCCCTTATTTAATTCAGTTGTTCTACTCAATCTGCTCAGGAGAGTCTAATGAGAGAACATAAGGCTGCTGCTGTTAAGATGAGGTACATTGGCAACATTTCTGCATTTCTTTCCCACCCTTGGCTGGGCAATATTGTTAGTTTTCTTATCTTTATGAAACCATCAAATGAATCATTTAAATAATAAAAAGGTTTTCATGTGACATAATATTTTAAAGAGGAGTTCTAGGTTTAAATCCTGTTTCCTATAGAGAGTTTTAGAAGATTGGAAACACATTTATCTGTTAACAGTTGACAAGAAGTTGATTATCTCATTTAGCTTGAGAAATGTTTTGATGACCACCATGCTTCCAATGTGGAAAGATAGGAAAGGGTAGTTGGGAAGTCCTGAAGGAATGCAGTCCTTTAGAACCACATGTTTATTTCAGAAATTATCATGGCAAACACTGCCTTTGAAAAGATCCTTCCAGTGCTCACCTCCTTTTAATGTGGACCACAGTGACGCCATTTCACCCCGTCTTTCATGTGATGTTTTACTTCTGTGAGAAAAGCTTTATGTCCAGTGCACTTTTCTTTCCCGTTGGTTTTGATATCAAGAATGACAAAATTCTTGGGGAGATAATCCTAAATGTCAGTTTTCGATTAGTAAGCCTAGCAGATCTTGCATTGGAAAAAATAAAAATGGGTGAAGATCTTTGCCTTAAATTCTTTATTGGAGTTTAAAGTAATTGATGGCCTGACTCCCTCCTTCCTTCCTTTCCTTATTGGCAGTAATATTATTTGTTAGTATGTAGTATGAAAATTGGTAGATATAAGCAATATGACATTATTAAAGACAATTCCTACATTAAAGAAGACAATGACTGTAGAGACATGGGGGTTCAGCATGTTTAGGGGCTACATTGTTCCAATAAACTGCATTTTAAAACAAATTATTAACTGAAAGACAACTTCCTTAGGCAGAGGAACTATCTTGAACAAAGTAATTCACCTTAGATAATGAACATCCAGCACAGTGCCTGAGACATAAAGGATGTTGATTACTGAGGGGCTCTGTATTTAAGGATGTCTTCACTTGACCCCTACTCTTGCTTAATCACTTGCTTGTGTATAGAATTCTAAAGTCAACTTTGAAGACATTGATCCATTGTCATCTGTCATCCAGTTTTGCAAATGAAAGTTTTTTTGCCAGTCTGATTTCTTGTTATTTAAATAAGACTTTTTTGTTTTGATTCGTTGTTGGTTTTTAACTTTCTCTCTGGAAACTGTGCAGTTTTTCTCTTATTGTTGCTATTATGATAGTTCATTAAAATATGTTAAAAAATTGTCTTTAAAAAATAACTATTTCTGCTCTGTACTTAATAGGCTCATTTAATCTCATGCCTACGGTCTTTTATTCAGCAAAGAGAAAATTATGTGTTTCATTATTTTCTTTCTTCTGTTTTCTCCTTCTGGGTCCAAATTTTGCCAAGCATTATGTCAGCCTTGTGGTTTTCAGCAAGTTAACCTCTAACATCTTTGATCATCAATTGCATTATTATAAAGTGGAAATTATAATCCCCAGTAGGCCAGTACCCAGTATGGTAATTATTCTTTCTCCTTCAGATGTCTTGCTTCTCTAAGCTTATCATTTTGATCAAGGGATTTGAATCTAAATATAGACTTCTGGCTCTTAAAGTGATGTCTAGGCTGTTTTTAGCATGAAGGTTATTGGGCATGACTCTGGTCTTCCTCAAGGTAGCACTGGCTCATTTCTGAAAGCTCCAACACTGTAGCCTGTGTTTTGTGGCAAATGCAGAGATCAGCACATAGAAACGAGTCAAAGCATATATGGAAAGGGGACACATAATGTTAAATAACAAGGAAACTCTTGGAGTTTGTTTTAAGGTAGAAGTCTATAAAAGACAACAGGGGGATCTATAGTATTTTTATGTGGGTTCATCTGATGAATGGCTGCCACATTTATCTTCCCAGAAGAACAGCTCTCATCATGTCATATTCTTTGTTAAAAATCTTAACTGGATCCCCACTGCCTACAAAATTACCATCAGATTCCTCAGCTTAATTTTTGAGTTGTCCAGGAAAGATTAACTCCAATGCAACTTTCTACTATCATATCCCACTATTCTCTATATATTCCTTCACTCAAATCCAAATATGTTACTCTATGCTTCCCAGATCTATCCCATGCTCTTTCCTTGGATTCCTTCACTTCCTCCCATTTATACCGGGACATTCTTCTCTTTTAAGGTTCAACTTCATGACCTCTTCCTTTAAAAAACCTTTGCCAATCTCTATAACTCGAGGTTCTATTTCTATGTATGCCCCAAAGCACATGTTGTGTGCATCTCTTATGTGTAACATACTGCACTGAAATGACTTAAGGCATAATCTATGTCATGTTCATCTGTGATCTACTAAGGTCTAACAGTACTTCACTTATAATCTGTGCTCAGTAAATATGGTTGACTAAGTGACTGGATGCATTGTAGTCATGCTGCATTATAATGTTTTATATTGAGAAAATAAATTTGGAGGTTGTTTTGTTTTTGTTTTTAAAAAGAGCTGACTGGTGACCAAAACTGTGCTTTGTTGACTACATTGACTTTACAGGTTTTTATATTATCTATATGATCACTTCTTAATATTTATTTATTTTTTCAGCTTTATTGAGGTATAAATGACAAGTAGAAATTGCATATATTTAAGGCATACAATGTGATGTTTTGATATATGTATATATTGTGACATGATTAACATGACTAAGCTAATCCCATCATATAGTTATCATTTTTTTGGTATGGTAAATATCCTTAAAATCTACTTTCTTAGCAAATTTCAAGTATGGGTTTCCACAAATAGTGATAAACACTTGCTAATGACACAGGAGTATTGTCAGATATTTGGGAAATAGTTATTCAGCTTTCAGTCTATTTCCTGTCAGAAGTTTATATAAAGAAAAATGAAAATCAAATATAATGCTGCTTGTAACTGAAAACATTGTGCATTTAAATGAAATTTTTTGTACCATTTAGCTTGTTTTGCTCTTGAACATTATTTGAAAATAAACCAACTTATTACTTGGGATTGATGGTAGTAAGTGTGCTGAGTGTTGAGATTTATTTCAAAATGCATGGCCAGGTGCAATGGTTCACACCTGTAATCCCAGCACTTTGGGAGTCCAAGGTGGGCAGATCACCTGAGGTCAGGAGTTCGAGACCAGCCTGGCCGACATGGCAAAACCCCATCTCTACTAAAAAAAAAAAAAAAAAAAAAAAAAAAAAAAAAAAAAAAAAAGCCAGGCATGGTGGTATGAAGGGGCTGAGGCAGGAGAATCACTTGAACCCAAAAGGAGGAAGTTGCAGTTGAGCCAAGACCACACCACTGCACTCTAGCCTAGGTAACAGAGTGAGACTCCATCTCAAAAAAACCACAAAAACAAAAACATATAAAACAACCCCAAATGCATTCTCTCTTCTAGTTCTTTTCCACTGATGAAATCAAAGATACTGAACAATCCAATCTTTAAATTGGAGAATTCCTTGTAAGGAAATGTGTAACTTTTATAAAGGTACTAGCAGTTTCTTGATAAATATAAGAAAGAGTAGAACAAGACATTGTATGGTGGTTTGTTATGTGTGATTTATAATATTTGGGGAAGACCAGCCATAATTTTGTGTCTTTAGTCAGTAGAATGACATTGATTTGTGGCAAGTCAACATATTCCTTTGTATTTTTGCAATGGTGATATTTAGGAGAACAGTACTTAAGTCTCCTGAAAAGTATTTTTTTTTTTTACATCGTAGGGACTTATTCTTAGCCACACATCTCCTAAATATTTAAATATTTTAGTTTTGTTCAGGAAATGAAACTGTTTTCAAGTGTATATTAATGGTTTTTTCTTCTTATAAATGGAAAAGTACTTAAAGATAATTTTGTTTAAAAACCTCATTTTGCAGATAGGAAGATAAAACTGAATTTTATTGGGCTGAATACAGATTTTCATTTAAAATAAATATAGGATAGAAATTGAAATTGGGTTAAACTATAGCCAATAAATTGAATTAATTGCAATGCTGGCCTGGTGCGGTGGTTCACGCCTGTAATCCTAGCACTTTGGGAGGCTGAGGCAGGTGGATTACCTGAGCTCAGGAGTTCAAGACCAGCCTAGGTAACATGGTGAAACCCTGTCTCTACTAAAATACAAAAAAAAAAAAAAAAAAAAAAAAAAAAAATAGCCAGGCTGGTGGTGGATGCCTATAGTCCCAGCTTGGAAGACTGAGGCAGGAGAATTGCTTGAACCTGCGAGGTAGAAGTTGCAGTGAGCTGAGATCGAGCCACTGCACTCCAGCCTGGGTGACAAAGCAAGACTCTGTCTCCAAAAAAAAAAAGCAATGCATTCTAAATTCTGCATAATAATATAGGATTTTATTATAATGCCTAAGTGCATATGAGGTCACCTAATTGTGTCAAGAAGACAAAATAAGTATTTTCAGCACCAGGAAAGGAGACTCCCTCAAGTAAGAAAAGTCCAATTTCATCGAACTTTTCCGCAATGTTTACAGTCAGAAAATCTATGAAGAAATGATTTCTATTTTAATGTAAGAATGAGTATGATATTTTACAATTTCAGATGTTTTATCTTATATTCTTTTACTATTTGTCCCACCAGTTTTATGTTTCTTATTTTTGCTTTCTTGCCTTTTTTTGACTAATCAAGTATTTTAAAACTATTTTATTATTTTACTCTATTACCTTGTAGTTATACACTATTTTACTGGATTTTTTTTGGTAGTTACTCCAGATATTGTAATGTGCATCCTTGATTCATTGAAATGATATTGTTAACACTACTTAAATCTGTTCATTCACTTTCTACCCTTAATGTTAATATTGTCATGTTTTTTAATTCTACATAGATCTTCTACGTCACAGGACATTAATATGTCCACTCAATATTCACTTTGAATTAGCAGTATATTTACTTTTTTCACTGTTCTACCTCCCCCCTAACTTCTTTTTACAACTGTTGATTCTCTCTACCTTTTACTCTCCTTTTTTTTTCTTTCTTTGAGGTTAATTTTCTTCTACCTGAATATTTCTCTTTAATGTTTATTTTAGTGCTATTCTGCTAGTGACAAATTATCTCCAGTTTTCTTTGTATGGAAATGGTTTTAATGTAAGAGGGCCATAGGGAGAACAGTGATATTTAGTGATAAACAGGGTTAAATTAGAATGAAGGGAAAGTTGAGAGAAGAGGTTGAATTTTGTGGGATTTTGTTCCTGATTAACTGTGAGATTCAGAAGCATAGTAAAAGAATTTTAGTAGCTGGGGAAGTGTGGATGGTGAAGTAAAATAAGCCAATGGACTGCTCTTCAGTAGAGAGTCTGGGGCCTGAGAATGGATGACCTGGGAGTTCTGGACCTGTGGTGACTGACATAAATGGGGAAGGGAGAGGGCATAAAGACATTTGTGTTCAAGGACTCAAGACAAGCAATCACAGGGAAACTGTAAAGAGGAAACTGTTTCTACCACCATACTAACTTCTGTGTTCTCCTCTTAGCTATTTCCATGACGGTGTGGAGACCAGGGAAGATATTAGGTTATGGAGACCTGAAGGTTCCACTTCATTCTTAGGGAGTGAACTGTAAGAGCTGAAAATAGGCCGGGTGCGGTGGCTCACGCCTGTAATCCCAGCACTTTGGGAGGCCGAGGCGAGTGGATCACGCAGTCAGGAGTTCAGGACCAGCCTGGCCAAGATGGCGAAACCCCGTCTCTACTAAAAATACGAAAATTAGCCAGGCATGGTGGCGGGTGACTGTAATCCCAGCTACTCGGGAGGCTGAGGCAGAGAATTGCCTGAACCTGGGAGGCAGAGGCTGCAGTGAGCCGAGATTGCACTACTGCACTCCAGCCTGGGCAACAGAGCGAGACTCCTTCTCAAAAAAAAAAAAAAATAATAAATAAATAAATAAATAAGAGCTGAAAATAAATGGATTGATTTGGGAGATGCTTAGGAAGTAAAATTAGCAGAACTTGGTGACAGAGTGGATATGGATATGGGATGTGAATAGAGGGAAATGTCAAAAATGACTCCCAGATTTCTGGTTTATGCAACTTGATGTATATGGTGGCCATTCACTGAACTAGAAATGCTGGATGGAGGAAGACTAGGTTTGGGTGGCAAATGGTGACACCATCAGTTTGGCTTAGACTTTTTGAGTTTGAATTGCATGTGAGTCATCCAAATGGGGATATCAAATAGCCAATTAAATATATGAGTCTATTGCTGTGCAGAGATATCTGGGCAGAAGATAAAAATTTGGGAACATCTTTCTATAAATTGTTAATTGAAGTCTTGGGTCTGAATAAGCTGGACAAAAGAGAGTCAACAGAGAGAGGCCAGTCAAGAATGCCAATATGATGCTGAAGGACAAGTAGAATGAAGACAAGGGTCCTTAAAATTGAGGAGTTTATTGGTAAAAGATAATTTAGCTGGAGGGAAAGTTTAGTGTCTTTTTTCTTTAAATCAAGGGGCTTGAATATGTATAAAAGCCAGTGAGAGGAATCTGGTTGAGAAAAGTTAACTATCCAGGAAAGAGAAGAGATCATAATATAGAACTTCTAAGAAGCTGGGAAGGAAATAGGCATATATTATTTCCCCTTGCTGCTGTAACAAATTACAACAAATTTGGTGACTTAAAACAACACATATTTATCTCAGAGTTTTGGAGGACAGAAATTTGAAGTCAGTTCACTGGGCTGAAATCCAGATCTCAGCGGGGCTTCATTTGTTCTGGTGGGTTTGGGTGGCAGGGCAGGTGTGGAGATCCGTTTCCTTTTCTTGTCCAGCATCTAGAAGCTGCCTGCATTTGTTGGCTGTTGGTCCTGAATCGCTTTGACTCCTGGTTTGGTTTTTGCCTTTCTTTTTCTCTCTCTGTTTTCACGGAAACATTAGCTTCTCTCACTCTGATCCTCCTCTTTCTCTCTCTTTTAAGGACCCTTGTGACTACGTTGGAACCCCCTGTATAATTCAGGGTAATCTTCCCTGATCAGGACCATTAACATAATCACATGTGCAAAATCCCTTTTACAATGTAAGATTACATATTCACAGCTTCCAGGAATTAGGACACTGACATGGGGTGAAGGCGGGGGAATTATTCAGCTTCCTACAAAGACCAAGCACAGTTAGAAGGGCAGGCCCTAAAGGAAAGAAGGGAAAATTTCCTAATTTAATTGAAGAGAAAGAAGGTAGAAAATAGAAATATGGGTGGTTTGTATATGTCATAGTGGAAATACAATGTATTTCCTATTTCACTAAAGTAGAGGTTGTTTCACTTGTTTGAGGGAAGAGGCACTGGTAGTAGATCCGTAGAAGAAAGTGTCATCCTAACAACTAGAGCATGTTTTCACTTCGCTAATAGAACAGCCTGCTGTGTGCCAGGAGCCCAATGGGTAGAGGGATATAAAGATATCCAGCACAGGGTGATTATTACCTTTCTGTCACTGGGAGTTTTCAAAGCATGTTAAATATACATTTCACTGGAAAAGTTTAGTAAGTATTCCTGGGTGCTGAGTTACAAAAGATGACTTCATTGACAGTTCTAATATTTGCTAATTGTGTAAGTAATGCATACTTTCTAAATAGAATGCACTTTTTTTTTTTTTTCTTCCTGAGATGGAGTCTTGCTCTGTTGCCCAAGCTGGAGTGCAGTGGCACAATCTTGGCTCACTGCAACCTCCACCTCTCGGGTTCAAGCGATTCTCCTGCCTCAGCCTCCTGAGTAATTGGGATTGCAGGTGCACACCACCACACCTGGCTAATTTTGTATTTTTAGTAGAAATGGGATTTCACCATGTTGCCCAGGCTGGTCTCGAACTCCTGACCTCAAGTTATACACCCACCTTGGCCTCCCAAAGTGCTGGGATTACAGGCATGAGCCACCGCGCCCAGCCTAGAATACACTCTAAAGAAATGTATCATAAGGCTGGGCATGGTGGCTCACGCCTGTAGTCCCAGCACTTTGGGAAGCTGAGGCAGGCAAATCACCTGAGGTCAGGAGTTCGAGACCAGCCTGGCCAACATGGCAAAACCCCGTCTCTACTAAAAATGCAAAAATTAGCCCGGTGTGGTTGGGCACCTGTAATCCCAGCTAGTTGGGAGGCTGAGGCAGGAGAATCACTTGAACCCGGGAGGCAGAGGTTGCAGTGAGGCGAGACCACGCCACTGCACTCCAGCCTGGGCGACAGAGCAAGACTCTGTCTCAAAAAAAAAAAAAAAATGTATCATAGAATGCTACTAGAAATAATTGATCAGAAGTAAAGATATAGTAAGAATTCTTAAGAAGTTTTTCCAGATATTTGTGTAGTCAGAGCTCATGGCACTCTATTAAGTACTTGCCCTTTAACTTGAGTAATCTGATAGCTTTTTAAAATTTAATTTTTCCACTGATAGTAAAGGAATTATAAAAATTATAAGAATGAAAATAGATACATTAAAAATAACCACTTTATGATCTCCTCTGTTCTCTTGTTTTCCTTCCTAGAGATCAAGATTGTTAAAAATTTGGCATAGATTCGTGGAGGTCCTTTTCTATGGGCTTACCTATGCTCATGTGTATAGCTGGTCCTCCAATAAGGTCATTTTCTTCAACATCATTTTTATCTAACATGGTTGAGGAAAAAAAAAATCTATTCCGGGATTAGGCCACTGTCTGTGTGAAGTGTGCACTTTCTCTGTATGTCTATGTGGGTTCTCTCCAGAGACTCATTTCCCCCCACTTCCCAAAGATGTGCAGGTCAGGTTAATTTTGATGTCTAAATGGTCCCAGTGTGAGTAAGTGTGTGTGTGTGTGTGTGTGTGTGTGTGTGTGTGTGCAAGTGTGCCCTGTAATAAAATGAGGTCCTGGCCAGGGTAGGTTCCCACCTTGAGCCCTGAGCTGCCAGGATAGGCTCTGGCCACCTGTGACCCTGAACTGGAATAAGCAGATAAATCATTAAATCATTATCTCACTTGTTTTTACTCATCTTTCTTAAATGTATATATAGCTCAAATTTATTTCAGTGTTTAATATCAGAAGTGTTTTGGGTCTTTATTTAGAAGTTTGGTGATGTTTTTATGACCAGAAATGTGCCATAGGACCTTAACTTATGTATTTTATCATTTAGCCCATGGTGAAACTGGTTTAAATCTTTATTATGTCTTTTGGCTTAAAGTCACGGTTTCTAAGAAATGATTGACAATGTTAAGTAAGGATTTACTATTTATATAGAAGTATAGGATATTTTATTGTTTTTACACAAATGGGGTCATACTAAGTAATATTGTATAATTTGTTTTTTTTTAAATTGGACACTGTGTTTTAACAGTTCTTCGTTAGTCCATACTTTAGTTCTCTTAATTCCTACCCAGTATTCCACAGTCTGAATATATTACATTTTATTCATATGTGACCATTTCCAGTATATATGGTGTTTCCACATTTTCTCTTGTAAACAGCGATGCAGTGAACTCTTCCAGATACTTTTCTAATCATTTATGCTCCTTAGTCTATAGAGAACCAGAAAAGGAGTGCCTATGTCAAGGGCATGGCTTCTCAAGATTTTTACAGGTGCTGCCAAATTTCCTTCCGTAACATCTGTTCCCATCTATATGCTTTTTATCAGTATTAGAGAATACCACTCTCTCACTTGACACTTGTACCAGCCTTTGGCTTTATCAGTCATTTACATTTTTGTCCAACTCATGAAGATGCCTTATGTTAATGTATGTTTCTCGTATCACTGATGAGATTATCTTTTTAAGTGTTTATGTCCAGTGGTATATTGTGTGTGTGTGTGTGTGTGTGTGTGTGTGCGCGCGAATTGTCTTTTCGTTCCTTTTTTTTGTTCATTTTTCTTTTGGGTTTTTTTAAACTTTTCATTTTTAAAGAATGCTTTCTGTATTTGGATTATTAGTTTATTCTTAAATATATTGCATATATACTTACTCAATATGTGTTTTGTATTTGAATTTTATTTGTGGAGTCTTCTATAGCATTAAAATATTTATGAGTCAAAATTGTTTTTGTAATTCCTTTTAGGCCTTACTTTGGAAGACTTTTCATATTACAAGATTATTAAAGCATTCTTTTTTTCTTTTTTTTTTAGACAGAGTCTTGCTCTGTTGCCCAGGCTGGAGTGCAGTGGCACGATCTTGGCTCACTACAACTGCCACCTCCCAGGTTCAAGCAATTCCCCTGCCTCAGCCTCCTGGGTAGCTGGAATTACAGGTGCACACCACTAAGCCCAGCTCATTTTTGTATTTTTAGTAGATACAGGGTTTCACCATGTTGGTCAGGCTAGTCTTGAACTCCTGACCTCGTGATCTGCCCGCCTCCACCTCCAAAAGTGCTGTGATTATAGGCGTGAGCCACCACGCCCGGCCATTAAAGCATTCTTGAGTTATTTCTTCTAACATATTTATAAACTAATTAATTTTTTAGAATTTCTTTTTAGTTGTCTAATGTTACAGTCTATTTTAGAGTATGGTGTTAGGTAAAAAAATCTATATTTTGTTTACTCGGGTATAGTTAGTCTTTTTAGAAAGTCTTATTCTTTATTGATTTTCAGTGGCATCTGTTGCATGCATGCACACACGAACACACGAGTCTGTCAGCACCTTTTTAAAAATTGGCTAACTACAGTTTTATTATATATTAGTGTATTAGTCCATTCTCACACTGCTATAAAGAACTACCAAAGACTGTGTAATTTATAAAGAAAAGAGGTTTGATTGACTCACAGTTCAACTGGCTGTACAGGAGGCATGGCTGAGGAGGCTTCAGGAAACTTAAAATCACGGCAGAAGGGTGAAGGGGAAGCAAGCATGTCTTCACATGATGGCAGGAGAGAGAGAGTTGAAGGGGAAGTGCTACACACTTTCAAACAACCAGATCTCATGAGAACTCACTATCACAAGAACAGCAAGGGGGAAATTCGCCCTGTTCATACCAGATCCCTCCCCAACCATTGGGTATTACAATTCAACATGAGAATTGGGTGGGGACATAGAGCCAAACCGTATCAATTAGGTACACCAGGTATGTGAAGATCCCCCTCATTGATCTTGTTTGTCTGCCTTTCTTGGCTACAATTGTACATTTTCTTAACTTTGAAATAGTTTGGCTAGCACTGAAATGATCTGTTCCTTAAAGGTTATATAGAATTTTTTTGTAAATCAAACCGTCTAGGATTTGGCCACAATTTTTAGCAGTATCTCTTTGACAACTGTCTTTCTTCTATAGCAATTAATTTCTTTGAATTTTATGGAGTCAATTTGTATAAATTATATTGTCCAGAGAATAATCTATTTCATTATGTTTTTTTGCATAAAATTGGGGGAAGTAGTCTCTTATGATTCTTATCATTTCTCTGGTATTATTTCTTATTTTGTATATTTTGGTACCTTCTCCCTTTTTCCCCCTAGATTTGTTTCAGTATTTATCTGTTTTATTGTTTTCCCCAAAGACCAGATTCAGAACTTATTAGTTTTATCATTTTACCTTTTTTTTTCAAGTTTTAATTTCTACTTTTATATTTATTAGTTTATTCTTTCTGATTTCCTTAGGTTTAATTTAATAATTTTTTTAAAATTTTGGGATGTTAGTAAATTTATTTTTGTTTAATATACCTGTATTTAAGCTTATGAATTAGAGTCTGAGAATTGTTTTAGCAGTATGAGATATGATATATAGTGTTTATTATATTTATTATTATTACATAGACATTTTACACTTTCAATTTTCATTGTTTTCTTTGCCAGAAGAGTTATTTGAAGAGTCTTAAAATTTTCAGATGCTAGGAGCTTCTTAACCCCAGATTGATTAGTGATTTTTCCTTTTACTGTATTGTGATTAGTAACTATTATCTGTATTCTGGAATTTACTGGGGTTTTATCTTTGATGTCCAATGTGATCAAGTTTTTTTTTAAACCAATTTCTTAAACAGAAGGGATATTCTCTGATTTCACCTTAAAGTTAAATATATGGCAATTAAATCTATTTTATTATGTTACCCTATTTATATATTTTATATTTATACCTACTTTTTAATTCTCTTGTTATTCAGGCTTTGAGAAGGTTGGATAACAGTCAATTAATAGTATGTTTCCATCTGATTATCTTTATACCTATTTTAGAGTTTGCTTTACAAATGTGTACTATATGACACCGAGACGTTTATAATCATTTTATTTTTACTGTGAATTACACCATTTAGCATTATAGTGTTTTCTTCCTTGCTCCTTTCTTCCTTTTTATTTTTATTTGTCCTATTTGCTTTTGCCTATTCTTATGAACAGGCAACTTGATGAAACACTTGGTTATAGAGGGTTCTCTTTCCCATAGAATAGAGCAGAATCTGTCTTATGATTCAACTGAATGTTTTTCTTTCAATAGGTGAGTTTAGCTCTGCAACATCTCTGAGATAACATAAAAGTTTAGCATTAGTACTGTTATTTTATGTTTTCCAATTTATAGATTTTTGAAAAAAATTCACAAGATGTTCTGCTTTCTTAGCTTTGTGTTTGCTCTTTTTATTAGAAAAGTTTATATTTCTGTTATGATTATAAATGTAACTGTAGGAAAGTTCTTAATCCTCTTATTTCCTTAAAAATGATCTATTATTCCTTTCTGCAGATGTTTCCTCTTCATCCTCCCTTTTCTACCAGCTGACCTTAGCATTATAAAATAAATTACTTAGAATTCTCCTATGATTTATCAGTTTAAAATATCTTTTTGATCTTAGTTAGCAAAGCAGTCAGTTTATATAGTATATACTGCATACCATGTCCTTGCTCCCTCAGCTTTCATCTTTTTGAAAAATTTTATCATTCATATTTTCATATTGAAATTTCATAACGATTCTTAAATTGTTATGGCTCATATTACTTACGTTTTATTATAGCAACATAATCACATACATGATTGGAATTTAGTACCATGATTGATTTCAGTGTTTATTTCAGTTATTTCACTCAGGTTTTTACAATCACTTGGATGACTAAAATTTATCTTCTAGTAAATTCCTCAAGAAGATCCTATGAAAACAAGATTTTATATATTTGTAATATGTTCAAAATTTTGAACATTGTCCGTTGCCTTTATAATTAATGAGTTTGATTGAATTTAAAAATCTCATTTGTATTTTCTTTTTTCAAGGATTTCATGCACATTACTGCATCCAGTGGTGTATCTAGAGGGCAGTGGTGTCCACTGAATCTGACTGTTGAATGTTGCTGTGGAGAGATTTGACAACAGACTGATTCCTGCCTTAAAACAAGCTACTAGAAAACTTTTGCCTTGCTGTTCAAAATGTTTCAGTAATTTTACTAGGAAGTGTCTTAGTGTTGACTGTTTCTCTGGGGAACTATGTGACTTTCACTGAGTTTTTTTTTTTTTTCTTCATTTTGAGATAGGGTCTCCCTCTGTTCCCCAGGCTGGAGTTCAGTGGAGTGCAGCCTCAAACTCCTGGGCTCAAGCAATCCTCCTGGCTTAGCCTCTTGAATAGATGGAACTACAGGTGCTCACCACCACACCTGGCCGTATTTTTTTATTTTTTGTAGAGAGACAGGGTCTTGCTCTGTTGTCCAGGCTGATCTCAAATTCCTTGACCTCAAGCCATCCTCCTGTCTCAGCCTCCCAAATGGCTGGGATTACAGGCATAAGCCACCATGCCTAACGATCAATAAGTTTTGACTACAAAAAAGTCTTATATTTTATTTATTCTTTTCTGCTGTTTTGGTTTTCTTCTGTGCGGATTTCATTTTCTGTCTAATGTTTCTTAAATTTAAGATAATTTTTCTGGCTGGGCATGGTGGCTCACATCTGTAATCCCAGCACTTTGGGAGGCCAAGGTGGGCGGATCAGGTCGAAAGATTGAGACCATCCTGGCCAACGTGGTGAACCCCGTCTCTACTAAAAATACAAAAATTAGCTGGGCATGGTAGTGCATGCCTGTAGTCCCAGCTACTCGGGAGGCTGAGGCAGGAGAATCACTTGAACCCGGGAGGCGGAGGTTGCAGTGAGCTGAGATCGCACCATTGCATTCCAGCCTGGGTGACAGTGTGAGGCTCCGTCTCAAAAAAAAAAAAAAAAAAGATAATTTTTCCTCTCAATTTGGTTACTTCACTGTTAGAGTGGAGGGGAAAAAATGGCTAGTGGTGGATCAGATCAGCTCATCAACTGTAAAGACTGACTCTATGTCATTTACTTAAGGAAGTGAAAATTCATAGTAGAGTATGATGAGCTGGTAAAACCAGAGTTTCTGAATTTACCTCTGAAGATCTAGGCTACATATTTATTGCTGCAACAATCTATGTTAAGAATTTTCTTCTCAATATTCATGGCCAACATCTGGCTTCTAAAGGAAAGGCTTTTGGTCTTTTCAATCACTTGCTGATAGGGTGAGACTGCATTGTTACCCATAACCACATGACCTAATTTAGAATCAATCTTGGCATCCAGTCTTGCATTTCTAATCAAATTTACAATCCACCTTTCAGCTTCTTCTGGAGTCATGTTCAATTTATCTGCCAACATGTTAATGCTGATACACTGGTGGATGCGACAGAAAGTCTCAAATATGAAGAGACGGGCATGAATATTGAGAAGAAACTTAATTAGAATAGCAGGTCAGAGGCTCCTAACTGGGCAACTCAAGATTCTGGCTTCTACTGAAGAACCATAAAGAAAAGATGAAAAAAAAACTATTAAAGAAAGATGAAATAATAAAACTATTATATAAAGGGTGACTTACATTTTGGAAACAACATATTACGTATAAATTTTGAAGAATTGGAATAAAATTGATTCATTTAAAAAAAAGAATTTTCTGAGACTGGTGTTCTCAAGACAACATTTAGATTTAGTGTTCACACTAGTGGTCACTAATAGAGCTGTGTCAGATAGTGAAAGAATATCTACATTTTCCTGTAAAGAAGACTTTGTGCTTTTGTTCAGAAAAAAATCATAAGGCTAACAATTGTTAAGATGAGAAAGGAGGCTTGTCCACTATGTAACCGGAGTGACTAGTCTTTCCACATTGATTGTATGTGAACATAAGGCCTACTGTGTACAAAGAACACTCTGCTAGGTATTCTGGGAGAAGCAGAGAAACTAAGAGACTCAGTCCTAACCTTAAGGATTATATTTGTGTTGAGTGGAAAAAGTAGAGCCTGTTGAAGGATTTATAAGTTATCAAAACAATGCATTAGTAAGTCTCAGGCAAGAAAGGAGAAATGGAAAAGTTTAAGTCCTAAAAAAAATTACAAAACAGGGAGTGATATGATTTATATGGAGGGATGGCTGCTTGATGGAATAAATTTTGATCTATGTCTTTGAGAGAGATGATGAACCTAGCTAGGCAATGAGTTATCCCAAGGGGGCACAGCACAATAGTGTGAGATACAGGGAAAGATGAAAGGACAGTGCAAGTTGTATTTTGTGTGAGGCAGGAGATTGGCTGGATTAAAAAAGTATTTGTAGGACTTGATATTCAAGAAACATCTCCTTATTGCTTTTTTTTCTCTGTATAAAGCCACTGGGGGCTTTATACAGTCAGATAGACACTGAGATGGTCAGAGAGAAGTTAGACATGCCACTGCCCTCAAGGAACCTCCATTCTAAATAATATAGAATGCATCCACATAGGAGACAGTAGCTGAAGTTTGAATAAACTGGTGTATGAGAAAGAATAAAGTGGTAGTATTGCAAGGACAGGTAGGGTTTGAATCTGTAAAATGAGATGAAATAATACTTACTTTGCAGGGCTGTTAGAATAAAATGAAATAACATATGCAAAGTGCTTAACACTTAATGGGCAATTGATATGTGTTTGTCATCTTTCCTTCCTTCCCCACCTCTCAATTCTGACATAACTTGTATATAAAAAGGAGAGATCCTTGAAAGATGCACAGAAGTGAAATTTTCAGAAGAGGTGTGACTGGCCTTGGGCCTTCATTGTGGGGCTTAATGAACTGAGGAACATTATGAACAAAGAGGTGGGAATACAGAACATGCTTTTGGGAGCTTCGTTGAAGTTGAGTGGGAGAAGAGATTTGAAAGGGGGACTTGAAACCTAGAGGTTGGATGGTACTTTTGTATTAGACTGGTGCAAATGTAATTGCGGTTGTTGTCATTACTTTCAATAATAAAAACCCCAATTACTTTTGCACCAACCTAATAGCATTTTTCTTCTGCCCAGATTCCACTTTGTATACTATAATAACTGATGGTTTATGTGTCACCCTGCATCAGCTGTTTTGGTAAAGAGGAGTCATGAGTTGATTAACTTTGAATTCTCCATAATAAACAGCACAGCACTTTACACATAGTAAGGTCTTCAATACATATTTATAAAGCAGGTTAATCAAACAAATGCTTGGGTACGTCAGGAACAAGGGCTGTATGAATGTGACATTTTATGCTAATGTATCAAGCTATGTATTTAATAATAAAATGTGGAAACACATGTTGTAGAGTGGAATAGTGGGGTGCCTTGGAGAGAGCCAGATTACAGTTTTCTCCCTGGCTTAGTGGCTATGGACTTTGTGAACTTGGTCAAGTTCTTTTGCAGTATGTGCTTAAACCCAAGACCATTTCTTAGCTGCCTGCTCTTCTGGCCTTAATTTCCTCATCTATTCAATAGCTAGTACCTTATAGAGTTGTGAGCATTAAGTGAAAACTAGCTCAGTGCCTGGCACATAATGGGTGCTCACATAAATATTATTGATAATCACAATAATAGTTATTTTTATTTTTCCTAATTGAAATATTGATATGAAAATATTTTAAGTGACACATTTACTCTTGTTCTATCCAATTATCAAATAAAATTCTAAATAATGTACACTGCTATTCTGTAATATTTTATTGTTGACTCTGTTGTGTTAAAAACATCTTATAATGTTAGTTTCGTTTTTGGAGATAAAAGACCAATTCTCTGCAGCGGGAGTTTAAGGAGTGTTTTGTTAGTGTCTGCCTTGGGCTCTTCCAGGCCTTCTGCAAACTTGATTTCCTTTGATCCTCACAGCAGTTCTGAAAGTTTTGGTCATAGTTTTTTATCCTCATTTTTGCAACTGAAGAAAATTAAGGGTCAAGTGACAAGGTTAGTGAGTGGCAAAGTCATTTATAATAATTAATGAGAAAAAAGAATAGGCTGAAGTTAAATTTGGAATCAGTGTCTAAAATAACTAGGAAGTAAGATAAAGCACAGTCAATATGAGCACCTGCAAAGGATTACAGAAAAATGAGATTCCACCTGTCTTAAGTATGCAGGGTGCTATCTTGTTCAGTCTGCTGACTATGAAAAGTATCGGTAAGCTTCATTTTTCAAAGACATTTGCCTTTTTGATAACATAGTCACAAAATGCCAAATTTTGCTCTTCATAATTTTCCCTGAAAATTTAGAAACTTAGTTTTCCAGTGTTCTGAAGGGATGACCTATCACACACACGTAAACAGCTAGTCATCTATTAAGTGTTTTTAAGCCCTTTTAGGGCATGTATATATTGCACTGTAATCTATACAGGACCTGGATACTGTTTTGAATTGAAGCGTTCATTTTATACATAGTGTTTAACAGGCTTTATGGTGTGATACAAAACAGCATTTCTAACTTCCCCATCATCTAGACTTCAAACCTCAGAGTAAACTTTGAGACCTTGACCCTGTGTTCACATCAGTTTTCAAGTTCTGCATATTCCTCACCTCTATTCACTTTTCAAAGCAAGTGCCGTTTCCTTCTTGCAGCCTGCCCTGATCTTACCCCTATTGTGCAGTTGCTTCTACCTTGGTGCACCCTTGATACTTAGCATTTAATCACTGTTAGTCTCAACTTACCACTGAATGGGATATTTTAACTTAAAAATTAATATCTCTATTCCACTATGAGACAGTGACCTTAACTGTCTTAATAATAGTGTGTTCCTACTGCCTGATACAGGGTTTGGCAAATAGTACTTTGCTTGATAATTTAGTGAAATGAATTACTTTCATTATGATGGAACCCCAGTAAAATTTTTGAGACCAGAGATAACACTTTTTTTTTTTTTTTTTTTTTTTTTAGATGGAGTCTTGCTCTGTCACCCAGGCTGGAGTGCAGTGGCGCGATCTCGGCTCACTGCAACCTCCACCTCCCGGGTTCAAGCAATTCTCCTGCCTCTCAGCCTTCCGAGTAGCTGGGACTACAGGCACGTGCCACCATGCCTGGCTAATTTTTTGTATTTTTAGTAGAGGCAGGGTTTCACAGTGTTAGCCAGGATGCAGAGATAACACTTTGTAATATTTGAAGGCTAAATTGAGAAAAGAAGACAGATAAGGCCAAATATTATGGGTGATATTCTTGAAATTATTTGTTACCATGGTCTTTGTTATTGTTGGCTTGCTGAAAAGTAGCTCAAGGTTAGAACAGAATCTTTTACTTCACAAATGCTAACCCCCCATCGCTGTATTAGTTGGTATTTGCTTTCTTGGTAATTTTCTTTTAAAAGATCATGATAAACCTAACTGGATAAGGATCAAATTAATTAATGCCTCCAAAATAGATCTGTGACTTTTTATATTAAGCGCATTACTGCCACTCCCAACTACCATTCTGAGGGATTTTTGGTTTTGAAATTCAAAGCAGGGATCCTTGGAGTTGTAGTGTCTCTTTTTTCTTTTGAGGAATATGAGCTCACCATGCATATTAAACTCACTTATGTATAAAGCAGTAAAGTGAACACTGCCTAGTAGCAGTCAAGATAACGAAATGGAAAGTTTGTGTCTGTGTTGCTGAGTATCTTCCATTTTGCCTTGTTACTACAACAACCACATTGTAATCTGGAAATTACCAGTTCTTCTCCCGCTGAAGGCAGTGGGTCAGGATTGAAGAGCATTGAGCAGTTCAGTGAAGCTTGTCCAGATGTCAGTCCAGAAGAGATTTTACAATTGTAAAAGCTCAGATTAGTTTTAACGTTGCAATCCTTTTTGTCATTTTTGAGTGTTTCTTTCATTTTTTATTTAGACTTCATTGAAATTTTTCTTGTTAGTTATAGATGTTTTCCATTGTAAACCTCCTCCAGCCTCCCTCCCCTAGAAACATTAGAATAAACTTTTCAGTTTTTATGAGAAGAAATGCAAAATGGTCATTAAAATTTTGAGAAAGTTTTGGCAGTGGTTATTTTTTAAATGCTTTTAATGGAATGAAATATGCTACATCACACACATTTGTGCTTTTTAAAAACATAAGTATTTGAGATTGATATATTGTAGTTTAATCCCCTCTTTGTATTTAATACTATTATTTAGGTTTATTGTTAAAATAATATTTAACAGTGTGTGATATCAAGGATAGCTGGAAGGCTTATAATACAAAAATTTTAATGTTTAGGAAATGAAAGATATTAATATATATTAAAACTCTTTTATTATACCATAGAAATTAACACTTTGTGCCAATTCTAACCTCAGGATTATTTTTTGTGCCTTGTGTATGTTCCAGTTGATCTCTTCATCAATTTTATGAATAGCATAAGTAAATTTAGTTCATTAATATATTTATATACTTTAAATAGACCAATGTAAACAGATTCTTATCTGCCATATGTTGAAATGCTTTAGTAAAGACATAACTGCCTAGTCAACAAAGATGGCATTGAATTGCACTGTTTTGGAAAAAAAGTTGAGCGAACTAGATGCCTGTTAATCTGGTTCTTTAAATATCATAAACAAAAGTATCAGAATGTGTTTCCAAGGACAAAGGCGGGGTTTTCCGGGCTTTGATTGGTTGCTGCCTTGTCCTGTCCCACAGCCATCCTTAATTGGCTTTGGGTAGATTGGAATCACATAAGCAGGGTGACATTTATTACTTTCCTAGTTGTTTCATTGCACTGAGCCCTGAGATTCCCAAGGAGTAACCATAAAAGATTTCTTTTATTTTGTCCATGACCTACGAGACAGGATCATTCTAAGAAGAGCAGGCATGAGTTTGAGTGCAAGAAGAGTCACTCTGCCTGCAATAACGCCAATAATTCTACAGAAAAGGGTATGTGACTTCTTTATCCTTTTTTTCTTTAATTTTTCTTGCTGCTTTTTTTCCCCTGTTACTGTGTGTTTATTAATACATAGGAAGCTTTACTTACATACCCTTGAAAGAGCCTATAATTCATTAAAGTTGTAGGTAAAATTAAAGGACATATTATTGGAATTGAACTAGGAAAAATAATACTGCGCTAGGACATCGCTATAGTTAAAAACTTTCACCTAAAAGAAGTTTGATCTCGATTTCAGGTCACTGTGATTTAGAGACTGTATTGAAACTTTTCCTTTTTTTTCTTTCTACTGTAACTTCAAGCCTCTTTGTTTTTAGCTCAGTAGGAAATCTGCTGTTATGTCTTATATTTGTTTACTAAGGAATAGTTTCTTTGTTTCACCATAATTCATAATATATCAATCTCTTCATTGTTGAATAGACTATACAATTATTTTACTGTTTAAACATGTGTTACCAGTTTATTCTCAGGTTTCTACCCATTTCTATTGAGCTTCTGCGTATTTGCTTAAGAAAAACTTTCCATTAAATTCCCCTGTGAAAGGGCTTTCTGTTAATTATTAATGCAGTCAATCCTGTGTATGAAAATATTTTATTTATTAGTTTTTTGTAAAGATTATTTTTATGTCTCACTTACAGCATTGCATTTTACAAGGTGGTATATGCAACCATGTCATGTAGTCATAGTAAACTTTTCTTGTAACTCTCCAAAATAAGAACATTGCACTGGACTTCTTAAAGAATCAAATCTGTCGCATTGAGAAGGAAGGCACTAAAACTCAGTTTTGGCAATATGCTTACCAAATGGTTTTGGTGACACTAGAAACTGTAGTGTTTATTTTTGAACTCAACTTTTAATAGTTAACTGTTAACTATCAGTGCATTCCATTAAGTCAAAGGTCATGTTGCAATTTATTTGAAACATGGCAAATCTAACAGTTAAAGTGGCTATAGTTTTTAAAAACGAAGTGCCTCTTTACTATTTTTAATTTTTAGATTTTCAGCTTATTTTCTTATCCAGTCAACCATTTATTTACTGAGAATATTTTATTTGGCATTGGAACAGCTATATGATAATTTTGCCAACATGAGTTCTTTATCTTTCTTGAGGCCTTTTGCTAATTGTAAGCAAATTTAATTAAAAATATTTTGCTTTGGGTTTTAACTTTTATTTGGAATTGGACTTAGCAGTGCATTAATAATGACAATATAGGTTCCTGGACTCACTGAGGATGTGAAAAGGCATATTAACATTTATCAAGTCTATGTTCTCATGTTTGAATTCTTCTTTATCCGGTTAATATTGCAGTTTAGATTGACTAAGAAACTTCTATCATATGGTTTGTTTTTGATGACATGTTGGTATGATGGAAAATGTACTATCTGGACTCTCCATTTACTAGCCCTGTGACTTTGGGCAAATCCAGTAAACTCTTGGAGTCTTTACTTCCTCATCTGTATAACAAACTGAGGAGTTTTCAGTAAATAATATCTTCAGTCTTATTTGTGTCTATAATTCTGTGAACCAAATATTTTATATTTTCATGGTTATAGTAAAATATGTAAATTATTTTTATTATTTTAGAATTATTATAAAACATTAGGAAAGAATGCTGTAATTTTCAAGGAGTTTGAACAATTAGCCTAGGGGAAATTGGTTATGGGAAAACTTGGCTAGAAAAATAACTTCTAGCACTGTTTGCCAAGTAGGAAAACAAGATTACTCTGGAAAGCGGTGGTTATTATTGATGTTACATCTGAGCTGCCAATGGTCACCTCATTGTGATTTATCGTGGTATTTTAATAATAAGCTTCTTGTCAAGTTTCTGTTATAATATTTATAAAAGTCAAAATTCCCTAGACTCAAGTCTATGCTATTTTTTTCAGTGAGTGCACATATTTTGGTGTTTATATAATTTAGCACACCATTATGTGCTTCTCCTGATATTTTAACTCTGAAAATACCCATTTGATTGTTCTGAAGATCTTAATGTCTTTTATTTTAGGAGTTGGGTATTTTCTGATTTAAAAATCATCCATCTGCCCTGGTCACACCATGATTAATTTTTTCTTCCAATATAAGAAGTTATTTCATACTTGTAATTAATTTATTTTCCATATATGCCATAATTTTAAATGATCTTATAAATCAGTACAAGCATTTCTCAGAGAATTTGGGGAGCAACTTATTTTCCCATGAAGGCAGGTGCTTTTTCCACAGGTTTGGTGTAAAGTTCACTCATCCTGAATGAGTGGCCCTTGACAAATAATTTATCAAATGGAATCCTAATCATTTAAAAGGCTGAGAGCATTCTGAAAATGCTCCGTAGCAATAGGGAGTAATTTTCTTATCAGGTAGTGTGTCTGATCCAAGTGGCTGTAAGTGTCTCTGGTAGTGCTTAGGAACTTGAATTTTAAACATGGCCCTTCATGTGGTATAGATCTATTTTGTAGCAGAGAAAGTACGCCTTGATCTTTGAGAAGAAAGGTATTTTGGTAGATTCTCTATCAAGTAAATTGGAAAGAAAATGTTCACTTCCAAATTCTATTAGGATCTGATTTCTCTGATTTAAGTGAATTAAGGTTCTGGTGAAGAACGTTCCTCATGTGCTTCAGAAACGATCACATCCTCAGCAAACATTGTGAATGAATCTTTTACCTCATCGCATTTTTCTCAGATCATCACTAGGTTGTAGCTTTTTACTTTTTCAAATGAGAAGACTGAGTCTCTTGGGTGTTGAGTGACTTATGCAAGGTCACCCAGAAGGTCAGTGGCAGAGCTAGAAATAGAATCTAGATCTTGTGACTTCCAGTATGCTTCTCCTAGATACGTGTTACCTCCTGAAATTAATATGGAAATGAAATTGCCTTATGGTGGGTATAATTGCCATTCAAGTCTGGAATTAGCTTAGGCAAATCCTTTCATCTTCCTCTGCACCTCCACCAACTCCCTTATGCTCTAGCATAGAAAACATTTTATTCAGAAAGCAATTGTAAGCAGCCAAGTGTGTGTGTGTGTGTGTGTGTGTGAGTGTGTGATAGAAAGACAGTTTATACCTGGAACTCCAGATTGGCACATTACATAAAGAAAACATTTTAAGGTCCCGGAGAGTTAACATAAGGCTCAAGTATTGTAAAGTATAAACTAAGTATAATATAAAATTCACATTCTTTTATGGAAACACTACCAGGTCAGAAGGCCTTACATCCATATCCTGATTCGGTGGGTCAGGCATATTTCATGTCTCTATCAGATTAACATTTTTTGTTTGTTTGTTTATTTGTTTGTTTTTTGAGATTGAGTCTTGCTCTGTCACCCAGGCTGGAGTGCAGTGGCGCCATCTTGGCTCACTGCAACCTCTGCCTCCTGGGTTCGAACGATTCTCCTGCCTCAGCCTCCTCAGTAGCTGGGACTACAGGCGTGTGCCACCACACCTAGCTAAATTTTTGTATTTTTACTAGAGAAGGGGTTTCACCATGTTAGCCATGATGGTCTCCATCTCCTGACCTTGTGATCTGCCCACCTCGGCCTCCCAAAGTGCTGGGATTACAGACATGAGCCACCGTGCCCAGCCAACATTGTTTTTAAGTTATGTTTGCAAACATTTTTGCATTCTTCATCCATGCTACAATTACAGGAGATGTTCATAAGCACACAAGATCCTGAAGTATCTTCTGAAATCTCAGAGAAAAAAAGGGATACTTTTAATGACATATATTTTTTTAAGATTCAAATCCTTTTGAAAATTGTAAATTCATGAGTGTAATACGGAGCAATGCCATTTATGAGAAGATCTAATTCCCCATTCATATAAGAGAATAGTTCATGTTATAATCATTTCTTTCCTCATACAATTAGACTAATTGCTATGATTTTCTAAAAGTGATTTAGTGGAGGAAAGAACACATCATCACATCACTATTTTTCCCAGAATCTTTTAAACATGCACAAAATCAGTCCAGGCTTCCTTAGCATTTGCCATGCTCCAGGGCCTGCCTGGCCCTCAGCCTGCCCAGCTTCCCTTGAAGCCTTCACTGCAGCATATCGTTTGCCTCCTTGGGCTTCAAACGGCTTTTAAAATCTGTATATCTGCACTTCTGCTCCCAGAATTGTGCTCTGCAGCCTATAGACAACACCAGGCTCATTTGCTTTCCCAAATGCTGTCTATTGCCTAAGTGTCGGCTCAGGCTGTGTTCTCATCCTAAAGCCTTCTAAGACTCTTTTGCTTCACCTTTATCTTCAAGGTGCCTTGATTTAGTATCAGTGGACCCACCTTTATTACTCATTTGTCAATTCAACCACTACAGCCCTGTAACATCAATTTTATTATTACCTTTTAAATAATATTTAAGTCATATTGCCGTCCATAGGTGTGTACAATATGACTTTCAGTTGCTCTATCTTGTTTATTTTTGTATATCTTGGACCACCATTTGGTTTCCAAAAGTTGTCTTTTGATTTTTGGTCTTACAACTAGATCTTAGTATTTTAAAGGAAGAAATCTTTAAAATGTTTTGTCATTTATGGGCAGAATGTAATTTCATGTAACCAAAAAACACAAAGGACTGTGGATTAAGGAGGAAAAGAGATTTATTTTTCTTTCACTTTACAAGGATAAGTCCAAAGCTAATGTTGCAGCCCCACAATGTCCTCAGGCAACTGAACTCCTTCTCGCTTTCTATTATTTCTTCTCTAGTGTGGGTCCTTTTTCCTTTTATGGAAAGATAAATGTAAATTTCCAGTCATCCTGTTTACAGTCTTTGCACAGAGAATGTGAAGGACCAAGAACAGGCTCGTGAGTTTTATACCAGTTAACGTGCCATTGTGGAGTAACCAGGAGTTTCTGCTTACATCTTGTTGGCCAACTCTGGATACAAGAGGAGTCAGGAAATGCGGGCCTGGAGTGTAGCACACTGCCCTCCTCACCAGAATCAGGATTCATCAGGAAGGAAGAGAGGAAGGGTGGATATTGGTGGGTAACTCGCCATCTCCTCTACAAGTGCCTTGGACATATTAGACATTTAGTAAATATTTGTCTGGGATTTTTGTTATTCTGGTGCCAGATATGAAATGTAGCTATGCTTTTTGAGCAAATAATATTCTATTACTTGTATAGGGATTGTAGGTATGGTAATAAGTGGGGAGAGAGCAGATTTCCTGTGCAGAAGAGGGTCGTGGAAGGCCATGGATGGTGGTCTTAGTTTAGATGGTGGACTTGCTTGGAAGGTGATAGTGAAGTGGTAGTGGGCATTGTTACTGCTTTTTATCCAGAGTTCTCATTCTTGCTAAACCTTGATATTTCTCCTGCCCTTTTTACTTTTGTACAGAGTAACTTAGTTGCATACTCAACCAGGAAGGGTGTCACACAGATGAATGGTATTTGCATTTTAGTGAAATGTTTCTTTTCCTGAGAAGTGAGTTTTTAGGAAGTGTGTTGTAGCAGATTATATGTATGCTTTAGAGCCAGGAAACCCAGAGTTTGAGTTCAGCTTCATCACTCTCCAGTGCCCTGGCTTTGGGAGCATTCTTTCAAAACCCTCTGAGAATCAGTTTCTCTATCTTGGGGATGATGATGCTTCCTCACAGAACAGTTGTGAGGATTCAACAGAATAAATATTTAGAAGCATTTCACACATAGTAGAAGTCTAACAAATATGAATTTCCCTTTTTCCCCACCTGTGAAATGGCATGTTTTACTAGTTTCATAAACAGTTTAAATTTCCCTGTGACTGAGAATTTAAACTTTCCGTGCCCTATTCTCCTAAAGTGGTTATCCAAAGATTTCATAGTAGAAAGTGAGTCAAACAAAAAGTGGTTTTTCTTCATAGATTTCAGCCAGGGAGAGAAAGACAATATATCTTTCAAATGCTTGCTCCCACTGCTTTCCTTTCTGTAACTTTAGAAGGTCTCTAATTTGAATTAAAAAAAATGAATCCAACTATATACGCTGATGAATATATTTTTTAAAATCTTTGGGAACGTAGATTTAAATACAAGATAGGTGGTTAATTACTCCTCCTTTCAGTGTCCTAAGGAGTATTAGACGGGGACTTCTGGGTTGTATATTTGAAAGGGATAAAAGTAGGTCTAGTATTAAGACGTTGCTTCAGTAGGCAAGTGGTGTTACTATTAATAGAACCTTAGCTGTATGATGGTGAGAACTTGTTACTTTTGATCATCATTGAACCCCAATGCCCAGCACATAGAAGGCACAAAGTTGGTATCTAATTACCAATTAGTTGGATAAAAACAATTTTTGTAAAGGCAAGATTGAGCTCTTTAGATACTGACCTGCTATTTCCTTCCTAATATTTGTCTCTGTTGCTTTTCTTTAATTTTTGCCAAGTTTCTCATCTTTTGGGATGAAAAGCTGTAATGCTCAGGCCTTTTCATTACCTTTATCTAGCTCCAACTTGCTGCAGTGGGCAATTTGGTATACCCTTCACACAGAGTATTGCCCTTCACAAAGAACAATAAAAAATAGCAGCTACAACATGTTCAGCATTGATTACACATTCACTTTAACCCTCATAAGAACCCTAAAAGCTTGGTGGCCAAACCCATTTTTGGATGAGGAAAATTGGCTTAGAGAGTTAAGTGTCTTGGCCAAAGCACCTCGCTCATAAATGACAGAGGTGGGACAGAGGTCCGGGCCTCTGCTCCACCTAGCACAGGAGGCTGTCCCTCAGAATTGCCTGGGCACATGTACTGCATAGCTACTCATCACCGTGTAGCTGCAGTAATTTGTCCTCTCACCTGTAGTCTTTTCATGGGACGAATCTCACCTTTTCTGCCAATCTGCCTTTTGCTCTCCTAGTTACTTTTCCTTGCTGTGCACTCAGTTTTGCCTCAAAGACATAGTGATTCAACCATCAGGTCAGAGTTTCTTAGAGCTCAACAGGACTGTAGGGGTCTCTTGGGACTTATTCAGAAATGCCTTATTTTGCTTTCAAAATTTTATAATAATAATTGCTAACATTAGTTGAGTGCTATCAGTTTGCCAGCATTTTGCCCATTTTACAGTATGAGGAGTCTAAAACTCATGGCTAATAATAAGTTTGGGGTCTGAGATCTGATCACAGCAGATTCCAGGATCCCCTGTCCACTGTGAACACCTGGGCTGAACCCCCATGAGTACAGTTGCTGGGCATCATGATTTTGCACACTGTACTGCATGTTCCACATTTGGCAGTGAAGGCTGATTAAAAATAGCTGGGCTAATGAACGGTCTCAGACTACTGCTTGGGGCGGTCTGTAGGGCTGGCTCTCATGGCTGTGCCCCAGAACTCTAAGCCAAATATTAAAAATAATAATCTCTTTTTTGGCAGGAAAAAAAAGAAGCAAGACTTTTGGTAATTTCAGATTCTAAACCCCTAGAAAGGATAAGGATTTTCTACCCCTGTAGGATATTAATAATGCTTGCTATTATGATAATTCTCAAAGAGGAATTCAAAATTTGTTTTGGCAAGAACAGCATTGTCAGAAAGCCTCCTAATCAGACATGCATATTTGAACGTATACATTCAGGCTTTGTTTGGGAAAATACCAGGAATTATTATTTTGCAGTTTGAAAACTGAAATTATCTTGGGTAGTTTTATCAATATTTGAAGAAAAAATTTGATATAACTGTTCGAAATCCCAGCGAAAACTCCAAGTTTGAGTTCCAGGAAAGGTTCCTGGTGAGGTGACACATATGTATATATACATATGCCCCCCCAATCCTTCTTATTAATGTTTAATATGTAGAAATCATTTATCTTAAAAATTCAAATATTTACTAATTCTGAAAAAATAGATATTAACTTTGTCACAAGCTTGTGATTGTATCAAACAGAAACCCCATAGTTTTAACAAGGTTGCAGTTTTCGAAACATGATATTTTCTCTATTTGCACAAACTGAGAAATAAAGACTCCCTCTGCTGGCTACTTCAGTATTTGCAATTATTCTGGCGAGAAGCTATGAAAAGTGAAAAAACAAAACAAAATGAAGAAAAATAGTCTTTTTTTGACACTCAAAAAGCTAGGTGCTTTGGGATATATGTATGTATACATCTAATTATGTTCTAGTGTTTATTTATCTAATACTTTTATCCAAGATGTCATGTAGAAGCAGCAGCTTAAAGCAGCCTAAATACTGGACGAACAGAATGGTAAGAATACAGCATCAGGTGGGAGCCAGAAATGGGGTTCTGTGGCTGGCTCAGCTGGTGACCATTTGGAGGTCCTTGAGCAGGTCAAGACTCCAGCTTCAGCTTTTTCATTTGTGAAATGGGAGGATTTCAGTGGATGTTCTCCAGGAACCCTTCTAACCTTTAGTATTTTATGATTCTAAACAGTATAGATTCCATTTCTTTTACAACACTGTGCTCTATGCATGTCTTTCACTGATGTAAAATAAATATTTAGAAAAATGTAAACTAGTACAACCACTATGGAAAACAGTATGGAGATTCCTTTAATAACTAAAAGTAGAACTACCATTTGACCCAGCAATCCCACTTCTGGGTATCTACCCAGAGGAAAATAAGTCATTATACGAAAAGATACTTGCACATTCATGTTTACAGCAGCACAATCCACAATGGCAAAATCGTGTAACCAACCCAAATGCCCATCAGTCAACGAGTGGGTAAACAAACTGGTATATTTATATGATGGAATACTACTCAGCCATAAAGAGGAATGCAGTAATGGCATTTGTAGCAACCTGGATGAAATTGGAGACTATTATTCTAAGTGAAGTGACTCGGGAATAAAAAATCAAACATCATATGTTCTCACTAATATGTGAGAGCTAAGCTATGAAGATGCAAAGGCATAAGAATGATACAATGGACTTCGGGGACTTGGGGGGAAAGAGGGAGCAGGCAAGGGATAAAAGACTACAAATGGTGCAGTATATGCTGCTCAGGTGACGGGTGCACCAAAATCTCACAAATCACCACTAAGGAACTTATTCATGTAACCAAATACCACCTGTACCCCAATAACTCATGGAAAAATAAAATAAAATAAGAAAAGTAAATAAATAAATATTTAGAAAAATGAAGGAAAAGTAAAATTACAAAATGGGTATACATCAGTTGTTCCCAGTGTTTGTTACTGCATGGGAATGTTAGGATCTAGAAAGTGATGTTTTGTACACTATTATAAGTTTATGAAATAATACCCCCAAATGTCCTGGGAAGGTTGAACATAGCATATTTTATTGATTGTATGGCACTTTAAGTTGTAAGAAGCATCATTATTTTATATACTTCCAATAAAACTATAACATACCATTAAGGGTAAGTTACATCCAGGTTTCAGAGAAGTTAAATGTGAAAAAAATGTGCTTTTAAAAAATCAAGGAAATAAGGTAGTTCCTAAAAGGGCTTCAATTGATGCCAGACAACTCAATAATTGCAATAAAGTCTGATGTGTCTTGGGCTCTAGCAAACAGTATCTTTCTCCACCTCACGTTTTCCCTCTCTTCTAAACACTTATTCCACCTCTGCCCTACTACTTGTTCTTCTTTCTCACTGTGTGAATCAATTTTTAACTTTTTCACTTAGACATGTCTTATGGCTGTTCTGGGAATAAACTATTGCTTAAAAACTGAAATGAGATCCTGAAATAACATTGTGTCCAACATAAGCATGGCCAGTGGTATTCTGCTTTAAATATGAATTAGCATTAGCACTTGCAGAGGTTTTCTTGTTTCAAAGATGAATTAGCCCTGGCATCTTAGCAGGAATTGCATGAGTATTAAAAACACTGAAACTTCAGAGAACACAGCTTTGATGAAATCATCGGAAACTTTAGTGTGGGATTTGTGATTTGAACCTCTTTATTATTCATATTGGATTTAGGTCTTAACATGTGTGTCTGTGTGTGTGTGTCTGTATGTGATAACTTAGGATATTTTCTAACTTAGTTGTTAATGTTTGCTTTCTTTTATAATGAAATTGGAGCAGTTTCTTTTATCTTTTTTTCTGCCACATAACAGAGCCAACTGAAAGGGCTTGAATTTCTCTTTGTCAAATTGAACCCCCACTTGAGTTGGAGTCCTTCTTTCTACCTAATAGGAAGAAAGGAGGCCCAAAGAATGAGTACTCTTCATGGCTCTTGGCCTGAGACAAGGAGAGCAGAAAAGGTAAATAATAGAGTAGGAGGATAAAGGTGAATGGAGGGGCTTTAAGGAGATGTCCTGAGCCTCTTCTTGCCTGCAGGCTTTTTTTCTCTTGGTTGGAACCCTAGATGCGGCATGCTGCTGCAGTGTCAGTGCCCCAGGCTATCTGGTGTGACAGTGCTAACTTCCCTTCTGTGCCAAGTTTAGGGCATTTCCAGTAGTGAGACCACTACTCTTTAGCCTGTTGCTGGATGGGAAATTAATGCATCATAAAACATCATCTGTGGATTTTGAATTCATATCCAGGACTCCTGGAAGCTCTCTGTGGATCCCCAGGAACACAAATTCTCTATTTCTGAATCTCTTTAGCCAGGCATGACCCTATAATTTACTGCAGAAATGTAATATCATACAAATCTATACCAGGGCTGGGTTTTTACAGAGCTGGTGTGGAGATGATCCATCTTGCGACCTTAATGATAAGAGCTATACCTCAAAGATTGTGAAAGGACAGAAAGAGCCTTGGTCAGGGGTGACTTGATGGAACTGCCTCACCAAATCCTGAGCTGCCTGCCCTGGTTTCAAATGTGAGAAGGAAGTCAACCTCAATCTGGCTAACCCATTGTAGGTAGGAATGACTTTCTGTTATTGTAGCTGAACCCTTTCCTAAGTGATTAAGTCATCATGTGGATATTTATCCTGATTCTCTTACCACTTTGTAATCATATTCATGTAAAACTGTCATTTTTATTATTAAATAACATTTAATTTTTAAGAATTATTTCTACGTTGCCAACTTTTTAAAAAGCTACCCATCACTTGTGTATCTTGAAAAGCATTTCCTATTGTGGTGGCCCCTGGCTAGTTTGCACTGATGGAAACCAGTGTACCACAGTACCGGGTGAAGGCACCCCCTCCTCAGGCTGCCTGGCACCCATGCTTACTCCCTGTCCTCATAACTTAGCCCTTCTGCTCTCCATTTAGTGTGGTCTGGTTATTCTTTCCTGAGTATTGTTCACTCCTTTCTTCCTCAGTATGTTTGCTCATGTTTGTCCCACACAGGTGTTTTCTTACCTTCTTTCCTTATTCTTTCAGAATCCCAGATATGAAATGGCTCTCAGCAGTCACCTAAGCCACCTTTGTTCAGTCCATAAGTTTCATGAAAATTTGCCTAAATTTTCTCTTTGGTTCACATGTGTCTTTTCTCCCATAGAGGTTTTCAAACTCCGTGAGGTGTCAACACTACCATTTTGGAATTCACTAATACTGTCTCATACAGGGGTGTACATGATGGTTTCTTTCATCACTGAAGGAATCGTTTTGACTGTCGCTGTGTGCCCCACATTTTGCTCACTGCTGGGGATATAAAGAGGAGAAAACAGTGGTCCCTGATGTCATACATCGTTCTTATGGTGAAGGGCAACACGTAGTAATTATAGTTGCACACTTGCATGCTTGCAACAAAGGGCCTGGACCTAAGCTGGAGGGTCTTTGGAAGCTTCCTCCCAGAAATAATGGTTTATCCTAAGATATGAGGGAGCAGAAAAAGTAGAGGGTAGGGAAACCGTGTTCTAAGCACAAGCAGTAGCATGTGCAAGGGCCCTGTGTTGAGAAGGAGCATGACTTTTTCAAGAAACAGAAAAAAATGTAGGATTGGAGTCAGAGGACAGGATTGTAGGGAATAAAGTGAAAGGGGGTACAAGGATGTGGAATAAACCTGTTTGTGTCAATCCTTGTAATTCTGATATTGGTGACAGTATCTGTTTTAAGTAATGTCTTATAACTAATTTAACATGTACTGTTCATGCTCAAGGAAAATGTGTTTTTGACTATCCCTCGCAAGTGGAGAGGATTGGAGGCTTTTCTTGCAACCTGATTTCTCAAAACTATATACTGTTTTTCTCTTAGTAAATATTTGACAGCTAGCAAAATAATACAGGATAGCAATAAGAAAGCAGTGGATATTCTTGAGCTGTTAGGGTCTTTTGGAGCAGTCTTTATTTTTAAAATGCAAAATTTTAAAAACACAATTAGAGATTTGGAATAAGTAATAATGACTACATTGCTTCCCATTCCTTTTCTTTCAAGGGAACTACTGAGTTGCTTAATTCAAGATATCTAAAAATGTCTCTTGTTATCTTAGGACACTGTGTTTCTTATTTATAAGAATGTAAAAATTCAGGACTACTCTGACCCTGATATAAAAATATTTCTCATGAAATATTAGTACATTGCCTATCTATTAGTACATTGCCTATCTATTAAAAATAATAAAGAAAAATATTGAAACATTATAAGCTCTTTTATAATTTTACTGTGGTTAGATGATAAACTTTCAAAGAGCTGTAGAAATAAGCTTAGCTTTAGGACACAGTTCAGAGCAAATTCCTGTGAGCCTTGTTTCTTTTATCTTGTATTAACTATATGTTAACTATACATATATAATTAATAGATACAATACATAAATTAATGAATTTATATTTCTGTTTAAAAATTATATATGTCTCATCATGCTAAGGTCATATTTAAATATGATATTTAAAATAAATTTAAAATAAATATAATATTTAAATTATTTTAAATTGAAGACTAATTAATTAATAGTAATTTAGTTAGGTTTAACTATTGAATTTAAAATTTCCTAAAATAGAAACTTTGACACAGAAGATAACCATAGATAACTATGCCCAAATATCTTTTTCTTTCACTTTTGCTCTTTTTTTTCTTTCTCTTGCTTCATCTTATGGATTCTTACTCATTGTTTTATGTTTAATCCATGCTCATTATTTTACCTGCTGAATGATGATTTCTCTTCTCTCTATTCTTGAAGAAACAAAGAATAAGTGGGGCAAACCTATGGCATAATTAATGACTTTCCAGTCATGGCAGATCCAAAGCCCTCTTCTGCTCCGTGACATTCTCAAACGACCATTGACAATGCTGAATTCATTTCAAATATTCTAGAATGAATTCACATTGAAAAGGATCTGGCTATCCCATGCCATCCCATTCCTTGGAGTCAGCAAGGAGGAGGAGAAAGGCTGACTGCTTAGCCTTTGCTCACTTTTTTCCTTAGTTATAGCTTTCCAAATATGTTCTTAGAATTTCAGGTGATGCAGAGAAATACTAAGTATGCTTTGGGAGCAAGGTGATACATACTGACTTGACTTTATTTTGTTTATTTATTTTTAGAAATGGCCTTTGACTTTCATTTTAAATATTTTGTCGCTTTTAGTCTAGAGGCTTTAAAAGGCCTCAAGTTTTTTTTTCTGAAAAGTTACCATTTCTTCTTGTGCTTTAACATTGTTGCATCTAGTATTCTAAAAATGGGTTGTGTTAGTTTTTTTAATCTCTTTCCTCCACTTACTTTTTATGAAGAGCAGTCTAGGGGAGGAGTTGATGTGTAAAGTGTATAAACATGCCTTGATAGAATGTCAGCCAAAACAGAGATTTGCTTCACCCACATTCCAGCATATCCCTGCAAGGGCTGCAGTGACTACGTATTAAATTTGCATTGCTAGGTGCCATGTGCTCCTAGGGCAGTTTTTGAAGCTGTAAACTACTCCAAAGGCCAAGGTTGTTGTGATTGTCAGGATTAGAGTGACACAGAAGGGCTTTCCAACACAGGCAGTGTGTACAATCTTGGCCTTCTTTGGACGCTCTGTTTATGCTGGTGGGTTGTTATAGATAAACATTATCAGTGCTATGTTTCTTTTGCTAGTCAACTTTCAATCCTTTGATGGAACAAAATTTCTTCCTATTCTTCTTTAGGGTCCAGGAAGAATTTCTTCCTGTTGGCATCCAATTTCAAAAGATCTTGTAAATAAATTGATATGAATAATATACTCCTCACTCTAAAGCAAGCTATGAATTTGGGCCACTGCACTGGAAATGTATAATATCCTTTTATTAAAGAAATGTATAATATCCCTTTATTAAATAGCATGATTATATAATGTTTAAATTTTTTTTTACCTTTTAGTATGTATAGGAAATAGAATACTAATATTTTGCTTCAGTGGTTCTTAAGAACAGCTCTGCTATTTGTTTTTTACATGATCACAAAAGTCTTTAACTTAGTTTTAACCCATATAGTCATGCAGTTTTTGTGATGAGTTGAATTCTTCTTAAATAGGAAGGTTTAGTGTAGTAATTCTTTGGGCAAGAGGCATATTCAACTCTACTAGAGAGTTAAGGCTTCAGTTGTCTTTTCCTTTTATATATATATATATTCTTTATTGAGTCAGAGTGTTGCTCTTGTTGCCCAGGCTGGAGTGCAGTGGCGCGATCTTGGCTCACCGCAACCTCCGCCTCCTGGGTTCAAGCGATTCTCCTGCCTCAGCCTCCTGAGTAGCTGGGATTACAGCCACTCCTGGCTAATATTGTATTTTTAGTAGAGATGGGGTTTCTCCATGTTGGTCAAGCTGGTCTCGAACTCCTGACCTCAGGTGATCTGCCCGCCTTGGCCTCCCAAAGTGCTGGGATTACAGGTGTGAGCCACCGCACTGGCCCTTTCATTTATTTTAAGGAGGAATAAATAGAAATTAAATGAGACTTTTTAACAAAGGCATCCCATTCATCGTATAAGGAATTTTGATAATTACAGACTATATCTAAGAGATGACAGAGATTTACTGCGTGGAATATCAACCTAAATATAATTCCGTTATTCATAGATGAACGTGTATTTTGGATAAGTGTGAGCATTAAATAGGATTTTTAAAAAATAAGGGCTTGAAATGGATTTCAAACAAAAATATTAAATTTTTCTCTCAGCAGGTTTTATTCATTCTAACAATGAAATATATGCACTTATTCCAGAAATTCAAGTTGGCCTAAGCCCCTCTAAATTTGTGCATCTCAATTCTTGTCAACTTATGTCTAAATTTGCAGTGACATAGTCTGAAGAAAATAGTGGCATATCCTGATTATTTAGTCACTTTCTCATTTTATCCAACTTTACCTCTTGCTCTTTTCTAGCCCTTTTTTAAAAAAAATTGGTTTAGCCTTCAGAATGTCTCTAGTTTTTCATTTTCTTAGCTTCTCTGAAATAAGAGATAGAACATGCAAAATAAGAGGCATACTTCTGTTACCCCAGGTGATGAGAGCTTACTGTAGGAAAACATATGGGGGTAGTCAGGAGGTGCAGAGAACATTTTCAGCAACCCCTAGATCATTCTTCAGGCCCCCCATTTCTTGGCATGGAATGTGCAGCAGGGAACAGAAACAGTGATGTTATTGCTGCATATGAAAGAGCAGTCCCAGAGTTGGTTCCTCTTGTTCTCTCAGGAGTGGTCATCTTCACATCATCTTTGGCAGAAGCACCCACGAGTGTTTAGTCCAGGCAGTTGTAAGCACAGCAGCATGCCTCAGAATTCCATCAGTTTTCTAGTATAGATGCACATACTGAAGATATATCCTTAAGAGCAGTGGCCTACCAAGATGCAAACATGAGAAACACTGAGACTCCAAATAGACCTTGACATCATAGGGCATGACATGTATTCACCAAAATTTGAATGAAGTGAAAATTCAGAGAGAATAGCATCTGATTTTGACAGTGTGTTTTTATGACCTTTTTCATATGACTTAGTATCAGCCTCAATGACTTCAAAAACTCAGAACTGCCATATTGAGTCAGTTCCTACCTAGGAATTTGTATGATGAGAAAGTATTTGTCTCTTACTCATTGAGAATATTTTTAATTTTCTGAGCATAAAAATGGGAATTAATTATATACTCAAAGGCAGAAAATACTTTTCTATTAAAATTTGCCATTATATAGAGTACCTACCATTTACAATGCACTGTGATAGGCTTTGTAAGTGGTACAAAGTTCCCTCGCTCCACATATCTGTATTAAGTCATGTATCACCCTGGGGTAGGTTCCTGTGATACAATGATAAATTATGAATAAAGAGAGACTTTTCTTAAAAGAGTTTTTGCTAGGAGGGTGATACAGTTTGGATATTTGTCCTCTCCAAATCTCATGTTGAAATTTGATCGCCAATGTTGGAGGTGGAGCTTAGCAGGAGGTGTTTGGGTCATGGGGACAGATTCCTCATGAATGTCCTGGTGCTATATTCATGGGATTGAGTGAGTTTTCACTCTTAGCTCCCAAGAGATCTGTTTGTTAAAAAGCATCTTACACCGCCCTCCCCTCCCTCTTGCTTTCTCTCTTGCCATGTGACACCCCTGCTCCCGCTTTGTCTTCTGACATGACTGTAAGCATCCTGAGCTCCTTACCAGAAGCAGATGCCAGCACCATCCTTCTTTTCCAGCCTGCAGAACCATGAGCCGAATAAACCTCTTTTCTTTATAAATTACCCAGCCTCAGATATTCCTTAATATCAGCACAAAACAGTCTAAGACACATAGCTGGGGAGAAAGACATGCAAACAAAAAGTTACAAAATGAGAGCACATAAAAGAGGCGCATTATGAACCCTTGGACAGTCAGGGAAGGCTTTCTGGAGCAAGTGTGATTGGAACCAGGGCCAAATTTAGGTGGAAGTTTGCCAGAGAAAGCATGTTGTTTGTGAGCGGAGCACTGAAATTTCTTCCAGGTAGAAGGAATCACACGTGCAACTAAGAAAGAATGGTTTGCAAGTGTTTGTCTTATTTGGTTTGGGTCACATAGTGATCTATTCCATAGGACACTAATCCTATTTATAGGGGCCCCACCTGCATAATGTAATTACCTCCCAAAGGCCCCACTTCCAGATATCATCATCTGGGACTAGGGATTCAACATGTGAATTTTGGAGGGTACAAACATTCAGTCTATTGCATTATGACTTACTCTGTGTGGGCCCCATTTGCCCACAGTTGTTCTTTTAGTAACAGTAGCAGCTCCAGCCTACATTTTCCCAGGCTTAGGTCCAGTAGAAAAGGAAGTGTGTGCCAAGGTTATGTGAACATATATCTAAATTGGCTCTAACTGCTTCTGATTAAGTCACATGCTCATCTGTTAAATAATCACTGTTGTCTGGGTACTGATTAGTCAATATAGAAAACATCTTCCACCCTGGAGCTGAGGCGATGGTGCACTGATAAACTGGCTCTAAAAATAAAAATTTTAAAAAGACCTTATATGTAAAATTTACTGGTTTCTATCATATAAATACTTCCATCATGGCTGATTTTAAGATGCCTGGCTTTTAGAGCTCCTGAATATTTAATAATCAGCTCTTGCAAGCCAGTTCCAGCAGCTCCAGCAAACTGTCACTGAGCTGAAGGTGGAGCTACCAGAGCACCAAGTCTGCTGGTGAGGGAGGGAGTGGTACTCTAAAAGGAAATGTATCTATCTATCAGAAGAGGAGTAGGCGACTGGTAGACAAAGCCAAGTAATTTTGCACGTACCACTGAAGAATTTTTAAGTGCTCTTATATCATTTTCTTGAATAACATTTTTAGGGACCATATAATATTCCATTCTGTGAAAATACTGTAGTTTGCATTTTTTTTTTTATTGTTGGATGTTTAGGTCAATAGAATGACACATAATGCTTTGCTGGACATGTAATGCCTAAAGCCATTTTCCATATTTAGTTCAGATGTTTAAAGTAGTTTGCTTAAGAAAAATTGCTGGGTCAAAGGAATAGACCATTTAATACTTCTGGTAAATATTCTCCAATAGATGTACAAAATAGTTTTACCACTTTATATCATTGTAAGAGAGAGCAACTATTTCATTGCACTGTCATTAAGTATAATTTTTAAAAGATAGGACAGAATTGATATATCATTTTAATTTATAACATTAGCTGCTGTAATAGATAAATCCTAATTCACAGTGAGTTAACAGAATAGAAGTTTATTTCTTGCTCATGTCAGAGTCTTATATGGGTTTTCATAGTTAGGCGTCTTCTATGTGGTTATTTAGGAACAAAGGCTCATTCTGTCTTATGGCTTTCCTTTCCTCTAGGCCTTTGTAGTCATTCTGTTCAGTGGGAGAATGGCAAAAAGCAATGGAGGACAATATGTAGGAGATTTTCATGGGCCAGGAAGTGTAACATTCTATATGCTTACATTCCATTGACTAAAATTCAATTCTTTGGCCACAACTAATTGCAGGGGAGAAAAGAGAAAGGATTGGGTGAACATCTGGCCAATTTTTACTGAAATATTCATACCTGAGATGGAGAAATCTTTTCATAAAGTCTGATTCTATTCCCTCCTTGTACTACTTGAGTATATCTGCAATAAATCACCCATGTTACTAGGGTTATTTACGGAATTTAAATATAGAATATGAAATTTTATTTTATTTTATTTTATTTTATTTTATTTTATTTTATTTTATTTTATTTTATTTTATTTTATTTTATTTTTAGATGGAGTCTCACTCTGTCACCTAGGCTGGAGTGCAGTGGCACGATCCTGGCTCACTGCAACCTCCGCCTCCCAGGTTCAAGTGATTCTTGTGCCTCAGCCTCCCAAGTAGCTGGAATTACAGGCATGTACCACCATGCCCAGCTAATTTTTTATATTTTTAGTGGAGATGGGGTTTTGCCATGTTGGCCAGGCTGGTCTTGAACTCCTGACCTCATGTGATCCGCCTGCCTAAACCTCCCAAAGTGCTGAGATTACAGATGTGAGCCACTGTGCCCAGCTATAATATTGATAAGAGATACATAGCTTTTTCATAGACCAAAGTGGTGGGGAAGTAATACTAAATAGTTATTGAATGACCTTTAGTTTAGACACTGAAGAGAATGAAAGTTGTCGGACAAAGTAGCTTTGGCACATAAACAAGTCTTGGATAGATAACATTCATTCAGTGTATAAGAAAATTAAATGTAGAAGACACTGTATAAGGAATTATAACTGATTAATCTTTGCTGACTTACCAGAATGATATTTTAATAAAATATTTTAATAAAAAGGCTACCTGTGGATTGGGAAAAAGTATTTGCAAACCACATGTAATTATAAGGGTTAATATCCAAAATTTATAAATAACTCATACAACTCAATATCAGAAAAACAATTAACCCAATTAAAAATGAGCGAAGGACTGGGTGTGGTGGTTCATACCTGTAACCCTAGCACTTTGGGAGGGTGAGGAAGGCAGATCACCTGAGGTCAGAGTTCGAGACCAGCCTGACTAACGTGGCGAAAGCCCGTCTCTACTAAAAAAAAATACAAAATTAGCTGGGTGTGGTGGCGCATGCCTGTAATCCCAGCTACTCAGGAGGCTGAGAGAGGAGAATCATTTGAACCTGGGAGGTGGAGGCTACAGTGAGCCGAAATCGCACCATTGCACTCCAGCCTGTGCAACATGAGTGAAAGAATGAAACTCCTTCAAAAAAAATAAAAAAAGCAAAGGGCCTGAATAGACATAAAAATGGCTAACAGGTATATGAAAAGGTGGTCAACATCACCAATCATCAGGTAAATGCAAATCAAAACCACTATGAGATATTACCTCATACCCATTAGGATGGCTGTTATCAAAAAGACAAGAGATAACAAGTATTGGTGAAAGTGTAGAAAAAAGGGAATGCTAGTACACTGTTGGTGAGAATGTGGATTGATACGGTCATTCTGAAAAACAGTATGGATATTTGTAAAGAAATTAAAAATAGAACTGCCATATATGACCCAGCAATCCCTCTCTTGGATATATACCCAAAGGAGTTTAAGTCAGCATGTCACAGAGATGCCTGCACTCCCATGTTCATTGCAGCATTATTTACAATAGCTAAGATATGGAAACAACTTAAGTACCATGTCCCACTGATGGGTGTATATTGGAGCATATATACATAATTTATTTTATATTTGCATTACACACACACACACACATACAGATACACACAATGAAATACTATTCAGCCTTAAAAAATAATATGCTGCCATTTGCTACAACATGGATGAACCCAGAGGACATTAAGCTTAGTGAAATAAGTCCTTCTTTCTTTTCTAACAGAAGGAAAAATATTGCATGATCTCAGATGTGCTGTCTAAAAATAAGTCAAATATGCAGAGATAGAGAACAAAACAGTGGTTACCAAGGACAGTGGTGGGGTGGAGGGAAATGAGGAGATGTAGATCAAGGATACAAAGTAGCAGATGTGTGGGATGAACACATCTAGAGCTCTAATGCACAACATGAGAACTATGGTTCATAATAGTGTATTGAATTTGGAATTTTGAGAAATGAGTAGATTTTAGCTGCCTTTGCCACACTTGCAAGAAAATGGGTAGCTATGTGAGGTGATAGACATGTTAATTTGTTTTACTATATAACCATTTTGCTATTTATTTATATATATCTCATAATATCGTGTTGTATACTTTAAATATATACAATAAAATTTATTAAAAACACAAACAGGAATATTTTAGGTCTTTTTCTTGTTTCTACCTACACAGGTGATTAAAGTATACAGTGAAGATGAAACCAGCAGGGCTTTAGATGTACCCAGTGACATAACGGCTCGAGATGTTTGTCAGCTGTTGATCCTGAAGAATCATTACATTGATGACCACAGCTGGACCCTTTTTGAGCACCTGCCTCACATAGGTGTAGGTAAGGATACGGAGTTATTGTCTCACATCATTGCTTTTCTATTTCTTGTTCAGCTCCCTCTTGAACACCAATAATTCTTAGATTTGGTGTTTTGAGATAATTTTCTATATCTTGTAGGTGATCCCAGTTCCTTTTCATTCTTTTTTCTTTTTTTCCTTCTGATCATGTATTTTCAGATAGCCAACTCATTGATGTTTTCCTCTGCTTGATCCATTCTGCTGTTGAGAGCCTCTAATGAATTTTTCAGTTCAGAAAATGTAGTTCTCAGGTTCACAATTTGTTGTATTTTTTAAAAAATTCAATCTCATTGTTAAATTTATCTTATAAATATCTGAATTGATTTTATCAGTTTCATCCTGGCAGTCACTGAATTTCCTTAAAGGTGCTATTTTAAATTCTTGGTCAGAGCTCACATATCGCTGTCTTGCTGGGGTCACTAACTGGTTCCTTGTGTCTGTTTAGAGAGATCAAGGTTCCCTGTTCGCTGTTGTTTTTGTGGATGTGTGTCTGTATCTTGGCACTGAAGGATTAGTTATTTATTCGAGCCTTCTTTACCTGGCTTCTTTTGTTCTTTATTGGATATATTCCTTAGAGGTTTTTGCCCATAGGTCATTGCCTTCTTTTTGGCTCTAGGTGGTGCCTTAAACCTAGGTTCGCCTTGGCTCTAGTGAAGGTCAGAGCACTGCACTTTCCAAATGGGAGAGGTTCCCAAAGGGGATATCCCAACAGTTTGGGACAGCTGGCTAGGGACCCATGGCCAGGGGACCTGTGGGATGAACCTCCTATCGTGTGGTGCTGCTGAACAGCCACTCTGATTTGGTGTCTCCTTTGGCTGGGTTGCAGAGCAGAGTTTCTGGGGCTGGGAATGGTTGTCCTGCCCCCTTTTATGTCTCTGCCTGTCCTCAGGGATATTTCTCCCATCAGGCAATCACGATGCTTCCTATGATTAAGACAGAGGCAGATCTTCTGCCAGGGAACCCAAGATGGGGTAAGAGGTTGTCTACCTTAATCTCACTTTTTCTGGTGTAAACACAGTGAGTTGGGGGAAAGTTTTTCACAAGCTTGTGGGAGGGGCATCGTGGTGGATATGGAAGTTTGATTCTCTTACCATCTGGAGCTTTTCTTTACTTTCCTGTCGCCCGTGGAACTGCCTCATCTTCATATTTGAGTTCTGGGATACTTCTGGGGAAAATCTCAGTGCTATTTATTTGGTTTTGGTTTTCTGTTGGGGAGAGTGAAGCCAGTGGCTTCTTTGCCATTATTTTTCAGGAAGTCCTGCTTTTCTGTTTATTTTAGTATAGATCCTATGGTGAAGATTTTCTTCCGAGGTACAAAAATAGAAAAGAATTATGAATAATCATTTCTTTATTCTTTTATTTTTTGTTATTTGTAGTCACAAGAGAAAGAAAGTAGCGCAAAGTAGAAACAAGCCTAGAAATTTTTATAATTTACCCACCCCTCTTCATTTAAAGATCTATGGGAATTTTAGACCTAAAACAGCTCAAATTGATGGAAGAATACATTTCATAATAATTTTATTAGCACAATGCAAAGTGTTTGATTTATTTAAAAAAGTAAGCTGTCATTTGGACCACATTTTGAGTCAATTGTAGCACAGACAGGTACAAATATCCATAGCAGTGGTTCTCTTTATGGTAGTGTAGACCCTAAATTTTTCTTGAAGAAATAAGTAAGTCCTTCACATTTTTAAGACATAAACACAAGGAGTAGCCTCTTAAAATGTTTTATTTGGAAATGCATCTCTATTGTGAAGTGTGAAGGGCTTAAAAATATTCTTTTAGTATGTTCTAAAGAATTCGTTCTACTAGAGTGAGACAGGATTTGGCAACAATTTTGTCCCCTGATTTCTTATTTTTATAGATTTGTTTTCAAAACATGTTTACATATAAGTAGATAAGACAGGAAGGAGTTCGTTATGGCAGTGTCATTCGATTCTTTGAACTCCTTATTAGTTTCCTGTGGTTGCTGTTCCAAATTACCACAAACTCGTCTTAAAGCAACAGAAATTTATTCTCACATTTTGGAGGCCAGAAGACTGAAATCCATATCACTGGAGTGAAATCAAGGTGTCGTCAGGGATGTGTGTCCTCTGGAAGCTCTAATTTCTTGCCTCTTCCAGCTCTGGTGGCTGCCAGCATTTGTTGGCTTGTGGCTGCATCACCTAATCTCTGCCACTGTGGTCATATTGCTTTCTGCTCTTCTGTCTGTGTCAAGTCTCCCTCTTTCTTATAAAAGCGGTAACATTTCGGGCCCACCCAGATAATTCAGGATAATCTCCATTTCAAGATCCTTAATTTAATACTGTCTGCAAAATTTTTTTTCCACGTGACATTCACAGGTTCTAGGAATTAAGATGTGGTTATCTTTCGGGGGCTATAGTTCAGCCTGCCACAAACTTCATTGCATTATATGTTTAACAACTTTTAGTAAGAAATCATCAAAATCATTTTAAATAATTTATCAGTGACAGCTCCATTAGTTGCTTCAATTTGTTCAGACTTGTGAAAGAATTTTATACATAGTCATTAGAGTCATTTACTTTCTAGCATAGCTGCCAATATACAAAATCGTCCCTTTGTTTGATGCATTCAAGAGTTTATGCCTCAGAGCAATGTGCCAATGAAAGGTTCTGTTCAAATGAACATCCTTTCTCTTATGAAATGGAATTAAAAATGATTTTGGCAGAAAAGGTGTGTTCTTAGAAGGATTCATTTTTTAAAGATTTGGGAAGTGGTTTTTTTGAACACTACATGCATTCCCTGAACCATTTAGAAAATGTTTGTACTTCTGATTTGACAACTGGTGTCCTAGGACATGTCAGAACCTCGTGAAGGGGATAGAGTAAGGCCTGTGGAGAGGAAGCTAGAATTGTTCCACGGTATCCTCAGCTGATAGCTGATGAGCTACAATAGTGCAACTGACTTTGACAGCTCAGCCTAGATAGTTATCAACCTGCCAAGGACGCTTGCTTCTAAAGGTATGTCATACTGGCCAATATGACTTGTTGCCTCATCTTCTAGGACAGAAGAGGCTCAACATATATTTTCTTCATTGCCACTTGTGACTAGTTTAACTTCTATACATGATAATTAATCTCCTAGAAGTATGGTGTTAATTCTCAATAGATATCTGCCCTATTCCAAGCTATTTCATTTAGCTCCTAATTAGCATAATATATTATTACAGTATTTTATATTCTTAAATTTTTCTTTCGGGGGGACTTAAATTTTTTTTTGTTATAGTCACTACCATTTATCTCTAACAAATAGCTTTGCAGTTCAGTAATAAAAATCTGCTCTGTAAATCAAGAAGTGTTTTTCCCTGAGAACACTGCAAATTATTTGTATTAAGGAATAAAACACACAGGTCTTTTAATGCAAAAGCTGAAAGTGGAACACTGGGAATTAATTTGATCCACATACTAAATTTAAACTTTTAGGCATCAAGTAGCAATAGAAGTTTATTTCTTTATTACTGTATTTTCTGGAAACTGCTGAAATAAAATCAAAGATATGAGCATATTCTCATGACTTCATCAACCATGCATTAGACCAAAGCTCATAAGAAAGAATTTTATTTCCAGAGCCTTCTTGTGTTTTTGTTTTCCTTTGGTTTTTCACTCAGATTATATGTTTAAACAGAACAATTGAAAACATTAATGCTACCCCAAAACTAACATGTATTAGATTTAATAGCTTCCAGTTCTTTACCGATGTAAGAGGAGAGTAATCACTATTGAGGTACTGTCATCTTCCTCAGCACAAAATATAAACAGTTTTGTCTTTAAAATGTTTTTTGTTTTAGTTTTGCCTTTTTGCTTAGTTTATTATAATCTTGCAATATCTATTCAGTCTAATTGTGGTAGGAAGTAAAATGTTCAATTTAATTTGCATATTTAAATGAATGGAAAGAACTACAGTGGTTTTTTTCTCCTTAAATGTGATATGCAGCTACAGATACTCTTTGTTAACAGAATAAACCGCTGACATCTTTACTGCAAGTCTTCTGTGAGTGCTACTGATGTAAAGAACCAAAGGATGAACTATTTTCCAGAACTTTAGTGATCAGCTAGTCGGCTCTGCATATTGTTTAAGAACCATTCTTGCACTCTTTTTGTCCAAAATGATGAATTTTCAATAAATAAAATTATATTTGGTTTTCTGTTCCTGTGTTAACTTGCTTAGGATAATGCCCTTATTGAATAGGGAGTCCAGCATCCATGATGGCTGTAGGAGTGTGGCTTTATTTCTTTTTATGCAGGACATGATTTCATTCTTTTTTTTATGGCTTCATAGTATTCCATGATTTATATGTACCACTTTTTTTTTTTTCTTTTCTGAGACAGAGTCTTGGTCTGTCTCCCATGCTGGAGTGCAGTGGCGCGATCTTAGCTCACTGCAACCTCCGTCTCCCGGGCTCAAGCTATTCTTGTGCATCAGCCTTCAGAGTAGCTGGGATTACAGGCACATGGCACCACAGCCAGCTATTTTTTTTTTAATTTTATTTTTAGTAGAGATGGGGTTTCACCATGTTGGCCAGGCTTGAATTCAACTCCTGAGGTCAGGTGATCCACCCACCTTGACCTCCCAAAGTGCTAGGATTACAGGTGTGAGCCACCATGCCTGGCCTATATGTACTGCATTTTCTTTATCCAGTCCACTGTTAGTGATTCTGTGTCTTTGCTATTGTGAATAGTGCTGCAATGAATGTAAGAGTGCAGGTGTCTTTTTATTTATTTTGGATGTATGCCCAGTAATGGGATTGCCGGGTTGGATGATAGTTCTTTTTTAAATTTTTTGAGAAATCTCCAAACTACTTTCCACAGTGGCTGAACTAATTTACATTCCACCAGCAGTGTATAAGCATTCCCTTTTCTCTGCAGCCTTGCCAATATCTGCTGTTTTTTTTACTTTTGATGATAGCCATTCTGACTGATGGGAGATGGTATCTCATTGTGGTTTTGATTTGCATTCCTCTGATGATTAGTGATGTGGAGGAATTTTTCATGTTTGTTGGCTACTTGTATGTCTTCTTTCAAGAAGTGTTGATTCGTGTCCTTCACCACTTTATAATGGGGTTGTTTTTTGTTTGTTGAATTAGGTTCATTATAGATTCTAGATATTAGACCTTTGTTGGATGCATAGTTTGCAAATATTTTCTCCCATTCTGTAGGTTGTCTGTTTAATCTGTTGATAGTTTCCTTTGCTGTTCAGAAGCTCTTTAGTTTAATTAGGTTCCACTTGTCTATTTTTGTTTTTGTTGCAATTGCTTTTGAGGACATAGTCATAAATTCTTCCTCAAGGCTGTTGTCCAGAATGGTGTTTCCTAGGTTTTAATCTTTTAAATCTTTAATCCGTCCTGAGCTAATTTTTGTATGTGGTGCAAGGTAGGGGTCCACTTTCATTCTTCTGTATTTGGCTAGCCAGTTTTCCCAATACCATTTATTGAATAGGGAGTCCCCTCCTCATTGATTATTTTTGTCAACTTTGTCAAAGCTCAGATGGCTGTAGGAGTATGGCTTTATTTCTGGGTTCTCTGTTGTGTTCCATTGGTCAATATGTCTGTTTTTGTACAAGTATCATGCTGTTTTGATTACTGTAGGATTATAATATGGTTTGAAGTGGGGTAATGTGACCCCTCCAGCTTTGTTTCTTTGCTCAGGATTACTTTGACTACTTGGTCTCTTTTTGGGTTCCGTATTAAGTGGGAGCTAAACATTGGATACTCATGGACATAGAGATGGCAACAATAGACACTGGGGGCTACTAGGGGAGGAAGAGGTGGGAGGAAGGGTTGAAAAACTAACTGTCGAGTACTGTGCTCACTTTCTGGGTGACGGGTGCGATTGTATCCAGACCTCAGCATCACACAGTATACCCATGTTAAAAACTTGCATATATATATATGTGTGTGTGTTTCTTGAATTGAAATAAAAGTTGAAATTATAAAAAATAAATAAATAGAATTGTAAAGGGAAGGGCATAGTATCTATTTATTTAAATTTAAATTATTTATTTAATTTTTTTTAGAGATAGGGTCTCTTTTGCCTGAGGTGGAGTGCAGTGGTGGAGTCATGGCTCACTGCAGCCTCAGATTCCTGGACTCAAACAATCCTCCAGCCTCAGCCTCTGTTATTATTATTATTATTTATTATTATTATTTTTTGGAGACGGAGTTTCACTCTTGACACCCAGGCTGGAGTGCAATGGCGCAATCTTGGCTCACTGCACCCTTCGCCTCCCAAGTTCAAGTGATTCTCCTGCCTCAGCCTCCCAAGTAGCTGAGATTACAGGCACCCACCACCACGCCCAGCTAATTTTTGTATTTTTTAAACTAGAGTCAGGGTTTCACCATGCTGGCCAGGCTGGTCTCGAACTCCTGACCTAAGGTGAACCACCCCACCTCGGCCTCCCAAAGTGCTGGGATTACAGGCGAGAGCCACCACGACTGGCCTATTATTTTAAAAAATATTTTAAATACAAAAATAATCTATCTCATTGTAAATACCTCAAAAATCATGAAGTAAACAAAATTATTCATAATTTCAAGACCGAGATAACTAATGTTAACATTTTTTAAAACTCTTTAATCAGTTTCTCTACTTTAACATAGTTGCTATATGTATTAACTCTTATAGACTACCTTCTTTTTCTTTTTTCTTTTGTGCACTTAAAATATATCTTGAGTATTTGTAGTTTTTTACTTGTCATTTTACAGATTCCACAAAAATCAGTAACTCCTCTTGCCTTCTCTGGCTGCGTTACCCAAACAGTTTAGCAAATATTTATTGACAATTTTGTACCAAGCCTATATTTTGCTGTAGATTCTGGGGATGCAGTATGAGCAAAACAGACAAAAAGTATTGCCCTTGTGAGTTTGCATTTTCACTGGGAGAGAGACAGGAAACAAGGCCTAATATTTGTTATCCCGTAGAGGATGATAAGCTCTGGGGAGGGAAAGCAGGAGGAAAGAGGGAGAGTGAGTGCTAGAGCAGAAGGGAGATGTGCTTTATTTTTTATTTATTTATTTAGAGACCGAGTCTCACTCTGCTCCCCAGGCTGGAGTGCAGAGGTGTAATCTCAGCTCACTGCAACCTCCACCCCCCAGGTTCAAGTGATTCTCCTGCTTCAGCCTCCCAAGTAGCTGGGATTACAGGAGCCTGACACCACACCCAGCTAATTTTTGTATTTTTAGTAGAGACAGGGTTTCACTATCTTGGCCAGGCTGGTCTTGAACTCCTGACCTCATGATCCACCCGCCTCGGACTCCCAAAGTGCTGGGATTACAGGTGTGAGCCACCACAACCAGCTGGGAGATGCACTTTAAAGAGGCATCAGAGAAAGCCTCCCTGACGGAGTGATGTTTGAGTAGAGAAATGAAGCACGTAGCAGGCAGGCTGTGCAATTAAGTGGAAGATTGTTCTAGACAGAGGGAACAGCAAGTGGAAAGGCCTGGACGTGGCAGTGTGCTTGTGTTCAGGAAGCAGCCTAGGGGCCATTGCACCTGGAGTGGAGTCAATAAGGTGGAAGGTAATGGGAGAGGACATCACAGAGTTGCCCCAGGACCAGATCGTGTAGGGTCTCATAGGCCAAGAAGTGGGCCTGGCATTTACACTGAGTGAGAGAAAAAGCAAGGGGAGGTCTTTGAGTCAGAGAAGAATATGATGTGATTTAGTTTTAAAAGTATACTACTAAGGAGACCAGAATGCAAGATTTGACCTTTTATTTTGCTTTTCCATCAGACTACCTGTGGCTCCCTGGAATGATCCCCACCTATCTGTCATTTCTACTAGCTGTACATGCAGCCATTGTACCATCTTCACACGTGGTCTGTTTATGAGATTTAGTGTTTGTGAGATCCTGAGGCCTCATAGGTAAGGATATTTTGACTTATAGGATAGATGAGAGTTGAGGGTTTTCTGCACTTTAGCTCACTTTTAGTGACCAAGATAAGCTTAGGCCAGTTTCAGAGACATTCCGAGTTGTGAATACATATGCTACTATCGTTGCTTCTCATCTGTCTAAACCATATCACAAGCTACTAAAAGCAGAAGGGGGAATACTTGAAATTCAAAATGTGGTAAGTTCCTGAACCTGAAGTCTAATTTCAGAGTTAAATTTTCTGTGGCAAAGGAAACTTCAATCTTATTAGTATTTTTTTTTTCCGAGATGGAGTCGCCGTCTGTCGCCCAGGGTGGAGTACAGTATGTGATACTGGCTCACTGCCTCCTCCGCCTCCCAGCTGCAAGTGATTCTTGCGCCTCAGACTCCTGAGTAGCTGGGATTTCAGGCGTGCACCATCACGCCTGGCTAATTTTTGTATTTTTAGTAGAGATGGGGTTTCACTATGTTGGCTAGGCTGGTCTTGAACTCCTGACCTCAAGTGATCCATCTGCCTTGGCCTCCCAAAGTGCTGGGATTACAGGCGTGAGCCACCACGCCCGACCGTTATTAGTATTTTTAATATAAATGCATATGTGTGATAGCTACTACTAGTGTGCATAGAGTATGTATTTTAATATCCATTTACATGCAGGAATACAAAGATCTAGATTCCATTAGATTCTGTAATCTGCATTTTCCACTGAAGCAAGTTGGTTTCTTCCCACCACAATATTTCAAGCAAATGTTCCTGAGATTCTGCGGTCGGTTTGCCTCTGTCTCACTCTACATCTCTCTCAGGAATGCTATAATTTAAATTGCAAACCACCAGGAAAACTTTCGTATAAACGTTCCTAACCCAGGTGGTAATGAAATTACTGAGATTGAACTGAGCCAACCCAGTTCACCTTATAGCAGAGCCAGATATTTATTTTGGCTGAGCGAGAGAGAATCATGCTAAAAGTTACCTGTTTTTGAATTTGTACAAAACATGAATTGTATAATAATACTATGTTTGGAACTTTGAATGCAATGTCCATGTTTCATATCCTCTACCTGTAATTATTAATATATGGCTGCTGAGAATTTTAATAGGCAGAGTCAGTCATGGAAGACAACTAAATATCTTGATTTTGTTATGAATCTCTGAATGGCCTGATTTTGGATCATATTATTATATGGTTCTACTTGTACACACACTTTGACAGACATTGAATTTAAAATGTCAGCACATCAACAAATATTTCTCCTTTCATGATGTAGTAAACCAGGTTTTGCAACTGGTGTGGTTTGCTTCACAGCCACTGGATGTCACTATAGTTCCCCAGATAGAATCCTCTGTGCTGTTATAATCAATGTAAGAGTAGGGTGGGGGAAAAACTTTAGCTTCAAGTCCTCTGAAACTTAATGGGATCCATGTTTGTCTTGCTCCCATTCTGATTCCTAATTGAAGCCATGGTATGAAGCAGTGGCAATTAACACAATACCTCAAGCGCATACCTACAGACTCCTCGGGAAGAGGAATTAATTGTATTTTAGTATCATTGCTAGGGACAGCTGAGATTTCCATTGTGAATATCATTGTGGAGTGGCTTTAATAAGCAAAATGAATGACTGGAGGCTTTTAATGAAACCATTTTAATGTGTGCAGCTATGCCCACGTGATCGCCTTAAGACAGAAGCGATGCACAGTGACAGTGAGGGAATGGTTCACAGCCTCCTGCTTGGAAGCTGCTCCTTCGCTCTTTTTTTTTTTTAACAAAGGAAGTACAAGTGTTTTTCCTCTTCTGGAGCTGACATGTAGTTGGACTTCCTGTGCAGTTTATAACATACCAGCCATCAGAGTTGTGACCACCCTCATCACAGCAGAAATCATTGTGAAGCCTTTGGGACATGTGGCACTGTGCTTCCTTCCATAAAGAGAACCATGTGCCCTGACCCTCTGGGCTTTCAGGAGACATGGTGTCCTGGTGGCACGCACAGACCGGAAATGGGCAATATGTAACTAGCAAAGATAGTAAGTGCCCACAACTAAATCTGCTTCTGATTCAGCTGATTTTTTCTTCTACATATTCTTATAGCCTCGGCTACATGAATTCAGGTCCGAGCATCTCTCCCCTCAGGTATTATGTTAGCCTCACAACTGGTCCTCCTGCCTCTGGTAGTACCAACATTATCCATCTGAATGCAGACCTGATTCTTTTTGCATTTGGATCCAAGGTCCTCTGTGGGGCTTGTAGCATCTTGTGACCTGTCTGCCCTTCATAGCTGCAGTCTTAATGTCTCACCCCTCCCTCCTTTTAGTTTATACATTAGAGAACTGCCTGCAGATGCCTGCATATACTACAGTTTCTACTCAGTTTTCTTGTTTGTGATGTTAAGAGTCACAGGAAACCCCTTCCTGTCCATCTTTACTTGGCTAACTGCTATGTATCTTCCAGGGCTTAGTTATTTTAGTTAAAAATGTCAGGAAAGTAAAACCCCAGCCTTTTCTTAAAAATACTTATGGCAATAAAGATGAAAACTCTGAGCTGTCCAAGCTGACTGATAGGTAACGTAGTGCCACTGTCCAGGGAGAGTGGAGAGAGAAAAGCAGTTGGAGGCATCCCATGCTCAGCCTTGTGAAGTAGAATCACCCTTTCCATCTATCTGACAGCAGGCCGGGAGACACACCTGCCTCTTACACTTGCCTGACTGCATGGCGCAAACTGCTGCTGCTGCTCCAGGGCTGTTCCTTGAGATGATCAGGATGCTTGCTGCCACCGTCCGTACTCATACACCCCTTGGGCAATTGCAAATCCTGAAAACAGCAGAGAGCTGCAGGAGGCACTAAGAGTGTTAGTGATGAATTGTGTCCTGGGAGGTGATGCTTCCACAGGACATACTATATAGGTGGGTGTGAGAAACAAGCCGTGTGGACAAGATTTAGATACAAGGTTGTTCAAAGTAGATTGTTTATAATATCAATTAACTAGACAAGTAAAACCTCAGTATAAAAGGAGAATGTTATAAATTATAGTACATCCATAGGTTGTAATGTTATGCAGCTTTTGATCATGCTTTTATTCTTCCTTTGAAGACTGATGTGGGTAAATGTAAGGTTGTGGTGACGATTGAATAAAATCAGTGCATAAACATATGATGTTTTCTAATATTATAAAAAGTATATACACATACACTCATATAGAGCAAGAGAAAACGACAAGAAAGGAATATACTGAAAGGTTAGGTGCTTATTCCTGATTGACAGGTTTAAAGATGTATTGTGATTGTAAGTTATCTGTATTTGTAAAATTTCCTTTAATGGAATGTATTATTTTAATAATCAGAAAAAAGAAATAAACACAATTTTAAAAACTTTTAAAGAGATTTTTAAAGCCTTAGCTCAGACATCTTTCTGAAGCCCCAAGTTGGACAAAATACACATCTTCTTTGCTGCTGTAACAGTTTCTACAACTATCTTAACAGTGATCAAATTATTAAAATTAGACAGTAATTCCATGGAGCTGGGACTCTCTGTACACTGCATCTTTGTAACCCAGGGTCTAAGACAAATAAATGTGTTTGGAACTAAGTCATACTAAACTGTAAGGCATTTATATCAAAAAATTAAAAGGATGGATTACAAAGTACATAGAAGGAATAGGCTTGGAAAAGAAGCCAAAGAAATCACATGCTGTGCTCAGATAGAATTTACTCTTGAGTCCTCAAAGAATGCTGTGAGAACCTTCGAATTAATGGAAGCTGTCTGTAAGCTCTTCAGATATTTACCCAGTCAACTCGAGATCATATATATGCAGGCATTTTTGTGGAAAAATAAGGCTGCCTCTGAATATAAGTTCCAATGGTTGGGTCGGAGTTAATTGGAGACTATTTCCCCTCGCAGAAGAATGAACTGCAGGGCTTTATAGCCATCAAGCTGAAGTGTCACAATTTTCCTATTATTGCACTTGGGGAGTTGAATGTGTCTGATGGCAATTTTCTGAGGGATCCTGCTGGTATTAAGTAGTATTCTTAGGTTAAGGAACCTTTTAGAAATTGAGCTGTGTTTTATTCTTTGCTTCTCCAGTTTTTGTTTTGCTTGGCCAGAGGCTGTTCATTTTTATCTGAAAATAAGATTGACAAAATGTATGTAGTTTCTACCCAGCATAGAGAAGTACAAGGACCATTTGTCTCCTGGAGTTTCCTGTAAAAAAGGTATTCAAAAAATTGTTTTCTGAGCGAATTAGAGGTAAAAGCCACTTTTGTTTCTTCTCTTATCAAGTGAGAGAAGAGTAGGGACTCAGGTTTCTATTTGAGCTCCACGCTGTACTTGGCAGTAGATTCAGCAAAGAAATCCAGGCAGAAGGTCACAGGTGAGCACTCTCCATTCTTGGAGGATTGAGGTTTTTAAAAAGACTTTGATGTTAAATCAACAGTTTCAGAAGAAACTTCTTGCTTTCTTCTTCTTTTTTCTTTTCTTTTTCTTTTTTTAAAGAAAGAGTTTCTGAAAATTCAAAAACAGAATTACATGTAGTTATCATTATTTGGTAATATTTCTTTTTATTACCATAAGACCTCACTGACCTATTAGAAACAAAAAACACAACTTAAGGCAATAGGAAATTTTTGTTTTTGTTTTGAAAAAGCCTTTAAAATGCTTTTGAAGCTTTTCTTTTTCCATCTTCTTGATTGCTATGTTGAAGTAATTTAAGAGGGCTTCCCTCCTATTTTTCTACCTACATATGAGTGGTAGTTGACAATTGTAATTTACTTTCCAATGCCCGAAAAATAACGTCAGAAAGTTTTATTTTAAATAGACTTGTATCTGTGAAGTTTTAATAACATGTTTTATTATAGTATTTTAGATGGATTTTATAAAGTTTTAAAAATAAAGTCTAAAATAATAATTTTGAATTCATGTGATTCCTACCTGTGGTCACTTCTCAAATGGTAATTCAAAAAGTACCTGAGTTCATTCTGGGTTTTGAACATAGCAGCAAAGAGCCCCTAGTTGTAGAATTCATATTGTTCCTTTTTGATATTTGAAATAAATGATAAATAACTTAGTAGGATTACTTACTTGGTTAAAATTTGCTTGGTAGGAGAAAGGTCCAAGAAAGTTTATTAAAGGCCTTTTGTTTTAGTGTTTTGTTTTGTTTTCCCTTTTCTTAGGTCTTGGTGATGGTGTTTTTTGGCTAGACCAAGGCAAGAGAAAGTTGGTCTTCAGCAACATTTCACCTCCTTTTGCAGCGTTTTTATTTTCTTCTCAAAGTAGTCCATCTAGTCATCTTGTATATTCCTGTTGAATTTTCTGTCTACTAGGGCCTGTATTTAGTCAGATATCTGCATTGAAAAAAGAAATGCTAATTTTATGTGAGATGTGATTAACTGATATTCAATTATGCCTCCCAGGGTTATTTGGATTATTGTAACATTAATCCTTTAACATAATGAGATTGGTTGGGGGAAGGTACAATTCATGCAAATTGGGATGGTGATATATAAATTTAAAAAGAATATGTAATATAATTTCTAAAAATCAGTTTCTACAATAAGAAAATTATATCTTCATTACCAGGCTAGTATATAAGGTAAAAAACTATAGCTGCATTCAATCCACTTGACTTTTATTAGCTTCCTTAATATGTTATCTGAATTTTTGATAGAATAGTACTAGAAATCTTTTTTCGAAGGAATGGAATGTATGTCTTTGGCTTTCTCACATACTCTATTTCTTGATGGCTTTTTAAAAGATGTATTTTTCTTAAGATTACCAGATTATTTTCCTAGTGCTAGTAATTGCAGTATGTAAATACTCAGTTTTATAGTTCTGTGACATTTTCTGCAAATCTTTTATCCTTTATTTTATTTTTTCAAGATTGGTATTCTGGTTTTTATTTGCATGTAGTCAACAAAACCCCTGACTAGATTCCACTTCTTGGTAACCATACACATTACGCTAGTTCTTTTTTATATTCAGACTCCTGAGTAGCTGGGATTATGGGCATGAGCCACCGAACCTGCTTAGTTCTTTAGTTACACATTTGTCATAGCTGTTCAAATGTAGTTTGATTTTTCAACCTTTTTTGTTTTATTTTCTTTTTTGATGCAGTCCAAATTCAAATGATTTGTACTTTGAAGATTGACATAATTTGAAATCTTGCCCATTACTGTTTTGTCCCTTACACTTAAAATGTGATTTACTTTCAGTTAATTAGCAAATATTTATTGAATACCTTTCAAAATAAAAGAATTGGGGCCGGGCGCGGTGGCTCACGCCTGTAATCCCAGCACTTTGGGAGGCCGAGGCGGGCGGATCACGAGGTCAAGAGATCAAGACCATGGTGAAACCCCGTCTCTACTAAAAATAGGAAAAATTAGCCGGGCGCAGTGGCGGGTGCCTGTAGTCCCAGCTACTCGGGAGGCTGAGGCAGGAGAATGGCGTGAACCCGGGAGGCGGAGCTTGCAGTGAGCCGAGATTGCGCCACTGCACTCCACCATGGGCGACAGAGCAAGACTCCATCTCAAAAAAAAAAAAAAAAAAAAAAAAAAGAATTGGAAACAACTAAGGTAGAGAACGGCAGGAGCATGAAAGAGCAATTTTAGTTGATATAGACAGAATGTGCAGGATGTAAATAGATCCAGCAGAGGCGCTAGGGAATGTCCCTTGGGTGAGAACTTCCATGAAGTTGAAGCAATGTGTGCAGGGAAAAGAACATCAACTTGGGCTCAGACATGTGGTTGTCATTCAACCTGGGCACTTGGGACCTACAAGAGGGGGCACTTGGGACCTACACCATCCAATTACCATCCAGCTCCCTCACAGTCTCCACTCCACCAGTTTCCTTCAATAACTCTTTAACTCTGCCTCGTTTCCCAGAGGGCAGAGGGTGGGTCCATATACATGGCTATTCTGAACCTCTGTTTCTATCTGTAAAATGGAACTATAACTTGCTTATTACATTATTATATTGATTTCCTAAGGCTTATGTAACAAATTACAAATTTGGTGGCTTAAAAAATAGAAATGTATTCTTTCACAGTTCTGGAGAGTCACATTCTTTCCAAGAACCTTAGGGAGATTCCACCCCTTGCCCGTTAACAGCTTCTCTTGGCTACTAGCATTCCTTGGCTTGTGATGATTTCACTTGAACCTCTGCTTCCCTGATCACATTGCTTTTCCTCTTCTGTCTGTGTTAAATCACCTGCCTCTGTCTTAAAAGGATATATGTGATTGGATTTAGGTCCTACCTTAATCCAGGATATTCCCCCCATTTCAACATCCTTAATTTAATGACATCTGCAGAGGCTTTACCACATAAGGCAACATTTACAGGTTCTAGAGATTAGGACCTGATATCTTTAGGGCCATTATTTAGCTTACTATAGGTATTATAAGAATTAAATACAATAATGAAACAGCTGTCAGACTCAGACATGCAGAAATTACTGTATTTTGAATTAGTTTCTGATACTGAGTAACCTGGCTTAAGAACAGACAGGTTATTCTTCTATTATTTGTTTGTTCTCTGGATTGTTCTTAGTCTTTTTGGGGAAAATAATCAATGCAGTTTTTATCAATGAGTTCCATACACGTTTGAAATGTGTTCAGTTGAAGGTTTAGACCTACCTTCACTCCTCCAGCACTCTGTTGGGACATGTAAATCCCCAGAGGGATATCTGTCTAACTTTTATCCAACTGTTGTCTTCATGTTGTAGAAACTCCTGCTTTTTAAGCTTATTGCTTATATCATGATGACCCTTAGGTTCATGGTCTTCCTTTAGTCCTTCCACATTTCTTCTCAGGAATGTGGCACTACAATACTCTTGCCCCGTACTGGGATGCTGTGGACTTGACATTGTACTTAGCTATTGCTTCTCTGTCATGCTTGGTGAAGGGCTTCTATTTAAGGGCAGGGTATAGACTTTCCTAAGTCTATGCTCTGATTTGAGCCACATACCACTGTTAAACCTATCCGGAGTCTTACAACTCATAGAGGGTTCTGTTCAGGAAGGAGGCAGGATATGGGGTCACTTGGGACCTACACCATCCAGTTACCATCTAGTTCCCTCACAGTCTCCATCCACTCCACCAGTTTCCTTCAATAACCCTTTAACTCTGCCTCCTTTCTCAGAGGGCAGAGGGTGGGTCCCCACAAGTGACAATGGAGGATTGACTAGGCATGCTTCTTCCTAAATAATTATATTTGTCAAAAATTGATAAAGTCTACTGTGACACTCAAAAAAACAACAAAATGCCTCTTTGCTATTTTTTCCTTTCTTTATAGTGTAGTATGAGGGCAGAATTCATACTATTTTCTTAGAGGTAGAGGAAGGTAATGGGTCCAAGGAAACACAGGTTGGCAAAGCAAACAAACAAACAAGCATCTTTGTTGATATCTTGAAATTGTCTCCCACTGCAGTTGCAAAGAATACAGATACCGTGCTTAGCACATAGTGCATTTAATAATGTGTACCTGTGTTTCATAATCTTGAAAATACCAGCTGAGTTTGTGTGAAAAGTAAACAGAAGTAAGGACAGATTTTTAAGGATGCAACTTCCCCCTTGGTAGCTCAGTGATCACTGGATGTCCCTCCAGTTTGTCTTGCAGTTTTTCTAGCTTATTACTGGTAACACATCCTTCCAAGTGCTAAGGCTGAGAACCTTGATGTCTTCCTCAAGTACTTTCTTTTTCACTCCATATCCAATTTGTCAGTGAATTCTGTTGTCCCTACCTTCAAAATACATCAAGATTCTGTGTATTTTTTTTAACCACATCAACTGCTACCATGCTAATGTAAGCTGCATCATCTCTCCTGGGGTTAGTTCCAATAGCCTACCAAATGGTCTTTGTGCTTTCAGCCTTTTAAAATCAGTTTTCTGCTCCACAGTGTGATCCTATTGAAACTTGTTAGTTCATGTTATTCCTGTGTTCAAAATGACTTCCCATCTAACACAGAGGAAAAGCCTAGCCCTTACTATAGACTGCAGGGCTTTCTACAACCCACTATCTCATCCCCATTATTTCCTTAACTTCTTCTCCTGGGATAACCCCTTTTCCTTGTTCAGCATTAGCCACACTAACCTCCTGGCTGTATTTCAAACATACCAGCCTTTCTCTCACCTCAAGGGTTTTTTTTTCTTGCTTCTCCTCTCTATCTGCTTGGCTCCTGTCCTCTTCTCCTTTAGGTCTCTGTTTAAACATTACCTTCTCAATGAGGCCTTCTTGATAAGCTGATGGAAATGGATTCCTATCCCCTGTCCTCAGCACTTTCTCTCTCTTCGCTGCTCTATTTTTCCCTGTAAGGTTTATCACCACTATTATGGTTTAAATATATGCCCCTCCAAATTTCATGTTGAAATGTGATCCCCAGTGTTGGAGGTGGGCCTAGTGGGAGGTGTTTGGGTCATGAGGGCAGGTCTCTTGTGAATGACTTGGTGCCATCCTTGTGGTAATGAGTGAATTCTCACTCTATTTGTTCACACAAAAGCTGGTTGTTCAAAAAAGCCTGGCATGTCTATTGCTGTCTCTTGCCGTGTGACACGCCTGCTCCCCCTTTACCTTCCTGCATGATTGTAAGCTTCCTGAGACCTCACCAGAAGCAGGTGCTGCTACCATGCTTCCTGTATAGCCATGAGCCAAATAAACCCCTTTCCTATATAAATTACCCAACCTCAGGTATTTCTTGACAGCAACAAAAAATGGATTAAGACCACTACTTTTTATGATTCACATTTTATTTATTGTCCATGTATTCCCATTAGAATGAAAGCTTCATGAGGGCAGTTATTTTGTTACTGTCTTCTCCACTACAAAATTTTTAGCCCTAAGATGAGTTTTTGACATACTGTGAACCTTCAACAAATATTTGTTGAATGGATGAACAAATGACTAAGTTATAACTAACTGCCAGACTATATGCATTTATCTATAACAGGCAGAAGCAGACAAGCTTTTTGGGCAGGGTTCACATTCATACACATGTTTTAGGAGGTTTGCTATGCTATCGGTGTCCACGTTGGATTAGAAGAATGAGAAAGTAGAGGCTTGAAGATTAGTTAGGCTGAACAACAAAAGGCAAAGGTCTAAATTGAAATGGTGACAGTGGGACCTGGTGTGGGGGTTGTTTGTTGTGTAAGAGACACTCAGAGAAAGAATCCCTGCTATCTGAGAATTTCAGGAGTAGAAGATATTGGAGCAGACGTAGAGAAAGTTGCAAAGGTGAGTTGTAGTCTACTTTTTTTGACGGAATGTGGTAAAAATGACAGTAATGGAGACGGGATAATTTAGGAAGAAAAAGTCATTTGAAAGGGAAAAATGTAGATGACTTTGTTTCGTTTTTAAGTTTAAAAAGTTTTTTGGTACCATTTGAAATTTTGTATGTGTACAGTTCAGTGGCGTTATATGAATTCACATTGTTGTGCAACCATCACGACTGGCCATCAATCTCTGAAATATTTTAATTTTCTCATACTGAAACTCTGCATCAATTAAACAACAACCCTTTATTCCCTACTCCCTCCTACCCCTGGCAGCCACCATTCTACTTTCTATCTCTATGAATTTGACTATTCTAGGTACCTTGTATAAGTGGAATCATACAGCATTTGTTCTTTTGTATTTGTCTTATTTCACTTAGCAAAATAGCTTCAAGGTTCATCTATGTTGTAGCATGTGTCAGAATTACATTCCTTTTTAAAGCTGAATATTCCATTGTAGGTACTGCGTATACCACATTTGTTATCTATTCATTGTTCATGGACATGGACATTAGGTTTCCACCTTTTGGCTATTGTGAATGATGTTGCTATGAACATTGGTATACAAATTTCTGTTTGAGTCCCTGCTTTCGCTTCTTTTGAGTAAACAGCCAGAAGTGAAATTGCTGATCCTATGGTAATTTTATGTGTAATATTTTGACTTTGGTTTTAGACATACTGTATTTGAGGTGGTGCACAGTATAGTAGTTAGGACAGGAGCATGGGTGAGAACAATTATAGCCAGAGATTTCACTTCAGAAAACCTGACAAATTAGATGGTTGAAGAGGTGAGAATGGATTAATTTATAGGGGGAGAAAGAAAAGAGTTGAACCAAGATTGTAGGAGGAGAAGGAGCTAGTGGAGCCAGTCGATGGGATAGAAAAGGAGCAATCAGAGTTAGGAATAGAACCCCAAGTGTTGATATATACTTAGCTCAAACTCATCCATATTCATTGAACACTCTTAACTGAACTTCTTTTTTGGATGAATAAATGTCTATTTAAGAATGATATTACTTTCAAGAGTTTGGGTGTTGTAGGTCACAAATCACTACTGAATGTTGAATTTCTGAGACATAAATGCTTTTTAAAAACATCCTAGAAACAGTAAAACAGCAGAGAGTTTCCATATTCCTTATTTGGTTGTTCTCCATTTCCTATTTTGCATTGGTAATTTCCAGTTTCTTTTCTTTTCTCCACCTTTTATTGAAGTATGGCATACATTAAGAAAAGTGTACAAACCAAGTGTGCACAACTCAATGGACTCTCAGATATTACATATACTGGAGTAACCAACCCCAAGATCAAGAAACAGTATTGTACTCACCCCAGTGATTCCGTTCATGCCCCCACTTACTTAATGTCTCCAAAACCCTTTCTAGCACTGTAGATTAATTTTGCTGTTTTGAACCTTATGTAAGTAGAATCATGCAGTATATACTATCTGTGTCTGGATTCTTTAATTAAATATTGTGTTCATGAAATGCAGTATTTATCCATACTGTTGTGGGTTGTTGTAGTATATTTTCACTGTGTGCTTTTACACAATTTACTTGTTCATTCTCATGTCAGTGGGCATTTGGGTAGTTTCAAGTTTGGGGCTATTATGAATAATACTACTGTCAACATCCTCACAGTTTCTTATAAAAATAGGAATTTCGCATGTTATAGTCACCTCTTTAAAACTGCCTTTGCTTACTTCATTTAAGTGCCTTTTCTGCCAAGTGCCTTCCCACCCACTTAATTATCTTCATTGTTAATACAAAATATATTTTCCTTGGTATTAGCTTTGAAAGTATAAAGTGCCCCAAGGAATTGGGCTTCTTAAAAAAAACCTGTATCTTCTTGTATTAAAATTTTCCTTTAAAGCATTTATTTTAATTCTTCTCAGCTATCCAGATTAGTCTGGACAGTCTTAAATGCACATGAACCTGTCAAAATTCTTCATCTCTTAATGAGGTGAATTGTCCAACCTTGAAATAAATACTTTAGTTTTGGCACCATGATGAGTCAGAGAAAAAAATAGTTCCCATATACTTAATGCAGATGTGTTATCAAACTTATATTATTTACACAGTAATAAAAGGAAATTGAGATAACAAAAAGTACATTATGATATTTTATACATTTTTTTCTTTCTAGACAACAGTCTGCTTTGGTATAAAAATGAACATTAGTAATTGAAAATTGATGACAAATTTTATCAATCTGGCTATCTCATAATTAAGTTGAAATCTGCTATGTTTAACAAAGATGCGTAATACATTTTATATGTTTGTATGTGTCTGTGTGTGTATATATATATATATATATATATATATATATATATATATATATATTTGTCTATCTGTCAACATACTCATTGAAACATTCTTTACAGAAAGAACAATAGAAGACCACGAACTGGTGATTGAAGTGCTATCCAACTGGGGGATAGAAGAAGAAAACAAACTATACTTTAGAAAAAATTATGCCAAATATGAGTTCTTTAAAAACCCAATGGTAAGTGAAATCCCTCCTAATAGTTACGGAAAATAAATGAACCCGTTAAATTTTATGTGAAGAAGATAGTCACTGTAAATAAAATACAGTCCTATTCGGTAAATTGTAGATGAAGACTCTGGTCCTTTGAAATTATACCCATATTTCTTATGCTAACAATGATTAGTGAACATTATACACAGAAGTTCAGATACACAGGTGCAAAACTTTTTAAAGCCGTATTGGTAAAGTCTGAATTGAGATGAATTTGGTTTATTTAATTTAAAAGTATTAGGAAACCTAGTTTTGCCTTTTGTGAAAAGGTAACAATTATACATTTGATGTGGGAAATGAATTTCTATAGGTTCTCACCCAGATTAGGAACAAGTGTTAAGCAAAATATTATATCTTAACACTTTCTATAGAATTTAGGAAATTTAAATAGCTTTCTAAAGTAAAAGCAGACTAATGATTGTTGAGAGTATTATAACTTAGCCAGAAATTAAGATTGACATGAATCTTGCTATTCCAAATTATTTTGTTTTCGGTGCAGTAATTTTTGAACTAAGTAGAAATGAGATAAAGACCAGTGCATTATCTAGTAAATACTACTTTCATTGTAGTTCTCTTTAAAAGAAAATAAATGTGTGTCACATTCTAATGAAGACTAGGGATCTAGAAAAGTCAGAATAGCCTCTGGGCTCATTATTTTAAATTGTTTTTGTCTCTGCAGCTGAAGCATATTTTTACACTAAGTTTTGGATGATAATTGGATTGAAATGATTCTTTATGAAAAATATATGATACACACCATAATAGAATATTTTCAAACCCTGAAAGACCTCTCACGTTGTCTTTTATCTTAACCTATTAATAGAAACATAATGGGATGATCTTTGGCAAAGAAAATTAGTCATAATAAAAATTAAATAAATTCAACTGTGAAGAGAAAGTGTTTCTTTTTGTTGTGAGTCCTTATTAAAGACAAGAATTTAAAAAGATATATTTAAAGAAATATTGTTCAATGCTTGTTTTTTATTTATTTTTTATTTAAACAAGGCTGGACATTTGTTTTGTAGACCTATTGCAGTGGTTCTTAACTGGGAGGTGATTGGACAATGTCTGGACACATTTTTGGTTGTCACAACTGGCAGTAGAGGGGAGGGCTGCTAGTGAGCAGAGGATAGGAATACTCTAAACATCTATAATATGCAGGAGTGCCCCCCCTCAACACAGAATTATTAGACCAAAATGTTAGTAGAACTACTGTTGAAAAACCCTGTCCTAGAGGAAATATAGTAGAATATATTTTCCCAAACTTGTCTAATCATAAAATTTACTGAGGGGAGAGTGCTTATTAAAAACATAGAATCCAGGACTTGCCCGGATCTACTGAATCAGAAACTCCAGGAATGAGGCCTGGGAATTCCTATTTTAAACAACTGCCCTGGGTGAATTTTATGATTAAAAAGTTTGGAAAAATGGTAGGTAGAAAGAACTGGACTTTTAGCTCCCAGCCCAGTTTAAGTCCTGACCTCCACTGTGCTGTGGGCTATGACCTTGGGCATACCCTAAACTCTGTACTTCTGTGAGCCTGTTCCTTGTAAAATGTCATGGATAGTCCTTTTGACCTGATAGGCTGGTTGCGGGACTCAGGAATAAGATGTGGGAGCAAGCACATTGTCAACTTCAGGGCAGTGTTTTATAACTCCAGATACTTGAATCCATCCACATCAGCATTATCTGGGGGCATTTGCTAATCTTTGTGCCCAACTCCAGACATTCTCATTAAGGTACCTATGAGTAGAGTCTAAGGACGGGCATTTTCAAAAGCACTTTTGGGTGAATTTTAGTCACACCAGTTTAAAGAACTTTTGCTTTTGATTACTATATTGGTCATAATTGAATCTTTTCTAGCATGAATTTTGTGATAATTTAACTGTGTCTTTTTGACAGTATTTTTTTCCAGAGCATATGGTATCTTTTGCAACTGAAACCAATGGTGAAATATCCCCCACACAGATTTTGCAGGTAAAATATATTTTTATTAACATATATAAATAATAGCATAATGAAGGAAAACTTTTAAGTCCTTTTTTATACATGCCCAGATTTTGAAAAGTTATGCTTTGAATTATTATTAATATTTTTTGCTGGAGGTAAAACTAAAAAAAAAATGCACCCAGGCAAAGAATGTCCTAAATCAATAAAGCTCTTTAACAATATTCTTCTTCCCAGTTTTAGCCAATTGTCAAAGGATTTTACATATTTAAAAATGTGTGTCTTAAAAGGAAACTTGCAATTTTGTTCTGTGATGTGTGTAAATATTATGTTAGTCTTTAGAAAAATCAGAATTCTTTGTAAAATACAGATATCTTACCAATAGATACTCAGTATCAGCTTTCATAATAAACACCCTCAATCCTATTTGTAATAAAATGTTTAGCAAATAAATGAAAGGAGATAAAAGATACAGGATGCAAATGTATTCACTAGCGTTTGTAATAGCTGTTATGGAAATCCTTGCATAGAATTGTGAAATATTCTTAGCTGAATTAAGAATACTAGTTATCTAATTAAAAATCTCCTTATTTTTGTGTCTATTGGACTCATTTCTTCCAAACTGGCAGTGGCTTGAAATGGTTATTTTCAAAGACATTGTCATTACAATAAATGAATAATTTCAGTTATTTTCTTTAATTTTCGATAGATTTGTAGATTTTACATCAGAAGCTCTACAGTTGTTTTTTACAGGTTAATGTTGAGCAATGTCTTTATAATGGTTGCCGTTTGAGCTCAGCCCCATGCATCCCCAAACCCACTCAGTATCCCCTGATCTTTAATGAAGACAACTTTTAATATTTCCAGTATTGTTTGACCTTAAAAATATTAGGTTGGCAGAGCTATCATGGATTTTTCTGTGGGCTTTTTAATAGGTTATATTTCATTTTTGTGCTTCAGAATATTTTTGAAACATGATTAGTCCCCAGAGATTTTTCTAAAAGCTGCTTCTGTGCTCCTGGGTTTTTACAGAGACACCCTGTCAAAATGTTAGGTAAATGGCAGCAGCAGCTGTGCCCCAGGACTTTCAGATCTCAGCCCTCTGAATGCTTCACCACTGTATTACAACACAGTGGTGGGATGGAGTTTTTATTCCGCCTCCTTTTGCAAGTCTTCCTGTAGCACAGTTATGTTGCTTTAATGTTAAATTATAAAAACAAGAAAAATCACAGGCTTTGGAATCAGATAGTCCTGCATGTGCCCCTGACCTCTTCTCTCCACTGAGGCAATGTTTCCCCTTTTTAAAAGGTTTCTTCTTTTTCTAGTGTGACCTCTATGACTCTCTTTTTAAAATTTAATTGGTTTGGTTTAATAACTTGGAAAGCACTCAAACTAAAAAACCTACTTGCCTGTTTTGCATGTCAATTAATTAATATCTGTGGCTCATTAAATTAAATTTCTTTTAGTAATTTACTTTAAAAAACATAAATATCTACTGTCAGCATTTCCTTTAGTAGCCTTTTAAAATGTGTTACACTATTTTAGTTAATAAATTCCCTTATTTCAAATTTTTTCCATTTGTTTATTCAGAGGGATTTCTATTTTCTTTTTTTTTTTAAATGAGACACTAATGCATTTCCACTGTCTTATTAAGGATGCTGAGCACAAACGCTCAGTTGAGCTATTCCTTTTCATTCTCATTTTCTTGACCAACACATGCCCACTGTCTCAATTAATTATTACCATGTAACAAACTATTCCAAGCCTTTGTGGTTTAAAGTATCCATTTACATTTTGCCAACAATTTGTGGGACAGGCATCTGGGAAGAGTTTAGCTGGGTGGGTCATCTCTGAGGCACGTTGACTCAGTGCTGGGGATTGAAGGTCCCCTTCTAAGAGAGTTTTTTGACTGCATGTCGTTTGATACTCCTTGGTGTCTCTGTCTCTCTCCCCTGTTTCCCCCCACTTACTGTCTCTCTCTGTCTGTCTCATGGTGTCTCATCCTGCAGGGCTTTTCCAGTTGCATTGGACTTTTTACCTGTGATGGTCTCAGAGTAGTCACATTTCTTATGTGACAGCTGGATTCCAAGGGCCAAGTCACGAAAATCACCAGGCTAGTTAAGGGCCACACCTAGAATTGGCAAAGGGTCACTTCCACATATTGTATGGGTCAAAGCAATGACAGGCTTGCTCGCATTCAAGGGAGTGGAGAAAGACTCCACCTTTTTGTGATTCAGTGGCAAGATGACATTACAGAAGAGCATGTGGGATGGAAGACATTGTTGCTGTCCTCTTTGGAAAACATGACCTGCCACATCCACCCACAACTGAGAACCACAGATGACAAAGAAGAGATAGTTTTGTTTGCTTTACCCGCCTCAAGGAGGTGAACTTGGCTCAACTTCCTGCTTCACAATTGAAGTCAGGATTGTGGTCTTACTTATACCATAATGAAGTTAATAGGTAAACCTGTAATCTCAGGGAAAACCATGGAAAACGATGAAAAGCATATCAGGACTTAACGCAATAGATGACGTCCAACTTTTTGAATGGACATTCAATTAGCTGATAATTTTGGTAGTTAGATAACTATGTACTATCACTTAGAATGTATATTTTGTGAACTCATTTTCATTTGAAACATCTTAGGTTTTTGGAAGACTGATTTATTTTCTGTGTGTGTATGTGTGTGTGTATACACACACGGAGATAGAAAGAGAGACAGAGGAGAGAGATATACCAAGGACTATCAAAGCAATGCAGTATACACAAACACATAGTTAATTACCATAATGTTATATGTTATGATCTTGTGTGATTTTTACATGTTTATATTTGGAATCTTAATATGATTAGTATAAGGCTACCATATCATTGATTTAATCATAGTTTGAAAATATATAAATTTTCTTTCAGATGTTTCTGAGTTCAAGCACATATCCTGAAATTCATGGTTTCTTACATGCGAAAGAACAGGGAAAGAAGTCTTGGAAAAAAATTTACTTTTTTCTAAGAAGATCTGGTTTATATTTTTCTACTAAAGGAACATCAAAGGTAAATTGAAGTATCCATGATGTGTTATGACTGACATATTAAGCTGTAAGTTAAAACACGTTGACTTTGTTGTATTTATTACTTTATTACTTGATGTCAAAGGTTGGTCTTTGATTTTCTTGATTTAAAACGTTTGCCTTGATTATTTAAACACTACTCAGCTTTACTTCACACTGGTTTCAAAGTGTAGTATCTTTGATGGAGTCTGGATACTCTTATTTCAGTACAACGTATGTTACTCCTTTGTCCTCACTCTGAATTCACTCCTTTCTCCTCATCCTTGGCTTCAGAGTTTGAAGCCTGATGTAGTGTATACCTTTTCTTTTTACCCCAGGTCATACTGCTGATCTTGTCTACTTCTGAATCTCTGTTGATCAACATCAACAGAACAGTTAATAATAGAACAGTTAATAAAATGTCTCTTCTGAGTCATTTATTGCTCTTTTATTATTGATTGATGGATTTATTTCAATAGGTTTTTAAGGAACAGGTAGTGTTTGATTACCTGAGTAAGTTCTTTAGTGGTGATTTCTGAGAGTTTGGTGCACGCATCAACAGGCAGAATACACTCTACTCATTGTATAGTCTTTTATCCTTCACCCCCTCCCACCTTTTCCCTGAGTCCCCAAAGTCCATTGTATCATTCTTATTCCTTTGCATTCTCATAGCTTAGCTCCCACTTATGGGTGAGAACATACAATTTTTGGTTTTACATTCCTGAGTTACTTCGCGTAGGATAATGATCTCCAGTTCCATCCAGGCAGCTGGGAATGCCATTATTTCATTCCTTTTTATGGTTCCGTGGTCTGTCTGTCTATCTATCTGTCTGTCTATCTCACAATTTCTTTATCCACTCGTTGATTGATGGGGATTTGCGCTGGTTCCATATTTTTGCAATTGTGAATTGCGCTGCTATAAACTTGCATGTGCAAGTATCTTTTTCATATAATGACTTCCTCTGGGAAGATACCCAGTAGTGGGATTGCTGGATCAAAATGTAGTTCTACTTTTAGTTCTTTAAGGAATCTCCACACTGTTTTCCAAAGTGGTTGTACTAGTTTACATTCCCACCAACAGCACAAAAGCATTCCCTTTTCACCACATCCACACCAACATCTACTGTTATTTGATTTTTTTGATTATGGCCATTCTTGCAGGAGTAAGGTGGCATCACATTGTGATTTTGATTTGCATTCCCTTGATCTTTGGTGATGTTGAGTATTTTTTTCATATGTTTGTTGGCCATTTGTATATCTTCTTTTGAGAGTTTTTTATTGATGTCTTCAGCGTACTTTTTGATGGGATTCTTTGTTTTTTTTCTTGCTGATTTGTTTGAGTTCCTTGTAGATTCTGGATATTAGTCCTTTGTCAGATGTAGAAATTGCAAATATTTTCTCCTGCTCTGTGAGTTGTCTGTTTACTCTGATGAGTGTTTCTTTTGCTGTGCAGAAGCTTTTAGTTTAATTAAGTCCTATCTATTTATCTTTATTTTTGTTTCATTTGATTTTGGGTTCTTAGTCGGGAAGTCTTTCCCTAAGCCAATATCTAGAAGGGTTTTTCTGATGTTATCTTCTAGAAACTTTTGTGGCTTCAGGTCTTAGATTTAAGCCTTTGATCCATCTTGAGTTGATTTTTGTATAAGGTCAGAGATAAGGATCCACTTTCATTCTTCTACATGTGACTTGCCAATTATCCCAGCACCATTTGTTGACTAGAGTGTCCTTTTTCCCACTTTTTTTTGTTTGCTTTGTCAAAGACCAGTTGGCTGTTAAGTATCTGGCTTTATTTCTGTATTCTGTTCCATTCGTCTATGTGCCTATTTTTATACCAGTACTTTACTGTTTGGGTGACTATGGCCTTGTAGTATAGTTTGAAGTCGGGTAATGTGATGCCTCCAGGTTTGTTCTTTCTGCTTAGTCTTGCTTTGGTTATGCAGGCTCTTTTTTGGTTCCATACAAATTTTAGGATTTTTTTTTCTAGTTCTGTGAAGAACGATGATGGTATTTTGATGAGAATTGCATTGAATTTCTAGATTGCTTTTGGCAGTATGGTCATTTTCAAAATATTGATTCTGCCCATCCATGAGCATGGGCTGTGTTTCCATTTGTTTGTGTCATCTATGTTTTCTTTCAGCAATGTTTTGTAGTTTTCCTTGTAGAGTTCTTTCACCTTCTTGGTTAGGTATATTCCTAAGTATTTTATTTTATTTTTTTTACAGCTTTTGCAAAAGGGATTGAGATCTTGATTTGATTCTCAGCTTGGTCACTATTGGTGTATAACAGAGCTATTTATTTCTGTATGTTAATTTTGTATGCTGAAACTTTGCTTAATTCATTTATCAGTTCTAGGAGTTTTTGGGGGAATCTTTAGGGTTTTCTAGGTATACGATCATATCATCTGTAAACGATGACAGTTTGACTTCCTCTTTACCAGTTTAGATGCCCTTTATTTCTTTTTCTTGTCTGATTGCTCTGGCTAGGACTTTCAGTACTATGTTGAATAGAACCGGTGAGAGTGAGCATCCATTTCTTGTTCCAGTTCTCAGGGGGAATGCTTTCAACCTTTCCTCATTCAGTATAATGTTGGCTGTGGGTTTGCCATAGATGGCTTCGATTACTTTAAGGTATGTCCTTCTATGCCAATTTTGCTGAAGTTTTTTATCATAAAGTGTTGCTGGATTTTGACTAACGCTATTGAGATGAACATGTGATTTTTGTTCTAAATTCTGTTTATGTGTTGTATCACATTTATTGACTTGCATATGTTAAATTATCCCTCCATCTCTGATATATAACCCACTTGATCATGGTGGATTATCTTTTCAATATGCTGTTGGATTCGGTTGGCTAGTATTTTGTTAAGGATTTTTGCATCTATGTTCATCAGGGATATTGGTCTGTAGTTTTCTTCTTTTGTTGTGTCCTTTCCTGGTTTTGGTATTGGGGTGATACTGGCTTCATAGAATGATATAGGGGTGATTCCCTCTTTTTCTGTCTTGTGGAATAGTGTCAATGGGATTGGTACCAATTCTTCTTTGAATGTCTGATAGAATTCAGCTGTGAATCCATCTGGTCCTGGACCTTTTTTTTTGTTGATCATTTCTTTTATTACCATTTTAATCTCACTGCTTGTTATTGGTCTGCTCAGCGTTTTTATGTCTTCCTGGCTTAATCTAGGAGGGTTATCTTTCCAGAAATTTATCCATGTTCTCTAGGTTTTTTAGTTTATATGCATAAAGGTGTTCATAGTAGCCTTGAATGATCTTTTGTATTTCTCTGGTATTGGTTGTAATATCTCCTGTTTCATTTCTAATTGACCTTATTTGGGTCTTCTCTCTTCTTTTCTTGGTTAATCTTGGCTAATGGTCTATCAATTTTATTTATCTTTACAAAGAACCAGCTTTTGTTTCATTTATCTTTTGTATTGTTTTATTTGTTTCAATTTTATTTAGTTCTTCTCTGATCTTTGTTATTTCTTTTCTTCTGCTGTGTTTGGGTTTGGTTTATTCTTGTTTCTCTAGTTCCTTGAGGTATGACCTTAGGTTTCCTATTTGTGCTCTTTTAGACTTTTTGATGTAGGCATTTAAGGCTATGAACTTTCCTCTTAGCACTACCTTTGCTGTATCCCAGATGTTTTGATAGGTTGTGTCACTATCATTGTTCAGTTCAGAGAAATTTTTCATTTCTATCTTGATTTCATTATTGACCTAACAATCATTCAGGAGCAGGTTATTTAATTTCCATGTATTTGCATGATTTTGAGGTTTCCTTTTGGAGTTGATTTCCAATTTATTACACTGTGTTCTGAGAGAGTACTTGAAATAATTTCAATTTTTAAAAATGTATTAAGACTTGTTTTGTGGCGTATCATATGGTCTACCTTGGAGAATGTTCTGTGTGCTGATGAATAGAATGTATATTCTGCAGTTGTTGGGTAGAATGTTCTGTAAATATCTGTTAAGTCCATTTGTTTTAAGATATGGTTTAAATCCACTGTTTCTTTGTTGACCTTCTGTCTTAATGACCTGTCTAGTGCAGTTAGTGGAGTATTAAAATCCCCCACTGTTATTGTGTTGCTGTCTATCTCATTTCTTTACGTCTAGTAGAAATTGTTTTATAAATTTGGGTGCCTTAGGATTAGGTGCATATATATATTTAGGATTGTGATTTTTTCCTACTGGACAATTTCCTTTATCATTATATAATATCCCTCTTTGTCTTTTTTAACTGCTGTTGCTTTAAAGTCTGTTTTGTCTGATATAAGAATAGCTATTCCTGCTCTCTTTTGGTGTCCATTTGCATGGAATGTTTTTTCCACCCCTTTACCTTAAGTTTATGTGAGTCCCTATGTGTTATGTGAGTCTCTTGAAGACAGCAAATACTTGGTTGGTGAATTCTTATTTATTCTTCCATTCTGTATCTTTTAAGTGGAACATTTAGGCCATTTACAGTCAATGTTAGTATTGAGATGTGAGGTACTGAGGTACTATTCTATTCATTGTGCTATTTGTTGCCTGAATACCTTGTTTCTTTTTTCATCATGTTTTTGTTTTATAGGTCTTGTGAGCTGTGAGCTTTATTCTTTTTTTGTAAGATGGTGATATGGTTTGGCTGTGTCCCCAACCAAATCTCATCTTGAATTGTACTGTCATAATTCCCATGTGCTGTGTGTGGGACTTGGCGGGAGATAATTGAATCATGGGAGCAGGTCATTCCCATGCTATTCTCGTGATAGTGAATAAGTCTCACAAGATCTGATGGTTTTATAAAGGGGAGTTTCCCTGCACAAGTTCTCTTGTCTACTGCCATGTGAGATGTGCCTTTCACCTTCTGCTGTGATTGTGAGGCCTCCCCAGCCATGAAGAACTGTGAGTCCCTTAAACCTTTTTCTTTTGTAAATTGCCCAGTCTCATGCTGATAAAGTATATCTTTATCAGCAGCATGAAAACAGGCTAATACAGATGGAGTCTTGCTCTGTCACCCAGGCTGGATTGCAGGGGCACCATCTCGGCTCATGCAACCTCCACCTCCTGGGTTCAAGTGATTCTTCTGCCTCAGCCTCCCAGATAGCTGGGATTACAGGCAAGGACCACCATGCCAGGGTAATTTATGTATTTTTAGTAGAGACAGGGTTTCACCATGTTAGCCAGGCTGGTCTCGAAATTCTGCCCTCAAGTGATCCACCCACCTCGGCATCCCAAAATGCTGAGATTTATTCTTTAAAGAGGTTCTATTTTGGTGTATTTTGAGGATTTGTTTCAAGATTTAGAGCTCCTTTTAGCAGCTCTTGTAGTGCTGGCTTGGTAGTGGCGAATTTTTTCAGCACTTGTTTGTCTGGAAAAGACTGCTTAGTTTCGCTGGATACAAAATTTTTGGCTGATAATTATTTTGTTTAAGGAGACTAAAGATAGGGCCCCAATCCCTTCTAGCCTGTAGTGTTTCTGCTGAGAGATCCACTGTTAATCTGGTAGGTTTTCTTTTTTTTTTTTTCTTTTTCTTTGAGTATCCCTCTGTTGCCAGGCAGAAGTGCAGTGGCATGATCTCAGCTCACTGCAACCTCTGCCTCCCAGGTTCAAGTGATTCTCCTGCCTTAGCCTCTCAAGTAGCTGGGATTACAGGCGCACGCCACCATGGTAGGTTTTCTTTTATAGGTTACCTGATGCTTATGCCTCATAGCTCTTAAGATTTTTTTCCTTTGACTAGGCTTTGGATAACCTGATGACTATTTCCCTAGGTGATGATTTTTGTGATTAATTTCCCAGGTGTTCTTTGAGCTTCTTGTATTTGGATGTCTAGATCTCTAGCAGGCTGGGGAAGTTTTCTTTGATGATTCCCTCAAATATGTTTTCCAAACTTTCAGATTTCTTTTCTTCCTCGGGAACACCAGTTCTTCTTAGGTTTGGTCATTTAACATAATCCGAAACTTCTTGGAGGCTTTGTTCATCTTTTAAATTATTTTTTTTTTGTCTTTGTTGGATTAAGTTGAAAGCCTTGACTTTGAGTTCTGAAGTCCTTTCTTCTACTTGTTTGATTCTATTGTTGAAACTTTCCAGAGCATTTTGCATTTCTTTTAGTGTGTTCTTTATTTCTAAAAGTTGTAATTGTTTTTTATTCATGCTATCTATTTCACTGAAGATTTTTCCCTTCATATCTTGTATCATGGCTTTTTTTTTTTTTCTCACTAAGTTGAACTTCACCTTTCTCTGGTGCCTTCATGATGAGCTTAATAATCAATCTTCTAAATTCTTTTTCTGACAATTCATAGATTTCTTCTTGGTTTGGATCCATTGCTGGTGAGCTAGTGTCATCTTTTAGGGGTAAGAAGTAACTTGTTTTGTCATATTACCAGTATTGTTTCTCTGGTTCCTTCTCATTTTGGGTAACTATGTCAAAAGGAAGATTTGTGGCTGAAGGGCTGCCGTTCAGATTCTTTTGTCCCACAGGGTGCTCCCTTAATATGGTGCTCTCCCTCTTCCCCTAGGGATGTGGCTTCCTGAGAGCCAAACTGCAGTGAGTGTTATTTCTCTTTCAGATCTAGCCACCCAGTGGAGCTCCCGGGCCCTGGGCTGGTACTGGAGAGTGTCTGCAGAGAGTTCTGTGATGTGAACCATCTTCAGGTCTCTCAGCCATGGATACCAGCAGCTGCTCCAGTGAAGGTGGCAGGGGAGTGAAGTGGACTCTGTGAGGGTCCTTAGTTGTAGTTTTGTTTATTGTGCTCGTTTTGTGTTGGTTGGCCTGCAGCCCGGAGTTGGCACTGTCAAGAGCATATCAGCTGCAGTAGTACAAGGAGGATCAGGTGGTGGATGGTGCCCTGGAGCACCCAAAAGATTATGTCCTTTGTCTTTGGCTACCAGGGCAGGTAGAGAAAGACCATCAGGTGGGACAGGGTTAGGCATGTCTGAGCTCAGACTCTCCTTGGGCAGGGCTTGCTGCGGCTGCTGTAGGGGATGGAAGTGTTGTTCTCAGGCCAATGGAGTTATGTTCCCAGGGGGATTATGGCTGCCTCTGCTGCATCATACAGGTTACCAGAGAAGTGGTGGAAAATCGGCAGTTACAGGCCTCACGCAGCTCCTGTGCAGCCCAGAAGTTCAGTTTAGCTCACTCCATGCCCCGCCAACAGCACTGAGTATTTTTCCAGGCAGCAGGTGAACAGGGCTGAGAACTTGCCTCAGGCAACCAGCCTCCCAACTGAGGAGGCAAGCAGGGATTTCAGGTTTTGCACCTCCCTACCTGCCAAGGCTTCTGTACTGTGTTTGCACTCCTGATTCACCCCCTCCCCCAGGTTCTGTCTAGGAAACAATGAGTCAGTTGAAATTGTTACAAAGTTCAGCTGGAATTTTCCTTCTCTCTGTGGTCTTTTCCAAGTTCCTCTGGCAGCCCTCCCCAGGGACCCCTGTGAGACAGTCAGAAAAGGCTTCCCCAGGGACCGAGAGTGCCCACAGGCTCTTCCTGCTGCTTTTTCTACCCTGTATTTCACTCAACTCTAAATTTGTCTCAGCTGTAGGTAATGTCAAATCCTTCTCCTGTGATCTGGACCTTCAGGTTCCGCAGTGAGGGTGTGTGTTCAGGGGTGGACGATCCCCCTTTTCACACTTTGGGTACTCACAGTTTTTTGGCTGTCTTCTGGGGGCCCTGAAGCAGCAATTCATTTCCTTCAAAGGGTCTGTGGATTCTGTTGGCTTTCCTTGTATGTTCCTGTGGTGGTTCTTGGAGCAAAAGTTCACAATGTGAATCTCCTCATGCTGTTCCGCAGAGTGGGAGCTGCAAGTTAGTCCTGCCTCCTGTTCCTTTACTTCTCTTTAGTTATTTTGTGTGTGTTATTTTGTCTCCTTACATACATTGTAAATTCCTAGAGGAAGTTATGATGCTGTCATCAGGGATGAATAGATATATTTGTCTACATGCTTATATGTTTACCTATATAATGGTTACATAGATACACATGTGCAGAAGTTTATATGCACATACATTATCACTTAAACATAAATGTGTATTCTACAGTGCTGCCTGGTTTCTGTGTCTAGTCTATGTCCATTATGTTATATAGTCTTTGGCATACAAGTGTTGACATTTTATGCAACGCATTGGTGTCTTTCAAGTAAAAATTCTTTTGAGAATTTTTATGGGAGGTTATTATTATTCTATTTTCATGCATCTATAGTTGTCAATGACAACACTGTTGCTTCTTTATGGGTTAAACTGTCTTTTTTCTCTGGCAGTTTTTCAAACATTCTTATAAGCTTTGGTGTGCAGTAATTTCCCTGCTATATTACTAGGTGTGTTGAAATATAGTCTGCTAAATCTTGCTTGATTCTTAGCACACACATTCAATCTGCAAACTCATCTTTTTTTCATACTAGAAATGTACATCCATTATTTATTTGACTACTTCTTTTCTATTCTTGTTATGTGATCTTTTGCATTTGTCTTAGGATTTTCTGTCTTGGCTAGTTATGACTTCAGATGTCCCATGGCTTGTCTCTGCCTTTGTATTCACAGGGCCTTCTCCCTTTCTCTCTGTATGTCTCTTATAACAACACTTGTCATTGGATTTTGGGCCCACCTAGATAATCTCATCTCAAGATCCTTAACTTAATTATATCTTCAGTGACCCTTTTTCTGAATTAAGGTTACATTTATAATTTCCTGGTATTAGGGCATGAGCATATTTTTTGGGGGGCTACTATTCAATCCACTACAGAAAGCCATTGAAGTGTTTGAACAAGGGAGTGAAATTACCAAAAGAGTATCTTGAGATTAGTTTGGTCACAGGGAGCTTAAAAGATCAAGGAGACAGAGAGTGAAAGAGAGAAAAAGAGACTGAAGGGAAGAAGGCAAAGGAGGCAGAGAGGGAGGAGTGGGAAGGAAAGAGAAAGAGAGAGAAGTAGAGAGAGAGGGGCCACAAGATTAAATGGCAAAAGGCCAGATTTGTGTGGCTGATTGATATCAAAGAAGAGGAAGCAGTTAAAAATGTTCTTAAAGATAAAAGAAAATTAAGAAATAGAAAATAAAAATAAACAGGAATAGCATATTTACTAGAAGGTAACTCTCTTAGAAGACAAATAGTGATCTTAGTTCTGGATATGTTTTATTGAGGATGAAGCAAACAAATGGCAATGCTCAAAACAGCTAACGACGGAGACCAGATGTTTGGGTAATGGTCTTGATAGGAGATATGGAGCTGCAAAATAGTTATACCTGACTTTTTCCCATATTTTCCCCCAACTGCTCTTGTATAGCTTCCTTCTTTCCCTCATACACAGTTTTCTTTTGTTGCTGTTCTTGTGTGTGGGTCTTATGTGTGTGCATGTATTTCCTTGTGGTATAATGCTTCATGAACCACTACCTGGCTACCATCTATGTTTGCTCAAGGCCCTGGGTCTCTACAGTCAGCACGTAGTGAAGCCTGCCAGGCTTGTGTCCTTCCCTCAGGGCAGCAAGTTCCCCCAGTCCCTGGGTTGGTCTAGAGATGCCATCTGGGAGCCAGGGACTATAGCCAAAAACCCTGGAAATCGGCCAGGTGTGGTGGCTCACACCTGTAATCGCAGTACTTTGGGAGGCCAAGGTGGGTGGATTACCTGAGGTCAGGAGTTAGAGACCAGCCTGGCCAACATGGTGAATCCCCTTCTCTACTAAAAATACAAAAATTAGCCAGGCGTGGTGGCACAAGCCTGTAATACCAGCTACTCAGGAGGCTAAGGCAGGAGAATCACTTGAACCTAGGAGGCAGAGGTTGCAGTGAGCCGAGATCACGCCATTGCCCTCCAGCCTGGGCAACAAGAGTGAAACTCTGTCTCAAAAAACAAAAACAAACAAACAAACAAATAAACAAAAAACCTTGGAAATCTACCTGTTGTTCCATTCTACTGTGGCTTAGCAGGCACTCAAACCATGAGACGCAGGCCTTCCCACTCTTCCCCCCACTTTTCACTGGCAGAGGAGCCTCACCTCTGGCCACTATTACTACAAGTCCCCAGGGAGTACTGCTAGCAACTGCTGATGTTCATCTAAGGCCCAAGGGCTCTTCAGTCATCTTGTGGTGAATGCCACCAGGTCTGGGACTCGCCCTTCATGGTAGTGGACTCCCCTCTGACTCAGAGCATGTCCAGAAATGTCATCCAAGAGCTGAGGCCCAGAACTGGGGACCCCTCAGAACCATCCTGGTGCTCTATCCATCTGTGGCCGAGCTAGCATCGAACATACATTGAACATACAGGACAAAGTCTCCTTTACTTTTCCCTCTGTTTTTCTCAAGCAGAAGGAATCTCTCACCATAGTCACCACAACTGCAAATGTGCTAGGTTTCACCTGAAGCCAGCATGTCTTAGGATCTATCTTAGGATCTCATCCAAGTCCCATGGATTACTGCCTGGATATCACTGCTGGTTATTCAGGGCCCAAGATCTCTTAGTCAGCAGGTGATGGATCCTGCCAGGACTAGGTTTTTCCCTTCAAGGCAGTGGGTTCCCTTCTGGCTCAGGGTGTGTCTAACAATGTCATCTGGGAGCTACTTTCTGAATAGGGGCCTCACAACTCTGGTGCCCTGTCCTACTGTGGCTAAGCTGGTATCCAAGATGTAAGACAGAATCCTCTTTACTCTTCCCTCTCCTCTCCTCAAGTGGAAGGAAGGGATCTCTTTTTGGAGCCACGAGCTGTGCTGCCTGGGCTTGTGGGAAGGGTAGTGCAAGGACTCCCGTAGCCACCCCAGCTGTTGCTCACCAGCTTGTGTGCCCTCCAAGTGCATGGCTTCCAATCCCAGCTCATCACTAGGACTTGCTTAGGAGTTGCAGTCCTTGCAGCCTAGACTGCCTTTCATGTCTATTTAGGGCTCAGAGCAGTTTAGTCCGCAGTTGGGAGGCTCGCCAGAACTCGAGTTCCAACTGCTGGGATGGGCGGTTCCCCTCTGGTTAGGGCTGGTCTAAATCCTCCCTCCATGGGTAGGTGTCAGCTGAGTTCAGTTCGGTTTTGCTTTCCACTGTGACAGGGCAGCACTGAGTTCAATGCAAAGTCTCATAGTTACTGTGCTCTCCCTCTCCCAAGTACACAGATTCTTTCTCCTGCTAAGGAACAGGCGAGGGGAGGTACTGACAATGTAAGACTGTCTTTCCTACCTCCTTCAGTGCCTCTTTCAGTGATATGAAGTCCCCAGGGAGTACTGCAGGGACTGCTGATGTTCACTTAAGGCCTAAGGGCTCTCCAGTCATCTTGTGGTGAATGCACCAGGACTGAGACTCACCCTTTATGGTAGTGGGCTCCCTTCTAAAACCAGGTACTGTGAGTGCTCATCTGATTTTGGTTCTTAGAAAGGTGCTTTTTTTTGGTGTAAATGTTAAATTTGGTGTTCCTGCTTGGGGGAGGATAGGTAGAGCCTTCTGTTCAGACATCTTGCTCTGCCCCTCCTAATGTCACATATGGCATTTCTACCTGCAAAGAAACCATTTCCTATCCTTTTCTCTGAGGAGGTCTTGATTGGTTTTAGTTCTAAATTTAGTTAACTACTGCTGCAAATCTTAAAGATGTGGTCATGAATATATTTACAGAGAAATCTCTAAGTACGCTTCTCTCCACCTCCCCATGTCCGTACACATGGGGAAATGTACAAATGTACACATACTTAGATTTTGCTAACCATGCCCGTTCAACTTCATAGCCTTATAGTGCCATAAGCCTTAGCAGTGGTGGAACAAAAATCAAGAGAAAAAAACTCATCATACCTCTTATTGCCTTCCAGTGTTTCTCAAGCTACCTTTTACTCTTGTTTGAATAACTGAACTATATTGACTTCTACAGCATCAGTGGACAGGAATGGTTTTATTCCATCTTACTAGAAATCAAACATTTTTACCAGCAAATTAATTTTTATCCAGGAATAAGATTTTTAAAGCCAGGGCAATAAGCTTACCTTTCTCTTTCCTCCTACCTTTTTCCGAGGGTCCTATTCTGGGTCTTTTTAAAGCAATTTTCTTTCCTGTCTTATTCTCCAATGGTGTTAGAAACTACAGTCATTCATTCGATTAAAATGCTTAAGAACAGTGAATACAGAGAAACTCTTGTTCTGCCAGTTATCAGAGGTGGAATAACACCGGTAAATGACAATGAAAGATTCTTTTGGTTTTTGGATTTGAATGGGGTTGCCCGTTTTGCTCAGTGTGTTCTTCTGTGGGGTGTTTTTTTTTTTTTTTTTTTTTCCACTGCTTCTCAAATTTTACTGCTTATGAATCACCTGGGATCTTGTTAAAATGCAGATACTGATTCAGGAGGTCTGGGATGAGCCCTGAAAGTTTGCATTGCTAACAAGCTCCCAGGTGATACTGATGCTGCTGGTCTGAGACCACACTGCTAGCAGCAAGGTTTTAGAGAACAAATGCATTTTGGTCAGATTTGATTATACATTCAACCTCAGAATTAAGCACTTCTCCAAGTTATTAACCTATCACAGAATAATATGACCTAGTGATTTCCCATGACCAGTTTTAAATCTCATGGATTTCCCAGAGAAGAAATAGCTGTTCATGATTCCACTTTGCGTTGAAAATCAGAAACATTCCTCTGCCAGCTAATTTCCCTGAACTCATCTATCTGTACAGACTTTCTTTCTTTCCTTTTGTAAAGTTAGAGTCGCTGCTTCCTGTGGTGTGTTCCACTGTACACAAATGTGAGGGATGACTGTGTGTGAATGAAGCAGGAATCATTGTCTTGTTCTCATTTATCTTCTCTAACTGCTATGGAAGCTCAAACCAACCTTCTCCCCTTTGTTGAGCTACCATTATTTGAAAGCTGGATGAGGAATACGTTTCCAAAAGCCAATCTTTGCTAACTTTTTTCTCTCTCAGATTCCTTGAAATGGTGGTTAAAGAGAATCGGAAGTTTAAAACAGGAATTTATTTATATTATTGGAAATTAAATTATAAACAAAATTTTCACTTCTCAAATTAAATAAAATTGTATCCAGCTCCTGGTTAATTAAAGATATGGCAGCTTAGATTTTTTTTCTCCTTTTATTTTTGTGGCATCATATTGAACTTCTGTTGGTCATAAGTTTTTGCCCAAGGTATAAATTATATAATATAAACACACAAAAAAGATAATGCAAAAATATGTATCCATGTCAATACTTTTTTTTTTAAGGAACCGCGGCATTTGCAGTTTTTCAGCGAATTTGGCAATAGTGATATTTATGTGTCACTGGCAGGCAAAAAAAAACATGGAGCACCGACTAACTATGGATTCTGCTTTAAGGTACAGGCTTAATATTTTGATAGATGAATAAAGCAAGCCTCAGCCTTTTAGGTAAGCTTGAGTTTCCTTTAATTGCTTTTGAAAAGAGACAGCTTTCTCTTATATATAGGAGAATTTTAGTGGCTTTTATTTCAACAGGTGTTACCTTCAAGATATGCATTAACGATAAACAATGTGCTGTGGCCTTCTAGCCTAACAAAGCGGGAGGGCCCCGAGACCTGAAAATGCTCTGTGCAGAAGAAGAGCAGAGTAGGACGTGCTGGGTGACCGCGATTAGATTGCTTAAGGTAATCTCGCCGGAGGCATGAATTTCTATTAACTGCTGTGAGTACCATAAAAGTTAGAAAATATCTGTATTTCAGAACGTGAAGTCTCACTGGGTGGCTACATGAGAAAGAAGAAAAATAACCACCAAATGTGTATGTTTTTAAAATTCTAAATGATAAACATTTTCGGAGTAGAGTGGAATAACCTAATACATTTCTGTTTTGTGTGTGGAGTAAGTATTCCATTTCTAGAAATGTTCTGATTTTCACTTTTGTGAAGGTATTACATAGCCAGTGTAACTGAATGAAATGTCTCCTATACATGACTAAGTCTGCACTCTTAAAACGTTGCCAACAATCCAAGGTAAAGTGTATTTTAAAATGTGCCCACCCTTGAGATATTTAATGTAACTGTTTTGTGTTCGATTCGTGTTTTATAAATTGCTTTCTAGTTTAATAAGCATGACTCAAATTATTGTACAATTTTACTATGAATATATTTTTTAAACATCTACTCTCGTGCTAAGTAGAAATTACAACTTCCGTAAGCATAATTTGTTGCTGCTGAGCAATTTTGAAATGAGTAACAATATTCTAAAGGTAGACTCTCATAGGAAATAAAAGCAGAACTGATGTCTTCCAGAATGTATAGAAAGCATATTTATTTTCAAAAACTGTTTGCCAGAAAATTGAGCAAAACTTAAACTGTATACTTATCAACTATTTCCTTTTAAAGATACTGATTTGGTAGTCACAGTTAGGGAGGAAATTACAAAATTTTGTTGTTGAAAAGATACAATCCAGGGAAAGTGCCCGTCCACATTAGTTAGTATTGCTGCTGCTGAAGCCAACAAAATACATAATTTATTGTTATTATTAAATTTTTGGTTTAAAATAAGAGCATTAACATTTTCTAAGGTACTCTTTATAATTTATGCCTAGGCACTAATATAATTTGCCAATATATTGATTATGCATATTATATGTGTATTAGATATATATAATCCTTTTCTTACCACAGGAAGATTTAGATTATTAACAATGCGTGTACTAAAACTAGCTTTTCAATATAGTTAGAAATGAAAATCAGAGAAGCTGGAGCACTGTGAAGTCCTTAGGTTCCCCCATTTCATTTACCCTGAAGAAGGGGATGAAGTAAACTTTTCAATTGATTTGCAGTTTGTATATTTTCCAGGTGTACTTTTTTTCTTCTGCCTTTGCCATTTTTACCTCTTCTGCTCTCTGTTGACTTTTTCCTAGCATCCAACTTAAGAGATATCAGGGTAAAGAAGGACAGAATAGTAATAATCAGAATCATTATCATACCAGGTTTAGAAGAAAGTTTTATTTTGTATTCTTACAATTTTTAAATTGAGGTAAAATTCACAAAATATAAAATTAATCAAACTATTGTTAATGTGAATAATTCAGTGGCGTTTAGTGCATTCAGTTCCAAGACATTTTAATCACCTCAAAAGCAAACTCCATACCCATTAAGCAGCTACTCCCACACCCTAGCAATCACCAATTTGCCTCTGTCTGTGTGGATTTACCTATTGTAGGTATTTCATATAAATGGAATCATACAGTATGTGACCTTTTGTTTCTGACTTTTACTTAGCATAGTGTTTTGTGGTTCACCAACATTGAAGCATATGTTAGCTCTTTATTCCTTTTTATGGCTGTGTACTATTCCATTGTATATATAGCTCTCTATATCTATCTATATGTTGGATAAACACAGTTTATCCATTTTTTCACTGATGGACATTTAGGTTGTTTCTACCTTTGGCTATTGTGAATAGTGCTGCTATGAATATGTGTATATGTATTTGTTTGAGTACAGGTTTTCGATTTTGGGGGAATACATGTTGTAATGAAATTGCTTATTGTATGGTAATTGTACATTTAATTTTTTGAGAAATTGCCAAAATGTTTTTCCACAGTGGCTGAACCATTTTGCATTCCTACCAGTAATGCATGAGAGTTCCAATTTCTTCATATATTTGTCAATACTTGTTATTTACTTTTTTTGGTTCTTGTTCTTGTCAATTATGGTCATTCTAGTGGATGTGAAGTGGTATTGGAAGAAAGTTTTAACAAATGATTTAAATGAAGCTTTTTGTTTAACTGAAATTTACATTCTTTTGCTGTTTTGGCAGATAGCCACCATGTTTACTTCTTTATGAGAGGTTTGCTTGTTTTTCAAATATTCTGCTGTTAAAGTCACCTGAGAAGCTTTCTGAATTTACATGTGGTCCCCGCCCCATCCTTAAGGATTCTGAATAAGAACTACTAACTTTGTCCAGCCCTCCAGTTTTACAGATAAAGAGGCTGGTACTCTTTGGAAGGCTCTACTCCATCAAGAGTTATGGTAGAGAAAATTTCTTGTGGTTTTTGGTTTTCTCTGTTTTTCAAAACTGGAAATCAGGCTAGGCTGCAAAGAGGATGTTCTTCAACCTTGTTAACCCATCTTCCTCCCTTCTAACTTGGGCTTAAAGTTTGACACCCAAAACAGAAGCAGGTGGTAAGCCCACTTCCTTTAATCAGCATTTCACTTAATCTAAGAAGCCATTGGTTTTTACCAGGAGACATCACTATTTTTATTAGCATTAAAAGGAAAAAAAATGATGCCAATAAAATGATGATATGATGCTTTCATATCACTTACAATTTTTGTTTTATTTATTCAGATAGTTTTGTTAGGTTTATTTGAACCTAGATTTTTGTAATTTAATCACTTTTGTTTGTATACACTCAGATGTATATACATATGGACATAAATGTATTTTACACATACACATATATATGCATTAAGTATATACACACATAAATATAAAATAAAATATATAAGTAGAATACATTAATTGAGGTATCTTTAAAACTTCTTCTTATTCTAAGCCTGGCTTTTCTGAATCATTTTCATCTCAGAGTCACAGATACCTGTATTTTCCACAGGATATGGCATGGGGCTGTGTTCCACTGATATTGCGTGTGCAAGGTTTGATGCTGGTGATTTCTTGATCCCACCAAAGGTTTCGGGCAATGACAAATCACTGGGTCCATAGTGAATGTAAGATGTTATAGATTATAGGATGCAGTTGAATTTATAGATGTTAAATTTCGAAATGCACATCTAAAAATGGGTGAAATACACTAAAAGCTTTCTTTAATTCTTCCATTTCAATGAGGCTTATTTTCTGGAATAATGTTCCCTTCTCACTATTTTTTCTCATCTTACTGTTCTTAAGGCATCTTTCAATCAGATTCCCAGTTCAAAGATGCGTCATTGTGTTGGTTTTCTATGACTGCTGTAACAAATTACCACCAGGGTAGTGACTTAAAGCAACATAAATTTATTGTTCTTTAGTTCAGAAGCCTGAAATGAGTCTTACTGGATTAAGTCAAGGTGTTGGCAGAGCTGCATTTCTTACTGAAGGCTCTAGAGGAGAATCCAGTTACCTTGCCTTTTGGCAGCCTTTAAAATCCACCCAGACGTCTTGTCTGGGGGCCCTTTCAACATCTTCAAAGCCAACACTGTCACAGCAAGTATTTCTCACACTGCCATCTCCCTGGTACTGCCTCTTCTGCCTCTCCCTTCCACTTATTAAGGCCCCTTGTGATTACAGTGGGCCCACATGGATAATCCAGGACCATCACCCCACCTTACAATCAGCTGATTGACAACCTTAATTCCCTTTTTCCATGTAGCTTAACATAGGCTCTGGAGATGAGGATGTGGACATCTTTGGGGGACCATTATTCTACCTACCACATCCATGTTTCCTGTTCATTTCAATAATGGCGAAGCTTTTCCAGATGAGGCTGAAGAGGGAAGGAGGCATCTGTGAGGCCCTTTATCTGGAACCTGTGAGAACCCAAACAGGAAAGAGACATGATATGATCTCTTTTACACTGTAAAATACCCAGATCACAGGAAGCCAGGGCTTGCTCCAGGTCTCACAACACAGACACGCTTGTGGCATTCTAATGGTGGAGTGAGTTGGCTTCCCTGGCAACTTCTTGTCAGCAGGGCTCCTCCTGTTGGATCCCCCTGGCTGGTGCAGCTGGGATCACCTGATGGTAGAAGTGTCTTTAACACCTACTTTGTTTTCTTTTGTTGTCTACTGTGTTATTTCCAGCGTTTACCATTGTACTTAGCGGGAATGAACAAGGAGATATTATCTTGGCTAAACCGAGAGTGCCCTCTTTTTTCATCACACACCACTTGTTAGAAACAGCCTCCCACCAAGAATTTGGCCACTTGTTTTATTCTTACGTCCTTTTCTTTTATATATATGTAAAGTCTTCATATGGATCAGATGGAGACTCTCTTTTTCTCTTTGGATAAATTCTAATTACATATAGAATTATAGAATATCTGAGACTTAGAAAATGGGAGATTTTCTCACATGTAATGTCCTAGTTACATGTTGTCTCTTTTCCTTCCCTTCAATTAGAACTCTGCAAGGTCCTCTCTAACATATTTTGGTCCCTTATCTGCCCCTCCATAGGATGGGGAAATGTTAAGGTGACCCCCGCCCTACCTCTTGTCCAGAGTTAAATGCCTACTAAAGACCTTCAGAAGCACAGAGGCAACTACCTAACACTGCAGGTACCAGGGACAATATATCTTTGAAGAAAACAGACTTATTAGTAGGCAGCTGGCTTTTCAATGCAGATTAATAAAAGGTGGCCAAACAGCATGTTTCTTGTGAAAGTGTTGGTTTGAGGTTATTATATATTCTCCAAAATGAATTTGACTAGGAATTAAGCTCCTTTGCCTTCTTTTTAAAGCTATTGTAGGCTTAGAGTTGATTTGAAATAAATTTCATTAGGTCCCATTAATGTCAATCAAACCTTAAATTAAAAAATAATTTTTAGAAGTTGGGAAATAATTGGATAAGAAGTCAACACAGAGAATTTTAAATGAATGTGGGTTTGCATTCATGTTAAAAGCAAAATCTTGAAAACAGTGACTCCTTTAGACCTCCTCTGATTTTTTTTTTTTTTTTTTTTTTTTTTTTTTTTTTGCCTAATTACCAAATATACCCATTGTGCTAGAATTGCTTTTAAGGGAATGACTATTTTTCTTTAGTAGAAAAACAGCTCTGCTGGAATGTTTAAATAGAATTTATCCTTCAGGTAAGATTTGATTCCATGGTGTCTATTTAATCTCTTTTATATAAAACCTAACTTTTAAGTTCATTATGGCTCTATGAAATGGACAGAATTGCAGAATCTAGGGGAAAAAAGGCTGTTTATTCCATTGTTTTATTTTTCTTTTCTTTTTTTTTTTTTTTTTTAACAAAGTAGCTTAAACCTAAAGGAGGTTAGCTTCCAAATTCAGATGTGGAAACCTCCAGGACAAGTTTGGTTTTGGCAGTTGGCATTCTTACTGTTTTTCAAACTAATAATCCAGTTATAATCCAGACCGGTTTTCCAATTCTGTCCTGCCAGCTCAATCCATATGATGCTGCCTCCTGAAAGTGAAGACACTGAAATTCTTATCTTCTACCACTTATATTGTACCTTGAAAGCTTTCATTTGAAATCAGCTTGATTCCTCACTATTTTGGTTTCCAGGAATTTGAAGTAAAAAATTAATAATGGCATTAATAGTTTTGATATAAGGATGCTATATTGTCAATAATTTTCAACATAGGCCCATGTTTATGGATTTACCAGAGGGAAAGTAAATCATTAGTCATTCATCAGAGAGGTACAATAAATTTTGCACAGTGTTGCTTAGGATGTGTGTGAAGTTTTTGGAATCTTTGTACCAGAAAGCACATCGCCCTTCCCAAGTGAGTTTTTTTTTTTTTATCATGAGGCAGTGTACTACTCCAGATAGTTGTGGTACAATTTGGTGCTAAGAATAATGAGTAGATATGTCAGCTCCTGAAGTCTGTACTGGTGAGCTGGACCTTAAGTTGTAGGTCTAAGTAAAAGACTTCAATTGTCTTTTTAAATGTATTGTTGCAGGGCACTAAAAGTTCATCTTTCAAAATTTTGGTTGCTTTACTTGTTTGCTTTAATTGTTTTTATATTTATATTGTATAATTGATGAAAGTGTTGATTTTCATAGATTATCAGAGTAGTAAAAGTGGTGGGAATGTGTTTTATTTATTTATTCTGCAGTATGGCATGCAGCTGTACCAGAATTATATGCATCCATATCAAGGTAGAAGTGGCTGCAGTTCACAGAGCATATCACCTATGGTAAGGACCAAATTTTTGAGCCTGTGTTTTATTTTACATTCACATTATATTAATTTAAATTACACTACATAACAGTATCTTATAATAATTTATGTTATTTTCTGTTGGTAAAGTAACTCTTTGGCACCATTCTAGTATAATGTTACATTGAATTTTTTATTTTTGGATTTTATTTGCTTGCAATCTATGTGATAAAATCATATCATTATACATAAAGTATTTAATAAAATATATAATAGTATATGTTAAAGTTTTAAATATTTGAAACAATTATGTGTCTTTCTGTGTCATTACAACATTTGAAGATTAGATCTTAAAAATATAATTTATAGAACATATTCCTTGGCATTGTAGATTGTGTTTTGTTAATTATTGGTTTTGATTGTGGTTTCATATTTTATTTTAATACCGATTCTGGGATTGTCACAATCTAGTATAAAGATGCCAGTGATTTGAATTTTAAAAGCTACAGTATACACATGTGAGCTCTTTTGCATTCTGGCTAACAATAATTTTTTTAAGTTCCAGGTCCTTTAAAAGCAGACTGCTTTCCAGGAAACCCAAAAACTGCAAGCCAAAATATAGGTCGTGTGTTACATTAACTCTAGCACTGCTTTTCAGACTTATACTAAATGTAACTTGGATATTTATTTGCAGACACACACAGACACATCTTTTTCCTTCTTTAGGATCTAATTTTAATTTTGTGTGCATTAACATAAGAAATGTATTTCTGAACTTAAGATTTATGTTCTGCTATTTTTGCTGCACTCCTTAAGATAGGGTATATTAGGAATTCAGATGTATGCACATGTGTTACAAATCAGTTAATGTGCATTTTTTTAATCTACATTTTCACTTAGGTTAAAAATATGCTCTTCATGTATGTGACCAGGGAAGGTGCATTTATCCCACATGTAATGTAGTAGATGAAATGCTCAGTTCTAGGAATGAAGCATGAAATAATGTTGATTATGAAACCTGATAGACTATATAGAAAAAGAACTCCAATTTTGTAGTTACGTCACTTTAACTTATGGAAGAATAACTTTCCATCTTTGTATGGTATTACTTTTAAGCCCTAAAATAAGAAACTAAGGGGCACAGTGAATTTTTATAAAAGCAATCATGTTAAGATGAATGTTTTTACATTTTTTCAGCTTACTCTTATCTTTCAATTCATATGTATATAAAAATAATAATGAATTTTATTATATTAATCCTTTCCTAAACTCCTCCAAATTTCTTTTAGAGTCCAAAATTATTAGGATGAACATGTTAATAGCAGCCAAATATTTGGAGGCAATTATTTAATGTCCTCTTAATCATAGGAAAAATGGTTATAAATGAAGTTCTTCCTATTCTCATCACTGTCAGCATACATGTATGGTATTACCCTTGTCTTTTTCCATTGAAGGTGATGCTGCTATTGATCTAGATGTGGATAACAGTTTAGTGTAGCTTTCCTTGTTCAGTGCCAGGTAAAGGAAGAGATACTCCTTGAGTGAGTTTGGTTGGGAATAGCAGTTGGAGGATGCAGGTGCCTGTGTGGTAAAGAACCATCCTGTCTAGCACTTGTCCTAATCAGATACAGTAGTATGTGAGAATTACATCTTTAATATTATTAATTTACATGAAGGAAACTTAGAATCTGTTTTGGGAAGTAGTTGTGTTGACTTTGGTGTCTCTATAAAATCTCACTTTTCCAGATTATTTGGGAAGAATCAGGGGCCTAAAAGATGCCAGTACTCTTTACCAGCCTTTGTTGCTTTTCATCCGGGGACTATTTTCAGCGATTAACATATAAGTTTTTAGTATATATTGTAGTATAAAACTTTAGTTATATTTTTAAAGGAACAATATTATTTTCTTTCTTTTCCTAACTTTTCCAGGTATACATTTTGAGAAAGGAAATGAGAAAAAAAATTCTCAAACCATAATGAACATCTTAGCTATATAAAGGATGTAACAGCCACCCCATCAGCCTTTGAAGTGAGAATCAATCAGCAGCAGACATTTCAGGAAGCCAAATATATTTGGTCCTTTTTAGGGAAAACAAAGGATTCATTTAAAGGAGCATTTATCAATATTGCCCTGGCTGGAGTGAGGGGACGGAGGGTTGGGGAAGGCGAGTCTACTCAAGCTCTTTTTATGCTTCACTTTTGACCTGAGGATAGACATTCTAAACTGCAATTCCTCCACTGTATTTCCCACTCTATGGAACATAAAAGAACCCTACAACAGACATATCTGTTACTGCTTTTACCATAAGCTGCCTGTGTGACTTTGGTCAAGTCACTGGTATCCTGCAGTGTAAAATGAGGGTGATGGTTGTATAATCTAGAAACCATTACATTTCTGATGTCTGTAGCTTTGTATAAAGCAAATGAGAGAAAAATATCTGAAGAAATTGTGTGCCCTTTTGCTAATGATGGCACTGTAAGTTTATCTAAATCCTTCAAATGGGATGATACTGGTTGTCACCTAGCCAAACTTCCTGAAAAACCATTTTATGTGCAGCCTCACTAAGAATTAGTAGATGTGATCTCAAAGTATGGGCTGGATAATCCAGGGTATACCCAGACCTATTTTTTTTCTTAAAAAGAAAGAAAGTCATGCCATTAAAATCATGGACCCCTTTTTTAGGGCCTTCTCTGTTCATCTCCTAAGAAGGAAGAGCTAGAAAAGGGGAGAAGTGTTGGAGAAATATAACCAATTCTGAATGTTATCAACATTGCTTTTCTATGTGAAAGAAATTGATCTGAAAATGACCTTTTGAGTTTGTCAGACTCTGCTTTACTTCCATTTTTTTGTCCACCAATGGTAAACTATTAATTTTCTATCTACCACCTGCCATTCAGTAGAAGACATTTGCTATAGTCCTGTGTTTTCCGTTAATCTAGTTAATGTAGCAAATGAAAACGTTCCTTATTTGTAGTGTCGTCTTCTTATGTATGTCAAGTAAATAGGGAACACAGGATCTTGTTTTATTTCCTGGCCTGCTATACTAGAGGGAGAAAAATAGGACAGCTGATTATTTTTTTCTTAATATAATGGTATTTTTATGTTGCCAGGGAGTTGAGATTACAGAACCTACCTTGGCATGTAAACGGAGAGATATTATAAGGATAAAGCTATTATGATTGAGGAAGCTTACTCTGTGGTTTGGGCAGGTGGATGCTTTTCATTAATGTCAGCAAAGCACAAGTATATCTGACTGGTCTACAGACCTGCACAGAAGATCACGGGGTGAGAAGGGCAAACTAAGGTGTGACAGCAAATAGAGATTACAGAGACAGCATCTGTGTGGAAAGAGCAGCTGTCAGTTATAAAGGCTCCTGTAACAAATGAAAGATTGCATGCCAGATCTTTAGAAATATAGATGAACCATAATAAGATTGTAGGCCACTACAGCATAGTTTGAAGAGAAAATTACAAATGCTAATAAAGTGGGATATGTTGAAGCAGTGATAAAGGAGTCCTATAGTTATCTGTGGATAAGGTTTTGTTTGAAGCCTACATTTGACTATAGTCTATGCAACCAAGCCAGGTATAGCTGAATCTACATAAAGAGAGATAAAATGCTTTTAAGCCAGGGGGCCCCAGATGCAGGCTGGCTAGTAGTTTACTATTATAACACCACTTTGGGTTTTGCTCTTCTATTAATTAGTAGAAAATAACTGTTATTTTCCATGGGTGTTTTAAAATTTTTCTTTTGGAGAATTTTAATTCCTTCTTGATGTTGTATGAACTTATGAACTGAGTGGGATTCTTGACTAGAGATTTTGACAATGGTCTTTCTTAGGATTCATGACTTGTTGTGGGGTGGCATATTTGTTAAAAGATGGTTGTAAAGTAGAGCCCCAAACAAACAAAAAAGAAAAAGAAGATCGGGTTTTGCATATTTTACTTTCAACTCAAAGAATATAAATACAAGAAGTAGTTAGCAAAAACAATGACTTTATCATTTGTTTAAACTAAGTTTCTTTAAAGTTGCCTTCTATCAGTTCTTATTCAGGCTTATTTTTGCAGCCCTCATGTGGCCAAGTGTATTCTCACAAGATGAAAATGTATTCATATGTTAAATCATGGAAATTTTAAGGTTATGGAATTATCAGGATTATTCTTTCACTAAATTTTATTTTCTAAGTAAGATGAAAGTTGATGTGATAAACTTTTAAAATACATATTCTAGTTTGCTCCATTATAAAACTCATTAAAAATAATGAGTATTATTTCTCAAGAGATATATGTCAATCTAAGTTATAACTTTTGGGTATCTTGAATCTTAAAAACTAGTTGCTTCATAAGTAGATGGATTTGACATTTAATTGATGACTGACGGATCTCAAAGCTTAATGGAGACATCAATTCAGAAACAATGTATCTTTTTAACCAGAGGAAGAGCTATTCCTTTCTAAATGGAAGTTTTCCCATTTTACTAGAGAACGTGAAAAGATAAGTTTGTTTTAGAAGAAAGACATACTTTAAAAGCTTTTAATCTGTTTATTCAACTCTTCAATTACCTTAACAAATTACTATTTAGCTTTTTTAACAAAAATATTTTTAGCACCTTTATATCTTGAATATGTATTTTCACTTTAAATATTCTGCTAGCCCCTTCAGGCACCACCTTCTAGAATGGAAATGTACTGCCAGAAAAACACTGAGAGAAAAACACTGAAATTGAAAAACACTTTCAATTTATTTGAAAGATAACTTTCAAAGAAATTTTCATAACTCAAATGTGTTTCTTTTTTCCAGAGAAGTATATCAGAGAATTCCCTGGTAGCAATGGACTTCTCAGGCCAGAAAAGCAGAGTTATAGAAAATCCCACTGAAGCCCTTTCAGTTGCGGTTGAAGAAGGACTCGCTTGGAGGGTACAAGTAGCTTCACATGCTTCAAAATATTTATGATTTCAGTTTGTTTCACCTAAAAACTTGAGATTTGTTTTCTCCTTCCTTGCTCAGAAAAAAGGATGTTTACGCCTGGGCACTCACGGTAGCCCCACTGCCTCTTCACAGAGCTCTGCCACAAACATGGGTATGTCTGTTCATAGTCATTGCCACTGAGTAGACGGATAGACATGGAAAGGACATGTAATGAAATTGCAGTCATCTCAAACAAAGCTTTGCATTCATCCATCCTATTTCTTTAGCTATCCACCGGTCCCAGCCATGGTTTCACCACAAAATTTCTAGAGATGAGGCTCAGCGATTGATTATTCAGCAAGGACTTGTGGATGGGTAAGTTTGGTATTTTTAATTTTGAGTACTTGTGAATTGGATTTCTCCTATAAGCAGAAATTATTTATTCCATAGCCACAAAGAGTTCTTGATTTGGGCTTATCATAAAACAGAAGTGACATTGTTCTATAAATGAGGTCATCACTGTATTCTAACAGTATCTATATTATACCTGGTACATAGTGTGTGTCTGGTATTTGTATATAAATGGACAAATAACGGAATAGAGTATCTTGTTCTTAACCAGTGATCACTAATATTACCCATTATGTCCTGATTCTAGCATCTCAGATATCAATTGATGGGGGAAAATGAACTTCTTTTTAAGTGTCAATATTTTGATTTGAACATATGATTTCGAAGTATGGTTTATATTATGACATTATGTCAAATGTATTTTTTTAGGTATGATGCAACATGTATTAAGTAAAAAGCTGTTTCTTAAGTGTTTTGAACACTTATTTTTTTGTGTGTTTACATCCCTATTGTCCTTTCTCTAAATTTTAACATCTTAAAGTAATATAGATCCGTGAAAAGAGTACCTTTCAACTGTTTCTCATGTTGTCTTTTAGTGGGGTACCATGGAATACAAAAGAGAAATATAAAATGTATTATGAAAGATTTATAATGTGAAGAATTTTATTTTTCTCAAATTACTCAGTGTTTCAGATACTTTCTATAATACTGGCTGAATTCCCTTTCCAAATGCAGTACAAATGAGGGAGGTTGTATTGTGGTTTAGATGAGTAATGAAATCATTATCAATTTAAACAAGTGGTGATGGGATCTTTTATCTTCAAAAGTTGGCTAATCATGTCATTATCATGACAAGATTTCAAGGTGATTTAATACTGAAATTTGGATAACAATGCTTCTTCACATGGAAGATTATTAATAGGAAGTCAGCATTTCCCCAGACTGTAAATAAGATATTTTAATACGTTTCTTTGCATGGAATGCAGTCTTTTTGGAAATAAATTTGAACAATCAGTAGAATTACAATCTGATGAAACCAAGAAAATAAATGAGTCACAAAGAATTATTAAAATGTTTTGAAAGATTGTAATTTTCTTTATTTCTGAGCCCAGTATTTATAAAGTGAATGAAATGATCGTATAAAAAAAGATACTATCTTATTTTTAGTATTTTTGGTATTCTTTTGGAGAGATGTGATGGTGCCAAGTGATCCACTAGGTGGTAGTGGTGATCTACTTGGGAATGGGAAAAGAATTACAGCTTGATTTACCAGTGAAACGCCCTTTTGTCCCATTTCCCAGTGATGTAATGTCGGAATCTCACACAGCACAAATGAAATGGATAAACTCGTCAGACATCTGTGATGCTTTAAATTTGGCTGCCTCTTTGCCCAGGCACAGTGAGATTCATATTGGATTCACCAGTGGGGATCATTTACACGGTGTATTTACCAGCAGTTAATACAAAACTGGTTTTGCATTGCACTGCCAGTGAATAAGAATCCACTTCTGGCAGCATTTTTCTCTTAGGCTGTTAGAGGCCATGTCTTGTTTTTCTAGCCTGACATTATAGAGGCTTTTCTGCTGCATTCTTCAAGGTTAAAGTATGTGTTTTTTGGATGATTTTTTTTACTTAAAGCATTTTGCTTAAATATTTAATAAATAATTTCAAGATTTTTTTAAAACAATATATTGATTTCTTTCTTGCTATTGTGTATGAACAGTTGAAACCAGAATCAAAAGAAAGGGTATCCAGTATAGAAGAGGGGGTTATAATAAAATAAAATTTCAGGCCAGGCGTGGTGGCTCATGCCTGTAATCTCAGCACTATGGGAGGCCGAGGCAGGCGGATCACTTGAGGTCTGGAGTTCGAAACCAGCCCAGCCAATATGGTGAAACCCTGTCTCTGCTAAAAATGCAAAAATTAGCTGGGCTTGGTGGCATGTGCCTGTAGTCCCAATTACCTGGGAGGCTGAGGTGGGAGAATTGCTTGAACCCTGGAGGCGGAGATTGCAGTGAGCCGAGAGCACTCCAGCCTGGGTGACAGAGCGAGACCCTGTTTCAAAAGAAAAAAAAAAATTCATTCTAAATTCTTACCTTCTTTCAAAACTTAACATGACCCAGAAGGTAAAATAACAGTATGAAAATGCCTTAATCTTTAGGCAAAACAGTTACATGTGAATACCCAGTTTCCCAGTGCAAAGAGAACGTAGCACCAATTGTTGATGCAGACATAACAGTGTATTGTTTATTGTGATCAAACAAACAATCTGACTAATGGGTTGTGTATTTAGCCTATTAAAATTACAGTAGCAGTGATGACAGCTTTATAGTGCAGATTATATTATACCATATTGATTGCCAAGTTGGATAATCCCACCCATTGAATACATAGTAAAGGAGTCCCCAGCTACATTTATGCATACACTTCTTGGATTTATTAATGCTATAGTTCTATGAAATCCATGAGTAAATATAGAAACATTGAAATTCCTTCTCTCTCTTTAGAGTTTTCTTGGTACGGGATAGTCAGAGTAACCCCAAAACTTTCGTACTGTCAATGAGTCATGGACAAAAAATAAAGCACTTTCAAATTATACCAGTAAGTAATTCGTGATTTCACATTTGTGTATTAGAAATGACCTTAATGCATAAGCTTTTGATCTTAATGCATAAGCTTTTGGAAACTTTGGTTTTCTTTTGGTCTTTTTATTAAATATAATTTGGCAGCTTGTGCTTTGACTAGAGTTAACTTTGGCAGAAATGATTTTATGAGCCTGAATTAATATAAGAAATACAGGAATTGTAAAAATTAAATTTTCCTTTTTCTATGAAATATGATTTAGCAATATTGTATAGACCCCATGCCACCTATTGTTAAAAGGGCACTAAAGCTTCTTTCTCCTGAATTCCACTAACGGCTCTTTAGAAAACATTACTTTAAAGCCTTTTCTCCTCTCTTCTCTCAAAAATGTTTTTTTTGTTTTGTTTTGTTTTTAATGGCTATGGCTAGAAACAGAGATTCTATGGAACTGGTGAAGACTTCTGAACACATTTTTAAAAGTTCTGTGATTCGGCTTCTCTGTGACACACAACTTGCTTTGGGATTTCTGTTGCCTCTTCTGCTGTGTGTCTGTGTGGGTGTGCATGTATGTATGTGATGTGTATAGTATATTGGAACTGAATGGTGGGGAGTGAAGATTCAGTCTTTTTGGAAAGGTATTCCATAGTATTGCTAAATTACTAGTGCGTCCTTTTGAATTGCCTCTTTTTGGAGTTATCCAAAGGCTATATAAAATATCCTCCCTACTTCTTTTATTTTGTGATCAATGTCCCCAGCAAATACGAATTGTTTAGTACCAGAAGACTTCACTGATTTAAAAAAAAGAAAACTGACAGAATGACATTCCATTAGCATAATATGTGATTACTTCAGAATAAATCTCATAAAATTATGTAAATATTCATTTTTGTGGCTAAGTAGACAACATTTAGAAAAGGAAATTAATTTCTCAAGTGGGAGCATTAAAATCTTCATTTACTTTTACTCTGAATATTGTAGATTTCTTTCATTGATTCAAAATATTCATACTGTCTTTACTAACAGAATGCTGGGAGAATTAGAACTAGATGAAGTAGAGTAGCAGTGCTTCTCAGGGATCAGCTGATATTTCTTTTAAATGCAAGTGATGTTAAAAAAAACAAGTAGATATGCCGTAACATTCTTTTCACTGTCTTTTAGTTTTATAAACTTGGCAGTTTTGGCATGTGGAGATAGTTTGCAATCGAATATGATTGTCCTTCTGTGTAATTTATCCTCTTTACTTATTTGTTGCTTTTCTTTTTGCAGGTAGAAGATGACGGTGAAATGTTCCACACACTGGATGATGGCCACACAAGATTTACAGATCTAATACAGCTGGTGGAGTTCTATCAACTCAATAAGGGCGTTCTTCCTTGCAAGTTGAAACATTATTGTGCTAGGATTGCTCTCTAGACAAGCCAGAAGTGACTTATTAAACTATTGAAGGAAAAGGACTCAAGAAAAATAATAAAAGACCATAAATAAGGGCGAAAACATTACCATGTGAAAAGAATGTATTTCACCTGCAAGTTACAAAAAAATAGTTTGTGCATTGCAAATAAGCAAAGACTTGGATTGACTTTACATTCATCATTTAAAATTCATTAGTTAAAATTAAACCTTAGGAAAAAAATGACTTGGTGTGTTCTTGTGTGATTTTTACATTGCTATAATATTTTCTTCAAATATGCATATTTAAAACATGTCTCCCTTATTTACCATATAGCAACATCAGAATTCTGAAACACAAAATATGAAATAAATTGGGAGTCAGGAATAATTATTTGTGCACTAAATTTCAATTATACTATTTTTTAATGTTAAGAAATATGATAATAACTTATCAATTAAAAGAAACTATCCACAACCTGTTAATGAAACTAAAAACTATTTTGAATTATATATTTTCCGGGTTTATGATCATCTTAAAATGAAATCATATTTTGAGATAGTAGCTTTAAACCATTTTGAAATATGTTGATTTTTTCCAGGTAATTTAAAAATATTATTAAATAGTTAATTATAAAATTTATACTGGTATTGTACCCATTAGTGGCATGTTTTTCATTGTATTTTCTTCCATTCATTTAATGATTGGCTAATACTACTTGTTTTTAAAGAAGTAATTGAAATGTAGAAGAGATATATGTAATTTGCATACACCTTCTCATGGTATATAATCTATGACAATGTGACATTGTTACTTTAACATTTCACACTTGCTCCATTCTCTAACTTTCAGAACACTCTTTAGCTCTTTTCACTAATAGATCATTAACCAAATCAATATAGGTGAAATCAAAGATTCACAATCTATAAGGATACTAATAGTGAAATCCTTGTTTTTTTCTCTTTGCCTTCCCCCTTTTCAGTTTCTTACCAGGCAATATCAAGAAGGAAGCCAAAGATTTTGAAACTTGAAATACTAACCTTCCTTATCACTTCTTCGAGACCATCTGGGAATAGTTTTTAGATTCTGTGATTCTTTTGTTCCCATTTTTTTGTAGGAAGGATTTTACTTGTTCCTAAAAAATGAGGAACAAAACATCAAATAAACATTACAATTATACTAACTATTGGCCATCTCCTCTAACTGACCTTTATGACAACATTGCGAGAAAGATTTTTAAAGCAATATTCATAAATGCATACTTTAGTTTTAAATGAAAGCTGTATATTTTTTGGTGACAAAGTATATGAAAGCATTCATGAAATGCTAATAAAATAATAACTGAAAAAGAATTATTTATTGAATTTTTAAAGATTTAACTTACTTTTAGCTAATGCAAGCCTAATTGCTAAAACACTGAAACTTAGAACATTAATCTGATGTTATAAAATACTGGTCTGGTTTCCGCAAAGGCTTGGAAGGCACACAGGACTTCTAAGTAGAACAGCATGAGTAAACACACTTGCCTTTTTCAACCTCTCAGAATGGCCCTGAGTATTTCTGATTTAATTTTGATTTTTAAAAAGACTTTGTGTTTTGAATTTGAATACATTTTCTCAGGTTGTACCCAGTTTAAACAGACAATATCAGAAAATGTACTATCTTGAATACCAAACTCTTACAAATTGGCCAATTTGTGCTTATCTTTGTTTGTGTCTCTAACTTCATAATCTAAGTGTATTATTGAGGGGCTCAGATTTTGTATGTAATTGCTTAATTTGATCTTAAAGTATGAGTGAAGAAACATTATTGAGGAAAGGTTGACAAAGGGAAATCATTATTTTCTTGTTTCCTTCTGAAAATGGGTCTTGGGTGTGTGTGTATGTGTGTGTGTGTGTGTGTGTCTGTGTGTAAATCTAATATGACATGAAATCTGAGAATTTCAGACACATTCACGGTTACTACAGTATTAAAGTGCATTCCCTAGTAAAATGTGAATTACCTTTGGATTACTTTCCATTTTGATTTAGCCATGTTCTGTTATCTTGCACCATTTGGGATAGGGATGAAGACAAATGGTCTCTGTTTTCTTCCATTTCTGTTCATGTTGGAGGTAATATGCTTCACTCTCCCAGAAAGAAGCTAGCACAGTAGACTCTCTAGTAAATATTGTTTTTACAGGATAAAAACTATTAGTAGTGCTTCAATTCAGAACAATTACTTGTTTCATGTGGATAACAGTATAAGCCCTGACTGATTTGAGGAGATTAGATGGATGTTTTTGTTTTAGCTGTTTTACAGTGGGTGACATCAGTTAATCAGAGCCTCATATGGTCTCTGGTTTTTGAACACCGATCATGACAACTCTACACATGGTAGTTGTATTCTGGTGGTGATGTCGGATTATTTCCTGGATCATAACTTCTCTGAAGAGGAAATGTTTGTCGTGGGTAATGGTTACAGCTTGGTGTTTCAACCTGGCTCCACCATCTAAAATGCTCTCTATATTGCCAGCCACTTTTAAGCTTGATGGTGTCTTGGATCCATTCAGCAGCCAGGTGAAGCCTATGGACCTCCTTCTCAGAAGGTAGAAATGCTGCCATATTGTGACCTGCTGTGTCCCTGGCTGTGTTGATTTTGCCCATATAAGACCTCCAGTTTTCCATCTTGAGTTCTTTAGAGAACAGAGTGGGTGATTCCTGGTGTTACAATACCTGTGGGGCACAAAGTAGTTTGCTTGAGATTCAGGGTACTTGTTTCAAGGACCTTGTTGTTACAAGATTATTGTAGCATTGAAAATTCACTCAACGAAACCTCCATGCCTATATCTTGTGGGATGCATCACTGCAGCCCAGTCCTGGCTCCCACGCTTGACTGTCTGTGACATTCACAGGAATGTGTGGTGATATGAGCCGCAGTGCTCATAACTGGGGCACTGCTTGTAACGTTGCTAATCTCATACTCCTCAGGTCACGACACATTATTTGCGTAGACATCTTGGCTGAGCACATAACGATATTCAGCTAAGAGCTCATTGCAGAGATCTGCCCAGCTGAATTTAACCGGCATAAGTACTTGCCTGCGATTGGGATATCATGTGATTAGTTCTTTGCCATGTTAATATACTTTGTAAGTGTGAATAATTCAACATCACACAATACACAAAACTTTAGAAACTAGAGTTAAGATTATAGCTCTGGTATTATACCTTGTAGATTCAAATTCCAAGTCATTATATAGCAGCTATGTAGCCTTGGTCAAACCAATTTCTTCATCTCTAGACGGGATCACTACCACCACCATCATAACCACCACTTATTAAGTTGTCTTGCCAGTCAAATCATTGGCTTAGATCTTCATTGGTATATACGTCTATTACATTAGCGATCATACATTTAGGTCCTCTACCTCCCAGGGACATTGCTCTTTCCACTGAGTGCCATTGCATTGCTACCTCTTCTTCCTGCCAGGAACAATATATTGTACATTACATATTTGCCTCTGCCCTTATTTCAATTCTTTCTATAAGGATGCTTTTATGGAAGTAACCATGTGTTCCACAATAGGGTGCTGCCCAGTCCATCAGTAGGGACTGTGTGGAAAACCATATTGTGCCCGTCTGTACAAGATCATACAGATCACCATGCTGATTAAAAAGATTAAGTGTTATTTGTGATTTTAAACCTGCTGATTAAAAAGATTAAGTGTGATTTGTGATTCTCACATTCATCCTGTCCCCTCTCCCCAAATTACAGTGATTGATAGGATGGGGAATACAGAAGGTTGAAAACCTGCTTTAGAGTTCATGCCTGGACAGTACAGGGCATGGGATGGTGCATGGCTGGGTGGGGGAATATGAAAAAAAGCTCTTCCTAGGTGATTGGTGCATCTCTGAAAAATTAATAGACTTTAGCTAAATGAATGTATCCTTCTTCTGGCTGATTATACACTCAGTATACCCTGCCCCCCTCAGAAGCTCTTTTGTGGTTAGCAATCTGATTAGGAGCTGAATGTTCTTGTCTTGTATGCTTGTTAAGTTCACTTCAGGATGTATTGAGTACCTATTATGTAGAAGGAACTTTTAGAGATGCAAAATTGAATAATACAGTATAGATACACAAGTATCTATCCTAGAAGTTAGGATGGGTAAGTGTTATACTATAAATACAATAGGAGAGAGACATTGCTTACACTTGCTGAAAGATGGGAGGAATAAAGTGGGTTCCCGGAAGGCCTGTAGGAGTTCAATTTACAAAGCCTTGGAGAAAGGACTGTATGGTCTCATCAAAGGGAGAGGGGCAATGCCAGGCAGCGTGGAAAGGACACATACTGAATTTAAGAGTTTTTCTGCAAATGATAACTTCATTGTGACTTCAATATACAGTTCATTATAACAGAGGAAAGTCGTGGCAAATAGGACTAGAAAAGCAAGTGGCTGCGGCATTAGGGGGAACTTCAATGCTAGGCAAAGCAGTTTATATTTTAGTTAAGGAAAAGCATAGCCAGGTACCTCAATGCTTTACCCCATTAAATTTCTACCTGGAATGAACTTTATTTACCTTTTAATCTCTACCCTGCACATTATAAGTTCTCAACAATTGTTTATCAAACAAATGAGTGAATTTATTCTTCAATCTAGAGGGTAGAAGTAGGCTGATAATTTCTGGAGTTGTACGAGCAACTGTGGATAAGATGATTAAAGATGAAGAAAAGAATCAAAGGAGGGTGGCACAGCAAAGAGTGGTTGTAATAGTCTTGACAATAATCAGGAGAGCCTGTTCTAAAGCCATGGGCATGAAACAGGGATTTTTATGGAGGGTTAATCATCACTGATGTCATAAGCAATTGGTTGAGAGGGATAAGAGGGAGCAAAGAGAGGAGTAAAATATGATTTGTAGGTTTAGGGCCAGAGAAACTAGGAGGGTTGATATTTATGGTGGTAAAAAACAACAACAACAACAAAAAACAATAATTTTAACAGATGTCATTGAAATTTTTAGAGAAAAAAAGTCTTCATTCAGAACCTTTTTATACAGGAAAGTGAGCCTTTAAGGATCCATGCTGAAGAAAATAGTTAAACACAGAGAATTTTATTTTGTACAGGACAGTAAGAATTAGGGCCCAGAAGTGAAGAAGTGGGGCAGTTAGAGAATAGTCAAGAGGCCTAATTAGATGGTGGGAGGCAGGAACCTGAGGAGAAAGATGGTCATTGAGAAAGTAAAGAGACCAGGTGGCAAAAAGACTCTTAAGAACATAGGTATTGAATACACAGTATTAATGATGTTTACTATGTGGTTCTACAATTTAGCCACCCTTCATCCTTCCAATCCTGAAAGAAAGCTCCCGCACATACAACTGACCTGGAGGAGTGGTGTTACAGAAAGTCCAGGGAAAGAAAGGGCCATACTCCACACCAAAATTTAGGTGGCATGTAAAGGTAGAATACAGGCAAATACAAGTTTAGCAGAAATAGAAAATCCAACCAACTGTCAGAAACTTTGAATTGGACATCATCGGCCTTCCAAGTGGACATACTTTCATTTTACAAAAACCAAAAACCAAGCTGCCCTCAGCTAACATGTAAGTTGCACTTTTTATAATAATCATTTTTTAAAAAAGAACACTTCATTGCCTTAGCAAAAATTCTAACTCACTCTCTGCTTTTCTCACTCATAATCTACCTTCTTGCACATCACCCCTTCTTTACTTCCTATTACTCAAAATCATTGATGTCTCTTCAACCTCACTGAAACTGATAACTTCAGACTTTTCTTATTTGCTTTTTCAGCAACTTTGGTGCTTTGATCACTCCCTCCTCGAATTACTTTATTCCCTTGATTTCCATGTCAAAAGAGTGCTTATATTTTTCTTGTCCGTCTGGGTACCTCTTCTTGGTGTCTTTTCCATACTCATCTTCCTTTTTACTCCCTTTAAATGTTGCAATGCTTAGCTAGGTCATACACTCAATTCCTTTTTATTTTTTTATTTTTCTCCATCCCTATAGACTCTTTCCTTTATTCTCATGGCTTCACATACTAAGTGACTTTTAAATCTCTGCCTCCTTCCTGAACTTTAGATCCAGGTACTCAGGCATTTGCCAACATCTCCATTTGTACATCTTATGGTTACATCAAACTCTACATTTCCATGGATCTCTGTCTTCCCTTTAAAACTGACCTCCAGAGCTTCAGTAAACAGAGAATGACCATTCAGTTTCCCCAAATAGAACCTTGAAAGGTATCAAGAGACTGTCATCTTCCACATCCAAATAATACTGAGTTCTATATATATCATTGTTATATTTGTGGGCTGCCCTCCACCTCTATTGCCATTACACAAATCTGGGCCACTTTCTTTCCTCCACTACTACAGAAGACTCTTGAATGGTCTTTCATCCCCTGGTCTTTCTCCACACCTACCCTCCCTCCTCCAGTCTAAGACAAAGTGATCTTTCCACTTATTTGATCACAGTACTCTTTTACCTAAAAGCTTCAATGACTTCCCAGTGCCTTTGGATAAAGTCTATTCTTCCTAGGGTTGGCACATACTGTTCCCTTTATCTCCAACATATCCCTTTTCCTTGTCTCCAGTTCTATCAACTCTTTTCCTTTTCAAAAGCTCGTGAAATACACCACTTCCTTCAGGACAATTCCCTTGACTATAGGCTAGTTTAACTTGCCATACTATAGATTCTTTCAGCTTTTCCATTGTAATACTTATCACACTGTATGAAATTCGTGTTAATTTTTGTTTTTCCTACTAAGCGTAAACTCCTGGCAAGGAAGGAGTATCTTGTTCATAGTTATAGCCTCAGAATTTAGTCGAGTGCCTAAGGTTAATAGTAAGTGCTTAATAGAGATTTGTCAAATGAATCAATATATGAGGAAGTGACACCAATCCTTTGGAAATGTAAATTAGAAGCTTAACAAAAAAGGAAGAAATATAATGTAGTTTAAAAAAAAAAGAAGGTTAAAATCTGAGGGTAAAGTGATGTTGATCACTTCCTCCACAGATTTGTGATAGTGAAAAAGTTTTTCACTTTTGTAACAGTGGAAAACATATATATATACACATACATACGATTTCAGACATTGTAAGATTAAAATTTGAATTCAAATATACAGTAATAGTCCCCTCTCATTCATGGTTTTCATTTCCATGGTTTCAGTTTTCCATGGCCAACTGCAGTCTAAAAATATTTCATCATAACTCTTGCATTTTGGGGCCATTATTACATAAAATAAGGCTTACTTGAACACAAACACTGGGATATCACGACAGTTGATCTGATAACTGAGACAGCTACTTGGTGACTAACAAGTGGGTAATGAATGTACAGTGTGGAGATGCTGAACAAAGGGGTGATTTGTGTATGGGGTGTGAGGGAGTGGGACAGTGTGAGATTTCATCATGCTACTCAGAAGAGTGTGCAGTTTAAAACTTAGGAGTTGCTGATTTCTGGAATTGTTTATTTACACCACAATGCCTACATCCTTCATCTCACTTCATTATGTAAGCATTTTATTATCTTATCACAAGAAGAAGGGTGAATATAGTACAATAAAATATTTTTAGACACCATATCTACCTATTTTATTATAGTATACAATTACAATTGTTCCATTTTATTAATTATTGCTATTAATCTCTTAATCTCTTAGTGTGCCTAATTTGTAAATTAAATTTTATCATAGGTATGTATGTATAAGAAAAAACATAATATGTATAAGGTTTGGTACCATCCACAGTTTCAGGCCTCCACTAGGGATCTTGGAACTTATCCCTCACAGATAAGAGAGACTACTGTATCCTCTTACTTTATCTTCCTTTATTGAAAATTTATATTGAACTAAAACTCATTTAAAGATAACAGTTACATTAAATTCAGTAGAAAACACCTAAGAAGTTTCCATTGTTTTCCTGGACCAGTGGCACAGTGTCTTCCCCATTGTGCTTTTAAAAATAGCTGGAGTCTCAATACTCACAAAACCAATAAATTCAATACAACCCTTGTTAACAATGACTAGTATATTTATTCCCTTAATGCAATGGTTCTAACTTTGTCCACAAGAATAAACATACAAGTATATCCAAGAACATTTAGAAAATAATGGGGTGTTACTACAACACATATTAAAATGTATTGTAAAATAAGAGTGATTAAAACAGTGTTTAAATAAAGACACTGATATGATCATTGTTTAATTGAGCTAACAGGACTTGTTTTTGTTGTAACTGCTGAGGACTCTCCAGAGAAGAAGAAATCTCATCCTTCTTCTACCCTGACTTCAGGAAGCATAGACCAACTTTGTGATTATAAACATCTGAGCTACCCATATACATTTGTCTCCTACCAGTCTCGAAAGAGATGGTAAATTCTTGTTATTTAGGATTATGGATATTGAAAGGTAGATTATCCAAAGAGGAGAAAGTGTATTACTACACTGTAAGAAATGGAAGTGGCTCAACCAGAAGAGAGAGTAGTCTAGTTCAGCTGAAATTAAGAAACAGATGGTTGTTAGGAGCTTTCCATGAGGATCAGAAATCTGTGCCCCTCTTATATACAGCTCTGTTGTTGAGTGGATGATTCGAGGATGCCCAGAAGACAAGACTAAGCATTTTATATTTTAGAGCAGAGACAAGGCTTCTGTGGCAGAACTTGTATTCAGAAGTAGACTCTTTAGAACATCAAGTGTGATCCGATGGCAGAAGACTCATTTGACATCAGTGTTTTTTGTTTGTTTTTTTGTTTTTTTGTTTTTTTTTTTTAGCAAAAGGATCAAATGGTGCTGATCACCAAAGTGCAAGATCAAGTCACAGCCCTCATTGTCTGGGACCATGCCTTGAATTTCTATAAAGGTGAACACTGTTACACTCAAGTGTCATTGAGCAAATTCATCTCTTTCAAATGGAAAAAAAAAAAAAAAAAGAGAAACCAGTAAAAGAATCAGGAATTTACATGGAATTTAATATCAATAAAGAAATAGTTGATTTTTAAGTTTTGTTGGGACAACTATCATTTCCTAACTCTACTTCACTCTTTATGCCATAATAAATTTCAGATAGGTCAAAAATAATACATGGTATATGAAGTCATAAAGAACTAGAAAAATAATGGATGCATATTTTTTAAAAATGTGGTTGTATTTAATCATGATATTAAAGCTAGAGACAAAGTATTGAAACATACACAATTAAATACAAAATTAAAATATTGTATTAGTCTGTTCTCACGCTGCTAATAAAGACATAGCAAGACTGGGTAATTTATAAGGAAAGAGGTTTAATGGACTCACAGTTCCGTATGGCTGGGGAGGCCTCACAATCATGGCAGAAGGCGAAGGAAGAGCAAAGAGACATCTTACATGGTGACAGGCAAGAGAGTGTGTGCAGGGGAACTCCCCTTTATAAAACCATCATATCTCATGAGACTTATTCAGATCACCATCAATTACCTCCTCCCCACCCTGGTCCCTCCTACAACACATGGGAATTATGGGGGTTACAATTCAAGATGAAATTTGGATTGGGACACAGACACACCATACCATAATATATACATACAAAAAAGAATACCACAATAAATAAGACTTAATGACAAAACAAAAATTTGGATGAAATATTTATAACATTATTAACAATAAATAAGGTTAATATTTTTGTTATGCAACTGCCTTACATATCAGTAAGCAAAACATGCATTCCAGTAGAAAGAAGGCAAAGAAATGAACTGGCTATTTCAAAAGAAGTAAATATCACAAGTAAATATATAAAAAGATGTTTAGCCTCATTAATATCCAACAACTAAAATTTAAATCAGTTATTTTGGCCTAATACATTGTTACTAAGTATTGTTAAGGGTGTGGGGGGAAAATTAAACATTCCCACCATGTCATTGGTGAGAATTTCAAGTGTTACGCATTTTAGGGAGAACAGTTAGGCAATATTAATAGTAACGAGATAAGGTAAATTCTCCTTTTGCTAGAAATCTTTTTTTATTTTTTTTATTTATTATTATTATTATTTTTGAGACAGAATCTTGCTCTTCCCAGGCTGGAGTGCAGTGGCGTGACCTTGGTCACTGCAACCTCTACCTCCCAGGTTCAAGCAATTCTCCTGCCCCAGCCTCCCGAGTAGCTGGGATTATAGGTGTCCACCACCACACTCGGCTAATTTTTGTATTTTTAGCGGGGATGGGGTTTCACCATGTTGGCCAGGCTGGTCTCGAACTCCTGACCTCGTGATCTGCCCGCCTTGGCCTCCCAAAGTGCTGGGATTACAGGCATGAGCCACCGCACCCAGTCCCAAAATCTATTTCTAGAAATTTGTTCTCAGGAGAAAATTCATTAGGTAATGTATCATGATGTATTTCTCAATTTATTTACTTGTTTGTTCATGCAGTAGATATTTTCTTAATGCCCAGTACATGTTTGACTGGGAAAAACTCAGGTACATGCAAGACATGATCACTGATTTTATATCTTGGTAAATGATACAGACAAAAAAACCCATAAAAACAAATTTAAAAATAGTTCCAAGTTACTTATAAGGAAGTACTAACAGACATAATAGAATGGGCAATGTATATTAAACAAGAGGTCCAGAGAAGACTTCCATTTATGTGGAGACACAGTTAAAAGGTTCTAACCATGTGAGAGCCATGATGGCAAAGAGCTTTTCAGGCAGTGGAAAGAGCGTGTGCAAAAGTCCCAAAGGCAAAAATAACACATGGGAGACCAGGATGATTGGGGATGGTGGGTAAGAAGGGGGTGGTACAGATGACGGTGAAGATACTAGTAACATTCAAACCACACAGACCCCTGTTAGGACAGGAAAAGGAGTTTGGATTTTATCCCAAGGGCCATGGAAAGCCAGTGATGGCTTATACACAATCAAACAGAAAAGATAAATTGAGATTTACATTTGGGCAACGTCACTTTGAAGTTTTGTGCATAATGGTTTGGAAGTGGGCAAGGATAGACAACATCATTTATAATAGTGAAAAATTATAAATAACAAGTAGTTATCAATAGGGATTTGTCATAACCAGATGGATGATCATATATCTGTACACACTGATATGGAAAAATTTATACAGTTTTTGAGAACAAGTATTTCTTGTGTACACGTATGCTAGGAGGATGTTCACAAAAATGATAAAAGTAGTTGACTCTGCTCTCCCTATGATATAAAATTAGTGAGGTGTTGGGGTGACTTTATAATTTGCTTTATCTTTTTTTCTATGTAACATTTTATGATTGAGCATACTATTTATAATCAGGAATACAAATAATTTCCTTTTCATTCTAGAGAAAAAAGGCAAGGGAATATTATTTAGCCATCTTACACTCTCCACTTTCCTAAATTTGACTATGTTTGCCATTTCTTAATGTGAGCTGGCATTCTTTTCTAATACAATACACATTTGAATTGTTAGTTATGTTTTCTATCTAATCTAGTATTTCAATCTGAGCATGCTACTCCTCTGTCAAAACATGTGGGTTCATTATTTCCTGTTAGTTCTCAATGGACAATGAACACACACCTTGGCAGATTCCTGCCTATTCCTTAAGGAAACAAGAGAAGTCTAAATTTAGGCTCTCTCCCTAGGCTGTGGTCTTTGTAACTCAAAGGAACTAGAGAATTTTCAATAAAAGAGACCTGTTTTTATCTTCTGAGGCTAGGCTAGCTCCCAGCTTTTCATCCTGAAGGACTGGTAAAGATCACAAAGTGGTTTCAGCTTCAAACTCCCCAGTCTTCTTCCAGTGGCATTATTCTAGACATACATGAATCCTACACAGGGCCTTGGGAGTCTGAAGGTTGTTTGAGTATATTTCCTGAAAGAACATTACTTCCCTGTTGCTGTTAAGTGAAATATAGTAACATTTTACTACAGTAAAAGGAAATAACTTACCTAGAATTGCTATCTACCTGGTTAATTGTCAGCCCCTCCAGAAAAAAAAAAAAATAGTTTTTCCCCTAAGTGCTGGATGCTACCTCTCCTACTCTTACCATTTTATAACCCACCCTTGTAATACCCTTTTCTTGGTTTCTTGTAGAAAATAGCTTAGCCTTTGTGTTTTCTTGCCCTTGTATCTCTTACCTTCTTGGTGTTTTTCAAAATTGTCTTTCACTCCATGTCACAATTATTAACTTAAGGCTATTACATTGTAGTTCCAAGCAAATACCCAAACTTTCTGCAGTAACTCAAATTATCCATGGAGCTTCTGGTTGATCGAAAGCTTGGTTGTGGGATTTAGAGAGATGATCATGACGATATGATGATGATGGTAATGATGATGATGATGATGACTGGTTAAATATTAGCAAGAATGCTGAATGCATCATTGAGTGCTATCTGCACAAGCACTATTTCCTCAGAACTTGTAGGGTATGTTTATTTACACTTAAAAAATCATGTAAGTAACACATCTTCATTGTAGAAAAATTAGGCAACACTAGCAAAACAAAAAACAAAAAAAACCGCAAAAAGCCAAGACATCTGTAATTTTGCCACCTGCAAATAACACAGTACTGCTAATGCACCAATATGTATAATGAGAATAAATTATGTATTGTCTACGAGCATTTAATACTAGTTATCCCCTATCCATTTGATCTTAGTTTTTCCGGGCATCTGATTTTTATTTATAAAGAATCATAAATTATTTCTATCTTAAATGCATGGTCTGGAAGATTTGGAGAAATGATTTTTCCTTTTGTAAATAAGTTTTAATTGATTTGATGATGAAGTTTTAAGAATATAAAATTTCATACAAAAGGCATTCTTTCTGAAGAGTTTGTCCCTCTGATAAAGTTGAAGCTCTTCCCCTTGTTGCCAAATGCATCAAAAACTTCTCTCAAAGATTCTGGTGCAGGTCTGTAAAGGGACCCAGAATTCTGCATTTGTAATAGACATTCCAGATGTTTATAATACTTATTAAACTTTGAGAAACACCATCTTAGTCCACCTGACTATTACTGCCTAGTACTAGTCCTTTCCAAATGCTTCACTGTTTTCACAATTATAGTAGCAAGGCAATTTGCCAAATTCCTGTTAGTGTAAAATGACAGTATTAATTTCCACTGATCATGTAACCAGTGATGATGCTTTCTCTTCTCACTATAGTTTGGTTTGTGTTCTTTCAAACCCACAATGGTAACAAGGTTTATTGAAGTCACTTTAACTCTGAATACGTGAAGTGATTCTCATGTATCAATGAATTTCAAGGTTTAAAATGTTAGACACAGGATGCACTAAGTGTAACAGACATATAGATTAATCCAACTGAAGTTAACATTAAGGAAAGGCACAAATATGTAAAACCTACTGATTCTTTTTCACAAGTCTTGAACTAAAAATCCAAAGTATCAGAATAATGCTAAGGAACAGCCAGTGGATGTCACCAGTGCGCCACGGATTTGTAGAAGCAAGTGTTGTTTTTGCTGTTACTTCTCAGGAATATCTGGCTGGTGGTCTTATACCTTCTTAACATACAATCTTTTTTTTCTTTTCCTTATAAATTATTGACTGATTCTGTACCAATTAGTTCTACCAGTGGGTAGGTTTGTTATCAAGTTAAGCTTCAAGACAAGAACCTGGACTCAAATGATTAAAAATTTAGAGGCAGTTGATTAAATATGCAGATAGTCTGTGAAGCTACTTCTTGAAACTACTACATTGCCTTTTAATACAAATGATTTGTATAATTAATAAAAAACAAGTTTGAAAGCATTTAAGAAAGAAGTGAGATATTTAAAGGGAATGGGGTTAAATGCTAAGAAGTAAGATTATCATTCGATTAAGAAACATTTACCCTAAAAGATAGTAATAGCTGCTTTGTTTTAAAAATGTGGCTCCCTTTTCAGCAAATTTCATGTTATAGACTTGTACAACTGTTTTGGAAATTATATATTGGATCAGTGAGTTGTCTGAGGGCTAATTAAATACATTTTGTGAATTGTATACTTTTCTCTCCAATTAAAAATTTTAATTACTTCAGTGAATTTTGCCATTTGAAGGTTTGTTGTGAAGTGTAAGCAGTGAAGCATAGATGTCCAGATCAAATAGGGACTGCTGTTGAGATCCTTTGGCTTACAACAAAGCTACTTTTAGTTAATTATAAAATTGCCCAAAGCAGCTCTGACCCCCAAATTCTAAGTTTTAAAATGCATTTTTCTCCAAATCGTGGATTCTTCTCTGTTATGAACATGAGTCTGGAGTCTGTCCAGGTCTTTCCATTGTGTAACAGTGGAAAAGACATTTAAATGCTTTATACTTCTTCTTCTTCCTTTTTTTCCCCCCTGTATTAAAAGGCAAACCAAAAAATACCCATAGCAGAAATAACTATTATTTTGGGAACTCTGCTGAATGTCAGACACCACCCTAGGCTCTTTGCACAATTTACCTTTTTTAATCATTGAAAAAATCCCATAAGGAAAGTTCTGCTATTCTGATGTCACAGAGAACAGAGAAGTAAAGTGCTGAAGCTTGCTTTTAAATCATGGGATGTCTAACTCAAATGCCTAAGATATTTTTCAAAAGGGTTCTTTTCAATAGATAATGCTGTTGCCATACTTTCTAAGGCCCAGGCATTGCACTGAATATACCCCATAGGTAGTACATTGACCAACAGTACATGCCTTAACATGAGTGTCATTGATGTCAAAGTCCAACGCTCCTGAACAAGAGGTATCTGCGAAGCCTCTTCCAGGACTCTTTGAAGTGGGCTCTGTCTGTGCTGACCCCTGGGACTGAATCCAGTTACTTACACTTTGGAGACTGTGGAGTCAGAGCCATGTAGAACATTAATGTTTATAAGTTAAGGTTTGAAGCATTATCATAGAAGACAAGAAACTGAAGATGATATTTTCAATCTTAACTTAGAGATGAAAAGCCATGGTGAATATAAATAGTAGCCTCAAGGCCATTACAGGAATCTGGACTTAATTCTACGATTGACCAACCCTTCTCATGTTAGGCCCTGGATACTCATGGTTTGAAGTGGATTATCAATCCCACTCCTGTTGGAGACATTTTTCCAAAGATTGCTTCCATAACTACAGTTTTTGCTGGGTTATCATTAACTATGTGCTTGAATATCATCCCAAACTCAGCATGACCCAATTATATCTGTGGGTAAACATTGTGAATAAATAAAATAGCAACTTTGAAATGATTTAAAATAGGTTAAATGCTTAAGAAACGATGGTTCTGGTTTTGTAGAATAAATATGTTGATGGGATAACTTGTTTTCTATTCCTTCATATTTCAGGGTTTGTTTGTTTCTAAGGTTTCGATAAAGCGGTTTTATTTTGCTGTCGCTCACATGTGCTGTTTTGAAGTGTTTAATGGTGATTTCTAACAATATGCATCTAGCTATTATCTATCAATCTATCTATCTATCTATCTATCTATCTATCTATCTATCATCTATCTACCTATCATCTGTCTTTCATGTATCTAACCTATAATCTATTATTTTTCTATCATCTATCTAGTTAGATAGCTTATAAAATCTAGACCAAAAGTTATTTGTATAGGAACTCTGTTGCAGACATTTCATTTGGAAGGGACCCATGGGAAAGAGTCTGCATGAAGGAGGTGGAATGAAAAGACCATAATTTTAGGTAGGGAAGGACTGGGGGTTCAAGCTCACTTACCAACTCTGTGACTTTGGGACAAATAAATAACTCCTCTGCTCTTCAGTTTCCTTTAACAAAAGGAACTGTCATAAAGATTGACAGAATACATGCAAAACACAAGGCCTAGAACCTGGAACAAAATAGATCAATACATACTATTTTTAAAATCCTTTTCTTTTTCCCTTTCTCTTTGGGAACATAATAATCATTCAATAAATTTTCATTAAAGGATAAATGACTGCTACTGTATAAGCAACTTTTAAATCAATTTGTTAATTATCATCTCCTTATCATCATTTTTTTCATAATCTTTCAGCATCCTACCTTTTAAATTTCTCTAAACATGACTCTGTGGTCGCTAACACCTCTCTGGGTTCTGTTACTGCTGATTACTGCATTGATTCTGGAGGATTTCATGGTCCCCTTTCACATCTACTCCCCCTAAAAGTAGACTTTTTTTCTCACCCAAGTCCTCCTTCACTTATTCAAATCTTGCTATGCTTCAAAGCGTAACTTAAAATATATGCTTTCCATAAAACCTTCCAAGAGAAGAAAAAAAAGATTCACATGGCAAACAGTTCTCTCAAAATTTTACATTTCTGAGGATAGGTTGAAGTGGTCTCTTTCGAATTAGCATGTGTTTGAAACAGATTATAAGGTCTTCTTGAGCAGGGAATGTATTTTATATGTTACTTTCTATCCTCTAGATGCTGAAATATATGCTGATTTGAATAATAGATACATTTTGAACCAAACCATATAAGAAAGACAGAAGATAAAATAATCCTTCTATAGTATTTTAGAAATAATTTTGCCTATTTTTTTCTCTCCATCTTTGCCAGTACTTTCTTTTTCTTTTATTTTCTTTATTTTTTTAGGAATATGAAAATAATTTTAAACCAGTTTATATGTAAGGAGATTTCCAAAGTTGTTTTTGGCCATGATTGTTTTTTCTACCTTCAATTCATCAGTCTAACATTTATTGGTTGTCTATTATGTCTTAGAAACTGTTCTAGGTACTAAGGAAATGAAACGTATAATGAATAAGGTCCTTGTCCTCAAAGATCTCACAGAAAGTGAGAACAAACCCATTGACAGATAAGTATAAAAACGCGGTTAGTGCAGTGACGCAACTCATAGAAATAATGGAAGCATCTCAAATGGGGAAATCTAACGTGCTTTTAGCTGCCTTTATTTTCAAAATGAGATGTTCTTATCCCATAGCTTGCCCATGAAGGTTTTAGTTTAGTTAGCCTGTACCGTTTTTCGTATCTCTGCACTTCTTTTACCTACTAAGTTCAGAAAATCTTAAGATTTTCATATTCCATGTTGAAAATTATATGTACGTGTGCGTATATGTCTCTCTGTGTGTATATATATGTATATGTATATGCATACACACATATATACATTTGTGTATGTATATTCCATTCACAGGCCTTCTCTATTTTATGTATGGAATTACTCTCTTGATTCCTTCCTATGGCAATACTGATAATATATTTTTATTACGCCCCTATCACCTTGCAAAATAACCAAGAATTTGGACAAGATCTATTCTGTCAATATCTATAAAGATGATAATGATTATATTTCTATACCACTTGGTGCTTTTGAAGGCATTTTTTATTAGAGATCTGAGTTTTGGGAGTAACATTTTCCAGGAAAGATGTGCCACGTTCATTGCAGAGTACAATGTTCAGAATATTTGGCAAATACTATACGTGGCAATTCTTTTCACACAAAGGCAGTCCAAAATGTTTAAATAATTCTTGTCATGTCAAGGAGTGCAAATGTACTTCAGGTATGGTTGGTTGATTTTATAAATGAGTTTTTCCACTTACCATTGTTACATCAACAGACATTTCATTAAATTATATTTAAAGATTTGACAAGACAAGTCCTGTGGAAAGCAAGTTAGCTTAAATTTCACCATCTCATCACACTGTGATTGGTCTAAGTGTGGTAGAGCCTGAAAGGGTGGGCTTAATCAGCATGAACATTTGCAGAAAGTAATGAAATTTAATAATAAATAATTCCAAGAGGCCTCGTTAAGCGGGAACATTATTATCAAACTGAATATACATGTTGACAGCTGTACCAATAAATTTGAGAGCTGTGAATATTTACCCCATAAAATAATGAAGATCCTTTAAAAGGCCCTGCTGCTCTTGTTCTAGGGGAAAAAATGCTTCCTGACTATGTTTTCTTTCTTTACCAAAAAAGGGGAAAGGAGTGGGGAAATAAGTACAGTATGTCTAAATTAACTGTAAGAAAAAAATTCCTAAAAAAGTTTATCAAATTATCTCTGCTATCAAAATTAAAACTGTAGATCCAGCTGACCACAGCACTTTTCTTGAGGTTTTACATCTTATCAAATTGATATAGTGCTTTTGGATTTTAGTGACAAATAAGAATATAAGAAGATTATTTAATCCCTAGATCTTGATTCTGAATGCAAAACTGAACACAAACTCATTATAGTTGCTGCATTGAAGTTAATAAAATTATGAGCCAATAATTAAATGTTATGCTTGAGGATAGATTACATTATGTTTGCAACTACCAGTAGTTTTCACAAAAGATAAAGGAAGCAGACAAGCTCTGTTAGATTTATTTAGAATTTCTTGTTACAGAACATGGATACATTTTGGCATTAAATTGCGTTGGATTTAAGAATACCTAGTGTGCAACTTCACGTAGACAACTGCCAGTAGAGATAATTAAAATTTAGCTAAGCTAGAAGAGAATCAAATATATTATGGATGTTACAGTATAATAAATGAATTTGGTAAAGAGAATCATCCTAATAAGATTAATTTTAGGCGTAATTGCACAAACCCTGGCATCACTGAAGATAAACAATATAATCCTCTCAAGAGGTTTTCTAATAAGTCTGTACAAAGTGTATGTGGGACATGAACAAATTTTTATTGTCTTATACTGGATCCTACAAAAAGAGGTGAAAGAATGAGAACAAATACTCCTTCTTTGATTTTTGTCTTTTCTCATAAACATTTCAAATTACAAAAGACCTAGCACCTAATTGACAATTACAGTCACCAGCAAAATAAAAGATAACTGGTTTGAGTTTTTGAAAAAATGAAGACCTGAAATATGCAAGTTCTGTATTTCTTATTCAGGGCATCTTGCACATACTACAATCTCTACACTAAAAGCATTAAAGTTATTTTCCCCCTAATTTCTGTATGTTAATCAAATATTTGAATCTATTGACACTCTAAGGCAAAGCTTTGATAGTTTGCTCCTTCTGTACCTTGTCAATCTTTTCTTTTAGCCTTAAACTTGCTATCTTCTCCAGGTTTCCTCTCTAGGACACCTGGCTGCACCCCAGTTCTACATCTTGGTAGATATTACTAGTGGTCACTAACATTCAATTTTCTCTAATGTCAGGCATATGGAAGACAGATCCCCGGGTGAAAGGGCCCTGGAACTTTTTCTGGCCAAAAGACAAAGTATGGTGGTGAAAAGCTTGTGTGCTTTTTTCCAGTTGCTCTTGACCCGACAAAGGTGCTGCTGAGAAGATGACATCTTCCAGATAGTATAGCTGATAGTATAGGATGGTAAGCCTCTATCACCTGGGTTCTTGGGTGTAAAAGAGCCCTCCACCAGTCCGCTTTGTACATATTATATGATTGAGAAAGAAACGTTTTTATGTTAAACCAATTGGATTTTTGGAGTTGTTTTAGGGTTCTTTTCTGCCAACCAAAACCTAGTCCAACCAAATTAATAAACGTCTTTACACAGGATATTTTCCACTCTCACTCTTCCTATCAAAACTGTTTTCATCTTAGCTCTTCTACTAGATTAGAAAGGTGTTTAAAAATCTCACTTATACGAAAATATGCATAGATACAGATACCCCTTGGTGGTAGGAAAGAGGCGATGAGAAGCCATGTTGTTACCCAAGGAAATAACTGTTGGCGGAATATTGTAGCCCTACAGCTGACTGATAGGGGAAGGTAATTCAGAGTGAAAGCCCGTACTTATTTTTGTCTGTGGTTCCAATAAAGACTAGTGCTTCCTGAACACCTAAACCTTCTCCATTAGCTCATGTGCATCTAAGCTCAGAAATCAGTTGCTTCTTAAAGGGTAGATATTTTTTAAAGTTAAATTTATTCAAGTGTTAATGTGAAAAATAACCATAGCTCTAGTTCAGAAAGGTAAAACATGTGATAAATGAGATAAGACCTTAACTTCCTGAGTATGTAACAGGCAGAAATATTACATACTTCCTCCCCTCTGCTTTATTTTCCACAGCAGACATTTTACACACTCTCCAAAATTAATAAATAATATTTTGTCACATTTACTTCATGCTGTTTTTTTAAAGAAATAAAACTTTATAGCCTTCTCCCTTCTTTCCTTTCCAAAGGTAATAACATTCACAAATTTTATGTCTATTTTTATATTTCTACTACTTATGTAACTACCCATAAATGATATATGTTATTTTCTGTGTATTTGAAAAAAAATTAGTGTTATTATCCTATACATATTGTTCTATAACTTGCTTTAAAAACAAAAAAAATGTATTTTTGAAGTCTATCCATATTGGTATCTATCTCTGTATTGTTCTATAATTCTATCTAGCTATGTGTGTGTGTGTGTGTGTGTGCATATTTCACTTTTGCTGCTTTTTAAGGTTATATCGAAGTTTATTTCCTGTATGTTTTTATTTGTGTTTTATGAAGTTTGCATTATTACAAATAATTCTGCAAAAATATTCTAAGTTGTACCTTCTTATGAGAGTTTTTGCTTGTGTTGTTTATGTTGTTTTTGTTTGTGTTGTTAGACTATCTACCTAGGAGTTGAATTGCTGGATTGTAGATTTTGTAAATTTTCTGTATTACATGTACTGCCAAAATGCTTTTGTAGTTGGTCCTAATACTTTACACCCCTACCAGCAGGGGTATGAGAACTTAGGTATGGGGATTACCTAAATCCTCATCAACACCTACTGTTACAGACATTTTTTTTTTTTTTGCCAGTTGGATTGTTATGAAATAGTATTTTAATAATATTAATGGATGTGAATTTATTTTCATGGGATTGTGTTAATTAAAAATTCAAGTTTCCTCTTCTGGTATTTGTTCAAATTTTTTGCACATTTTACTATTTGGTCGTATTTGTATCATCACTTAGAGGAGTTTAAACAATTTTTTAAAATTCTAATTCCTGGTCATATGTGTTTCAAATGTCTTCTCTCAGGGTAGGGCTTGTCCTTAAACATTGTTTATAGTATCTTTCGTTCAGAGGCTTTAATTTTGATCTGGCCAAATTAAATCATCCATTCCTTCATAACTTATAAGTGTTTGACATCCGAAGGCCACAAACATTTTACATTTTTGTCTTTTTTTTTTTTTTTGAGACAGAGTCTCACTCTGTCGCCCAGGCTGGAGTGCAGTGTCGCGATGATCTTGGCTCACTGCGAGCTCCGCCTCCCAGGTTCACGCCATTCTCTTACCTCAGCCTCCCAAGTAGCTGGGACTACAGGTGCCCGCCACCATACCCAGCTAATTTTTTGTATTTTTAGTAGGGACGTGGTTTCACCGTGTTAGCCAGGATGGTCTCAATCTCCTGACCTCATGATCCGCCCGCCTCAGCCTCCCAAAGTGCTGAGATTACAGGTGTGAGTGACCACGCCCGGCCATTTTTGTCTTTTTATATGTAAGCTTTAATCCTCTTGGAATTTATGTATGTGTATACTGTTGAGTTTTATTATTATTATTATTATTATTTAGTATCAGAAGCTAACATCTCAGTGCCATTTTTGAATAGTTTGTTAACATATTTTCAATGCCTCTTTTATTATTTAACAAGTTTACCTCTATGCGTACTTCTATTTCTGAGATTCTTATTTAGTTCCATTGATCAATTTGTCTTTTTGTGTTCTATAGCCACATTGTATTAACTACCATGGCTTTACATACAAATCTTCATTGCTAGTGAAGCAAGACCTCTTTGCTGCTTGTACTTTGAAAAATGTTTGACTAGTCTTAGAGCTTTGTTCTTCTATATAGAGCTAAGAATCAGTTTGTCAAGGTGTATGAAAAATCCTATTGTGCTTTGGATTTGAATTGCATTGTATTTATAAATGATCATGGCATTTTGACTCATCTACATAGTACTAATATATGTGAATAAAGACTTGATCCATACTCTAGCCTTTAATGCTAAGCAACAAACAGCATGTATGTATCACTTCCGAATCTAATGGCACTCTCAAGAAATGTGAACCTGTGTTGGAGGTACTTTAGAAAGAAGAGCAGGTGGTGTTTAAAAAAGGAAAAGAATTTGGAGAGGATTCAATTTTAAAAACAGAAATAGGGAATGAGCAAAAAAAAAAAAAAAAAAAATGTAACCATGGCAGAGAATGAAATGACATGAGGTGTGTGGATGGGGGAAGGGAGTGCTGGGAGGAAATCACACAAGAATGCTAGTTGCGTTTTGGACCCTTCCGTGTCCTGAAATTGGAAACTTTTCAAGTGTGTTTCAAAGTAGTAACCCTTTCCCGCAAATAACAAATAAATTAGTTGCAATAACTATTGCCAAGTTCAAGCTCTAGAATCTCCTGGTTTAAATGATCTGTGCCAATGCATTCTTGTACACCCCACTTCCCTGCCAGCTTTGTTGTTGATTGGATACTGATGAATGGCATTGCTGTGCTCCACTGCAGCACTTCATAAATAACATTGCACAGTAGATACAGTACAATGGCAATTCCTATTTTTGCAGTGATTGGGCTGGTTGGAAACAAGTGATTTCCCTAATAGTGGGCTTTGTATGGATATGGGTGCTGGATTCATCTCTAACAGATGTGTCAACAAGCTATTAAAACAAGACGTATATAATTTTATGATGACTGTGAACATTTTAGGTAAAAGGCAAACTTACTATTTAAATATACTTGTGCTGCCATAAGTGAAACAAAAATCCTAAATAAAACAAATTGATAACAGGAAAAATGTCAAGCACACTGCACTTATTTGTTAGATAAATATTACTGTTTGGCATTAACTAATGTTAATATTTTGTGTCGCTAGTGTTTCTCTTTATTATCATTTCTGAAGAACACTTACGTTTTTTCAGACTTGTTTAAATGAAAACATATTTAATTACCAGATATTTGACAAAAATACAAAAATCATCAGAATTTCAAGATTGTCTACTTACGGGGATATTATCCCTACTAAAAATGATGGCATTAAATTTAAGTCAACTATTTACATCAACTGATTAGGGATTCTGTAATAAGAATGGCAAGTGAACAGTTAGATTTAAAAGACCCAAGCATAAATTCTGCAAGAAATTGACAATGGAGAGGATAGGAATTGTAGACTTTGGTAATTATTAGAACTGCAAGGGGCTATATGGTCATTTCATCAAATTCTGCAATTTTATTGATAAGAACCAAGTAAGAAATATTCTCTAATTCAAAGGTTACATACAAGATCATTTTAATGTCAAGGTGCTGCTTCCTTCTCCTGTCATATGATGATACCTCCTTCCTCTATGTATGAAAACCCAAAAACTCCAACCTACAGAATGTCTGAAAACTCTTTGACTTTGTCACACTCTCTTGCTTACTAGCTTTTGAAAATGTTTCTTCAGCTTAGAATGCCATTCCTGCCACCATCTAATCAACCCTGATAACCTCCTAAATTTTCTTTGCTAAAAGCAAGAATTAGTGACATTTATTGCATGTTTACTATCTACCAAGCACTGTTTTAAGCCCATGACATGACTTAACTCATTAAATCGTCATATCGATCTGCCAAAATATGTAACACCATTTGATCGATGGAAAAACTGAAACACTGAAATATTATGTAATTTGTTAAAGAAGGCGAAGCCAGATTACCAGATTAAAACCTAAAGTATATCTTCAGGGCAGGATATCTTGACTTCTGTGTTAGACTGGCACCACACAGGATTCAACCCAAACTTCACTTGTTTTTGCAACTCTTCTCCCACTCAGGGAGTCTGTTTTCTGAGTATCCACAAGACTTTGCTACATACATAGCACTTTCCATGGTGAATATTAATAGATTTCATTATTATCTCTCCTACTGTGAGTATCTTGACAGCAAAAATCAGCATTATATAGGATTAAGAGTTTGGACCTGGGATTGGACAGACCTGGATTTGAATCCCAGGTCTGTCACTTATTCAAAGTGTGGCCTTGGCAAATTACTTGACCTATTGAAGCTCTGTTTTTATCATCTGTAAAATGGAGATAATATTTGCTTCTTCAGAATGTTATATTAGAAGGATTAAATGCATTACAATACATAATTGTTCAATGTAAATTAGCTATTATAATTATCTGTATTCTCTAAGTTGAGTACTGTCATAGTGGTAGATGCATTTTTTTTTTTTTTTGCACAAATAGGGCTATAAGGGACATAGATAAACCAGCTTGTATTCTGAATTTACTAACTAGTGACACATATGTTTCATGAACTCTGAAGATTAACTTTCAATATAGAGAAATACCCCTCATTTAGCTATGCTATCTTGCAGTTTACGGTCCTCCCTCTGCCATCTTAGTTGACACATCAACTCAGGCTACCTAGGATATCATTTAGAGCATAGGGAATGGATATGTTTTTTATGCATGGGTATTTCCTGAACTGAAGAAGGATGGGCATTGAAGCATCAAGTCTTTTAAACAGCTCCTAAAGCAGATGGAAGGAGCTATTGTAGCGATCTGAGCCACTAAGTTGCTGCATGACCTGCAAGGTTTTATTCTACTTTTGCCCTTGAAAAAAGGAAAACAAAACTACAAAACTCTTGGCTTTCTTCATCCATAGGCCCTCCTGTGTATGTCTGTGTGTGCAGAAGTGTGACCCTCACACTGTCTTTGTTGATAAGGATAGGGATTGCTGGCTGAGAAAACCGCAGTGGGAGGAAGGAATCATAGTATCTGAAATGTCTGCATTTAAAAATATGGCCTTATAGTTGTAACACTGGAGCTTATGTAGACAAACAAGCAAATAGCATGAAGCAGACAAATAAGCATGAAGAAATGACCTTCTCTCAAAAGAATAAAGCCCCTCAGGAGGAAACCCATTATAGATCCAATGTCAAAGCACAAGGGAGTCAGCAGTATGTACATACACCAGTATATTGCAGCGTCAACGGCCCTATTCACTCTGAAGTTATGATGAGCATGACACTGTGATCAGATACCCAGATAAGTGAGGCACCCCAATGGAGTCTTCTGAGATGATTAGAGGAGGTCCCATTAGCTAAGAAAAGTTTTTCTCAGGCACAATATAAAGTAGCATGTGGCAGAGAGACACTTGTGAATTTCCATGACCAATCTATTCTCCACATATCGACCAGGATAATCTCTAAAAATGAGAATACAGCCTGTCATGCCTCTGTTTAAACACCATCATTGGACTTTCATTGCATTATGAATACAAAGAAAGTTAGTGCTACAACCTACAACATCCTCTATGATCCAAGCTCTGCTCCCTTTTGCATTGCCATGCATTTCTCTCCTCTCTATGCATGCTCCCAGACCCAGGGCCTCTTAAAGTCTCTCAATGTACCTAGTGTCTTTCCACCTGGGGGTTGCCACACATGCTGTTCCTGCCACATACTTTCCCACAGATTTACGGATAAATAGCTCTTTCTCATTTTTTTTTTTGAGACAGTTTTGCTCTTGTTGCCCAGGCTGGAGTGCAATGGCACAATCTTGGCTCACTGCAACCTCTGCCACCTGGGTTCAAGTGATACTCCTGCCTCAGCTTCCCAGGTAGCTGGGATTATAGGAATGCACCACCACACTCAGCTAATTTTTTGAATTTAGCAGACATGGGGTTTTACCATGTTGGTCAGGCTGGTCTCAAATTCCTGACCTTAGGTGATCCACCAGCCTCAGCCTCCCAAAGTGCTAGGGTTGCAATTGTGAGCCACCATGCCCAGTCTCCTTCTCATATTTAAGGTCTCTTTTTAAATACCATCTCAGAGAGGCCTTTCCTGGCCACGTAACCCCTACACCTTCTATTCTTTATCATTAGCTCTATTCATACTTTCATAAAACACTTTGCAATTTCAATTATAGGTTTTCGTTAGTTTGTTTATACTTGCTTATGGTCTTTCTTCTCTACTAGGATGTGAGCTCTAAGTGGGACCCTAATCTGCCTTGAGTAGGTATTCAGTAGCATTTGTTGACTGAAGAATGGGCAAATAAATGGATAGTTCCATGAGTTAGTCACATGATTGGAGCCCTAAGCCAAGAGCTTCTTATGTTCATGAGGATCCAACAATTAATGGCCCTGACTTTTTCTCTTTGCTATGGCAGAATTGTGAGTGTGAAGCCAATTTAGAGAAGGACTTCACCTGGCAGTGTGTCTGAATTCTAGAGAAGGTAGGAACAAATTGAATGTTTACTATGTATTTGTTATGTTCAAGGGAACTTAGGGGATAAAAAGTTGAACAAGATGCGGTCTTGGCCAGGTGCAGTGGCTCACGCCTGTAATCCCAGCACTTTGGGAGGCTGAGGCGGGCAGATTGCCTGAGATCAGGAGTTCGAGACCAGCCTGGCCAACATGGTGAAACCCAATCTCTACTAAAAATACAAAAAATTAGCCAGGTGTGGTGGTGGATGCCTGTAATCCCAGCTACTTGGGAGGCTGAGGCAGGAGAATCGCTTAAACCCGGGAGGCAGAGGTTGCAGTGAGCCAAGATTGCGCTACTGCACTCCAGCCTGGGCAACAAGAGCGAAACTCTGTCTCAAAAAAAAAAAAAAAAAAAAAAAGTCGTTATCTGTTTCCTGACTCATCTTACAGTTTAGGACATTAGAGTTGTCCTATAAGCAGATAAGTATAACATGAATGTGGTAGACAGTCCAGCACCATGTGTTAAGTGCTGTTGTGCTACTGGGTGCTATAAGTGCTATGGGGGAACATAGACACGATTTGGCTTTTTAAAGTAGTATTTTGAAGGCAGTGATTTCATGCTCTGATTTAATCCATTCTGTATAATCAATGGGCTTATGTATCTTTGGGTCTATATACCATTGAAAAACATCTAGAGTGGAGCTGGCAAATCCACCTGTTCACCATTCACTTATTGATTATATCAGAAAATATTTTTCAGTCTCCTACAAAGGAACAGGCACTGTGCCTATTGTGCTAGGTACCAGGGATATTGCTATAAACAAGAAAGAAGTTCTGTGTTCTCACAATGCCCTTACATTCATGAGAAAGGTAGATGTTAAATAAGAATGATAATGTCAGATTTTGATAAGTACTATGATAGAAAGATAGTGGTGAGATTTAGAACCAGTGGCATGGTGCGGATCACTTTAGGTATGCTGATGAGGACAGACTTCCTTAGGGAAGGTGACATCGGACCTGAAGCATGAGGGATGAGCGTGAGCTGCCCATAGGAGAGCTGCAGGAAGAGCCTCGCATTCACAGAGCATCAAAAATCAGGGCTCGAGGCAGGACAGAGCTGTGTGTGTAAGACTGTGCGAAGTCAGTATAGCTGAGCCTAGTGGGGATGGGGGTGAGAGGAGGTCAATGTGGCAGAACATGTTGGACTTGTGGCCATGCTTAGGACTTTGAATTTTATCCTAAATTTTATCCAAAGAATGACAAGAAGAAGTTGTTGAAGTATTATAAGCATGGGATTGACGGGTTCTGATTTGTATTATTAAAGGGTTACTTCAGAAGTAAAGAGAAGGAATTGTGCTATGGTCTGAAAGTGTGTCCCAAAATTCATATGTTGAAACTTAATATCCTCTGTGGCAGTATTAAGATTTGGGGTCTTGGATAAAGAAAATGGGGTACATATACACCAAGGAATACTATGAAGTCATAAAAAGAACAAGATCATGTCCTTTGCAGGGACATGGATGGAGCTGGAGGCCATTATCCTTAGTAAACTAATACAGAAAGAGAAAACCAAATGCTGCATATTCTCACTTATAAGTGGGAGCTAAATGATGAGAACACATGGACACATAGAGGGGAACAACACACACTGAGGCCTACTGGAGGGTGGAAGGTGGCAGAAGGGAGAGGATCAGGAAAAATAACTAATGGGTACTAGGCTTAATACCTGGGTGATGAAATAATCTACACAACAAACCCCCATGACATATTTACCTTGTAACAAACCTGCACGTGTATCCCACGTGTATCCCACACTTCAACACAAGTTAAAAAAGAAAAGAGTTGGGGTCTTTTGGGAATTGATGAAGTTGCTAGGCCCTCATGAATAGATTAGTCCCTTATGAAAGGGCTGGAAGGACTAGCCTAGGTTCTTCTCCCATGTGACATCACAGCATTTATCCTTTTTTTGCCCTTTTGAGCCCTTCCACCATGTAAGGGCTCCCTAGGTGGCCCCATCTATGAGGAAAGGGTCTTTGCAAGAGACACTAGACCTGCCAGCACCTTGATCTTGGACTTCTCAGGCTCCAGAACTTTGAGAAATAAATTTCTATTTTTCATAAATTACTCAGTCTCAGATGTTTCCTTATAGCATCACAAACAAAGACAGGTTGTAAAGAGAGTATGAGTAAAATTTTAGCTGTCTTTAATGATCACTATTAGACTCATCTTTCTATTTACATAACACAGCTCTGCAAAAGTGTATTGAGTAACCTCTACATGGCAAGCGTTGTGCAAAAACAGAAAGTTATTGTTGCAGGATTTGATCTACAATATTACTGGGCTTTTCTGTGGGGACAGAACTGCCATATTTTTCAAAATTGATTTCTTCATTCAATTTCAATTTCCTTTTCATGATTAGCTAAATCGAAAGCAAATGTTTTGGGTCCTTTTAACCTGCTCACCTCAAACTCTCTTTCTCTTTCTGAAAAGATCTGTAATTTCCCAAAGTAGTGCGTGACTGTGGCATATAGTACTTATCCCGAAGAAGCAGGTTCTGCTGGGGGTTCATGCTTGAGTCCATTTTTCTTATCTTTCTCAAATGGCCGAAGTTAACTGATTTGAAAGAGCCTCATTTTAAATTACATTCATTCAGTGAAAACAGAAATTAACACTTAGAGACATCTATATGCTAATGATTGTAGCTCAGGGAATTCACTTCTAACCTTTTCAAAAGGCACTGGTAAAGAGCCATTTCACTTGAAAGCAACTTAGTAAAACTGGTAGATTAATTAAATACCATAAAATTTCTTTAAGAATCTGTATTTCATTTATCATTTATGCCATTATTTTTTCTTTTTTTATGTGAGCTACCTTGGTTCATATCATGCCTTCTAGGACACATTATTTAGCAGATTATTTGACATGAATAATGCAGAATCCAGCATGGTAATGTGATGCTATGAGTTTGGAAGATAGTAAAAGAACAAAAGACAAACAAAGGAAATCTGTTCATCGAGGCCACCCCTAGTTCATGTTGTAGCTTTGTGCAATTTTTTTTTTTAAGCGCCCTCTGTCAGTGAAGCCCTGGGCAAGGGGATAAGCCTGGGAGTAGTAAATGGAGTCTAGGTACAAACTCCACTTGCTCCTTCAGCCACTTACCCTGTGCAATGAACAAATTTCACAGCTATACACGGCATCCTTTAGTGGCTCTCTGTCTCATTGCTCCATCTTACTTATCTGAGTTCACCTTATCTCCACTTATTTTCATCCGTGATTTCATGTCTTTAAATTTTACTATCAGGGAAAAGCAAGCTTTTCCTGTCTGCTCATGCCCTGAAGAGTAAACTCTGACAAGGATTCATTTTAGAGTAGGATACATTTTGTTGAGCTGCATGAAGGGGAGACCATGTGCTTGAACAGGGCAGCCCCTTCAGAGGATACACTCATGAAGTAAAGAGAACTTGCTATTAATTGCACATGCAATATATCGCTTTTATTTTCTGAATAAGCAGCAAGAACTGCACATTTTAGGGCATGGGGGGTTTGCAGTCAGACCTGCTTGTGAATTCAATAAGAAAGCAGAGCAAAAAATGTGAATAGCCACTTTATCGAAGAGGATATAAGGATTGGGAAGAAGTATATGATAGCCATTAGGGAAATAAACAATAAAATCACAATGAGATACCATTACATCACTCTTAAAATGGCTGAAATTAAAAAGACCAACCACACCCACTGTTGTGGGGAAGGGAGGGGGCCTGAATAATCCCTGAGGAGTAGTAGAATAGCAGATGGAACACTGAGAAGTTATTTCCTTGAGGATAGATTTCCATGATGGAAAGGAAATGAGAGGTTCTAAGAGGCGGGCTAGTGGCTTGTATTATAGTATAACCTGCCTTTGCTGGTGTGTGGCGATTAGGCCTGGTGGAACCGCCATCAATAAATCAAGCGTGATCAGGGTGAGGAACAGGAAAGAAGGAAATTTGGGGAAATGGGGTGAATGTCAGGTGGATCAGAGAGATACAGTCATGGGGGTCAGGTGTGGTATCAGGAATAATGTGGGAGGTCAGATTGAAGTCTGGGCCAGGAACAACGGTAATTGTGGGAGACTCAACAAAGAGTGAGTACAGCTGAAGGAGCCGGAAAGCAGAAAGTCTATGTGTCAGGTATGAGGAAGAAAATAGATTTTGGAAGTTATGAGAACTGTAGAGAGTGAGTTGAGCATAGTTTGTGATTCTGAGGGCCTCTAAAAGTATTAAAGCAGCGGCAGCCGCTGCACGCAGACATGAGGGCTAGGCTAAAACAGTAAGGTCAAGTTGTTTGGACAGAAAGGCTACAGGGTGTGGTCCTGGCTCTTGTGTAAGAATTCTAACCACGCTAACCATGCCTAGGAAGGAAAGGAGTTGTTGTTTTGTAGAAGGTGCTGGGGTTTGAGAGATCAGTCGGACATGATTGGCAGGGAGAGCACGTGTGTTTTTATGAGAATTATGCCGAGATAGGTAACAGATGAGGAAGAAATTTGGGCTTGATTGAAGTAATGGGGGCTGTCTGTGAAGCTTTGCAGCAGTACAGCCTAGGTAATTTGCTGAGCCTAATGGGTGTCAGGGTCAGTCTAAGTGAAAGCAAAGAGAGGCTGGGACGAGGGGTGCAGGGGAATAGTGCAAAAAACATCTTTAAGATCAAGCATGGAATAGTGAGTTGTGGAGTAAGGTATTGAGGACAAAAGAGTGTACAGGTTGGGCACCACAGGGTGGATAGGCAAAACAATTTGGTTGATAAGGCGCAGATCCTGAACTAACTTGTAAGGCTTGTCTGGTTTTAGGACAGGTAAAATGGGGGAATTGTAAGGAGAGTTTATAGGCTTTAAAAGGCCATGCTGTAGCAGGTGAGTGATAACAGGCTTTAATCCTTTCAAAGCATGCTGCGGGATGGGATATTGGCGTTGAGTAGGGTAAGGGTGATTAGGTTTTAATGAGATGGTAAGGGGTGCATGATTGGTCGCCAAGGAGGGAGTAGAGGTATCTTATACTTGTGGGTTAAGGTGGGGGGATGCAAGAGGAGGACGCAAAGGAGGCTTTGGATTGGGAAGAAGGGCAGCAATGAGATATAGCTGTAGTCCAGGAATATTCAGGGAAGCAGATAATTTAGTTAAAGTGTCTCAGCCTAATAAGGGAACTGGGCAGGTGGGGATAACTAAAAAGAGTGCTTAAAAGAGTATTGTCTAAGTTGGCACCAGAGTTGGGGAGTTTTAAGAGGTTTAGAAGCCTGGTTGTCAATACCCACAACAGTTATGGAGGCAAGGGAAACAGGCCCTTGAAAAGAAGGTAATGTGGAGTGGGTAGCCTCCATATTGATTAAGAAGGGGACGGGCTTACCTTCCACTGTGAGAGTTACCCGAAGCTCGGCGTCCGTGATGGTCTGGGGGCTTCCGAGGCGATCGGGCAGTGTCAGTCTTCAGCCGCTAAGCCGAGAAGATCTGGGAAGGAGTCAGTCAGAGAGCCTTGGGCCAGAGTTCCAGGGCCTCTGGGAGTGGCTGCCAGGTGAGTTGAACAGTCCGATTTTCAGTGGGGTCCCGCACAGGTGGGATGCGGCTTAGGAGGAATCTTGGGCTGCGGGCATTCTTTGGCCCAGTGGCCAGATTTCCGGCATATGTAGCAAGCTCCTGTGGGAGGAGGTTCTGGAGGAACTCCTGGCCGCTGCGGTTCAGGCGTTTGGAAGTTCTTGTGTGCTGGAGATGTGGCTGGGGTTTGTCTCACAGTGGAGGCAAGGAATTGCAACTTTTTTCTATTATTGTACACCTTGAAGGTGAGGTTAATTAAGTCCTGTTGTGGGGTTTGAGGGCCAGAATTTAATTTTTGGAGTTTTAATGTCGGGAGCAGATTGGGTAATAAAATGTATTTTGAGAATAAGATGGCCTTTTGACCTTTTAGGGTCTAGGGCTGTAAAGTGTCTCAGGGTTGCTGCCAAATGAGTCATGAACTGGGCTGGATTTTTATATTTGATAAAAAAGAGCCTAAACGCTATCTGATTTGGAATAAAGAAAAAGAAGCATTAACCTTGACTATGCCTTTAGCTCCAGCCACCTTTTTAAGAATAAATTGCTGGGCGGGAGGGGGAGGGCTACTCACGGAATGAAACTGTAAGCCGGAGCAGGTGTGAGGAGGGGAGGCGATAAAAAGATTATAGGGTGGAGGAGTGGAGGCTGAGGAAGAATTAGGACCTAGCTCGGCCTGTGGAGGAGGGGAGAGGTCAGATGGGTCTGTAGAAAAGGAAGATTAGAAAGACTCAGCGACGCTTGGGGTTGGCACTGAGGGGACAGGCGGGAGGGAAAGAAGGAAGATTTGGGAGAAGTTGCACTGGGCACAGAGACTAGGAAGGGACTGATGTGTAAAAGAATGCCTGGAAGTCAGGCACCTCAGACCATTTGCCCATTTTACGACAAGAATTATTTAGATCTTGTAGGATGGAAAAATTGAAAGTGCCGTTTTCTGGCTATTTGGAACTACTCTTGAGTTTGTATTGGGGTCAAGCGGCATTGCAGAAGAAAAGGCATTTAGGTTTTAGGTTAGGTGTGAGTTGAAGAGGTTTTAAGTTTTTGAGAACACAGGCTAAGGGAGAAGAAGGAGGAATGGAAGGTGGAAGCTTACCCATAGTGAAGGAGGCAAGCCCAGAGAAAAGAGTAGAGACACGGAGAAGGGATGGGGGGTTCTTGCCCTCCAGAAAAGCAGAGAAGGGGTTGAGGCATGGAAATAAGGGATTGGGGCACAGAGATAAGAGGTCAGGGTGCGGAAATAAGGGATTGGAACACAGAGATAAGAGGTTGGGGTGCGGAAATAAGCGATTGGGGGGTTCTTGCCCCCTAGGATAGCGGGACTTGCCGCTAAGGGTGAAGGAGAAGGGGTTGAGGGGTACTTGCCCCTGCCCCAGGAAAGCGGGACTTGCCACTAAGGGTGAAGGACCAAGGCAGACGTCCCTGCGTGGTCTGACACCCTTGAAACGTGAGTGTAGAATCAGAGAGGCGTCCCTGCAATGATTAAACACCAAGGGAAGGCTGCCTTCCCAGTCCGTGACCGGCGCCGGAGTTTTGGGTTCATGGATAAAACATGTCTCTTTTGTCTCTACCAGAAAATGAAAGGAATTGAAATTAAGAGAAGGGAGAGATTGAAGTGTGGCGCCAAGATTGAAAGGAGAAAGAGGTTGAGGGATAGTGAGGGAGGTTGGAGAAGAGAGTAAAAAGAGGCCGCATAGCGGATTTGAAATTGGTGAGATGTTTCTTGGGCTGGTCAGTCTGAGGACCTGAGGTCGTAGGTGGATCTTTCTCATGGAGCAAAAAGCAGGAGGACAGGGGATTGATCTCCCAAGGGAGGTCCCCTGATCCGAGTCACGGCAGCAAATTTCATGCGCGTCCGTGTGAAGAGACCACCAAACAGGCTTTGTGTGAGCAACATGGCTGTTTATTTCACCTGGGTGCAGGCGGGCTGAGTCCGAAAAGAGAGTCAGCGAAGGGAGATAAGGGTGGGGCCGTTTTATAGGATTTGGGTAGGTAAAGGAAAATTACGGTCAAAGAGGGTTTGTTCTCTGGCGGGTAGGAGTGGGGGTTGCAAGGTGCTCAGTGGGCAGGAGTGGGGGTCACAGGGTGCTCAGTGGGGGTGCTTTTTGAGCTAGGATGAGCCAGGAAAAGGACTTTCACAAGGTAATGTCATCAGTTAAGGCAAGGACCGCCCATTTACACTTCTTTTGTGGTGGAATGTCATCAGTTAAGGTGGGGCAGGGCATATTCACTTCTTTTGTGATTCTTTAGTTACTTCAGGCCATCTGGGCGTATACGTGCAGGTCACAGGGGATGCGATGGCTTGGCTTGGGCTCAGAGGCCTGACAAATAGGGGTTCTGGAAAGCAGAGGCAGGTTGGAAATCTCAGGGCAGATCCAGCTGATCCTGCTTGAGAACAGGGCTTTCTCAGGTATGATTCCACTTGTAAATCCCAGCTGTCAAACTGTGAGGGACACAGCTTCAGAAGAGGAAAGAGCCAGCCTGTGGGAGGAGTCCAGAGAGTGTGTTTGTTGCAAACTGGAAGGCAGGGGAGGTAGTTATCAGTCCTGTAATAGGTCCAAGCTGATTGGCGAGCCCCTTGTTGATGCTAATGAGGCTATTTTTATACTGATAGCTCTATTATTCCCCACTATTGTCATGGTTACATGGACAAAAGGAGAAAGCAAATGTAAACTTTCTGAATAAAGGAGATAGCATGAAATTGGAATGATTTAATCATTTATTCTAACCAAAAAAAAAAAGAAAAAAAAAAAAACCAAGTCTTTCCAGAGATGAGTTAATGAACTCTGGTTTCCCCCTGAGGCTATAATCCTCCACAGACATCAGTCTCCTCATCTGTTAAAATGAGGGGGTTGGACTAGATGATCTCTAAGGTCCCTTCCAGCACTGAAAATTCTATGATTCTATGATTATTTAATCTATTTCCTAGTGACTGGAAGTTTTGCATTTACCATATGTAGAAATGAAACAAAGGAAACCTAACTTGGAAAGTTTGAATTTTATTTGCATCACAAGCTTGATTTTGAAGGAAATGTTTGAATTCAAGAAATTGATGTCTACTATATTTTAGACTACATATAGTCACCTGCCTGTCTAGTAGCACACTGAGAGAGTTGTGGGGAGCATGAAAGCATTCAAAAACCCCTCTGGCTCAGGTTAGAGGTGCAATTCAATATTCATGATAGGTTACCAAGGAAAATAACGTGTTATCTGTGCTAACTCCAATCCTCTTTCAAAATGCTTCTCAAACACAATTTGGCACAAACACATCAAACTAATATGGCAGCTGTGGTTCACACTTGGCGTTTGTCAAAGCTGTGCCTGACCAAATCAGAATGTTTATCTCTAGACTTGAGCAGACCCTACAGACAGTAAAAAAATGGATCAGAATCCTTTCAGACAGATTATTAAGCAGATTATTAAGGCTGTTATATATTTGGGCCACAAATGGGCAGGGCTTTATTTTATTCTATAATTTTTTTAATATCATAGCATCTATAGAGAATGAGCATATTGCTGGAATCAACTACCTTAAAGTGTTAGCTCATTAATCCCCTATTTCTATTCATAACATCACCTAAGTTTCTTTCAGTTTATACCTAGTGTTTCAGGAAAAAGGTTACAAATGTTGCATTAGATGCATACAATTTTAGCCTTAGCATGAATCACCTTCTGTAGCCTTATCCTCCAGAAACTTATAATTTGCTTGGGCAGGTAAGACTTCAACAATAAGCACTCTTAGTAGGGGCCCAGGGGATGAGAAATATTCATATATTAGATGCTTTCTGTGTACCAGGAACTGGGCAGTCTTCACTCTCTGAGGTAGGTGGCCTCATTTTTGTTCTGTAGATTAAAATCCTGAGTCAAGGGAATTAAAAAAGGAAACACACAAAAACCATAGTGGCATATCTAGTAAACTGTTGATCTGAAGTTTGAATCCTGGTTGATCCGACACCAAGACCTGTCTCATTCCCACAGCACTTGGGATGACACACACATTTCATCCCATGCCATCTGTCAAAGCTGAGTCATTGATGGGGCTCTACTTGGAAAGTTGGTTGAGAATGTTTCTCAGAGCACCTCTGGGATCAGAGGAAGGTGCCTTGGTCCACTTGTGCTGTTTCATGGATTCTCAATATTGCCTATACTTGCCTTATCTCTGGCTGGCTAAATAAGTGGCACACACCTAAGTTATTGGAGAAAAGAAAAGCAAGGAAAGCTCAGTGGAGTCTGCAGTGTTCATGGACAATTTCTCAGAAAACTTGGAAGATGAACCAGTCTTGATCAATGGGCAGAATTTGAATAAGTGGACAAAAAGCAAACCAGCCCTCTAAAAAGAGCGCCAGAGGCAGAGGCAACAAGAGAGCAGATCTTTAAGGCAACGATGGTGTAATTTTTATGAAGCTGAGACACTTGCCTTCACGCCTGTGTTAACAATGGGGCGATGGAATACACGTAGATTGTTTAAACTGGTTTAAAGCCCTTTCGCATTTACACTGCTTGAACAATCTCTCTGTGTTTCATTAGTTGCCAATAAGTTATCCCTTTGTTTCTGTGTTTGGTTTTATGGATTCTATTGTAATGATGAGAGCACAGGGAAACCATGTAATGACAGGGAGAAGCACTCGCTGGGGGAAAAAAAAAGCACTTTGAAGCGGTGGGACTCCCAGGCTGCATCTGGGCACAATGCCAGCTTTTCTGCAGCTGAAGAACTTGCCACAGAAACAGCTGGCAATAGCTGCAATTCACCTGTAATAAAGACAACCAATACCAACCACTCAGCACACTAATCAATGATTTAATAATTGTGTCAATGAAACAGATTATTCAATTGGCTTCGGGAGACTGTAGCCCCCCTCTGCAGTCATATGCTGCCTTTGAGAATGGCTTAGACTTCCCCAACTGACTCATACATTTCCCTCCAGTACTTTTATTTTAAGACTCTCCTGGTTACAGCTTTTATGTCAAAATATATTGGAACATCATATGCCCCTTAGACCAGTGTTTATTGACATTTATGGAAGTACCAGGAAATTCCAGTGAGCGAATAGAGCCTTTCCTCACTCTGTCTACTGAGGTTTGTAGAATCTGTCCCTGGTGTTAGCACTGTCCTCTTTGGGGGCATAGAATATCCTTTCTCCGAAGGAGCTGCTACTTCCTGGGATGCATCACAGTTCAGTACGACTAAGGGGGTTTTGCAAGAAAGAGTACATATTAGGCTTCATTGCATTTTGAATTTTTATTACCTTTTCCCTCTTCCTCTGCAATACTGTGAGTCGTTCTCAAACTTAAGGTTTAATCCAATTATAAGTAAGAATTTCCTATGGAGGATCTGGGACAACTTTTTCCTTCACATTTACTGGTGGACAAATGAAGAAATACGATTAAACGTGCAAAAGTCTATCCTTGGCTTTTCCTTGGCATGCAGAGTAGGCTGCTGGTATCCCTCTGTCTTCCGCAGTCCTCTTGCACAAACCCCTCAGACCATGGCCTCGGGAGGCATGTGGAGTTTGGTTGGATAGTGTGGGATGGCTGGTGGTCATAGCAGTTCTTGTGATCACTTTGCTGCCACTTCCCGCTCAGGAAGTTCTCCTACAGTAGTGCTGCTTTTTCCACTTTATCTTCTTAATCTCATACTAGATGATTTAATTGGCTACTGTCTAAGCTCTCATATGTTAGTTAAACCTGGTAGATTTTAGAATTTGAGCATTAATGATACTGGGTCAGCTAGAGTTAGGTTTTCCCAGTTGGTGAGCCTATCATAACATTTGACTTTTATAAGAAAAAAAATAGGGATATATGTAATTGCATAATTGGCTCTTAAAACTTGTTGGTAGGTATGTGGGATCCAAATAGGAAGTCTAATAGAAAAAGAATCAGAACCTACCCCTAACCAGCAAGGGTAAACTAGCTTTAATTTTCTTTTTTTTTTATTTTTGAAACAGGGTCTCACTCTATTGCTTAGGCTGGAGTGCAGTGGCGTGAGCATAGTTCACTGCAGCCTCAAACTCCTAGGCCAAAGCAATTCTCCTGCTTCAACACCCTGAGTAGCTGGGAGCTCAGGCACCCACCACCATGACAGTCTAATTTCTTATCTTTTCATGGAGACAGGGTTCTCCCTGGGTTGGCCAGGCTGGTCGTGAATTCCCAGGCTCAAGAGATCCTCCTGCCTTGGCCTCCCAGAGTGCTTGGATTACAGGCATGAGCCACTGCATCCGGCCCCTCCATTGTTTTAAAAAAGCTCCTTTACTATCACTCTCCTTATCCCTGATTTATCCTGGGTTCCATTAATTAAGGGCCTGATCTGTGAGAAGACTGTGTTCCTTTTAGGGGTATATGCATTTTAATGGGTTTGCTCAGGGCCTAAAAAAGATTCAAGACACAAAGGACTGGAGTCAATAAGGTTGGGATTTCAGGCAGTATGACAGGTATTGAGGGGGATATACTGTTGGCCAGAGGCCTTGCTGACACCATTCACATTTCACAAAAGACAGTTGTCTACCCCATAAGCAAATGGACAATATCCTTTTCTTCTTTTTTCCCTTCATAATTTTGACATAAACTATGCAGTGGAAAATAGGTACTGACTGGTAGTATCCATTATGTATGGGGGCCAATTTTATTAAGGATCTAGGAAATACCTCCCTCGGTGGCATATTTAGAAAGTAATATTGGCATCCCGTCTGTCCATGTTATCAGAGAATGACACGTCAATGTCTTGATGCCTGATCTTAATTATTCACTCTCTGCCATTTCCAGAGACCTGAGATGGCTTTCGTCTGTGCTGACACATAGAATATAGTGAAGAGCATTAGTGGATTCCAATTATGAATATGATAACAGAGAACAGAAATTATCTATATGTACAGATATATAAAATTACATATAAATGTATAAACATATATACTTATGTAAATGTTGGTCCATCAAACCAATTTAGAGGAATCTAGCATAGGTGGTGAGAGAGCCATCTCATTCACACATGTAAAGAACCGTAGTGGCTTTTCTTCCCTGATCATCCCCCAGAGAGCACATTGGATTACTTAAATATTACCTATTAATATTTATGCAATGTTTCACATTATATAATTTGTAGAGTATTCTTTTGAGGATAAAATGAAGAGATAGATATGAAAATACTTTGAGGATTGGAAGCTGGAAGATATATTTCATCATAATTATGATTATGATTATTTTCATGTTATCCATTTGGCTTCACATTTTGGATTACAAATTCCCAGAGAGTAGGGCTGACATCGGTGGGATTTTCACTGTGAGTAGTTAAATGGCACAATCATGAACAGGGCACATCACACAGCAAAGCAGAAGGAACAGTGAATTGGGAGCCAAGGAGCTTGAATTTTATTCCCAGCTCTGCTGGTAACAATCCACGTGCCTTGGGCAAATCATTTAATCTCCCTGGGTCTTTGAGTCTTCATCTGTAAAATGAGAAAGTGAATCGGCCAATGTTACATTCAGCTCCAATTTTCAGAGTTTTTTTTTATATGAAATCTCTCATCAGGGAAAGTTCCTACTGCAAAGTTATTGCTTCAACCACAAAAATTAGTTGGGATCAGCTCGCATAACATGTTAGGTTGTCAGAATTTCAGAAAACTCGAAAATTTTCCAGAAATTGTTTCAATGCCAACAGGCTGTTATCTGTGTTGCTGCCAAGACATTATAATGTGTGGGAACAACCAGTAAAAAAAACATAAAAACAAAAGCTTGGGGGGAAATCTTTGGCTGCTCAATGAATCTTGTTTTTGGTCTGATTTATCTGACTACAAAGAAGTAGTAAATGAAAGTTTTTTCTTTCTTTTAACTTTTTCTTCCCCTTTCCTTTCTACCTTACCACCTGAGCCCTATTCCTTGGAGAAAAATAGGATCATTTTAAAACTGCCTTGATAAATTAACTAGTTTAAGTTAGTTGGAGAAAAATAAATTTCTACATCTCTGAAGGTCTGAATAATGAGGTGATATCAGAATAGTAATGTAAAGAAAGTTGAGGGAGCAAGACTTTATTCCCATCTATGTTGGTCAAGAGCATCAGGCTGAGGGAAGAGCAAGTGCAGAAGCCTAAAAGTATTTTTTGAGGCAGGAGAGTATCTGGTTGCAGGAATAGCAAAAAGGCCAGTATTCCTGGTGTCAGAGAGAGAGAGAAAAAGTAGGAGAGGATGGTTGAAGATGAGGAGGGGAAGGCAGGTTTTGTAGGACTTTGTAGGGCATTAATGAAATGTGGACTCATTTGGGTTTTGCCAGAGGAATGACTTCCAAGTGTTGTTGCAATAGGATATTTCTGGCAATAAATGGGGAGTGCAGCTAAGAGACAATAAGAATAATCCCGGGGAAGGAGGATGATATCTTGGAACAAAGTGGTAATGGTAGAGGTGTTGATAAGTGGTCTGGATCCACTTTGACAAAAGAGCTAACATAATTTGTTGATAAATTGGAATATGAGAGAAAGAGAGAAGCCCAAGATGACACAGAGGTTATGGCTTGAGAAGTTAAAACTATGGAATTTTTATCAACTGAGATGAGAATATGAAGAATTTGTCTTCAGATATGTTTTTGATGCCTGGATGAGTAAGAAATGTTTCTTAAATTCTTACTCAGTAAACCTGTATTGAGTAATTATTTTCATTCATATTTAAATTTAGAAAGGAAACTTAGAAATGGGAAAAAAATCTAAGACTCAGCCATTCTTTTAATTTCATTCATGCATTCATTTACTAATTTAGTTAATATGTACTGCAATCTCTTACACATTAAAATCACCCAATTAGGTGCTGGGAGAGGTAGAAAATTGTTCATATGTGAATTATATTGTCAGCACACATATAATTTATTAGTGGTACCTGATAGAGGGTAGAAAGATGATTCATTAAAACAGGTAAAGTACCATGATATTTGGATATAGGCAAGTGACTATGGCGAGTAGTGCCCTATGAGATGACCTTAAAAATAGGTTGGCATTTTATATTCCTGGATGAAGGTTGCCACATCACCAAAGCCAGAAAGACCATGAAAGAGGAAAGACATTTTCCTATCTGTTAATGATTTTATGAGATTGTTGAAAGTAATCTGAAAGAACAATCTAGATGAGACTCTCAAGAAATTCTGATAATTAAGCCCCAATGCTCATTGTATGTAACACATTTACTTATATGTAGCTAGAAAGGGATTAGTTATATACCATCCTTGGGAGGATTACGAAAATTTTTCCATGCTTCAGAAAGGCTAATCCAGTCTCTATGCGTCCTAAATTCAAGGTTATATTTATGTATAACTGAAATTCAACATTATATTTAACTAGAATAGAAGAGTTCAGCTCCTTGTCAAACCTCCATATCTAACTCCCTAAGCAAACAAGATGGTGGTAGGCCTGATGTCTGTTGAACTTGACATTGGGTGAGAGGCTGTAGGTAAGGTAAAATAGAAAAAGAAATAAAAGGAATTGCTCTTACCCTTGCGGGTCATGTAATCTAATTGGGAAGGCAAACACAAGGACGAATACATAAGAACAGTTTTATAGCATGATCTAAATTCTGCCCAGTGACATCATAGTCTATGAATGTGTACAAAGTGTAGGGTGCTAATTTGCATTAAGGAATAATGAAGGTCGGCTGGGCTAAATTAGAGAGGACATCCTTGAGAATCTAGATCCTAAGGAAATATTGGCAAGTCATTGATTAGTCAATTTTTAAAAATTGACATTTGAGCAGAGATTTTATGAGCTAAACTATTGAGATTTTGTGGGAATGCTGATACACAGATGGCTTTCCTTAATATTTAGAAGAAATCTTCATGTACAAAAATCTTTGCTTCATTTATGTTTGTACTCCTCGAGTCTGCAGGATTTTCCTTTCCTGAAGGCTGACATCTGTCTAATACTTGAGTTGTGAAAAATGTCCCTTTTGATAGGCTCTTTTCATTGACAGTTACAAAATTTCCTTTTGGAAAGCACTGAGTACTGCCTTCACAAAATGAACACTCTAATATGATGAAAACGTTCAAGGAAATGCAAGATCCCACACAGACAAATCCCTCACCCCTGGTGTGTGGATAACTGACTGATAAAGCTGCATCTCTCAGTATGTGGACACGGTGAGGGATTTTGAGGAAGGGCTCTTTTCACTTGGCAGGGGCTTACTCCTTGGAGCCCTCCATACAAGAAGCTGGAGACATCCTATACACATTCAAGAGAACAGGGAACCACACTGGATTTTTCCAGTGTCCACTTCGTGTAATATGTTGCCAAAACCAAAAATTTATAATGGTAAATATCTGAGGTTAAATGTCAAAGGGGAAATGCTGTTGCAGTTGGAGGAGGAAAGATTGTGCTGTTTTCTTTTTCTTTTTTTTTTGAGACGGAGTCTCACTCTGTCGCCAGGCTGCAGTGCAGTAGCATGGTCTCAGCTCACTGCAACCTCCACCTCCCGGGTTCAAGCTATTCTCCTGCCTCAGCCTCCCCAGTAGCTGGGACTACAGGCACGTGCCACCACGCCCAGCTAATTTTTGTATTTTTAGTAGAGACGGGGTTTCACCATGTTGGCCAGGATGGTCTCGATCTCTTGACCTCGTGATCTGCCCGCCTCGGCCTCCCAAAGTGCTGGGAGATTGTGCTGCTTTTAAACGGCACGTTGATTGAGGCTGGAGAAAAATCTGACAGCGCCCTGTGTTACCTGAGCACCGGCACATTGAAATATCACATAAGTGATGCATAGCATTTAATGAGTCGGGACTGAAAACTTTAATTTGCTTGTAGGGCTTTTTATTATTTTATTTTTGTTCATTATATTTTCTGCTGAGTCTCTGTGGATGTTCTGCATTTTCATCATCAAATGACTGGCTGGCTATTTTTGTCAAACAAGAAGCCTGAAACCATCAAGTCTGAGTGTGGAGACAGTCTGCCCGCTCTGTCAACAGGATGAAAGTGAGTCTCAGGCTTTTTTAATTACAAGGATAACATGTTCGCTCATCTAATAATGAAGATGGTTAGCAATTTTAAATTTTAATAATCAATTACTGAAAGTAATTCTCCATTAAACCACAAGAGAGCCATTAAATCTCAAAAGATGGAACATGCTGTATGTAACAGTAGCAAATTTTCTATTTTTAAATATCATTAGGGAATATCTGATTGTTTCATTTCTCTGCATTTCTTTTACCTTTTTCCTCATGCAGACCATCTCATTTTCTGCAGGAAGACAGCACATGATCTTATAAATAATAAAAGAAAAACCTTGCAAGACTTGATCCAGGGGTGTGAAATATGTGCTAAGAATGTAATTTATTTCAGTCTGGCATATTTTGACTGAATAATAAGGAAGGTGACTAATTAATATTATACTATGCTGTGGGCAAGGCAGCATAGTGGGCTGGTCCATGCTCCTTTCACCTCTGGAGACCTGCATCCAAGCCTTAGAGGAGTTACATCCGCTGAGCAGGGCTTGGGGAAGGGGAGGGGGAAGCGTCAGATGTCTTTTCTTGGCCGTGGAGACCCCTGTCCATATTCTAAAACTACCCTGAACATCAGCTTCTGCTCTGAGGAGATGAGGGAAAAGATAAATGATTGCTAGTTGGCTGTTCAATTTGGCAGACTTATATGTCAGGGGGAGAGAGCTCCGTGACAGCTTCAGCTGCCCTAGCTCTAGCCTGGCTTAGCTCTCTCACTTTCATCCCGCTTAAATCTTTGGAAATACATGGAATAAACAGTGTGTATGTGTGTGCATGTTTTTTTGTGTGTGTGTATTCAGGTAGGATGTTGGATAGGGGTGACCAGAAAACAGATAATGATTTAAAATCAAATTAGGTTAAATCTCCATTAGAAGCAGCTGATTCCATTTCTACAGTATTCAAATCTCAAAGAGTAGAAAGATACTGTGATAAGACCCTTGGTTTGCTTTCAGATTATGGGAAGGCCACTTTAAGTCTAACCAGTTGTGCTACACTCAGCACCAACTACCTTCCGGACTGTGGGATGCAGAGAATGTCATTGCTTCAAGTGCCATAAGCAACAGGGCCAGAAATGGGGTTCTTATCACCTCATCATCTTTGATTGTTTTTCTGATGGGGAGTATGCCCGTATTTCTGAACTGTGCTGACCTTTCCAACAAGCAATCCCTTGCTTCCCCCAGAAGGGACTGAAGCAGAAACTGTGCCAAGCCAGGCAGAATTGGGTGGGGGTAGGAGTAAGGTAAGCCCAATTTCATGACACGGGTAGTTAAAATGCAGATTATTTGTACTTATTCACAAGATATTTCAAGTTTCTTGATATTGTAGTGTTCTTGTTTCTCTCTCATTCTGCTACGTGGAATTTAATCATGACTGGAACCATCAGCAGGGAGAAGCTGGTCTAGGGGAGATAAGGGAAAAGTAGCTGGCATTGAGTAATTTTGATCTTTATGGGCACAACTGAGAGATGCCTTGGAGAGGAAGGTTAAGAAGAAATTACTAAAGTTTAGATTCTGATGTGAGTTTCTTTCTTTTCTTTTTTTTTTTTTTTTAAGGCGGAGTCTGGCTTTGTCGCCCAGGCTGGAGTGCAGTGGCACCATCTCGGCTCACTGCAAGCTCCGCCTCCCAGGTTCACGCCATTCTCCTGCCTCAGCCTCCCGAGTAGCTGGGACTACAGGCGCCCGTCACCACGCCCGGCTAATTTTTTTGTATTTTTAGTAGAGACGGGGTTTCACCATGTTGGCCAGGATGGTCTTGAACTCCTGACCTCGTGATCCGCCCGCCTCGGTCTCCCAAAGAGCTAGGATTACAGGCTTGAGCCACCGCGCCCGGCCCTGATGTGAGTTTCAATTACCTGGTTATGATGACGAATCTATGTTCTGCCTATCTACTATTATTTGCAAAACTGAGATCTTTGTGTGAGAGTGATATATTCCAACTGGGAAATCACCTCTGGATCGCATAGGCAGGTTTCAAGAGCCAGAAATCCTTTTCTGGCAATAAAAGGAGGCAATGGAGTCCTCATTAGTGGGTTGGGTTCTGCTTGATATCTTACTGCAATTCTTGCATGTTCTCTATCCCATTTTCTACAGAAAGAAGTCTGGTCCCTTAAAAGGGCATGTAATAGAAAATACTGGTTCTTTTATTTCAAGTCTATATTTAGAAACAAATTACAGCTCCTTATGCTGTGGTTTAGCCAAATGGCTATTTTGGGGTCATGAGAATCCCCCAAAGCTACCTGCCAGCTAACGCTGGTTGGGCTGTTTTAGATTCGTCCCCAGGGTGCACACAGGTAACTGAGCAACATACATTGAGTCCTCAGTTATTTGGTTTGGAGGTCAGGCTGTGGATCCCCTCCCCTAGGAATCTTTACTACTACAGAGTAGGAGAGAGTGAACTCTTAGTGGCTTCCCTGCAGAATAACTGATACTCCACAGACAGTTGGAGGGAAAGGGCAGTGCCAAATCCCCCTTACTGCCCCAGAGGAGTTCGGGTTGTTCCCTGGAGGAAGAAAAAGTCACCCCTGGCACAACTGAAGGCAGGATTCTATTCCACAGAGCAGATGGAAAAGTCCGCAGGAGGCGACTCTGGGGACTCCTTTGCTGCTTGCTAAGAGCAGAGAACAGAATAAGGGCAAAGCCTTAGGGAGGCCTAAGCTAACACCTGGTGGAGAAACGGAGAGGCAATCAGGTAACCTTTCTAGATGGCTCATGGTTGGAATCATAGAAAGAAGAAATAGGAAACCTCTAGCTGTAGGTTCCTTGCTTACTGATAAGAATTTGAATGACTCGTGAAGATCAAAGAGGTAGAGAGCAGCTCTACCTACACCAAAATGGAGGGCCTCTGATTCAAGGCACCAGGTTTGCAGTGCTATGAAATGTGTACAGTGAAGCAAATGATTTTACACTGAGGTGCAAAGCAGCCGGAGTGTGAGATAGTGGCAAGGATCTGGGCTTTTGCAGTTGGACTGTGCTGGGTTTGAGTCCCAACTCAGCCACTCATTAGCCTTGTGACCTTGAGCAGTTTACTTAACTACTTTAAACCTCGTTTTTCTCATCTGTTAAACCAAGATTAAAATAGGGCAGGATTTCTCAACCTCAGCACTATTGACCTGTTGGACTGGATAATTTAAAAGCCCCCAATTCAATGTAGGGGCTGTCCTGTGCATTGAAGAATGTTTATCAGCATCCCTGGCTTCTACCTCTCAATTGTCAATAGAACAACCATTGCCCACAAGTTCTCACAACCAAAACAAAACAAAACATGACTCCAGACATTGCCGAATATCCCCAGTGGGCAATATGGACATCGCTGAAAACAACTACAATAGTTTTAAGGTGGGAATAATGAAGTTCTATGCAAAGCACTCGGCATAGTATCTAGCATATAATGATTGCTAAATAGATATTTGGGTTTTTTTTTTTTACCCATTTATAAAAATATGAGAAGTATTTTTTATTTGATACTAAATAAAGCAGATATTAGGTGATGCCAATCACTCTCTCCATACACATGTGAATATTCTTAATTCAGAGTTTCAACTGGCTTGGGTGCCTTTTGCTTTGAACAAGAGGAAGCAGGTTAAGAAAAAGACCATTTTTTGTGTGTGTTCTCATTCTTAGTTCATGTGCAGTATGCAGATGCACTCACAGCTCACCTGGCAGAGGGTTTGCATAACAGTAACTGCATGATTAATTGATAAACACGGCAGTGTTCATAGCATATTCTGGAAGAACAATTACAAGTTCCCCAACGTAATAGATGTCTTGATGTTGAGTAGTTGCTCACGATATCCTGACTCACAAAGACATTTATGACAGTTATATGTAGGCTTCCATTAAAAATTTACTTATATTGTTTCTGAACCATAGAATATTCACTTGTTTCGTTGACATAATCTAACCAGGAAGAATGATATTCATTTCTGTTTATCATGCACATTAATGTCTTATCTCATTTGCTATTATTTGATAGCATGTACAATAATATCATCCTTCCAAATGCTATTCTATCTTCTTGCATTCAGTGATTAGAAACCAAATGTGCATCGTGCACTAAGTCCTGGCTTCACATCAAACTCTCACCACTTCTTCAGCAAAAGCAAACTTCAGGATACTAATAAGAATAGGCATGACTAACCAAGGTAATTTCTTCCTGAATTAATCTTAAAACTCTTTAAGAGTCATCAAGGTTTTATTTCTTTGGCTCCAGATTGAATTGTTGAATTTTGCAAGAAGCATTAAAAGTTACACAAGGGGGATTAAATTAAAACAAAAGATAAAACTAGCATTAAGACCACATTGAAGAGAGCTGGAGAAAAATGTGTATTTTAAGCTCTAAACATCAAAAGATACATTTATACATATGTAGATTTTGTTTAAAAGCTTTTGTGTGTGTGTATATATATATATATATATATATATATATATATATATATATATTTGTTTTTTAAAGAAATCTTTGGGCTAAGAAAACCCACCTTTCAACTTGTATTGGAAATATTTGGATTTGGTCCTCCTATTTAATTGTAGAGTAAAATTCATAGAGTAACTTATAAAAACATTAATTTGACAGGTGCTCATTGCAAACACTTTGGGCAAATGGTATATTAGATTAGAATTTTTGTTTCCCTGAATTATAAAAGTAAGTTGAAGAACCAAGTCAAAACAAAGTTGTTTTTATTTCATTTAAATCTGCTGTGTGATCTTCCAGGCCATCTGTCAATTTCCCTCGCTCCACTTTCCAGCTCTTGTTTCTTGTACACTTTTCTTAGCCCCAAATACAAATTTTTATGCTTACTTACCTTTTCGTTTTGAGCATCATTTTCATCACTTTCTTAATTCTTTGGGTTAAAACACATCCTTCACATTCTCTTTCCAAGCTGCACCTGTTGCTTTATTCCTTAGCCTTCATTTCTTGGGTGGATATTTTTTACTACATTGTTTTGTACTGGTTTGTGTATTTTGCTTAGCAGTTTTATGCTGATTGCATGTGTTTTGTATCTTTCCAAGTAGATTGTTATATCATGGAAAGCATAGACTGCCTTTGATTTCTGTTTTTCTCAAAGTACCCACCAAAGTGTTTTGGATGTATGAATATTATATTGAACTATTTAAAATAAGTTTTAATGAGGGGCTTTTAATTTAAATGCTTAAAATTATATGATGACTCCACATAACCATCAATACCAACATCAGAAATACCAGTACTTAGAATGGTACACCTGTTTAATCCAGTTTAATTCTCATTTTGCAGATAGAAAAACTGAATGGATAAATGATGCAGGACGGGTGCGGTGGCTCATGCCTGTAATCCCAGCACTTTTGGAGCCAAGGCAGGCAGATCACAAGGTCAGGAGATCGAGAGCAATCTGGCCAACATGGTGAAACCCATCTCTACTAAAAATACAGAAATTAGCTGGGCATGGTGGCATGCGCTTGTAGTCCCAGTTACTTGGGAGGCTGAGGCAGGAGGATCGCTTGAACCTGGGAGGCGGAGGTTGCAGCGAGCAGAGATTGCACCATTGCACTCCGGCCCGGTGACAGAGCAAGATTCCGACTCAAAAAAAAAAAGATCCAATTGGTATAAACTCAGTGATCAAGCCAGAAGTGTAGCCTATTTTCACCGTTGAGTACCACTTTCTTCCCCATTAGTTAAATGTTACTAATGAAAAGACACACTAATCTAAAATAAATATAATGATAAGAGGGAGGTCACCTTACATCTTCCTAGAGAGTTAATACATAGCATGCTAGAGTTAAGCTCATGCTTTAGAGGCATGCAAGTGGTGTTTGCCACTCCTTAGCTGGGAGAACTCAGATGAGTAACTTAAACCTCAAGCTTTGCTTATTCATCTGTAAAATGGGAATTATAATTATACCTACATCTAAGTACCTAGGGCAACAGATATATTTCGCATGGCATATAAAAATCGGTTAGCACATGTAATTATTAACACTCTAGGCTCTAAAGTTTTAAAATAACTTTTAATTATGTTAATTTAATGTGTTTTTAGAGATATTATATATGGATATCAATCCATATATTTTATTGTATACTATATACTGTACTCTAGAGTATACCTTGACAAAGTCCCCAGGGAAATTTCTTTTAATAATATAGATTTTTTCTAAATTACCAAGAGAAGAAGATTTTACATTTGAGTTTTCAGCTTAAGATAATTTTGATGTTATAGATACTTTCACTTTCATTTTCAAGAGAATGCTTAATGTTCTCATTTTAAAAATAGCTGTCAACAACCTTAAAAGTTACTTTATAGATTTAAAGTCACATATCTCCTTAGAGAACTTTTTTCTTTCAAAAAGTGAAATGATGAAAAAGAATACTGAGGGAAATTGCTTATTTTATTCTCATGTAGCACAATATTCTTATAGCTATTCCTTTTAAAGTTATAGATTGAGTAGAATATAAAATTCACGTGAGGACCAAATCACAGATTACTTTTATGAATTCCATATCTTATCTGTTTTAATTTCAACCTATACCCTTTTTCTCAGATAATTAGAAAAACAAATTTCTGGAAAATGAGTTATGTAACATTATTTTTTAAACATTTGCTATTATCTAAATTAATCATCGAAAATATTATATTTTATCTAGTATAATCAAACTAGCTAATCAAACTAGCACAAATGCCTTTTCTTGGTCACAAGGAGGTTTGAAGTATGACTATACCAGGGCAAACTCTGAGTACTCTACATAAATTAATATCCCAAAGGAAAATGCATTATGCTTATAATTGAAGTTATCATTTCTAATACCACCATTAATGCTGATTGAATCTTAAATTTGGATTGAGATCATTTAGTTGAAGACACTATATCTCTTAAAAATTCATGTCAAGTACACCCTATAAAGGTTAATCTATAGTCTTGAAGCTATTTCTTAGGCTTTGACAATCTGGAGAAGGTCAGATTATGAATCCATGCAAAAATAAAAGCCTATTTTTTTTCAGTTAAGAAGGATACCTATTTTATGGAAAGATGGAGATTGGCAATTTAGCTTAAGGGTTTTATTTATTAATATAAGCATTGATAGACCCTTTAACAATATTACCCATTTTAAACTCAGTTTTATTTTGTTAATTCAGAATTTTCATTTTAAGGCATTTTTTTCTACTCTTTGTATGGAGAGTTCTTGGGATACGTAACCTCCTCCAACGAGTTGACTTGTTTATGTTCTCCTCCTAATTCTTTCACCTCTTTTTCTACATAGATGGTTGACATCATTATCTATTCAGTTGCTCTATTTAGAAGCTTTTTGGGGGGTCATTCTTGGTGCTCCGTTTTGCCTCCCTTAGCATATTCAATCAATCTTTGAGTGCTATCTGTCTTCTCATAAATAGCTACAGAAGGTATGAAAGGCATCTACATCTTTTTATTCTCCCTACCATTGCTTTAGTGTAAACAACAGCTGTGTAACCATTAGGCTGAACCATATGAAATTGTCAATGTTGTCAGACAAAAATACTCAGATATTGACAATTTATTTAATTCAACCTAAATTATTTTCCTTTCTCTTTAAAAATCCATTTGTTTCACACTGTGGCCAGAGAAGTCTTCCCAAAACACAAATATAAGCGTATCTCACCCCTGTTCAACCCCTTTAACAGTTTTACATTGTTCCCAGGATAGGGTCCAAATTCCTCTTTGTGACCTACAAGGTCCTGCAAGAGCTTGTCTCTATTGATTTCTTCAGTAGCACTTTTTGCAACTTTTCACCCTTGCAGTTTTTCTAGGTTGTATGTATCTACTCTTTTGTAGATATCATTTCTTCCACATGGACTGTCTTCACTGCCTCTTTTCTTGGCGCTTAATCCAGTTGATCTTTTAGATCTCAAAGTAGCCAACACTTTATCTGCCTCTCCAGGTGTGCATTAGAAGTTCCCTTAGGTGCTTCTATAGTATATTTAATTTTTCTTGTTTATTTTTCCATTTCTCTACCTAATATGCTTCATGAAGGCAAGGGCTATGTCTTCGTGGTTGAACCTTGGGCTTCTAGTGCTAACTCATGGGAGATAATACATTCTTGGGCAAGTTACTTAATCTCTCAAGTTAGCCTCAGTTTCCACATATCAAAGATGAAGATACCTTCTTAGGGAGGTGGTGAGAACTACATGAAATGACATATGTAGAATAGGAATTTTTGGCAGGTTACTCTTAGATGACTGTGCTTCCCCTCGCCATCCACTTCCACAGTATTGGTTTGTTTCCTTTCATTTGAGAGTTTTATTTGATCACTAGAGAGGAGAGATTTGGTGTATGATGTAGGGAGCATAGTGGAGGATGGGAGATAAAATGGAATCACCTTTCCAACCCACCACCAACTCACATTTTGGGGCCTACCTTTAGATGACTATAGAGAAAGAGGCAGAAGTGGTGAGATTCTTCAAGGCTGCACTGTACCTAGGTGATAACGTGTGCAAAGAGTTTGGAAGGAAACACTTCTGCCTTCCGCATGGGACTCAGTATTTTGTGACTCTCAGAGGATTGAGACTTTGAGTTTGCCCAGGGTCAGGTTATAGGGATTTATTTTAAGACTGTATTTGACAGTTAGGAAGGCAGCATTTATCTCATGGGAATACAAAACTAGTAAACATACTATGCCACTCTTTGCAGAGAATAGACCTGGATTCAAGGAAATCTAAGAGACTTTTGTTTTATGGGTCATTTCTCTGTTCTGTCAATGGCACTTTAAGACATTCTTAGGGTTTTTTGTTTCTTTTTGGTCTTCTCTTTTCCCTTCTTGCTGCTAGCTGGTTTACTCATTTTCTACTACATATTTCCCTTTTTGTATGTGGAAGGTTTTACTTAGTCAAATCATCTATTTAGAGGTGAAATTGTCTTCATTCTACCTTAGAAGATGAAGTAGGAAGCCAGCTCATCATTTGACTTTGAAATTAAGTTCTAATCCTGTGCTTATGGAAAGCTTTATTATATTTACTTATTTATTCACTCCATTCATTCAACAGATACATAGTGAGCATCTCGTACATTTCAGATAATTCTTCTTGGCAATACTAATAATACCGATATACTACTACTACTACTACTACTAATATCTAAGATGCTCTACACATCAAAGTCCCTGCCCTCAAGATACTCACACCATAGCAACATTCAAACTACTGCAATTAATATTGGAAATGGAAAAGAGACTGAGACTTGAGGTGGAACTCTAGTAGTTACCAGTGTGATATTACTTTGCAAGAGATCAGCAAAGTAATGGGTGGGACCATGGAGGTCTGTTTTCAGGACTCCTTGACACAGCCCAGTGCTTTCCTTCTTCCCATTGATTGCTTACAGTCTATTCTTTTGTGTTACTTCAAAGTACAATATATGTTCCTTGTTCCTTTTGTCCCAATGGAACTGCTCTTTGCTATGCCTTGTTGTCATACAGGACCAGTTTCCCTAGGTCGTGAAGAGTTCACCTGCGAAGTTAATTTATGGGCTGGGGAGCACTAATGAATTGATGCATATTTTGTCCAGGTAATGTATGTATTTGCATTTTCAGCAGTGAGTTTCTATCATCTGAACCCAACCCCCTACAAAGCACTTCTATTGATAATTTCAAACTTTTTTTTTTTTTTGGTGGAGGTGGGGGCTGGGAGAAGGGTTAATGGAGAAACAATTTTGTTGACAGGCAGACCTTTATTTGCTTCCCAAATCTTACCCTCCATGTGACTAATTGAAAAATACTTTCTTGAAACTCTGATCAAAAGAGAAATAAGCCAGAATTCTATTCTTTATGCCAACTGTTGCTTATTTCCTTCATCCTTTATAAAAGGAAAATATTGTGAACCTAAAACATTGTGAGATTATTTCCGAATTGCACTCATTAAAAACATAAAATATGTCCTTCTTGTGTTTGATATTATAAAGAAGGAATCTTGGGTAAGACCTTTGAGTGGGATGGGAGCCATCATCAGTGAATAGCTGTTTAAGTACGGAGATGCAATCCAATTACAGCGCTGCATTATTTATCATCAGGCTGTTACTGCCATTCCCCTTAGCATTGTTTTACCTTAAATATCAGTACATTTATTGCCTTGAACCCCAAGATTCACCACTCTGGGAGTTGTTGGTTGCTATGAGGGCAGAGACTGCTTTACAAAGCAATAGAAGCTGCAAATTGTGGTGTTTCCCAGCTGTCATTCTCCTGTCATAGCCCTCTTTAAAAGGGTTTGGGGTTCTCCTTTCATTACATATGCATAACTTCCATTAGCATTAATCACATGCTCCATTTTAGAGCTGTTTTGGCCCCTCCGGTTAAATGGGCGTTTAAGCAGTTTTTAATGCATTATATGTACTTATTTTTTAAACGAGTATTATATGCCCAATTGACTGGAATGAATACAAAGTCCATCAGGTGAATACAGATTTATAATTGTTTTTAAAGCATGTATTATTTACTCAACCAACCATGACAACCCTTCTGGAGTCATTCCAGCTGAGAGGGAAATACATGTATATGTCAATACCAAATAAACCTTTTACTGAGGTTCTCTCAGCTAAGCTTAAGGCTTAACTGGCTAATCATTTTCTTTCAATCTCTCTCTTTTCACAAACAGATTCTCAAAATCTTGTTCACTCTTTTTAGCTAGCATTATCATCATTTGTGAACTAGATGAAAGCTATACAATGTCTCATTCTACTCAAACAAATGCAACAAATTCAGCAAGATATATTGTGTGTATGTACATGGCATTAGGCCCTTATACTGAGAAAGAAAAGATGCCCAGTTCTCAAGGCAAATATAATCGACTTACATAAATAATAGAGGTTAATAAATGATTTTATATTATAAATTATCCAATTTGTTTTAAAATTTGCTAATAGGCAGATTCAAGAGAAATTAAATAGTCTTCCTCCCTTTTCAGATATACAATTAAATTCCACTCTGCTTTTTTCATAGAAGTAAACATGTTAGGTGTCTTTTCTTCCTTCTCTGAGTTTGTAGAATTATCCCCAAATTGTTTTCCAAGCCTTTATTTTCTATAATTGTAGTGTCTTTACTTTTTACAATAATAGGTTCACTGCATAACAGTACACTGGAATTCATTATCTATTAACTTCTAAAGCTCAAGAGAGCTGTATCATGCAAATTCAGGCAATGCATTCAGAACCTATGCCAAATGAAAGATGGTTGCTGTAAATCATAATGTAAACCATGTCCTATGGTTGGTAGAGTTAAAATCCCTGTTAGCTTTGAGAAGAAAATATATTGCTTATTACCAGAAAAGTTTAGTACATAGAACTTCCATTTCCAACTGAATGATGTTTAAGAATTTTAAAATTTCAAAGGAACTTTAGGAAGACCCTGCTAATCTTTGTAGTTCAAAAATGAATGCATGAAAAAGAATATATTTCTTGAGGTCATCAGGAGTAATCCTTTCCATATTGTACATATGTGAGGATTGTTCTTTTGTTGTAGATAGACTCTGTTAGCAGAAATTGGTGATGTTTGCAACTCTCTCTGTCAGACTTGAGGTCAGTCTGAGACTCTTGCTAGTAGAATCTCCCCATGTGACAGGATGTGTTAGTCTGTTCTCACCCTGCTAATAAACACATACTTGAGACTGGGTAATTTATAAAGGAAAGAGGTTTAATTGACTCACAGTTCCTCATGGCTGGGGAGGCCTCAGGAAACTTACAATCATGGAAGGAGAAGCAAGCACATTATTCTTCACATGATGGCAGGAAAGAGAAGACACAGCAAAAGGAGAAAAAGTCCCTTATAAAACTATGAGATCTCATGAGAACTCACTCACTATCATGAGAACAGCATGAGAGTAACTGCCTCCATGATTAAATTGCCCCCTACAGTGCCCCTTCCAGGGCACATGGGGATTATGGGAACTACAGGTTGGGTGGGGACACAGCAAAACCATATCACAGGATTTTGAGCCTAGGTGTGTTGCTGGTGGCTGCTACTGTCCAGTGGTTTCCCAGGGGGTGATTTGTTTATGGTTTATGGGAGTTTGTTGCAGAGGAAATCTTAATTATGACAATGTGGTTCAGAACTGAGGCAGGGAGAGGTGGAATGCAATCTCTTTATTAGAAACAAAAACATAAACTTACCTTCCTAAAATGTTTCCTCGGGGAATTATAATGAAGTAAGGTGACCTTATTTAACAACAAATTAGACGCTGAAATTTTTAATCATGGATAAATTATCAGCCCAGCAACTATATTAACATTTGTTTTACTTAATTATGGATTAATGTTGTTCCACATCTGATAGTAAAGGCTGTTTAACTTAATATTTTTATACATTTTATACTACTACTTTTCTTTTGGGTTTTCCTGTTACTTAGCTCCCTTATTCAAGTCTACCCATCCTTTCTTTGATATTTCTTTTTTTTCTTTCCTTCCATTTTTTTCTTCATCCACAAATACTGATTGGAAATTTCCTACATATTCCTCTCTGAATTAGGATCTGAATGAAATAATGATTCAAGTCTTTAAAACTGTCATAGTCTAAGGGCGCTCTCTCTCTCTATATATAAAAGATAATAATCCAGTGTTATGAGTGTATAAGTATAGTTTTAACAAAAATTTCTGGTAAGACAATGTTAGTTGGGATTCCTTGGTAACTTGAATTTTTAAAATTTTGTTTGATAATGGACATTTCTTTATGTATTAACCTTTAGCAGAGAAAGAGTCTTTCTTAAATTGAAGAAAGACATTTCCTTGGAGGAATCAAAATGACTCTATTAAAAATTATTGGAGAGTGCCCCAATGCCTTTCTGAGTATCTTGCTTAAATATATGCATTTTTAATAATATAATATATGTAGTAATAAATCCATAAAAGTATGATATATAAGTAAAAGCTTGAGCTCGTTGAAAGTACTGTCAGTATCATTATAAAACCTAAACAACCAGAAGAATAACTTACCAAAGAATAAAATTAAACTTTACATATTCATTGTAAAAAGGATTGTAAAAAATACTTGCACTACACTTACTCCTCACTTTTTTAAAAAAAGACTTTAAAAACTGTCCATAACTTTGAGGGAAGATTGCTAGTAAATAGTATGAAATCATTTTTTTAACCTCTCACATCATAAGTATATTTTCTTTACTATTTTATAAGGAACTGACTTTCTTTCTATGTTCTTGTTCTGTAGTGTGAAGTCCTTTGTGAATGAGCCACATTTTTTACTCATTCAAGTCCCTACAGCATAATCACATAGATTAACTCACTTGGATCGTTAATTGTTACACTGTAAGAACTCCACAAACTTGATCAGAGAGGTGAGTAGCAGTGTGACATTGACCGTGGCATTTCCTTTTCTTCGTTGTTGGTTAGCTTGTATTTTAAAATTGTTTTCTATTCTCTGGTTATTTTCCACTTGAAGAACAATATTACTGAAATGTTTTATTAGAAATAAACTACTTCCACATTTAGCAATCTCTCAAAATACTGAAGCATTTCATTAGCTGGAATAAACTCCAGGTTTCACTGAACTCTTATATTAGTAAGGCTGCAAAGTGACATCTTCTTCCATATGCCTTCTATGCTGCCATTAAAATGAAAATAACTCAGTAAATAAAAAGCATGGACATCAAAGCAGTGCTACAGTTGCATTTCAGAAAAATAATCTAGATAAAATTTTGATTTTTATGTTTATTGATATTAACACTTTGAGCTTCTCTTCCCTCTTTTACACAGATGGTGGCTTTAATGAGTACTTTGCTTACAGTAGAACACAACAAAACAAAGAAGACCTAGGCAACTAAAAATACACTTAAAAAATAAGATAAAGCATTATGTGACATATGATTGTAAAAAAATATTTTCACCCCATTTTTCTTCCTTTCTTTTTTGAAAATGCCAAGTATTAAGGTATACATATTTTATATATTTTTTAAAGTGTGCACGTATTATGTGTTATCCTCTGTTCTTAAACATTTCTAAATGTGTGTTTGTTAAAATATTCAAAACCCACCAAGCTAACGCAAACTAGAAGAAATCAGTTTGGTATGGCAGACATTCTCAAAAGTAATTTCTTTGCAAAAATCAGAAAATACTTTCAGGCTTTCAGAGAAGAGAAATAGCAAATGCATTTTAAGGAGTTGAAGCATTCTCCCTTTCTGTCTCTCTCAGAACCCTCTGAAATCGACACTGCAGCTGAGCTGATTTCATGTTAGAAAGCTGTCCTAAATACACACAGAGGGACCCTGTGAAGGGATGTAGAGCTGTCTGCTCTCTCACACATGCCACCACACACTCTCAGGTTCTGCATTGTTTAAGAAGACTGTGTGAGGGGTCGTTAAGCTTATTCTTAAAATACAGTCTAGATAAGATGAATGAAGACTCAAGCACCTATGTACGTTTATGTCAAGGCTGGAAACAGTTTACCTGATATTTAGTTTTACATGTATTGGAAAATATAGAATCACTGCCTGTATCTTTATTGGTTAAATAAACATTCTGGTGAATATTGTGATTGATCCAGGCCTCCCCCCCAAAAATATAAGTATAAAAAGAGAGTAATTGTGCTTTAAATTGGTGTGGTTGGTTTGGCAGATGCTTTCTTAATTCCCTTGCATGGTACAATGAAGCACTGAGAAGAATCTAGGGTGATATAACGAAATACAATTCCTGTATATCTTTATTGAATGTGACACAATATAATCAAAGAATGCACATAATTAAGTGCTATAGCTTGAAGCATCTTTGACGCGGGAATTCTGCTGTTTTTTTTTTTTCATTATTTTATGTGATTGCTTACAGATTAGTTCTCTATTTGCTCCTAAAGAATATACTTAAACACTCAATCAATGAATAACCTACAGCAGTTTGTTGTAGATTCAATAATGGGGAATGGTGCATTGTACCAGGATAGTCAGATATACCCATAGGGAGTGTCAGTGGTCAAAATGCTTCCACTGCCAGAAGGTAGTCTGAAAATGGTCTGGAAATTCAATACAGCATTGACCCTACATTGTATATATGATCCACAGTTAGTTTCTCAAGCATACTTGAAGTTTCAAACAGAGCCATTAAGAAAAAAAGCTAGGAATTTAAAAAAAATCGATTTTAAATGAGTTTTTTTGTTGAAATAGTTTTAAATTTATTAGTTCAAATGAGCAGAATAGCAAAATCTAATCATTTGTATTTTAAATGTATCTAAAATTATTTTACTTTAAAAATAATTTAATAAAATAATTTTAAAAATTTAAAGTTACATACAAATATTTCTATTTTTATATGTATAGTTCATCTATTTCACCCTTTTAAAATCTGATTATCAAGCAACAAATAGTCACACATAAACACACACCTTTGTGATGTCTATCTGATTTCTATTACATTTTTTCCTATATTTCATCAGTGAAAACTGATAAGTAGAACAAGATAAGTAGCAAGGTATCTAAGTAAACAGATTAGAGCCATTTACCTAATGTCACACAAATGTGTTTCCTTTTTCCTACATTCTGAGAATTGCCAGTATCTTTTTATCTAAACACATATCAATTTTACATTTTCTAATTGTTAACTGGTTTCATTCATGTAGTTATTCCAAATTGCTTTAAGATGACAATTTTTTTGTTAATCTGAAGTTGGAGTAAGATTAGGAATTAGAATTCCTACTAGTAGAAAAAAAACCAGAAATTGGAATATACTTAGGTTTACAAAAATGTCTTGTTATCTTCATTTACTCAGAGTTCCTTTGCAGAGCTTTAATAAATTGAGAATGTACATTAAAATAATACTACATCAGATGAATCTTAGCACCTATTTTGGAAGTTGTAGGTTTCTCATTTTCAAAATTATGAAAATAGCTACATTTGTTTTTTATGAACTGCAAGTAAACTTGAATGAATTACAGTAAATATATGTAAATAATGTCTGTGTATACATACATAGGTGTAAAGATATACTTTCAGTGTTTCACTTGGGGATAGTAAATAAATAAACAAGACATAAATTTCACACACTTTAGAAGCTGGTACTAAAATCTTGGTTTGGCATTTATGGTTATTTGGTCAAATGGCATAGACAAATCATAAAATCATCCTGTGATGTTGGTGCTGTGAATAAAATTTTCTAATGAGCTTTAGACAATATCTCATTGATTTTTATAATGCAATTTTTATGTTAGATTTTGAAAGTGCTTAATAATGATAATAACTTGAATGCTAATTTTTTTCTGTATTGGTTGACAGGCTTACCTTTTTCAGCATATAAAGTACTTTGGGAAGTTGCATTAAATCTTATGGCTTATCAATTAATACAGTGGTTCATTAAGACCTCTTCACAAAATCTGCGTAAGGAAAGTGCTAATTACAGATGGAGAAATGGTGGTATAATACAAGTTAACCAATCCACATACTGAAATAAGAGTTAATTGTAATGATTCATTGGTTTTTCTATTGGAATTTCTTCTATTTTAAGATAAAGACTATACTAATCTATAAAGTGATTTAGCTGATCTTAATCTTATGAAAGATGTAAATATTCACAGTACAAATGTTTATACTTGCATCTTATGAAAACATCTTTATGTAATATATTCAAGGTGCCTGGATTTGGGCTAGGCACATAGTTAGATGTGTAACAAATGCTAACTCTCTTTCTCTGTTCTGCATTCTACATTATAAGAATTTTAATGTTTTGTCCCCTTTTTTAATGAGAGACGACTACATTTTTTAATTTGGACAAACCACCTGAGAAATTACAGTGTATATTGAAAATAACACAGCCTATAGAACAAAGTTTGCATAAAGACTGACCTGATGCAAATTTTGCATAAGGACTGAGCTGAAGGGGGTATGAGGACTAAAAGTAGTAGAAAAATTTCACTCCTACACTGTCGCATAATCATAACCTGATAGTAATATTCCTTAAGGGGGTTCTCTGGTTTACAACTAAGTAGGTTCCAGGAGGCCAGGGCTGTGAATTTGTCCTGTTCATAGTTGTTTATCCAGCAACGAGCACAAAATAGGTGCCCAGCAAATATTTTTTTACATGAATGAACAAAATGCTACTTTTTCCCTTTGTTTTTATCTTTACAAAGACATGTACATAAATTAAAATTTTATATGATCTTGTGGTATTTTAAAAATAATCAGAACATTCTATTTCAATTCTGACTAAATTATTGTTATGATTATTGCTTTTTACTAAGACTGAAGCTAAATCAGTTCTACTGTGATTATGATTCAGGTTGTGCTGAGGAATCCCTAATCTGCGTTTCTTTTTTTCTCCTCCCCCTTGCTAAGTGATATTATACCTAGCACAATATTCCTACCTCAACTATGGGACCTGTAAGGGTTTAATGATCTTAATTTATGTATCCTCATTTATTACGTAGTACTTGTAAACAAAGACCTTTACATTGATGCCTGTGAATGAGACATCCAGAAGAACTTTTCACATACCTAGAAATTAGTGCATGCTCTACTTTCACTGATGCAAATATTTACTAACAAGAGAGAAAAAGAAAATAATCTTTCTCTCTCGTTTTTTTCCCTTTTCTGAAACCTAAAAGCATTTTGTTTTCTAGAGCTCTGTAAAAGTTAAGCACATAAAAGGTTAGGAGCCTGACTTTTTTCTGTCGTGTATATCTTTGAAAAATTGGTTTATGAAGAGTCATACATCATGTAGCCGGACATATGGGAATAGTTAAAGATTAAGGTAAATAGACAAATTGAACTGCTTTAAATCATTTTCCTGGTTTCAATTTTATGAAAGAGCTTATGAACAAAAGCTGACATTAAGCAATCACAATAGGCTCTTCTATATGTTTTAGACAGTGGTAAAGACTTTAGTGTCAGAGAGTGTTGCATCACCAATAGTTACATCAATTTGATTCGTGTCCAGATTTCAAAAATGTTACCTTGTCAAACCATAACCTTTTCCAAGTCTTTCATTTGTCATTGTTTTGTAGATTATATCATTTATTTTACATTACCTGTATCAGAAAGCATGGATCATGGATTATAAGATTTTTTTATTATATGTTGGTTGTTTTTGTTTTTAAAATAAAATTAATACTGTAGGCATTTGTGTTCAAAAGGGACTAATCAAATATTTTGGAAGGAAGTTTGATTTCATGTAACAAACATTACTGTAACTTCACCTAAGGAGACCTTTGGTTCCTTTTTGCTTAAAAATATATTTCAGAACCATTAGGAGAACATTTTAAATAAATTGAGTAAATATACTGAACTTTTCAAGGTATCTAATACACTAAAATCCTGTGGAGAGAAGCTGGCTGCTTGACTTTAAGGTAAGTCCTAGGAATTTGCCCAGTGGCATGGTGACAAACCCCTACTCTTATGAAAATTGCTATGAGATCTTTAATGTCCACACAGAAGAGGAAGGATTTGAGGTTTTGTGGTCTCATTTGAAAGACCCCTACGTAGTAAACTGCATGGAACTCAATTTATCTACCTCAGAAAGAAGAGAAGTCTTTGTAGCTCCTGTACCTATAAATCTAAGAAATTCTGTGAATATATGCCTTCATATTCATGCAGCACCAATTCCCTTCTTAAAAATAATAAAAATAACAAGGTCTATGATCATCACGTTCATATAGATAAAAATCTATTAACTTTTCATCGTTATCACAGTTCTCCTATCAAAGTGTAGGCATTCGTGGGGCAAGCTCACCTCCCCTGGTAGCCGTGCAGAGGTAGATGAAGATCTTTTACATACTTCTTTGTTGGTTTGCCTTTTATAGTGTATGTGCTTGATTTAGGAACTGCTGATGGTAAAAAGGTAATTTAAGAAGACTATAAATATTTGCACAGATATGCGAACCCAGCTTGTAAGACATCCGGCTAACAGGTTTTCCCATATTCTGAGCAAAGTGAGTGATAGGAAAAAAAAGTAACTTCTAGAAAATGTTGACCACGTTTAATTCAGAGCTTGATCTGATTCTATGTGAGGTAACACATACTTTAATGCCCAATCTGGAGACTTACCTATGAGGTATTGTGCACGTGTTAGCTTTATTTTCTTTCCAAACATTCTATTTGTCACTAGAAAGATACATAAGAAATAATCTAACAGAGTTTGCTGAAACATCTCAGAATGTAAATGTATAAACTGTTTCTCCATAAGAAATGTGGGTGTAAAAGAGGAAAACACTATCATGTATATTTTGATAAAATTATAGCAATTTTGTGGGTTGGGAATTTCTCTGGAATTCGGTGCCTCTAGCAATTTTGTCTTCAGTCTTTCCTTATTGTGTGCTTAAGCACAAACTATGTTGGTTTGGCAGTTTTGATGTACTTAAAGCCTGAGATTTTTGTTTTTTAGGTCAGGTTAACTAAGTAGTTTGTTTCTATAAATGCCATTTATGATTGCATTACTATAAATCCATAATTTTGAATTCCTCTACTACATCTTTAGTACACCAACCTGGAAAGATGTATCTGTGATTTAAAATTGAATACACACGTCTTTCCTGTATTTGTTATTTACAACCATGAAATTCTATTTCAAAATATAAACAAAACCAGTGTTTTACAGATACTCTTTCATTTTTTCAGCAGGCCCATTGTACGCAGGTTTATTATGTGATTTATTTGTGAGATGAAGGGAGTTAAAACTGAGAGCAAACAAAAGTGATCATTTAATCATTTGATGGGGTCTTTTTTGCTCACCTTTACAACTGGTATTGATTAAAACAAATAAGATTAATTAAAAATTTGAATTCAGAGATAAAGTTTTTTTTTTTTTCTTTTTCACTGTTACTGGAAACAATGTAAATTCAATCTTTCATTGTACATTATGGCTTTGGGTGTGAAGTAACCTTTTTCTTTAAGGTGTTGTCATTAGTTAAGTTTTTCTCAGTTATCCCAGCAATTTATACAATTAACACATCTCCTGAAATATCCATAAAATTTGACAATGTATTACTGAAGCAATACTCTAATAAAGTTAATGCACTATTATAACTTAAAGAAAATCTTAGATCATTTTAAATTTCTTCAGTATGCTTGATCACAGAATAATATTAAAACATTTTTAAGTTTAAGAGCACATTTAGGTCACTTTTGATGACAGATATACTTTTTAAAGGTTCTTAATATTGGCCTATAAAGCAAGTGTCAATGAGCTTGAGCTGCATACAAATGACTTTTCTGCCTTCCACAGGGTTCTTCAAAGCTGTGGGCACTAGAGGGTGCTCTTGGAACTAATACTAACAATGAGTGGCCTAAACTTGTTCTTTCAAATCAATACTATCAAGATCCAAAAATGTTTCGAATGAAATACTATATCATTATTAGTTTTTAACACTGGGCTCTGTGATTGTCATCAGCCCAACTTCCAAAACAAATCACAAAAACAGCAATTAAAGCCAAGAACTCCGTAGCGTGACAATTATTTGTTGTTAAAATCAAGATTCTTCTCCTACTCTTTTAAGTATTCTCCCACTTTTTATTCAGGATGTATACATTTTTATAAATGACAAGGAAAACGGGCTTGTCAGGCAATTAACATTTTATTTGGAATTTAAATGCGCAGAGTCAGAAAAGGTTGTTTCTTAAAGGAAATGTATCAAGAGTCTGCAGTCCAACTTTTCTCATGGTATTTGTGAGGTATTGTGGGCATCCAGGGATGCTTGCACATGAGGATACAGCATCCTTATAAATGTTGTTTTATATGAAATTGTAGAATCATCACCCCCGTCCACCCCCTGCAGTTATTTATAAAGGCGTCATTGGTAGTTGCCTTTCTTAGACCTTCCCTGCAGGCATGATCAGACTCAAGCAGGCAGCTATTTCTCTTTAATTTTCCACAGCAAGCCAGTAATGCTTATGATTATTGTGAAGTCAGGAGAAGTTTAGTTTCATTAAGTGACATGTAGTGATACAATTAGTTACTTAAGCACTTCTCATAAAATGTTCCACCATGGAACCTAGGTTGTCGGATGCAGCTAAATATTAGCATCTCATATTAAACACAAGAGTAAAGCTGCCCTGTGGAAAGCACAGCTGACAGCTCTCAACATGAGCTGAATGATCATTCTCAATTGTAATCGATTCTGTAAGTACTGAACACAAACCCCCAGGCAATTGAAGAAAATAGGATGATGAAGGACTGCAAACTAATATGTTACACATCTTCATTGATTAGACATTGATTAACCATTATTTTCCTGAATGACAAACAGCTAGTGGTAAAGTAACTGAGGCTTGTGATTTATTTACATCTTAGACAGGGATGACTTCTTTATTCAGCTGATTGTGAGCTAATGCTAAACCAGGAGATAGCGATAGCTAGAGAATCCAGGCTGCTGTTTTCTTTTTCTTTCTTTTTTTAAAAAGAAATCTTCTTGGGCAGCCTTTCTAGATTTCTGGAATGTTTCTATTAGAAACAAATTTAAGTAGATTTTAAAATGATCAGCCAAATTCCAAAATACAGAACATGTACCTGTGGTATAACTACATTTAAAGGGAAGATCATTTTATAGACTTGGTATTTACAAGCATATTGATCAGTGTTTATTGAACTTTTAATTTAATTCTCTCTTCTTTTCAGTGCCTTATTGGCAATTACTCACATTTTTGGAATGAGCCAAATGAGAGTTTCTATGTGTCAGTTACTTATTTTTCTTCTGTGAAGCATATTACTTTAGAACTATGAATCTATTTAAATGTGATACATGTAAGGAAGCAAATATTTTACACTTTAATTTTTGGTTCACATAAAACTTGAATATTATGGACAATCTTAGATTTATGTAGCAAAGTCTTGCAGCAGTGTCATAATACTTAAAGCTATTTCAAAAGATTGCAAACAGTATGCCCAATGGAAAAAGTTTACTCGTGAATTTTCAGGCGATCTTTTTTTCTATTATAATGAAGGAAAGAGAAAGATACTCAATGAAATGAACTGGATTAGCACTAAGTAGAAACTAAATAATAATGAGACTAGCTTTTTTTCTCTTTCTGAAGTACTCCGCATTTTTAAGGTTTGTGGAAAACATTATTTATAAGCAGAAATAATTAAGATGTTCTGGCATTCTTCATTATAATGGTCATGATAAAGACTTTTGATGTTCAAGAAAGCGTAATTTGCTTCTCCATTGGAATTTGATTGTAAATTAGCACTAATTAATGTTCACTTAAGTGTTACAGATGTGTGCTATATGTAGTTAGTTACCAAAGGGGTAACTGTAGAAAATTTATTCTGTAAAAGTATATTAATTTAGAGTAATGATTAGAATGTCATTTAAAAAATAAGAGAAATTCATTACCATTTCCAGTGTTACAAGCCAATTTTAGCATTTATACAACTTAGGAAAAAAATTAGTAAACCATATCATTTAAATTAATATAGAGATGCATTAAACACCACCCTATTAGTTCTTCAATTATTAGACATGTAATTGTAAAATTTCATTGTATTTTGCCCTTTAATGTAATTCTAACTCTAGGTTAATAAATCAGATCTGTTATTTATGGACATTGCCAACTTTATCATAATAAATATGAGTATGCTTTTCCCCAAGCAATTTTTGTTAGTCTCTTCTAAGAAACTGGACATTTGTGTACATGTATATTAACTGAAATCTTCCAGCTAAAGATTTGTCATACGGTTTTAGGATTTAAACAATGGGGTAGAGAGAAAAATGTGTGAAGTTTAATTCTACATTTTTAATTTTGAAAATTGGAAAGCTAGTTTAGTTGTTAAAGAAACCCAGCTTTACTTTAAGGGAAACAGACTTGTTAAGTTTTAAAAGAGGAAGAATACCTAGTTGGGACAACATGTGGTGCTCTGACTTTTACAAAGGGAGCTAAGTATAAGCTTGACTCACTGAGTTGCCCTTAGTTTAAAGTAGATCAGTGGATCCATGCTAATTATAAATCACCTCCTTAGTATTATTTTGAAGGGCTGATCTAAGTTCCCCCTTAGCTTTTTACAGTACTCAGAACTTAGGAGAGGAAAGGTGTTGATTGGCTAGTGGAGCGTGAAGAAAGAGCGAAATAAAAAACCATCCAACAGCCATATCCCAGAGGGAGCTTGGAACCCCAGAAAGAAGTCTAATAGTGTGCTGTTTCCTTGTCCATCTGTGTTCAGGTGAGAGCACCACTTCAGGGGTCTGTGTGCAAATGTAAAAATCAGAAACCTAGAATTTTATAGAAGCAACGATGATGTGACATTTGCACAGCAACTCACCTTTGGGGAAATAAAAGGCACCTCCTTTGGTGTTCACCGTCTTTTCCTTTGAATGAATGTGAGTGTGTGCATGCACACACACACCCATGTGTACGTGTGAGTGTGCACGCGCCTGCGCTTATGTAGATCTGCGTATGCTCCAGTTTCTTCAAGCATATTTAATATCTTTAAAATTTTAAATGAAAATGTAGCTGTCAATTTTAAACTAATTTGGATGGACAGCAATAAAATGCAAACCTCACTTCAAATTAGAATTTTCAGTGAGGATTTCTAATGGAAAGTAATTGCTGACAATAGGAAATGACAAATTACTAATTACTTAGTTCAATTAGACTTTTGTGCCTTTGGTCCTAAGTGGCAAGCATACAGCAAATCTTGCACTTTTATAACAATTAATGACACTAAAACTATTTAAACTGCCAACAGATGTGAGTAAGAAGACATGAATTGAAACTTACTTAATTTACATACTATCCCGATTTTATATCAAGTAAATGGTGTTTAAGTTTTATGCTACAATTAAATATTACTGGTAAAGTGCAATTTTCACAGAACTTCATAGGACGAAATATCACTGTTCAAAAGCTGGTCAGTGTTAATGCTTCCTTTTCTCTTATCACAGCAGTATTTCTCTTTAAAAGACTCAAGAGTATGAATTTCTATCTATACTGTATTCATGATTACACATCAGTGTTAATTATATAGTGGCATCCTTGGTTTTTGCTTTTTCTCTATTTTTTTGTCTATTCCGTTCATCTTTGATTTCCTAACAATCTATTTAGAATCCATATATTTTCTACTTCCTTTCTTTCCCGTGAGACTAAGTCAGGTGTGGTTTTGCGAAAGGATTTTGTTGAGAAGTTCAGTTGCGTTAACTATCTCTGTATTGTTAACTTCTGGCGGTAGCTTATAGAGAACTTAATTTGCTATTCCCAGTGCTATCATTTTTTGTAATTTTGATTCTGAAAATATAGAACTTAAAAATGTTTCCAGTTATAATCAGAAAGATTTTTTTTTCCCTCCATAGGTCTGCAGCTCAGTACACTACTGCAGATGCATGTGGACCAAAGAAAGAAGGTCAAGGGATCCAATTATGTTTGCAATGATCAATTTCCCTATTAAGATTTTAAATATATTTATCCTTTTTTCAAAGCATGTAAGAAAGTATTTATCAGTGAAATGAAAATAAAAATGCTGATCAGTAGTGAAGCAAATTCACCTGGCATCTTGTGCCTATGGAGTAAGGGGAATGCTTTTAGGAACTAAACCGGCAATAAAAATAAACTTAAAAGGTTGTTATAGTAAAACAAAACACAACACTGATACAATTAAAGACTTCCAAATCATTGCATATGTAAGCAAAGAAGTGATCCACATGTAGAAACCCAAACTGGCTATTATATTCCAGTTTTCCTCTGGGAATTTCTTCAGCTCATGAGATTCTCTGCATGTCATTAAGAGTTCAGGCATCAGGTACTTAATCACCTTTTTCCTAGTGTTCTGGATAAAACTGCAAACATCCTATCCAAATTAAATGTATATTTCTTATTGAGATGGCATATATTGTGTGTCATATTAGTATTGAGAGTTCATTATAATCGGGGGAATGGAAGCTTTTTTTGTTCTACTTCCCTTGTAAACAAGAGAAAATGTAAATATACTTTGTTTTATCCTATGGATGGAGAAATGGGGGCAAATTAGAGGGTTCTAAAACTTGAGAGCAAACATATTACAGCAAGCACTTTCTCTAGGGCTTTTGCTTGATTTTTGCAGGTTTTTTCAAGACATGCAATTAAGCTATTGTTTAGAAGCAACACGGTAAACCAGATCCAAATAATCAAGGATAGTTTTTGGACAAACCTCTGTTGTTTCACCACAGCTGTAGTTTTCTTTTCTCACGAGCCCTGTGAACTTTAAGGGCTAGAAATATAACAGAGAGCATACTAGATAATAGAGGAAAAAGGAAAAGCTTAGGCAGGGGGTAGGAGGCCTGGGCAGGGACAGAGGAAAGAAAGACTTTCACAAATCACGAGAAAAATGGCACTGGCATTGTGCCTAAAAAAAGATAACGTGGAAAAGAGGCAATAGCAGCAATAGACTTAGCAAGTATATTTAGAGCAAGAATGATAGAAGAAAGAAGTGGCCTAATTAGAAGAGAGGGAAAAGGAGAGAGAGGGAGCGGGAGAGGGAAAGGGAGACGGAGAGAGAGCAAGTGCAAAGGAAGTGTAAGAAAAAAAAACAGAAAGAAATAAGCCTAGGGAAATTAGCAAAACATACGAAGCTAAGGATATATCCTCACTTGTGCCACAATACACCATGAAAATAGAATGTTTCGGTTGATTTAAACATCCAAGGAATGAGTCCTGTCTTTCTCAGTTTCCATCATCATTACTGAGACATAAACAACATAAAAATATCACTTTGATAATCTAGATTTCTTTTCTGTGGTTACCTGAGGAATTGAAAGGTATGTACTATATATATTATGCTTTATGAAATATATAAACTTGCCATATGCCTATTTCCATCTAATTTATATTGTGTACATGACTTACACATGTTCTGTGCTTAGTGAAAATTTCGGGAAGAAGGTTTTTAAGCTCAAAGAAGTTCGAACAAAATTATTTTTTAAATAGGCAAGCACGTAGAATTTCTCAGAAGATTTTGAGACAATTGTGTGGTACAGGTTTTTGAAACTTGATATTTTAACATTATATATAAATATTTAAATATCATATGTGGATACTTAAGATTATGCATATATATTTATATATACACATATATATGTATAGCTATATATATACCTCTGTATATAAAAGCTTATAGGAAGGACATTTTCTTGAGTTGCATTTTTTCATATAAGACCTTACTTAGATGAACATGCTATTTTTTAAATTACAATTCAGTTTAGGAATACCCAAGCTCGATTCTTGTCATGCGTATAATCTTTCTAGACAGGCATATAGAAGTGTTGGAAGATTGTTGTCAGCCATTTCCTTCCTCCCTCTGTTCCTTCTTTCTTCCCTTCCTATCTTCGGGATCTGTAGGGCCTCTAAAATGTCTAACATGGCCTATTTGGATGGGTTGCCCATTGGATGGATTGAATTTTATTCTGGATATGAATCTATGACAACATGGGATGAGAGGATCAGGGCAAGATTTTTTTGAAATAATCTTTGGAGGTGATCTAGAATATTTGGTAATTCGTATCATTAAAGCAGATCGTGCTATGTAGGTACTGGTCAGCAGTACATATATCCTTGACTGCTCCTTCAGGTTCAAGATATGAAGACTTTGTTTGGACAATTTAGTAATGTCTTGATAATTTATGTAATATGCTCCAACCTGGCTTGTCCTGTGGAGAGTCGATACCATTTAGGAAACTGATTAATCACTTGTTGCAACTATTGGACATCTTAGTAGAAACTTTCCCAATAAGAGGCAGTTTTTGATGTACATTTATCTCTTCATCTATCTCCCAGAGGCCAAGGGCTAACATAGCAGGAATTAAGATATGTACCAATTGGTTAACATTTTTGTTTTCTTGGAAACTGCTATTTTCCTGCTGGATAATTTTTATTATGTAGACTCAAAATAAAGAAGGAAAAGCTGAGGAACATTATGTGTTCTTGACAGTGGATAGATTTTATTGATTAGGAGAAATATATATATACACACACATATATATGTACATATATACATATATATTACTGATTAGTAGAATGATATATATATATATAAAATAAAGATTTATATATTGTATCAAGTTGATGCAAAAGCAATTGCGATTTTTGCCACTGAAAATAATGGCAAGAACCGCAATCACTTTTGCACCTAAATACAAATAGTAAAATATGTTTGTCAACTTCTGTATATCCTTACGAAGTTACTAAGGCTAATTCAAATTTCCTATACTAATTTCCTCAAATAATTGCTTATATGCCATGGGATATTTTGATTTACTGAATGGCAATATATACAGATATCAGGTTCAAAATCTTTATTTTCACTGTCACCATTTTTATTCCTACTGTGACATTAACAAAGAAAATATATTACTAGTGTGATGCAAGTATCTTAGTAAAAAAGGTATGGACTTATCACAGACATAGCAAATGGAATCTGAACTCACAAGACATGTTCTTTTAAGGAACATTTTCTCAGTTTCTGCAGGTTTCTGGACTTCAAAAGTGACTCCTCGGAGAATACTTATTGTGCTAGCAACTTCTAGTTATTGTGAATTTTTGTGCATTTGTTGATAATAGTGACTAATGTGCAGAAAGTAACTTGACTTATTTTATGTTAAAAGAAACAAGGCATTGCACTTTTGCATAATAAAAAGCCAAAATATTTGGCCAATAAGCTAAATGTGCTTTTTGGAATTTGAATTATTTTAAATTACATCTATTTCTTTTAAAGTTGGGAGAGGGAAATGTCTCCTGACAGATGGGAATTCCTATGTGAGGGCATCTTTCTAGAGATGACGGGCAGGTGAGGGAGACTTAAAGGAAAGAAATATATAGTGGAGTACTGCATTTCAAGTACAGGATATTTATTGTAAGCATCTAGTCAGATTTTTTTGGATAAATAATAAATTTAAAAATTTCAACTTCAAAAACATGAAGTATATTTTTGCTTGGTTTGAAAAAAATAAAATTGAATGTTTCTGTTTTAAACAAAAAAAATTCTAAAAAATGTATCCACTCATCAAGCAGCCTCTGGAAGTTAAACATACAGATTGAAATGTACAGAACTCTGGGCTAGAATCAGGAAAAAATTCTACTGCTATGCCTGCCATGACTTGCTGTATGATTATGTGCTAGAATATTCATTATAGGATGAAGATAATAATATCTATCTTTTCTACATTTGGTATTGTTTTTAAGATTAAGTGAGGAAATATGATAACTACTTGGTAAAATATCATGAGTGATTAAGCATCAGTAGAAGTTTGTTTTTTATGTCTTTAGTATTCCCTAAGATATTTTAAACTTGCTACTATTGAAGCATTAACACTGAAATGATTAAATACACTTTTTCTAAAGAAAACACTCAATATTAAATGATGCTCCTAAATTCCAAACATCTTAAAATCATTAAAAAACCACAGAAATACAGGAAGCATTCACATTTAAAATTTAAAAGAGGGGAGGGTGAAAGAAAAGAAATGAGGAATAAGAGCAAAAGAATAATATTCCTAGTAATAATATTTTAGAATTGCAAAATATTGTTTATAACATGAAGGCTAAACTCACTAAAATAAAAAGTAACATTTGACATGAAAATAGATTGACAGTTTTATATCTAAAATATATTTTGCCTACAAAATCATTCAGATACTTGAGCAAATGTATTCACTGTACATTTAGATCAAATTTTTATTTATCTATACATTGTATCCAAATTGTAATAAATTAGGATAGTATAGTATGCTAAAAAACTCAGGCTAACATAAATTGCAAACAAAAGCAGAAAAATCAGGGAATGAGGTAACCAGAATTCTGTGGGCCCGGAGGGTTCCACAAATTTAACTTCCTTTTTGATTGAAGAATCTCTTTTCCAAGGATCCCTGAGCACTGGTCTCTAGGCTCCACCTAATTACATCCAGTGATGGGAAGCTCACACCCTCTGTGGCCATGTTTTCAGCAAAATTTTGGGATTCACTTTTCACAGTCCAAATAATGTATATCTACTAATGAAAACTTTGGCTTATACTAAAGCTTTTGGAAAATTAGATCATTCTATATTTTTTAAAAAAACAGAAATTGAGTTACATTTGAAAAAAATAGATATACCATGGATGTGCGTGTGTGAAAGACAGAATATCACAAACATGGGTCTTAATTAACATGTAGAAATGCATAACTTATAAGGAGACTCAGAGCAAATAATTACCACATGGTATAACACAGGTGAAAATAGAAATATGAGCATACTACACAGGCAGGGTAGAAGAGGATTTAATAGATTTATAAGGAGACGTCTTGTAACAAGAGAGACTTCACTGAGCAATTGACACCTGCAGTGAATGGTGTGGGGAAGGGAATGTAAGGCATGAGAGAAAGCATATGCAAAGGCACTGAGTCCAAATAACAAGATATGTGTGGGAAATTCCAAGAGAATAGCTAAATCAAGTTCCCCCTTCTTTATTTTTAGAATTGATTTGTTAAAACAGCCTTATTGAAATACATACATTTGATATATTTTAAAAACTGTACATATGTAATGTTTACAATTTGGTGAGCTTGTAACCATGGCGACACAAAGTAATAAACACATCTATCAGTTCCAAGAATTCCCTTGTAGCTGATCTTTCTTTTGTGGTGAGAACACTTCTTAACATGAAATCTACCTTCTTAATATATTTTTAAAATGAATGACATCATTGTTAATTATAGGCACTATGTTGTATAGCACAGGGCTCCCCAACCCCCAGGTTTGTGGCCTGTTAGGAACCAGGCCGCACAGCCGGAGGTGAGCAAGGACAAGCAAACATTACCACCTGAGTTCTACCTCCTGTCAGATCAGCAGCAGCATCAGACTCTCATAGGAGCACACGAACCCTATTGCGAATTGCACATGCGAGGGATTTAGGTTGCAGGTTGCCTGCTCCTTATGAGAATCTAACTAATGCCTGATGATCTGAGGTGGAAGAGTTTCATCCTGAAACCATTCCCTCAACCTCCCAGTCCATGGAAAAATTGTCTTCCATGAAACCAGTCCATGGTGCCAAAAAGGTTGGGGACAATTGGTCTAGCAGATCTCTAGAATTTATTCAGCTTGCATAACTGAAACTTTATACCCATTAAGCAGCAATTCCTCAATTCCCCTTTCCCCCAGCTCCTAACAACCACCATTCTCCTCTCTACTTCTGTGAGTTTGACTATTTTAGATACTTCATATACATGGAATCATGCAGTATTTGTCCTGTGAGTGTGTTATCTCACTTAGCATAATGTCCTTCAGGTTATCCATAATTTTTGCATCTAAATCTAATTCATCTCTGTTTGTTAAACTTCTCCTCACTGAATGGTTTATTAATCCACTCTACAAATGAATATTGAGTACCAACCATATTCCAAGTGCTATTGTAGGTGTTGAGCATAGCGCAATGAAAAAAACAGGCACAGGTTTCTGCTCTTATAAAGCTGACATTCTAGTGTGGGAGTGGTAGGCAATAAGCAGGATAAATAAAGAAGATTTATAGAATATTAATGAATACATGTTACAGAAAACATGTAAAGGAAAGGGAGACAGGAAATCTAGGGGAAGAGGAAAGGTGCTTGAATTTTACACGGGGTAAGCAAGTAAAGTTTCACCAGGTAAAGGTAATAAAATAGTGAGCCATTTAGTTTTTTGGAGTTGATCATTCCAGGTAGAAGAATGGGATAAGTCTTGAGGGCAAAATATGCCTGGTATGTTCAAGGGACAAAAAGAAGATAGTGTAACTAAAGTGGAATTAGCAAAGAGGAGGTTAGGATGAGATCAGAGAAAAAAAGCTGGTTTTGCATGTCACTGCAAGAAATTTGAGCTCTTACTTTGGAAAAACCCTGGAGAATTTTGCATAGAGAAATGACATGATGCGACTTAGAACAGGATCATTTTGGCTGCTCTCTTGAGAACAGACCAAAGCTGACCATAAACAAAAGGAAGGAAATCAGGTTTTCGGGGCAATGGGAGGTGGGTTGGGAGCAAGGGAAGCTGCTATTGCAGCTTTGGGTGACTTTGACTAGGATGTAGCAGGCAAGTAATGAAAATTTGTTCTCTTTTGGATGTTTTTAAAGGTAGAGAGCAGGCAGGATTAGTTAAAGAATAGGATGCAGAATATTAGAGAAGTCGTGAATGACTTTAGAATTTTTGGCCTGAGCCAAAACTAAAGGCATGGAGTTTCCATTTACCTAAATGGGGAAGACTACAAAAGGAGTGAGGTAAGGAGGAAATATCAGGAGCTTATGTATTTGAGAGATCAAGTGATTCTCCCAGGAGAAAATGTTGACTAGGCAGTTGGACATGTAAGTCTAGAGTTCCAGGAAAGGTACAGGTCAGAAACATAACTTCGAGAGTCAACAGCATATAGTACAACAGATGCTATTTAAAAATAATAAAACTAGATGAATTATCAAGAGAATGAGTGGAGATAGAATATAGCAGTAATACAAGGACTGAACCCTGGGGCGTTTCAACATTTAAAGGTTGGGGAGATGAGGTGGAACTGGTAAAGGAGACTGAGAAGGAGTAGTCAGGTCAGTGGGAAATGTGTTGAAAGTGGTTTCCTGAAAACCAGGTGAATAACATGGTGAAAAAGGAGAGGAAACACAACTGTCTCAAATGCTGCTGATAGGTCAAGATGGGAATTAATAACTGACCATTGGATTTAGCAACATGTAAGTCATTGGTGATTGCTATGGCTTTAATGATGTTTATTTCTCTGCAAAACTCATTTGTTGAAATCCTAACCCCTGAGGTGATGGCATTAGGACGTGGGCCCTTTTGGAAGGTGATTAAGTCATGAAGGAGGAGCCCTTACGATTGGAATGAGTGCCCTTTTAAAGAGATCCCAGAAAGCTAGCTAGCACCTTCCACCATGTGAGGATACAGGGAAAAGGCATTGTTCTATGAACTGGGAAGTAGCCCTTTGAGACACCAAATGTGCTGGTACCTTAATCTTGGACTTCTTAGCCTCCAGAACTGTGAGAATAAATTTCTGTTGTTTATAGGCTACTTAGCCTATAGTACTTTGCTATAGCAGCCCAAATGGACTAAGACATTGATCTTGATATGAGGAGGGCTGCTGGAGTGATGGGAGGGAGAAGTCTAATTAGAATGAGTTGTGGAGACAATTGGAGAAGACAACTAAGGTGCAATGAATAGAAGCAGTTTTGTTGTTGTTATGTTTGTTTTTTTCTCACAAGATTTGCTGTAAAGAATAGGAGACAAATGGAGATAGTAATTACGAGCTGAAACTGTGTCTGTTTTGTTTTTAAGATGAGAGAAATTTATGTACATGGGAAGGGGCCAATAGAGAAGGAAAAACAGTTACTTAGAGGAGAGATGGGAAAATCGCTAAAGCAACATATTCAAGAAGCAATGACGTGATATGTTTTACCTTAGAACAGGATCATTTTGGCTGCTCTGTTGAGAACAGACCAAAGCTAGTGCAATGTAGACAAGAAGGTATGGGCTAAAGTGTACAATGAGTGGAGGGGTTGGCCACGTTAGGAGACAATTCTCCATGAAATTATTATGTCTTTACATGTTCTGTGAACAATGTCACTTATTGCCTTTTTGTTCTAGACTCTCTTTTTAAGGATGTTTGTACAGTAAAGAGCCTGGGAAGTTAGAGATATTATCTATCTCCATTTGGAGAGAAAGCAGGTTTGCTTACTACCAAATGTAATAAAGATAATGTTTTCCTCTAAGGAAAAATCAGATGAGGTTGCTTATGTCCTGTTATAAAATATTCAAATTCCTTAAGCTCAAATTTTGTTATCTGTAATGCAACCCGCTGCATATGCAGATTTCACTTGGTCCTCATTACATTGCCCTGTGAGAATTGAGGTCGAGGGAACTGTATTCGGGTTCTCCAGAGGATCAGAACCAATAGGAGATTTTATACACATACACATATATATTACATATTGTGTTATATATGATCTATAAGAATAAAATTATTCTGAGGAATTGGCTCACACAATTATGGAGGTTGAGAAGTCTAAGATCTGTAGTTGGCAAACTAGACACCAAGGGGAGCTGATAGTATAGTTGTAGTCCAAAGGCAGGAGAAGTCCAACGGCAGTCGGCATAGAGAGAACTCTTTCTTCTTCAGCACTTTATTCTATTCAGGCACAGGCATTCAATGGATTTGATGAGGCCCACCTACATTAGGAAGGAAAATCTGCTTTACTCAGTCTACAGATTCAAATATTAACCTCCTTACAGACACATCAAGAAAGAATGTTTGACCAAATAGCTGGGCACCTGTGGCCTCCTCAAGTTGACACATAAAATCAACCCTCATAGGAACCATCACAAGCAAATGATGACACTCTAGCTACTACAATTTCTGTGAGTAGTAAACTGCCCTCTGTATACAACCCAGGAGTGTCATGGCTTTTGGTGTTATCCACAAAAATGTGGTAAGCTAACTTTTTAGGTTGGAAGTAGAGTCAAATCTCAGACCCTTTCTATCCTGACAGGTCACAGCTAGGAAACTGGGCTATTCTCCATGTTAATAGAAGGGTACAGAAGGGTGGATAGAGTTTATGGACATAGATGCAGGTGGTTGGCTGTGATGACTTCATTTTTTTCAGTGAAATTGGAAGCAAGACCATTAGAATGTACTGAGGACAAGAGAAAGTGTTGATGTCTTAAAAAGACAAAAAAGTGTGAGACAATTGTTTAGGAGAGTGAAGGTGTGAACAGTCCAGGGAAATATCACATAATCCTTGGTGGTATTGAGAGTTACTTCTTCCTGAACTTAAAGTTATACTAGAGAGTATGGTTATGACTAGTTTAGTTGCATTCATGTTTAGATTCAAGCATAGACTTAGATGTAGAGGGTAGAAATTCAATGGAAATGCAAGGGAGCTAACTAAGACCCTGTGTAAGACAATGGTTATAATGACAGGACCATGGAATTTAAAGTGGCTAAAGAGGGTAGTGAAGGCATCAGGGGCTGGGAAATCAGTGAAGGGTGATAGATCAACGGACATTAGGACTCGTTATCAGAGTGATCAAAGGACTTTGAACTGGTGGTACTAAAGGATGTGAGCTGGAAAGATTGTTCTGGTTGTCTATAATATTTACTATTCCTCCTAGAGTGTGCCATCTAAGTTCTACTATTTTATTCACATTCTGATATTTTCTGAGTACTTTGCTCAATTCAAAATAGTAGTATTTACTCCATTATATTAATGTCAGAGTAACATTATTAAAAAGACAAATGAGGTCAATTGCATGCCTTATTTTTTTAAGTCATGTTGGTTTCTAATCATTACACTTTAAAAATTATATTTATATTTCTTTATAAAATCTCTTTCAGCATGTTCCTGATTATTGACGTTAGCCTCGTAGAACTTTTATTTAGAGAATGCATGTCTTCCAGATTAATGATTTCCAAATGTTTTTGATAGTGCACCCCTTTCAGTAAAATATTTTTATGCATTTGCACTCCAATATATGTCTAATTATGTACTTGTACTAAAATATAAACATAATACAAATATGACAGATGTACTATAAAACTTGACCAATTATAGGAATTGAAAAAGTATAAAGATAAGTAGAATGCAACATTATTTATCTTTTCAGTGTGAAAAACTTTTTTTCTCATTAGATTTTAGTAATTATATTTTAGTCAATATTAATGTTACTTCTATTTTTAGTATTTTAGTGAAAGTCTCCTGACTGCATTAGATCTGATGAGACTATCATTGATCTTTAACTCATAAGAGTCTGATGAGAAATGTGCTCAAGTAAGAATAGAGATCCTAGCACTGCCATTTTCTAATTGTTCAGTTGTATGTATGTTAATAGAATTGCCTTTGATCTGTGGCTCCTTTGCGGGAGTCTTTTTAAATTTCTTGTTCATTTTGTGAGGGTGAATTTCATTAAAACTACACAATGTACTCTGTAAATCGACTTAACTGGTGTGCTTAAATTACAATAGTTCAAATATGAGCAAAGGCCACCTGTCTTATTGAACTCCTACTGTTCCATTAGGATGCTCCAATAAACTATACAGCATGTTTGATGGTCTCACATTTGGGCTCAATGTGGATGTCTTTGCCAATTTGTATATTAAATATTCATGTAGCTTCATGTCTTTTTATCTTAAGGTTAAAAATACTAAGATAAATTCTAATATTTTATTGCCAACTGTTTTGGTTGGCTCTGTGTCCCCACCCAAATCTTACCTCAAATTGTAATCCCCATAATTCCCACATGTCAAGGGTGGGACCAGGTGGAGGTAACTGAATCATAGGGATGGTTTCCCCCATGCTGCTCTTGTGATACTGAGTTCTCACGAGATCTGATGGTTTTATAGGTGTCTGGCATTTCCCCTGCTTGCACTCACTCTGTCCTGCTGCCCTGTGAAGAAGGTTCTTCCTTCCCCTTTGCCTTCTGCATGATTATAAGTTTCTTGAGGCTTCCTTAGCAATGCAGAACTATGAGTCAATTAAACTTCTTTCCTTTATAAGTTACCCGGTCTTGCGTATTTCTTCATAGCAATGTGAAAATGAACTAATACAGTAAATCGGTAACAAGAGTGGGGTATTGATATAAGATACCTTGAAATGTGGAGGTGACTTTGGAACTGGGTAACGGGCAGAGGTTGGAACAGTTTGGAGGACTCAGAGAAGAGAGGAAAATGTGGGAAAGTTTGGAATTTCCTAGAGACTTGTTGAATGATTTTGACCAAAATACTGATAGTGATATGGACAAAGAAGTCCAGGCTGAGGTGGTCTCAGATGGAGATGAGGAACATTTTGGGGAGTGGAAAAGAGGTCACTCTTGCTATTCTCTAGAAAAGAGAGAAGTGGCATTTTTCCCCTGCCCTAGAGATCTGTGGAACTTTGAACTGGAGAGTAATGGTTTGAAATTGGAACTTAGTTTAAAAAAGAAGCAGAACATACATGTTTGGAAAATTTGCAGCTTGATGAGGCAGTAGAAAAGAAAAACTCATTTTCTGGGGAAAAATTCAAGCCAGCTGCAGAAATTTGCATAAGTAACAAGAAGCCAAATATTAATCACCAAGACAATGGGGAAAATGTCTCCAGGGAATGTCAGAGAGCTTCATGGCAGCCCCTTCCATCACAGGCCTAGGAGGAAAAAATGGTTTTGTGAGCCAGGTCCAGGACCCTGCTGCTCTGTGCATGAGCAGTCTCAAGAACTGGTGCCCTGCATCCCAGCTGTGGCTAAAAGGAGCCAAGGTACAGCTCAGGCCACTGCTTCAGAGGGTGCAAGCCCCAAGCCTTGGCAGTTTACACATGGCTTTGGAACTGCGAGTGCACAGAAGTCAAGAATTGAGGTTTGGGAACTTCTGCCTCGATTTCAGAGGATGTATGAAAATGCCTGGATGTGCAGGCAGAAGTTTGTTGCAGTAGTGGAGCCCTTATGGAGACCCTACGTTAGGGCAGTGTGGAAGGGAAATGTGGGATTGGAGCCCCCATACAGAGTCCCCACTGGGGCACTGCCTAGTGAAGCTGTGAGAATAGGGCCACTGTCTTCCAGATGCCAGAATGTTAAATCCACTGACAGCTTGCATCCTGAACCTGGAAAAGCCACAGACGCTCAATACCAGCCCATGAAAACAGCCAGGAACAGGGCTGTACCCTGCAAAGCCACAGGAGTGGAGCTGCCCAAGGCCATGGGAGTCCACCTCTTGCATCAGCATCACCTGGATGTGAGACATAGAGTCAAAGGAAATCATTTTGGAGATTTAAGATTTGACTGCCCCACTGAATTTCAGACTTGCATGGGGCCTGTAGCCCCTTTGTTTTGGCCAATTTCTTCCATTTGGAATGGTTGTATTTACCCAATGCCTGTACCCTCATTATATCTAGGAAGTAACTAACTTACTTTTGATTTTTCAGGCTCATAGGCAGAAGGGACTTGCCTTTTTCAGATGATTCTTTGAACTTGGACTTTTGGGTTAATGCTGGAATGAATTAAGACTTTGGGTAATTGTTGAGAAGGCATAATTGGTTTTGAAATGTGAAAGGGACATGAGATTTGGAAGGGGCCCAGGGTGGAATGATATGGTTTGGCTCTGTGTCCCCACCCAAGTCTCACCTTGAATTATAATCCCCACAATCTTCAGGTGTCAAGGGTGGGACCAGGTGGAGGTAATTGAATATTGGGGGCTGTTTCTCCCATGCTGTTCTCATGATGGTGAATGAGTTCTTACTAGATCTGACAGTTTTACAAGCATCTGGTATTTCCCCTGCTTGTACTCACTCCATCCCTCCACACTCTGTAGAAGGTTCCTGCTTCTGCTTTGCCTTCCACCATGATTGTAAGTTTCCTGAGGCCTCCCTAGCAATGTGGAACTGAGTCAATTAAACCTCTTTCCTTATAAATTACCCAGTCTCATGTATTTCTTCATAGCAGCGTGAGAACAGAGTAATACACCAACCCTAATGAATTGTGTTATTTTCTCTGAACCATGGTACCTACTGTCAAATGATAAGAGAATAAACTTTATTTTTCTTTGCCACATATATGAAGTAATATGTATCATGTGCTGAGTAAATATTTGGTGAGTGAATAAGCCCATATGTTGCCCTGATTTAAAAATTAGAAACCTGCCAATTTCCGTTGTTTGATACTTCTTTGCATTCTGTGATTTCTCATACATTGCTCACATATTTTGAATTTTATCATTATTCTGAAATAGAATATGACTAAATTTCATCCCATATGGGTCTTATCTGAAAATTTATGGACACAGCCACTTTTAAATGGCCTCCTTCTGTGTGTAATCGCTGGCTATTCTGTTGCTTTTTGTTTTCCCCATGTTATTCTAATACATTTTCCTCTTAATGTTTTTAAACAATGCATATATAGTACACAATACAATATGTGATAAAAATCAAATGCCATAATTATTAGTCCATTACTCCATTATTAATCCAATCATAATTTCAAGGAACAGAGTTAGCTACCTTTTCTTTTGTTAATTCCCTGAATTCCAACCCCAACTCTTAAAAAATCTAGAGATATTTGAAAAATGTGCAGCCATGAGTTACATATTCCCCATTGGCATTACTTTTCTCTTATAGAAAAGGAACTTAGTTTACCTAAAGAACATATGGGCAATACTTATTCAGTGAATAGTATATGGATACTGAAATTCCTCATGCCCCTGAAGCTTCTTCATTCCCTAGTATGTATCTCTTACTTTATTCACATTTGCTAAAGATCTAAGGAGTTCTCTTGTTATTACTTCCTCACATTGTTTGTTATGGTTCTCACCTCCACTTTTTCAATGGCTGCAGGTATCTTTAGAGTCTATCTTGAATCAAATGCGTTTGTTGTCTTAGGTAATTTTGAAATCTTTCAGTTTTTAAATTTTTAATAGAGAAGAAAGGAAATAAAAAGTGAGAGTGCTTTTAGGTGATTCCATCATTTTCTTTTTTTTCATGCTATTGTATTTTTCTTCCTGGCTTTTTCCTCTGCTAAGCAAGTGACTTCTCACCTCCCTCATTGTTATTTTGCAATACTGTTCAAATCCTTACAAGAGTATTTTTTTCTGCCATGTATATTCCTGTGTCTTCCATCGATGACAACTAGAGGCTTGTCTGCCAGCATATATGGGGCAAATACGGCAGCACCTTTCCTTTAAACTTTCATTATGTTTAGAGAGTAAATGAATTTCCTATTTGTCACAAATGTGGGAAACTATTTAGGATGGACAAAAATACAACTTAGATTTCAGAGGGAGTTTATATTTCAACACTTCAAGTCATCTGACATTTCTTCTTTTCATAAAACGGTTAAGTGATGAGGGAGAACTTGGAGGCAGGTTTTTTAACAGATTCATTTGACAATTCCTATGATTCATGTTCACATATGATCATTCAGGCTTCTGGAAGATTGATCAGTTTAAAATGTTCTTAAACTAGTTCTCTACTCCCAAGCAAGTATACTTTCCTTAATCAGTTGTGACATATATTCACTGAGAAGATGCAAAACTTAAATACTTTTTAGAAGAATGAAGATAATTTTTTAAAACTTGTGTTGAGGTGGCAGGATTGCAAAGGCCAAATCCGTAACTAATTGATAATAGTAACAGAAGCTTGGTTGGGACTATTTGTTTTAAAAATAAAATTTAGTGTTTTCTTTCTAATTACAAAAGTGATGCATATTGCTTATAATATTTAGGATATATGGAAAAGAAAAAGAAAGTTACCATTTATCACTAGATAGACCTGATGTAATTTTTTTATGTTCTTGAAAAGTATATATAGCATGGAGAAGTTAAGTTTAATATTTGATACCTTTTCCCATTTCTTTATGGGTTAATGGTTTATTCAGGTTTTCTGAATCAATTTTAGTAATTTTTTACAAAATCAATTTGGTAATTTTTTGTCTTCTTAGAAGCCTATTGTTTTTATTGAAAATTTTATATTTTTAGTTATTGCTGTAACTGTAAGTTAATTCATTTTCTGATTTTTCTTTGGAATTTTTTAATACTTGCATATTTATTTGTGTGCGTGAGCAGAATCTTCAATATCAAACTTCCTTTTTAAAAATGTATTATTTCATGCCCTTAATTTATTACTTTCACTTGTTTATTTTTAAAATTAAATTTATTTTGTTCTTCAACTTTTCACCCCAGGCTATTCAATGACATGTTAAGTTCATTGAGTTTTATTCTTCCTTATTAAATAATGAGAGCATTTTAGGATTCTTAATTTTCTTTAACCATAGATTTGGCTTCAGTTTTTTTGTCTTACTGTAGTTTTTATAGACAATAGCAATTGTGTTTTCTTCTGTTGTCTAGACTACCTTTCCAGTAACAGCCTGGAGCAGGAAGCATGCCCTAATCACTGCAGTGCTACTCTCTCTGAAGCTCTTGCAGGAATGAGCGAAGTAGTAAGAACTACAGCACTATCTCCTTCTAAGAAGGGCCAATCTCCTTCTACGACAGTGGTTTCCATGCTTCTCACATAACACTAACACAGACAATAACATGTTTACAGCTCAATGGGGTAAATGGTTGAAGCTGCTTCCAGCCGAAATGCCTAGTTTAGGAGCTCTGGGGCCTAGGGCCTGTTCCCTGCCCTTGCAATTAAAAGAGAGCAGCATCTCTGGTCCACCTGTAACTTATTCTTAGAAGACCGTTTGGGAATTTCTACTTTGAGAAACTGTTAAGACCACTTTCATCATGCTTCAAATAATTGTTTGACTCAGTCAAAGTTAGAAGTCTAAGCCGCCACACTTACCTGTTATCAACTAAATTAAAAATAATTATGAAGGCCTAATTTACATATATTAACATTTTTCCTTCTTACGGTACAGCTGTATGAGATATAACTAACACAGAGTCATGTAACCACTACCACAATAAAAATATAAAATAAATCCATCAGTACAACAATTCCTTTGCATCCCTTTGTAGTCTACTCCCCCTCACCACGGGGACCTAAGAAACTACCAGGCTATAGATTTACCTTTTCCTGAATATGATATAAATTGAATCATAATTATCCATCCTTTTAGATATGGCCTCTTCCACTTAGCATAGTGCGTCTGAGAGTCCATGTTGCTGCACCTATCATTAGTGTGTTTTATCTCTTTGATGTCGAGTAGTATTGCATTGTATGGATATATCTCAGTGACCTGTTGAAGGACATTTGAGTTCTTTCTAAGTTTTAGTAATTAGAAATAAAGCTACTGTAATGATTTCTTTACAGTTTTTTGAGTGAACAGTTTTAATTTCTCTTAGATAAATGCAAAGAATATAATGCTGCTACCTAATTAACAATAATTTATGTACAGCCATGAATATTGTATGAATACAAATTCATTTCTAAATGGAGTTCCACAATAGCACGGAAATCCTACTATGATGCTCTAAGAAGCTAACTTTCCAACTCTGAAAGTCTCTTAATTTCCCCGGATTAAATTTCCGATGTAGACCTTTATTCACTTCATTATTAATTGACAATATGGAAACCAAGAGATGCCAAAATCTGTGATGTTCCCACCACAGTGTAAAACCCTACTTACTTTTGCATCCATTTCCTTCTATTTCTGTCCTGTTATAAAGGAAGCAGTTTCATTTATCTTCTCAAAAAAAGTTTATTACAAGGCTGTGTTTTATTTCAGTGCTTATTTGACCCTCACTCTACTGAAATTTGGTTCCCATTCCTAGTACCCCATTGAAACTACTTTCATTTAAGTCACTGATGTCTTTCATGTAGCTAACATCAATGAATTTTTATTGTCTTCATCTTACGTGAATCTCTTGTGTCTTTGTCACTGTTTACCACTGCCTTTTATTTTATTTTAAAGCCATTTGTTGCTATAACCAGAATAATATAGTCCAATTTAATTATTTCAAGGCATTTGGAGCAGTCCTCTAATGCAGTATTTCCATTTTTAGTTTTTATTTGACTCTATTATCTTCTTTCCCAAAACTTTTAATTTTTAAAATTATCAGATTACAAAATGTTTCAGGAATAGTGAAAATAATACTGATACATTTTTCACATAAATTCTTCAATTGTTACCATTTTGTGACATTTTATTTCTCTTTCTCTAAATCTCTCTCTATATATAGAGGTATTTATGAGTATCAATCCACTTTTCTATGCACACTTAAAATATTTTTCTGTATTGTATCTTAGAATTTTAGTAATTTAAATTCTAATTTAAAATTATGTGTTTAGGTCTATGATCCATTTCAGGTTAACTTTTTTGTGAGGTGTGAGACAAGAGGTTCGTTTTTGTGCACATAGATATCCAATTTTTTCATCACCATTCGTTGACAGATTTTTTTCTCATTGAATTACTTTTTTCTCATTGAATTACCTTATCACCTTTGCTGAAAAATCAATGGACTATGTTAGTGTGAGTATATTTCTAGACTCCCTGTTTTGTTCAATTGTTCTATGTGTCTTACTTCCAACATCACACTGTCTTGATTAATACAGCTTTATAGTCTACATTAGCTTCAATTTGCATATTGTAAGTTCTCCACACTTGCTCTTTTTTTAAACTTACTTTTTATTATTTATTTATTTATTATTATTATTTTTTAGACGGAGTCTTGCTCTGCCGCCAGGCTGGAGTGCAGTGGTGTGATCTCAGCTCACTACAATCTCTGCCTCCCTGGTTCACGCAATTCCCCTGCCTCAGCCTCCCGAGTAGCTGGGACTACAGGTGCTCACCACCACGCCTGACTGATTTTTTGTATTTTAGTAGAGATGGGCTTTCACCATATTGGCCAGGATGGTCTTGATTTCCTGACCTCGTGATCCGCCTGCCGCAGCCTCGCAAAGTGCTGGGATTACAGGCAAGAGCCACCACGCCTGGCCAAATACACTTTTTATTTTAAAGCAGTTTTAGATTTACTGAATCATTGAAAGCATAGTACAGAGAGTTCCTATATACTCCACACTCAGTTTTTCCCATTATTAGCATTTGACATTAGTATGGTATATTTGTCCCAATTAATGAAATAGCATTGTTAAATTGGTATTAAATAATGTACATACTTTATTCAGATTTGTTCAGCTTTCTCTTAATCTTCATTTTTCTGGTTATAGGATCCCATTCAGGAAATTATATAACATTTAGCAATCATGTCTCCTTAGGCTTCTCTTGGCTATAAATGACAGTTGCCCAGACTTTTCTGTTTTCAATGACCTTGACAGGTTTGAGGAGTACACATTGTATGTTTTGTAGAATATGTCATAACTGGAATGTATCTGATGTTTTTCTCATGGTTAGATTGAAGAAATGTGTTTTTAGTAGGAATACACAGAGGTGAAGGGCCATTTTTATCACATCAGGGGTATATGATAGGTATGTACCATACATACCTTGATGTATATCAAGAGTAGGTACTGTGATGTAATAATGACTTACCACTACTGATGTTAACCTTGATTACCTGATTTGAAGTATGCTTTATCTCCTTAACAGCAGCGTATTTATATAAATTGTTTAGAATTTTCTGCACAAGATGTTCTCCTCTATTTATTCATTTATAAAGTTATTTATCAATATCAGTATGGATTTATGGATATTTATTTTATAATTTCATTAATAATTAAATACTAATTTGTTTATTTTGTTTCTCAAATTGTTCCAGCTTTGGCCATTGAGAACTCTTCCAGTTGGCTTCTGTACCCTTTGACATACCTAATATTGTGGGATCCCTTTGTTTGTTTATTTGTTTTCAGTACTTTCTTACTTTAGTTCACCACAGGATTCTCCAGAATTTGGGACGTCCCAGTCCTAAATTCAGCCATTTCTCTAAGAATCCCAGGTTCCTTTTACTAGAGAATCATTTTTGAAATCAAGATCTGGGAGCTAAGTATGTTTGTTGCTATAGTGGCATTATTGCTGTCAGGCCCTCCCAGCTGACAGAGCAAAGAGACATATACGTGTGTACACATATCTATAAATATTTTTATATGTAAGCATCTGTGTCTTTATTAAGCTAAACATGAGTTTGCATACTGATGTCTTCAACTGTAATCCATTTCTAGACTGTTCATTTTAGCTCCCTCCCCTTGCTATCTGTGATCTTCTACTCCAGCAATAAGAAAAGTGGCTACTATTTCCTGCCATTCATTTACTCATGTGTTTAATTGCTGTGTGATTGTGTAGTAGTTTTAGAATTGTTACCCCTAGAGAAACAACTTTGTCAGCTAAAGTACAGTGCTTATGCATGGTTCTTTCTGCCATTCATTTACTTATGTGTTTAATTGCTGTATGATTGTGTAGTAGTTTTAGAATTGTTACCCATAGAGAAACAACTTTGTCAGCTAAAGTACAGTGCTTATGCATGGTTCCTTCTGCCATTTGTCTTACAGATTCCACTTATTTCAAAGTTACTGAGGCCAGAACAGTTCTCCCTCATCCCTTCAAGTGAGTTTGTTTCATATATGTGTAATCTAATTAGATTGTTTGTCACATTCTCCATTCCATCTTGGAGCCCTGTGACCTCTTATTTTTTAATTTGCATATGTTAAGCTTCACTCTTTGTGCTATAAAGTTCTTTTAGTTTTGAAAATTGCATTGTGTCATGTATCCACCCTTACTGTTTTATACAGAAGAGGTTTGCTACCCAAAAATATCCCCTGAGTTTCCCCTATATAACCCTCTATCCCCAAACCCTGGTACAGTGATCAGTGGATCAGTTTTCTACCTTACATTTTTTTTTTTTTTTTGCCAGATTGCCATATAGTTGGAATCATATAGTATGTAGTTTTTTTCAGTCTGGCTTCTTTCACTTAGCAACACACATTTAAGATTAACCCATGTCTCTGTATGGCTTGAGAGCACATTCCTTATCACTGGATAGTTGTCTTAGTATGTTAACACTGCTGTAATGAAATGTCATTAACTGGGTGACTTATACACAACAGAAATTTTTTTCTCAAAGTTCTGGTGTCTGGAAATTTTAAGATCAAGGTGCCAGCAGATTCGATTTCTTGCAAGTGTCTGCTTCCTAGATGGCCATCTTTTCATTAGAACCTCACATGGCAGAAGGAGCAAGGAGCTCTCTCAGACCTCTTTTATAAGTGCATCAGTCCTATTCTTAAGAGCTTCATTTTCATGACCTAATTACCTTTCAAAGGCCCCATCTTCTAATACCATCACTTTGGGGTTAGGATTTCAACATATGACTTTTGTGCAGACACAAACATTTGAATGACAGCAATAGTATTCCATTGTATGGATATATAAAAATTGTTTATCCATTCCCTTATTGAAGGTCCCCTATTGGTTGCTTCCAATTGGATAATTGTAAATAAACTTGCTACAAATGTTTACATGCATATTTTTGTGTGAATGTAAGTTTTCAAATTAGTTGGGTAAATACCTAGGGGCATGATTGCTGGAACATGTGATAAAACTATGGTTAACTTTGTCAGAAACTGCCACTCTGTCTTCCAAAGTGGCTGTGCCACTTTGTCTCCCCACCAACAATGAATAAGAGTGCCTGTAGGTCTGCACCCTAAATATTAATTGCTATTTTCAGATCATTGGAGGTTAGTCATTCTACAAGGTATACAGTGGTATCTCACGGTTGTTTTAATTTGCATTTTCCTAATGAGAAATCATGTTGAGCATCTTTTCATATGCTTCTTTGCCATCTGTATATCTCCTTTGGCAAGTATCTGTCCAGATATTTTGCTCATTTTTAATTGGGTTGTTTGTGTTCTTATTGTTGGGTTTTAAGGGTTCTTTAATATTTTGGATACAATTCCTTCATTAGATAAGTATTTTACAAATATTTTCTCCCAGCCATGGCTTGCTTTATATTCCTCTTAACACTGTCTTTGTAGAGTAGAAGATTTTCATTTAATTAAGTCGAATTTATCAATATTTTTCCTTCATAGGTCATGATTTTGGCATAGTGGCTATGAACTTATCACCAAACTAAGGTCACATAAATTTTCTCCTATGCTTTCTTCTTGTAGGTTTTTGGTTGTTTGTCTTTCACTTTACATTTAGCTGTAAAATCCATTTTGAGTTAGCTTTAGTGTAAGGTCTGTGTCTGAATTCATTTTTTTGCGTATGGATGTCTAATTCTTTCAGTATAATTTGTTGAAAAGTCTATCATTTCTTCATTGAACTGTTGTTGAGCCTTTATAAAAAATCAGTTGACTATATTTGGGGGGTCTACTTCTATGTCCTACATTCTGTTATATTGCTCTATGTTTATAATTTTGCCAATACCATGTTGTATTGATTACTTTGCTTTACAGTAAATATTGAAATTGGTAAGTGTCATTTTTTTTGCTTCGGTATTTTATTAGCTATTCTCGGTCTTTTGTCTTTACATATGAAATTAAAAGTCAGTTTATTGATATCTACAAAATATCATCCTTGGAATATTACGGGGATTTTGATGACCCTACAAATCAAGTTTTGAAGAATGACATCTTAACAATATTGAGTCTTCTAACCTCTGAACGTGGAATATCTTTCCATTTTTTTAGATCTTCTTGATACATTTCTGTGTATACATGCATATCAAGCATACTTCTGTGATACAAACTAAAAGTGTTTTGTAGTTTTCTACATACAAGCCTTGTTATAGTTTTTAAATTTGTATCTGAGTATTTTTAGTCCATCATGGTTTGCTTTGAGGCATAAATTGCTTATATTTCTTCCACATGGAAAATACACTCACTTCTTCCAAATCCCACAAACTCTTATCCTATTGTAATATTATCATGAAGTCTAAGATCTCATTCCTTTAAAACAAGTTCAGTTGTATATTAGGCTCCTTCATTTATACTTTCTCTTGATGTTAACTTGTGAACCAAAGATAAGTTATCTGTTTCCCACACACAATATATAATGGTGAGATAGGCATAGGATGACAGCAATAGACTATCCTGTTCAAAAAGGGGGAAAGCAGGAGGCATACGGCAATCTCTGGTCCATAGCAATTCTGAAATTCAATCAAACAGATGTTGTCATTTAAAAAAAAATTAGAACTCAGTACTGTTCCATGGAAATAATTCTCTGTGCCTATTTGCTTCTCCCTCTGAGCACTTTGTTCTGACATTGAACTCATCTTTCCTTTCTGTAAGAAACAGCATATGTTTCTAGCTGAATAGTTTCTCAGCTTTCTTTTTTGCCTAAAGAAAATTAGGAACCCAAATACCTTTTGTATTCTGTAATATCACTGTATTTTTCTGTCCAACTGATACAATTTTTAAAAAACTTTGTAGATTTCATGTATATTAATTTATAATTCATACCAATAGATAACACCACACCCACAAACATCTTCAAAATAGGCTTTTGTATACATAGGGTACTCTGTGAGGCTAAGACAATGCCTCCAAGATTCTCTGAAGCCCAATATTTTTAAAGAAGAGAGTCTACAGGGCTTGCCTAAGAAGGATTTTTATCCTTAGAAGTTATTTTGTCCAGCTGAAAGTGTTCATAAAACACCACCTTACATCTCTCTGAGGTCTTAAAAAAAGGTTTCACACTTTCATCCTTTACTTCATCTTTACCCTCAGACCTTGCTTTCTAAGAAGGACCTAGATTTGATCTTTTCTATGAGGCTATTTCTTACTTTTAACAGTTTTTGTTGGCTTGGAAAGACTGTCCTGAGCTCTTAGTATTTCCTCCAAATTATGCTAGAAAACTGAGAGATTTCTTCTTTAGTTTGTTTCTCCCATCTTTCATTTTGTCATAGGGAGCTAGAAGAATCTGTGCCTATGGATTCCTTAGCAAGATTTTTGAGACTATTAGGCTGCAATTCTATTTTCCATATTGCTTCAGGCAACAGTTTTGCTAACTGTTCTGTCTGTATATAACTCAGCGGCCCTTTTCACTAGCCTCCAATAGCATTTTCCTCATTGTCCTTGGTGCCCTAATAGCCTCCCTGAGGCCATTTAAGGTTTCATGGATAGTTCTTTGCAGTTCCTGCTCTCCACTTCATACCAGCCAATACTATAGCTTTTATATTATTGGTTATCACAACACCACACATCTAGGTGCCAAACTCTGTCCCAGTTATCTATTGCTACGTAGCAAATTCCCCCAGAACTTAAAGCCTAAAGCAAAACAACAGCAACAAAAAACAACAGAAAACAAAAAAAAATGTATTATATCTCATAATTTTGTGAGTTAGTAATTTGGGCAAGGCTCAGCTAGCCCATGCTTTTGCTCTGCATGATGTTGAATGATGCCATTTGGCAGGATTCAGCTGGTGGAAGGATGGTCTGAAGGGTTAAGATGACTTCACACACTTTTGACTGGTGCCTAAGCAGAGATGGCTATATGGCTTAATTCATCTGAGATTTTTCAAAAGAATTTATTTTACTTTTAATTTTTGTGGGTGCATAGTAGGTTTATGTTTTTATAGGATATAGGAGATGTTTCGATACAACCATGCAGTGTGAAATAAGCCATGATGGAGAATGGGGTATCCATTGCCTCAAGCATTTATCCCTTGAGTTGCAAACAATCTAATTACACTCTTTAAGTTATTTTAAAATGTACAAGTAAGTTATTATTGATTATAGTCACCCTGTTGTGCTATCAAATAGTAGGTTGTATTTATTCATTCTAACTATTTTTTTTTGTACTCATTAATGATCCTAACCTACCTCCCAGCCCTCCACTACTCTTCCCAGTCTCTGGTAACCATCCTTCTACTCTCTGTCCATGAGTTAAATTGTTTTGATTTTTAGATCCCACAGATAAGTGAGAACGTGTGATGTTTGTCTTTCTGTGCCTGACTTACTGTATTTAACGTAATGATCTCCAGTTCCATCAATGTTGTTGCAGATGACTGAATTTCATTTATTTTTATGGCTGAATAGTTCAGCATTTTGTATATCTACCACATTTTCTTTACTCATTTATCAGTTGATAGACACTTAGGTTGCTTCCAAATCTTAGCTATTGTAAACAGAGCTTCAACAAACATAGGAGTATGGATATTCCTTTGATATACTGATTTCCTTTCTTTTGGCTATATACCCAGCAGTGGGATTGCTGGATCATATGGTAGCTCAGTTTTTAGTGTTTTAAAGTGCCTCCAAATTGTTCTCCATAGTGGTTGTACTAATGTACATTCCCACTAAGAGTGTACAAGGGTTCCATTTTCTCTACATTCTGGCCATCATTAATTATTGCTTGTCTTTTGGATATAAGCCATTTTAACTTGGGTGAGATGGTATTTCATTGTAGTTTTGATTTGCATTTGTCTGATGATCAATGATGATGTTGAGGACCTTTTCATATGCCAGCTTGCCTGCATGTCTTCTTTTAAGAAATGTCTATTCAAATCTTTTGCTCATTTTTTGATCAGATTATTAGCTTTTTTCCTATAGAGTTGTCTGAGCTCCTTACATATTCTGGTTATTAATGCCTTGTCAGGTGGGTAGTTTGCAAATATTTTCTCTGATTCTGTGGATTGTCTCTTCACTTTTTTGATGGGTCTCACTCTGTCACCGAGGTTGGAGTACAGTGGTGTGATTTCAGTTCACTGCATCATCTGCCTCGTGGATTCAAAAGATCCTCCCACTTCAGCCTTCCAAGTAGCTGGGATCACTGGCGTGCACCACCACACCTGGCTAATTTTTTGTATTTTTAGTAGAGATGGAGTCTTACCATGTTGCCCAGACTGGTCTCGAACTCCCAAGCTCAAGCGATCTGCCTACCTTGGCCTCCCAAAGTGCTGGGATTACAGTCATGAGCCACCGTGCCTGGCCTGCTGTGTAGAAGCTTTTTAACTTGATGTGATCCCATTTGTTCATTTTTTCCTGTAGTTGCCTGTGCTTCTAGGGTATTGCTCAAGAAATCTTTGCCCAGACAAATGTCCTGGGGATTTTCCTTAATGTTTTATTGTAGTAGATTCATAGTTTGAGGTCTTAGATTTAAGACTTTAATCCATTCTATTTTGATTTTTGTATATAGCAAGATCCAGATATCTAGTTTTATTCTTCTGCATATGAATATTTAGTTTTCTCAGCAACATTTATTGAAGAGACTGTATTTTCACCAGTATATGTTCTTGGAACTTTAGTCGAAAATGAGTTCACTGTAGGTGTCAATTTGTTTCTGGGTTCTGTATTCTGTTCCATTGGTCTGTGTATCTGCTTTCATGTCAGTACCGTGTTGTTTTGGTTACTATAGCTCTACAGTATAATTTTAAGTCAGGTACTATGATTCCTCCAGGTTTGTTCTTTTGCTTAGGATAACTTTGGCTATACTATACTATAACAAGGCTTGTATGTAGAAAACTACAAAACACTTTTAGTTTGTATCACAGAAGTATCCTTGATATGCACGTATACAAAGCAATGTATCAAGAAGGTCTAAAAAATGGAAAGATATTCCATGTTCAGAGGTTAGAAGACTCAATATTGTTAAGATGTCATTCTTCAAAACTTGATTTGTAGGGTCATCAAAATCCCCATAATATTCCAAGGATGATATTTTGTAGATATCAACAAACTGACTTTTAATTTCATGTGTAAAGACAAAAGACCCAGAATAGCTGATGAAATACTGAAGCACAAAAATGACACTTACCAATTTCAGTATTTGCTGTAAAGCAAAGTAATCAATACAACATGGTATTGGCAAAATTATAAACATGGAGCAATATAACAATGTAGGACATAGAAGTAGACCCCCCAAATATTCACCGTGATTTTTCAGGCACAGAATTTTATGTGGAACTCCTGGCTTTATGTCTTATGAATTCTTGCCTAACTCTAGGTCTAGTTACAGACTGCTCACTTTGCTTTTTGATTCTGATACAAAGGAAAAAGCATTTGGAGAGCAGTATCCTTGGTAATATTAGGGGAATAGAAGCCTTGAAGAGCAACTCTGAATAAAGTCTTAAAGTCAAATGTTCTCCAAAACAAAACTGGTCTTCAAAGACAGGTATTTTTTTCTTTGTGGGAACTAGAGGTATCAGATAGGAGCTCAATCACTGGCTATAAATCTGTTATGTGAGAACTTAAGCAACAAGGTCAGACCATGCCTAGCAACGCTCAATCAGCTGTCCAGGGAGCCTAATCCATGACTCTTATATTCTCACAGAATAGCTACAGTATCAAGCCTTGGTTCAGTTTTGCAGAGAGCTTTATCATATTCAAAAACTATTTGCAATTTCTGTGTTTAAAAACTACGAGATCTAATAGGCTATGTGGTCAAATTTGCCAAATGTGCGATACATAGAAATGAGTACTTACAAGATTAAACAAGAACATTGAAGAAAAAGGTGAGTTTGCAGGTTTACAACATTCAGGCGAACTTTTCTAGAATAGGAAACAGGTCTACCAGAGTGCTTAGTTAGTGTTTGTGAGTGGATAGAATCTCACTGAGGTGGTATGAAAGGAAGCTCAGGAAATGCTATCATGCTCAAATTGAAAATGTACACATAAGTGATAATAGAAAACTGCTTCAAGGTGATATTTAAGCACCATAACATAAACCCTTCCAGGGTTTGATGCACCCATATCATTTTGAATTTAATGCTGTATTAGTTGAACATCCTGTGGATTCTGCTTGAAATGTTATTTAATTTCAGTACGTTTCTCCTTCTTCTATAGTGAGCTTTTATCTAGTTGTAGACCTCAAATATTTTCTTGCAGATTACTAAAATGTATCAGTAGTGCCTGCTTAAGTGACATCAATCTGAATGGAAGAAATGTGAGCTTTGCACATAGTGTCAACAATAAACTTCTTAATTATGCTGTAAATCATGAGTTTCCACTATAGTATTAAAAATGAGAGTTACAAGCATGGCTTCTTTTTTGTTTTTAAATATGGCCTTATATATTTTTTTTCAAAAGAAGCACTCCTCAGTGCATGGTTTCATGGATATATTCAGTAGAGAGTCATTTGTTTTGATAAGTTCTTTTTTTATTTACCAGTAATTCTAAGAATCACTTATGTAAATGATTATAGTAGTCCCAAGACAAAGTTCATTGTTTTCATTTGCTAGAGGTTGCATTATATGGAATGAAATAGACTTTTTTTTCCTCTGGATTGTCCTGTCTTTAATTTTGTTATGTCTGCAATAAACTTGTATTTAACTGCATTTTTTAATTATGTAAAATATTCAGAAATAAATAAAAATTCAAAGTCTTTAGAAGTTTTCAAAAATAATACTTAAAAATTCTCTCTGGTTTGTTTTGACATTAAGAAACCCACAAAAACAATAGTATTATTTGACTTGATATTATTTATCTATAATTTAAATACATTTTACTCATTAAATATAATGCCTGTTAGCATTTAGTTCCAAAACAATAAAGCAGATCTTATTGTAATGACAATTCTTTCCATGAAATTGTACATTATGATTGAATTATTGCCAATTATAGAAGGCTTTGTGCTTGTTGTACCTTTTAAATCATTGAGAATAAAAAAAATGTTATTTTCTAACTACATTTGGAGTCATAATGCCTTAATTTAGCCAACTGTTGTTCAAATCACCTTTTGGCTTTGTTGATAGCTTTCTTTGAAGACTTTCTTCAAATGTTTCAAAATAAAAATATCCTAACTTCTTGGGCTTTCAGGTATTTATATGATGAGTTAATATGCTTTATATTTCAAATACCGAGTTTTACTACATTAATTAAAAAACAATCATCAGGTATTATACAGTAATATTTTGTTCAAATATTAGCTTTCTGCCCACACTGTTGAATCATCTGTCTCTTACTTGTTCCTTAATGAACTTTATAAGTGATTTTATTACATAATATTTGCACTTTGTACATAATAAGCTTACATTAAAATTTTTTTCATTAGTATGATCTGTAGATCTTTAGTATGATTTGATAAAATGGCTTTTATTTGCTGTATTTTACTTTTTCCCATCACATTACTCACAATTCAGTTAATGTTACTATTTTATAATTTATTAAAAGATTATGTGTACAGAACTAAATCTCTAAACTAAGCCATTGCAATAAAGTGGTGATAGCATTGTAAAAGGACACAGAAGACAAACAACTGTTTTCTTTTGCCACTACTGTTATAACCTGTGGGGCTTTGGGCATTTTATTTACTTTTTCTGAGGTTCCAGGGACACATTTGTAAAATGGGGAAACTAGTACTTACCTGTTTGAAAGCAAGATAGTCTCCTGAGTTACATTATTGCCCTAAGATCTCAGATTCATTGATGATTAATCTCCTTCTTGGTTTGAAGCATTTTAAAGTGTTTATTGACAGGCTCAGTATTATGCCTATAAGCCTCCTAGTAGCTAATCTCTATTTAGAAATGTTTGGTCAGTGTCCTCTATTCGTTTCTACACTACTGTATGTTTATTTATTCCATGTTTATATAATACCTGATATAAAATTGTTGAGATGTGGTTGGGAACCATTCTAGTAAAGGAACCACATGTGAGCTGATGGTGAAAGCAATATAAAGAGAAGTGCCTATGAGACACACATTGAGGGAGGAGGTTGCAATGCATGCTAGCTCTATGACACTATCAGAACAAGAACGACCTGAAATTGAGAGACGCCTCTCAACACACTGGGCCCTTGAGTTATTTGGTGGGAGTAGGGTAGGGGTGGAGGAAGGAAGAGTTGTAGGAGGTAGCAAAACTTAGTTCAAGGGATGGGTAAGGTTCTTTCTCAGCATGTTAAAGAATAGCTTCTATTCTATTGTATGGATAATATTTAAATACTTCATAAATTAATGTTTAGTGTTGGCCACTGTAGAATGTGATGCCATAAGCTACAGGTTTGTAGCAAACTGCTGATGATATCTCTGTGACCTCACGCCAACTGTACTTTAAGCTTATGAAGTTTTTAAAAGTCTCAGGGACTCATGGCTATCCATATAATCATGGCTTTTTCTCTATTAGAGTATTTTTCTTCAATATTGCATAAAAAAAGGAAAATTGTTTATTATTAAACAGATCCTAACGCTGCTATCTGACATAATTTGCATAAATACATCAATTACAATTTACATGCTACATTTACATATGATGGTCTGCCTAAATAATAATTCTTAGGAGAGTGCATTTTGTGAGGGGGGCAGTATAAACTTACATTAATCAAAATTTTATAATAATTCAATTCATCTCAAAAGTCTCTTAGAGAAGCAAAACCTTAAAGCTTTTGGAAGCAGACATGTAACACATCAAGAAAAAATGTCAACAAAAATTGTGTGGGTGAGTACTTACCAGGAAAGTAAGAATGAAAGAAAATTCCAGAGAAGTAGGAATTGCAAATGCAGAGGCTTGGAAATGATGGAGCAGAGTGCAGCCAAAGTTTGTCTTATAAAGTTAGGGTGGGGAAAGGGACAGATCTTGGGGTGAAAATTGGGTGTCAAGTCTTCTACAACACTAATGAGGAAGTGTCAGAAACCTATCACTTTGTTTAGCCTATGTTTTAGAGAAGATAAAAAGAAAAACAAATAGTGTTGTTTGGTCTTCAATGTAATCTTTATTTAGATATTATGTATTCAATATTTAGACACCTTATCAAAATATAGTGTATAGTCAATGCATTCGTGGTGAATAGACTAATTATCACATATTCTGTGTGGTGGCTGAATTTTTTTTTTTTTTTTTTTTTTTTTTTTTTTTTTTTTGAGATGGAGTCTTGCTCTGTCACCCAGGCTGGAGTGCAGTGGCGTGATCTGGGCTCACTGCAAGCTCCGCCTCCCGTGTTCACGCCATTCTCCTGCCTCAGCCTCCCCAGCAGCTGGGACTACAGGTGCATGCCACCTCACCAGGCTAATTTTTTTGTATTTTTAGTAGAGACGGGGTTTCACCATGTTAGCCAGGATGGTCTCGATTTCCTGACCTCGTGATCCGCCTGCCTCGGCCTCCCAAAGTGCTGGGATTACAGGCGTGAGCCACTGCGCCCGACCTGAAATTTTTACTATATGTCTAATATAAATCCTTTAGTACCAATAGAAACTATGTATAATCCATTAAATAATAATACTATACCATTTTGATTTATTGGTTTTTATGAAATTAAAATATTGTCATTATTTTTAAATTTCACACATTTTTACTTATTAATTTGTCAGTTGATTTATGGAAAAATGTGATTATGTTAAGCTAATTTGCTGCTCACACTTTTTTTCAAAGTATTGCAAGATGTTAGATTTTTGACTCCCTTTTATAGGTCAAAATGTAAACCACTTAATATTCAAATAGTTATTCTCCCAATAAAGGATTTTTAAATGGACTATATTCTACTTAAATATGTATATTATGTGATATGTTATGATTCTTACTAAAATAATGGCTGAATCCTACAGTCAAATTTTTCCACACGGCCTCCAAAAAGCATGCAGATAAATGAGAGTAAATAACATTATCCAACACCATGGCTAGACAAAACTAGGAGACAGTTGCCTACAAACTACAATTCACATAAAGTGAGTAAACTAAGAATCAGAGAATTAGCCTAAAGAAACTCAGTTTATCCTGGAGAGAACTGAAAAAATATTATACCCAAAAAACATACAAAATAAGCAGAATCAAGCTCTAAATTGTTTGAGAACCTAGTAAATTGTCAACAGAAGAATGAAGAGTGAGGAATGTTCCTATTGGGAATACAATTCCAATCACATCAACTAGGGTTTAACCTAGAAGAAGCTAGTCAAACTTTCAATGGGCAAAGATTGTGAAGATGCCTGATAACTGGCATGTTAATTTAAGAGAAGAGACTCGGAAAGTGTATTGGACTAGAGGAGCAATCTTGGAAAGACACTACATCTGGGAGACAGAGCAACATCATAGAAGTGGGAGGTATTAATTGGAAGCCTGGTTGTGAAAGCATTTTAAGATAAAGAGCTAATGGAGACAAGAAAATGCTCCACTGTGAATTAGACCAATTGTGAAAACCACGAATACCAGACTGATGTAAAATAAAAGCTAACTGAACTAGTAGTAATGAATAACTGAGGAAAAAGATAGTTATACCATAATAAAGATTAATTACAAGGTGCCCACAGGAAAGTAGATATGTTTGATAATAGTGAAAGATACAAAAAATACATATGAAGAAATAGCAAAAGAATAACATTAATAAAGAAAGATGAAAAAAGAGCAGAGAGATAAAGATTGATATGATTGGAATCCAAGAAGAACCAAAACAAAATATTGGAACAGAACTAATACTTAAAATGACAATCTAAAAAACATTTCTAAAATAAAAGAAGACTTGATTGTACATACAGTACTGAAAGCCTTCCATGTACTGACAAAAATTTACTTTGAAATACATCCTAGTAAAACTGCTGGACTTTAGAGATAAAGAAAAATATTTCTTCAGACGTTTAAATTTTAAAAAAGCCACTTAAAAAGGAAAGGAAACTAAAGTTGGTATGAGAATTATTGACATCAACATACAAATTAAGACAATAATGAAGCACTGTTTTCAAGAAAATCAAGGATAGAATGACAAAGCTTTTTATATCCAGTCAAGCTGTCTTCTAAGAATTAAGCTAAAGAAAAGCAGTTCAACACAGCAAGAACTCAAAAAATAGCACACCTCCAAGCCCTCCTTGAAGAATCCACTATGGAGCATATTACATCACACCTTCAGATGCTGGAGAAATTTTTGGCAAATGGACTGGTAGTGAGAATTCAGAACATTTGGGTGAGTATAAATATGGAAAAGGTTCATGTGATTTCTATATGTGCTTGACAAAATAGAAGAAAATGAGACACCTTGGGAGGCCGAGGCGGGTGGATCACTAGAGGTCAGGAGTTTGAGACCAGCCTGGCTAATATGGTAAAAACCTGTCTCTACCGAAAATACAAAAATTAGCTGGGCATGGTGGCTCAGGCCTGTGATCCCAGCTACTTGGGAGGCTGAGAGGCAGGAGAATCGCTTGAACCTGGGAGGCAGAAGTTGCAGTGAGCCAAGATCACACCACTGCACTCCAGCCTGGGTGACAGAGCAAGACTCCATCAAAAAAAAAAAAAAAAAAAAAAAAAAAAAAGAAAGAAGAAAGAAAGAAAACAAGAGGAGATGGGAGAAAGAGAAAAGAAAACTATGGAAAGCCCATGAACTTATCACGTATTTTGGAGTCAAAAATTATTTTTTCAAGCTAAGAAATCACATAAGAAAAGCTTAAGGAAAAGGAGGATTAAAAATAATACACAAGAGTATTAGTACAAAAGTAATCACTAGAAAAAAATAAAAATCTTCCTATCAAAAGAATGCAAAAAATAAAAATAAAACAGTGAAAAACACACAAATATAATACAGTAAATTATACATATATATGTATCTATGTATATATAAGAGCTGAGACCAAATACATCAGTCATATTATTACATGTAAATGGCATCAATCATGTATTGAAAAAGATTTGTAAAGGCTTACAAAGCAATACCCACCTCTGCAATATGCATGTGACATATCTGAAACAAAGTGACTCAGAAACAATAAAAATAAATAATATTGGCAAAGAAGCACCTTGTGTATTGAACACCTTGTGTCCAACTTTTAATTATCTCAGGTCCTCATCTAACTCTACTCAGTGCTCTGGCTGTGGGTTCCAAGTAGGCTTTGCACTAAAGTGCCTCACTTTGCACATGAATCTTAACTATATAACAAATCTGACTTATACCAATTCATTTTAAAAGCTCCGTTCTATGGAAGAAAAATAACATGAACAACATTCTATAGTCAAATGCAGTAAAAATAGGCATTTAATCAAAAAAATCTTTAGAGGCCCTTCTTATCTAAAAGATATCAAACTCCTTATTAAATTCTTGGGTCAAAATGGAAACAAAAACCATCCCAAAATAATGATAATGGAAACACTGTATAATGGAATCTCTGGAATAACATTAAAGCAGTGGTGGGAAGAATTACATAATCAGGTCAATAAAAATGAAAATAAAAGAAATATTTGACTCAGAAATGTAGGAATACAGCAACAAGTTAAAATTTCAAAAAGCAGATGGGAAATAATAATGACAAAACCCAACATTTATTAAGCAGAAAACAGGAAACAAAACCCAGTAGAACTAAACAAGTAAAGTGCTTTTAAAAATCAGCAAAAGAAGCAAATTGCTAGCAAATTAGTCAAGAAGGACTAATATATGATACAAGAAATGACCATGAAACATCATTCGAACAAGGTATGTATTTAAAAAGGGAGATAATGCTGCTCAATCCTGTGCATATGAATTTGACAACCTTGCTAAAATGGCTAATTTCCTAGCAAAGTATAATTTATCAAAATTGACCCCAATAGAGGCAGAAAATATTAAGGTCATACTTTTTATAAAAGAAATAGATAGTTAATCAATGAATCCCCCAGAGAAAAGCATCAGGCTTATATATTTGTACAACCCTCAAAGATAAGATGATCCCAGTGCTGCTTAAACTATTCCAGAGCTCAGAGAAGGAGAAAAATTTCTAAATTCTTTACATGAGGCCAGTATAACTGGTATTTAAATCTGGTAAAGATTTCAAAAAAGGAAGCCAAAGACCAATATCACCTATAAATATTAATGCAAACATCTTAAATACTAGCAAGTCAAATCCAATAGTATATTTAACAATATATCATGGCCAAGTAAGATTAATTTCATTAATGTCAAGCTGTTTTACATGTAATATCAATTAATAAATCTATCAATATAAATCAACATATTAATATGTTTAAAGAAAAAATAAAATATCTCCACAGATGCTCAAAAGTCATTTGACAAAATGTAACAATTCCTAATAAAAACACTTATTAACAAACATCACTATTAGTTGTGTAAAGCAACTATGTTATACTCACAGATCCTGCAGATGAGGATTTTTTTAAGAAGGTATGGAAATGTACCATTTTATCACAAAGAGTCAAACAAAAATGAAAATAATATCTCAAAAGGAAACTAGACTACCACCCTACCCCTTCAGAACTGGGGCAAGACAGAGAGAGGGCAGGCAGAGTGAATTCCCTAGCTCACTTGAGACCAGTGGGAGCTATGAAAACAGAACCAACCTAAAAATGGGCGATGTTAACCTTAGGAGACTGAGAAGAACAGTGGGTCCTTAAAGACCCAGCCAACCCTTTTAGAATGCTCAATAAGGGCACCTTTCCAAAGCTACTAAGCGGCCCATGGCATTTCAGGATTTTGTCTTATGGTTGCATAAAAGTATTACTTCCACCCAGACTTGGCACCTTTTATGGTTCAAAGTTAAAAACTGGGGAGGGATGGGTGGCAATGCAGCTCCTAGAAGAGCTCACCCAGCATAGCTGCCATGGGCTCAGGGCCTTGGTTTCTGTTTAGTCCCTGGGAATACTTATATTTGATAAATTTTTATATAAATATAAAATAGATAAATAGAAAATATAAAATCTGAAGGGTTAGGGGAAAAAGGTGGGAGACTTGGCAAGAAGCCATGAATCAGGAGAGGTCTGCTCAGGCCAACTTGATCTTCTCCTTGATCCCTTTGGCTTCTTGCTTCTCCTCTTTCCTTTTCTCCTCTTCTGTGGCTTTGAGACTTTCTTCTCCTTTGAGACTTTCTCTTTTTCATCCTCTGTTTTGACCCTCTTCAAAAGAGCCAAGAGAGTGGACCAGGATTCTGACCAGGGTCAGGGTGATGGCTTGTCTCAGCAGCTTGATGTCTGGGTCTCATCTGGGGACTAAATGGCTGTGGATGACTCAAAGGCTGGGCACTGGAATTTTCTTGGGCTTCCTCCATTACATGGTTGGCATTTGGACTGAGATGACCTATAGACTGAGCTCACTTGGGACCGCAGATCAGAACACCTATGTGTGGCCTCTGTTTGGTTTGGGCCTCTCAGAGCATGGTGACTGAGTGGTGACAGGGTGCATGCTGAGAAGGAATATCTGGAGAGCTAACTTTTCAACAGACAGAAGGCTTCCTTTGACATAGCCTCGAAAGTCACACATAACTTCACTTTTGTCGTGTCCTGTTGGTTTTAATTGAGTTGCTTAGGCTGATCCAGATTCAGGGAGAAGGGAATTAGCCTCCATCCCTTGATGGGAGAGTAACAAGGTCATACTGCATAGCTAAATTTGGGATGGGAGATAGTGCTATAAGAATTACTGGAAAATGCAATCAGTTACACTCAGCATCTTACTTAGTGGGGAGATAGTAGAAGTATACCTGCCAAAGTCAAGGCAAGATGCTTCCCATCTTCACTAGTCTTTAACAGGGGATTGGGGATTTTTGCCAATGTAATTAGAACAGAACAATTAAAGGTAGCATATGAACTGAAAAGGACTATCTCGCGCATGTGCATGTGCGTGTCTGTATACAAAAGAGAGAGAAAAGAAGTAAATATGTACAAAATTAAGATGGAGGTTATATAGATGCTCACCGACATAAGGAACTCAAGAGGTGCACATGATTGTTCTAGGCATACAGAGTGTATATTAAAAGTAGGCTTGATCTATGCCCTGTAGATACCTATAATCTAATAAAATATGCAAAAAACAGACCAAATATACAATCAACAAAGCAATGTAATTATAATTTTTAAAAATACCTCTTTCAAGAAGCTGAGGTGTAATTACAGATGTTCCAAATACAAAAACCTTCTGAGAAGAGGCAAAGCATGAAGGAAATTGTAAGAACACGTATGAAGTGGCAAGCAGGAGTAAAAAAGAAATGTAGACATGAGGACTAGTTTGGGAAGAATGCAGCTATTTGTGTGAAAAGTACTGGGTAGCAGAGTTGGTAGCTTGAGCTCATGCGTACCTGAAAGAACATTTCAGACAGCTCCATATGCTTCCATGTGGGGCGAGAGATTGAGGAAGGGGAAGGGATGCATGTGGAATATCAGTTCCCTCTATCTCAGTTGTTATTCTGTTCAAAAGTTTGCAGACGTTTGAGATCAAAGGTGTATAGTAAAAGTAATAATAATAATAGAACTAACGTTTATTAAGCCCTATTGTGTACTAAACATTGTGCTAAATAAGAAATGCTAGGCTCAGTGCTCCTAGTGTTATTTTCCACTGCACAGCTCCTTCTCTGAAAATTCACATGGCCTCTACACTGTCACAGAAGCCTGAGTAGAGAGCACACAGGGGGCTGAGATCTCCCTCCCAGTCAGTGATAAGTGGAGGGGTACACTGTGACCCACCTCCCATCTGTGTCCGAAATCCAAAGAGAAACAGAGAGCTCAGTGGGTATTATTGTACATGCCCTTTTCATTAGCATTCAGTTTTGGTCTGTTGCTTATGATGAGATAGGACAAGCATTTTCAGGGTGCTCCATTAAATTTCTTCCTAACGCCTGAATCTCTTCATGATAGTGGGAAGATAAGATGCCCTTGTCCTCAATGTCCTTTTATTATTCACTCTAACCTGGTTCTCAAGTGTCTCCATTCACCCATTCTGAAGCCTTCTTTTCCTAATCTTTGTAGATTATTTCTCCATTTTTTGAAGACCGGGTAGTTGGCTCTTAAATGTTTCCTGCGGTCCTTTCATTTCACTGAATTTTAAATATTTCAGCCAATTTGAAGAGTTCATAATGATGAATAAGATTAAGCTTGGAGCTTAACCTTTTGAAACTGGGTGACGCGTTAACTCGGCTGGAACGCTGGTTAATTTAACAGCAGGAGTTGAATTAACTTGTCACAGCTCTGCCATTGTTAAATTTCCTGCTCCTGATCCTTGTCCCAATCTTGCACAGCTTAGTTGTCCTGGGACCAGAGGATGAGCTGGGGTGAAGAATAGGGTGGAAATGGGAAAGGAAAGATGGCTTGCCTTGTTAGGTTGTAGCAAGGTGACCAGAAATGGCCAGATGAGGTATTTCTTTCAGTTGGGGAAGACTAGAAAGGGAGAGGAGAGGAGAGGAGAGGAGAGGGAGGGAGGGAGGGGCTTGGAAACTAAATGGCGATGCAAGGGAGTCATGGAGGAGTGTAAAGTGATGAATAGAAAGGAGATGAGATACAAAAGAGAGGCTTATGTTAAGAAGAGGCAATGGATGATGTTACATGATTTCCTGGGAATGCATTACATTTTGTGCATTTGAAGTTGTTAATATTGGCAGTCTGGTGCAGAAACAAAATTATCTGCTTAAAAATATTCCTTGCACTGGGCAAAAATGAAATTGTTGAAACATTGGAATAATTTCTGACATGATCTCAACGACAGAGATGTAATTCTAAACTGGGCTTAGCAGAATTATTAATTTTGCATATTTGCAGATCCTTGTCAAATATTTTGGCTTGATGCAATATAGTCAGGAAGCAGGTGTAGGGGAGAGAGTAAAGAAGTAGACGAATTAGTGAGGGAAAGCTAATCAGGGAACAGTGAGTCAAAGGTGGGTGGGCAGAGGTAAGAGCATAGCATTCTTTTTTCCAGGGAGGAGTGCAGAGAGGGCTTTTGTGGAAGTTGGGGGCAGAAAGCAGGATGGAAGCAGCTATAGCAAGCATGTCTGCACAGCTAACTTCCCCTTAAACAAAGTAGAAGGCGTTGCTGGGCTGGAATGCTCTGTGCATGTGTTGCTTGCCCCATGAGTCACTCTCAAATATGCATTCTCTCAGGTTTGCTATTCATTCTCAGACAGGAAGCTCTGTGCAGTTAAATAAGCTCCTTGGTTTTCAGGGCAGAGGCCTAATGACACCGGAAATGCAGGCAAAATGACCAGACTGCTTCTAAGCCACTTTGAGGTCCATCAATAGAGATCACCTAGAGCCTGTCTTCCTTTCAATTGTTTCAGTGGTGCCTTAAAGTAACACCTAAAGCACATTTTCTTTTATTTGTATGACTTTGTTTCAGGGCTCATGTTATTCCACAGATGCTCTAACAGGTTTTCAACTTCCAAGGTAGTTGCCCGAAAAGATGGTTGGCTGTTCAGGAGCCTAACTAGTGCTCAGTAGCTGGATCTGAAGCGGATTACTAAGGATTCCAGGGCCTTTTGCTTCTGTCCAAAATTACTTTAAGGTATAGCTATCAGATGGCTGGGCTGTGTCTGATGGATCAAGAGAGTGAGGCTGGTGGAGAGAAGGTGAGAGGGATAAGCAGGAGATAGAGGACAAAAGGAAGATTAAAAAAAGTGCAATAAGAGAGGAAAAGAGTGAAGAATTTCTTTAGTTTCAGTATAGAAACTAAACTCTCATGGCATTTTAAATTCATCAATTGCTGCTAAAAGGCACAAAGAAAGTTTTAAATCCAGGTATCTAGAGATCAATGCACTGCAAAGTAACCACAATAGAAGAAATTGAATGAATTAGTGGGTAGGAAAGTATTATCCTTATATGGCAAGAGCAGTTTGCTGAATGCAGTGCTTGTTTTGCTTCAGACATTCCAAACAGAGGTACTGATGTTGGTGAAGGTGGGGCAGAATTTGGGGGTATAAATTTGCGTAGTAGTTAATACTGCAATAGTGTTAACTACACATGGCCCCTTTACAACAGTGATAAAATTTTCATTTTTCTTGTTTAGAGTCGGGCTTCACTCTATTGCCCAGGTTGGAGTACAGTGGTACGATTATGGCTCAATGTATCCTCCAACTCCTAGGCTTAAGCAATTCTCATGCCTTAGCCTCCCAAGTAGCTGGGACTACAGGTGTATGCCACTTTGCCCAGCTAGCTTTTTTTTATTTTTAGAAATGGGGTCTGGTTGTGTTGCCCAGGCTGGTCTTGAAACTGCAGTAAAATTTAAAAATGTTTATCACCATCCAAAAATTCTATAATTCTCAAAATAAAAATAATAGTTAGTGAAGGTGAATTAGCTTTGCTCTCTAGCATAAGGATTTAGTTTTTTTTTCAAGTTCTAAGAGATCTTTAAATTATTTGGTTTCTAGAGTAATTAAGGGCAGCCCTATGTAGAACCTCTATAACTATCTTGTAACATATTGCTTCTCAATTTTATTTGGAATAACCTGAGTTTGGACTTAGTATTTCTGTTAGATAATGAAGATAAAATAAGGAAAATTTAGATTAAAAAGAAGAGGGGCACAAGAATTTCCTGAGACCTATCAGACCTGTCATTTCAGATGACTAAAGTAGTGATTTCCAAACTATGTTTCATGGAATAGTACATGAAATGGCATTTCATAAAAAATACATTCCAATACTTTATTACTGCATATCTTCAGGATGTGGCAAAGAACTCTCCAAATGTATTGACTATGGAATCACTTTTTTTTGGTCATAGAATACTAATTCCTACATTTTAGAACAGGGCTATTCTTTCTAAGAATATTACAGTCATTCTTCCACTGAGTTTCCATGACAGGGCTCAGAAATGACTTGGACATACAGCCTATTCGGAGAGAGGAGAGAATTCAACATTCTCAGTCCCACCAGTGTTATTTGATGCAGTAGGTCCCACATGAGACATATTCAGCTATTTGTGTCATGCTAGCGTGGGCGTGACCCTCAGCTTGGAGTGGCTTTTATTTGTGGTGGACAGTGTCCGAGGAACTTTATGAGTACAAGTTAAAGAAGTGGCATGGTGTTGCTACCAGGAAAACCAAGTCTCGAGGTTTCCAGGTTTCAATGTGCTGAGTGCACCTTTTACAGCTACAAAGCGGGAGCCGCGGGCTGTTCTGGTTCATCTGGATAGGGCATCTGTACTCCTAGTCAAATGGCCATCCAGGCACCTCGGTGCTACTTTATGTGCCTGTAATTTCCATTATGACTTTAGACTGTCATCTTTCAGCATATTTTCATTTATTGTTTTTAGCTACAATCAGGGCTGTAATAGGAGAGCCATTCTAGGGAGTGAGTGTGCAGATAAAATATGTAGACCCCGGCAACAGTGAGGTCTACTTAGCCACACCTCATATTTCAGTTCACAGAAATGTGTGTGGGGGCTGACATAAGTACTCCCTGTTGTGTTATTGCTTATGGCTCAGTAGCCCTTTGAGAAGACCAGAGAATAAAGGACTGCAGAGCGCCGGTGTTGAAACAGCAGTGCTAGAGAGGGTGCCTCCATGCACCCGAGAGAGTTTTATGTTTTTTAACAAATGTTTCTTGATGTTACCTTTAAATCCCACATGCGTTTCCTTCTCTTGCCATCCACATCAGTCGTCTCTCTGCTTTTCAGGCTTCCTTTTGAGGCATCAATGAACCTAAAGGAAACCAGCATGGTGGGAATTTCACGACAACTTGCAGCATATCGCTCTTTCTTGGCAAGGGATGTTACTGAATGGCATTCAGACTCTCACTGCAGGGCCACAGCTGATCAATAATTTTCAGGAGCCCCTTCTGACTGTGTCGGAAGCAAAAACCAGGGAATGTCACCAAATCAGTTAGAAATAGCACCCTGACAGGAAAATTCCAGAGCAGTCAAAAGATAAATTGTAACATTTGGTTATATTACTATGTGCTAAGGCTCTTTCTTGACAGGAGACATTTGGTTCCCATTTTAAGGTTGCAGAGGGCATTAACTAAGCATGGAGATAGGGCTGTGATGAAGGAGTGTTTCAAATAGCTACATTAAGAAACTGAGGTTGTCAAATCTCCCCTTGTGATTTTGAGGACGAGAAACGACCATTCAGGTATATACTAAAAGATTCCATTAGAAAATTATTTTAAATGCTGTTATCCTGGTAAAGCCTCCCCTGATGAAATGGAAATAATGTTATGATTTCTAAACTATTTTTTTTCTTACTTTTCTATCTGGAAAGTCTCTCATTTTTAATGTAGTACAGTTATATTTTTCTTAGCTTATTTTTTTGAAGTGGCAGTAGTAGGTCTACCTAGTTGCTGCATGATTAACTAGAAATTGCAACAGTTCATTAGTTTTTAAAAATCTTAAATAATGCAGCGCTTATACAGAACAATGGTAAATATAAAATAACTTGGTAAGTATTTTGGGGTGATAAAGAATCACAATATCCGCTTTCTTCATTTGTATTGTTCATGTAGAGAAAATACAGCAACTATTACAAATATCCCTGTGATCAAAGCCATTTACTGATAGCTAGCATGTAGAATAAAATATGGTTGGGGATGACAAAAAAGGAAACTGAATTCTTGGGCTTCTTATCCTCTTTTTGTAAGTTAGCAAACTGATGGTCAGACTGGTTAAGTAGTCCTATAGGTCATGAATGGTCAAGGTAGAATTTGAGAGGAGATGTAACAAACTCTAAAGTGCTTGCTGTTTCTTTAATACAAGACTGTGTCCTTGTCAGTAACAAAAAAAGTGGGACTAACAGATTATTTATTCTGTTTTCAGCTTGAGTTTGTTTATCTGTAAAATGGGGGATTATATTACATTCATTACATAAATTTTAAAACTGTTGCAAAGACAAGAGATAATTGACATAAAGAGATTAGCATAGTAGACTCTTAATTAATAGTATTCTTTGCCATCATGATTATCCTCAACCAGAATTGCAAAGTGACTTGTAGAGTTAGTTAAAATAAAAATATTTCTGAAAGAGATAAGCTTAATATTGATTAGCACTTTGAAAGGGCCAGACTTGACATAGGAGGGGAAGGTCATTGAAGTTAGATTCTCTGATTTTCTCTGTTAAGAGAATGGGAATCACTTTTAGAAAGATTTTTATTTTGAGTAACTCTACAAGTCACTTTGCAATTCTGCATTCTCAATGAGGGAATGTTTTGCCATAACCTGGAGGCAGGATAATTTAAATTTGAATTTGTGGAGTCTTTTATACAGGACTCATTGGATAGGATTGAAAGGAAAGTTGTCATATGTAAAAATATGGTGATGGCAATTAATAGAGTCTTCATTTATTTATTGATCAAACATTTAGTGGGTGCCACTTCACACCAAGCAAAATACTAGGTTCTGGATTTATAAGATATATAAACCATGATTCCTCTATTCAAGGAGCTGACAGCTTAATGAGGCATCAAATAATGAACCAATGCTCTTCTGAGTGGAAAGTGTTATAAAATAGAGATGTGTAAAAGGTATGGTGATGGCAATGAGCAATAAGAAGCTAACTTTTTTCTTTTGTGTCTTTCTACTTATTTAAGTGTTTATTAATTTCATTCAATGTTCTCAAGGTACAAGTCTTACACTTTCTTATATTTCTTTTTTGGTATAAATCAAAGGGGTACAAGTGCTGGTTTGTTACATGGATATATTGCGTAGTGGTGAAGTCTGAGCTTTTAGTGTAACCATCACCCAAATAATATATATTGTACCCATAATTTCTCTTTCCTCACCCCAGCTTCTACTCTCCTATCCTTCTGAATTTCCAGTGACTATATTCCACATTCTGTGTCCATGTGTACACATAATTTAGCTGCCACTTGTAAGCGAGAACATGTATTATAGTATTGACTTTCTGTTTAGGATAATGGCCTCCAGTTCTGCAGAACACTATGATTTTATTCTTTTTTATGGTTGAATCATATTTCATTATACTTAGTTAAATTTATTCCTAAGTATTTTATTATTTTTGGTGCTGTTGTAAAAGGATCTATTTTCTTAATTTTATTCTTAGATTGTTGGTGATTTATAGAGATATAATAGAAGGAAACTTTGCCAATCTGATAAAAGATATTCATGAAAAGTCCACAGCTAACATCATGTTAGTGGTAACTGAAATATACACTTCTAAAATCAAGAACAAGAAAAGTATGTATTCTCTCACTGCTTCGATTCAGCATTTTTGTAGGGAAAATTGTAGCCAGAGCAATTAGGCAAGGAAAAAAAGCCCATCCAGATTAAATAGGCAGAAACAAATCTATATCTATGTATAGATTTGGTTTGGAATATAAAAAATCCTAAGTTTTTAAAAAACACCTATTGGAGATAATAAATGATTTCAGCAAGTTTGCAGGAGCTAACTTTCTTGAGAAGACTGCAAAAGTCTTTTCTAAAGAGTGCTACTTAAAAACAGCACTTTCCTTTGAAATTTCAGTTTGAATTTCAGAGGGTGGACAGCCCCAGAGTGGCCTAGGGAAGTGAAATAACAGAATCAAAATGCTTGGCAAAGAAATTCCTTTACCTGTAGGATGTAGCGGAGAGTGGGGTCTGAAATATCTGAAAAAAATGTTACTGTACATACTATAGGAAAAGGATAGAGACTAACCACAGATTAATTAGGAAGAATTAATGGATTATGGGTTCTGCATCAAAGATAAAATGAGAGACATAGTAAATACGATATATTTATAAGCTTAAATGTTGTCGGAGATCTTTGTGCCTGTGATATATACATAGAAAGATAAAGAGTCATACAAAACATCAGCTTGAATGAGAGTTAATTATTCCCAGCACAGATAATTTCAAGAAGGTGTCAAGCAATGGGACCAACTGGGAAAACTGAATAGCTTATAAGCATTTTCTGAATTGAATCTATTTCATTTTGTACAGAGTCCACAATGGTATTGTTGACAAAGAGGAAATAGATATGTCTGAGGAATTATGAAACCAATTTTTTTTTCCTTTTTGAGTTTGTCAAGAGTAGGGATATAAAAACAAAATTCCTATATAAAAAAGGAAATATCCAAACCCACTTACTTCATAGCCCAAAGGGACTTTGGGATTATTCCCTGTTCTACTCTCTTTGATTCACATCAATAAATGAATTGGCCCTATATGTAAGTGAGATCTTCAAAATAAGATATTTCTGTGTTTCTTTAATGATATGTGAAGACAAAGTACAAATGTTTTAATGGTATCTTCAGGAAAATTCTTTATCTTCAGTTAGTCAGCATGGTTATGATTGTTGTCACTCCAGTCCTGATAGTATAGATGTCATCATTGTGTCCCAATGGTGTGACTTTTTATGCTCTAATATGACTGAGTGGACAGAAGCATGTCACATTTACTTTCCAGTGCTGTGCAAATTTTCTGGTTTTCTGAGGCTCACCATATCACAATTATTTATCTATTGTTTTTAAAATCTCCTGTTACTCAGAAAGAAAAATCTTCCTGAAATAACATGAAATGAAAACTCAGGTGAGTAAATAAGAATCTGAAAATCTACATTTATTTCTTTCAGTAAATAAATATGATATGAACAAAGGATTTTAACTTTTGTTGAATGGGAGCATCAGTCTTGCTAATCTTGCCTTCATGAGGTATCAAAATTTAAAATCCTTGAGCTCAAGAGTGCATTCCTGGGAATATATAGGAAATTTAGAAGATGCAGACCAGGCAGAAATCATTTGGTGGGTATAGTTGTGTTAACAAAAATCCGAGTGGTGAAAGAGAATCCTGGGATGTTCATGTTTGTTACTTGTACATTGAGATGATTCCAAACTCCAAGATGATATTGAGGAACAGTATAGTTTACTGATCAAGAGCATGGGCTTATCATCAAACAGACCTGGATTCAAATCCTTGCTTCTCAACTAATTATAGAATTTTGTGCAAGTTTTTATCTTTGCTGAATATCAACTAATTCCCTTATCCTAGGATGGTGATGAAGATGAAATGAAGCTAAGAGGAAAACGTTTACAAAATACTCAATACAGTGCCTGACATAGAAAATGATCAATAAATGGTACTAGCTTTAAAATTATATATTTCTTTCTTCATATCTAGCTTCAAGATTTCAAACCAAATGAAACATTTCCAGCATTCGTGGGCGAGGTATTTAGTTACATCTTACCTATCATCTTTTTGTACGCTGCTAGAGAAGTACAGCAGCCAAACAGATTTGGCAAACTCAAATCAGTGTTCTGCCACTCTCTCCTAGACTTTGGATAACTATCTCTTTACAAGCTGATCCTGACAGGTCAGCCCCCAGCACTGCTTGCTGGAGACAGGGCCACTTAAATGAATGAGCTTCCAGTGACTAGGGCTTTCCTGTAGTTGTTGGGCACGCTAGCCTATGGCTTTGCCCTGCTGCTCTTACCTGGAGAGTTTTGTCTGCCCCTTTAGCCTTCAGTCCTTTTTGGTTTCTCCTTTATCTTATTTTAGCTCCTTAAGAAATGGAGAACAAAAGTGAATTTATAGCTTCAGTCTCTGATGTGAGGCTTGTGACTTTGCCTCCAATGGCTGACTTGAAGATTTTACCCATCCAAGCAGAACTTCCCAACACTGCGTGTCAATTTCTTATCTCCAGTGTACTTATTTTGGGGAATGCAATGGATTCTTCTTAGACTTTGTGAAATCATTAAACAAACAGATTTATTGTTCCACCTAAAAATTCCAAATATATAGGAGGAAGAACTTCCTTCCCCTCAACACGAGGCTTACCTAAGGCTGTTTGTTCATGGCTAAATATCAATATGCAACTTGTGTTGGAGCAACTGATGTTAGTGACTACTCTTCATGCTATTGAGAGCATTGCTGTGTGCTCTACCAGTCCCAGTGACTCCAGTGACTTAATTTCTCTTCATTTCTATTATAGGGAGATTAGATGTGCCAGTGTAATAAGGGTTACCCTAGAATCCTATCTACTCTTGATTCTGTGGTCTTGGCATACTGTATTTTATTTTATTTCTAAATTTTATTTTTGAGACGGAGTTTCACTCTCGATGCTCATGCTGGAGTGCAATGGCACTATCTCGGCTCACTGCAACCTCCACCTCCCAGATTCAAAAGATTCTCCTGCCTCAGCCTCCCAAGTAGCCGGGATTACAGGCACCCCACCACCAAGCCCAGCTAATTTTTTTTGTATTTTTAGTAGAGATGGGATTTCACCTTGTTCGCCAGGCTAATCTCAAACTCCTGACCTCAGGTGATTCTCCTGCCTCGGCTTCCCGAAGTGCTGGGATTACAGGTGTGAGCTACCATGCCTGGCCTTGGTATATTTTAAACATAAAATAGATTTCTTGTAGGAATTCTCCAAAAATGAAAAGGAGGCCAGGACCTGATTTGAAAGAAAGCGCATTTTTGGAACCTTGGAGGCAGCTTCTGGAATTGATTACTCAGGGATATTCAGGGGTAATTCAGAGTCTCCCAGTGATTTGTATCAGAAGAATGGAAATAGTAGTTTCTCTTCTTGGAATTTGTCATTTTGTCACTCATTATTTAAAGTACTAAAGAGATCAAAACACACACACACAAAAATGTTGCCATAATGGCATAGTGAATTAATGAATTAATGTTCTTACAGCTAGTGAGCCACTTAATGCTGTCTAAGAATTTGGCTCATAAAGAAAGAAAAAAAAACACTTCTTGTTGTATAACAATTTCCAAGATTTTATGTTTCTTTTCTTCTTTGAGGAATGGAAACTGTAATAATAGTATGGCCATCATTTGAAATTAATTTCAAAGGCCTACCCAGTTTACTACTTAAGATCAAAGCCTACATTTTTCTGACATTCTTTTGATGCTAATTACCATTACAGTTTAATTGACTTCCATTCAGGGAAAGCTATGTATATGCACACACACACACACACACACACACACACACACACAACTTTGTAAGACTATGTTTTATACACATACATATATATGTATGCACTTATATGTCCATAATATGCTGTTGTTAGCAGTTATTTAATAAAAAGCAGTAAAATAACTGGGATTTAAAAAATCCAGAATTGATTTAATAGGACACATTAAACATGTTTTACAAAATAATATACAATAGAAACCAAGCATAAAGGTGAGTTAAAGATTTTGTGTGAGAAAATATTTTTTTCTGGCCATCATGCCACTCTGTAAGACCTTTTCGAAATGTAGAAGCACAACCACACGCCATTCTCCCAGCTCTCTCTCTCTCCTTTTTTTTCCACATTTTATAAAACTGCAGTTTTATCGCTAGATAATACAGTAAAAAGATTCATTGTAAGGGTTACCTAACAACGTTGGTGGTGTTGATGAATAGTTGCAATTAATACATTCCCTTAATTAGTCTGATACCCAGAAGATGCACCTGGCAGGTCATTTTAATACTACAATTGATTTATAGCTGCTAGAAATGATTTTACCAGCTATCTTCAGAGAGTACAATTAGAGTGGATTTCATTTTTTTATGCATTTTCACTGAGGAATAAACATAAAAGGTCTATGTAATTCAGAACAAAGCAGCTATAATGTACTAATGGTTTATGAATTTTATTAATATTCAGCTAACATTAGAGGCAATTTTAGGGGAGAGCAACCTATTTCCTTTATGAAGTATTCAGTTTTTTACTATCTGAGTGCTTTGTTTAAAAAATAAACCTTGATATCTTCTGATGACTTGCTTCTATTTCTTATAGGAAAAATGTTACACGTTACAACATAAGAAAAAATAAAACAGAAAATTTAAGTGCTATTTATTGATTGCATGAAGATGCAATTATATACTGCATATTTACTTCTTAAATACATGTAAATTTTTAAAAAGTCGTTAGGCATTCATGTGATTTAAGTAGTGCTTCCATTAATATAATTATTGAGCTAATGGATGAACTCTATTAGTAATGGAGGGAGTTGCACTTTGTGGTAGAACAGGTAACAAAATATTTAAAGTACCCGATTACATATCTGGCTTTTAATTCTCTGTTTATCTAGGATATTAATTTTGCTAATCGGGACTGTTTGTCCTTCTCGCTCGTCATCCATAATGTGGGCCCAATTTGCTTGTTTAGTTTAAGATAGTAAGACAATAAGAAATCAGTTCCACAGATAAAGCCCATAGTCCTTTTAAAAGTATTAGTACTTAAATGCACGATTCCTATGACTACTGTAAGCTCTATCTAGAAAATGTCTGTATCAAAAGGGCAGTGAACCTCTGTAAGCTCAGGAAATTTACATATAAAAAATCCAAAATTCATTTAAAATTTATTCTTTGACTATTTATCAAGGGCCTACTACGTGTAAGATACTAAGACCAAAATTGCTGTGAATCAAGAGAGAAAAACAAAAGGTTTCTTTTTACAATCTAGATGGGAAGAAAGGGCAGAAGGACTCATTGACTGATCCACCAAAATGAACTCATAAGCCATTGACTTCCATGAAGGAAAGGTTGAGCCTATAAGAGGATATGGCAGGGAGACTGGATTGCTTTTGCATCAGTGTATTACAGATTCTGAACCGGAACTTGACAGTCCAAACTACACAGAAATGCTCCACAGCACCCATAATGTCTCTTTAAGAATATCTATCCTTCATCAATAATGACAATCCTTCTTCTGAACCTTTACCAGTAGGTGAGCTTAGTTTTTTGTTTTGTTTGGTTTGGTTTTCAGTAATTGGTAATAGACTTGCAAAATCATTCAGTCTCTGGTCCAGATTTCCTTCTTTTTAATGCTATACTTTACAAAGACAGTCAGCTTGGGTTAGCGATAGAGTTTAAGATCAGGTATTCTAATTCTCTGGAAGCTGATAATCCACATAAAGTATAATCTGTCAAATCTTACAATATATTTTTTAAATAAAAATTGCTCAGCCAACACCATTCTGGAAAACTGATGTTCAGCATTATAGTTTTATTTCCTTTGTCTAGAACCATTCAGGCAAAATGATCTGTCAAGAGTTTAAGGCCTTTGATTCTGTACCTTTTGTATAAAAACTACAAGTTTAAAATAACAGTGCTTTATTAAGTAGTTAGCATAAAGTTTCTAGATTTCCTGGTGAGTCTCCTAATGCTTATAAGGAAACTACAAGATGACTTCTACTGGAATGAGAGGGTCGCCGGAACCTGGAAGTTTCGAGTTATTGGAAGCAACATTTTCTCTGCTAACATTCTGGTGTGGCTGACAGACAGTTAAAGCATGCTGCCTGTTGGCTATTAATGCCTGCTAACCCTTTTACCACCACTTCTGTGGTTATCCTGAAGGAGTCAGTAACCAGTTCCTAAATTATAGAATTGGGACTTCAAGAGGTCATTTTACCCATCCCCCTGCTTCTGGGCAGGACAATGCTTAATGATCTTGGCTCACAGAGCTCTCTCTGAAACCAATTGATGCACAGATGCAACCATTCACCTCGGGGGGAAATGATGCTATGTAGATAGGTTGTCTTTGTTTATTTCCTTTATTGGTGAATGAACATTTAAAAGTGAAATTCTCTCCCACTTGATTTTGTTTGCAATGTGGTCTAAATTATATTCTGCTCTGTTCCTCATGCTGCAGGAGGTTTTTAATGCTGACCAGGATCACTGACAGCCATCTGTGCCTGGCCCCAGGCATGGACTCTCTTAGGATATGTCCACACTCACCTGTCGGCACTACAGGTTTAGGCTGCTAATATCATTTGAAAACTTTGCATTGAAAGAAATAGGAATAAAAAGATAGTTTTACCTCCTGTGGGAGAGTCATTATTCCTACAATTTATTGAACAGCTAGCTCCTCCTTTCCAACTTCTTTACTGCTGGCTGTTGAAACAACTCATGTTACCTTTTACTCTTTTTTTTTGTTTTTAACTTCTAGTTTAAGTGCTGAAGAGTCGATGCTTCTTTTCCCAAGTTCCCACTAACCTCTTTATAATGATGCATAAAATAATGAAAATGAAAACCCAAAATTAATCTGTAGTTTGTAAATAATTTTTAAACATGAAACAGATCAATCTCAGTCATCTACAACAAGGTAGCCAGACGCTTTCTTCTTTCAAAGTGTGCTCACTGTTTCAAACCCAGAGACCTAGGGACTGAGAACTAGCAAAAGACTACCAAGCGTCTCACCTTTCAATGGTTGGGTTGTGGGAGGTGGAGAGAGACATTGGTCTGTGGACCAGCAGCAAGCCCATCGCTTGCTGTAAGAAATGAGGACTCTTAGATCCAATCCTGACCTCTGAATCAGAATCTGCATTTGAAGAAGATCCACAGATGATTTGATTACTCATTAACGTTTGGAAAGCACTGCCCAGAACTTTGAGATCATCTTCTAATACACTGCATCAATAAATAAAATGTTGAAAGAGAAAATTGTAGATGTTGATGATGACAATTTTAACCGAACTTGGTGGTGTTCTGTTTCACCTGATGCTAACAATTTTTAGGTTAGGGGACCTAGGAAAAATGTCCTTTTGTCTCTACCAGTTGCTGGTTAAGTGGAACAGTGAAGTGTCCTTTTCCTCCTTTTTAAAATTTCCGGGGTACTTGACTAACTGATTTCTGCATGTTTAAACTTACATTAAATGACCTAAGAGATGACTTTTGCTTTAATTTGATGGAGACAATCCAGTGGCAGTTATCTGTCACTGATTTCATCTTAACTTCCTTTTCATTTAAGATCTCTGAATGATTATGTTAAGTATGCTTAAAAACCAGAGAAAACAAAATGATCTCAACTATTTTTCAAAAATGCATAGGAGATAGTATTTTAGGAAAATACAGTGGTAACAATATTCACCAGAATTTTGGATGATTTCTCTTTCTTCATTTTAATTTTCTGTCTACACCAGCATGTAGTACTCTTATAGTCGGTAAATCATATTACAGTATTTAAAACAATGCAGTTTTGTTTATGGAATATAATGAAACTATGTACAAAACTGCAAATGTCTGGAAGTATATTAAACTATTCTCTATACTTTTCTGTATTTTTAGTTTTCCATGTTGAATATGTATTTTTTTTCTATAGCAGCTGCCAGAGGGTTTCAGTAAATGACCAAAAAGTATTTTTTGAAGGAATGAACACATAGGTGAAGAAATCGGGACAAGTTTTCTCTTAGAGTCCACTCCTTTACTACTAGTGTTAATAGTGAGGTATTTACAATATGTATTTTGAAATGCTGTCATTTATAAGGGTTGAATAATAGTGGCTAATTTGTATACCTACAATCAAGTCAGATTAGGGATAGAAGACGACAGTCCTCAGAGTGCCTTTCCTTTGTCCTTTCTCCCCAACATCATAGCATTTTACAACAGAATGGTTTAACTGAACTTTGCCAAAGCTTGAAAACATCCTGTTTAGTATATACAGTTCCTTAAAAAGCAGTTTGCATTGAAATTAATTAATGTATCCAAATCTCTTTAGCATATGATATAATTGGTAGGGCTCATAGAATAGTTGGACTTTGGCTAGAAGCTATAGACTGTAGAATTCAGAGATTTTAAAATATATTAGGTTTGAAATCCTTTTTAAAATGCATTCTTGGTGATAACACAAAAAACAAGCACAAATAACAAGTCTGGTTGTTGGGGTGGGAGGAGTTCAGATTTGTCTGACTCTACATGACGATTCTTAGGAACCTGCATTTGGTAAGCATAGTCCAAAAACCGTGGAATCATAAAGCATTTGTATCACTGGGTCAAGTTACAATAGTTTTTCCCCCCCAGGTACAATATGGCCACGTAAAATCAATCATTATTTAGCATATTCATATTCATCATCTTTGGTGATCTTCTCTATAGCATTGAGAGGTAGTTCCTTATATTATTAATAAAGGAGAAAGAGATACTGAAAAAGCGAATCATGTTCACATCACCAATGAAGGTCAAAGTCAGCCTTTCACTCCAAGTTAAAAAAATGCAATTGAGATCATCCTGGTTAACACAGTGAAACCCCGTCTCTACTAAAAATACAAAAAAAAAAAAAAAAAAAAAAAATTAGCCAGGCGTGGTGGCATGCTCCTGTAGTCCCAGCTACTCGGGAGGCTGAGGCGGGAGAATGGCGTGAACCCAAAAGGCGGAGCTTGCAGTGAGCCGAGATCGCGCCGCTGCACTCCAGCCTGGGCAACAGAGGGAGAGTCTGTCTCAAAAAAAAAAAAAAAAAAGCAAAAAAAAAAAAAAACAAATGCAAACCTCAAAAATTTTCAAGGCAAGACAGTGCTATACATATTAACATAAATAGCTGACAAGCTGGAAGCTGTTGTTAATAGGAGAAGCAGTCTAGTGCGACAATCAAGAATTTAAGTGCTTGAGTCAGACTAGCTTGGTTCAAATCCTGCTTCTGCCAACTACTGGGTCTATGACCTTACACAAGTTATTGAATTTCTCTATGCCTCTGTTTTCTAGTCTGTAAAATGTGGTTGTCATAATGTCTACCTCATAGATTAGTTTGGAGTTTAAATGAGTGACTATAAAAAAAAAGCACTAAATACAAGGCCTTACAATAGTAGATGCTCAGTAAATGTTAAACCAAGCATACTACTAGGCATATTGAGTGCATTATTATATTTAATTCTTACTACAAAGAAACAATTTTTTAAAATTCCAATTTTATAGAAGAAACCAAAACTCAGTAAGGATAAGTCACAAATCTGAAAGTTGAGCCCAACTCTAACTCCAAAGCTGATGCTTTTATTATTTTTTAAAATATAGTAACTTGTTTTTAAGAGTGACAAAGTTTTATGGAATTATATTTTAAAATTAGAAATGAGTAATCATTCTTAGTTTAATCTTATTCATCTGATGAGTTTAAAGTATATATATTCATTTGCTTTTACAGTAACTCTGTAAGATATTAAGTAGGCAAATACTATCATTCCCTATAACACAAAAGTATTATTAAGAATAAGTTTATACAGAAAAGATCAGTAGTAATATCAATGTTAATGCAAAGCAGAATACGTGAGACTGTAAATCTTGATATAGAGTGTGTTTTTCTCCCTGGGAATTAATTCTTCCACTTTGTATTTAACAGTTCTTCTATATATTTATAGTTTCAGTTACTTCTTTTCTGATTCATTCCATAAAATATCTAGTAGTATTTAAAATAATTGTCACACATAATTGCTGTTTCCCACTATATCATTAAAATTGATCATTTCTTCCTTATGATGGTGTATTAGTCTATTCTTATGCTGCTAATAAAGACATATGTGAGACTGCATAATTTATAAAGGAAAGAGGTTTAATCGACTCACAGTTCAGCATGGATGGGAGGCCTCAGGAAACTTACAATAATGTCAGAAGGGGAAGTGAACATATCCTTCTCATGGCAGCAGGGAGAAGAAGAATGAGAGCCAAGTGAAGGGAGAAGCCTCATATAAAACCATCAGATCTCTTGAGAACTTACTATCATGAGAATAGCATGGGGGAAACTGCTCCCATGATTCAATTACCTCCCACCGGGTCCCTCCCATGACATGTAGGGACTTTGGGAACTATAATACAAGATTAGATTTGGGTGTGGACACAGCCAAACCATATTATTCCATCCCTGGCCCCTCCCAAATCTCATGTTCTCACATTTCAAAACACAGTCATGCCTTTCCAACAGTCCCCCAAAGTCTTAACTCATTCCAGCATTAAATCAAAAATCTAAGTCCAAAGTCTCATCTGAGACAAGGCAAGCCTCTTCTGCCTATAAGTCTGTGAAATCAAAAGCAAGCTAGCTACTTCCTAGATACAATGGGGGTACAGGCACTGGGTAAATCCACCCATTCCAAATGGGAGAAATTGGCCAAAACAAAAGTGCTACAAGTCTCATGCAAGTCCAAAATCCAATAGGGGAATTATTAAACCTTAAAGTTCCAAAATGATCTCCTTTGACTGCATGTCTCACATCTAGGACACACTGATGCAAAAGGTGGGCTCCCACAGCCATGGGCAACTCTGCCTCTGTGGTTTAGCAGGGTAGAGCTCCCCTCAGCTGTTTTTACAGGATGACATTGAGTGTCTGCAGATTTCCCAAGCACAAGGTGCAGGCTATCAGGGGCTCTACCATTCTGGGGTCTGGAAGACAGTGGCCCTCTTCTCACAGCTCCACTAGGCAGTGCCCCCGTGGGGACTCTGTATGGGGACTCTGACCCCACCTTTCCCTTCCCCACTGTCCTAGCAGAGGTTCTCCATGAGGGCCCCACCCCTGCAGCAAACTTCTGCCTGGATGTCCATATATCCTCTGAAATCTAGGTGGAGGTTCCAAAACTCAATTCTTGATTTCTGTTCACCTACAGGCTCAACACCACATGTAAGCCACTAAGGCTTTGGGCTTGCATGCCCTCTAGCAATGGCCTGAGTTGTATGTCGGCCCCTTTTAGCCATGGCTGGAGCAGAAGTGGTTGGGAAGCAGTGTACCATGTCCTGAGGCTGCATAGAGCAGGGAGGGTCCAGGTCCAGCCTAGGAAACCATTTTTCCCTCCTAGGCCTCCAGGCTTGTGATGGGAGGGGCTGCAGTGAAAGTCTCTGTCGTACTCTGGAGACATATTCCCCATTGTTTTGATTGACATTTGGCTCCTAGTTACTTATGCATATTTCGGCAGCAGGCTTGAATTTATCCCGAGAAAGTGTTTTTTTTTTTTTTTTTTTCTATAGCATTGTCAGGCTACAACTTTTCCAAATTTCTATGCTCTGCTTCCTTCTGAATGCTTGTGCGCTTAGAAATTCCTTCTACCAGGGCTGGGTATGGTGACTCACACCTGTAATCCCAGCACTTTGGGAGGCTGAGGCAGGTGAATCACTTGAGGTCAGGAGTTGGAGACAAGCCTAGCCAACATGGTGAAACCCCTTCTCTACTAAAAATACGAAAATTAGCCAAGTGTGGAGGTGCATGCCTGCAATCTCAGCTACTTGGGAAGCTGAGGCAGGAGAATCACTTTAACTCAGAAGGTGGAGGTTGCAGTGAGCCAAGAATGTGCCACTGTACTCTAGCCTGGGCTACAGAGAGAGATTCTGTCTCAAGAAAAAGAAATTTCTTCCACCAGATACCCTAAATCATCTCTCTCACGTTCAAAATTCCACAGATTTCTAGAGCAGGGCAAAATGCCGCCAGTCTCCTATCTGAGACCACCTCAGTCTGGACTTCATTGTCCATATCGCTAACAGCATTTTAGTCATAGCTATTCAACAAGTCTCTGGGAAGTTCCAAACTTTACCACATTTTTCTGTCTTCTTCTGAGCCCTCCAAACAGCTTCAATCTCTGCCTGTTACCCACTTGCAAAATCACTTCCACATTTTCAGGTATCTTTACAGCAGTACCCCAGTTTCTGCAGTACAAATTTACTGTGTTAGTCCATTCTCACACTGTAATATGATTTCACTCTGTCTCCACCTAAATCTCAACTTAAATTCCCATATGTTGTGGGAGGGACCTGGTGGGAGGTAATTTAATCATGGGGGGCAGGCCTTTCCCATGCTGTTCTAGTGATAGTGAATTAAGTCTCATGAGATCTGATGGTTCTATAAGGGGGATGTTTCCCTGTACAAGCTCTCTCTCTTTGCCTGCCACCATCCATCTAAGACTTGACTTGCTCCTCTTTGCCTTCCACTATGATTGCGAGGCCTCCCCAGCCATGTGGAACAATAAGTCCATTTAACCTCTTTTTCTTCCCAGTCTCAGGCATGTGAAAACAGTAGTCTCAGCAATGTAAAAACAGACTAATACACACTACTAATACAAACATACCTGAGACTGGGTAATTTACAAAGGAGAGAGGTTTAATTGACTCACAGTTCAGCGTGGCTGGTGAAGCTTTAGGAAACTTACAATAATGGTGGAAATGGGAGCAAACATGTCCTTCTTCACATGGCAGCAGGGAGAAGTAGAATGAGAGCTGAGCAAAGGGAGAAAACCCTTTAAAAAACCATCAGATTTCATGAAAACTTGCTCACTATCATGAGAATAGCATGGGGGAAACAGTTCCCATGATACAATTACCTTCCATGGGGTCCCTCCCATGACATTTGGGGATTATGGGAACTACAATTCAATTCAAGATGAGATTGGGGTGGGGACACAGCCACACCATATCAGATGGCAAAGGTATCAGAATACCCTCCACAAATTTTACTTCTGCTAAGAGTTAATTTTCCATCACTTTTTAAATTTAAACTGGGATGAAAGAAACAGTTCAGATGACAATATATATTTCTTATGACTAGCAATTAGAAAATTAAAATAAAATTTTAAAAGCTTAATGGGGTTGTCAATGGCAAACTGTGCCCTACTAAATTAGCAACTTGTCAACTTTAAGATAATTCAGAAGAACCATGATTCTCCCATGAGTGACTATTAGATGATCTATTATGAAATAAGTCAATGAACTGAGTCTAGTTTCAATTGAATAATTACAGACCTAACAAAAACTAGATTTTATTGTCATCTTCTACTGAAACTTGCTGCTGCTTAGCAAAGTGGACCAAACTTTAATGGAGAAAACAACTGGTCTACTCTTTCACCAAAGAAGTTGTCCTTTTCATTTGGGATTGAGGCATGTTTTTTTTATTGCAAAGGGCAGTTCATGTTGGGGCTGTCATTTATATTGATGTTCTTTTTTCAAAATGACACCTCCATGTAATTTTTTTCTGCAGAAAAATTGGACTTCAGTGTTCAGGGTCATTGGTGAGAGATCTTTCACTGATTCAAAATTCATTTAAAATTTTTAGGAAGAAGGAAAAAAATCAGAACTCTTCCTACCCTCCCAAGAGAAGTAATATGTACCTTACATGGAAAACCTAGGGCATTTTAAATGGACTCACCAAATAGAAGATGACTTCTTTCCTTGGCTAATTTAGTGACAACACATGGGTATTTCTTTTTCTGGAATTTTGTGAAAACTTACAATTATCACAGGACTGAGTGCAGTTTGTTTGCTCTCCACAAAAGCAGAGATGATTTTTATTGACCAATCTTTGATCCGAGAGATTAAAGAAAGTACTGCATGAGCAGCGAGAAGGATAACACCACGGGGGTCAATAGGCTTTACTGCTATTGGAAATGAAAGTGAATCATTCCATTGGGAGATAGGGTAATTTAGCATTCTTACTGGGAATGCAAGACTCTTTCTTTTTCTCCCTTTTTTGGAAAGAAAATATTCAACTAATGAATAAGTTTCTCCATGATTTAATACCATGGCCACACACGAGGTCATTTGGAGGGCACTAGATTCCCCAACATAATTCTGTACAATGCTTTTTAGCCCAAATGGCCTGGCTGTCACATTTTCACACCCTTGATTGAAATGTCCCTGGTAGACTTTTGGAATGCAGTCTGAAGGCTTAGTGACTCAATATTTTCACAGTGAATACATTTCCAATCTCATAGAAAGTTGCCACTAACTATTGCAGAGGTTATGTCTCTTTCAGTTTTCCTCTGAAACACTGAATGAAGTAAAATTCAACTTTAGTTGAGCTTTGAGAAAACAAGATATAATGAATGCATGCTACTATTATTTGCCATTTTAACACACTTTTGCAAACTATCTATCCTACTGTCTTTCAACCGATAGTCTATAAAAGAGTTATTTTTTCCTCCTATTTTCATAAATAGAAGGATCATTTTTTCCTTTATTTTTATTATGAGCCAGGGAATAAGGGTTGGAAGTATAACATCTGGTATGATTGTGACTGGGGATAATGCTGAGATGCTATTGTTTATAGAATATTCACCAAAACTCCTGAGGCCTGACAAAATGTTCATGTTATGCTTCTTCATTTCTTTGAAAGATTGCCAAAAAATTTTTCTGGGATAGCCAATTGCATTTCTGTTTCAATTTGCTAGACATATTCAAGCTTACTTTAAACTTTTGACTGGCTATTTTTAACAGAGTTCTTATTTGCAAATTGAAAGTGCCCCTGTTCTTCTCTATAACAGTATTTTGATATAATACAGGACGCTCATGATATCAGTTATTTACCAACTAGAACGACCTAGTTCTTGTCCCCTTGGTTTCTAAAGCTGATTTAGCATTAGAATTACATTACAAACTTAAAAGTTTAGATCAAAACTACTATTTCCTCGTATCTCAAGGTGATTGTTCTTGTTGATTTTCTTAGCAAGAGTATACAACTAGATTATTTACATCATGACTACACCTTATAGAATTATATCATTTCATTTTATGAATGATTAATAATGAACATGATTTGCTTCTCCAGAATTTATGAGGAACTCAGACAACTCAACAGCAACAAAAATAACCCCATTCAAACGTGGCCAAAGAACATGAATATTTATTTTTCAAAAGAAGACATACAAATGGCCAAAAAGCATATGAAAAAATGTTCAACATCGGTAATCATCAGAGAAATGCAAATTAAAACCACAAGTAGATATCATCTTACACCACTCAGAATGACGATTACTAGAAAGATAAAAAATAACAGATATTGGTGAGAATGAAGACAAAAGGGAACACATACACTGTTGGTGAGAACGTAAATTCCACTGTTGGTAGGACTATTGGTGGAAATGTACAACCACTGTGGAAAGCAGTGTGGAGATTTCTCAAAGAACTAAAAATAGAACTACTGTTAGTTCTATTTACCAATAGAATTGCTATCTATCAATAGATTACTATTTGCCAATAGTAATCTTACTATTGTGTATCTGTCCAAAGGAAAAGAAATCATTGTATCGAAGAGATACCTGCACTCATATGTTTATTACAACACTATTCACAATAGCAAATATATGGAATAAACTTGTATCTGTCAGTGGATGACTGGATGATGAAAATGTGAGACATATATAGGAATACTATTCAGCCATCAAAAAGAATGAAATAAAGTATCTTGCAGCAACATGGATGGAACTGGAGGCTATTATCTTAAGTGAAACAACTCAGAAACATAAGGTCAAATACCACTTATTCTCACTTATAAGTGAGAGCTAAATAATGTGTACATACAGACATAGAATGTAGAGGCCGGGTGCAATGGCTTACACCTGTAATCCCAGCACTTTGGGAGGCTGAGGCAGGTAGATCACTTGAGGTCAGGAGTTCGAGACCAGCCTGACCAACATGGTGAAACCCCATCTCTACTAAAAATACAAAAATTAGCTGGGCATGGTGGCAGGTGCTTGTAGTCCTAGCTACTCGGGAGGCTGAGGCAGGAGAATCTCTTGAACCCAGGAGGCAGAGGTTGCAGTGAGCCAAGATTGTGCCACTGTACTCCAGCCTCTGTGACAGAGCTAGACTCCATCTCAAAAAAAAAAATAAATAAAAAATAAAAATATATATATATAAGAATCAACGTTGGAGACTTGGAAGAGTGGAAGAGTGGGAGGATGGGAGGAGAATGAGGGATGAGAAATTAGTTAATGGGAATAATGTACATTATTCAGGTGATGGTTAGACCAAAAGCTCAGACTACCACTATGCAATATACCCATGTAAAAAAGATACTGCACTTATACTCCTTACATTTATACAAACTTTTAAAATTAGCATAATTCTGTTCATCTTAAGGAAATTTTCAGGAATTAGGGAAATTAAGGAACATTTATTAATGTTCACAGGGACATATCGCTGTGTGTTTACATGGCAAAATGTGACTCCCTCCACTTTTTCTGGCATATGCTGTTTTAAATTTATTTGTCTAGATTCTGCTGATACCATTAAGTAAATTGTTTCTTGGATGCACCAAATGGTCTCCAAGTGGCTTAAAATATCATATACTTCTTTTCAAAGTGTTCATTTTGGTTATTAGTAAGAATTTGTACAATGACAAAGTCCGCTTTATTAAATGTTTTTAAAGTTAGTAAGACAGTAAATAATTCAGGAGACTGAACCTCTTTTCTAAACTAAACATTGATTTATGTTTTACCTGATGGAAACAAGTCGACTTTTACCAGGTATATATAATTTAGAAATAATCTTTGGTTTAAAGAGAGATCTGAGTAACATTTTACTGAAAATCATAGAAGATTTATTCTTCTTAAATGGGCAATCTCTGATTACTATGCACCACTAGAGTGGAAGAATGATGTATCATGCTAAAGTACCCAGTACCTCTAGCTAGCTATGTGATCTGTACTCAAAGCAATTACTGTTGTTTTGTTATCTGAATGCCAGGGGACAATATACAGCTAATATTAGTACTACAGATCCTGTTGAGTTCCTGTATGCTAAAGTACAGTGACTACAATAATTGAAATAACATTATTTTTTGAGCACTTACTGTATATAAGAAATTGTGCCTAACAAGCACCATGCTATTTGATCAAGCACCATGCTATTTGATCTTTAAGATAAAGTGTTGGCCAGGCACAGTGGCTCACATCTATAATCCTAGCACTTTGGGAGGCCAAGGTGGGTGGATCACCTGAGGCTAAGAGTTTGAGAGCAGCCTGGCCAACATAGTGAAACCCCGTCTCTACTAAAAATACAAAAATTAGCCAGGTGTGGTGGTGGTTGCCTGTAATCCTAGCTACTGGAGAGGCTGAGGCAGGAGAATCGCTCGAACCTGGGAGGCAGAGTTTGCAGTGAGCCAAGATCATGCCATTGCACTGCAGCCTGGGTGACAGGAGCAAAACTCTGTCTCAAAAAAAAAAAAAAAAAAAAAAGGTTAAGTCTTTGGTCAACTGATGACAAAAATGAGAATAAGAGAAAATAAATATGTTGTACTAGATATGTAAACTATAGCTCTATTACACTTAGAAAACAATTGAGAGAAAGATGGAAATAATTAAGTCCTGCAAATAATGAATCTTCAACCTCATTTGGAAGCTCACCGGACTTAAGCTGACTGACTACCAATTTAATTGTTAAGAAAACATATAATTTTAGAATGCTCTAAAGTGTTAGAAACAGAATCAAACACTGTTTCTAAAATGTATGTATATTGTGTATGTATATACATATTAGATAACATATCATATATAGTTATAGATATAGTTATATTGTATATCCGTTTGATGTTCATACACTATGTATTTTACATTTTTTCTGATACTCACTATATACAGAAGTAGGGGTATGGGCACAGTTTAAATTTGCTTCAGCCAAATGTAACTTACATTTCAAAAAACAAATGGACTGATGTTAAAGAGTTGCTTGTTTTGTGCATATGTATTGAGACTCTAAAGTGACACCTGATTGTTTAATCAGATTTAGCTGAGGACGTAAAAGCTTAGGAGAACATCTTGTAGAGATTTGTTACTGAACATCTATTTTTCACTACTTTTTCCTCACAGGACCATTATTTTCAGTGTATTATAGCTGGTAAGATCTTGGGATTTAGAATCGGCAGACCTAGGTTCAAATCCTTGCTCTACTACTTACTAGCTGCTAAGCAATCAGCACTAAGCAATCTTGAGCAAGTAACTTGATACCTTCCCGCTTATCTTGGTTTAATAGGACTAATGCTACTTGCCTAATAGTGTTATTAGTAAGACTAAATGAAATTAGGTATAAATATGTTTGTCATACAGTTTTTGCACTTAATAAATATCAATTGATTTAATTATTATTGTTATTAACTGTAGAGACAGGACAAGGTCTGTGTCATAATAATTGAGATCATGGGGTCGGTGGGCATGGTTTGCAGTTCTGAAGGCTCACAGAATTTGTTAAGTGAGAGAAGCAATGATTCTTCTTTGGCCAATGGAACTGCTAGGGAACAGGTCCTGGTTCTGCACCCTTTTTATAATACAGAGTCAACCTTGCACCTTGGCTGTTAAGGAGAATGGTGTTATTTATTTCAGAGAATCCCAGCTCAATCTCAGTCGCTAAGTTTCTTTTGCATCCCTGTAGTTAAATGCTGTAGTAGTTTATAGAAGATTTAGGATGTTTTGAAGATTCGCTCATTTCCTATTTTTACTCTTTTCAAAATAAACACTCCACATCATTAAATGGAAACTGGCGATTCTATTACTTGATCCACTTCCCTTAGGGGTTCTTCTAAGGATCAAAAACTACAGCCTTGATCTTAGAATGCAAATCTACAATTTCTATTATGTTATATTTTAACTCCATAATTATGTTCTGAGCTAGATATTTCTCAATTCCAGCATTTTACAAAGCAAAAGTAAAAATAAATTGAGTTTTTTAAATGTGCAATTGTGGCATTTTCAAGAAAAGCAAAAACTCTTTGATATGAATATGAAAACTTCCCATCTTCAGAGGATTCAGGCCAATTTCTGAATTTTACCATGTTAAGGAAATATTTGTAGTTACTTCCTTGAAATAAGCAACATCAAGAATAAAAAACAGTTTCATAGTCAATGGATGCCTTTTAAAAATTTTTTCCTTTTCTTTTCACTACTTTGAACTATTTAATCTTACAGCTATTATTAGAATACAGGGGATACACAGGTAAGTCTTAAATTTTTGCTTTCAAATACAAAAAGCAACACTATAATGCATATAGTTCTAAATTATCTTTAATATTGACTATAGTTTGGTACAAATAGGAATCCTGTAGGTGATATCATTCCCCAACTTCCACAACTACTGGGAAGAAATTACTTTCCAGGGAGAATTTCTGATGTTACAAAATAAGACCCCAGGACATTGAGAGCCTCTGTAGAGTCAGAATTTTTATTGCTGAATTTCATTTGGAAGAGCCCAGGGGTGCATGATACTCATTTTATCTGCCTCTGAATGATGAAATACTAAGGTAAGTCAGCTTGTGATGAAACCTCTGTTTATGGATATAATATTATCTTGTTAGTGATTTATATTCCATATGGTATAAATTTTGACTTGGTTAATATCTGGGAAATGGGAGTATTATTTTAAAAATTCTGATAGACATATATGTTAAGAAAAATTGGTGTAAGCTCATGGAGAATCAAATTTTTCTATATTGAATACATTGCAGTTTTCTCACTAACTACTTGTAGTTAGCACACACTTCACTGGTTAAGGGCACAGTGCTTCATAAGCCTCCTCACTTCAAATACTAGCCACAAGCTCTGGCATTCCCAGGCTACCTGTGCTTCTGACCAACTGCCTACACATTCAAGATTTCCCACTACTCATTCAGGTTCAATAATTCACTAGAATGACTCACAGAACTTAGCAAGTACTATACTTATAATCATACTTTTATTATAAAAGATACAGATGAGGACCAATCAAAGGAAAAGATGCAAAGGGTAATGTCTGGGAGGGTCCCAAATGTGAAACTTCTGTATCCTCAGGACATATTATTGTCCGACTAAATCAATCTGTATTACCAAACTGGCTGCTCACCTGAGCTTCAGTGTCTAAAGTTTTCTTTGGAATTTTGTGTAGGCACCATTGGTTGAATCATTGCCCACGTGGTTGAACCCTATCTTCAGCCTTTTTTCTCCCCTCCCTGGAGATATAAACGGCTCAAAATCCCAACTCTCTAATGGCTGATCTTTTTGGTATAGCCAGCCCCTATGCTGAGGTTATTAGGGGTCCACCATGAGTCACCTTGTTAGCATACACTTAGGTGTGATCTGAGAGGCCCACCAAAAATAACAAAGACACTCTTATCATTTGGAAAATTCTAAAGATTTAGAGGCTCTCTCCCAATACTTGGAGAAAAAAGACAAGTAAAATTTTTTATTATACAACATGGAAATTTTAGAGTTTATAGTTTTTCTTGTATATATATTAGGCAATATATTAAACAAAAATGCATGTAAAACGTCCTTCTTATAGGAACACCTATGCAAAATCTTGCTGGCGTGAATCCTATATGGCTTGCTTAATTCTAGCTGATGATGTCTCTGCATGTAGAATGTCCTTGTACCACTCTTCCATAAAGATGTATCCCATCACTCCCTAAACAAACTCGAGGAACATCTCTTCCAGGAACTCTTTCTTGTTTAGTGCACATTGTGTTGATGGTTTTCTTTTTTACAATCTTAACTTTACAATACTATGTATCAACATGTACATATTATCATTTAGTTGCTTATTTTTATTTCTGTGGACATTTAGATATTGACAATGCAGAAGAGACTAGACAAGAAATTAGAATGCAGAAAATTAAAGCAGAGACCGGAGATAAAGGAAGATTTTAGAAATAAAAGGTTCTTGATCCCCAGGATATACCCAATAACTTATATTTTCCATGTTTATATAAATTATAGTACAATGAGGTTCTGTTATATATCTGGCACTGTTGTTGGTTATTAGATACTCTAATATTCAAGATAAGCAAGACAGGCAACTTCCCAGGGAACATGCATTTTAGAGAAAGGAGGAGAAATGACAACTAATAAGCACATGCACAAAATAATTTTGGACAGTGATGAATGAGATAAAGACAAGGAGAGGAAAAATGTATGGGGACTTCAGTTTGTTTGCTCAAGAAGGCTTCTCTGTTGATGTGAGAGGTTAAGCAGAATGTTGAAGGAGCCAGTCATGCAACTGTTACCCATGGCAGTGCCAACGTGACTTAGCTGTACCCCTACCTAACTTTCATTGCCAAATGCAATGCCTCCCTGACATAGCTGAATTTCTACTCGGCCTTATCTCTGCTCATTTTTAGGAAACAGAATGTCTGTGGTCAGAAGTTCCTTCTTGGGACTAAACCAGTTGAAGCTGGCAAAATCCATGATGGCAGCTTACTCGATCTTTGAAGAACCTCTAGCTTCATTATACTCCAACTTCCATACTAAATGACACTCCCACCAATGCCATGACAGTTGACAATCATCATGACAGTGACCAAAAAGAACCAAAAAAGGACAGGAAAGAAGTGGCTACTTGATTCCAGGAAAATCTCCATCCTTTCCCAAGAAAAGCATGAATATTCCTCTCCTTGGTTTTAACGCTCAAACCTTTCATTAAAGATACCTTGTGTCTGTAACTTCCTGATTCTCAGGAGCTGACATGTTGATGTGTGAGCCACACTCCCACTTCTCCATGTCATGACCATCGAATAAAACCTGTACTGCTCTATGCTCACTTTCGGTTTAATGTACTGGCTTCACGACACTGAACAAGAAAGAGCCCACCTTTTAGGGTAATTAGGACCCCCTGGTAACAAAATGACCTGAAGGAGAGCACTCCAGGCAGAGGGGACCACAGGTGCAAAGGCTCCAGGACCAAGCTGCACTTGGTATATTTGAGGAGAAAAAAAAGGCCAGGGTAGTTCTAGATCGGAGAGTGTGGGGAAGAGAAATATAAAGTAAGGGCACAGAAGAAGACAAAAACCAGGGCCATGGTGGGGACAGATTTTACTCTGAGTTTATTATATTAAAACTATAGAAATATAAGAAAAAACCCATAGCCTAATAGCAAACACTACCTATAGATAAAATATTGACTTATTTCTCTTCAGTTTTTTTTTTTTTGGTACTTTAAGTTTTAGGGTACATGTGCACAACGTGCAGGTTAGTTACATATGTATACATGTGCCGTGTTGGTGTGCTGCACCCATTTACTTGTGATTTAACATTAGGTATATCTCCTAATGCTATCCCTCCCCCCTGCCCCCACCCCACAACAAGCCCTGGTGTGTGATGTTCCCCTTCCTGTGTCCATGTGTTCTCATTGTTCAATTCCCACCTATGAGTGAGAACATACAGTGTTTGGTTTTTAGTTTGCCGAGAATGATAGTTTCCAGCTTCATCCATGTCCCTACAAAGGACATGAACTTATCATTTTTTATGGCTGCATAGTATTCCATGGTGTATATGTGACAACCCAAATGTCCAACAATGATAGACTGGATTAAGAAAATGTGGCACATACACACCATGGAATGCTATGCAGTCTTCAGTTCTTTTTACTAGATATATAGAAATGCAGATTAAAAAATAACATCAGGAATGTAGATAGAGTTTTGTGGCTTCCATTTTTTCACCCAACAATACACCATGAGCATTTTTTCATGTCAATACATATTGCTTTACAACATGATATTAATGGGCAACACAGAGTTTCTTTGTATGGTGGTGCCATATACATTCATTCAATCCACTATTTTTTAACATTTTAAAAATCACTTTTTCCTCAGTTATTATTCTTGCATATAAAGCATTGTACACATTTTCTTTGGTTGAATTCTTAAAATGACATTAATATGTCAAAAAGTTTAAACACTTTTAAGGCTTTCAATGCATAAGTTTCCTCCCAGAAATATACTAATTTGCCCTCCCAGTCAGTGGTTAAAGTTTCTGATTCACTGCATCCTCACCAAATATTTTTAAAAAACACTGCCACTTTAAGAGGTAAAAATCCATAACTTATAGTTTTTACTTACGTTTTACTTATGTTTAGTGAGGTTCATATATTTTTCACTTATTGTCCCTTGTGCTTCTTTTTTGTGTAAATTGAATTGGTGCATTTTCCATAATGCTTTTCTTGATTCATAAGGTACAATTTTTCATCTCTTCTGAAATTCCAGAGCATTTTATCTGTGCCTTATGGAGTGACGTTCTTCTTTGTGTAGTATAATTGCATGTAAATGTCCTAGCTTCCTCATAGATTTGAGGTTGGGATCTTTGTCACTTTTCCTGGATCCTGGTACAGGACAGTACATGCAGCAAGTGCTCAAGGTGTACTCTTTGTGTTAATAACTGATCTGGCATTTAATTGAACAGATACCGCTGTAGAGCAACTGACCTTGATTTGGGTATTATTTGTATTCATATGCTTCAGGATATTTTTCAAGCAAAATTTCAATTTTTGAAATGGTTCTGCTTTGATGAATTCAGTACTAAAATATAGTTTATTGTATCATGAACTATTATATTTATTCCCTATTTACTCTTATTATTATGCACTCACTTGATTCCACTCCAATAACAAACTTTCATCAAATGCAATAGTACTTGAGCTGTTAGTTTAGTTAGACAGTTCAAACTTTACTGTGCATCGAGATCACCTGGAGCGTTTGTTAAAGCAGGTTAGAGTTTCTGATTCTATAGGTCCAGGTGGGGTCCAGCAATTTGTATTTCTGACAAGTTTCTAGGTGATACTGATGTGGCTAGTCTTCTGACCAAATTTTGAGAATCATTGGTCTAAATGATATTCAGCATGTTTAGTATCCCCTTAGAATGAAAGAGCAGCTTCTTCTCTGCTTAACTTTACTACTGAAATTTGTCCTAACAAAGGTCATAAAAATGGACTTGGAGAAGAAGAGAATTTTGCTTATAGCCTTGGTAAGCAGACTGCCTTAATGCCTTGTATTTTCTCTTACTGGGCAATCCTCCTGTTGAGAGGGCTGCCTCAGTTAGCATTTTTGAACTTTTCCTGCTTTAAAGAACCCAGTGAGTTCAGAAGAGAGAAGAGAGAACAATGAGAAAGGACACCTGTGATGGACACGGGAGTGGGGTGCGGGTGTGATCAAATGAGTTCCGTCAAATCACCAATGCTCCCACCTCCCCAAATGCAGAAGTTGGCACATTGTCTCTCCCTGAGGCTGTCTCCGAAGAGAAATGTCATAAAAGACTAAACTGCTGCTTAGGACAGCACAAATCCCATGGGGGCGTCAACTTCAACAAAATTTAAAAAACCGTGTGCCCGCTTCAAGTTGGCAATTTCGAGTTCACTTCACTATAGTCAATGACGCACCTTCACACAGTAAGCTCAATAGAGACAAAGAGGTGCCTTGCAACTGTCAGAGAGAGAAAAGAGTCCTCTGAGATGAAATGTTAACATAAGAAGTGGAAATGGTTTGTCATAGTTGCAAGCTGGCTCTTTGGGGTTCACTTTCCTATAGTGAGCGAACTGTAGTTTGGTACCCTAGCAAAAGAGTCTCCATAAAATTAGAACGATCGCTTAAAAAGGGCAGAGGGAAAGAGAGGCGTAGAGAGAGAAGGAGAGAGAGTTCTTTCTTTTGTGTGTGTGTGATAAGAAGCTTAACAAAAGTGGAAAAACGCTTTATATGGATGTGAGTTTTCATGGCAGTCTCAAGCCGACACTCAGTTGCCTTTATTATAGAATAAGCTACTTTAGCAAGCAAAGAATAATGGAGAGACAGAGAATGCTGGAAACAACAGTCAGGTGGGGTGGGGGGAGACCTTTTGACAGAGAGTATTCTGTAACTAAAGCAACATATACATTTCTTTGTGTTTTTTATACACTATATTCCTTATGAGAAAGAAAAAGAATATGTGAGTTTCTCCCAAAGCTGAATCCTTGAAGTTCTTTTGAAATGTAATTTAATAGAAATATTAACTTTTATGTATAAAATAATGTCGCATTTCATGTTTAGGGCCAGGAAAAGTCTATATGTATAAGAAAAATAGCACAGCTGGAGTGTATTGAAATAGGAATCATTTTTAAAAGTTGGTTTCCAATATATTAGAGTGGGAAAATTACAGGGACTTGTTTACAGGAAAAAAAAATCAACTAGTTTCCTTGTTCTTTTACTTTCTGAAAGGTTTGGATGGATTAAGCTAGTTCAGAATTGGTAGAAGGAATTGGGAGATTACATTAAATAATTCTTATTTCAATTTTTAGTTCGAATTTTGCTCAAGTATTTAGGTTTGTTTTGTTTTTCTTTGACTTACATAAGATTTTAAGGAATTGTAGTAAGTGAGGCTTGAAAGAGACATTAAACCTATATTGACAGATGCTTGAATCCACTGGACAGCATCCCCAACATGCTGTACCCCAGCTACTTCCTGAATAATGAAGTCCTCATGAAGACAGCCAGTTCCATGTATGAATATCTTTGATTTCTGGATTAAACCAAAAATCTGTATCTTTGTAATTATCTTACCTTGTTCTTCCATTTAGGCAGATATTAAGCCAGTCAACTTCTTCCTCCCTGGTACAGCACTGCTAACAACTTAATATTTAATATGTAAAATAAGTATAAATATTTAAGCAATTATGCTAATTTTGGTTATGCTTATACCTCACTTCTCGGAATGTATTGAAAAAAATCAAATGAGAAACTCAACATATTGCTTGTTTTCTTACATGAGAATGCTTAACTACATTTCAATTTTTTTTAAGGTTTAAGAACATTGTATAGCAATAGCTTCAGAGTAATAATTTGGGTCCATATAGTTTGTTTTAATTTTCTTATTTTCCGTTTATTGAAGCCTTTTAGTAAATAAGTATAACAAATTTCACTCCCATCCCCTCAACAAAAACCACAGAAAAAATCATTTTCAAATGTTGTTAAAATAAAACTTTTGTGGAGGTTAGATAATGTCACACGGGCCAATATGTCTGGGTTTGTTTTTTTTTAAATCCTATCTCCGTGTTGCAATTTGACATTTTTACTAAGTTTCATATTTTCAGTTAGGGTAAAAATGGACTTTGGGGATATCATTATGAGAATAAATATCCAGAAAATTTTTATTATGAGACTTGCAAACACTAAAAACAGCAAAACATTTTTGTAACTGTCTTGTTTTCCAATAACCAGCATATTTCCTAGCATACAGTATGCCTGTAATTTTTTTAAAGAAATAAATGAGAATAAAGTTGTAAGTGTAATTTACAAAAATATTTAAAGGCATGATTCAGAGAAACATTCTATTTCCTATCCTCAGGCTGTTTCTGAGTAAACTATTTTGGAAATTGATGGTATTAATTTTCATAGAGATTCATTAACAGTCTTTATAGCTTAGGGCAAACTAAAGTTTATTAAATAATATCAACTTTATTTAGAAATGAAAGCCTATTTTTATAATATTTTTGTTAACCATCAAAGATCACAAATTTAAAATAGATGTCAGAGATGGAAGGAATCTTAGAGAGCATCTGGTCCAATTCACTATTTTATAGATAAAGAAACAAGCTCATAGTGATTGACTCATCGGCAATTAACTAATGTCCGTCAGTAGAAGCCACATTTCCTGACTCCCAGTTTAGTGCCTTCTTTCCCTCTCTATCGTGCTGCCTTCCTGTTGCTAAGTTGTGTATATATATGATGTAAGGTCCCCACTTCACACATTTAGCAATTGTTCTCTAAAACTATGTTATGAACTATTGCATTTCAACAGGACCTTGATATTAATGAATGAGCAGCATATTGAATGATGTTCTTTTGGCTACATATGTTAAATTTAAAATAACTGAAATTTTTATTGTAGCCTCAGAACACCGTAATGTTGAGAAATATGGTTTATTTCCCCTTTACCGGGAAAAACTATGTGTAAGAAAATTATCCTTCCACTACTTCAAAAAAAAGTTGATTAAAATAGTCCTTAGTCAAGATGCCACATATCGCATAATTTCTTTTTATTCTAGATACTATTTTATGTGCTTTTCTAGTGTGAAACTAATACCGTATTTATTAAATTTTCCTACTTTTTATTCTGGGCCCTGATTCGTACTTGCTATTCTTTCTGCTTCTAGTGTATATCCCTTTAAAATTGTTAATTGCTCTTTTTGGAAGAACCGATACTAGAGCTGAGATTTAAAGAATGAGTGAATGAATACATGATTGAATAGTGATAATCATTGCCTTTATTAGAGTGAAGGGAAACTTTGCTTCATGTTATGTTGTCATGGCTTCAGGGTAACAGAAAATCTTACTGTTAAAACAAACCTAGTTTCCTGCACCAAAAGTTAAACATTCATTTTTGCCAAGCTATTAAATTGGCAAGCTTTTTGTAAGTGTTTCTGCATCATGTTATGTTCCTGCCTTCAGATAATGTCCAAGCTGAATTAACATGACTGGAACAGATGCTAAATGACTATACCTAAGTCACTTGTGTCCCATTTCACACTGTACTTCATGAACAGTGCTAGACCAAGAGAACATTGGCCGTCTAGCTCCAAGTGGCACCATATGTCTTCAAACTCACTGGATATAGACTTGTGATCAATTTACTACCAACCTGATCTTGCCATTACTTTCTTAAAATTTAAATGGAAGGGAACATACATTGCAATAAAAGTTTGAGTTAAAAGAATCTGTGTTTTCATATTAAAGTTTTTAATAGATTGAATTTTTTATTAGTGCAGGTCGGGGAATATGCAATAATATTTTACTGGCTGAAGTATAAAATTGTAGAAAATTTGTCAGTTGGTTTTGTGCAATAGACTGAAATTTAAGGTGTCTTTATTCAGAAAGTTTACAAAAGTTGGACAGAGTTAAAGCCACTTTTTATTATAGATAAAGTTGCTGTTTTCAAATTGTAACATTTTAGACCCCTGCAGTAATAAGGGGAATTATGATAAAATTAAAAGTAGACCAAGAGGCTGGGCTCAGTGGCTTATGCCTGTAATCCTAGCACTTTGGGAGGCTGAGGCGGGTGGATTGCCGGAGCTCAAGAGTTCGAGACCAGCCTGGGCAACACGGTGAAACCACGTCTCTACTAAAATACAAAAAATTAGCCAGGTGTTGTGGTGTGCACCTGTAGTCCCAGCTACTTGGGAGGCTGAGGGAGCAGAATTGCTTGAACCCAGGAGGCAGAGGTTACAGTGAGCCGAGATCGCGCCACTGCACTCCAGCCTAGGCGACAGAACGAGACTCTGTTTCAAACAAACTGACCAACCCACCAGTAGACTATGAATGCAAACTACTCTCTAAATGATGATGGGGTGGGAGGCAGGCTTCCAAGGGCTGAGATCTGGTGGTAACTTCCATTTGCACTGGTTTTCTGAAGATATTTGTATTTAACTTCCTAAACTAGAACTTCCTAAGGAAAAGTGAAACATCTGTAATGACACAGGTCCGGATCACTAGAGGCTCCAATTTACACATTGCAAATTGAGTTTTAGATTCCAAAAAAATGCAGCAAATAAAACCTCACAATATATCCCCAGTTCCAGGATACCCCATTCAACCCAACTTGTTGAGGTCTGATTTGAGGATAAGTGTCTAATCTGAACTTTTGTAGAAAAAAAAGATATATGCACAGTGCCTTTGATGAGATCATTTGAATGAAGCATTGCTCAGTGAGGAAATAGGAGTTAATGCTTCTGGAAAAAAGAAGATGCATCCATAACAATCATCATGAAAGAATCGGAAATTCTTTTGTCATTTGTAGAATATTAAAAAGGGTAAGACTCAGTTTCTCCTCCTGATGAAGAAAGGATCAGGGTCACAAAACTTTCGTTTAATTTGCAGACATTTTCTGAGACCTGTACTAGCTTTTTGCTAGGTGATGGGGATACTGGGCAAAAGTATCATGGTTCTGGTGATGACAACCTCCCCTGGGTGATTCTCTCTCTATGCTTGAGAGTTTCCAGTAAAAATCCCTCAAGTCAGGTGGATTAGAATAAGAATCTCTGGGTTCATTCCATAAAAGAAGGGGGTAAAGATTTGTAATTTCTTGTGATAGGATTGGGCGAGCAGTCCCAGGCAAGGTGACCATTCCAGCTGTACAGCCTCATATAAGTACTTTTCCCTCAAGTTTCTTGCAGAAGGAGAGTGCTAATGGAAAAGAGATAAACAATACCAATATTCAACTAATTTCTACCATTTTCAGGTAAATAAAAATTACTCTAGATAGAGGAGGAAATTGATTGACATCTCCTAACTTACAGACAGAGCACTCTGTCTTTAAACAGTTCAGATAGCTAAATTGTACTTTGATTTTCCAGATGAGCCCCAAATAACATTCCTGTATTGTTATTATATTAGTGACTAAATATTAAAACTCTGTTTTTTAGAAAAGAGAAAAGCAGGTAACATTATGAGTTAAAACTTATTTATTCCTGGGTACTATAGAACCCAGATATTATTTGACTAGTTTGTTTTTAAATATTCTAGGACATGTTAGACAAACTATTTGTGCAGAATTCTACTTGCCCTCTTTTGTATTATGCCAGAATTTTCTTTTTTATTGAATTGCCTTATTTTTAATTTTACTTTCTTGCTCTAGTCTTTATATTGACTTTCAGTTTTCAATGTTTACACATACTAGGTATTTGTAGACAATTCTCATGTTCCCCTTAACCAACTGCATGTACATTATTTATTCTTTTAATATTTCCTCTGGAGTAAATACCTCTGGATCCTTAATTATTCCTGTTGATTTCTTTTGAACCTCCTGCAGTATGTCTCTCTTTTTCTCATAATGAGATCCCCAAACTGAATGCATATTCCTGCTTTAGTCTCTCCTGAATCTCAAAGTGGGGACTCTTTTCCTCTGTTCCATAACATTTTTATTTTTATTTTTTTTTGCATATGTAGTCAGTCCAGGAATAATAATGACTTTTTTAACTTAAGTTTTTCAGTATGAACCTGCTCACAATTACCTTCTGATAATACTTAAAATATTACAGCTGTAAAATTTTAATAATATTAATCCCAGCACTTTGGGAGGCCAAGGCAGGTGGATCACGAGGTCAGGAGATCGAGACCACCCTGGCTAACATGGCGAAACGCTGTCTCTATTAAAAATGAAACAAATTAGCCGGCATTGTGGCATGCGCCTGTAGTCCCAGCTACTCAGGAGGTTGAGGCAGGAGAATTGCTTGAACCCAGGAGGCAGAGGTTGCAGTGAGCTGAGATCACACCACTGCACTCCAGCCTGGGTGACAGAGTGAGACTCCATCTCAAAAGAAAAAACAAATATATATATATATATATATGAATTTATTTATTGTCTTGTGACTGCAGGTGTTTGGTAGATTTGAGAAATGATCTTCAGTTCTTTGAGACCAAGATTTTCAAATTAGTGCCATTCTCTTTCATGGTGATCCAACATCCCAAAATCAGTTACAGCAATAAGTCCACTTCTGCAGTTTTTCAAGGCTTCAATTGCTTCATAATTGATGAAATGTCAAGAAAGGAAGAGTACTGGCAAAATAAATTCTTTCAGCAGAGGGATGGAGATTTCACGTATGAGAAAGGGAAGTGTTCATCCTTTGGTTTATCCTCTAAAGAGGTTTAACATAAGTCAGTTCCATGGTCTCCTTCTTTCACTCATTCACAGTGATGCCTTAAATTAATTTCTCTGAAACGCCATTTTAGAATGTTACTCTTCTACTTAAAATCTTCTGTGTCTTCCTATTACTTATGTGGCAAAATCCAAACTCTTTAGCCTAGCATTTAAGGATCTCTGCAAATGAGTTCATCCTTGTTTGTGCCTAATTTTCTTCATTTAAGAATCCCGATCATGTGTTTGTATGTGTGTGTGAAAGTGTTGTATGTGTGAGTGTGTGCGTAAATTTCACCATGTCCACATTTTTTCACACAAAATTCTGTTCACTGTACAAATTTCTTCTTCTTACAACTTGATCATCCTTGTAAGAGCCTTTGAAAACTCCCGTATTCCTTGTTCTTAGCAATATTCACTTGGCCACACCCTCACTATGTTGTAATATCATAGTTGTCTTCACGTATACAGTGTATCTCCCTTTCAAAATTATAAGCTCTTTGAATGTGAAGCCTGTGTTTTCATTTTTCTTATTTTTCAGTGCAGAATAAAATATCTCAAAAACTAACAAAACAAGAATTATTTTCACACTATTTATATCATGTAAAGGTAATGAATACATTGAGTATTCATAAGTGTTAAGGTTTCAATTGCATTCCTTCTAAAATTCATTTGTTGACATCCTAACCCCCCAGCACCTCACAATGTGACCTTATTTGGAAATAGGGTCATTGCAGATTAGTTAGTTAAGATGAGGTCATGCTGCAGTAGGATGGGTCCCTAATACAATACAGCTGGTGTTCTTATGAAAAAGGGAAATTTAGACTCAGAAACAAACACATCTGGATAGATAGTAGGAGAGAGGCCTGGAACAGATCCTTCCCTAGCATCTTCAGAGGGAGCATGGACCTACCTACACCTTGATCTCATAATCCAGTCTCCAAAATGGTGAGTTGATAAATTTCTGTTGTTTAAACCACTTAGTTTGTGGTACTTTGTTATGCCAGCCCCAGCAAACTCACACAATAAGAAACTAGCAAGACTTTATAGAAATAATACCCAATTAGTAGGGCTACCCTACATAGTCTTATTTTTTTCTGTTTCTTTAAAAAATCATTCATATTGACAGAGAGATAACTATTGTAAATTAATAAAATTTCTTTAGCATTTCTTTAGATACAGAGCGCTGTGAATCCTACTCTGAAAAACAACAAGCCCTCTCATTATAGCCACAATAGACAATTTCCTAAGTGTATCTTTTGCTTTCATGGCCTTGACTTGTACATTTTTTTCTCCTCTGAGATTTACCACTCATGTTGACATAGATTTGTTGTGCATGATGAAGCCACAAAAATCAATGAAAAAGACATGTGACTCTTCTGCTTGCAAAAGGACTTTTTGTTGTTGTTGTTGTTGCTTATTGTGGTAACTTTAGCCCACCAAACTATTTCTATAAAGATGTAGCTATTTCTTTGATCCATTTTATTCTGCCTGCAGCTTAGAGATTGCTTTTAGAAATACACGATATATTTCCAAAAATTTTGCTCTCACAAAAATAAAATATATGTGACCACATGTCCTAAAGTGGAAGCCTTTCTGTCCTAATGCTCACGACCAATAAGAAGGTTAAATCAGCAATGCAACTTGAAAGCTATATATCATTGTCTTTTATTTCCTCTTCCCATAAAAGAAAACCTCTTTCCATCTATAGGACCAAGGGATGTCTTCTTTCTCCTACATTTCTTGCATTTATCTAAGATAAATAGCATTATCCAAAGCTGACCCTTCTGGTCCTAAAGTTATCAATGTGAGCAAAAAAGCCTAGTGCTAAGTGTATTCACTAACCATAAACTTACATGCAGATTTTCAAACTGGAGAGTCAGTGTCAGATGTGTATTTTGAAAATGTAAGTGCCCTGCAGAGAGAGTCCACGGGCTCTGGCATTGCCCAGGAAAGAAATGATGAGGGCTTAGAATCAGGTAGTAAGTAGCTTTTGGGATGGTGAGGAGGGCTAAAGATAGTCAAATGGATAGGAATTGAGGATTTTTCATCTGGGAGGGTGAGAAAGATAACTTGTTGCATTTTTATTTTTAGTAATTTTTAGGCTATTAACCGAGAAATCCTGTAAGAACCCTGTAAGGTGCTGTTGCTACTGTTGTTCTTGTCATTATTTATCAGTTCAGGGAAAATAAAAAGAAAATTTATCTTTTAATCATGCAATGAATTTAAATGTGAGTAGAACAAAAGAAGCTCAATACTAATAGATTTTCTATGATCCTTTTACTGTTATTGGCTATGTATTTTGAAATAAAATTTATCCAAAAATGGTTAAAAATAAAAGTATAAGAAAAAATTCAAGAAAGTCAAAAAGTTAATAATTAAATTAGATAATTCAGAGTAAAATGGAATTTTAATAGTTTGTATATTATGAGAAATAATCTATGCTACTCATACTCTGCCCTATAAATTGACTACACAATGAAAGATCTTGCCTTTAATACCATAGCAGTTATCAAACAAAATTTTATTACTGAATTTTAAAATGAATAGTCTAGCTTCAGTAAACTATGTAATGTAACTGGCATGAAGTTGTAGCTGTGTTGATCCAGGTTAATATTTTGCATTCTGGTTTTAGAAAAAAGTTATTTTGGTTTTTATAGGTATAAATTTGAGCACATAAACTTTGATGAACTTTTGTGAGGAAAGACAAGCTGGTTGTAATTGTGGATCTTTCATTCTTTCTACAATCCCCAAAGAATCACTATCAAAACGGATTCTTGCCAGTCTCAAATTAAGAAGATACAAAATTTAAAAAATATATTAAAGGAATAAAAATAACTCATTGAAATCTTAAAATAAAATCAAAAGATAGTTTATTGAAAAGAATGAGTATTATAGGAAGAAAAACAAGTGAATATTCTTTAAATTCTGCACCAGGCATATTATGTAATTAACATACCAACTATAACAAACAGGTAAATTATGTACCATTGTCTCTACTTTAAAAATATAGGACAGAGGTTCAGAGAAGTTAAGATGTTTGCCCAATATTACACAGCTAAATAAGAAGTAGAACAGTTTTTGAATTCACATTATTTTCTTTTAATAGCTTATATATTTTTTCTCTACCTCATGATACCTTTCTACAAATAACCTGAGTACACAGAACCACATGAACTGCTGAAAGGCCCTGACTTTGGTACTTTTTGTCCTTTTGAAAATAATCCTATTGAAACCTTACCCCTTGCTTCAGTAAAGCTGTTTGTAAAACAGCACATTTCTCAAAATTAAACATGTGAGATAGGAAATAGTTCAATATTTATTCTGCAGGTTCTATTTTTTCTTTGTTAAAAGCTGAAAAAATTTATGTATCTATATACATATCATATATATATATATATATATATATACACACACACACAGATAAGTGGAGAAAATAGTATAGTGGCTTATATGAGACAATTATATACTCTTATTAATTCTTTATCTCATATGTGGCACAGAATCTTCTCCCACTGTATGCTTGTCTTCCAATTTTATGTTATCTTTTGGTTCAGGGGTGCTATGGTTTTGCTGTGTCACCACCCATATCTCATCTTGAATTATACTCCTATAATTCCCATGTGTTGTGGGAGGGACCCAGTGGGAGATGACTGAATCATGGGGGTGGTTTCCCCCATCCTGTTCTCATGGTAGTGAATAAGTATCACAAGATCTGATGGTTTTATCAGGGGTTTCCATTTTGTGTCTTCCTCATTCTCTCTTTGCCTGGTGCTATCCATGTAAGACAGGACTTACTCCTCCTTGCCTTCCACCATGTTTATGAGGCTTCCCCAACCACTTGGAACTGTAAGTCCAGTTAAGTCCTTTCTTTTGCAGATTTCCCAGTCTCAGGTATGTCTTTATCAGCAGTGTGAAAACAGACTAATACAAGCGGTATAAAAGTAATTTTAATGCTAGGTTTTTAATTGTTTATTTTCTTCTAATAATTTCTAAGTTTTATTTTTCATATATAAGTATTTAATGTATCTAGTCTTCTTTTCCTGAATGGTGTGAAGTGGGGATTTACTTATTTTTCATATGGATTTGAAATATGGCCACTTCATATTGCTTTTTTGAGCAGGTCCCCAAACCCATTCCTCATCACCTGGTGGAATCTTCCAACCAGGGTCTCCAGCTAGCCCTGATGGTGTTCTCTGGCTGACAGAGGTTTCAAACCTCCCTGGGATAGAGCTCCCAGAGGAAGGTGTTGGCACCATCTTTGCTGCTTCACAGACTTCACTTGTGATACCTCCAGGTACTGAAAAATCTGAAGCAGCTAGTGACTACAGCAGGCCACCAGCACACTACAGCAGCCCTACGGAAAAGCGGCCAGGCTTATACATAAAGGCCTGGTCCCATATCTCCTCACTAGGCAGGTCCTCCGGGCCTGAGCATCCAGCCACCCACTGCCAAAGCTATCAAGCCAGTAGCAGTTCAGTAACTCCCCGGACAGAGCCTCCAGGGGCAACTGAAAGCCTCTCACCCACTGCCTCTGCCTTTCTACCCTTGGACTAACAAAGGAGCAAAGACCCTTAGTGCCTTATCCACACCTCCAATAAGCTGCAGTTGACCCAAGGTGAGAAAGCCAGCCCATCTCCCACAAGGCCCCCACCCCCCACTACTCATCACCACACAGAGCCCCTGGCTTGGGCCCATGGCATGGACTTTCCATCCTGAGCTGATTTCACTGAGTGATTGCTAACCTGCTTCTCTGTGGGGTTAGCCCCAAGGAGACAAACCGAAGACCCTTGGCCACAGCCACCTAAGGTCCCTTTCTTTGTTGCCTCCAAGTTGAGGAGGAACATAAACACTGAGATTGCCCCTGAGCTGCAGTGAGCAGCCCGGGAGTGCCAAGCCATGATCTACAGGCGACACTCAATGGGGGAGCGGGGGAACACACACTTTCAGAGCACTGAGAAGAAACATGGCTGCAACTATGAGAAAACATAACGGAGCCACACAACTGAACAAGAGCCTACCAACTGACCAATAACCTAAGTGCCACCTACTGGATTACACCCCAAAGCTTCAACACCAAAAATACCTTACACCCAAAAGCTTCAACACCAAAAATACCTTGCTAAATATCCCCTTCTGAAACCAGAGACAATCAGCTTCAAATAAAGACCTGCACAAAGCCTCAGCCCAGTGAAAACATCAAGAAAATAAGTCTATTGACTCTACTCGATTTATATTGAAGTTAAAGGAATATCCACACACAGAGATGAGAAAGAAGCAACATAAGAACTCTGGTAACTCAAATGGCCAGAGTGTCATATGTCCTCCAAAAGACCACGTAAGTTCTCCAACAACAGTTCTTAACCAGAATGAGCTGGCTGGAATGACAGAAATATAATTCAGGGTATGAATAGAAACAAAGATTATCAACAGTAAGGAGGATGGCAAAATCCAATCCAAAGAAATTAAGAATCACAATAAAGTAATACAGAAGCTGAAGGATATAATAGCTGGCATGAAAAAATAACCTAATGGATCTGGCAGAACTGAATAACATAATACAAGTATTCACAATGCAATCACAAGTATTAACAGCAGAATAAACCAAGCCGAGGAAAGAATCTCAGAACTTGAAGAAGACTGGCTGTCTGAAATAAGACAATCAGACAAAATAAAGAAAAAAAATAAATAAAAAATGAGAATGAACAAAATCTTTGAGAAGTATGAGATTAGGTAAAGAGGCCAAATCTATGAATCATTGACATCTATGAAAGGAGGGAGAGAAATCAAACAACTTGGAAAACATATTTCAGAATATCATCCACAAAAACTTCCCCAACTTTGTTAGAGAGGGCAACAGTCAAATTCAGGAAATACAGAGAGCTCCTGCAAGATTGTACACAACAAAAACATCTTGAAGACACATAATCAGTGTCTAGGAAGTGCTAGATACTTCCTGCCCTCAAGCATCAGACTCCAAGTTCTTCAGCTTTGGGACTCAGACTGGCTTCCTTGCTCCTAGTTTGCAGAGGACCTATTGTGGGACCTTGTGGTAGTGTGAGTTTATTAAGTATTAATAAACTCCCATATATATGCCTTATAGATATGCCAGTATTATATTGTATATTAAGTATTATATTGTGTATTAAGTATATATAGTATATTATTATAATACTTAATAAACTCCCATATATATGCCTTATAGATATGCCAGTATTAATAAATAATTAATTAATAAACTCCCATATATATGCCATATGAATATGCCAGTATTGAGTGGGGTCCAGAACAAGAGAAGCCTTGTTCTGGGCAAGGATATCCTTGTTCTTGTATCAGAAAAAGGATATATATATATATATATATATCTCCTATTAGTTCTGTCCCTCTAGAGAACCCTGATTAATACAGGAATATAAATCATTCTACCATAAAGACATGTTCATCGTAGCATTACTTACAACAGGAAAGACATGAAATTATACTAAATGCCCATCAATGACAGATTGGATAAGGAAAATGTGGTACATATACACCATGGAATACTATGCAGCCATCAAAAGAATGACATTATGTCTTTTGTGGGAACATGGATGCAGCTGGAGGCTATTATACTCAGCAAACTATGGCAGGAACAGAAAACCAAGTACCACATGTTCTCACTTATAAGTGGGAGCTAAACTATGAGAACTTATAAACACAAAGAAGGAAACAACAGACACTGGGGTTTACTTGAGGTTGTAGGGTGGGAGAAGGGAGAGGAGCAGAAAAGCAGAAAACATAACTATTGTGTACTGGGCTTAATACACGGCTGATGAAATAATCTGTATAACAAACTTCCATGACACAAGTTTACTTGTGTAACAAACTCCCACATGTACCAGGACCTAAAATAAAAATTTTAATAAAATCCAAAATACTCAAGCAAACAAAAAAGAAACAAAGCTAAAATACATAAATATTTAAACAAACAAAAACAAAGTATGGCCATTTATTAAGATATCCAAATGGCTAATAAGCACATGGAGAGGTGCTCAATATCATTAGCCAATAGAGAAAGGCAAATCAAAACCACAGTGAGATACCACTTTTTACAGCTAGAATGGCTATAATAAAAACGATGAAAAAGTTAGTGAGGATGGAGAAAAATGAAACCTTATACACCACTGTTAGGAATATAAAATGGCATAGCCACTTTGGAAAATAATCTAACCTTTCCTCAAAATGTTAAAATAGAGTTATTATAGGACTCAGTAATATGTACCCAGGAGAAAGGAAAACATGTCCACACAAAAACTTGTACCTGAATGCTCACAGTAATCTTATTCATAATAGCTAAAAAGTGAAAACAATCCAAATATCCACTAATTGATGAATGATAAGTGTGATGTGGTGTATGTGTGTGTTTGTATGTGTGTGTGTATATATATACATATATATTTATATATCCATACAATGGAATATTATTTGGCAATGAAAAGGAATGAAGTACTGATACAAGCCACAACACAGATGAAATTTGAAAGCGTTATGCTAAATAAGCAAGACACACAAGAAAATCAGAAATTATATTATCCTATGAATATGAAATGTCCAGAATAGGCAAATCTATAAAGACGAAATATAGATTAGTGTTGTCTTGGGCTGACAGGGTGGAGGAATGGGGGGGTGAATGTTAAAGGGTATGGGATTTCTTTTTGATATGATGAAAAGTTTCTAAATTTGATCATGGTGATGGTTGTACAACTGTGAATATACTAAAAATCACTGATTTGTACACTTTGTATGAGTGGTATATGAATACAGAGTATGTGAACTGTATCCATAAAGCTGTTACAAAAAAATAAAAATAAAAATAAAATCAGTATAGTAAAAGTTCCCAGAAGCTCCAGTCAACTAATTTCTGCTGATATTTTATTGGCCAGACTGAGCTGCATAGCTCTTCTAGACAATCAATGGCCAAACGGAAGAAGCGTGTTGCAGCTGTTTTAGTCTAGGCTCAATTCATCTCCTGTGGCTAGGTTATAGCCCTACACTCCCTGAAATAAAGGAGTTTCTCATTATACCTGAACAAATTTTGATTCTCTTAGTATAGAAGAGGGAAGTTGTGTTTTGAAGGAAAAGAACAGTGTTTGCTATAATTTACATTTAAAGTCTTATTATTTGATTTATTATTTTAAAAGTAATCTCATTTGACCAACAGCTTTTAAAGATGAAGAGATCAGTATACTTCTCCTACCTAATTTTAGAGTCTCTTCTCCTTGTGATATTATTCTATATTTTCAGATGGTTCTGAAGCCATAAACCCTATTTTTTTAAAGTTTTAATCCAACATTTAAATGTATTTAATGCTTATCCCAACTAATTTTACTACAATTACATTAGCTTAAAAGAATTTCACAGTCATGGCTGGGCGCGGTGGCTCAAACCTGCAATCCCAGCACTTTGGGAAGCCAAGGCGGGCAGATCACGAGGTCAGGAGATCGAGACCATCCTGGCTAACACGGTGAAACCCCGTCTCTACTAAAAAATACAGCAAATTAGCCGGGCGTGGTGGCGGGCGCCTGTAGCCCCAGCTACTCAGGAGGCTGAGGCAGGAGAATGGCGTGAACCCAGAGCTGGAGCTTGCAGTGAGCCGAGATCGCACCACTGCTCTACAGCCTAGGCAACAGAGCGAGGCTCCGTCTCAAAAAAAAAAAAAAGAAAAAAAGAAAAGAAAAAAAAGAATTTCACAGTCATTTATTCATGACAGGCTCATGAAACTATAATCTCAGAGTTTGTGCATATTTAAAACTTACCTTTTGTCTTCATATCTGTACAATATCTTGGCTGGACATAGTATTATTTGATCACCCTTTCTTTCTTGAGGACTTTGTAGATACTCGCTGGTTTGCAGCATTGAATATTTCTGTGAAAACGTTTTGGGCCTGCTTGATTTTCCTCCCAACATCTCTTTATTTTGACTTTGGTTTCTAAATGATCCTCTATTTTTGTATTCAACATCCAATAGCAAGATATCTGTTGGTATTGATTTGTTTCTGCATTTGTCTTGAATTGATGATGAGTGATTTCAATCTGGAGGCTCAATCTTCTTCACATTTTGAAAGTTTTCTTAATTTCTATCTTTCTTTCTTTATTTATTTTAGTCAAGTAGCTTTGATTCTCTTCCTCAGGGATATGAATTAAATATATTGCATATACCTTTGTCAGTTTTCCATTGTTATCATTTTTACTCTAGATATTTTGGAATGAGAAAGCATCACAAGCTGATCTCAGATATATTTATGAAAAGACATAAACACCATTTGGATAAGTCAATCAGGATTTAAATGATACAGGAAAAATGATGTGAATAACTATCTACTAAGGATAATCCAGCAATTATATGTACAGGCAGATACGTGTATCTTTGATTCTCATCCCCATCAAAAAATTTATTAGCAGTGTGCACTTAATATTGAGGTATTTTGAATTAATGAGGGTAATGTTGGACTTTAATTCATCTAGCCCTTTCAAACCGAGCCTTATATACATAATATTATGTACAAAAACTAGACTGGCCATATTCTAGGGACCATCTCATCTGAGACAGCTATAACTTGTCAAACTCAGGATTATGTAATAAGATGAGAGTATGGCAGAACTACTTAGATATGAATTCAGTCCTCATTTATCCCTCTCACTCCTCAGGCTAAAAAGGCCTGTGAAATAAAATTCTAAACTTATGGCAATGACCCACATATCTAGGAGCCATGTTAATAGCCCTTAGTTAAATCTCCAATAATATAAACTCTTTGTTCAGATCTATTTCATTTTTATTTGTTCTTTGTCCTATCTTCCATGTACCTTATTGCTTTTATTTTTCTTTGTCTTGAGTCTATGTGGCCTTCATTTATCTCACACTAACTTGTTTCCTGAGCTATACATACACATGAATTATCTGTCTTGTTGTTTGATATTTTTCCCTAGTTTTTGCCTTTCTTCTAGGAAGTCTTGTTTTACTAAAAAGATGATTTTTATTAAGTTTTAAAAATGTATAGTAATATGTTTCATAGGTGAGGATAGCAGGAAAGCAATATTTTTTTAAAAATGACTTCAGATAATCCTTCAAAACTGAAGAAATACAATAGTGTCCAGATCAAAAGCACACCCCCAAGATCCAAGAACCAAAAGTAAAAATAAAATGAAATGCATTCTCAGATTCACAGAAGTAATCCTAAAGAAATGAAGAATAAAGATAGAATCCTAAAATATAGCCAAAAGAAAAAAGTACTGACTTCATACAAAAGAACAGCAGTTAGGTGAGCAAGGCTTTTCATTGACGAAAATGGATGCCAGAAAACTACAGAATAATAACTTTAAAAGGCTAAGATGTATTAGTCAACTTAGGATTTTATGTCCAGCTAGAATGTCATTTAAGAGGGAAAGCCAAATTAAAACATTATCATATAGTTAGACATATAAACTCATAAGCTTCACTTAAAACAAGCCATAAGTAGACCAAAAAAAACCCTGTTGAACACATATTCCAAAAAGAAAAAAAGTAAAAGAAAAAAATAGAGAAGTTGTGGGTTATAAGAGAGAATAGAATCGTAAATACAAAAATTAGTAAAGTTTGCTCGTTGAATTAAATTAACTATTCCTCATTTTTTATAAAAACAACTAATTCATTTTGCCAAGGTAAAGAGACAAAAAGTTTTAAAAAGTTAAAATGGTTTACAAATAAGATTCTAGGGAAAGTGAGTTTAAAGGACAGTAAAAGTATGCCCTTGTCATGGCCAAAAAGAGGTCAGAAATACTGGATAATGCATATTTTAAAAAGATTATAGTACACTAACAATGGAGATAAACACTAAAAGATTAAATATATAGATTGTCAAAATCTAGATTTTAAAAAAGCAGTATATTTGTCAATCCATGAGAAAGCAAGAAAGGAAGGGAGATAGGACAAATAATATAAATGTTAAGCAGAAAACACAAAATAACATGGAGGAAATTATTTTAAACATATGAGTAACTATAATATATCAACAGATTAAATTGACTGTTAAAGTAAAAAATCCAGATATATGCTAATGTATAAGTTATATGCATGAACAAAATCCCAAAGAATGGTTAAAAATAAAGTAAAGCAAAATAATTTAATAAGCACTTACAATATACAATAAGCAAAATAGCAAAATTCACATAACATATAATAGAATTTAAACAGTGCTCCACAATTAACAAAGAACAAAGGAGATTACTACATAATGACAGAAGAAGAGATACTTCAATCAGACATTATATTCAGAAGCTATGTGCATTTAATGATATAGCTCAAAAATATATGAAATAGACAAAATGATAGTAAGGAATTTGGAAATCCATAATAATAGTAGGAAATTTTAACACAACTCTTTAATAGCTAATTAACAAAAATAGGCAAATATTTAGTAAAAGAATAAGTAAGTTATAGACATTTTGAACAGTAATACCAACATTTTCAGCTCATAATTTTAATAAAAATCTGTCTCCAATGAGTAGAAAATATGTATTATTTGCCAGTAACCTTAGCACATTTCTATGAAAATTTATAAGGTGCTAGTTTACAAAGGAAGTTTCAGTGAGTACAAATAATTGTTATCAAACACAACATGCCCTCTTGTAATACAATTTAATAAAGAATTAACAATGGAAAAGTTAAAATTTTCTACATGTTAAGAGACTTTTAATAAACTTGTGAATAACTAATGGCTTAATCAGAAAATCCTCATAGAAATGACAAAATATTTATGATTGTGGAAATTGAAAGTAATCAATATGTGTGTTCAATCTTGTGACATGCAGTTAAAATAGAACTTTTAGGGAAATTGTCAGCCTCAAATCATTTTCTTAAAAATATAAGAACAAATGAAAATAAGTATGAAAATATCCATATTCGCCTTAAGAAACAAAATAAATTACAACAAATTAAACACAACAAAACTAATAAGGTATGAAATAATAAAGATAAAAGCTACATTTAACAAATTATTAAATAATAGAGAAGATAGAAATATGGAAGTCAAAATTTCAGGAAATAAAACTGTATAAGAAATGTATAATCCAAATAGTTATCAACATAAAATATGGAAAGAAGTGTTGAGCTTTGGGAACAATTAATTGTAGGAGTCTTCAAGGACCAGAATGAATAGTATTCTCTATGGCAAATCCACCCTAAAATGGCTGTTTCCAGTACTGACCCTAGTAAAATCTGAGAACATTTATTCTACATTGGAAATTTTTGTTTCAGCAGAACTAGAAGTGGTATGTTTCATTAAACACAGGGTTCTGGAGGTAGAACAGCTATGTTAGACTCCTTCGCCCAGCCAGGTACTAGTTCTATGACCTAGGAAAATTTACCCTCTCTAAGCCTCATCTGCAAAATAGAGAGAATACTACCATAAAGAATAGTTTTTAGCTCAAGAATAAGTAGCCAGTAAATACAATTTTTTATTATTATCATTGTGATCATTATTATTAGAATAGAAAGTGGGAATATATGGTTGGGTTATAGTAATAAATATGTCTTATTTTCTCCAAAGCAACTTAGAAAAGCCTCTCTGACTTTATTATTCGTCAGATATAAATTGACCTTCCCAGCAAGGATGGTTGCAATCTATGCCTAAGGGTGTACCTAAAATAAAGATCTACTGCCTAAGGAAAGAGGAAAAGAGGGAGAGATGGAGAGAAGGACAGAGAGGAAGGAGGAGAAGGAGAAAAGAGAAAGGGAGAAAGTGCATTACATATATGCACGTATATATGTAGTACATGTACACTCGGGAAATACTATATTTTTGGTTAAAGAAGATGCATCTTTACTGTAGAGTCAAACAGATGAACATGGCAGAACCTTGCATAATGCTTAACACATTAAATAAATGTCTTTTAAGCCAAATTGAAGTGATAAAAATATTTGTTGTTTTAATCAAAAAAGGTATAGGAGAGATAACAGAAAAAAAAGCTAAACAAGAACAACAATAAAAACATAATTTTCAGAAGTTAGTAACTCAGATATAACTGCACCATAATGGATAGGTAAAATGTTTTCTTTTTGTGCAAGGAAGCTAAAGTGAGGAAGGCTATTTTTAAGGTTTTGGAAAAACTTGAATGTTTCTCCCTTCATTTTCCTTTTCCACATTACTTTATATGCACATATGGGTCTTCTTTTTGCAGCAGCAGAGAAAAAAACTACCCTACAATTGTTTGGAATGTTCATATCAACCTTTATAATATTTGTTACCTTTAATTATTTGAAAATGTTGACAGGACCCTAATATGACATTAGCGGAAGATATCTGTGTATCTGAGGGCAAGATTTGGCTCCAAGATTTTTCCAACAAGTATTTCTATATTTTGAAAATGTCATATATCCTATATATAGTGAATGGATTTTAATTTAATTTTCTTTTAAATTTTAAGAATAAAGATAAAAATTAATTAAAGGAGTAAGTCTTGGTTGGTTCTGCAGGTGTTGGCAAGTGTTAGGTATGGAAACAGCCATCTGTGTTAATGAATAGTTCCCTGTCTGCCACCTGTCAGGTATTCCTGTCTAAAGTAAGAGGCAGGACTTGGGACCATTATAAAAGGGTCCGATTCTGTAACAAGCGTCAGCTAACAGAGACCTAGAGAGGGAAAGACCGTGAGTTTTCTGTGATCTTAATTTTCAAGCCTTGCTACTACCAAAATGTAATCATAAAAAAAAAATACTAAAAAAAAAGGTTAAATGTTTATCCCTTTTGATCTATAAAGGTGATAAAGTGACCTTGCTATCAGTTATTTTTGAGCTTTATTTGGCATCAAAATATTCTTGGGATAACAGTTAAAATGCAGACTCTTTTGTACTAGGTCCAGGCCCCAGGCCCTGGAATAGGGCCTGGAAATCTAACACATAGATCATTCTAGGAGAAACTTAGGTGGTATATTTGTTTGTTACAGCTGTCATAAATACCACAGTCTGGGTGGCTTGAACAACAGAAATTTATTTGCTCACAGTTCTGGAGCCTGGAAGTCCAAGATTGAGATGTCTGCAGGTTTGGCATCTTCTGAGGGCGCTCTGCTTGGCTTGCAGATGGTTGCCTTCTCCCTGTGTCCTCTCATGGTCTTTCCTTTTTGTGAAGGCATCCTTGGTGTCTTTCTGTGTGCCTGAGTTTTCTCTTATAAGACACCAGCGAGATTGGCCCTACCATAAGGGCCACACTTTAACTTAATGACCTCTTTAAAGGCCCTACCTATCTCTAAATACAGTCACCTCCTCAAATGCTGAGGGTTAGGGCTTTAGTATATGAATTGGAGGGTGACACAATTCAGCCTATAACAAGTAGTATAATGTATGTAAAATGCTCTAGAAAGCCATGATTTCATTTCTTGATAACATTCTGCTTTGTTATTCAAGATAATTGAAGCAATATATTGAGATTTCATCTCCTCCTAGATTGTTTTCTGAAAAAGTAGCTGGCCACTAATTAACTCCGCCTGTAAACTTGCAAGACAAATAGAACTTGGACTGTCCAGCTAGTGCTTGAAATGTATACTTCCAGGCTCGGATGTGAGGTCTAGTACTACTGTCCAGCCCTCCACAAACAGGACCCTTTGAAAGCTACCAGAAAAGCTTAGAAACGTCAAAATCAGTAAGATGAAAATCCCCCTAGGACACCAGAGAGGAAGAACCCTGACCTAGGCTATGATATGTAGGTGAACCCTTTTCATCCTTTCCTACACAAATTCCATGCTGGTGCAGGGAAGGGGATCCGACATGCTTTAGGAAAGAATTGCATTTCTGGAAGGTTTTATGTAAGGAAAACTTTAGGAAGTGCTATATCCTTGACAATCTTGCAGTCACAGCTCATTAGGACCATTGAAACCATGTTTATAAATTCAGCCACAATTTCCCTTTATTATCTGAGGGATGTCCTATCATTAAGGAGTATAAGGGCAGGCTTTGCAACCTTGTAATAGAAAACATTTTCCCCATATGGTCAATATAAGATGACACTAAGTTCTGCCTATATCCTATTAAAAGAGCCCTCCAGAATGAATCCTATCACCAGCAGAGAATAAGCTGAAAGATAGACACACTGAAGGAACCTCTTAAATGGACAGCGTGGAGAACTCCACAGGGCAAACATTTCTTGTCATGCAAAAGGGTGATAGAAGTTTGTAATTTGTGAAATTCATATAGTTCACTGTAAATTGTGATTTATGTGGTAATAGCCATTGCCTAGGTAAGTTCACAATTGAAACTAATTTGTTTGACAAAAAGGTATAGGCACCAATGAGATATATATTAATACACTATTCATTGAAGCATTTCCTCTGCTATTGTGCCAAGCTTCTACACTTCTCTCGACTGTCAAATGCTTCTGTGAACACCAGATTAGCAAAATGAAGAATGAAGGCATGCCTATATAATTCAGGGGAACAATACCTCCTTCTTCATAAAATGATCAAAGAATTTAAGCAGAATTCATGTTACCCCCACTTCCCACACTGTGAAGATTACTATATATTTTTTCAAATTATAAATCAAGTGTTTACTTTGTTTCAAAGATTCCATTTTTAAAAAGCATCCACTGACAAGGATCATTGTTTTCATTTTTGTATATATTTGTCAGTAGTTTCTCAAGGATGTATTTTTTCTTTTTCTTTTTTCATTACAAATTGGCTACAATATTACCATCACTTCGTACTTCATTTTGCACGTGTAAAGACAAGTTTACACCTAATTCAGCACCTCCATCAGAGAGTATTACTTAAAGGGGAAGGTCAACGTTATATGTATTATGAGCTCTTAAATGTCAGAAATTTGTCTTGTACATCTTGTTACAGAGTTGGTAATTGGGAATGACAGTAATTGAAATCAGACATGAATGTTTTATTCTACACTGAGAAGAAAATAAATAGAATTATTTGATTTGATATTGACTCAAAGGGTTTTAATAGAATCTATGCATTTCAAATTACTTCTATTCCTCTTCCATGCTTTCCTTTTTTTCCATAGTAACCCCTTTCATTCCATTTTTTCCTCCATTACTCTCTTCTTTTTGATCTTTTGTTTGTCTTTTTAAAAATTGTTTTCTCATTCCCTAGTACTCCAAAGACACAGGCTCAGTTCCTGGAATATTGCAGATACTCAGTCATGTTGGTTTCCCCTAGCTACCTCATCTGGTTAAAAAAACAATACTAAAGTATTTTACCTGGCCCCAAAATTATGATAGGAAATTTGAGTCTTATGTACTGTGCTAGGTCTGCATGAAAACCTAAGAATCATTAAGATCAGGAATGGAAACAGATTTCTCATGGGTCTCTACAATTGACTGTTTGGGGCTCTGTTTGCAATTATCAATTTTCTTCTCACTCCACATTCTCCAGTTAGGTGAATTCATCAACCCCATTGTTTTAAATGCCAGCATCCCCAACTGTCTACTCCATTTTGCTTGTTTTGTGATACATTAAAAGTAATATGTCTAAATACAATGCTTGACACCCCCCATCATCAATTACCCTTCATGTTCTTTTATTTTAGAAAATGCCACAATTTACCCTTTCACTTAAGTTAGAAGTCAGAGAATCATGCTTAATACCTTCCTGTATTGTATACCCTTTATATCCAAGACACTGGAAAGTTCTGTTGTTTTTACATCCATAAATACACCCTGAATTGGTTCACTTACTGTCATTATCTACCTTATGAATTTGGATCAAAGCACCATCATCCACTGCCTAATTCGTACTGTGGCTTCTTAACTGGTGCCTCCACTTCTGTTGGCCTCACTTTGATCAGCTTTTCATACTGTAGTGAGAATAAACTAACATGAACGGATCATTCCATTGCACTACTTAATGCCCTTTAATGACTCTCTTAGGTCCTCACAGTAACCCTCCTCCACATGCATGGCCTAATACACCTGTTCAAACAGACTCCTGCCAGCTAATGCAAATTCATCTAGGGCTGATTCTGCCCTTGCTCACTAAGCTCTAGTCAGAAATTAGGTCACTGATTAAATCCATCTCTCTTCCATTTCAATGCTTTCTTAGATGTTGTTTCCTCTCTCTAACTCCTGTTAATTCTTCAGATTTCAGCTTTATTGTTCCTTCCTCAGAAAAGCCTTCCTTGACACACCAGTTTAAATTAACCCTTATTATTCTTTCTCATACTTTTCTCTTCTTTCCTTTTATAGAACTTGTCACCATTTAAAGTTAATAAATTAATGTGCACATTTTTGGTCGGTTTCTTTTGTTAGACATGAGTTTAACACCTTGTTTATGTTAAAAATGAAAACCATGGGCTTTTGATTTCTGCTTCAACATGTAAAGGGCTTAAAACTCATTGCTACTGTCCTTACAACAAGATAAAGCTGAACAAACTGAAAATCAAAGACTTTCTTAGATCCGTTAGAGAACTAGATTTGCAGGGCAAATTTGTGTCTCAAAATCTGAAGTGATAAGGGAATCCAGAGAGCCACACCTGAAATGTATCTGAAGCAGAAGATGCAGGAGTCATAACTGTTAGGAACAATGAAATAGCAATTTTGATGAATTTCTGTAGTATAAATATGGACTAGAATGAGAATGAGAAATTCTTTGCGGAGGTACTCTTCGGGGAGACCCCACAATTTCATGAGTTTTTACCTCCAAAACCTCTACCAGCTCCTGAGGGTGAAGATCTGAGAAATGTTCCCTCATAGTTACAGTAGGAGCAGGGAAGTCATAGTCACTGTGGAATGCAACCTGATTATTCTCCATAACAAAGGCCTACTCTTTAGGGAAGAAGACTTAATGAGGAACTTATTTCAGCTAGGGAAGGGCATTTCTCCAGCCCCACTAGTCTTTCTGTCTCACCTGTGCTGGGAAAAAAATCTACATCACTGGAGAAGCACTGGTGAGGGTCACAGTAAGAAACACAGAATCATTAAAACACAGAGATTTCATCTTAAGATTATAGACTGCTTAAGTTCCCCCATACCTTGCCACCATACCAACAGGACATTTGTATGATATCAGTGAATTATTACAGCTAAAAGATGAAAAAGTTAGTAATAATTATGAAATACATCTTGAAGATCCTACATAATAAAGGACTAATCTTCAAGGAAAATGACTTTACCACAGCATTACCACATATAGGAGAAGGGCATTTCTCACACTCCATTCCATTCTTGTCTTCTTTTCTTGACTAAGGAAGAAGCAAACAATAGGTGTCAGGACTTCAAGGAAATACATTGAGAATGATGCAGTAAAGAAGAAGAAGCTGTACTACTGGAGAAACATTTGTGAAAATAATAGCCCCAAGATAGAGATCTACTAAAAGACTTAGATTTAATCAGAAAATTATACGACATTTCCCCTTTCTGGTCACCTTACCATCATACTAAAACGGTTCCATATAACACTGGATAGAAGAGCTATAAGACACAGACTTTCTTTGAGAAGGAATACTTAGGGAAGCCCAAACACAAGAAAGATGAAAACAAGGACACTAGAGGAATTTAAAGCTTTTTGGCACCAATATCTGCAGCAAACATTAAGCATATCACAGAAGAAATTTAAAATAACTATGATTGCCATGTTAAGTGATCTAATGAAAAAATAGAGAAGATGTGAGAATAAATGAGTAATGAAAGAAAAGAGAAACTCTAAGAAAACTTTTTTTAAATGCTAGAAACAAAAACACTGTAACAGAAATGAACATGTATTTGATGGATTCATCAGTAGACTTGAGACAGCTGACAAATAATCAGCCTGCTTAAAGATAGGTCAATAGAAACTTCTCAGACTAAAATGCAGAGAAAAATAGCGTAATAATGATAACAATAAATAACAGAACCTCTAAGAATTGTGGGAAAAAATTTTTTAAGTATAACCTACATGTAATTAAAATGCTAGAAGAAGAATAAAGAAAGAACAAAGCAGAAAAAAATATATAAGTGAATTCGGCCAATAATTTTCCAAAATTAATGACAGACATGGAGCTAAAGATCCAGGAAGCTCAGAGAACACCAGAGAGCATAAGTACCCCCAAACCACAGCAAGACATCTTGTATTCAAACTATAGCAAACTAAAGGCAAAGAGAAAACCTTGAAAGAAGTCAGATGGGGGGAAAACCCACCTTGTTCCTATAGAGAAACAAGGATAATAATTACAGCGAACTCATCGGAAACCAGCCAAGCAAGAAGAAAGTAAATTTAAATATTTAAAGGGTTGAAAGAAAAATTCACTAACCTTGAATTTTATATCTAGCAAAATTGACCTTCAAAAGTGAAGTAGATATTAGTCTTCCTCTGACAAACAAAACTAAAGAAATTTAGTATTTAGTATTTAGTAAGGCAGCAGATCTGCCATACAAATAATTGTTAAGAGTTCTTTAGGCAAAAAAAAAAAAAAAAATGATGTGGATCAGAAACTCAGATCCACATATAGAAAAGTATCAGATAGGAATAATTAAATGTAGCAATTCTTTTCCTATTCTTAATTGATCTAAAAGGTAATTGTGTAAAGTAAAAATAGAAATAACATATTGGGTGATTATAGAATATATATTCATGAAATGAATGACAGAAATGTCTTAAAGAATGACGGAAAGGAATTAGAAATATTGTCAACCTGTACTACATGTGAAATGGTATAGTGTTTAATTGAAAGTAGACTTAAATTAGTGTAAAATGTACATTGGAAACTTAGAGAAAGTAAAAAAAAAATCAGAAACAAGTATAATAAATACATTAAGAGGTAAATGTTTGTTAAAGTTAAATATTAAGAGTTAAAATGCTCACTTAAAACTAGAGAAGTCAGGAAGTGAAGGGAAAAATAAGAAAGAATAAGCGCAATGAGGAGATAGTTACTGACAGTGTTGATATTAAACTAACTATACCAATAATGACTTTAAATGTTAATTGTCTTATTGAATAAATTAAGAATACAGAGACTATCATAATGAATGCAAAACAAATCCAAATATATGTTTTCTATAAGAAGCCCACTTTACATATAAATACTGGAAATATTAAAAGTAAAGGAATGGAGAAAATATTGAATGCTGACACTAGTAAAATTAAACTGGAGTAGCAATATTTATTTCAGACAAAGCAGTCCTCTAACCAAGGAAAACTATTAGAAATGAAGGGGAGAATTACACAGTGATAAAGGCGTTCATTCTTCAAGGAGGAATAACAGTCCTCAAAGTGTATACACCTAACAATAGAGCATTATGCTACATGAGGCAAAAACTAATGGAACAAAAGCAAAAAATAGATGAATCTGTGATTGTAGTTGGAGACCCCTCTATTGGCATTTGATCAATCCAGGTGGCAATAAATCAGGAAGGATATTGTTGACCTGAAGAGCACTATCAATCAATTTGATCCAATTGACTTTTAGATTCTTAAAAAAATTATCTTTTATGAAATATTCCATCCAGCAATAGCAGAATATACATTTTATGAGGCTCACATAAAATATTCAGCAAGATAGACCACATTCTAGATCACTGAAGACAACCATTTAATTAACTGTAGAAGAATAGAAATGATAAAAAGTATTTTCACAGAACACAATGGAATTAAACTAGAAATTAATGACAGAGAAAGCAGGAAAAAAGTCCCTAAATACTACTAAACAATATACTTCTAAATGACAAAGTTTCAAGAGATATTAAAGAAATATTTTGAACTAAATGTAAATACAATTTATCAAATTTGTGGGGTGCTTAGAGATAATTCATAGCATTACATTTTTATATTAGAAAAGAATAAAACTTAAAGTCAATATCCTGTGTTCCATCTTAGGCAGCTAGAGTAAGAATAATTGAAGCCTAAATCAAGCAGATGAAAAGAAATGATAAAAATTAGAACAGCAATCAATGAATTGAAAACAGGAAAGTAAGGGAGTTAGTCAACAAAACCAAAGCCTGTTATTTTGGAGAAAAATTATATATACATTTATATATACATATTATATATATTATACACTTATATATATTTTATTTATATATACACATATATATACATATATATAACTTCTAGTCAACTTACTCAAGGTAAAAAGAGAGTAGACACAATTTACCAATGTCACAAATAAAAGTGATGTCATCTCTATGGATTCCATGAGAATTAAAGGATAATAAGTGGATATTTTGAACAACTGTATGATAACTAAATGAAATGGACCAATTCCTTAAGTAGACTACCTAGTATCACACAAGAAGAAATAGATAATCTAAATAGGCCTATATCTATTAAAGATATTATGTCAATATTTAATAATATTCTTCCAAACAAGAAATCATTAGGCCCAGATCATTTCACTGAGATTTCTAGCAAATATTTAAAAAAAAATTATATCAATGATTTACAATCTCTTCCAGAAAACGGAAGCAGAAGAAGTACTTCCTAACTTATTTTATTAAGCCATCATTACCTTAATACCAAAACTAAGGAAAAGACATTGCAAGAAAGTAAAACTTTAGAATATTGTTTAACATGAATAGAGATGTATAATTTTTTATCAAAATATGAACAAATGAAATTAAAAAATTTACAATAAAAATTATACACTCTGACTAAATGAAACTTATTCAGTTATACATGGCTGGTTCAACATTTGAAAATCAATCTGTGTAATCTATAACATCAGAAAGCTAAGAAAGAAAATCATATAATCATGCAAATTGATGAAAAGGAACATTTGAAAAAAAAATTACCTATTCATAATAAAAACTCCCAGGAAACTTCCTCAACTTCATTTTTAAAAAAAGCATGAAAATCCTACTCTAATATTATATTTACTAGTGAGAAACAGTATACTCTCTCTCTGTGATCAAGGACAAGATAAGGATGTTTTCTATCACCATTCCTATTCAGCATCATACTTCAATTTGTTCTTGTCCAATAGACAAGACAAGAAAATAAAATGTAAACAGACTGGTGAGGAAGGGATGAACCTGTCTTTGTTTCAAGATGATATGATTGTCTATGTAAGAATTAAAAAAAAAATTGACCAAAAAAAACCCAACAACAACAAAAACCCTTGAGAAGGATTCTGAGAATATGGCAAAGTAGAAAATACCAGTTACCTCTCTTCCCACCTGGACAACTATTACACTGGTAGAATCGGTCTGATGTAACTACTTTGAAACTCTGGAGTCTATTAAAGAGTTGCAACTTCCAGGGCAAGGCTTGGGTGGTAAACTGCAGTTACTTTCAGTCAACTCAGTTTTTAGCATGGTAGCAGCTACTCATCTCCCACCCCCAGCCCTGTTGCAGGCAGCTGAGCACACCTTCCAGAAGCAAGCTGTGTACAGCCTGGGGGAGCCAGGGTGGGCAAAAGAAAGGACTGTGTCCTCCAAATAGCAGATCTCTGTGCTCTGGTCACCGATTGCTGCTTTTTGATCACAGAGGTACAGACAAAGAGGTAGGTGGTCATTGTTGTTACACTTCCTCTCGTTGCTGTAAGACCCACTCCTGTGTGAAGTGATTTCCAAAGGACCTTAACTGCCAATACCTTCCACTGCTTTATTTTTATCTTTTGCCCCTTTTGGGAGCCAAGCATTAATGATAAGGACATTCAAAAACAACTATTTATACAGGGAATATAAAAAGTGATCATACATGCCCAAGGAAAGGCTCGGAGAAGACCTAGAAGTCTTTAGATTTACAACTTGAGGATTTTTTTTTTCACACAAAGACAGCCTGTCGCAATTAAAAATATATAAAGTAAGCAAAAAATAAACAACAACAGAAGACAGAAAACCCTAGGGGAAGGAGAGGAATCTGATTTCCAGAGTTACCACATTATTAGATTCAAATGTTCAGTTTTCAACAAAACATCACAAAGCCTACAAAGAAACAAGAAAGTATGGCTCATTCAAAGAAAAAAAAAATAAATCAACAAAAACTGTCCCTGAAAAAATTCTGATGGCAGATCTACTGACAAAAAGTTTAAAACTTCTGTATTAAAGATGCTCGAGGAGCTAAAAAAAGATGTGAAGAAGGTCAAGAAAACAATGTATAAACAAAATGGAAATAACAATAGACAGAAAAAGTAAATTTTTTTTCTAAGATGGCAGACTAGAGGTTTTTATTGTGCCTTTGTCCACTTGGAAATAGAAAAATGGTATGCTACGATTGACACTGTAAGCTTTTATTCAAGAAGAAATATGAGAACTCACTCAAAAAGTGAAGGACACCCAGATCCCAGGGACAAGAAAGTTTACAAGCAGGATGAATGATGGCATTCAGCTGACAAAAGTAATTGAAGCTCCAGTATATATATATAAGGAGGCAGATTCTCCCTCTATGGTTCACTTTTCCACTGGGGATCCATGCCACCAAGGCCACAGGAGGGCATCTTGTTTCTCCCAACCCCTGCAGCTAACTTGAGGAGAGGCTGAGAGAAGTGGAGACAGAAAGAAACCAGGAAAAGCTGCAGGCATTTTCCCAGACCCAGGACTGAGAAAAGTATACCATTTTCAATCCAGGTTCCTACAAAGTCAGCCACTGTTTGGTGACCTAAACAGCAGTGGCTGCTACAGGTCTTTCAGTCTCTGGAAGGAGATTGGAGTGCTTGCTCCAGAGTGGGAGAAGGGTTCCCACAGCCAGAATAGAGTGGCAAGTGTGGAATGCACCCTAGCAGTAGGAGTTAGAATTGGGCTCTCTCCAACAGCTGGACTGAAATGAGAGAAAAGTTGCTGAAGCCATGGTTTCTCCTGAGTTTCAGCCAGAAATAGCTTTGTGGGATGGTGCTGGTCTGCACCTCATTGCTGAGTGCCCCAGCCTGCTCCCTTGGTCAGTCAAGGGAGTGTGTCCCATTAGTTTCAAGGAGTGGGAGGGAGGCAGACCTTACTTCTGCGCATTGGATTGAGACTGCGGGCCATACCTCCCTTTCCTTGCAAAGAACTTGGTATAGCAGCACCCCCTCTGCTTCATGTCCAGGCAAAATAGTAACCATTCAGTGTACCTGCCTGCTGTACTAGGGACCTGAATCACCCGTCTATTCCTGTGCAGAGAGGTCTCCATGCAGTGGCATCCTCTCTGCTCCATACCTGGGCATAACTTCAAGCATTTAGCACACTTGTTCACCTGGATTAGAGGCCTGATTCACACCACCCTTGGGTCCAGAAATCTTGGTGCAGCAGCACCTCCTCTGTTCCATGCTCAGACATATTTCCAGGAATCTGGAGCACACACTTTTCCAGATTGCAAATCTAGGCTTCCCCCACTTCCTGGGCAGAGAAGTTGCGGCAGAAGGGGTTTCTCCACTTCATGCCTAGCTATATCCCCAGGTGGTTGGAGGCTGCCTCCCAGACCCCCTTTAGAGCCAGTGCTTATGCCATTGGGGGACATAGAGGCAGGCCTACCTAATCTGGCTCCACCTAGCTTGTTCCCTCACTCTGGAACTGAGCAGGGATCTCAGACCACTGTGCATTCCACAGGATAACCCATGACCTGAGACATCAGAGCATCTCATGACAAACAAAGATAAAGCATATATCCATCTGTGTCGGCTACAGTTGGCTCTTACCCATCAATGCCACCCACTGGCCTGGAGAATGAACTGTGCAACCCAATAGAAAAATCTACTGACACAGGTGCATAGCACTGGGGAACAAGATAAGCTTCCTGAGACCTCCGACAAACTCTCTGTGCGGGAAGCAGTGAGCTTGCTCACGTGCCCAGTGTCTATTACAGTCAGCATCTGAGAAAGCCACCAGAAAAGGCTGTATATAACTAAGGAACCTATACAGAGACTGCCACTGAGAGCACCCAGAGCAAAATCCAAATAACTGTACCCAAAACACATTGCAGTCACATCCTTAAGAGGGGAAAAAATCCCATCCAAATAAAAATAAATTCAGAAATAAGAAGGAGAGATAGCTTATCCAGATGAGAAGAAACCAGATAAAGAATTCTGAATGTATGAAAAAAAAAGTGTTACATTTCCAAAGGACCACATTAACTCTCCAGCAATAGATCCTAACCAAAATGAATTTTTTGACATACCAGATAAAGGATTCAAAATACTGATTTTTAAAAACCAAAATGATGGCCAGGCTGGCTCATGCCTGTAATCCCAGCACTTTGGGAGGTGGAGGTGGGCAGATCATGAGGTTAGGAGATTGAGACCATCCTGGCTAACACGGTGAAACCCCATCTCTACTAAAAATACAAAAAAAAAAAATTAGCCGGGCGTGGTGGCGGGCGCCTGTAGTCCCAGCTACTCGGGAGGCTGAGGGAGGAGAATGGCATGAACCTGGGAGGCGGAGCTTGCAGTGAGCCGAGATCGTGCCACTGCACTCCAGCCTGGGCGACAGAGTGAGACTCCATCTCAAAAAAAAAAAAAAAAAAAAAATTAGCCAGGCATGGTGGTGGGTGCCTGTGGTCCCAGCTACTCAGGAGGCTGAGGCAGAATGGCGTGAACCGGGGAGGCGGAGCTTGCAGTGAGTGGAGATTGTGCCACTGCACTCCAGCCTGGACAACAGAGCTAGACTCCGTCTCAAAAAAAAAAAAAAAAAAACACACAACAACAACAACAAAAAAACAAAAAAGATATCCAAGAAAAAGTTTAAAATTAGCACAAAGAAATCAGGAAAAAATTCAAAAATGAAAAAAGAGATAGATATTATTTTTTAAAAAGCAAACAGAACTTCTGGAAATAAAGAATTCACTGAAGGAATTGCAAAATACAATTTAAACCTTCAACAGTAGGCTTGAGCAAGTAGTAGAAAGAATTTCACAGCTGGAAGACAAGTCTTTCAAATTAATCCAGTCGGACAAAAATAAAGGAAAAAATAATTTCATAAAATGAACAAAGCATTTGAGAGATATGGGACTATGTAAAGCATCCAAACCTATAAGTGATAGGTATTTCAGAGTGATAAAAGGAAAAAGTAAAAAGCAAGGGAAACCCATCTGAAGGAAAAATTTAGGAAGACTTCCCTGGTCTTTCTAGACAACTAGACATCCAGATACAGGAAGTTCAGAGATTCATAGCAAGAAGACATAGAGCCATCATATTATCCAAAGTCAATATAAAGGAAAAAAGTCTTAAAATGTCAAGGGAGAAGTATATAATAAGCTACAAAGGAAATCCTATCAGATTAACAGTGGACTTCTCAGCTGAAACCTTATAAGATGAAAGAGGCAGGGGTTTTCTCAAGGAAAAACAAAATCCCAGCTAAAAACACTGTGTCCTGCAAAACTAAGCTTTGTAAATCAAGGAGGAATAAAATCTTTCCCAAAAAACACTAAGGGAATTTATCACCACTAGACCAGGGCTACAAGAAATGGTCAAAGGAGTTCTAAACATAGACACCAAAAGATGGTACTTACCATCACAAAAACACATGAAAGTATAAAACTGATAGGTCTTATAAAACTATTAGGCAATTGAAACTGCAAAGCAACTAAGTAATAATTAACACTATGACAGGAAAAAAATCACACATCAATACTAACTTTAAATGTAAATGAATTAAATGCTCCACTTAAAAGACAGGCTGATGGAGTGGATAATAAAACAAGATCCAACCATATGCAGCATATAAGAAACCCACCTAACTGGTGAAGGCATTTACAGACTCAAAGTAAAGGGGTGAAAAAATATATTCCATGCAAACAGAAAACAAAAGCAAACAGGAGTAGCTATACATATATCAGGTTAAACAGATTTCAATCAGCAACAACTTGAAAAGACAAAGAATGTCATTATATAATGATGAAAGAATCAATTCAACAAGAAGATGTAACAATTCTAAATATATATGCACCTAACATTGGAGTGCATTGAGATTCATGAAAAGAATATTACTAGATCTAAGAAAAGAGACGAGTACTAATACAATAATAGTGGGAGACTTCAATACTTCACTGACAGCACTAGACAAATCACTGAGGCAGGAAATCAAAAAAGAAAGTCTAAATGTAAAATTCAACTGTAGACCAAATGGAACTAACACATATTTATAGATCATTCTATGCTACAACTGCAAAATGGGGAAGAGTTGGAAGCATTCCCCCTAAGAAACAGGACAAGACAAGAATGCTCACTGTCACCAATCCTATTCAACATAGTACTAGAAGTCATAGCCAGAGCAATCAGGCAAGAGAAAAACAAAAAGCAACAAATTGGAAAAGAGGAAGTCAAATTATTTCTGTTCACTGATGATAAATCATATACTTACAACACCATAAAGACTCTTCCAAAAGACTTCTAGATTTGACGGATACCTTCAGTAAATTTTCAGGATACACAATTAAAATATAAAAATCAGTAGCATTCCTAAACACCAATAACAATTATGGTGAGAATCAAATCAAGAACTCAATATCATTTACAATAGCCTCAAAAAAATACTTAGGAATACATTTAACCAAGGAGGTGAAAGGTCTTCTCCAATAACGACAAAATACTGCTAAGAGAAATAGTATGTAACAGAAATAAATGGAAAGACATTCCATGCTCAGGGATTAGACGAATCAATAGTATTAAAATAAATAAACACTAAAATGACCATATTGCCCAAAGCAGTCTACTGAATCAATGTAACTCCTATCAAACTACCAATGTCATTTTTCACAAAATTTTAAAAGAATCCTAAAATTAATATGAAATCCAAAAAGAGCCCAAATAGCCAAAGCCATCATAAGCAAAAAGAATAATACTGGAGGCTTCATATTACTTGACTTCAAATTACACTAAAAGGCTATAGTAACCAAAATAGCATGGTACCAAGATAAAAATAGACACATAGATCAACCTGGAACAGAATTGACACATATCGTAGAAATAAAGCCACCTACCTGCAACCAGCTGATTTTCACAAAGTCAACAAAAATATACACTGGGAAAAGGACACTCTCTTCAATAAATGGTGCTGGAATAATTGGAAAGCCATATGCAGAAGAATGAAACAGTATACCTGTCTCTCAGCATATACAAAAATTAACTCAAGGTGGATTAAATACTTAAATGTCAGAAGTGAAACTACAAAACTCATAGAAGAAAACCTAAGAAAAACTCTTCTGGACATTGGTCTAGAGAAATAATTTATGCTACAAAAACAAAATGCTACAAAAACAAAAATAAACAAATTAGATTGCATTAAACTAAAAAGCTTCTTCACAGCAAAAGAAATAATCAACAGAGTAAACGGAAAACATGCAGAATGGGAAAAAAAAATTTGTAAACAATGCATCCAACAAAGGGCTAATATTCAGTATCTACAAGGAAATCAACTCAACAAGGAAAAAACGTATAAAAGTGAGCAAATGACATAAAAAGTGAGCAAATGACATAAACTGACATTTTCAAAAGAAGACATACATGTGGCCAAAAACCAAAAAAAATGCTCAACATCACTAGTCATTAGAGAAATGCAAATTAAAACCACTATGAGATCCCATCTCACACTAACCACAATGGCCACTATTAGAACATCAAAAAGCAACAAGTATAGTGAGGATGTGGAGGAAAGGGAACACTCATACACTGTAAATTAGTATAACCTCTATGGAAAACAATATGGCAGATTAGATTATATAGATGGGTAGATAAATGATAGATAAATCTAGATGAATATACAGATTAAAATGTAGATATATACGCATTTACATATGTTATATGTGTACTATATATCTACACACATACTCATTTTAGGAAGATTGTCATGTAGTTGTTGTAGATTTTATAATGCTCCCAACAATGTAGGGGGTGTCATATGAGACATATTGAAATTTATTTAGCAAAACATTAATATTTAATATTTACACAACGTGTGACAAATAAGGGATACAAATATATTCACTTAGTTCAAGTAAAGTTTTAGTTACCAAATGAAATTATATCCAACTTAAGTTGTTTTTAATTAGTCAGGCTTTTAGTATTGCATCATCGAGAATGAGAAATTTTTAACCCCGTATTATTGGGGGGGGAGAAAGAGAAACCCCTTACATTTTATTGTCCAGCATAGTAGCCATAAGTGATCCATAGTTATTTATATTTAAATTTAAAATAGTTAAAACTTTAAATTCCTCATTCACATTTATCAAATTGCAGGTACTCAATAGACAGCTGTGGCTAGTGGCTGCCACATGGCAGATACTCTGAATTGCTTCTTCCCTGGAAGAGAGCAGTACTAAGTTCAATCTTAACAAACTCCAATCCTTTTTTTCCCTCAAAGTTAAATTTTTAGTTATATTATTTTTTACATAATAGTAATATGTGATTACTTCAAGTGGAAGGGAGTAGCTTGTTTGATAGCATAGCAACTAGAAAGTATGAATAAACACAGAAACCATGAGTTAGGAGGCATTGGAAGGCTGCTGAGACAAATGTTGTTCTCAGGATTCTAAAGATGGGAGAACCTCATAGAGCTCAGCTGACAGCTGCAGTTAATTTTTGACTGTGCTCATATCCAACTTTGAAAGGATGTAGTAGGTGCTTGAGACTGGGAGGTGGAGGTTGCAGCGTGCCAACATTGCACCACTGCACTCCAGCCTGGGTGACACAGTGACACCCTGTCTCAGAAAAAAAAAAAAGAAAAGAAAGAATGCCTGCTATCATGATCTACTCAATGCTGTCCCGGAAATCTTCTTTACCAGTGAAATGATGCAATAAAGGGAAAATTAAGTTATAAGAATTGGAAATAAGAAAAAATATTAATTAAATCAGATCCCAGAATTGTACGTAGAAATTACTAATAAATCTACATAGAAATAATAAACAATAAGTAAATTTAGCAAATTTGCTAAAGTCATCAAAATAATAAAGTCAATTATATTTCCATGTATCAAAAACAAAGAAATGAAACAGGCACTTTTAAAAGTATAGTATTTAAAAGTTGGGCACAGTGGCACACATCTATAATCCCAGCTTTTTAGAAGGCTGAGGAGGAAGGATATCTTGAGCCTGGGAGACCAGCCTGAGCAACATAGCAAGACCTCATCTTAACACACACACACAGACACACGCACACACACAAACACACACACAATTTACAGTAACATCAAAAGTATCATTTAGTTAGGAAGAAATGTAGTCCATCTGCAAGCCATTGCACTGAAAACAAAATATTAATGAAAAAATAGAAGAAAGCCCAAATAAATTAAGAGCATAATCATATCCATGGATTGAAAGATTCAACATTTGAAGACATCAATTATTTCCAAATTGATCTATAGATTTAATGTCACCCTGACAAAAATTCTAGCACAGTGTTTGGAAAATTGACAAAATAATACTTTCAACATTTATTTGGAAATGTAAACACATAGGCCGGGTGTAGGGGCTCACACCTCTATGTTATAATCCCAGCACTTTGGGAGGCTGAGGCAGGAGGAACACTTGGGGCCAGGAGTTTGACACCAGCCTGAGCAACACAGCCAAGACTGTGTCTCTACAAAATTAAAAAAAAAATTAGACAGTCAGGGTGGCATGCTTATAGTCCCAGCTGCTCATGAGGCTGAGGTGGGAGGGATGGTTTAGTCCAGGAGTTCAAGGCTGCAGTGAGCTTTGATGGCACCACTGCAGTCCAGCCTGGGCAACAGAGTGAGACGCTGTTCTTTAAAAAAAAAAGGTAAAAGGAAATATAAACACTTAAGAGTAGCCAAAATATTATTAAAGAAGCAGAAAATAATGGAAAGACACATATTGTCAGATACTAAAACCTGTTATAAAGCTTTGTAGCCCCAAACTGGAAACAGCAGAGTCCATTGAGCTGCCACATGTGTGAGTTCTGCATTTCTCTCATCTTGTGTTGCTAGAGAATTGAAACAATACTGTGAATTTGGGGACATCAAGAGCATAGACGCACAGTCTAGGAGAAACAAGCTTACCTTGGGGAGGAGGTAGTTTCTAAATTTAATGTCAGAGGTCAGTGCATGGGGCACATTGGTGGGGTGAGGTCAGTGTCTCTGGACCTCATGCACCATGGCTTCTGTGTAGGGCATGTGGCTCCTGTCCTGCATGCAGGGCCTCCAGTGTCTGCCAACTGCATGGTCCGTCTCTTCCTGGACTTTAGATGACAAGACACAAGTGAGGACTGATGAAAAAGGAGAAAAATGGCACATTTGTCGTAGCAGTTCAGGCATACTTGAAGCATTATGAAGGTGTCCCTACAACATTATACATATAAATTATAGGGCCAGAAGTGCACCTAGACTTAGAGAGAAAATTACTATATTATAGATTCATATAACTCTCCTGCAAGCTAAGCATTAATATAAATCTGTATTCACCCACATAGAACATATAGGATAGTCAACTCAAATAGAAATGATAAAATGCTTCTAAATATAAATATTTAGTACATTGCAGAAGGATAACAATCAAAAAGTAATTTTATATCAAAATAATATGTGATATTTATAAAACTGAATTCTACTAACAGATATATATATGTATGCATGGGTTTGTGTGTTGTGTGTGTATGCAAGTTGCATATAAACATACACACACAAGATCCCTAAACTCCACAGAGACAGACACTTTGAAACATTCTAGAAGTTTCTTCTGAAATTTATGTTCACATTTCTAGATAACAACTCTTTTGATTTCTGGATTTTATCAGTTTTTAGAAAATTTCTAAAACTTCGTGGTAAGACAGATGAGAACTTACCTCTCTATCACCATCTCATAATAAATATATAGACACATACACACATGCAAACATACACACATACGTGCGCGTGCATGCACGTGCACACACACACACACACACTTTCCCTCACTCCAGTTTCCCCAGTGAATTTATATCACATTTTTATTATATTAGTACTCATGTTCACATTATTATTACTTCATAAGCATTGATCATAAGTGCAACAGATATAATTATGTTTCCTCTTTTATATGTTTTTTGAACTTAAAAGCACCTATTTCAATTCTACTTTTTAGATACCAATTTAGAATAATTGCAAATAGGAGTGCTTCAAACTCCTAGTAAACAATTTCTAAATACTTCAAAAAAACAGTCAAATAATCTATCCTGTCTTCTTGTTCTTGATGTCTCTCATCATTTTTCTAGACTCAGATTTCAATAATAATAAAATTCCTCAGGCACATATTCTGCCTCAATAGCATACATCCTGATTATAAATCTAACCTTTTAAAATACTTTTCAGACAATAGAAATTTTCTAAGACTATCTCATTAAGTTTCTAGACTATTCTCTACATACTTCAATAAATAGAATTTCCCAAAGAACTAAAAATAGAACTACCATTCAACCCAGAAATTCCACTACTGGAATCTATCCAAAGGAAAGAAAGTCATGGAATCAACCTAAGATGATTGGATTAAAATGTGGTATGTATACACCATGGACTACTGCTCAGCCATAAAAAAAGAATGAAATCATGTATTTTGCAGGAACATGGATGGAATTGGAGGCCATTATCCTAAGTGAAATAATTCAGAAACAGAAAGTCAAAAACCACATGTTCTCACTTACAAGTGAGAGCTACACAGTGGGCACACACAGTTATACAGAGTGGAATAATAGACATTGGGGACTCCAAATGATGAGAAGCTGGGAGACAGAGAGGGATCAAATATCACCTATTGGGTACTATTCTGATGATGGTACACTAAAAGCCAAAAATTAACTACTATGCAACATATTCATGTTACACAACTGCGCTTGTACCCCTAAATTCATCAAAATAACAAAAAAAATCAATTAAAACAAGAAAACTTAAAAAGATGCCAAGATGAAATCTGGAGCTGAAAAGTACAATAAGTGAAATGAATAATTCACTAGAGGGATCAAAGACAGATTTGTGCAGGCAGAAGAAAGAATCAGTGAACTTGAAGATAGGATGATGGAAAATGTTGAGTCTGAGTAACAGAAAAAAAATATCTAAGAAAGATGAACAGAGCCTAAGGAACCTGTGGGACACCATCAAGCTGACCAACATATACATTTTGGAAATCCCAGAAGAAGGAGAGAGGAGACAGAGGGAATACTTGAAGAATTAATAGCTGAATACTTCCCAAAATTGATGAAATACATAAAAATAAATACCCAAGAGGCTCAGTGAACTCTAAAGCGTTTGTCTCCTATGCAGATACAGGTCAACAATTCTGAAACTACTATTAATATATACTGGAATTAAATAATTCAGTAACAAGTGGTCACCAGATTTCTGCCTGTTTTAATGGGAGGTTACAGATAATGAAAAGTAGAAGTCTGGAATAATCCATATGGTAATGAATTAGAGTTAGAACATCAATGTGAACTTATAGTTAGGTTCCTGTAGATACAGATCATTACACGTAGAAATATCTATAGATATTCATGTATACATTGGTTAGATACACACATATTTCTTGGTCTCTTAATTGAGCGGAACTAGAGGAGATGACGCCTCAGTATCAGTGAGTATACCCAGAACCCAGATCTTGGTTTCTGGTACTAATTTCCAGTAAAATGATTCTGAGTTTTTGGAGAAAGGTTGATTCTAGGACTGCAACATGATACATGCAAATTCAGCCTGGAAAAATTTGTAGTTAAAGAGAGTAAAGAAGTGCTAAAACAAAAACAAAAACAAACAAAAACCAGAAAACCCAAAACCCACCGAATGATGGGTATATATCAAAAGGATATGGAAACCAGCTGAAAGAGTTCCCGAAGGCCAAAGTTAATCTAATGTCAGCTACAGAATAAAGTAGTATAGATTATAACTCAAAGTATAAAATAAATATCCATGAGTTTATGCTGATATAAATGCTTAAATAAATAAATAAATGGAGGAGAATAGCCAAATCCCCCATGCAGAAAAACTTCAAGTAATTTATGTATTAAATTATTGCCTTCAATGAAGTGAAGTATAACTCCCCAGTCTTTTAATGTGGGCTGTGCATAGTGATTTCATTTCAAAGAATAGAGTGCAGAAAGGGTAAAAGAAAAATAATTTTATGGTGGAGAAACCTGACAAACACTACCTCAGCCAGGTAATCAAGGTTAATATCAACAAAAATAAATCATGTTGATAATATCTACTCTTGATATGATGTCATTAAAATGACACTTAATTCTATGGTCTTTCTCCCTCCTACACAAACTCTAGTCTAATCATGAGGAAAACATCAGACAAATTCTAATTCAGGGTTGTTCTACAAACACTTGACCGGCATTCTTCAAAACTTCCCAGGTCATGATAAACAAACAAAGTCTGAGAAACTCTCACAGCCAAGAGGAGCCTAGGAAGACATGACAATTACACGTAATGTGGTATCCTGGATTGGTTCTGAGATCAGAAAAGGGATGTTAGATAAAATACATGGAATTCTGAATTAATTATAGGCTTTAGTTAATAACAATGCATCAATATTTGTTCATTACTTGTAACAAATGTAGCATAATAATGTACTATGTTAATAGGAACAAGTAGGTATGGGTTACATGGGAACACTGTGTACTGTCTGTAATTTTATTTCTGTAAATATTAAACTGGTCTAAAATAAGAAGTTTATACAGAAGGAAAGAAAGCCAGAGATTTGCACTTAGTGAATATTTGTTGGGTTGTTGGTTAGTAGCTGCCTAGTGGACTGATCTGATAAGTATTCGGAGACCCAGTTCAAGATCAACAAAGTGTCTCTATAGATTAAGGCTATTTATTAATATTTTTGGCAAGGTGTGAGGTAAGCAGGAGGCAGGTTAGAGGGGGAGTGCCATGACTACTACATCTGATATTAAAATCTGCTTACTTCATACATGAAGTAGTTGAGGCCCATAGAAGCTGTAGGTATGGGAAGCAGCAAAGCTAAGAGAAACTCCATCAGTCAGATATTTTACAATTGCCTATTTTGACAAAGGTTGGGACTCTTATTCTAACACTTACTAGCTGAGTGACCTTGAGTGAGTGCTCTACAAGTGTTGCCCATTATATACTGATAACTTACTGAGTTCTGGACACTATTCTAAACCTTTTATTGTGGATTGAGTTATTATATGTATACATGTACACCCACACACACAAACACACACACACATAAAATGTATGTGACCAGAATTATTATGATTCCTATTTTCAGAGACATTAAATAACTTGCCCTAGATCACTCAGTGGGCAAATATTCGAGTCAGTATTCAAACCTTAGTTAATCTGGGGCCAGTGAATATGTCCTTAAGCCATAAAATCAGTACATTTTTGGGGGCATGTATAAAATATAATCTTCTGAGGTACTGAGAGCTTTAAAAGAGCTAATTAATATAATGTATTTGGTAAAATAGCAGCTAATAAATATTATCTTTCCCCTATTATCTTTCTACACAAAAATAAAAGAACATTATCACCAATCTCTGGTTGGATGGCTAGAGCTGAAGCCTTTGCATAGTGAGAACACATATGATAAAGCAGAAATTATACTCTTCTATTTATATCTCCTGAAAGCACCACATTTTAAAACTGAAAAAATATTCTAGTATCTAGTTTAGAAAATATGAATGTTCATTGACATTTTATCCCCTGTTCTATACTTATTACCAAGTCCCAGCCAAAGGTTTCAGATGGAAACATTTCATTTTATGTAGTTTTAGCTTATTTTTAAGGATTTATATGTTGAACCAGACATTAAGAATTATTTTGGTATTTGGGAGCAGACAAAATCTCTGATAATATTTATAACAATAATTATGATAAAATACCTCATGTTTGTTGAATATTGGCTACATGGCAGGCACTGGGTTAAACTTTTGCATTTATTAAAATGCCATTATTATCTTTCCCATCTTTTTTCTTTTTGAAATGAGAGATCGGGATACAGAGTGACAAAAGAACATGCCCAAATTCATACTGTTAGCATGCCGCACACAAATAACATAAACTAATGTCTGTTTACTCATGGGCCATGCCACTATTATATAGCAAGTTGAATTTTTTTCAATATCCAGCGAAACTGTAAATTACTCATGCAGGTTTGATTATCGAAGACATGACAACGATGCAGTTAACGCGAAATGCAATTTCCTGATTTGGATCTCTATGTTCTCTAAAATCTTTTCTTTTTAAATGCTTGTTACCCTGCCTTCATTTTCTTTTTATTATTTGGGGTTCATTACTCTGGATACTATTGAAAATTGTTCCAGTAGTAATAGTTTAGATGTGCTCTTTATATGGGTTTGACTATTATCTACACAAAATACCTACAGTTTACAAAACACATGTATGCCAACATTTTTTTTGTATTGTCATAGAAAATAAACAAAGGTACTCAAGTAGTTTCTATTTTATGACTGGTTTAGCCTTTCACTGTTCAACAATACTGTTTGCTTCTTTTAAAATAATTTACTTATCAATATATTATGAAACAGGAGCTTTTTTCATTGTCTCCAGTTGCAGCATTACTGAATACTCATGTTTACTTACTGAAGCATTTTATTTAGAATAGAAATACGGAACGTTAATGTAGGCTTTGTTAAATTTGCCACTTCTCTGATATATGAAAAGTACTTGAGTTGAGGAAAGCATTTCAATGGTATTGAAAAACCTCAGAGGCTCTTCAAGCAAATAAAGACTTTTTATTTGTGATTCTCTTCTGTATTACACTAGCAAATTAAATCAGAACTCTTTAACAGTGTTACATTTTCAGATTCTTTTCCCCCAACACCACCTTTGCTTTCCCAGCTAGGGCAATTTGCATTTGTGGGTCAAATGTATTTTTTGTATATAAAAAACATATATGTGCATTTAAGCATATGTAATTGCAAGGATATATGCGTTTAATCAATATTATATGTAATTTGTGTGTGCCTTTATGTTATTGTGGGAACTAAAATGCCAGAGAATAGTTTCCAGGGAGAACACAAAAAACACATGCCACAGCTACCAAAACAATTAGCTATATATGTGTCTACTAAAAATAAAATCCTGTTTTAAAGGGTATTTTTGACACTTGAGTGAGAAATGTTTAATATTTTTACATTTTATACATTGTTATTTGATTTTAAATTTTTTTCCTTCACATATAAAAACCTACTTTATTGTGCCCCTACAGTTAAAAATGCCATAATAATAGACCAGGCTTATCATTTTTCCCCTTCTACTTTCCATTATTGCTAGCAGCACGACAACTCTCCTATCACCCAGGGTTACAACCTTGAGTCCATCTTTGATTATCTCTCTTTCTACCTTGTGTCTAGGACCTTTCTATGTCCTGCCATTTCTTTCTTTTGTAATGTTTGAAAAGCCAGTTTCTTCTTTTTTGGTTCCTATACCAAGACCCCAATCTACTTTCTTTTATTTTCTTTTATTTCTGCTCCAACTATTGCAATCTTCCACATTCTTGCCTCCATATCTTTCTTCTTCCATCTCAACTACCAGGTTGCTATAAAGTCTATGTATCTATTGGCAGGCCTAAAACACAGGAAAGAAAATGGCTTAACTTCAAAATGAACATATAGAAAAGTAAAGCTACTGTTTGTTAAGGTACAAGTGATCGTTAACATTTCAAAAAGTCCATTTCTCAGAACTTTAGTCTCTTCAGATATTTTACACACATACACATACACACACACAAGCATGCACAATTGTGTGCTCAAATAATCTTGGGAAATGCTGCATACAATATATATAATATCATCTCTTAAACAGTCAACTTAATAACACCTTACTCTAAGTGCTGAGAATTCCTGTGGGAACATGAATCTTGTTTAGCATTTATTAAGACAGTGTTTTCCACATTTACTTGACCATGGGATCCTAAACTTTTTTTTAAAGTATGATATGAAGACCATATTTTAGGAACCAGTCATTCCATGTATCGTTTCTGCTTACATTTTGGAACTTTCCTTTGAAAAGGTGAGCAAAATCTGGGATTGCCTGAAAGTAAAAAAGTTAGAATTTCCAACAGCCACCATCATGCCAGAAACCAAAGGAAAACTTTACCTACAAGGATCAGCACTGTTCATGGTTTATTTGTCCTGGTAAGAGGATTTATACAGATTATTTTTACCAGGTGTATTTATACCAGGCTAACATGGAAGCATTCTCACTGCTGTCTTCACAGAAATCTCCCTCAATGATGTTAAATCCAAAAAGGTATTTCCCATCTTCAAATTTCATTGTCAGACTTCCTTCCTGGAGTCTGTATGAAGAAATAAAAACAATAAACTACAAATAAGACGTTAGATACCAAAAGATTAATGTCTTATCTTTTAATGTAAATTCATGTTTGTTTAGGATGGTGTATATTATGCTTGCAACAGCTCACGGTTTGCTGTATACGCTAAAAGAATTTGCCATTGATCAGTGTATGGCAAACTCTTTATGGAGCTTATTGTGTTGGAAGTGTAGCTCTCAGCCACATTATCTGACAAAAGTGTCTATATAAGCAGTCATCCTGAAGTGCTGATTCTGTTATTTGATTTGGGATTAAACAGTCTGTTGCCAGCCATCTGCTTTGCTATGCATGTGTCCTTGAGAGGTTAGATTTCTACTGATATTGCCCCATAACTTTAAGTGGTATTTGAAAGATCAGAATTAGCTTAGACATATGCCACTGAAATTGCTGGCCTTATCCTAGAGGACTGTCCAGACTTTGACACCATAGTCCAAATCAGAAAAAAAAAAAAAGTTTACTTTTGTCACATTGTTGCTGATTCAGAATCCTTCTGCATTTGGCCAAGTGCCATGAGGCTCAAGAGTACTTGCCTGCCAAAGTTTTACAACAGTTCATGCTCCTGAGTATATGAAACTGTGCACTGGTTGTTCCAGGCATGTCTCCTGATGTCTCCCAAAGAATGCACTCCTCTGGCCTATGCCTGATTACTCTGCAGAAACTCCCGTGGTTTCTGCGATCTCAGCAACTTCTGTCACAGAGGCTCTGGAAATACTCTACTGAAAACGTTCATGGATAGTAAGTACAAGTCTTTGCCCATGTATTTGAAATAGAAAAGGGTCGTAGCTCGATTTCAGGTAACTCAAATCAAATAAAAACCTTACTTCATTAAGAATCTGAATATTTCAAGCAGAAGTGGATTTTGTGTGGGTTTCCAGGCATAGGAACAACCATATTTTACTTTAGGAGTGTGTCTGAGTGTGTGCTGAAGTGGGAACTTTTGGAAGTTCCCAGATGTGTACCCCATTAATATTTCTTTCACTTGGAATCTGAGCTCCATTTGTTATTCCACTCCACCTGAATGTACAAGGGGATGGGAAGCAAAAAGTGAAGGAATATGTCAATTAGGACCATAAATTAACTTAAAAATATTTTTATTGTTCTATATATCACACTGTACTGAATTCCCTCTCGGTTCGAACGGATAATAGAAATAGGGAATACAGACTAATGAGAATAAATAGAATGATGAATGGATGAAGGAATGCATCAATGACTATTTGAGTACAAACTATGTGACTGGCACAGTGCTGGGCACTGGAATAAAAGAGTGACCAAGATTAGGGCAAAGGCCCACAAGTAAACAGGAAATTGCAGTGAAGTAAATGCAGTGATTAGAAATGTGCAGTGTTCTATGAGAACTCATGGGAAAGACCCTTAGCACATTTTTAAAAAATATTCTCCCAAATTTAGATTACTTGTAAGTAAAGGAACAAGTGAAACTTTGTAAGGAGAAGATGAAATATTTGTAATCATGTTGACCTTAGTAATGAGATTGCTGAGAGTCTATAAAACAAGTATTTTACAGACTAGGCTTTCTTTAGCTTTCAAGAAATTGCAGTTGAAAATATTGTTAGGTTGCTTCATAAATTTTATGAGGATAAACACGAGATAAAGTAAACCTGAATTTAATTTTACAAAAAATTCTGTTTCTGCAAATATTCAGGCTTCCTATTTTCCTAAAACAGAATCTATTCAATGATGCCCATTTTCCAAATTGTATCAGTGGCTAAAAATCTTTTAGACAAAGGTATTGCCTAATTAAAGCAATATTTTCAATTTTAGTGTCCAAATGCCCCTACTTCTTTTAAGTTGAACCCATTTTTTAGTCAGTTTTATTTGTTTAAATATCTAACTGTACATTTGCATGACTATACATTAATGGATGCTCCATCAGCTATCTTTCAAATAATAGTGACATGAATACAAAATGTAAAAATAGGGTCAAGTTTGTACTGTGTAAATGTTCAGGTTAGACTCGAAATTAACTTTATATCTACAATTATCTTTGTCCATTTTATATGTGTACTTCATTCTGAAAACCCATAAATGCCAAAAATTATTTTTTTAAAAATATTTAATTGTAAAATATTTCAAACATTCAAAACAGTAAGAAAAATAAGAATCCTTACTTCTACAGACACTTCATTCAGATTTAAAAATTGCTCTTGATTTGCTATATTTTCTTGATATGTTCTTCCCCCTCAGAAAGAATTAATAAAATTTTGTAGATATAGCTAAATCCCAACCTTAATTTTTTTCCTGGATTCAACCAGCCTCCTTAATTTGGTGAGTATTCAAATCCATATTTTTAATAACATATATATATATTCAAATAATACAAAGAAATGTTTTGGGCATTTTCAAAATCTACATAAATAGTGCCGTATGGCCCTAATGCTGTAAGAACTTTTTTCTTTATTTATAATATTATTTTGTGAGATTTATCCTTGTTGATGTATTGATGCATTTAGGTGCAGTGTTTACAGTTTCAATACTGTATTCCATTTATTGATCCTCTGTTTACCCACTTCCGTATTAATGAACAATAAGTTTGTTTCAAATATCATACTATTACAAATGAAATGGTGAAAATCCTTTTCACCTAAGGCTCCCTTATTAGTGCATAGGAATTTTTCTAGGATGGGTAGCAGGAAGTAGAATTATTTTCCTAGGTAATGTGCATCTACAAATTTCTTCGGTATTTTCACAATGCTTTCCAGTGTAATTTTTTACACACCATCAGCATTTCTCTGATTACTACTAAAGCTACTTGACTTTTGCTTGTTGGCCATTTGAATTATATCTTCAATGTACCTGTTCATTTACTTTGCTCATGTTCCCACTAGGGTATTTGTCTATCTTTTTATTTGTAGGGCTTCTGCAGATTTTCTACTATACATGTAGACAATAATGTCTCCCAGTCTTCGGCTTGAATTTTAACCTGGTAATAGTGTCCTTGTTTCACATGCAAGTGTTTACTAGACATTCCAATAGAAAAAAATGCATTAAAAGTTCAACCAGTTACATGTTGCTTTAAAGACACAGAATTAAAATCTCAGAGAAAAAGAAGGCAGAAAATAAAAAAAAAGGAAAAGAAATACTAAATAAACACTAGCTAAATACATAGGTATAGCTATGTCAATATCAAATAATGCAATCTTTGAGATAAGAAATATCACTAGGGATAAAGAAAAACGGTTCATGATAAAATAATTAATACATCATATATAAATTTTTGATATGAATGTCAAATATATAAAGCCAAAATGTGTAGATATAAAAGGAGAAAAAAAAAACAAATCAATAGAATGGGAGAATTTAACATGCTGCTGGGCTGGATTGCTTTAGGGATACTTCTACCTCCTCCTCTATAGCTTGGGTAGAAACATGTGTTTGTTCTTATTTAGTGAGTAGAGTTTTCTCTCCAGTTCTTTTGCAAATTATATATCTTTCTAGGGATTCTGGCTTTACATGGAAATCTCAGTTCCTTTTGCCCTTTTGTCTGTGGCCCTGTCTTACCTCCCTCTGAGGATATTAAACCTCAATTTCTTCATATTTATGGTTCTAATTAAACATTTTCTCCTCATTCAAAGCAGTAGCAGCAATAGCTCCTGTTCTTATGGTTCTGGATTTCATTCTTGGAATGTAAAGATTTCATTTTTGCAGGCTCAGCTATCAACTACATTTGTTTTGTTTATTTATCTAGCATTTGTATATATTTGTAACAAGTAGACTTCAACTTCATGTGATGGTTATAAGTGTGATTTTTTTTTTTCCTTTTAAGGCAGAAAATGGGATTACCTTGGCTGAATTTTCTGAGGCTGCGTAGAGTCATGAGACAAGTTATGAACAGTGTGTTCTGAGCAGACATGATGCATGCTGCTTTTTGGGACAAGTACTGAATTGCTAATGGGTGATCCTGCAGAGTTCTTTATTCTGTCTGGCACATCAAGGAGCTATATTCAAGATGGCAGCAGCTTTGTCAGCCTGGGCCTCTTATTAAATACAATGAGCAGAGATCTCTTTGCTGATCTGAGAGGGACATGTAGCACTATTAGGAAATACATCTTTGTTATTACAAGGCATTAAGATTTTGGAGTTTTTATTTGTTTGTTATCTCAGCATAATTTAGCCTATCTTGACTATGGTAGTGTGGGAGACCAAAATATCCTTCCTTCCCCAAAATATGAAAGATTGTTGAGCTGGAAACAATGAAGAAGTGGCAGATGCAGAAAAGCTCCTTGTCCTTCATTTGTTTGCATAATTAACAGGACACATTATCCTATCCTTCCCCCCACCCATTCTACTAGTGAGAGCAAAGTTTAACCACTGAAGACAGCTTTGGACCCTTCTCAGTTCTGAGATGATAATCAGAGGAATTTACATTAAGAAGCCTTGCTAACTAACCACGTAACTAATTAGTTACCTTTACTATTTATCTGCCAGTTATTCACCTTCTCCCAAGTGTTGACTAGAGACCCAAAATCCTTTTCCTTTGTTTTATCACTTCTCTAAAAATTTACTGTTCTTTGCTGAAGATGCTATGTAAGCTGGAATTTAAAGTCAGCTCTTTGAGAACTGTTCATTTTCTGGGTTTCTCCTATGTATACACGAAATATACATGTTAGTAAACTGCTTATCTTTTTGTTGTTGTTGTTAATTTGTCACTTGTAACAGGGGTCTGCTCCAACTAAGAACCTATGGGGATTATTATTTTTCCCCTAAGGTAGGCAGAATAATGGTTCCCCCAGGATTTCCATATCATAAGCCCTGGAACTTGTGAATATCTTAGGTTAAATGGCAGAGGGGAATGAAGGTTGCAAATGCAATTAAGATACTAATTAGCCGTCCTTAAGATAGACAGATTATCTTGGCTTATGGGGATGCAATATAATCACAGGGATCTTTCCAAATGGAAGAGTGAAGCAGAAGAGAAGATCAGAGAAAGAGATGCAATGATAGAAACAGGGTCAGAGAAATGCTGCATTGCTGGAGTGGAAGATGCAGGAAGTGGGCCAGCAACCAAGGAATGTGGGGAGTCTCTAGAAGCTGGAAAAAGGAAGGAAACATTTTGTTTTGTTTTGTTTTACCTAGAGTCTTCAGAAGGAGTGCAACCTTGCCAACACCTTGATTTTAGTCCAGGGATACCACTGTCAGAATTTTAACATAGAGACCTATAAGATAATATATATTGTGTTGTTTTAAGCCACAAAGTTTGCAATAATTTGTTATAAAATGAAACAAAGACAAATACTTTGACCCATATGCTTAATCCTTTAGTACTGCCCTTACAGAAGACAGACACTTCTTTAGAGAGAATCATATAGCATAGACACCCACAAAAACTTTATTAGGGAACATATGAGCAACTCTGTCATTTGGGATATGAAGTCAGTCATCACACAATGCACTGTAACCCTAAATGCCTTCACATGGACAGCTACATGGGCATAGAATATTAGAATTTCCAACGGTTTAATTTAAAACATATTTAATAAATTTTAAGTAAATTTTCAAAATATGATTTAGAATTTGAGCTTTATCCAATTTCAAAATAAGATTATAAAATAAATAATAATTCAGACATTTGCCTTTTACTTTCAATACCTTGTATACTTTATTTTTGAAAACAAAAAAATAATGCTTTATAGTTTTTGGGATTTTTAATTTTTGTGGATACATAATAGGTGTTTATATTTATGGAGCATATGGGATATTTTCATACAGGTATACAATGTATAATAATCACATCAGGGTAAATGAGGGTGTCTATCAATTCAAGAACTTATCCCTTCTTTGTGTTACAAGCAATCCAATTATATTCTTATTTATTTATTTATTTATTTTGAGAAGGAGAGTCTTGCACTGTCGCCCAGGCTGGAGTGCAATGGCACGATCTTGGCTCACTGCAACCTCTGCCTCTCGGGTTCAAGCTATTCTCCCACTGCAGCCTCCCGAGTAGCTGGGATTACAGGCGTGTACCATCATACCCACCGAATTTTTGTATTTTTAGTAGAGACGGCGTTTCACCATGTTGGCCAGGCTGGTCTCAAACTCCTGACCTCAGGTGATCCACCCACCTCGGCCTCCCAAAGTTCCAGGATTATAGGCAGGAGCTACCACCCCCAGCCCAATTATATTCTTTTAGTTATTTTAAACATAAAATTAATATTTTACTATAGTTGCCCTGATGTGCTATCAAATACTAGTTGTTACTGATTCTTTCTATTTTTTGTACTGATTAAGCAACCCCACTTCCGACTCCCAACTCCCCACTACCCTTCCCAGCCTCTGGTAACCCTCCTTCTACTCTCTATCTACATGAGTTCAATCATTTTAATTTCTATCTCCCACAAATAAATGAGAACACACGAAGTTTGTCTTTCGGTGCCTGTTTTATTTTACTTAACATAACGACCTCCAGTTCCGACTATGCTGTTGCGAATGACAGGATCTCATTTTTTTAATGGCTAAATAGTACACCATTGTGTATATGTACTACATTTTCTTGATAAACACTATTCACCTTTCTGCCTATTGTGAACATTTTATATAAATGAAATGATAACTTGTGTAGTGTTTTGTGACTGTCTTCTTTCACTTAGCATAGTATTTTGAAAGTTTGTCCATGTTGTATTAGTATTTTATTCCTTTGCATGGATATAGTATATGTTATCTATCTATCCCTCAGTTGTGTTATGCTTTTATTATTGTTATAAGAGTTCTTCATTTTACATACAATTCTTTTGTCAGATACATGATTTGCAAATATCATCTTCAATTCTGTAGGTTGGCTATTCACTTTTTTGATGATGTCTTTTGAAGTAAAAAAAAAATTTTGATGTAGTCCAATTTATTTATTTTTCTTTTGTCATGTGTAATTTTGGATCATATCTCAGAAATTATTGCCTATTCCAAGGTCATCAATATTGAATCCTATCTTTTTTCCTGAAAGTTTTATAGCAATATCTCTTACATTTATGTCTGTGATCTATTTTGAATTAACATATAGTATGAGGTGGGTGTCTCACTCCATTCTTTCACATGTATCTAGTTGTTCTAGCACTATTTATTGACAAGATTATTTTTCCGCTTTGAATTGTCATACCACCTTTGTTGAAAGTTGATTGACTATAAACTGAAATATTTATTATTGGGTTCTCTATTCTATTCCATTAATTTATATGTCTGTCCTTATGCTAGTACCACATTATCTTGATTACTGTTGCTTTGAAGTAAGTATGGAAATCAAGAAGTTCCCAATTTTATAATCCTTTTGAAGACTGTTTTGGCCATTCTCTATTTTTTGCATTTCCATATGAATTTCAAGATTATCTTTTCAATTTCTGTAAAAAATTTACCTGAGAGTTTTATAGGAATCCTGTTAAATCAATAGATTAATTTAGGAAACATTACTATCTTAACAATATTAAGTCTTTCAATTCATGATCACATAATGTCTTCATATTTATCCACATCTTTAATTTTTTCGGCAATGTTTACATTTTCCAAAAGTTACTTACATCATGTTATTTTTCTCTCCCTTCTTCGTATGGTTATTTCATAAATTACAATACAGCTAGGTTTATTTGTCACAGATTGTATTCCATCTTGGGAACCCTCAAATTCTGATTGATTTTATTTAAATTTGCATACAGTAAAGATCACAATTCTGTGGGTTTTGACAACTTCCCAGTCAGGTGTTTTACTCAGTACCATACAGAACAAGTTAATGGCAGCAAAAGTTCCAGTGGAAAGCCCCTTGTATTGAATACCTCCTCTATTCTCAAACCCTGACCAACACTGATATTTTTGTATCTTCATTATTTTATCTTGTTTTATAACGTCCTATAAATGGTATTATGCAATATGTGGTCTATTGCATCTAGCTTTTTTCATTTAGAAAAATGCATTTAAGATTCATCTATATTGTTGCATCAATCCATAGCTTCTTTAATTTTATTGATGAGTAGTTTTATGTTGTATAAATATGTCACAGTTTGTTTATCCATTCACCTACCAAAGGAAATTTTGTTAATGTCTAGTTTTTCATAATTACGAATAACGATGCTATAAATATTCACATACATAATTTCATGTGAAACCAAGTTTTCCATTCACTTGGGTAAATATCTGGGAGTATGATTTTTGGGCTATATGGTAAGTACATGTTTAAATTTATAAAAAAATTCACCAAACTATTTTCTAAAGTAGCTGTACCATGTCACATTCTCATTAACAATAAATAAAAGTTCCTGTAGCTCTGCAATCTTGCCAAGATTTGGTATTGCTTCTTTCTGTTTGTTTGTTTATCATTCTAATAGATATGTAGTGATATTTCATTGTGGTTTGAGTTTGCATTTTGTAAATGACAAATATACAGAGTATTTTTTTTCTTATTTCCTATCCAAATATCTTTGGCAGAACATCTGTTCAAATTTTTTTGGTGGGTTAAAAGCTTTGTTGAGATATAATCATATACCATAAAACTCACCTATTTAAAATGTACAACTTAATGTTTTTGCATATTCAGTTATGAAATTACCTACACAATTTATTATCATACTAAAAAGAAACCTAATATCTTTTGGCAGTCACCCACCAATTCTCCTGAACTTCCCAGCCCTACACAGCCATTTATCTGCTTTTTGCCTCTATTGATTTGCATATTATAACATGTCATTTACATGAAATCACATAATATGTGATCTTTTGTGATTGTCTTCTTTCACTTAGCATAACATTTTAAAAGTTCATATATATTGTAACAGATATCAATAATGCATTTTTTTGCTGTTAAATAATATTCCATTATATTGATTTGCATTTAACAGACAGCTAACTATGTTGACTATGTTTTCCTATGTATTGGCCATTTGTATATCTTCTTTCAATGAATGTCCATTCAGACCCTTTGCTCATTTAAAAAATTGGGTTGTCTTTTTTATTATTGAATTGCAAGAGCTCTTTATTTATTTTATATACAAGGCTTTGGCAGATATATGATTTACAAATATCTTCTCTCATTCTGTGTTTTGTCTTTTCACTTTCTTGACAGTGTTTGTTGAAGAAAAAATGTCTCAAAGTTGGATGAATTCCAGTGTATTTATTTATTTTTTGTTGCTTATCCTTTTAATGTCATGTTTAAGAAACCATTGTCTACTCCAAGGTCATGATGATTTAGGCCTATGTTTTCTACCAAATATGCTATAGTTTCAGCTCTTACACTTATGTCTATGATTTAAGTTATTTTATATGGAATTTTGTATTATTCTGCACATTCATCATTCTTTTGGATATCCTGTTGTCCCAGCCCTATTGATTGAAAAGATTTTTTTTCTGCATTGAAATGTCTTGGCACCCTTGCTGAAATCAATTGACTATAAATGTTAGGGTTGACTTTTGGATTCTCAATTCCATTTTATTGATGTCTTCTTACACTGTACTGCAATGTACTATATCCTTCTCTTACTGGCTTACTATACTGTCTTGATTACCGTATCTTGTAGCACATTATGAAATCAAGAAGGGTGATTCCTCCAACTTTATTCTTCTTTTTGAAGACAGTTCTGGCTACTCTGAGTCCCTTGCATTTACATATGAATTTTAGCATGAGCTTTTCAGTTTGCTTGTCAGCTTGCAACAAACAAATTGAGATTTTGATAGGAATTTTGTTGAATCTGAAGATAAATTTGGGGAATATTTACATTTTAATGATTTTAAATATGTTGAATGGATGAAGATACCATATCTTTCCATTTATTCAGGTCTTTAATAAAACCTTATTTCGTAGTTTTTAGATCCTAAGTTTTGGAGGTATTATAAAAATGTATTGTAACTTTTATTATGTTTGATGCTACTATAAATGTAAATTTAATTTTTTGATTATGACTTGCTACTGTAAATAAATATATTTAATTTTTATATTTATTTTGTACCCTGAAATTTGTTGAACTCATTTATGACTTCTAATAGCTTTTTAGAAGATTACTTAGGATTTTTTATCTGTAAAATTATATAACATACAAATATAGTTTTACTTCTTCTTTTTCAAATTGAATGTTTTAATTACATTTTCATGTCTAATTACCATGTTTAGAACTGCCAGAAAAATATTGAATAAAAATGTTGAAAGCAGACATTCTTGTCTATTCACAATACTGAGGAAAACCGTATTACAATTTACAGCGCCATTTATAATGTTGGCTGTCGGGTTTTTGTAGATGTTCATCAGCATGTTTAGGAAATTCTACTTCTGGTTTGTTGAGTGCCTTTATTGTGAAGGAATGTTGGATTTTATAAAATGCTTTCTTTTACATTGTCTTAGTCCATTTTCTGTTGCTATAACATAGTACTATCGACTTGGTAATTTATAAAGACAAAAAATGTATTTCTTACAATTCTGAAGGCTGAGAAGTCCAAGGTTGAGGGGCCACATCTGGAAGAGAGAAAGCATGATTGTCAGCTTTCTTCCTCTTCTTAAAAAGCCTTCAGTCCCACTATAGGGATCCAATCCTGATTACCTTATCTAATCCTAATTACCTCCCTAAGGTCCCATCCTCTAATCAACATATGAATTGGGGGATCAAGTTTTCAAAACATGAGATGTGAGGTACACATTCTAGCCATAGCATGCATTTGAGATGATCATGAGGTTTTGTCTTTTCTTCTGTTATATGGTATATTACATGAGTTGATTTTCTGATGTTAAACTAACCTTGCATTACTGAAATAAATCCCACTTGGTCTGGTGTGTAATCCTTTGTATATATTGCTGAATTCAGTTTGCTAGTATTTTTTTGAGGGATTTTGTGCTCACATTCACAAGAAATATTAGTCTATAATTTTGCCCTCTTGTTATGCGTTTGTACAGTTATTGGCATCCTAATGTCTTATATTCCTCTGAGGGTCTGTTTATTTTTACTTACTGTTCTCTCTCTTCCTCAGATTACATAATCTTTACTGATGTACCTTTAACCTTGTTACTCTTTCTCTTGACAGCTCAAATATTCTGTTGGGACCCTGTATTCAATTTTTCATTTCAGTTATTATGCCTTTAACTGTAGAATTTCCATTTTCTTTTCTTAAAAAATAGTTTCTATGTCTTTATAGATATTATCTATTTGCTGAGACATTGTCATCATACTTTACTTCTTTAGGTAGGTTTTCCATTTTTTTTTTTTTTAACATGTTTACAATAATCGCATTGAGGTCTTTGTTAAATCTAACATCCAGGCCATCTTATAGGTAATTTCTTTCCCCTGCTATATATTTCTAGTGTTTAAATTGTATTTTTCTATACTTTTTGTGTGCATGTCTTTAAATTTTTTGTGAAGGCTGAATATTTACAATGATATATTGTAGCAAGATTGGATACTTATTCTTATCCAGCCACTCAGGCCAATGTTGTTACTTGCTTTTTTATTTGTTTAGTTACTTGGCCACTCTATTTTAGCAATGTCTATTTCTCTTACATTGTGAAACTTCTGATGTTACTTCTTAGCCATATGTACATTTATCCTGGGAGCATCCCTAATCACTAAATTGAGATTTTGCCTTTGTTGATTTTATACCTACCAGTTAAACCCCACTAATTACCCACTGATTTCTCTGTTGTTTTCAACAGTGTCCTAGTGCTTAAATTGCTCCATAGTCTGATCTAAATCTCCTGATCTAAACCTCAGGAGAACTCTTAGCTTTCTCTTTCCTTGGTTCTCTCTGGTAAATTAACTGGCCTACGGTTTAGTTTGTTGCTCTCATAAAGCTAACATCTTCCTAATTGCTCATTATGCCGTATTCACTGTTTTTGAGAAATTTGAATTTTCCCACACTCTATTTCAAATAAGGTTAGTTCTTTGGCGAGAGCTTTGGAGCTCTTTGTTTTTGTGGACTGCCTCTCCTCTTAGTAAAAATCTCTCAGCAACTCTTGGCCCACACCTCCTGGGGAGATATTGTAATCCTTGAGTTAAACCTGCGGGGAGGAGATCTCTGTGTTCGTTGCTGGACATTCCCAGAGTTAAATTTTGGTCATGCTGAGTTGGGAGCTGGAGGCAAGAAGTGGGTCATAGCTCATGTACAACAGACTTTTGCTGTTCTTATTAAGTTTTAGCAAATTTCCTTGAATAAATGTTTCTTCATTTGTTATGTACCTCATGACAACCTCCAGAGACTTTAAATGATTGTTTCTAAATACTTTTTACCAGTTTTGCTTATTTCACTGGGAAGTGAGTCTATAGAGCTTCCTGTCTTGCCATTCTGGAAATGTATTTGTGTTTCCATTCAAATCTATTACCCAGTGTTTTAATTGGGTGTTTCTAAATTATTGTTGAGCTTTAGAAGTTCTTTGTATATTCTGGATAAAAATCCTTTGTCATATATCTGATTTGAGAATATTTCTACCAAGCTATGGCTTGTCTTTTCATTCTCTTAACAGAATATGACTTCTAATTTTGACAATCAGTTTATCAATTATTTTATTGATCATGGTTTTTGGTGATTTTTGTATCAGAAACTTCATCAATCAAGATCATGCAGGTTATCAGGTTTTCTTCTAGTTGTTTTATAGTTTTACATTGTGTAAATTTTTTAATGAGATGTGAGGATATGTGTCAAGATTTATTTTATTTTACATATGAAGGTCCAGTTGCTTCAGCACCATTCATTGAAATGATAAAACTTTGAATTACCTTTGTACTTTTTTTTTTTTTTTTTTTTGAGACGGAGTTTCGCTCTTGTTGCCCAGGCTGGAGTGCGATGGCACGGTCTCAGCTCACTGAAACTTCCACCTCCTGGGTAGAAGTGATTCTCCTGCCTCAGCCTCCCGAGTAGCTGGGATTATAGGCGCTTGCCACCATGCCCAGCTAAATTTTTTGCATTTTTAGTAGAGATGGGGTTTCACCCTGTTGGCCAGGCTAGTCTCAAACTCCTGACCTCAAGTGATTCACCAGCCTTGGCCTCCCAAAGTGCTGGGATTACAGGCATGAGCCACTGCACCTGGCCACTTTTGTACTTTTTCATGTCAGTTAACTTTATTAGTGTGTTTGTTTCTGAGCTCTGTATTATATATACCACGGATGTATGTTTCTATCCTTTCCCAATATCATACCATTTAAAATTCCTAGTAAGTTTATAGTAAGTTTTGAAAGTGGATAATGTGAATCCTTTTAATGGATTTTTCTATATCATATTAATTTTGTCTACTCCTATACCTTTGTTTTTCCAAATACATTTTACAATCAGTTTGTTGATACCCATGAAATACTTGCTGTGATTTAATTGGTGTTGCTTTGACTATGTAGATCAAATTGGGGATACGTGATGTTTTAACAATATTGAATCTTTTAATAGAAGAAAATAATATATTTCTTTCATGTGCGTCTGTGTGAAGAGACCACCAAACAGGCTTTGTGTGAGCAACATGGCTGTTTATTTCACCTAGGTGCAGGCGGGCTGAGTCTGAAAAGAGAGTCAGCGAAGGGAGATGGATTATCATTAGTTCTTATAGGTTGTGGGTTAGGCGGTGAAGTTAAGAGCAATGTTTTGCGGGCAGGCGTGGATCTCACAAAGTACATTCTCAAGGGTGGGGAGAATTACAAAGAACCTTCTTAAGGCTGGGGGAGATTACAAAGTACATTGATCAGTTAGGGTGGGGCAGGAACAAATCACAATGGTGGAATGTCATCAGTTAAGGCTATTTTTACTTCTTTTGTGGATCTTCAGTTACTGCAGGCCATCTGGGTGTATACGTGCAAGTCACAGGGGATGAGATGGCTTGGCTTGGGCTCAGAGGCCTGACATTCTTGCCTTCTTATATTAATAAGAAAAATAAAACAAAATAGTGTTGAAGTGTTGGGGTGGTGAAAATTTTTGGGGGGTGGTATGGAGAGAGAATGGGTGATGTTTCTCAGGGCTGCTTCAAGTGGGATTAGGGGCGGCATGGGAACCTAGAGTGGGAGAGATTAAGCTGAAGGGAGGTCTTGTGGTAAGGGGTGATATTGTGGGGATGTAAGAAGAAACATTTGTTGTATAGAATGATTGGTGATGGCCTGGATACGGTTTTGGATGAATTGAGAAACTAAATGGAATAAGAGAAGGACAAAAACAGGTATAAAAGATCTAAGAATTGGGAGGACCTAGGACATCTGATTGGAGAGTGCCTAAGGAGATTCAGCATAGCCCTGCCAGTGAAGATTATTTATTTACTTCAAGAGTTTAGAGTGGCAGTTTGGTGATAGCACCAGGAGATATCAGCTGTGATGGCTTGGAGAAACAGTGTAAACCGGCAGTGTAAACAAGAGCAGGGCATGTATGAGTAGTTGAGAACGGTGAATAGGAGTATGACCAGACAAAAGATAGTAGGGATGGCAAGTTTTTTGGGGGCACAGTCTAAGTTGGTCTGGTGTCAAATGAGACTGGGGCCTAATAAAAAGGAGCATCTATACAGGAGCTTAAATGGCTGTACCTTGTAACATTCTGAGGACAGGCCTGAATTCTGAGAAGCGAAAGTGGTAAAAGTATTGTCCAGTCCTTTTTAAGTGGGTGGCTGAGCTTGATGAGGTGTATTTTTAAAAGACCTTTAGTCCGTTCTACTTTTCTTGAAGATGGAGGACCGTAAGGGATATAAAGGTTTCACTGAATACTAAGAGCCTGAAAAACTGCTTGGCTGATTTGACTAATAAAGGCTGGTCTGGTATCAGACTGTATAGAGGTGGGAAGGCTAAACTGAGGAATTATGTCTGACAGAAGGGAAGAAATGACTGCGGTTGCCTTCTCAGACCCTGTAGGAAAGGCCTTTACTTATTCAGTGAACGTGTCTATTTAGACTAAGAGGTATTTTAGTTTCCTGACTCGGGCCTGTTGAGTAAAGCTAATTTGCCAGTCCTGGGTGGGGGCAAATCCTCGAGCTTGATGTGCAGGGAAGGGAGGGGGCCTGAATAATCCCTGAGAGTAGCAGAAGAGCAGATGGAACACTGAGAAGTTATTTCCTTGAGGATAGATTTCCACGATGGAAAGGAAATGAGAGGTTCTGAGAGGCGAGCTAGTGGCTATAGCGTAGCCTGCCTTTGCTGGTGTGTGGCGATTAGGCCTGGTGGAACCGCCATCAATAAATCAAGCGTGATCAGGATGAGGAACAGGAAAGAAGGAAATATGGGGAAATGGGGTGAATATCAGGTGGGTCAGAGAGATACAGTCATGGGGGTCAGGTGTGGTATCAGGAATAATGTAGGAGGCCAGATTGAAGTCTGGGCCAGGAACAATGGTAATTGTGGGACTTGACAAAGAGTGAGTACAGCTGAAGGAGCCGGAGAGCAGAAAGTATATGCGTCAGGTATGAGGAAGAAAATAGATTTTGGAAGTTATGAAAAATGTAGAGAGTGAGTTAGGCATAGTTTGTGATTTTTAGGGCCTCTAAAAGTATTAAAGCAGCAGCAGCCACTGCACGCAGACATGAGGGCTAGGCTAAAACAGTAAGGTCAAGTTGTTTGGACAGAAAGGCTACAGGGTGCGGTCCTGGCTCTTGTGTAAGAATTCTGACCGCACTAACCATGCCTAGGAAGGAAAGGAGTTGTTGTTTTGTAGAAGGTGCTGGGGTTTGAGAGATCAGTCGGACATGATTGGCAGGGAGAGCACGTGTGTTTTTATGAGAATTATGCCGAGATAGGTAACAGATGAGGATGAAATTTGGGCTTGACTGAAGTAATGGGGGCCATCTGTGAAGCCTTGCGGCAGTACAGCCCAGGTAATTTGCTGAGCCTGATGGGTGTCAGGGTCAGTACAAGTGAAAGCGAAGAGAGGCTGGGATGATGGGTGCAAAGGAATAGTAAAGAAAGCACGTTTGAGATCCAGAACAGAATAATGGATTGTGGAGGGAGGTATTGAGGATAGGAGAGTATATGGGTTTGGCACCGTGGGGTGGATAGGCAAAACAATTTGGTTGATAAGGCATAGATCCTGAACTAACCTGTAAGGCTTGTCTGGTTTTAGGACAGGTAAAATGGGGGAATTGTAAGGAGAGTTTATAGGCTTTAAAAGGCCATGCTGTAGCAGGCGAGTGATAACAGGCTTTAATCCTTTCAAAGCATGCTGTGGGATGGGATATTGGCATTGAGTGGGGTAAGGGTGATTAGGTTTTAATGAGATGGTAAGGGGTGCATGATCGGTCGCCAAGGAGAGAGTAGAGGTATCTTATACTTGTGGGTTAAGGTGGGGGAATACAAGAGGAGGACGCAAAGGAGGATTTGGATTGGGAAGAAGGGCATCAATGAGATGTGGCTATAGTTCAGGAATAGTCAGGGAAGCAGATAATTTGGTTAAAATATCTCAGCCTAATAAGGGAACTGGGCAGGTGGAGATAACTAAAAAAGAGTGCATAAAAGAATGTTGTCTAAGTTGGCACCAGAAATGGGGAGTTTTAAGAGGTTTAGAAGCCTGGCCGTCAATACCCACAACAGTTATGGAGGCAAGGGAAACAGGCCCTTGAAAAGAAAGTGATGTGGAGTGGGTAGCCTCCGTATTGATTAAAAAGGGGACGGACTTACCTTCCACTGTGAGAGTTACCTAAAGCTCGGCATTGTTGATGGTCTACGGGGCTTCCGAGGCAATCAGGCAGCGTCAGTCTTCAGCCAGTAAGCCAAGGAGTCAGTCAGAGAGCCTTGGGCCAGAGTTCCAGGGGCTCTGCGAGTGGCTGCCAGGTGAGTTGAACAGTCCGATTTCCAGTGGGGTCCCGCACAGATGGGACACGGCTTAGGAGGAATCCTGGGCTGCAGGCATTCCTTGGCCTGGTGGCCAGATTTCTGGCACTTGTAGCAAGCTCCTGGGGGAGGAGGTTCTGGAGGAACACCTGGCCGCTGCAGTTCAGGTGTTTGGAAGTTCTTGTGTGCTGGAGATGTGGCTGGGGTTTGTCTCACAGTGGAGGCAAGGAATTGCAACTTTTTTTTTTATTATTGTACACCTTGAAGGTAAGGTTAATTAAGTCATGTTGTGGGGTTTGAGGGCCAGATTCTAATTTTTGGAGTTTTATTTAAGGTCTGGAGCAGATTGGGTAATAAAATGTATATCGAGAATAAAATGGCCTTTTGACCTTTTAGGGTCTAGGGCTGTAAAGCGTCTCAGGGTTGCTGCCGAACGAGCCATGAACTGGGCTGGGTTTTTATATTTGATGAAAAAGAGCCTAAACGCTATCTGATTTGGGATAAAGAAAAAGGAGCATTAACCTTGACTATGCCTTTGGCTCCAGCCACCTTTTTAAGAGTAAATTGCTGGGCAGGTGGGAGAGGGATAATCACAGAACGAAACTGTAAGCCAGACCAGGTGCGAGGAGGGGAGGCGATAAAAAGATTACAGGGTGGAGGAACAGAGGCTGATGAAGAATTGGGACCTAGCTTGGGCTGGCGAGGAGGGGAGAGGTCAGATGGGTCTGTAGAAAAGGAAGATTAGAAAGACTCAGCGATGCTTGGGGTTGGGACTGAGGGGACAAACAGGAGGGAAAGAAGGAAGATTTGGGATGAGTTGCACTGGGCACAGAGACCAGGAAGGGACTGATGTGTAAAAGAATGCCTGGATGTCAGGCACCTCAGACCATTTGCCCATTTTACGACAAGAATTATTTAGATCTTGTAGGATGAAAAAAATTGAAAGTGCCATTTTCCGGCTATTTGGAACTACTGTCGAGTTTGTATTGGGGCCAAGCGGCATTGCAGAAGAAAATAAGATGCTTAGATTTTAGGTCAGGTGAGAGTTGAAGAGGTTTTAAGTTCTTAAGAATACAGGCTAAGGGAGAAGAAGGAGGAATGGAAGGTGGAAGCTTGCCTATAGTGAAGGAGGCAAGCCTAGAGAAAAGAGTAGAGACACGGAGAAGGGGTGGGGGTTTCTTGCCCTCCAGAAAAGCAGAGAAAGGGTTGGGGCACAGAAATAAGGGATTGTGACACAGAGATAAGAGGTTGGGGTGCGGAAATAAGGGATTGGGGCACAGAGATAAGAGGTCGGGGTGTGGAAATAAGGGATTGGGGGTTCTTGCCCCCTAGAAAAGTGGGACTTGCCACTAAGGGTGAAGGAGAAGGGGTTGAGGGGTACTTGCCGCTCCCCCAGAAAAGCGGGACTTGCCACTAAGGGTGAAGGAGAAGGAGTTGAGGGGTACTTGCCCCTTCCCCAGAAAAGCAGAGAAGGGGTAGAGACAAGGAGAGAAGGGTTTGGGGTACTTGCCCCTTCCCCAGAAAAGTGGGACTTACCGCTAAGGGTGAAGGACCAAGGCAGGCATCCCTGCATGGTCTGACACCTTTGAAATGTGGGTGAATAATCAGAGAGGCGTCCCTGCAAGTGATTAAACACCAAGGGAAGGCTGCCTTCCCAGTCCGTGACCGGCACCGGAGTTTTGGGTCCACAGATAAAACGTGTCTCCTTTGTCTCTACCAGAAAATGAAAGGAATTAAAATTAAGAGAAGGGAGAGATTGAAGTGTTGATTGAAAGGAGAAAGAGGTTGAGGGATAGTGAGGGAGGTTGGAGAAGAGAGTAAAAAGAGGCCGCTTACCAGATTTGAAATTGGTGAGATGTTTCTTGGGCTGGTTGGTCTGAGGACCTGAGGTCGTAGGTGGATCTTTCTCATGGAGCAAAGAGCAGGAGGATGGGGGATTGATCTCCCAAGGGAGGTCCCCCGATCCGAGTCACGGCAGCAAATTTCATGTGCGTCCATGTGAAGAGACCACCAAACAGGCTTTGTGTGAGCAACATGGCTGTTTATTGCACCTGGGTGCAGGCAGGCTGCGTCCAAAAAGAGAATCAGCGAAGGGAGATGGATTATTATCATTAGTTCTTATAGGTTTTGGGTTAGGCGGTGAAGTTAAGAGCAATGTTTTGTGGGCAGGCATGGATCTCACAAAGTACATTCTCAAGGGTGGGGAGAATTACAAAGAACCTTCTTAATGGTGGGGGAGATTACAAAGTACGTTGATCAGTTAGGGTGGGGCAGGAGCAAATCACAATGGTGGAATGTCATCAGTTAAGGCTATTTTTACTTCTTTTGCGGATCTTCAGTTACTTCAGGCCATCTGGGTGTTATACGTGCAAGTCAGAGGGGATGCAATGGCTTGGCTTGGGCTCAGAGGCCTGACAATTTCTCCATGTATTTAGATATTCATTATTTTTTTCCATCTGTGTTTTGTAGTTTTTAGCATACAGATTATGCATGTATTTGGTTATGTTTATATATAAGTGCTTACTTTTTTTGTTGCTACTACATATGGTATAGTTTTTCCTTCAAATTCCAAATGTTCATTGCTGATATATAGGAACATGATTAACTGTTATGTACTTGTATACTGAGACCTTGCTGAACTCATTCATTTGTTCTAAGAACTTTTGGGAATGTAGATTTTCTTAGATTTTTAAATATGATTTCTAGATTGTGTAACTGGTGATATTGCTATATAGAATGTAAATTTTAAAAATTGTTTTTGTTTTTAAATCAGAGTAATAAAAACTGGGGGATAATTGGGTGCGAGGTACCCTTTTGGATATGCGTGTAGACATTTTCAATGCACATTGAATATCTTGGTCTAGAACTCATCAAGGAGAAGTGATTGGGATGACGGTTTATGGATCAATCAACATAGAGATGCTAACTAAAGTCATGGGCATGAGTGAGATCATCTACAGTGTGTGAAGGGTATTAGAAAAAGTCAGAAATAAACACTGTTGAAGAGAAGGTATATAGTTTTCTCTCATTTTTTTCTTTCTATTTATACAACTGCTTAATGTTGGAAAAGGGATAGCAGAACAGAATTACTCTCTACTGTCTTTCAGTATCTGCTCCTGGTAATAAGAAAGTATGCAGAAAAGAACATAGCAGGCCTGAGATTGCTATCCTTAGGAAGTCCTCCTTACGAGGTTGGCCCAGCTGGCATTCCAGAACTTGGATTTGGGGGTGTTTCCACCATTTCCTGATAAGAATAACTCATTGTACCTAAACTGTTTGTACAAACAATGTGCTTTAAGTTGAATACCTGATTTCCATCTGGGAATCTGGTATTTTGGCACATGCTGGGCAGAGGGTGCCTATATGACCAACCCTCAGCAAAAATTCTGGACACGGAGTCTTTAATTATATCCTCTGATAGACAGCATTTCACACATGTTGTCATATCTTGTTGCTAATGTAATTGAGTGAATCCTGTGTAACTCCCCTGGGAAAGGATTCACGGAAGCTTGCTCCTGGTTACTGGATTTACTGGTTACTGCTTCTGGATTTACCTCATGAGTCTTTCCTATTGCTCATTTTGCTTTTTATCCTTTGATGTAATAAATCATAGCCATGATTATGACTATACGCTAAGTCCTGTGAATTGAAATGAAACTCAGGAGAGAGAGAATTGGGAGGCCCAGGATACAGGAGGCTTTTATCATTTAGTTACCATGTATATATACATACTATGTATCATTTTCCTTAGTGGCTTTTAGAATTTTTACCTTATACTTGGGTCTACAATTTTGTTATGATATGCCTACATATGACTTTTTTTTTTAATTGACCTTATCACTTGATGTAACATTTCAATTGGAGAATACATGAGTCTTTTGACTGTTGGCTATTTCTCTGCCAGTCTCTCTTTAAATATTGCTTCTCTGCTATTTTAATAGATGGATTCCAGCCTCCTGTGCCATTTATGTGTTTCATAATTTCTGTCTATTTTACTACCTCTTTATCTCTGTGTGCTTTATTCTGAAAGACTTCCATCATTCTTTCTTAATTTACTATTTCTTTTTTTTAATACTTCAAGTTTTGGGATACATGTGCAGAACATGCTGGTTTTTTACATAGATATACACGTGCCATGGTGGATTGCTGCACCCATCAACCTGTCATCTATGTTAGGAATTTCTCCTAATGTTATCCCTCACCTAGCCGCCCACCCCCCAACAGGCTCCTGTGTGTGATGTCTCCCTCCCTGTGTCCATGTGTTCTCATTGTTCAACTCCCACTTATGAGTGAGAACATGTGGTGTTTGGTTGTCTGTTCCTGTGATAGTTTGCTAAGAATGATGGTTTCCAGCTTCATCCATGTCCCTGCAAAGGACATGAACTCATCCTTTTTTATGGCTGCATAGTATTTCATGGTGTATATGTGCCACATTTTCTTTATCCAGTCTATCATTGATGGACATTTGGGTTGGTTCCAAGTCTTTGCTATTGTGAATAGTGCTGCAATAAACATACATGTGCATGTGTCTTTATAGCACAATGATTTATAATCCTTTGGATGTATACCCAGTAATGGGATTGCTGGGTCAAATGGCATTTCTGGTTTTAGATCCTTGAGGAATTGCCACACTGTCTTCCACAATGGTTGAACTGTTTAACACTCCCACCAACAGTGTAAAAGCATTCCTATTTCTCCACATCCTCTGCAGCATCTGTTGTTTCCTGACTTTTTAATGATTGCCATTCTAACTGGCATGGTATGGTATCTCATTGTGGTTTTGATTTGCATTTCTCTAATGACCAGTGATGATGAGCTTTTTTTCATATGTTTGTTGGCTGCATAAATGTCTTCTTTTGAGAAGTTTCTGTTCATGTCCTTTGCCCACTTTTTATAGGGTTGTTTGTTTTTTTCTTGTAAATTTGTTGACATTCCTTGTAGATTCTGGATATTAGTCCTTTGTCAGATTGATAGATTGCAAAATTTTTCTCCCATTCTGTAGTTTGCCTGTTCACACTGATGATAGTTTCTTTTGCTCTGCAGAAACTCTTTAGTTTACTTAGATCCCTTTGTCAATTTTGGCTTTTGTTGCCATTGCTTTTGTTGATTTAGTCATGAAGTCTTTGCACATGCCTATATCCTGAATGGTACTGCCTAGGTTTTCTTCTAGGGTTTTTATGTTTTTAGGTCTTACGTTTTAGTCTTTAATCCATCTTGAGTTAATTTTTGTACAAGGTGTAAGGAAGGGGTCCAGCTTCAGTTTTCTGCATATGGTTAGCCAGTTTTCCCAACACCATTTATTAAATAGGGAATCCTTTTTCCTCATTGCTTGTTTTTGTTAGGTTTGTCAAAGATCAGATGGTTGTAGATCTGTGGTGTTATTTCTGAGGCCTCTCTTAGGTTCCATTGGTCTATATATCTGTTTTGGTACAAGTAGCATGCTGTTTTGGTTACTAAGGCCTTGTAGTATATTTTGAAGTAAAGTAGTGTGATGCCTCCAGCTTTGTTCTTTTTGCTTAGGATTATCTTGGCTATATGGACTCTTTTTTGGTTCTATATGAAATTTAAAGTATTTTTTTTCTAATTCTGTGAAGAAAGTCAATGGTAGCTTGATGGATAGCATTGAGTCTATAAATTACTTTGGACAGTATGGCCATTTTCACAATATTTTTTCTTCCTATCCATGAGCTTGGAATGTTTTTCCATTTGTTTGTGTCCTTTCTTATTTCCTTGAGTAGTGGTTTGTAGTTCTCCTTGAAGAAGTCCTTCACATCCCTTGTAAATTGTATTCCTAGGGTATTTTATTCTCTTTTTAGCAATTGTGAATGGGAGTTCTCTCATGATTTGGCTCTCTATTTGTCTATTATTGGTGTATAGGAATGCTTGTGATTTTTGCACATTGATTTTGTATCCTGAGACTTTACTGAAGTTGCTTATCAGCTTAAGGAGATTTTGGGCTGATACGATGGGGTTTTCTACAAATACAATCATGTCATCTGCAAAGAGAGACAATTGGACTTCCTCTCTTCCTATTTGAATACACTTTCTTTCTTTCTCTTGACTGATGGCCCTGGCCAGAACTTCCAACACTATGTTGACTAAGAGTGGTGAGAGAGGGCATCCTTGCAGTGTGCCAGTTTTCAAAGAAAATGCTTCCAGCTTTTGCTCATTCAGTATGATATTGGCTGTGGGTTTGTTATAAATAGTTCTTATTATCTTGAGATACATTCCATCAACACCTAGTTTATTGAGAGTTTTTAGCATGAAGGGGTGTTGAATTATATTGAAGGCCTTTTCTGCATCTATTGAGATAATCGTGTGGTTTTTGTCTTTGGTTCTGTTTATGTGATGGATTACATTTATTGATTTGTGTATGTTGAACCAGCCTTTCATCCTAGGGATGAAGCCAACTTGATCGTAGTGGATAAGCTTTTTGATGTGCTGCTGGATTTGATTTGCCAGTATTTTATTGAGGATTTTCATATGGATATTCATCAGAGGTATTGGCCTGAAATTTTCTTTTTTTGTTGTGTCTCTGCCAGGTTTTGGTATCAGGATGATGCTGACCTCATAAAACGAGTTAGGGAGGAGTGCCTCTTTTTCTATTGTTTGGGATAGTTTCAGAAGGAAGGGTATCAGGTCCTCTTTGTACCTCTGGTAGAATTCAGCTGTGAATCCGTCTAGTTCTGCACTTTTTTTGGTTGGTAGGCTATTAATTACTGCCTCAATTTCAGAACTTGTTATTGGTCTATTCAGGGATTCGACTTCTTCCTGGTTTAGTCTTGGGAGGGTGTGTGTGTCCAGGAATTTATCCATTTCTTCTAGATTTTCTAGTTTACTTGTGTAGAGGTGTTTATAGTATTCTCTGATGGTAGTTTGTATTTCTTTGGGATCAGTGGTAATATCCCCTTTATCATTTATTATTGTGTCTATTTGATTCTTCTTTCTTTTCTTATTTAACAGTCTGGCTAGTGGTCTATATATTTTGTTAATCTTTTCAAAACACCAGCTCCTGGATTCATTGATTTTTTTGAAGGGTTTTTCGTGTCTCTATCTCCTTCAGTTCTGCTCTAATCTTAGTTATTTCTTGTCTTCTGCTAGATTTGAAATTGTTTGCTCTTGTTTCTCTAGTTCTTTTAATTGTGATGTTAATTTTAGATCTTTCCTGCTTTCTCCTGTGGGCATTTAGTACTATAAATTTCCCTCTAAACGCTGCTTTAGCTGTGTTCCTGAGTTTCTGGTACATTGTATCTTTGTTCTCTTTGGTTTCAAAGAACTTATTTATTTCTGCCTTTATTTCGTTATTTACCCAGCAGTCATTCAGGAGCAGGCTGTTCAGCTTCCATGTAGTTGTGCAGTTTTGAGTGAGTTTCTTAATCCTGAGTTCTAATTTGATTGCACTGTGGTCTGACAGACTGTTCGTTATTATTTCCATTCTTTTGCATTTGCTGAGGAGTGTTTTACTTCCAATTATGTGGTCAATTTTAGAATAAGTGCAGTGAGGTGCTAAGAATAATGTATATTCTGTTGATTTGGGGTGGTGAGTTCTGTAGATGTTTATTAGGCCCTCTTGGTCCAGAGCTGAGTTCAAGTCCTGAATATCATTGTTATTTTCTGTCTCATTGATCTGTCTAATATTGACAGTGGGGTGTTAAAGTCTCCCACTATTATTGTAGCGGGAATCTAAATCTCTTTGTAGGTTTTATTCAGTTGTGCCCTGATATGTTTGGCTTTGTGTCCCCACTCAAATCTCATCTCAAATTGTAACCCCCACTTGTTGAGGGAGGGATCTGGTGGGAAGTGATTGAATCATGGGGGTGGTTTCCCTCATGCTGTTCTCATGATAGTGAGTGACTTCTCATGAGATCTGATGGTTTAAAAGTGTGGCACATCCCTACTTGCTCTCTCTCTCTCCTGCCACCATGTAAGACATGCCTTGATTCCCTTTCACCTTCTGCCATGACTGTAAGTTTCCCCAGGCCTCTCCAGTCATGCAGAACTGTGAGTCAATTAACTTCTTTTCATCATAAATTAGGCAGTCTCAGGTAGTTCTTTATAGCAGTGTGAAAATGGAATAATAGATGGCCCATCTACTATTTGGTCACATCTACAGACTTTTACAATAAAAAATGACTGTCTTTTATTAACTAAGACTCTTACTGTTTTTCTCTATCCTTACTTTGCTGCATAGCTTCTTATTTCTGGTACATGGGTGCTATTCCTTCCTTTATATATTTGAGGATTATTATGTTAAAGTTCAGTGGATCTATTAAGTTACTCTTCAAGTATATCTTCTCTTCTTTGGAAATAGCATTCCTCATATGTTTTGTAATTATTTCTGTGAGTTCATCTTCTGTGGGAATTACTGTAAATGAGAAAGTTTTCATCCTGAGATGTGGAGGCCTTTCTGGGTACTGTTTTGCTCTTGCTTCTTCTTGGCCTCATTAGGCTTATTTTGCTTTTAAGCAGGTTTGTTTTTATGTGACTATCATGAATTAAGGCTCAGCACCCTTAAAATGCAAATTTGGGTTTCTGGTTTGTGGAATTTTTCTTCCTATAGTCCAGGTTTGTAACTTGATCCAGCAGTGACTTTTAGCCCCAGTCTGAAGTCAGGTATATAATCCCCACTCTGTACCCCTGCTATGTAAAGACTGTAGTTTTTGCTGCTTCTTTGTAACTGCATTGGAAACCCAAGCATCTTGGCCTCTGCCTAATCCTGACATTCCAAAGCCATTCAGATTGATTTATTCCTTTTGTGAATTCCTTTTCTGATTCTGGCACTTAGAAATGTATTTCCCTTTAGTAATTTATTTATACGTTATCAAACGTTTTAATTAGTTTTGAGTACGGGGGAAATTAGAATGTGTGTTCTATGCTTAATCAACAATCTGGACTCAAGTTCAGAATGTATGTGCTTATAACATAGATTACATAGATATTTGTACTCATAAAACATAATATTATGTACAAATTAACCAATATACGAATGAATCTTCATAAAAACTGAGTTAATCAGCATTATAATTTTGAGTATAAATCATTTAGAATAAAGTTAACTTCAACCTCTCTACCAGCTCCTCCACCCACACTGCTCTAGATAATACTATAATATTAACAATGTTGGGTTATCAGTGGAAATTGTTTTTTTATGCATAATTATTTACTGTGGTTTCAGTAGTCTGAGACTTTGCTTTTGGAGAAGTTTATAGCTTTGAACTCTTTCTCTACCTTTTGTTCATCTTTCCCATAGGTGGCTGTGCAAGAAGAGCATTTGTTGTAAGATTTTTCTCCTAGTACCATCATTTTTCATGGCCTTGTGCCACTTGGCACATAACACAGGAACTAGCGAATGACCCAATGTTTTAACTGTCAGTCACCATGAACTACTTTATGAAACAGGCTTAACAGCTCATAAACTGAAAGCAATCCTGTTTACTGCCATCTCTAGATTCATAGATTGTTCGTAGCCTGTTACTGTTCTAGCAACACTCAGGGGCAAAGCACCTAAAGTACTTTATGTATTTCTTGATGTTTCTTAAGAAGGGCTGATTTTGTGAGCATCCTTGTATTTTTTTCATCTAATATAATAGGATTGGACCTTGAGGTGACTATATCAGAACTTCTGACAGCTTTCTACAACATGCAGTGCATGAATATATCTACTATATCTAGAAGTTTTGGAGGAGGAGAAATAGTCCTACAGAAACAGTATTTGAAGATGAATAAATGGATTCGCTATTCTTTTTTTAAAGCCTGTCGCTGTAGGTTAATTGACGCCTTCTTTTCTTTGTCTTATTGGCCTGTCAGCACTTTTGTCTTAGTCTTGAATTGCTTTACTCTCTGCTGAAGGTAGATGTATATTCTGAAAATAAACTTGAATCTATTAAAGTGGCTAACATATAGTGATGTCCCTGTTTTGTAAATTGAGTTCAGATATAGGCTATCTATCTGTTTGGCAGCAGGAAAGTTACGTTTTGGTCTGAATTTTACTGTTTGAGATGTTAGAGTTGCTTTCTAAGGTGGATAGGGGTCAGGGTAGTATCAGATTCACACATTACTGTCTTTACTGAATTTATATGAATGACCTCCTTTGAAGATTGAAGAATCCAACACAAGTATGCATAAGGCTCCCCTCAACCAGACAATACTATTTTCACCTCTTTTTCTTTTTAAGAGATGTTATTGGCTTTTAACGTATACCAATTTTTTAAAAAGCCCGCAGAAAAGCCATACAATTGTAAGAGAATATTGACAATCATGAACACATAGAAGATACTTTGTTACAAATTTTGCAAGATAAAAAATTTATGATTTTTCTCTCATGTCTAAGATCATTTGGTTATGTTCCTAATAAAACTCAGCCTGTGGAAATCGCCAGCATTAGTATTTAATATTACAGCACCCTTGTGAGAAAGATAAGTATTATTGTCCCTTTCTTACAGAAACAAAAGAAGGAAATGACTCCCGTGGCAACATTATCCGTAGTAGACATGAGTATTAACGTTGTGAAATGTTCAATTTCTGTTCCTAAACTATAATTACTGCCACATAGGTAGGACAAAAACTAGCTAAGCAACCACAGGCATCAAGGGAAATAGTCACATATAATGTAAGTGTTATATATATACATATGTATATACTTAATTTTTGATTAGATTTCAAATTCAGCTACCATCTTTTACATATTTGAAGAATATTTGGAGTTAATGTATTGTTCATATACTTATATCAATGGAAAAGATTTTCATCTTATAAACAAGGCCCCTTACGGAAAAAAATTACCTGTTTCTTTTATAAGGTGGTAACCATTCTCTGAATTTCCCCCATAGCAGCTGGATATTTTAAAGGATTCATGGGACTTAAAACTCAGTATTCAATTGATTTCAATTTCCTGTAATTATCCTGTCGACTTTATCTCTAATGAATTCTGTGCCCCAAACATCTTAAGTAAAGTGGCTAACATATGGCAGAGTCAGTAAGCGGATGATTAAGGGCACACATCCAGATCTGCATAAGCATGTTTCTCTTTGCCTGCTTGCCTTCACCTCTCCCTCCCTCCCTCCCTCCCTTCTATTCTCCCTCCCTTCCTCCTTCCTTCCTTCTTCTTCCCTTCCTTCCTTCTTCCCTTTCTTCTATCCTTCTTCCTTCCTTCCTTCCCTACCTCCCTCCTTCTTTCCTTCCTCCCTCCCTGCCTCCTTCCTTTCTTCCTTCCTCCCTCCCTCCCCCTCTTCCTTCCTTCCTTCTTTCCTCCCTCCCTTCCTCCCTCCTTCCCTCCCTCCCTCCCTCTTTCCTTCCTTCCCTCATTCCTTCTTTCTTTAAATTTTTTAGACTTAAATTTGTGAGTTATCTGGAGAAGCTCAAGTAGACTTTGAAGGAGAGGTTTACTCTCATTACTCATATAGGAAATAACTTGCTAAAATGATGAGGTACCTCCATATTAGACAACATATGTGGGTGCTGATTTGCTATCCTAGTAACTTCTAGGTCTCAGTTGGCCCAGGTCCACTACAAACTGGCTAAATGCATTTTGGTTGTTTCATTTTAATAAAAAAAATCAAACATTTGACTTTCTAGTTTTTTTAAAAAGTTCCACGAGTTTATCTATCAAAGTTTATTGTTACCTTGGTTAAGAAAGAATGGAAATGTTTAGGGAAATAGGTCTTGTGAAGTTTTCCAGCTTATTTTTTAAACATACCCAAATATATTTAATTAAATAACATATGCAAACTTTGTGACCCTATTGTGTGAGTAAGCACACGCATATTTAAAACTGCCTGGATAAATCTGTTTATGGGACAGCATTAATACTATCTTAAGAAACTTTAAAGAAATAAGGTATCAGTTTCTCTAAAGCATTTTTCCCAGTATCTACAAAAGTTTCTCTGAAAGAAACTTATCTACTTGAACTATCACAAACAAATTTTCATCTGAGATTAAAATTCAGACTTTTAAGTAAAATGATAGAAGGGAAAGAACAAATTCAATTCCCTGCAGTGGACAACTTAGAGTCTTTCTCCTCATGATGAATACCATTTTGCATGCAATATGACCACATTATAGACTTTGCTGATTAAAGACAATCTCATAACTACCTGTTTATCTTCCCATTTGTGCCAATGTACATTTTTATAGGTATACAACTTTATATTTAATTTTTCTATGAATGTGCATATTTTATCTCTGCTTTTGAATGGCAAGGTTCTGATGTTAGGAGATGGCATAATTTTGGCTCTTTGTCACAATCTGCACCAGGAGTCTTTAATTCAATTGGTGCTCAATTATTTTATTTATTTTTGCTATTCAACTTAACATTGATCTTGAGTAGTGCTGTGATTTCCATTGTCAACATCATTATGTAAGTAACATTCATGTGGCCCTGTGCTGTGAAGGTTTCTCAGGACTTGCATATGAACGATCTCACTTAATTTTCAAAGCAACCTGGTGAACTAAGCCTTCCAAAATTGACACACTTGGCCATATTCCATTGGCTAATCTGGAATGCTCTATGCATGCGCCATCTGTGAATGGAGTGAAAACATTCTGCCAAACCAACCAGATCATTGATGTTTTTATTTTTTAACTTGATAATATATTTTCAGGTAAGCAAGTAAAATGCACAATTGTTTATAAAACTATGGAGCCAAAGAATGTTATATAATACAGAGGATTTTTATATTTCCATGTTTGATCACAAATATCCTGCAAAAGAAAAAAAAAAGTTAATTAAAATACTAATAATTGTGATACACCTCTGGAATAATCTCATAGATATGGGTGTTTCAAATTTCTTAACAAGACCTTTAAATACCAAGAAAAATCTGTTTAGTTTTAACAACGCAAACAATGACTCATATATATTAAGTATAGCTTCCAGCCCCCCAAATATGTGTATATAATTTGTTAATTATCCAAATATATGAATTATATGACCTTTTTAAAATAGAAGGCAATATGTTAACTATACACCCTCCTTTATGAAATCTGTCAACAATAGTGTTACAAAAATTACACATTTTATTTAATTTAAATCATTATACACTAACTGGATTTTTAATTATGCTCTGTCATAAGAATAAGTTTATATGTGTGTAGTTAAAAAACCTCATCATTTTGTAAAATACAGAAAACTATAGATAAGTACTGTTAACATTTTGATTCTATCTCACATGAGTGTATGTGTGTGTGTATATATATATATATATACACACACACATACATATATACATACATATATTTATAACAAGTAATTGTGGTTATTTTTTGATATACTTTATTTTTTAGGGACGTTTTATGTTTACAGAAAATTTGAGCAGAAGGCATAGAAATTTCCTTTATACACTCTGCACCTGTTATGCACAGCCTCTCCCACTATCAACAACCTGCACCAAAGTGGTACATTTGTTACAATCCCTGAACTTACACTGACATATCATCATCACCCAAAGCTCTGGTATATTCCTTGGGTTCTGAGAAATGTATAATGACATGTATGCACCATTTCAGTGTTCTAAAGATTAGTTTCACTGCCCTAAATATCTGTGCTCTGCCTATTCATCCCTCCCTTCCCCTCTACCCTCTGGAAACCAGTGATCCTTTCACTATCTTTGTAGTTATTTAATGTTAACATTATGTGAATAATTTAGTTTATAAACACATTCCATATCATTAAAAATGTCAAATTATAGTTTTATAAAATTATATAATATTGTTTTGAAATATTATTCCCATATTTTTTTGCCATACAGTTTTTAACCATTCTGATATTGTTGGATATTTACTTATTTTCTTTCTTATTGCTATTATAAATAGTTCCCTTATGAAAAATTTTGTTCATTAATTTTTGAAAAATATTATGTTTCTCTTAGCATACAACACAAATGTTGAAGGCCATATTTTCCCATTGCTGCAACCAAAAAGGTTGATTTCATCCACTACTCCTCCATTTCTCTACTCCCTTACTTCAGATATGTCATCAAGCCTGTCAACTCTAACTAAAATCTATACCCAAATCCAATCATTTTTACCACATCCATATGGTAAATTGTATTTGGAAGGGCAAATAAACTGACACCTGAATAAAATAAGAATTATCTTTTAAAGAAAAAATTAACTTGAAAATTAAATTTTAAAAACTCATATATAAAAAACTCATATATAATTATAGTGTCAATATAAAATACCAAGAAATAAATTTAGCAAAACATGTGAGAAATTACTCTAATGACAGTGTTGTATTGATGAAGAAATTGATTTAGAAAATCAATAAAACAGAATAGAGAGTTCAGAAATAGATCTGCAGAAATATGGTCATACATTTAATTTTTGACACAGTTGCAAAAGAAATTCTATGGAAAAAAGTATTTCCAACAAGTACTATTAGCACAATTGGTAATCCATATATAAAAACGTTAAGTCTCATATAAACCTCACACCTTGTGCAATCAAAATTGATCAAGATCTATATGTAAAATATGAAACTATAAAACATTTAGAAGAAAATCTTCCTAATCTGAATTTAGGTGAAGAGCTCTCAGACATTTAAAGCACAATTTATCAACCAAAAATATTATACATTGAATTAATTGAAATTTAAATAATTTGAACTATTAAAATATATTACCCTGCTGCCTTCTGAATTTCACCTAATAGTTACCACCATTGTTTTATAGATTCCTTAGGATTTTCTATACAATCAACACGCTCTCTGAAAATAGTGATAGTTATGCTTATTAAATTTTTTTCAGCGTTGCTATGGATAAGATCTCCTAACCAATATTGAACAGAGGTGACAAGGGTAGGTATCCTTTCTCAATCAAACTGTGGGGGTTAGGGGCGAAAGTTATATAATACTTTTAAACTACCGAAGTTAAGTTGCTATAAACATAAAGTAGTCTATTTTATCTACAAGACTCTATGTTAGCCTCATGGTAATCACAAAGAAAGAAATTATAGCAGATAAACAAATAAGAAAGAGAAAACAAAGCTTAGCATCACAGAAAACCAAGAAAACACAGAGGCAAACAAAAAGAGAGAAAGAAAGGAACAAACAATCTACAAAACAGCCAGAAAACAATTAACAAAATGGCAGGAGTAAGTCCTTATTTATCAATAATAACTTTGAATAAATATACATTAAACTCTCTAATTAAAAGGTATAGAGTGAGGCCGGGCACTGTGGCTCCTGCCTGTAATCCCAGCACTTTGGGAGGCTGAGGTGGGTGGATCACCTGAGGTCAGGAGTTCGAGACCAGCCTGGCTAATGTGATGAAACCCTGTCTCTACTAAAAATAATTAATAAATAAATTAATTAAAAATTAGCCTGGCGTGGTGGTGGGTGCCTATAATCCCAGCTACTTGGGAGGCTGGGGCTGGAGAATCGCTTGAACCCGGGAGGCAGAGGTTGCAGTGAGCTGAGATTGCACCATTGCATTCCAGCCTGGGTGACAAGAGCAGAACTCCATCTCAAAAAAAAAAAAAAAAAGAGAGTGGCTGGATGGATAAAGAATGAGGCCTAATTATATGTTGACTGTAAGAAACACACCTCATGATTAAAAATAAAACAAACAAAATAAAAAATGAAATTGAAGGAATGGGAAAAGATATTCCCTGCAAACAGAAACCAAAAGTGAGCAGAAGTATAGAGTGGCTGGATGGACAAAAAATGAGGCCTAACTATGCATTGACTGTAAGAAACCCACTTCACCATTAAAAACAAAACAAACAAAACAAAAAATGAAATTGAAGGAATGGGAAAAGATATTCCCTGCAAACAGAAACCAAAAGTGAGCAGAAGTAGCCATAATTATATGTAAACCTGACAAATACATGAAAATTAAACAACATGCTTCTAAATAACCAATGGGTCAATGAATAAATTCAAAGGAAAATTTAAAAATCCCTTCAGACAAATAAGAATAGAAAACATCACACTAAACCCTATGAATCATAGCAAAAGCAATTCTAAAAAGGAAGCTCACAGCACTAAATGCTTACATAAAAAAATAGGAATGATTTTAAATAAAAAACTAACCATGCTCTTTAAGGAACTAGAAAAACAAGAACAAACGAAACCCCAAATTAGCAGAATGAAAGAAATATTAAAAGATATTCCCTGCAAACAGAAACCAAAAGTGAGCAGAAGTATAGAGTGGCTGGATGGACAAAAAATGAGGCCTAACTATGCATTGACTGTAAGAAACCTACTTCACCATTAAAAACAAAACAAACAAAACAAAAAATGAAATGGAAGGAATGGGAAAAGATATTCTTTGCAAATGGAAACCCAAAGTGAGGAGAAGTAGCCATAATTATAAGAGGTAAAATAGACTTTAAGTAAAAAACTGCAAAAAGAGGCAAAGAAGAACATTATCTAAAGATAAAGGGAGCAATTAAACTAAAGGATATAACAATTATATATACACCAACACTGGAATATGCAAATATATAAAGCAAATATTTTTAAATCTAAAGGAAATGATAGATTGCAATACAGTAATACCAGGGGACTTCAACACTCCACTCTCAACAATGGACTGGTCATGTACACAGAAAATCAACAAAGAAACATGAGACTTAAACTACATCATAAACCAAATGAGTCTTAGATATTTAGAGAACGTTCTATCCAACAGATACATAATACACGTTCCTCTCAACTGCACATGGAATATTCTCCAGGATAGATCATACGGTAGGCCACAAAACAACTCTGGACAAACTTAAGAAGATACAGTTCATAGTATCAAGTATCTTTTCAAACCACAGTGGTATAAAACTAGAAATTAAGAACAGTAAAAATTGTGGAAACCTGACAAATACATGAAAATTAAAAAACATGCTCCTAAATAACCGATGGGTCAGTGAATAAATTCAAAGGAAAATTTAAAAATCCCTTCAGACAAATGAGAATAGAAAACATCACACCAAAACATATGAATCATAGCAAAAGTAATTCTAAGAAGGAAGTTCATAGCACTAAATGCTTACATCAAAAACTAAGAATGATTTTAAATAAAAAACTAACTGTGCTCCTTAAGGAACTAAAAAACAAGAACAAACTAAACCCAAAATTAGTGGAAGGAAAGAATAAATATCAGAGCAGAAATAAAAGAAAGAAATACTAAAAAAAAATTAAGAGACAAAACAGAATTGATTTTCCAAAAGATAAACAAAATTAACAAACCATTAGCTAGACTAACGAAGAAAAAAAGACTCAAATAAATAAAATAAGATATGGAAAAGGAGACATTATAACTGATGTCACAGAAATATAAAGAATCATAAGAGATTATTATGAACAAGTATATGCCAACAAATTTGAGAACATAAACAGATAAATTCCTAGGCAAACATGACCTACCATTAAATTATGAAGAAATAGAAAATCGAATCAGATCAATAACAAGTAAGGAAATTAATCAGTAATAAGTCTCCATCCATCCATCTATCCACCCATCCGTCAATCAATCAATAATAAAAGCCCAGAACCTGATGACTTCCCTTGCTGAATTCTAGCAAACACTTAAACAGCTAATACCAAAGTTCCTCAAATTATTACAGAAAATTGAGCAGGAATGAATGTTTCCAAACTTATTTTACAAGGCCAGCATTATTACCCTGATTCCAAAGCCAGAAAAAGACACACAAAAAAATGAAAACTACCGACTAATATCCCTGATGAACATAGAGATGCAAAATTCTCAACAAAATACAAGCAAACCAAATCAACAACACATCAAAAAGATCATTCACTATAATCATGCAGTACTTATCCAAGGGATGCAAGCAACATATGAAAATCAACAAACATGAAAAATCACATTGACAAAAAGAAAAAAGCATTCCAATAGATGCAGAAAATCCATTTGACAAAATTCAACATCCCTTCCTGATGAAAATTCTCAAGAAATTAGGCACAGAAGATATGTATCTCAACACAATAAAGGCCATATATGATAAACCCACAGCTTTCCTCCTCTTTGCTGAAAACTTTTCTGCTAAGATAAGGAATAAGACAAGAATGCCCACTTTCACCACTCCTATTCAATAGAAAAGAAATTCTAGACAGAAGAATTAGGTAACAGAGAGAAATGAAAGGCATCCAAATTGGAAAGGAGGAAATCTGTCTCTGCTGAAAACATGATCTTATATATAGAAAATCCTAAAAACCCCAACAAAAAATTGTTCTTGGAATACATAAACAAACTGAGTAAGTTTGCAATATACAGAATAGACATGAAAATTTCACTAGGGTTTCTATACATTAATAGTAAACTCTCTCTTAAAAAATTAAGAAAACAATTCCATTTACAATAGCCACACACCAAAAATAAGATACCTAGGAATAGGTCGGGTGCAGTGGTTCATGCCTGTAATCCCAGCACTTTGGGAGGCCGAGGCCAGCAGATCACCAGGTCAGGAGATTGAGACCATCCTGGCTAACACGGTGAAACCGTGTCTCTACTAAAAATACTAAAAATTAGCTGGGCGTGGTGGTGGCCCCCTGTAGTCCCAGCTACTCGGGAGGCTGAGGCAGGAGAATGGCGTGAACCTGGGAGGCGGAGCTTGCAGTCAGCTGAGATCATGCCACTGCACTCCAGCCTGGGCGACAGAGTGAGACTCTGTCAAAAACAAAACAAAACAAAACAAAACTAGGAATACACTTAGCAAGATGAAATATCTCTAGGTTGAAAATTATAAAACATTGATGAAAGAAACTGAAGACACAAATAAATGGTAAGATATTCTGTGTTCATGGATTGGAAGAACTAACATTGTTAAAATGGCCCTACTACCCAAAGTGATCTACAGATGTAACGCAGTCCCTATCAAAATACAAATGACATTCTTCATAGAAATAGAAAACACAATTCTAAAATTCCTTTGGAACCACAAAGGACCCTGAATAGCCAAAGCAATACTGAACAAAAAGAAAAAAGCTGGTGGCATCATACTACCTAACTTTAAAATATATTACAAAACTGTAGTAACCAAAATAGCATGGTTTTGGCTTAAAAACAAACAGACAAAAAGAACAGAATAGAGAGCTCAAAAATAAATTCATGCACCTATAGCCAACTAAGTTTCAACAAAGGTGCCAAAAACACACATTGGAGAAGAGACAGTCTCTTCAGTGAATGTTCCTGGGAAAATGGAATATCCACATGCACAAAAATGAGACAAAACCTTCACCTCTCAACATATACAAAAATCAACTCAAAATGGTTAAGGACTTAAATGTAAAGCCCAAAACTATGAAATTACTATAAGAAAACATAGCATAAACACTTTATGACATTGGCCTAGGCAATGAATTTTAAATTAAATCTTAAAAGCTCAGGCACTGAAGAAAAAATAGACAAACAGGATTTCATCAAACTAAAAAGACTTTGCACTGCAAAAAAAGCAACAAAGTGAAGGGACAACCTGCAGAGTGGGAGAAAATATTTGCAAACTATACATTCAACAAAAGGTTAATATCCAGAATGTACAGGGAACTTAATAGCAACAACAACAACAACACCCAAATGACTCATTTTAAAATGAGCCAAAGACATCTACAGACATTTCTCAAAATAAGACATTCAAATGGCCAATATGAAAAAAAAAGCTTGACACATTAATTATCAGGGAAATGCATATCAAAACCACAATTAAATACCACCTCACTTCAGTTAGAATGGTTATAATAATAATAAAAAAAAAGGAAACAAGTGTCAGTGAGGATGTGGTGAAAAGGCAACGCTTACACACTGTTGGTGGGATTGTAAATTGGCACAGCCATTATGGAAAGAAGTGTGGAGGTTCTTCAAAAAAATAAAAATATCACTACCATAGGATCCAGCAATCTCATTGCTGGGCATATATCTAAAGGAAATGTAATCTGTATGTCAAATAAATATGAGCACTCCCATGTTTATTGTAGCACTATTTACAATACCCAAGGTAGGAACGCAGCCCATGTTCAACGATGGATGAATGGATACAGAATATATGGCATACACACACACACTCACACACACACACACATATATACACACACACAACAAAGTACTATTTAGCCATAAAACATTAAGTCCTGTCATTTGTAATAACATGGATGAATCTGGAGGACATTATGCTAAGGGAATTAAGCCAGGCACAAAAAACAAATACTGCATGAGCTAATGCATATGTGGAATCTGAAAGGAAAAAAAAAATTGATATAGAAGTAGAGAGTAGAATAGTGTTTACCAGAGACAGAGGATGGATGGAGAGAGGGGAGGATGGGATGAGAATGATCAAAGGGTACAAAGTAACAATTAGATTGGAGGAATAAAATCTGGTGTTTTATTGCACAGTCAGGTGAAGACGGTTACCAGTAAGGCACTGTATATTACAAAATAGGTGGAAGAAGAGAGGCTACTGAATATCCTCACCACAAAGAAATTACAAGTGCATGAGGTGATCAAAATGCTAAATACCTGATTTGATCATCATACAACATACATATGTATCAAAAAATCAAATTTTACCCCATAAATATGTACAATTACAGTGTATCAATAAAAAAATAATTACAAATGAAGTTGTTTAGTGATTTCATAATGTACTCTTTACTCTTTTACATTTTTTCCCCTTGGAATTATTTAGCAGAGCTTGGAGAAGTCTGAGTGCTGTTTTAAATGTCTATTTCTCCTTGTCATGTGACCATTCATTAAACCTAGTCTTTAAAATTGGAAAGGCTCAATATGCATATCTTGATTATAACTGTATAAATAACGTATACTTTGCCATATTGACTTAGTAAGCGTCATAAGTAAGATTATTATATTTTTATTTTTAAGGTACTTTTCTTCAAATAAGTTATTTCTTTTGAATGAGATTTAACCTATTCTGATTGTGAAACCTTTAACGTATATGATTTTTAAAAACATTTCTGAAACAAATAAACAGAAAGTTTCACTGATTTTAGAAACCCTGATGGTTTTAAACTGTGTAGCTCATTTCTTTGTTCAATATAACAAAGGAAACTTCTTAGGCTTTCTGACTGCACTGTTCTGGTTTGTGCCAGGTTACTATTGCCTTTTTCAAAAAAGAAAAATGTTCAGCACTGTGACTCTGACTGCTTATTCAAAGACTAGAACCTTGAAAAGGGTATTGAGATGGCCTCACAGCTAAATTTCCATTATTTTTATGGTTTTGGGAATCTGGTTTTCAAAAATTCATCATTGAAAATATTTTTGACAAAGAACAGCATTAGCTGTATGGGAAAGGAGTTGTAGAATATTTTCTATCCTGTACAAATAGATCAGTTAATCAACACTGTCTTTCATATTTTCGGTCATTTACAGCATGAACAGATTTCCACTAAGCCAATAAAAATGTGAAATGCTTGGAGAAAAAAGGATGGAGTTAAATACCATACATTCTGTCTTACTGGCCAAGATTATAACAACTTGAAAGATGATTCCCTTCTTGCCTCTCTCCCCCTCTTCATCTGCCTCCCTTTCTCCTTCCCTCCCCTCTTTTTTCCTTTTCTTTCTTTCTTCCTTCCTCCCTTCATCCCTCCCTTTCATCCTTTATTTTTCTTTCTCTTTTTTTCTCTTGTTCTCTTTTTCTGTTTGTTTCTTTCCTTCTTTCTTTCTGTTTTCATTTTAAGGTACAAAGAATCGCGTAAGAGCCATGAGAAATGAAGTTAGTGCCTGTTGTTTAAAATAACAACAGATGCCATCTATGTGCATATAAAATATAAGACAGATTACATAATATATTCTAACAATATATATCATAAATAATATGTAATATACTTAATCTTATTTCTCAGTATTAAAATGTTTTCTATTTTTTGTATCATAAATAATAAGTAAATTTAATTATACACAAATCTTTTCCAAGTTTTTGACTATTTCCTTCAATTATATTTTTAAAAGTAAATTTACTAAATGTATGAACAAATTTTAAAAGATCAATGTGTTAATTGCTGTTACAAAAACGCTATTGATGTATGGTACTTATTTTGAAGCAGGTTTCTTTATGACACTGCAATCATTTCCAGGTATTTTTTTCCCCAATTATTTCTCTTATCTTAGAAATGCCCAGTTATCCTTCACAACTTGGATCCCAGAATGCTGGCAGTTAGGTTTATACCCTCTGTGCAGGAGGTGGGTAGACTGCAGCCTAGGGAGTTTGAGGAGACAAAGAACAAAAAAGCTAAAGTTACCATCATCCAAGTTTCCCTAATAAAATAGCCTTGCCAGCTGACCAGCAATGAGGTTCTTAGTTGACAGTGACCATTCATTAGTGCAGAGCTACTAATCAGCTTTTAGATATTATGCCTTTACATATGAATAGTCAGGATTCATTAGACCCAAGACAGAGACCAAAACAGATATACAGGAAACCACACATCTAGTGAAAGACCAGAAAGTCAGAAAACCAAATGGTAAGTATATCAGAAGTATCAGAGAAAATGGAGGGAACAAAATAAAAACAGTACTTCAAAATTTCACAGAATTGAAGTGTATGCATTTCTGTATTCAAGAAAAATATATTCAATGGAAAAAAATTGACTCATACTGAATCATAACACCAAGAAATGTCAAAACACTATAGTAAATGAAACAATCTCCACAGCTTATTGGGGAAAAAACCAAACCAAAACTAAAAGGCTACATACAAAAAAAAATCAGTAGTAGTTCAGAGGTTTATGGATATCTCTTTTGTGACACCAAAAGCTAAAAGGTAATGGAGCAAGACATTAACTTTTTTTTTTTTAAAGAAGTTCTTTTATTTCAAAATTTTTAAACATTGAGTTTTATATACCTACTATTAATTATGTATAAGGTAGACCAAAGACATTTTCAGATATGTGAGTTCTCAAAAAATGTACCATCCATGTATCCTTCCTTAGAAACCAAAAGAGTAAGTAAATCAAGAAAGAAAAATGTAATGGGATCTAGAAAGCAATGGCTCCAACTTAAAAAAAAAATGAAGCCCAAGATCACAGTGAAAGAGCTGTGCCCCAGGTGTAGAGGGCAGGTCACAAAACTCCATCTCTAAGACAAGGCAACACTAGGACCCTAAGGTATTAATATTTGAATATACTGAGAGAATATGTAGATAATGCTGAGTGAGCTTGGGGCTGAATTAGTAGGAAACAGAACACCAAAATGTAAAAACCAGATAAATATTACTTTCAATAAGATAAAGAAAAGTTGTATCACCCATAAAGTAACCATGATCTAGTATATAGCTTATCTAGGAATACTGTTTACATTATCATAATAATCTAAGGACAGAATTTTGACCTAACTAAAAGTATGATAAACAAATATTGAGAGGCCAGGTGGATCTAGATATATTTCAGAAGTGAAAATGATTTTCGAGAAATACAATTTTTTTATCGTTGGTGGTAGAGATGAGTGGTGTTTGACAGATAGCTAAATTCTTATTTTTCCCACTGGGAAATTGATTAATAATTCCTAGAAAAATTCTTATAAATTAGGAATTAGACATACTGAACTTAATGAGGTCAAGGGTTAAAAGTTGTTGCCTCTGGGAAATAGAAACTGCAAAAGGGGTTAAAGGGCCCATAATTTCATGAAACTTTATAGAATTACTTATTTCCTTAATCTATGTAAAAGAATCTCTTCACTCAAATCAATAGCTAATTTTTAAAAAATCTATATGAATAAATATTTGATTACCAAAATTCTAAATTTTATACAAGGAAAATTGTGGCAAAATGTTTTTTCATCCAAACAACACATGGCACATGCAAAAACAGAAGCAAAAACAAAAAGACAAAAACAAAAATTCTTAGTGGAATGTAATTCTAAAATAAACCGTTCCACAGAATTTCTATGCCTTATATTAGCTGCTAAGTTGTATTGACCCTATTATACTGGGTGTCTTACCAAGCAGTCATATGTTTTTGAATAATTAATTACTGCTTACTGTGGTGATACATCATTAGCATAAGATAATGGCATCGTCAGATAGCCACAGAATCTTTAGCCAGACAGAGTCTTTGGCAAATAAATACTGTGTGTATGCAGACTCCAGTACAAGACAGAATCATGAATAATTTTAGGGAAACTTACAGATCTTAAGAATTGGATAGCAGGTGCTTTTGTTTCAATCTCAAGTAACAGTTTGTCAATGACATATCACATAATCAGATTTTCTATCCATGGATTTATTGGCTGCAATAGTTACTAATATGACAAATATATTATTCTACAATGAGGAATGCCAACACTGAAGCACAGATGGTCTCCTCCAGCAAGTGACAATTTGAAGCATCAGATCTATCATGAAACAGACATAACTGTTTAGAACGACAGCACTTTGGCCATAAAGGAAAGAACAATAGGAACAGTTGTAATCAATAGCAACTGTAGCTTTACATTTCTGTTCACACTTAAGGGAACCTTAATAATATAATTTTTTAAAAGACTTTTTAAAGTTCCATGTCAAGAATTTAATCTCTTTATTGAACTGCAATTGTCTTAATTTGATTACATTTGCATTTTATTCTTATTGTTTGCTGGCATTTAGCAATGTGGTGTGTGGTGCGTGTGTGTGTGTGTTTGACAGAGAGAGAGGACAAAGCTAATTTCTTTCTATACCTATACCTATCTAAGAAAACGCCAGCAGGAAAGTTTGACAACATCACCTGTGGGAAATAGCAAAAAGAGCATTGTGGGTACTATCAATGTCCTGTAGGGATTGGTGGTGGGTGGCAAAAATCAATTACATTCTTCACAAATAAATCCAGGGGGAAGGAAGACAATGTGTTAGTGGCTTAAAATAGGAATCACCCATGGAGTTAGAAGCACCCAGGCATGACCTGGTTGTGGAACACAACTGAAAGCAAAAAATAAAAGGTTGGGCTCATGAGTATCAACCCTTGCACAAGTGAAACAAAATTGTCCCAGAACTAAGCTTGTTTTTAAGCCATTCTTTATTTTTTTCCATTGCCCATATTAATTGCCATAAATCAGTTCTAAGGCAGACTTGCATCCCAAAGGACTTGCAAAACTGGCTTAAGGGATGTCAAGGTTTAGTGTCAACAGGATAGCAGCTGTAATTTTAGTAGAAAGGGTCTTATGCTCTTTTTTTTTTTTAGACTTGCCTTTGTGATATAACACTCAGTTCCAAATCTCACTCTATCCTATGAAAGAGTTCAAATGAGAATTCAAATAGAAGAGAGATTTGGATAACAACTATAGGAAGTTAAGTAGAAAGGAAAAAAAAAAAATCCAAGCTTGATGTTATGTGTATAACGGTGTGCTGATGGCCTGTGAGAAAAGCAGTAGTTAAAATTCTGTGTGATGAAAACACTGCTTGTATGCTTTAGTTGAGTAGTTGCTATAGTTTCATGAATACCTGTATCTATAGGTTGATCTCTTAATCTATTGATATAACTATAAATATAGGTAGATATCTCTCTGATGTTTAGAAATACAAGATTAGTGCATTATGCCAATTTTGAAGATAGGACAATGAAACAAGGAGCATGTTACAGACTTCATATGGAAAAAAAAGAAGAGGAGGGATAGACAGAAAGAGAGACTATAGCCAGTTGAAACATGTTGGATGTTGGAACAGACCCTGACAGAGGAGAGGAAGAGTGGATGGATCCTATATATTTCAGAGGTAGAAACACCTTTGGGAGACTTGTACTCACATATAAGTATGTATTACACAAAAAATTTTTCCCTTAACTTGAAAGATTTTTCTCTTATTCCCTTGCCTCATAATCTCTGCTACTTTCTTTCCTGGGCATTATAGGTTCTAGGATTTTTTTTTGTAACATCAGAATGGTAGAAATATCCAAATGAGATTATTTGGTGGCAGCAGTGCTCTAATTATTGCTTTTATGACATCTTTGGCTTATAATTTGCCTTGCTTACTAAAATGTTAAGTTTTCCTCTATATGCTGCAATATTTATGTGAAAGGTATTTCTTTCTAAATTGAAAAACCCTTACGGATTGTATCTGTTCATTTTCTGTCTGGGATGTACAAACTTTCAGTTGTATTTGACAACTTAAGAGAAGTTAAATCAGCAGCTATATATTTAACTTTGAATTATAATTGAAATAAAACAAAAAATATATGAAATGCTAAATTTGATTAGCTTTGATATAATCATGCAACCCTGAGATTATTATCAATATCAAGATAGTAAACATTTCTATTATCCCCAAAGTCTCCTTCTGCCCTTTTCTGATTCATCCCTCACCACCCCCACCCAAAGCAACAGTTAACCTGTCATCTGTTACAATTGAGTTTACATTTTCTAGAACTTCATTGTATTAATGCACATAGTATTTTTGGCCCAATATTTTCCTTTACATTAATAATTTTGAGAATCATCTACATTGCTGCATATAATGTTAGTTACTTTATGTTATCACCTAGGAAGTGTTTTATTTAACAAATATACTCCAATTTGTTTGTTCATTCATCTATTGATAAGCATATAAGTTGTTTCAAGTATGGGACTATTGCAAATAAAGTTCTAATAAGCATTTATGTAAAAGTCTTTGTATAGACATATGTTTTCAGTGAAGTATGGTCAGTGCTGAGTGAGAAGCTATATGACGGTGATATGGTAGGTAAAACATTAACTTTGTTAAGAAACTGCCAAGCTATTTCCCAAAGTGATTATTCCATTTTACATTCCCATCAGCACAGCATGCAAATTCTAGTTGCTCCAAATCTTCACCAACACTTGGTATGGTAAGATTTTTATTTTGATCCATTCTTATGGTTATGTAATAAAATTTAATTTTCATTTATTTGATGAATAACAACATTGAATGTATTTTCATATACTTATCAGGCATTCATATATATTCTTTTGCTTAATTTTTATTGGATTTTTTATTTTCTTATTATTGGATTATAAGAATTCTTCATATATTCTAGATACAAGGCTTTTGTCTAATATATGTGTTTTGAATGTTTTCTCACAATTTGTGGTTTGCCCTTTCATTTTTACAATGATATCTAGAAATATATCTAGTTGAGGAGGTGAAAGATCTCTGCAAAAAGAACTACAGAACACTGCTAAAAGAAATCATAGATGATTAAACAAAGAAATGGAAAAACATTCCACGTTCATGGACTGCAAGAATCAGTATCTCTAAAATGGCCAAAGCAATCTATAGATTCAACATTATTCCTATCAAACTACCAACATAATTTTTCACAGAACTGGAAAAAATTATTCTAAATATCGTATGCAACCAAAAAAGAACCCAAATAGTCAAATAAATCCTAAGCAAAACAACAAATAAGAAAAGCCAAAGGCATTCCATTCGCCAAATGAAACTATACTGTAAGGCTACAGGAACCAAAACGACATGGTACTGGTATAAAAACGGACACATAGACCAAGGGAACAGAATAGAAAACCCAGAAATAAAGCCACATACCTATAGCTATCTAATCCTCAACAAAGTTGGCCAAAATAAGCAATAGAGAAAGAACTCCCTGTTAAATAAATGGTGCTGGAATAGCTGCCTAGCTATATGCAGAAGAATGAAGCTGGACCCCTATCTTTCACCATACACAATAATTAACACAAGATGAGTTAAGGATTTAAATGTCAGACCTCAAGCTGTAAGAATCCTAGCAGAAAACCTAGGAAACACCATGCTGGATATTGGCCTTGGGAAAGAATTTATGACTAAGCCCTCATAAGCAATTGCAATAAAAACAAAAATTGACAAGTGGGACCTAATTAAATAAAAAACCTTCTGCACAGCAAAAGAAACTATCAACATAGTAAACATACAACTTACAGAATGAGAAAAATATTTTCAAAATATGCATCTGACAAAAGGTCTAATGTCTAGAATCTATAAGGAACTTAAACAACTGAACAAGAAAAAACAAATACTCCCGTGAAAAAATGAGGAAGATACATGAGCAGACACTTCTCAAAAGAAGACATGCAAGCAGCCAACAAACATATGAAAAAAATGCTCATCATCTCCAATAATCAGATAAATGCAAATCAAAACCACAGTGATATACCGTCTCACACCAGTCAGGATGGCTAGTATAAAAAAGTCAAAAAAAAAAAAAAAAAAACCAAAAAACAGATGTTGGCAAGGCTGCAGAGAAAAGGGAATGCTTATACACTGTTGGTGGAAATTTAAATAAGTTACGCCACTGTGGAAAACAGTTTTGAGATTTCTCAAATAACTTAAAACAGAACTATTATTCAACCCGGCAATCCCATTTTGGGTACATATCCAAAAGAACACAAATAGTTCTACCAAAAAGACACATGCAACCCCATGTTCATCGTAGCACTATCCACAATAGCAAAGACATGGAATCAACCTAGACACCCATTAATGGCAGGCTGAATAAACAAAATGTCGTTCATATACACCATGAAATACTACCCAGCCATAAAAAAGAATGAAATCACATCCTATGTAGCAACATGGATGCAACTGGAAGCCATTGTCCTAAGCAAATTAAGGCAAGAACAGAAAACAAAATACCACATGTTCTGACTTGTAAGTGGGAGATAAACATCAGGTACTCATGAACATAAAGATGGCAAAAACAGACACTGAAGACTATGAGAGGGGGAAAGAAGGGAGGGGGACAAGGATTGAAAAACTAACCATTGGGTACTATACTCAGTACCTGGCTGATGAGATCATTCATACTCCAAACCTCAATATCACAGATATATCCAGGTAATGAACCTGCACATGTACCCCATGAATTTAAAATAAAAGTTGATAAAGAAAAAAATGATATATTTCAAAGGGCAAAACTAGTTGTATTGATGAGGCAGTTACTAATTTTCTCTTTTTAACCCAAATGTGATACATATATACCTGTCTATATTCTATTTAAGAGAACTGTAGCTTTGCCAAAGTCACAAATATTTTTTCCTTTGCTTTCTTTATCATATTTAATTATTGCATTAGTCTGTTCTCATGCTGCTGATGAAGACACATACGTGAGACTGGGTAATTTATACAGAAAAAGAGGTTTAATGGATTTACAGTTCCACATGGCTGAGGAGGCCTCACCATCGTGGTGGAAGGCAAGGAAGAGCAAGTTATGTCTTACATGGATGGCAGCAGGCAAAAAAGAGAGCTTGTGCAGGGAGACTCCCGTTTTTAAAACCAGCAGATCTCATGAGACTTATTCACTATCACGAGAAAAGCATGGGAAAGGCCTGCCCCCATGATTCAATTACCTCCCACCAGGTTCCTCCCATGACACTTGGGAATTATGGGAGTTACATCAAGATGAGATTTGGGTGGGAACACAGCCAAACCATATTATTCCATCCCTGGTCCCTTATAAATCTCATGTCCTCACATTTCAAAACCAATCATGCCTTCCCAACCGTCTCCCAAAGTCTTAACTCATTTCAGCATTAACTCAAAAGTCCACAGTCCAAAGTCTCATCTAAGAGAAGGTAAGTCCCTTTGGCTTATGAGCCTGTAAAATCAAAACCAAGTTAACTACTTCCTAGATACAACGGGGGTACAGGCATTGGGTAAATACGGCCATTCCAAATGGGAGAAATTGGCCATAACAAAGGGTCTACAGGCCCCAAGCAAGTCCAAAATCCATCAGGGCAGTCAAATCTTAAAGCTCCAAAATGATATCCTTTATTCTATGTCTCACTTCCAGGCCATGCTGATGCAAGAGGTGGGTTCCCATAGTCTTGGGCAGCCTCATCCCTGTGGCTTTGCAGGTTACAGACTCTCTCTCAGCTGCTTTCATGAGTTGGCATTGAGTGTCTGCAGATTTTCCAACTGCACAGTGCAAGCTGTAGGTGAATCTATCATTCTGGGGTCTGGAGAACAGGAGAACAGTGGCCTTCTTCTCACAGATCCACTAGGTGGTGCCCCAGTAGGGATTCTGTGTGGGACCTCCAACCCCACTTTTCCCTTCCACACCACCCTAGCAGTTCTCCATGAGAGTCCTGCCACTGAAGCAAACTTCTTCCTGGGTATCCAGACATTTCCATACACCCTTGGAAATCTAGGTGGAGGTTCCCAAACCTCAATTCTTGACCTCTCTGCACCTGCAGGCTCAACACCACTTGGAAGCTGCCAAGGTTTGGGGCTTGCACCCTCTGAGGCCATGGGCTGAACTGTAGCTTGGCCATTTTAGCAATGGCTGGAACAGCTGGGATGCAGGGCACCAAGTCCCTAGGCTGCACAAAGCAGTGGGGCCACGGGTCCAGCCCACGAAATCATGTTTTCCTGCTATTGCTCCACCTCTGGGTCTGTGATGGGAGGGGCTGCCACAAAGGTCTGGCAGGCCCTTGAGACATTTTCCCCATTATCTTTGTGATTAACATTCGGCTCCTTGTTACTTATGTAAATTTCTGCAGCTGGCTTGAATTTTTCCTCAGAAAATGGGTTTTTCTTTTCTACTGCATTGTCAGGCTGCAAATTTTCCTAACTCCTATGCTCTGTTCCCCTTTTAAAATGGAATGCTTTTAACAGCACCCAAGTCACCTCTCGAATACTTTGCTGCTTAGAAATTTCTTCTGCCAGATACCCTAAATCATCCCTCTCAAGTTCAAAGTTCCACAAATATCTAGGGCAGAGTAAAAATGCCACCAGTCTCTTTGCTAAAACTTAGCAAGAGTCACCTTTGTTCCAGTTCTCAAGAGGTTCCTCATTTCCATCTGAGACCACCTCAGCTGGGCCTTAATGTTCATATCACTATCAGCATTTTTGTCAAAGCCATTCAACAAGTCTCTAGGAAGTTCCAAACTTTCCCACATTTTTCTGTCTACTTCTGAGCCCTCCAAACTGTTCCAACCTCTTCCTGTTACCAAGATCCAAAGTCACTTCCACATTTTTGGGTATCTTTTCAGCCACTCCCCACGCTACTGGTACCAATTTACCATATTAGTCTGTTCTGATGCTGCTGATAGAGACATACCTGAGACTGGGTAATTTATACAGAAAAGGAGGTTTAATGGACTTATAGTGTCAAGTGTCTGGGGCGGCCTCACCATCATGGTGGAAGGCAAGGAGGAGCTAGTTATGTCTTACATGGATGGCAGCAGGCAGAAAGAGAGAGCTTGTGCAGGGAAACTTCCTTTTTTAAAATTATTATTATACTTTAAGTTTTAGGATACATGTGCACAACGTGCAGGTTTGTTACATATGTATACATGTGCTATGTTGGTGTGCTGCACCCATTAACTCGTCATTTAGCATTAGGTATATATCTTAATGCTATCCCTCCCCCCTCCCCCTACCCCACAACAGTCCCCGGTGTGTGATGTTCCACTTACTGGGTCCATGTGTTCTCATTGTTCAATTCCCACCTATGAGTGAGAATATGCGGTGTTTGGTTTTTTGTTCTTGCAATAGTTTGCTGAGAATGATGGTTTCCAGCTTCATCCATGTCCCTACAAAGGACATGAACTCATCATTTTTTATGGCTGCATAGTATTCCATGGTGTATATGTCCCACATTTTCTTAATCCAGTCTGTCATTGTTGGACATTTAGATTGGTTCCAAGTCTTTGCTATTGTGAGTAGTTCCGCAATAAACATACGGTGCATGTGTCTTTATAGCAGCATGATTTATAATCCTTTGGGTATATACCCAGAAATGGGATGGCTGGGTCAAATGGTATTTCTAGTTCTAGATCCTTGAGGAATTGCCACACTGACTTCCACAATGGTTGAACTAGTTTACAGTCCCACCAACAGTGTAAAAGTGTTCCTATTTCTCCACATCCTCTCCAGAACCTGTTGTTTCCTGACTTTTTAATGATCACCATTCTAACTGGTGTGAGATGATATCTCATTGTGGTTTTGATTTGCATTTCTCTGATGGCCAGTGATGATGAGCATTTTTTCATGTGTCTTTTGGCTGCATAAATGTCTTCTTTTGAGAAGTGTCTGTTCATATCCTTCGCCCACTTTTTGATGGGGTTGTTTGTTTTTTTCTTGTAAATTTGTTTGAATTCATTGTAGATTCTGGATATTAGCCCTTTGTCAGATGAGTAGGTTGCACAAATTTTCTCCCATTCTGTAGGTTGCCTGTTCACTCTGATGGTAGTTTCTTTTGCTGTGCAGAAGCTCTTTAGTTTAATTAGATCCCATTTGTCAATTTTGGCTTTTGTTGCCACTGCTTTTGGTGTTTTAGACATGAAGTCCTTGTCCATGCCTATGCCCTGATTGGTATTGCCTAGCTTTTCTTCTATGGTTTTTATGGTTTTAGGTCTAACATTTAAGTCTTTAATCCATCTTGAATTGATTTTTGTATAAGGTGTAAGGAAGGGATCCAGTTTCAGCTTTCTACATATGGCTAGCCAGTTTTCCCAGCACCATTTCTAAAAAGGGAATCCTTTCCCCATTTCTTGTTTTTGTCAGGTTTGTCAAAGATCAGATAGTTGTATATATGTGGCGTTATTTCTGAGGGCTCTGTTCTGTTCCATTGATTTATATCTCTGTGTTGGTACCAGTACCATGCTGTTTTGGTTACTGTAGCCTTGTAGTATAATTTGAAGTCAGGTAGCGTGATGCCTCCAGCTTTGTTCTTTTGGCTTAGGATTGACTTGGCAATGTGGGCTCTTTTTTGGTTCCATATGAACTTTAAAGTAGTTTTTTCCAATTCTGTGAAGAAAGTCATTGGTAGCTTGATGGGGATGGCATTGAATCTATAAATTACCTTGGGCAGTATGGCCATTTTCATATTGATTCTTCCTACCAATGAGCATGGAATGTTCTTCCATTTGTTTGTATCTTCTTTTATTTCCTTGAGCAGTGGTTTGTAGTTCTCCTTGAAGAGGTCCTTCACATCCCTTGTAAGTTGGATTCCTAGGTATTTTATTCTCTTTGAAGCAATTGTGAATGGGAGTTCACTCATGATTTGGCTCTGTTTGTCTGTTATTGGTGTATAACAATGCTTGTGATTTTTGCACATTGATTTTGCATCCTGAGAGTTTGCTGAAGTTGCTTATCAGCTTAAGGAGATTTTGGGCTGAGAAGATGGTGTTTTCTAGATATACAATCATGTCATCTGCAAACAGGGACAATTTGACTTCCTCTTTTCCTAATTGAATGCCCTTTATTTCCTTCTCCTGCCTGATTGCCCTGGCCAGAACTTCCAACACTGTGTTGAATAGGAGTGGTGAGAGAGGGCATCCCTGTCTTGTGCCAGTTTTCAAAGGGAATGCTTCCAGTTTTTACCCATTCAGTATGATATTGGCTGTGGGTTTGTCATAGATAGCTCTTATTATTTTGAGATACATCCCATCAATACCTAATTTATTGAGAGTTTTTAGCATGAAGGGTTGTTGAATTTTGTCAAAGGCCTTTTCTGCATCTATTGAGATAATCATGTGGTTTTTGTCTTTGGTTCTATTTATATGCTGGATTACGCTTATTGATTTTCGTGTGTTGAACCAGCCTTACACCCCAGGGATGAAGCCCACTTGATCATGGTGGATAAGCTTTTTGATGTGCTGCTGGATTTGGTTTGCCAGTATTTTACTGAGGATTTTTGCATCAATGTTCATCAAGGATATTGGTCTAAAATTCTCTTTTTTGGTTGTGTCTCTGCCAGGCTTTGGTATCAAGATGATGCTGGCCTCATAAAATGAGTTAGGGAGGATTCCCTCTTTTTCTATTGATTGGAATAGTTTCAAAAGGAATGGTACCAGCTCCTCCTTGTACCTCTGGTAGAATTCGGCTGTGAATCCAACTGGTCCTGGACTTTTTTTGGTTGGTAAGCTATTAATTATTGCCTCAATTTCAGAGCCTGTTATTGGTCTATTCAGAGATTCAACTTCTTCCTGGATTAGTCTTGGGAGAGTGTATGTGTCGAGGAATTTATCCATTTCCTCTAGATTTTCTAGTTTATTAGTTTATTTGTGTAGAAGTATTTATAGTATTCTCTGATGGTAATTTGTATTTCTGTGGGATTGGTGGTGATATCCCCTTTGTCATTTTTTATTGCATCTATTTGATTCTTCTCTCTTTTCTTCTTTATTAGTCTTGCTAGCGGTCTATCAATTTTGTTGATCTTTTCAAAAAACCAGCTCCTGGATTCACTGATTTTTTGAAGGATTTTTTGTGTCTCTATTTCCTTCAGTTCTGCTCTGATGTTAGTTATTTATTGCCTTCTGCTAGCTTTTGAATGTGTTTGCTCTTGCTTCTCTAGTTCTTTTAATTGTGATGTTCGGGTGTCAATTTTAGATCTTTCCTGTTTTCTCTTGTGGGCATTTAGTGCTACAAATTTCCCTCTACACACTGCTTTGAATGTGTCCCAGAGATTCTCGTATGTTGTGTCTTTGTTCTCGTTGGTTTCAAAGAACATCTTTATTTCTGCCTTCATTTAATTATGTACCCAGTAGTCACTCAGGAGCAGGTTGTTCAGTTTCCATGTAGTTGAGCAGTTTTGAGTGAGATTCTTAATCCTGAGTTCTAGTTTGATTGCACTGTGGTCTGAGAGATAGTTTGTTATAATCTCTGTTCTTTTACATTTGCTGAGGAGAGCTTTACTTCCAAGTATGTGGTCAATTTTGGAATAGGTGTGGTGTGGTGCTGAAAAAAATGTATATTCTGTTGATTTGGGGTGGAGAGTTCTGTAGATGTCTATTAGGTCTGCTTGGTGCAGAGCTGAGTTCAATTCCTGGGTATCCTTGTTGACTCTCTGTCTCATTGATCTGTCTAATGTTGACAGTGGGGTGTTAAAGTCTCCCATTATTAATGTGTGGGAGTCTAAGTCTCTTTGTAGGTCACTCAGGACTTGCTTTATGAATCTGGGTGCTCCTGTATTGGGTGCATATATATTTAGGATAGTTAGCTCTTCTTGTTGAATTGATCCCTTTACCATTATGTAATGGCCTTCTTTGTCTCTTTTGATCTTTGTTGGTTTAAAGTCTGTTTTATCAGAGACTAGGATTGCAACCCCTGCCTTTTTTTGTTTTCCATTTGCTTGGTAGATCTTCCTCCATCCTTTTATTTTGAGCCTATGTGTGTCTCTGCACATGAGATGGGTTTCCTGAATACAGCACACTGATGGGTCTTGACTCTTTATCCAATTTGCCAGTCTGTGTCTTTTAATTGGAGCATTTAGTCCATTTACATTTAAAGTGAATATTTTTATGTGTGAATTTGATCCTGTCATTATGATGTTAGCTGGTGATTTTGCTCGTTAGTTGATGCAGTTTTTTCCTAGTCTCGATGGTCTTTACATTTTGGCATGATTTTGCAGCGGCTGGTACCGGTTGTTCCTTTCCATGTTTAGCGCTTCCTTCAGGAGCTCTTTTAGGGCAGGCCTGGTGGTGACAAAATCTCTCAGCATTTGCTTGTCTGTAAAGTATTTTATTTCTCCTTCACTTATGAAGATTAGTTTGGCTGGATATGAAATTCTGGGTTGAAAAATCTTTTCTTTAAGAATGTTGAATATTGGCCCCCACTCTCTTCTGGCTTGTAGGGTTTCTGCCGAGAGATCCGCTGTTAGTCTGATGGGCTTCCCTTTGAGGGTAACCCGACCTTTCTCTCTGGCTGCCCTTAACATTTTTTCCTTCATTTCAACTTTGGTGAATCTGACAATTATGTGTCTTGGAGTTGCTCTTCTCGAGGAGTATCTTTGTGGCATTCTCTGTATTTCCTGAATCTGAACGTTGGCCTGCCTTGCTAGATTGGGGAAGTTCTCCTGGATAATATCCTGCAGAGTGTTTTCCAACTTGGTTCCATTCTCCCCATCACTTTCAGGTACACCAATCAGATGTAGATTTGGTCTTTTCACATAGTCCCATATTTCTTGGAGGCTTTGCTCATTTCTTTTTATTCTTTTTTCTCTAAACTTCCCTTCTCGTTTCATTTCATTCATTTCATCTTCCATTGCTGATACCCTTTCTTCCAGTTGATCGCATCGGCTCCTGAGGCTTCTGCATTCTTCACGTAGTTCTCGAGCCTTGGTTTTCAGCTCCATCAGCTCCTTTAAGCACTTCTCTGTATTGGTTATTCTAGTTATACATTCTTCTAAATTTTTTTCAAAGTTTTCAACTTCTTTGCCTTTGGTTTGAATGTCCTCCCATAGCTCAGAGTAATTTGATCGTCTGAAGCCTTCTTCTCTCAGCTCGTCAAAGTCATTCTCCATCCAGCTTTTTCTGTTGCTGGTGAGGAACCGTGTTCCTTTGGAGGAGGAGAGGCGCTCTGCGTTTTAGCGTTTCCAGTTTTTCTGTTCTGTTTTTTCCCCATCTTTGTGGTTTTATCTACTTTTGGTCTTTGATGATGGTGATGTACAGATGGATTTTTGGTGTGGATGTCCTTTCTGTTTGTTAGTTTTCCTTCTAACAGAAAGGACCCTCAGCTGCAGGTCTGTTGGAATACCCTGCCGTGTGAGGTGTCAGTGTGCCCCTGCTGGGGGGTGCCTCCCAGTTAGGCTGCTCGGGGGTCAGGGGTCAGGGACCCACTTGAGGAGGCAGTCTGCCCGTTCTCAGATCTCCAGCTGTGTGCTGGGAGAACCACTGCTCTCTTCAAAGCTGTCAGACAGGGACATTTAAGTCTGCAGAGGTTACTGCTGTCTTTTTGTTTGTCCCCAGCCTCGCTGCCGCCTTGCAGTTTGATCTCAGACTGCTGTGCTAGCAATCAGTGAGACTCCGTGGGCGTAGGACCCTCCGAGCCAGGTGCGGGATATAATCTTGTGGTGCGCCGTTTTTTAAGCCGGTCCAAAAAGCGCAATATTCGGGTGGGAGTGACCCGATTTTCCAGGTGCGTCCGTCACCCCTTTCTTTGACTCGGAAAGGGAACTCCCTGACCCTTTGCACTTCCCAAGTGAGGCAATGCCTCGCCCTGCTTCGGCTCGTGCACGGTGCACGCACCCACTGACCTGCACCCACTGTCTGGCACTCCCTAGTGAGATGAACCCAGTACCTCAGATGGAAATGCAGAAATCACCCGTCTTCTGCATTGCTCACGCTGAGAGCTGTAGACCGGAGCTGTTCCTATTCGGCCATCTTGGCTCCTCCCTCTTTCATTTTCATGTTAGTCCAGACCACTAGAATATATTAGTCATTAGAAATAGTGTGCATAAAGACAATAGGCATCTCTGTCTTACTCCTGACCCATTGAATCTATCCATTTTCTAGTTTCTCTACTGGTGTAGGTTTTGGTATATCCCATTTTGCTAGACATCCTCTAATTTTATCCCCAATAATGCCTACCTTCTGGTATTTAGGCCATTGTGTATTCTTCTTGAGTGGGGAGCGAGCCGATTTATTCACTTATACATAGAATATGGCAGAAATGATGGGATATCCACTTCGGAGTTTAGGTTTTAAAAAGGCTGTTGCTTTAGTCTTTTTTGGCAAATGAGTACACTCTTTCATTTGCTCTGGGGGAAGTCAGCTATCATGTCATGAGGCAGCCCTGTGGACAGGTCGTCATGAGTGAGCTTCGAAGTAGACCTGTGGTCAGTCAAGAGTTAGGTGAATAAACTTGGAAGCAATTTGTCTTAGGTGTTTCAACATCAGTGTGAGTGCATTTGGAAATGGAACCTCCTATGGTGGAAGTTTGAGATGCCTACAACTGTGGCCAACATCTTAATCACAGCCTTGTGAAAGACTGCTGCAGAACCACCCACTTAATCTGCATTCACATTTCTGATTCATGGAAACTATGAGATAGTAAATGTTAGTTGTTTTAAACTGCCAAGTTTTGGGGTAATATGTTATGCAATAATAATAACTGACACATACATTTACCTACTCTTTTTTAAAAAAATCCTGCTCTTCCTAGCTTGCTAAAGATTTCTAAAATCGCCACTTCAGAAAAATCACATTTTAAAAAATAATGTGGTAAAATTTACTGAAATATTTGGATGTTAAGACATCCTTGCATTTCTCTGCATGATCATGACATATTCTAGTTAGTTAATATTTTCTTTAGAACTTTTACTTGCATGTTTATAAGTGAAAGCACTCATGATTTTGCTCACTTGCATTGTTTTAGCATTACAGTATCCCATAAATACGTGGGTTAACTTTTGGTCCCTTTCCATTTTCTTAAAAAAGAAAAAAGTTTATGAGACAAATGAAGTGTTCATTGAAAGTTTGGTTGAATTGACATGTAAAGCCATGTAGACCTAGATTTTTGAAGAAAGGGAGGTTTTGACTAAAATTAAAATTTTTGTAATATTTCGTAGTGATTTATTTTATCTTTTGCCAACTTTGGCATTTTATGTTTTCCTAGGAATATGTGCATTTCATATGGGCTTTCAAATTTTGTAATGTAGTTGTTCTAATACTTTATTAAAATCTTTTTTTGTGTCTTAATTATTTACCCCTTCTGTTCTGCATTGTGTTTATTTATATCTTTTCTCTTTTTTTCTTGATGAAGGCTTCCAAGTTCTTTCTTACTAATATTTTCAAAAATAGTTCTGTTTTTGTTCATTTTTTCTATTTTTATTGTCAGTTATAAATATTTTTCCCTTATCTCTCTCTCTCTCTCTTTTATTTTTTTTTTTTTTAAAAGGAGTCTTGCTCTGTTGCCCTGGCTGGTGTGGTGCGATCTTGGCTCACTACAACCTCCACATCCAGGTTTAAGCAACTCTCCTGGGCCAGCCTCCCAAGTAGCTGGAATTACAGACACCCACCACCACACCTGGCTAATTTTTGTATTTTCCATAGAGATAGGGTTTCACCATTTTGGCCAGACTGGTCTCAAACTGCTGAGACCACCATGAGCCATGAGCCACCATGAGCTCATGTGCCACCATGTCTGGTCCCTTATCTTTATTATTTATTTCATTTGTTTCTTTAGGCATTGCTATTTATAATCTCTTTCATCAAATATTTAGTTTGTTTATATTTAATTATCCTTATTTCCTGATATATGGATTTAAACTATAAATTCCCTATGTACTACTTCAGTTCTGTCCCACATATTTTGATATGCACTGCTTCTATTGTCATTATGTTATAAAATATTTCTTTATTACTCCGATCATTTCTTTTGAGCCCAAGGATTAATAGTATATAATTAATTTCTAAATATGTAAGAAATTAGAATTATCTTTCTGTATTAATTTAAAAGTTTATTGCACTGTGGACAGTGAACAAATGCATCATATTGACCCTTGAGATTTGCTGCGGCTGCCTTCATGACTAGATATATGATCTATTTTTTGCTAATGTTCTGTAATGCTCAAAATCAATAGGTATTCTTTGTGCATGTAGAGTTATATATATAATCTATTAACTCAAGCATATTGTTATTTTCTGATCTTTGATTTTTTGCATATAGTTTTGTCTAGTTGCTTTTATTGTTTCTGTGTGGAGTATGTTAAAATCTCAAAGTACAGTTTATTTTGCAGTTCTTTTAGTTGCTTGATATAACGCTATACAGTTATACCTTTTTTTTTCTTTTTTCTTTTTTTTTTGAGACAGAGTCTCTCTCTGTCGCCAAGCTGGAGTGCAGTGGCGCGATCTTGGCTAACTGCAACCTCCGCCTCCCAGGTTCAAGCGATTCTTCTGCCTCAGTCTCCCGAGTAGCTGGGACTACAGGTGCACGCCACTACACCCAGCTAATTTTTGTATTTTTAGTAGAGACGGGGTTTCACCGTGTTGGCCAGGATGGTCTCCATCTCCTGACCTCATGATCTGCTTGCCTCAGCCTCCCACAGTGCTGGGATTACAAGCCTGAGCCACCACACCCGGCCTACAGTTAACTTTATATATGTTAGAATGTTTGTAATGCTTATGTTTTATTTTTGTTGTTCTTTTTTCCAGATATAGCATCATTTTCCTTTTCTTATATTGTTTTGCTCTAAGTTTTATTTTATCAGATATTAAGATAACTACCAATATTTGTTGGTTGTTATTTGTCCAGTACATTTTTTCCATCTTTATTATATTTAAACTTTTTGGTTAAGTATGAGTATGGATTTAGAGTGTTTAAAAACTTTATTCAGGCTTTTTATATTGCTGAAACCTTTTAAGGGAGCTCATATCTCTTATAAAGGTTATATAAACATTATTCTGATAAAAAAATACATCCACTCAGCTCAGATGTAAGTGAAAATAGTCCATTTAGAAATGAAAAGACCATAATATTGCAGAGCTAGTTAATTGTCTAGGTTTGCAGGTTTATACAGTAAATTATTTAAAGAATGTCTCAAATTTCACTTGGTTTCATACCGTGGAGGCTGAACTTGAATCTGGTGTATTTCCCAGGTTTGTGAAAAGATGTGCAGATGTGAGTAAGAACTTGGAGCTCTTTGAGCCACCTGCTTAGTCATGGTAGTGCAACTGTTGAAAATATGGGCTCTATTAAAAATTCCTCAGTGAGCTATACCACGGAGTACTACCAGCTGGTAGTTTTCCTGGCATATAACTATGGTTCAGTGCCAGCTGCATTGAGGCAGGGCATGAAAAGCAAGATTGAATCCTAGAAGCCGGTAATTAGGTTCATGTGCAATGCTAGGTGACTGAGCTCTTTAAATGAGAAGGTTACAATTTGGAAGGAGACAGAAAAGAACCCGGAATAGAGTATAAAAACAAATATTTGGTAGATTCTTTTTTCTTCTCATGATTGGCTTTAATTGGATTTTTAACAAGTGTATATTAAAAGAAGCAAATTATTCATATTTCAGGCTGCCAGTGTAAGCTAGAATAGATATGTTTGCATGTGAATTATGATAGTTATATTTCCATTTGTCCTTCTTTGTTTAAACGCTGTTTAGATGTATTTTGAAGTTTTTAGAGTACCATGTGTTATTTTGAAAATATATCTTTGAATGCAACTTCTCCCTTGTGAATCAATAGTAATAAGTTAAATCAGAAAACACTGTTTCTCTTTAAAGCTTGGCCATTCTGGGGCAAGTTACAGGCACTTATTTTGATGTTTTACTTTCAAGTTGTCTAAGCAAATTGGAAATAGTGCATTGAAGGCACTTTCACATGTGATATCTGTTAAATGTCATTTACAATTTATGTATTCTTACACAGAATTTTCCCTTCTATCTTTGAAGACTGATAAATAAAATCTCTCCCCTGCTACTCATTTTTTTCCTATTTGGCAAAGGGAATATTGAAATATATCTTTTAATACTGTAGATAAACAAGGCTATTATTTTATTATTTTATTCATCAATTTCCAAAGGAATGTGACATTTTCCAGCAGCCTCCTTCTTTACAATTACATTTAGTTTGGCAGTGAGATGTGTTTATTTTTAATCCAAGTAATTTCTTCTAAAAATAAAATGCCTCTTAACCCCCACCCCTGAAGGTAAGTGGTAAATTGTACAATCATACTTTTTCATCTATGTGTGAGATATTTACATTAAATATGCATGTCATATATAATATATGCATAGCTGAAAGCAAAAACTGCCACAGTGTCAGAGAGGAATCATTTAAAGAATTTATTCCATAAAACATCTAAAACACTATAAAGAATTAACTAATCCTAATGCAAAGCAACACAAATATGCAGTTGGCACAGCTTATTTTTGGAAGGCAGGGTTTAAGTATATATATATACATATATATGTGTGTGTATATATATTATTTTCTCTCAGTAGATCCATATGTCTCATAATAAGCACACACTGCATGAGATGAAAAGGAGACTAAATACATACATGTATACATGTAATTTTTATGCTACTGCAGTTGAATGTATTGGCTTCATCACTTTAATTTTCTTACACCCTTGCTAGTTCGTTCAATACCTTTACTCAGTATAGGTCAGTCTAAATATGGTAAGATAGGGGATAAAAAGATTTTTTTTTAAATGGAAGAATTGCTCTGATCTGAGGTTCAGCTAATAAAATAAGATAAATCAGAGGCAGGGAGAGGATTGAAGATTTCAGTACATTTAATAAGAATGTCCTCTCATATTTGTAAAGCTCTTAACAGATTTCACCCTCTTCAGTAACCGCTGATATTGTAGATCTCAGAGAGAGTATTTTCAGTGGTGGAACCCTGGCTAATAGGAATTAAGAGATGAGTGAATGGGTAAAAAATCAAGGCAGGGAAAAGACTCTTCTTCTGAGACGTTTGCTATTAAGGAACAATATAAAGCAAAGATGACTGGAAAACCAAAAAAGGCACTTTGTTACACTATATTTTGATTCACTAGAATATATTTATGGGTAGAGGAGAAATGCATAAATGAGAAATTGAAGCATAAATATCGAGCTAGAGGAGAAAAGGATCGTGTTCTCTAATAGAGAGAGGGTAAAATGGGAAAAAGAATAAATAAATATGGAGAAACATTTTTAGTTTGGAATAAAAGCACCGAGGATGTCAATTTTGTGAGATTCTGTAATTACAGTCAGTAGCAGTGTTTCTCCCGAGAAAGAGAAGATTGAAAGACATTTAGAACCTGCTAGAGAAGTTTGTAATTGATGTTGTAGGAAACAGTATAGAAATTAAATAAGGGTTGCTGAAAAGTGCAGTTAAGTACTCAACTGACGCTGAAGTAAGTGGACTCTGTTTAGTGAATTTCACAGCAATTCCTGGCAAAGAGGGAGCAGGAGCTTAGATGGTGTGTGGTATCACTTACTTAGGGTTGAAGAAAATGTGAAACCCAGAGAATGTAAAAATTGTTATGTTAAAACAAACTATTAGAATTTCTATTTCATTTTGATTTTTAATCTCTGACAGGCAAGAGTAAAAATTTACAAGACTTAACCCCTGCAACCTGGCCACTCAGAGAAGGCATTGGCATCCTACCAAGTTCCATGGAAACCAGCTATCATCCAGTGCTTTAGGCAACTGATTCTGGTCAGTGACAAGGCTGAGACCCCAGCCCCACATTGTGCCAGGGAAGGAGCTGGTGCTTTATCAGCTGTGAAGGTTGATAGTGTGCTTTCTATATAATGAAGTTTCCATTACAAAGCTTGGATTCCAACTTCATCACCCCACCATTGAAGGGATTGCTGTATCCTTATCTGTGAGGACTGATAAACTATGGTTACAATATCACACAACTTCAAGTGCATGGCTGTTCTTCCACCTGATGACTGTGTCAGGAAAGAGGCTGGTTCTGCAAGGATAAGGTTGGAGTCAATATCTGGCCCGACATATTATTATTGTAATCTGACTATTTTTCATGCCTACGGAGGGTGGTTCTTCCCTGATCTTGCAGTTTAAAGGTTCCACAAAAGCCCAGGGCTTCTGTGATCCTCCCCAGAAGCCTGAGGTCTCGTCCTGAAAGATTTCTGTGTTCTTCCACAGCGTATGATGGGGCAAAGAGGCCTGAGCACCTGCAATGGATCCTACCTCCTTGAGTTTGCCCAGTGAATGCTGTTCTATCATTCTGGCATATGTGTGTGTTGCTTAGCCATTTTCCAATAATCTAAAAAGTCTAAAGACATCATCTCTAGCATGATGAATGGATCTTGGTGATTGGCTAACCAGAGAGAGGGAGATAAATCAGGACGGGCGGGGAATTGATTAGTTTTTACAATAAGCGGGTGTCAACGTACTAGGGAAAACAGGAAATCAGTAGGTATAAAGTGGTGGGAGAAGCATAAGGACAGGAGCCTGTAGTCAGGATAATTTCATGATTTGAACTCACACATGTAAACATTAGTGTATTATATCCAGGTTTAAACTGAAGAGCCAGGAGAAGTAATGAGAAGGCAGCATATTGCAAATCTGTTTTAAAAGTAGTGTAAAACTTACTATGTTAAAATTCTAAGAAGAGTTTATTGTCCACAAAGTTATTTATGGTATATATTTCTGGCAGATATTTCTTCTTAGTATTTTTTTGTTTATTATTTCTAGATTCTATTTTTGATAGGATTCTAGTAAATGGGAAAATGGATGAGTTGATGAAGCAAACCTACCACATAGTCTTCTAGAATTGAGGAAATTACAGCTCATCTACTGGACATTAAAAAAATATTGGTTATTACATTGTTGAGTTTAATTTCTTTATTGAATTACCTGGAAAAGATGTTCAGGGAAGTTCATCAAGACTTCATAACTTATGTTTGGGGCATAGACATTAGATACAATAGCACTATTAGTAGAAAATTATCTTGAATTAAGTTCTTTAGTGGTATTGGTTTTAATTTTGCTGGTAAAGTTGAGGCAAAATAAATCATACCACAAATATATTCTATGACACTTGTTATTAAATAAGTATTAAATGTTGATATAGTAGACAGAATATTAATAAAACTATTGTTGGCATAATCATTAGTGATATAAATTGTCATAAAAGGCTCAAGGAAAATCATTTTAAAAAATAAAAACATGTTAAGTACCTGAAGAGGAGATTATGTTTAGGATTTCTATGATTTGCTCATTGTAAATAAAAGTCAAATCAAATTGAGTATTTTCTCAGTTAAGGACATAATGTTTGAAATTAGGTGCATCTTGAAATTGATGGTACTTTCATTTTAATAACATCTTTATTTACTTACACTGTAATTCTAAATTTTTAGGATGCCCAGTTAGTGGTAGTGAAAACACCCTGTAAAATGTAATATTTTATATTTTACTTGTCACTTCAGTCTTAGAGTTATGTTGAATTGTCTGTAGAAATTAGCAAATGGAGATGATAGGATTATGGTCATTACAAATTTAAAGTAATCACACTTTAACATTTACTCTCACTCTAAGACTTCAAACAGCAAGTGGATATAGTCAAGTTGAAGATTTTTCTCTGAAATTTTTTAAGTAATAAGAAAACTGACCATCTAAACCACAAAATCAGCAAAACAAAAAGGGAAATGTGAATCTTTACTTCTCTCCGTAGATATGAATATCCCATGTGGATTTTTCTGGGTTGTCTGGATTGCAGGTTGTTGTGCTGACAGAATTTAAAAGTTTCCTTCCAGATTGACTTAAATCAGAACAAAATATCAGGTTCGGCCAGTGTGAGTTATAGTTTGTAACATTAGGCAAACATCAGAGAATTTAGCTGTGCTTTGGATTTGTTCACGTCTTATAGGTGTCTAAATTGTGATAACTTACAGTTGATAATTGTCAAAAAGTTTGAAATTGCAATATTTTTACTCTTGGTGAGAAGGAGGGAAAAATGAAGGATTTTTCATGTCTCTCAGATATATTGGCCTATTCTCCAAATGACAGGTTCCTGACTGATCAACTGTACCACCTGCTACTAAAGCTCAGTAATATTAGTCTCTGCAATGGTTTCATTCTCATCTCACACCTCAGAGATCTTGTGCTCAACCCCAGGCATCCCTTGTGTGTTTAAATCAGCTTAACGGCTCATACAGTGTGCTGATTTCCTTGTAGGCCTCTGTTTTCTCAAAAAGTGATCACCTTTTGCCAATGCCCTCAGGATTAAACAGGGCAGTCTGGTTTTCCTTTTCTGCATTGGCTATACCTTTGTAGTCAATAAAAGACTAACTAGAAAAGAATCAGCTGATGAGAGAATCAATCTTCTGGAAGCCTCCCCACAGTTTTCTCATCATTTTTGTGCCGTCTGTCATCTCAGATTGTAAAATGGAAACCAAAACTCAGTATGTGGGAAGACTTTTACTGCTCCTTGTTAACAAAAACAGTAAGACCAGGGGTTTTGATCTTATGAGTGTATAGGTAAACAGTAAGCTCTAAGTGCACACTCTTGAAGTGGCTTTTCTCTGTTTCTAATGGAGGTTTGCAAAGAATTATCAAAGTGGTATCAAAAAGGTCTCCTAACATACTGTAGTGTGGATATCCATTCTGAGGAGGTCAGGTTAAATCTGAAGGTCTTATAGACGATGATACTGGGGTACCTTGTGGTACAGCAAGCAATACAATATGTTTCTTAATAATAGTCAGAAAAATAGACAAATGTAAAACAGGATTTTTTTCTGCATATTTATATCAGGTTATATTGCATTAATTTATTTCTGTAGCAATACATTTTAAATGAAGTGACATTTTGTCTCATTTAACTTTTATTTGAACAACTTTATCTCACATAATTTGCTTTATTGTAGACTATTCAAAAATATCTGTGAAATACATTCAGATTACTTTGGCAGATAAAGGTTATTTCTTCATACACCCCATTGTATACATTTCCTCTGGCATCAGAGAATCTGAAAATAATTTTTGTCCTCCTTTTGCTTTATGATTTTCGATCATTTGTAACTTGAAAGCACAATGAGAAAAGTGAATTTGAACTTGCTAACTGATCCTATTAAAATACAAAATAGGGTCTGAAATTTGCTTTTTTTTTTTTTTCCTGTTCAGTTCAGGCTTTCAGTCAGTTATAATGCTATCAGAGCTGTTTAGTTTCTCCCTCTGGTAATATATAACATACCTTTAATAAAAATAAAAATACATTTTTAGTATCTTGAAAGGTGCAAAATCTATTGTAAATTCTTCTGAGATGCATCATATTATTGAATTATAAAGAAGCAGAATGATTTCATTACTTCTTTTCAATGTCATTGAAATAGCCCAATGATTAAATTGTTACTGCTTACTGGAACTGGGAGTATGGTTTGGTGAGAACAAGATTGGCATTTTTCTATTGCTTATTAGTTTACATGTTACTAGAAATTTGAGTATGTCAATATTGAAGATATTTAAAAATTTTTGGATCTGCATATGGATTTGTAAGGAAATAACAATACTACTTGAAGGGGAAAATACATTTATTCCATTTTTCTAAGTATCTGGAAAGTATTTCAATTTGAATCATATATGAAGTTTGGCCCTAAAATAAAAACTGGGTGATCGAATATTATTAGTTCATCATTTTATTGTTCTTATCATTAATATTGGTTGACTATTCATAACGTTCTTACCATTACTGTTGACTGGTTTCTCATAAAGTGTATAATCATTTCCTGGAAAATATGTAATTTTGTAGTATTTTTGATAATGCAAAATATCTAAGCTTAATCAAATAATCTGAAGCAAATTAGTCACAATATACTTATACTTTCTATATTTTCAAGCTAGTTCTCTCAATATTTGATATTTTCTCTTTTTCTCATTGTAAATTATCCTTGGGAGTTTGAGTTTAATCTTTATTTTATTTAGTTTTTTTCCCCCAGTCACTTACTATAGCTAAGATTTCCTGAGAAAATAAGGCAGACACCTTTTTGTTTCTGGTAGCCCATACCTTAACATTACTTTTAGTGTTGCTTTTTCACAAAGAATCTAAATGCTATAATGGCAGGTCACCTGTCATATCTTAATGGCATCTCCTATATCTGACACATAGAAAGTGCTTAATTAATAGCTATTGATTCAATAAAAGATGGAACTGATAGAGGATGCTTATATCTGAGAAACCTAGAAATTCTCAGGTATCTTAATACCTAGGCTGTAAAAGCTGTTATGGCATGTGCTACTATTGCGTGCAAAATAGTATTACTGTTTTCAAGGTGTTTGCCAAAAATAGCTTTTGCATTAAGAGCAGTGAATTGGGATGGAGAAATATTACAAGGATTCTCTTCTTTATGTTACATATCTTTTCTCTACTCAAGGAAGGACACTTCTATAAAAGACGGAGTTGGTTGTACTTCCCATGAAACCATTATTGAAGACACACATTTGCATAACAGCAATGAGAGAAAAAGTGAGTAATTCAGTCAATGATATTATATTCAAGTTTTTATGTCCAATATATTTTAGCTGATTTTTAACAAGTGTTTGTTTTAATGTTGTATACACAAACTGATGGTGATGCTATCCAAATAAATATTATATCATGTGCCACATAATGACATTTCTGTCAGTCATGAGCTGCATGTACAACGGTGGTCCCATGAGATTATAATATTATATTTTTACGGTACCTTATCTGTGTTTAGATACACAAATACTTGCCATTGTGTCACAATTGCCTGCAGTATTCAGTACTGTAACATGCTGTACAGGTTTGCAGCCTAGGAGCAACAGTCTATATACCACGTAACCGAGGTGTGTAGTGGGCTATACCATCCAGGTTTCTGTAAGTACACTCTATGATGTTTGCACAAGTAAATTGCCTAATGACGCCTTTCTCAGAACATATCCCAGTGACATATGTCTATACTTAACTGAACTTTAGTTAGGGAATGAGTGGCTACTCACATTGGCATCTTGTAAATATTAGGTTGCTCTCAGTATTGCTGTCAATGTAGATGGAATAGGGCATAGAATTAAGCATTCTAGACAAGGGGAAAATAGCAAGCCTACTGTGAAATTACATATATATATAACAGGGAATATATACATTCTATGCAAAAGTGTCCTTTTTAATTTTATAACTAAGTAAGATATATCTTACTTAAATAAATGAATAAAAACATCAGTGAAAAATTTGCATGCTTAATGATTTTGGTACCAATTTCAGAAAAATTACTATAATATTCCACATCATTCTACTGTTTGACAGGGATCTGTGCTTTTCTTTTCCAACTGCATATAGTTTTCATATCTAATGCCCTTGTCTTCAAATTTTTCATCTTCCGGTAAGTGAAAATTGATTGTACTGTTTAAAGTACTGTGTCCAGCCAATATAACTAAGCCTTCAAACCTACATAGAATCCTTGATAAGAATTTAGTATTCAAAATTCTATTACTTCCTTTTACTGTTGCTATGGTAAACTCATGAGACATTAGCAGTTTGCCTGGAATAAGACAAGTACAAGTTATAAATTAATAAAGAAAGCATATGTAGTAATAGAGGCATTGGTGATATCTGATCATGAGTAACTCGTAATTATGTTATTTATATAATCATAATGTATATAAATAATTACAATAATGTATTGCATATTAATGCAATAGTAAAATAAAATATTTATTCACCTTTCACCCTGTTTCAAAATAAGAATTTAAAGCCATATGTGAAGAGCCATACAACAAAATATAAAAGAGCTTTTAAAAGTTGAATGAATTGAGGCAAAGAAAAAAAATAAGATATAGAAAAAAAACATTAAATCTGTAGCGAAATTTGGTACACAAAATGTAGGATAAATTTGCTACCCTAGTAGAGATGAGTCACACGTTGGCTTTAAGCTTCCAAGTGGCATATATATTTTTATATATATATATAATTACAAGTTACATAATTCATAATATCCATCATATAAAAATAATCTAGTTGCCTTGGCAACACAGAGATACTGATAACAAAGGTAAAGTGGGTCTCCACTGAGTAGGCACTGTCTAACTTAGGGAATATTGTCTACAGGGAATAGAGTAACCAGTTTCATATGGCTACTTCTTATGATATTCCTTAGTAGATGTTGATGACATCTTAGAAAATTATAATTTATAGAAAGGTATTTTATAATTATGTAAATATGTTTATGTTAATGTTAGCCAATACCCTTACAGAGAGTGGAATTATGCAGGATCCTTGTCAATTACACTCAAAATTAAGAAGAGAGGTAAAAGGAAAGAAATGCATTGTTCCCTCCTGTAGATACAAACACCCTGGAAGTGGTTCTTAACCTGAGGTTCAGGAACTAAGGGACCTATGCATGGAATCCAAGGGGTCACAAACATGGTGGGAATAATTACATCTTAATTTTTACTAGCCCCTAATTGAAAATTAGCATTTCTTTCAATTATGAATGTAGGTAAAATCCATTGTAATCTTAGCTGTACCTGGGCCTTTTTTATATATAGAAATAACAGACATTTTCATATCACATTATAGTTGAGGATGCATCAAAATATTGTTCATGCTTATCCTTATTGAGATATTTAGTAGTTATTAGACCAACCACTTAATCTTGATATTTAATGTATTAATAATAAAGCATATATAAGGGTATCATATGAATTCGTTCTTCTAATATTTTGGTTAACTATGTTTTAATATAAGTTGTTTTTCTTTGTAGTCATATTTTTAAAAATAAAATATTATCAAATGAGTTATTCATAAACCTTGGAGTGTAACCACAAGGGCCTATGGTCCAAGATGACTGAGAGGCAGACCACAAGAGACCTAGGTTCCTGACTGGTCTTCTGCCAGCCTCACTACTAAACCATTACTGGGTGTATTTGTTTTCTAATTCCACAGTAACAAAGTACCACACAAATTAGGTGGTTTTAAAAGACAGAAACGTATTATCTCACATTTCTGTAGGTTAGAAGTCCAAAATCAAGGTGCCGAGAGGGCCACGCTCCCTCCAAAATTTCTGAGGAAGTATCGTTGTTTGCCTTTTATAGCTTCTAGGAACTCCTAGGCATTTCTCGTCTTGTAGATGTATTACTCCAAAACATACCTTCCTCTCACATACTCACGTGGAATTTTCTGTGTGTGCCTGTGTCTTCACATGGTCTTTTCTCTTTTTATAAGGACAACAGCCATACGGGATTGAGGGCCCACCCTACTCCAGTATGACCACATCTTAACTAATTACAACTGCAATGACGTTATTTCCAAGTCAGATCACATTCACTGGTATGCAGGTTTAGACTTCCGTATATATTTACTGGGGGCACACAATTCAACCCCATGCACTTGAGAAAAATATCATTTCTATATCTGAAGTAATTCTATTCTGTGGTCTCTGTTTCACGAACTTAGCCTATACCCAAACAGATATACTTTACAACCAAAATTAAGATGAATTCGATGTTAGTTACAGAACTCTTGTGAGGTACTGATAGTTTTTTTCAGTCTATGATCACTGTGTTCTCTGGCCAACTGACAAAGTAATTCCTCTAGGGCAATCCAGCGTACATCTTGTTTTTGTTAATAAAATTGTATTGGAGTATAATCACATTCATTCATGCATGTATTATCTATAGCTGCTTTAACATTACAATGGCAAAATTGTGTAGCTGCAATAGAGACTGTATAGCCCACAAAGCCTAACATATTAAGTATCTGACTCTCTGTAAAAAATGCTTGCTGACACCCTCCCTAGGACATAAGAGAGATGACCAAGAGGTTTGTCTTATTTTACCATGTGTTTTTTGTATTACGAGGGTATAGGAATCTTATTAAATCAGAACTCAAAGAATAAACCAGATAAGATAACATGAACTAGACCATAAACTGAGCCTACAAATTGCTCAAAACACATTTCTAGTTATAGGACACATTTACCTGTCATTGAGATCAATTATCTAAAGATAACAATAGGAAGAAAGCACACAGTTTCCAAGTTTCCTTAATAATAAGAAAGCAACAGTAAATTAAAACTCGCTTGTAATAGGGGAAAATGGTTATTTCAAATCAAGAGAGTGAAATTCTAACAAGAACAATCATTGGTATAACTGTATGATATTTTTTACTTCCACTAGCATTATTAATGGGACTACCATTTGACCTGACAATGAGAATAGCTTCCCTTGTGGCATTTTGGCAGTTCTATTTCTGTTCTTTGAGAAATAAGGAACAGACAAAGGATAAAAGTCTTTGCTTGAGCTGCTGAAACAATAACATAATGTGAAGAATTTCCAGTTACTTCAGAGCTCAAAGGACCCCATTTTTATGGCTTCTTGAGAACTGGAAGTGTGATGGACACTCACAGAAAATACCTTAGTTCCCTTTAAATCAGCAGTCATGTGGGGGAGTATCACTGCATGTGGGATCCTATAGACAAATGAGTGTAGCAAGGAAATTTCCTTTGGAAAGAAAAATCATGTGAAGCAATAACAAAAGACCACAGACTAGAGCTGAATATCAGATATTTGGGGTGTTTTGCAGCAGGAATAGGAACTTTGCCAATCATAGGCTCAGCTAAGTTACTACAAGCACAAGGACCTTATTGTCATGGCCATACACCTTCTGAATCATACACCTCCTGTTAAAAGGATTCTACTTTAGAATGTCTTGGTGATTCTTTGATGAATAGTTTTTAATATGCTGGGGAGAAAAACAGAAATGACAATATAGTTGACACAGGTTCAAGAATAGGATTAGGGCACCAAGGGTTGCCCTAATGCCAGAACTTAGCAGATCTTAAAAAAAATTACTAGCAAACTTAAGTCCAAAATCATGACAGACATTTCAAATGGGGAGACATTCTCCTACTGCCACCCTGTTATTGCCTGAAGTTATGGTATCCCTTGATCTAGCCTGTAATGAGCTATTACTTTGTAAGGAATGTTTTCTTTCGTCATTGTCTTTTCAATTCCTCCCATTTCCATCCTCTCCTTCTCCTCTTCTGACTTGTCATTGTGTTTGAATGCTTTCATCTGCAGAGAGATGTGATAAAATATTACTACACACAAAATGTGTAAAGATGTGAAAAAGTACAAGAAAGGCCTCATTAGATGTTTTTCTAAACTCTATAGTAAAGAAAGTAAATTTTAAATGAGAATGGAATAACATTTAGCACAGATACTTGAAGAATAGCATATTTTACTCTAAATAACTTACTCAAGGAAGTCACACACCGGATTTGAAAGTTCATGGAGCCTCCTTACAAAGGCAGACCAAGCATGCGGTGTACACACCCGGATCTTGAAAAAAGAATCAATAAGAGTAAGGAGAGTGAGCTAAGCCAAAGGAATGAACAAACTGTGGAGGAAGGAAAGTAAAAGAGTTTTGAAGAACTGATGAGTAGAACATTCAAGAGTAGGAAAGGGCTTGATGATGAAAAACAATTTTGGAAAGAAAAGTAGAAATCAGACTATAAAAGAACTCAGATGCTTATTTAATATAATTTAGCAAACATTTATTGTGCCCTGTTGAAAATGCTCTTGGAGCAATGATGCATAAGACACGGCCTGGTGGCAGAGACAGGCAGATAAACAAAATTTCAATTCAAAATGGTAGGAATTAAGACAGAAGTGTGCTCAGCCTAGGTATGATAATACAGAGAGTAGATACTTCAAAGAAAAGTTCCTGGCCAGGTGCAGTGGCTCATGTCTGTAATCCCAACACTTTGGGAGACCAAGGCAGGTGGACTGCTTGAGCTCAAAAGTTCAAGAATAGCTTGGGCAACATGGCAAAACCCCCATATCTGCAAAAACAAACAAAAATTAGCTGGGTGTGGTGGCACATACCTGTAGTCCCAGCTACTCAGGAGGCTGAGGTGGTAGGATCACTGCACCAGCCCAGGAAGGTTGAGGCTGCATTGAGCCATTGACCCATGATTGTGCCAGTGCACTCCAGCCTAGGGGACAGAACGAGACCTTGTGTCAAAAAAAAGAGAGAGAGAGAGAAAGGAAGGGAGGGAGGGAGAGAGGAAGGATGTAAAGAAGGAAGAAAGGAAGGAAGGGAGGGAAGGAGGGAGGGAGGGAGGAAGGAAGGGAAACAGGAGGAAGGAAGGAAGGAGGGAAGGAAGGAAAAGTTCCTGGAGGAAATGATGCCTGGGACAAGCTCTAGAAACTGCATGTAAGCCACCTAGCTTAGAAAGTTGGAAATAGCCTCTTAAGCAGAAAGGCCAGAATGAAAAATATAAAATAACAAGGAGACAGAGAAGCACCAGCAATCTGGTACTACTGGGGCAATAAGGGGTGAAATCAGCTTAGAGATTCTAGAAAGAGATAGGTCTTTGAGTCCTTGCATGACTATTTAAGAAATAGGCCTATCCTACTTATCCTCAGTAAGCCATAGACAATGGAGAGATATTAGGGGTTTCAGGGTGATGGTCACATACTAGATCATTCTGACTATAGAGTGGATAATAATTTAAAGACAGCAGAGCTACAAGCACATAGAAAAATCTGAAGGCTCCGGCATTATAGATGAGAAAAAGGAGGGAGAATTTACCAGATTGGTGGCTCTAAGTCTTGGAAATTCAACAGGACCATAGTTTTTATGTCTGAGGGATTTATGGCACCATGAATAAGGAAAAGGAAGTCAAAGAGCTTTTTAAATTTTATAACATAATGAGAAATTCAAGTTTTGACTCAGAGACACTGAGTGTATGGTGCTTGTAAATATTTATATTATCATTATTATTTGTATATAAAATATTGATCTGATATATGGACTCACCTCAAGTTTAAAGTGACAGGACAATCAGTGAAAATGTTGAATACACAGTTGGAAATTCAGCTAGAGCATTTGGCAGACTGATAATTAGTCATAGGTCTTAAGATCATATCCCAGAAAAATCATACAAATTTCTGAAGTACACATGGAAAAGAATATTTGGAGTTTAGTTTTCCTTCAGGTGTGGTAGAAAAGACCATTTCAAGGTAGCAATTGTGTCAATATACTGAGCATTCTATTACAATTTTGCCGAATAGACTTGCTTTGGAAACCAACTACAGAAATCAGAAATGTTGTCTACTTGTTTTCTGTGAAAATTTTAGGCTTCTCTCCCATGCAGTAATTTCCATCATTTCATTATTAGAAAGCCAGCTTTCACTCTCCTCTCTCAATAATACCTTGATTGTGACCATGCAAGCAACTACTTTCCAGTAGTCTTGGAAAATTGTGAAGATACTTGGATGCCAGAGACTCTTTTCTTACTACTAAAATATGAGCTTCTAAAAGGTAGAGGATGGCTATTACTTCTCTCTCCTGCCATGGCCAAGGACAGTGAATTTGAAGCCAATAAGTGCTTTTTGAGTAAATGTATTAATTTATAAATTAATGACTCCTTAATAGTACAGTATTAAACAAAAACATTTCTAATCACTTATAGACATTTGACTGCTTTATTTAATGCTTTCTATATCTTGCATCTGACCACTCTTTCTGGGTAAACAAATGTCTCAAATAACTGAAGCTAATCTCTCAAACCACTGTATTTTACCTACTTTTGATAAGCATCTTTTCAAAATTGTATTACATACTATAGATAAGAGCATAAGCTTGAATTAATTTAACCATTTCATGATGACTCAAGTCCATTATAATAAGCATTAATCATTGTAATTTACAGCAAAACAATGCAGACCTTAGGGACCATTGAGTTGGGCAGAACAGGTTATGCTTAATATCTAATGGACCTAAATTGCTGTATTTTTCTGGTTGGTCTTCTGTTCTCTACTGCTTTTCTTCTGTCACCTGTCACTTTTAGTTGCTAGGGAAACCAGACAACCACATTTGTTAAAACAGTAAACTTAATTTTAGACATGTAACACCTGAATCAGTGCATTTGTTACATGGATTCTCCCAAGTAATTCATTTCATGGAACATTGCCAGTTGACATATTCCTCTTTCCTAGCACTCTTGGAAATATCTAAAATGAGAAATAGTCTTTTTGGAAATATTAATATATCTAATTAATATAAATTCATAACTCACATATAAAATACTGTTGTGGTTTGGAATAGACACTGAGAATTTTTGTATAATTCTCCCTTCTCTATAAATGTTGACAATGTATTCCTTTACTAGACTGATGTAGAACACTCTGTGTGTGTGTGTGTGTATGTGTGAGTGTGTGTGTGTGTGCGTGTGTGCGTGTGTGTATATGTAAAACTGTCCCTGCTTTGGAATTCAGAATATTTATCCTAACTCCACAGTACTTTCTATTCCTCTCAAATTTATATCTGAGATATTTTCCTTAGGATAAACTCCTAAATAATTTTCCAAGGTCAATTTTTGAGATACAAGACAGCATACTCAACAATGATCTTTCAGTTCTCTTTAACTAAATGACCATTTTCCCCATCTGCCCTAGCGTAACCTTCCTTCCACTTACTTTGGCATGCCTGAAATCTGCAAGCCGCATGATCTGTAAGCAATTTTCTATCTCTTCAACTGCTAGTTTTGGGGCTGCCAATAATCTAGATGCTGCTAGATCCAACTTTCCAGTCTCAGTCTTTGTCTTACTTGACTCATCTACAGGATGTGGCAAAGTTGACCACTCTTTTCTCTTGCAAGCAAGCTTCTTCTCTTGGTTTTCAGGACCTCATCCTGTTTCGATTTTCTTCCTACCAGATGGACTGCTCCCACTAACTCCCCTTTGTTGGTTCTACAACCTCTGCAAAATTTGGAAATGTTGTAATATCTCAACATTCTTACATTGGACCTCCTTTCTGTTTATATTGATTCCTTGGATGACTTTATGCACCCATAAATTTAAATATTATTTCTATGCTGATAATTAACTACCAAATTTGTATCTCAAACTGTGCTTCTAATATTGAACATCAATGGCATATTTATTGTCTTTGCTTGGATGTCAAAAATGGACCTCTAAATTTAATAGGTTTTGAAACAAATGCCTGATTTTCTCTCGTAAAAGGTCCTCTGTTTTTCTCATCTCAGGATATAGCAACTCCATTCTTCTATTGCTGTGGGCTAAAATGTTGGGAAAAGTGCTTATCACTCTCTTTCTCTTAAATTTCACAACCAATTCTTCAGCAAATCTTACGAGTGTTACCTTAGAAATATATGCAGCATCTGATATGGTTTGGCTGTGTCCCCACCCAAACCTCATCTTGAATTCCCACATGTTGTGGAAGGGACCTGGTAGGAGGTAATTGAATCGTGGGGGCAAGTCTTTCCTATGCTCTTCTCATGATAGTGAATAAGTCGCATGAGATCTGAAGGTTTTAAAAAGGGCAAGCTCTCCCTTTGCCTGCTGCCATCCATGTCAAATGTGACTTGCTCCTCCTTGCCTTCCACCATGATTGTGAGGCTTCTGCAGTCACATGGAACTGTCAGTCCATTAAACCTCTTTCTTTTGTAAATTACCCAGCCTTGAGTGGGTCTTTATCAGCAGCATGAAAACAGACTAATACAGTAAATTGGTACCAGTAGAATGAGGCACTGTTGAAAAGATACCCCAAAATGTGGAAGTGACTTTGGAACTGAGTCACAGGCAGATGATGGAACAGTTTGGATGGCTCAGAAGAAGACAGGAAAATGTGGGAAAGTTTGAAACCTCCTAAAGACTTGTGAATGGCTTTGACAAAAATGCTGATAGTGACATGAACAGTAAGGTCCAGGCTGAGGTGTTCTCAGATGAAATGAGGAACCTGTTGGGAACTGGAGCAAAAGTAACTCTTGCTAAGTTTTAGCAAAGAGACTGGTGGCATTTTGCCCCTGCCCTAGAGAATAGTGAAACTTTGAACTTAAGAGAGATGATTTAGAGTATCTGGCAGAAGAAATTTCTAACCAACAAAGCATTCAAGAGGTTACTTGGGTGCTGTTAATAGCATTCTGTTTTAAAAAGGAAACAGAGCACAAAACTTAGAAAAATTTGCAGCCTGATGATGCAGTAGAAAAGAAAAACCCATTTTCCGAGGAGAAATTCAAGCCAGCTCCAGAAATTTGCATAAATAACAAGGAGCAGAATGTTAATACCCCAGACAATGGGGAAAATGTCTCCAGGGCACGTCAGAGGTCTTCATGGCAGCCCCTCCCATCACAGACCTGGAAGCCTAGGAAGAAAAAATGGTTTAGTGGGCCAGGCCCAGGGTCCTCATGCTGTGTGCATTCTACTGGACTTGGTGCCCTGCATATCAGCCACTCCAACTATTAATAAAAGGGGCCAAGGTAAAGCTCGGCCCATGGCTTCAGAGGATGTAAGCCCCAAACCTTGGCAGCTTCCATGTGGTGTTGGGCCTGTGGGTGCACAGAAGTCAAAAATTGAGGTTTGGGAAACTCCGCCTAGATTTCAGAGGATGTATGGAAATGCCCAGACGTTCAGGCAGAAGTTTGCTACAGTGGTGGGGCCCTTATGGAGAAACTGCTAGGGCAGTGCAGAAGGGGAATGTGGGGTCAGAGCCCCCACACAGAGTCCCTACTTGGGCACCACCTAGTGGAGCTGTGAGAAGAGGGCCACCATCCTCCAGACCCAGAATGGTAGATCTACTGACAGCTTGCACCATGAGCCTGGAAAATCCACAGACACTCAACACCAGCCTGTGAAAGCAGCCAGGAGGGAGGCTGTAACCTGCAGAGCCAGAGAGGCAGAGCTGCCCAAGACCATGGAAACCCACCTCCTGCATCAGTGTGACCCAGATGCAAGACATGGAGTCAAAGGAGATCATTTTGGAACTTTAATATTTGACTGCCCTGCTGGATTTTGGACTTGCATGGAGCCTGTATCCCCTTTGTTTTGGCCAATTTCTCCCATTTGGAACAACTGTATTTACCCAAGGCCTATACCACATTGTATCTAGGAAGTAACTAACTTGCCTTTGATTTTACAGATTTATAGGTGGAAGGGACTTACCTTGTCTCAAATAAGACTTTGGATTGTGGACTTCTGAGTTAATGTTGAAATGAGTTAAGACTTTGGGGGACTGTTGCGAATGCATGATTAGTTTTGAAATGTGAGGACATGAGATTTGGGAGGGGCTTGGGTGAAATGATATGATTTGGCTGTGTCCTCACGCAAATCTCATCTTGAATTCCCACTGTTTGTGGGAGGGACCCAGTAAGAAGTAATTGAATCATGGGGAAGGTCTTTTGGGTGCTGTTCTGGTGACAGTGAAGAAGTCTCATGAGATCTGATGGTTTTAAAAAGGGGAAGCTCTATTTTTGCCTGCCACCATCCACGTAAGACGTGACTTGCTCCCCCCTTGCCTTATGTCATGATTGTGAGGCTTCCCCAGCCATGTGGAACTGTGAGTCCATTAAACCTCTTTCTTTTGTAAATTGCCCAGTCTTGGATATGTCTTTATCAGCAGCATGAAAACAGACTAACACAGCATCTTACCAGATACCTGCTGCTCCCGCCCTTGCCATCCTGGTCCAAACTGCTGTACCTCTTACTTAGACCACAGCAATAGCCTCATAGAACATATCTAAGTTTCTACCACTACCTTCAAAAGTCCAATTTGCTCCCAGATGCCAGAGTGATCTTAAAAAAAAAAAACTTCAGATAATTTATATGCACTTCTTTTTTCACTCTTCATTGGTTTTCTGCTAAGGTGGAAAAAAAAATAAAAAACCCTTGTCATGTCCCATAAAGTGCTGTGTAATCTGGACATTTGATTCATCTGTAATCTCATTAACTACCAAGTGTCTATCTCCCAACTGGATGCAACCACACTGGCCTCTTGCTTTTCCTCAGAGATACCAAGTACAGCTTTTGTGTTTGCTGCTCTCTCTTCTACCCCATCATCTGTTTCCTTATAGACTCATATCTTGCTTCCTCACTACCTTAAGCTCAAATCTCACCTTATAAGATTATGCCTCCCTGATCATCCTTTTTAAAGAGCACCAGATTATTTTTTATTTATCACTGTCAGCTTCTGATATACATGTAACTTTGTTTATTTTGGATTCATCCATCCATATACATCCCTCTTCCAAGTACAATGTAAGACCCTTGAGACAAAGAGCTTCATTTGTTTTCTTTACTGTTGCATTCTCAGCACCTGGAATAGTACTAGCATAATGTACAATACAAACCTGTGAGACAAATGGGTGGCAAATAATGGCCTTTGATCTCCCTCTATTCTAGGGGCTTCTTGCTGAAAAATCTTTTTCTATAATCTACCCACAGACTCTTTTGGATTTGCACTATTTACCCTTTACTGTTTACTTTAGTCAAACACCTACACTAAATCAATTTGTTCTGTCCTGAGGATAATTCCATGTCTAAACTATAGTACAAGATCTTTGTGACAACTATGTTCTCTGATGCTCAGGAGCCTTTTATTGTCTTATTTGGGACTTGTGGTTCTGTTGAAGCTGATTGTGGTTATCTGAAGTCTGATTGCCAGTTAAGACTGGAATTACTTTATGGATTTTATTATTTAAAATACTAGAAGTTTTAGCATAAAGACATATTCAGGAAATTACGCTTGATGCATATTGGAATTTTATCCAGCTCCTTGGCATGATTGAGCCAAATAAAAGAAACTTAACTCTTCTTTCTTTTATGTTAATAGTATGTTTACATAAAACTTAGTGAAGTGGCATTGAAATATATTAAATAGAGATAATGTAAGTGAATATAAATAGCATAATGGGTACAGATATGTTGATCACACTGGAAAGATGAGGGATAGTGGAGAGTGCAGACATTTTGGAAGCAGAAGAAATTAAAAGGAAAGTTGAAACCGACATTCATTTTTATGTTGACAAATGGCGAACGTTATATAAATGGAACTAAATAAAATCAATGCAATAATACATAGTATTGTAATACCAGTTCTAATACATCATATTTATTATAGGGGTGACTCAATATATTAAAATCTCTTCACTATGAAGATTTTCAGAGTCTGACTTACATGCACATTAAAGGTAACATAAACTTGAATATCATTTTTTTCAGTAATAACAAATGTAAAATAAATTTGTAGAAGAATTTTATTGCAGCTCATGAGTATTGTTTTATGTCTGAAAGAATCTTCAACATATTCTAAGGAAAATAAGGTCATAAAATAGGTGAAACAAATATAGAAAAGTCAAGTAATTTAAATCAAAATCAATCACTATATTGAAAAGTGAATTGGTTGGGAACTGATTAAACATATTAAATAACTGGGCATTCATCAAATGCTGAAATGTTAGGCAATCTCATCAAATGATAGCTTTACTTATACTTACTCTTTCCTTTTTACTTTAGTCAAACCAAACCAAAACTTTCCAATGAAACAGGAAAACAAGGAAAGAACTCTACTGGGTTTTTCTGTTTTGTTTTGGTTAATTTTTGTTTTAATAATAAAATAACTTCTCAGCACACGTAAGTGTCCAAGTGGGTCAATCAGCTGAGCTTGCTTGCCCCTAAACATATACCTTCTCCAATTAGTCCCTATTAATGGAATCCTGATTTTATTCAGGAGACATACATGTCAATTTAAAATTTACATGTCCTGCCTTTCTTATTGCTAGGTCTGGCAGTGCTAGACACAGACTTAAAAGATTTGAGCAGTTAAAATTAATTGTTATTTTATAAACCATATTGATTAGGAATAAATTAAATCTATTAAAGAACTAGATTATCAGCCTTTGGCATCTAGTCAGCATAATGTGTGGGTGTGTAGAAAGTTTGGGTTGATATGTTTTATGTCTCTCTCTATATATATATACATATGCCAATAAAATAGGTGTAATCTTATGATGAAATTCATATCTTGCCTTCTTTTAAACTCAATATTGCTGTAAGCATTTTGCATAATACTAAGTATCTGTTAGATTATTTTATAATTGGCTATGTACTAATTCTACTTTATAGATGATACATGATTAATTTAGCCATATCCATATTATTTGGCATTTGCCCTCATGTTTACTATTATAAATAAAACTGTGATTGATAGTGTCATTAGTAAGTCTAAATCTAAATGAACATATTTAGATATCACTAAGTCGTTTCTTAAGCGATTAGCCAGTTTGGAATGTTATGTTAAAAGGTAGGAATGTCTCTAAATACTTTGATTCTAATTACCAAGTATCTCTGGAAAGGAGGTAACAGTTTATCTTACCCTCAGAAGTATTTAAGCGCCACTCTAGCATGGAAGCAGTCACAGATGATACATACATAAATGGGGATGGCTATGTTCCAATAGAACTAAGTTTATGAATGTTAGAAATTTGAATTTTATACAATTATCAGATGCCACAAAATATTACTCTCCTTGTGATTTTTTTCTCAACCATTTAAAAATGTAAAAATCATTCTTAGCTCATGGACTGTAAGAAAACAGGCTGTGAATCCTCTTTGGCTTGCAGGTCTGATTTGCAGACCTCTGCCCATTGCCTTCGATATGAACAAGGAAGCGATGTCTTGCAAGCATGAGAAGACATCATGAGGATGAAGCCAACATTCAGAAATGGGCTAAACTGAGAGAGACCTGCAGACAAAGGGACTTAGAGCTTTTTTCTTTTGGACAGAGTTTTGCTCTTGTTGCCCAGGCCACAGTGCAAATGGCGCGATCTCTGCTCACTGCAACCTCCGCCTCCCGGGTTTAAGTGATTCTCCTGTCTCAACCTCCCGAGTAGCTGGGATTACAATCATATACCACCAAGCCCGGCTAATTTTTTGTATTTTTAGTAGAGACGGAGTTTCTCCATGTTGGTCAGGCTGATCTCAAACTCCCGACCTCAGGTGATCGGCCCGCCTCGGCCTTGCAAAGTGCTGGGATTACAGGCGTGAGCCACCCCGCCCGGCCAGAGCCTTTTTTGAACCATGGCTGAAGACCATTTCTTTTTTCCTATTCTTCTCAGTTACATTAATCAATGAACACTCTTTATTGCTTAAGCCAATTTAATTTGGATTTTCTGTGACTTGTAATATAAATTTTCCTATCTTATACATATATAACAATGTCTTCTCTTCTTTGTGAAGTTCTAAAACAGGACTTCTTATCGTACTTAATGAATTTAATATTACTTAATGTACTTACTAATCTAAAAGTGCTATGGTACCTTCAAACCACTCAGTGATATGGTAGCATATACATATGTATGATGTATACTATCATATATAATGTTTGACATATCGTTTACTGTTCTGAGAGTGAAGACAAGTGAAATATGGATGAGGTTAGCCATTGACTGAATCTTCTTAAAATTAACTTTTAAGTTTTAATTAATTTTGTATCTAAATTTAAACTATAATTAAAAATGATTTAAAAAATTCACAGAGAAATAAATTGAGACTCAGGAGTTAAGTAAATTGCTGAGATTATAGTGCTCTAAATGGCTGATTTGGGTTTTGAACCCCATTTGCTTGGCCCTGAAGCTTGGACTCATTTTAATATACTATGCTGCCACATAAATGTATAAGTTCTGAGATGGATCTAAGCCTTTTATTTTTAATTTAGTAATTTACTACAGTAATACAAAAATGAATTACTGGATTCAAATTCAAGACAGAAAAGAATAAATTCTATTTCAAACCAAACTGATAAATTTAGAATAAAGAATTATGTGCAGAACTATTGTTCAAAAGGTCAGAGGAAATAGAAAAATTGTCGAGATACATGTTAAAAATTTATTAGAATACTGATAACTTTCTCTCTTACCAATGCTTATCAAAATTAAAGCAGTATATTAATTTCCAAAGTTTTCTATCAAATTTTAAGTGGGTTGAATGAGTCAAAATGATCTAATCAACATTTGTATAAATTTCACTCTATAAATTCTTGATAAAAACTATGAGCATCTTTTTTTGAGATTTATTTAGTTCGGCAATATTGTTGCTTTTTTTGCTGGTTGAAAATAAAGTGACTTATACTCTCATGATGTATTTCGCATAGTACTAAATATTTTTGTCTTCAATCGAACACTAGCCATAGAATGAATACTCAACGTCGTACAAGCTGTAATATAATGCTAATATCTTTCTCTATTTTCTAATTTGAAATAACATTTCATAGTTTTATAACAGAACTTTGTATTCACTATCTGTTTTTAATAGCTAGCAACACTGAAATTAAGATTACATCTGTTTTTTTGGTAGCAGAACTCATCATCTAATTTAGTTCTTACAGATGTCTTATATCTAGATACACACTCATTGATTCTTTAACCATAATCCTACAAAGAGTAACCGTGAATCTCTTTGATGGCTAAACTTAAGGAAGATTTTTATTATATTAAAATGATTTATCAGTTAAGGTAATGTGTATCATGATAAGTAAAGTCTGCTCAACATTCCACCCAGTTCACCTACAGAGACTTAATTTCAATTAAAAACCTTACTTATTTCATGTTATATAGCTAATTAACATATTATGTTTCTCAATTTTTAACTAGTTCCAAATTGTTAGAGTTCAAGTTATACCCCAAACTGATTTCTGTACTATACTAATATACAGTGTACAGCAGGAGACTGTGGCCCAGAATTCTACATATGAATACAAGCCAGTCAGATGCTACTTTATGTTTTCAACAACATAAGTGCATGCTTTAAATGTTCTTCTATTTACAAATTTTATTCCCTTACCAGAATAAAGAAATAAAAATAATTCCCTGAATTCTGAGACCATTAAACCGTTAAAATAAAATTTGTATCTTAAAGGGAGTTAGACTCATTCATTGTTCATTTGCTCCATAGTTCAATGAATGATCTAAATAATACTGTAAAATTAAATTTTTATTTAGTGCTGATGAAATATTTATTTATTAAAAATGTAGTCATCTGCAATCAAATTTTTACTTCAGTCTCTATATTTGGAATCTGCTGATAGTTACTGGAAGCTGTTTGGGGATTGGAACACTCAGCACTATTGTATTGTGATCAATAATTAAATTTAGTGCTGACATGCATCTAGTTTATGCAGCCGTCTCTGACAATCCCATCTTGCAAAATTAATCCTTTCCAATTTATTTAATAGAGGACATGAACAATAAAATAATTCAGATGAGTACCAATGCAGGATTATTTCTGGTCAATATTACTTTATTATAAATTGGGTCCACATACTCATTAGTAAATTAACTGTCAAATCTGAAAACAGCCTTTTTTTGTTTAAAGGTAATTATTGGTACTGAAGACAAGAAGGCACTTAACCTTGCTGTACAGTTGTCCTTACCACAGTGTTTTTTTATTCCAGGCTATAACTAACACATCAAAGCTGCAGAGGGAAAATAATTAGTGATATTAAAAGGATAAATTTTAACTATTACAAAGCCATAACTGTTTAAATACAGAAAGTATGACTAAATAATGGCAGAGTTTTAAAATTAAATTTAAAGTCTGGGTTCATTTTGGAAATACTCTATCTTTTGCCACCTGAAAAATCTACTGGAAAGGAAAGAAACACTGATGTATAAAGAATTCTATTTGAGACGCATAGGTTAAAAGTGGCGAGGTTTTTTTTAAAATAGGAAATGTTATCAAAATTGCTTCCAGTTTTCAGTGAGATTTAACAATTTGGAAGTTCTTTAGAAAAATAAAATCTCTCTCATATGATAAGATGTTTTGTCACAGTTTTCAAATTTTTTTCACCATATTAATTAACCAGTTGAGTCACTGCTTGAATCCATGAAATTATTTTAAAGAGGTACTTTACACAGATACATTAAACAATTCATTTTTAAACTCTGCTTTATTATTTGCACAGAAATTTAGAAGTGTCTTAAATAGACATAATCCTATTATATCAATGCAGAGAAGTAGAATTAATGCTATTATATTTTTAAATAATGGTCTTCAAATAGACTTACGAATGTAAAGCATACTGCATGTGCAGAATGACTGCAATGGGTATCTTTCGGTATTATACGTTTTTCTGTATTAGAGAAGTAAGAGGTATTTTTTTCAATGTTTTTACCAAATACAAATTTGATGGAGGAGTGCTGAGTCTTGTTGTATTGATCGCTGCTACACCTATTAAAGAATTGAAAAGGAGTGAGGAGAAAGTGGCATATATTCATTCTATTGATGTTGTGTGCTATCAATAATCTGCACCTCAAGAAGTCCCCAAATCACATTTGTTAGCTGTTTGATCTATTTATTAAATTGTTCAGAATACACAAGGAACACCAACATATTATTTGTATCTTGAAAATATACTACACCTACATTTTAGTCACTGAGCTTGTATTCAGACTAGAGGGACCATGAACTAGATGATAAATAATGAAAATTCACGTTGTTAATAATACACTATTGACTGAAACAAAATGACTCTAGTTTATTCAGCTCACTCACAGATTCTTAGAAATAAGATAGAAAAAATATAAACTCTTAGAGTTATCAAAATTATTTACATAACTGAATGATGGTTTAAGATATTTTCATAATTTTACTACTGAATGTGGTGGCTACATAGTGAAGTCTTTGTGATATATCATCATTTTATCACTGTGGCCTATGCAAAACATTGGAAAATTTTGTTTCATTTATTCTTGTATAGTTCATTTATTCTTGTCACTATTATGGGATGGTGGCTGGAAAGGGAGAGATAGAACCAAGGTGCTCACTCACACTTCAAAACGTCATGCAGACTCTGGCTGTTTGTACTGTTACATGTTCTTTATCTTCTTTATTTCTGTGTGTTGACTGTGTACCAGCTTACAGTAAACCTCCCCACTTTAGACTGTTGTTTTCACTATAATTTCTAACATCATTTCAGATCATTCTTTTGCAAGCATGATAAAAAAAGTCATCTACTTAACAGGCTTAAAATAATTGTTAGCACAATTAGCATTGCAATATTTATTAAATAGTGTTTTGCTAATGACAATCTTAATGTAGTTCTCAAAAGTTAAATACAGCCTTGGATTTATCAAAATTTACCACTTAAAAGGCCAAGGTGCATAAATGGTATAAAAGGCTTATACCATTGCAATTTGCTAAGAGTAGGTATAAGAGGAAGGCCTATAATAGACTTTATGCTGTCTTCATGGTTTAGTATTAATAGGTTTTATATTGTGAAATATTAAAAGGGGATGTAAGTGGCTTCCTCTTCCATTTAGTCAGGGAAGGTTTCATTCAGCATGGTTGTAGACAATTGTGTATAAAGCAGTGGCTCTGTTCAGCCTGAAGCTGCAGATCCCCCTGGTAATATTGGAGGATGCGAGTGGTATTTGCCCCGTAAGCTGTGTTGACGGCCTTCTTCACTGACTGTGTTTCACTTGCAGCATTCCAGGGTAATGAAAATCAGTTGTGTGTAAACAAATCAAGAAAGTCAAGCATGTTTAGGGACAGACTTGTTAATTTCACAAAACCAAAGCTACATCCAGGCAAAGGGTATAATGTGGTTTTGTAAATTTTTTTGTAAATTTCAGGTAAAAATCATTTATAAAGCTGTGCAACTAGAATTTGAATACTGAGTGGAAACATCAAATGGCAGTAGGAGATGGAACATGTCATTTGCTTTGTTTGAAACTGCAATTATTCCCAAAAGGCAAAGTCCCTATAAGAAGGACTGATTCCAGGTTTCATCCTTGCCCTTCGTCTCTCCACCAGCACCTCCTCTCACTCTGCCAACTACACTTGACTGCCTTACTGTCTCTACATCACACCAGGCTTGCTTCTACCTCAGGGTCAAGCACAGACAGGGTTACTCCTTAACCTTCCACAAGTCCTTGCTTTGATCAACCCCATCCTGTTCTATTTTTTTCTCCATAGTTCCTTTTATATAAAGTGTAGCTATATGTAATATATTTTACATACAGTGTAATACATGTAATTTATGTATTTGTATCACATATAGCTCTATAATATCTGGGATCTCTCCAGAGGTGTGCTGATAAACGTTTAACAATCAGCTCTCTAGGGGAAGAAAACCCTGATTGGTAGCATAGGCCAGTTTCTGTGATATAAATGGTCCTATCATGCCCATTTCAAGCTACCAGATTTTAACAGATTGAAAAATTCCTGAAAATGGAAAAATAAGCTCTCAAAGCTAGAAAGCTGGCTTCAATGTACTAATAGATTTGAAGCTGTTTTGCTCTTGGATCTATCGTTAGTAATAGAACAGTGCCTACCATTTAATGAGTATTTAATAAATATTTATTGAATAATTGAATAGAACCTAGGAGGTGATCTGTGATCAGTCTAAAACAGAAACCTCACCATGATAGTTCTGGGCTTAAAATCCTTTAAAATATAAGATGTAGGACCCTAAGCAAGTTGTATAGAGCCTACCAAGATTAGTATGCTGCCTACTTCTAAGCCTAATTTTTTACCACAATGTCTGGCATTGTATTTTGTAATATTGCTAAAGAGAAAACCGTGGCCATTCCCTGTCCATTTCACCAGGCTTCATTCCTTTGCAATTTTGTAGATGCTTCTCCCATGAGCCTGAAACATCTTCCCATATCATCTGCCTGGTAAACAACTCAAATTCTTGCAAATATCACATATATGAGAATCACATTCTCGGAAAGCTCTCTCAGAATACTCTTGAAAACTCTTCTTTTGGTTCTTGGATTTTTTTTTTTTTTTTTTAATGGAGGTCTCATCCTGTTACCCAGGCTGGCAGGCTGGAGTGCAGTGGCATAATTATGGCTCACTTCAGCCTCAGCCTCCTGGGCTCAAGTGATCCTCCCACCACAGCCTCCGGAGTAGCTGGGACTACAGGCATGCACCACCACACCTGGCTCATTTTTGTAATTTTTGTAGAGATGTGGGCTCACTATGTTGCCCAGGCTGGTCTAGAACTCCTGGGCGCAAGTGATCTGCCTGCCTTGGCCTTCCAAAGTTATGGAATTACAGGCATAAGCCATTATGCCCAGCCTCTTCCTCTTCTTTTCAATGTGCATAGACAGAGTCAAACTTACTTCCTCTTCAGTTTTACATCCATTCTTTATATATACTTTTCCCCCACAGTTCCTAGTCAGATCTCAGGGAGTCCCTTACTCTCCTCTGCATAGATATTGCTTCTTTCTTATATGTGGTTTTGCTGTAATTTTCACTTTGCACTTTAAGAATGTTCACACTACAAAAGTAACACATGGTCTTAAAAAAGTACAAAGAAGGCCGGGCGCCGTGGCTCACACCTGTAATCCCAGCACTTTGGGAGGCCGAGGCAGGCTGATCACAAGGTCAGGAATTCGAGACCAGGCTGGCTAATATAAAACTCCGTCTCTATTAAAAATACAAAAATTAGCCGGGCATGGTGGCAGGCACCTATAGTACGAGCTACTTGGGAGGCTGAGGCAGGAGAATTGCTTGAACCCGGGAGGCGGAGGTTGCAGTGAGCCGAGATTGCGCCGCTGCACTCCAGCCTGGGCGACAGAGTGAGAATCCGTCTCAAAAAAAAAAAAAAAAAAAAAAAAAAAGTACAAAGAAAATAGAGACATATAAGACATATATAAATTAAAAAATAGAAGTTTCCTTTAACTCCTACGTACGTCCACATGTAATGTTAATGACTATCAAACAATTTGGTATTTGGACCATATCTCAAATAACCTAGAAATGGTCTTACATTATAATTCTATAAATATTTATATATATCTATCACTAGTCTGTGAGCATCTTAAGGATAGGCTGTTTTTGCAGCCCCTAACACGGTGCTCGGCACAGGAAAGTCAAAATAAATGCTTGATAATGAGACCAGAGCATCCATGCTTGTTAAGCCTGCAGCCGCAGCAAAAAGAGTCAGACTGTTGATGTGTGGAGGTTATTCTGGAACTATTGTAGAGTGACCTTCAGTAGCCAGTCTTCATTTTCTTCCAGACCATAAAAGATACAGCTATAATAATACCGGCTTTTAACTGTCTTTTAGGCTCTCATTAGAGGGGATCTTGTCCGAGAACAGTTTTTAAGTGTCGCTGATAAAGTGGGTTCAGAACCCGGATGTGAAGTCTATAATGCATTGCATGTATGTGATCTTACACTTGCTAAAATGTTTATGGAGGGTTGCTGGATGAAGGTACCTCATTACACAGAAACTCTGTGTATCACAATTACTGGCTGCATAATATATAAATGAAATAAGCGATAAGATATAAATTATCTGAAGACTCAATTCACAGAATTTAACGTCTCTGAAAAATAAAAAAAAAAAAAGGAAGCTCAATTTGGAGCAGAATCGCTGGATTAGAATCAGTTTTAATCCTTAGTAGGCTTCTGAATTTCAGCAGATCCTTTGTCACCAGGAGCCGCAGACTCTTGTCTTTGGAAAGATGATAATACCTGCCGTAAACTTTTAATAAAAAGTATTATTCCTTTAGGACTATTTTTAACATGTTCTACATGCTAGTTGCTGTCCTCAGCATTTTCTCCTTCCTTCCTTCCCTCCTTCCTTCCTTCCTTCCTCCCTCCCTCCCTCCCTCCCTCCTTCCTTCCTTCCTTCCTTCCTTCCTTCCTTGCTTCCTTCCTTCCTTCCATCTTTCCAGTTTAAAACACCATCTATTTATTATCTCTTAGTACCTGTGGGTCAGGAGGCTAAGTACAGGTTAGCTAGCTCTCTGCTTGGCTTTCACAATGCTGAAATTAAGGTGTCAGCTGGAGCTGCCTTCTCATCTGGAGCTCAGGGTCCCCTTCCAAGTGCACTCAGGTTGCTGGCAGAAGTCAGTCCGTACTGCTGTAGGTTTTTCTGAGGTCCCTGTTGTTGTTGGCTGGATTCGTTTTCACTTCTACTTTGAGGTGCTTCCATGTGGCCCCCTCCATCTAAGCAATGAAGCAACTCCTTTTGAATCGCTCTTATGCTCCAATCTCTCTGACTTCTTTTTCTACTAGCTGGATAAAATTCTGTTCTTCTTTTTTTTAATTTTAAATTTTAATTTTAATTGTAAGTTCTGGGTGGGGTACTTGTGCAGGACATGCAGCTTTTTATGTAGGTAAACATGTGCCATGGTGGTTTGCTGCACCTATCAACACATCACCTAGGTATTAAGCCCTGCATACATTAGCCTTTTTTCCTAATGCTCTCTCTTCCCCCACCCCATTCCCTGACTGGCCCCAGTATGTGTTGTTCCCCTCTCTGTGTCCTTGTGTTCTCATTATTCAGCTGCCACTTATAAGTAAGAATATGTGGTGTTTGATTTTCTGTTCCTGTGTTAGTTTGCTAAGGATAGTGGCTTCCAACTCCATCCATGTCCCTGCAAATGACATGATCTCGCTTCTTTTTATGGCTGCATAGTATTCGATGGTGAATATGTACCACATTTTCTTTTCTTTTCTTTTCTTTTCTTCTTTTTTCTTTTTTTTCTTTTGAGACGGAGTCTCACTCTGTTGCTCAGGCTGGAGTGCAGTGGCATGATCTTGGGTCACTGCAACCTCTGTCTCCTGAGTTCAAGCAATTCTGCCTCAGCCTCCTAATTAGCTGGGATTACAAGTGCATGCCAACACGCCCGGATAATTTTTTAAAATATATTTTTAGTAGAGATGGGATTTCACCATGTTGGCCAGGCTGGACTCGAACTCCTGACCTCGGTACCACATTTTCTTTATCCAGTCTATCACTGAAGGGCATTTGGGTTGATTCCATGTCTTTGCTATCGTGAATAGTGCTGCAATGAACATACACATGCATGTATCTTTGCAATAGAATGATTTATATTCCTTTGGGTATATACCCAGTAATGGCATTGTTGGGTAAAATGGTGTTTCTGGTTCTAGGTCTTTGAGAAATTACCACATTATCTTCTACAATGGTTGGACTAATTTACATTCCCATAAATAGTGTAAAAGCGCTCCTATTTCTCTGTAACCTCATCAGCATCTTTTGTTTCTTGACTTTTTAATAATCACCATTCTGACTGGTGTGAGATTGTATCTCATTGTGGTTTTGATTTGTATTTCTCTAATGATCAGTGATGTTGGGCTTTTATTCATATGTTTGTTGGCCGTATGAATGTCTTCTTTAAGAAAATCTAGGCAATACCATTCAGGACATAGGCATGGGCAAAGATTTCATGATGAAATCACCAAAAGTAATTGCGACAAATGCAAAAATTGACAAATGGGATCTAATTTAACTAAATAGCTTCTGTACAGCAAAAGAAACTATCATCAGAATGAACAGGCAACTTAGAGTGGGAGAAAATTTTTGCAATATATCCATCTGACAAAGGTCTAATATCCAGAATCTACAAGGAACTTAAACAAGTTTACAAGAAAAAAAAGCAAACAACCCCATTAAAAAGTAGGCAAAGTCCTCAGCATTTTCTAAACCTTTACTCATTTAATCTTCTTAACAATTCTTTGAGTTGTGTACAGTTATCATCTAAGTCTATTTACAGATGAGGAAACCAAAACATATTAAATAATTTTCCCAGAGCCACACAGTGTTTAAGACATGGTGCAAGTTTTCAAACCGAGGTCATCTGTCTTCTGAATTATTCTGAGATTATTTTTTGAAAGTATCTTATAAAATGTAAAGAGCTTTGAAAATGAAATGTATAATTATTACAAATTAATATTTTAGTATCAGTGTTTGGTTCCCACTTTTCTTCCTGCTAATAAGCTGTAAGGCCACGCATGAAAATAACCCTAGCTACTATGATTTAATATTTTCTGACAATATTGTTGTTATTACAAATAATAAAATGTTATGTGAAAAGCAGAATTTATCTTTGCCCAGAAGTAAAGGGCAGAGGGTAAGTAGGGGTCAGTGTGGAGAAAAGTCCAAGCTGATTCATAAACCTTTAATAATATTATGCTCTGAAGCTCTTGGATCAAGCTCGGGTTTGGGAATTGCTTGATAGTTACTAAAGCTGTTCATTTCCAAATTTCATTTGTATGTAAACAAAAATGAAACAGGTAGGCTGCAAATTTGGCGGGTGTCACAGCTTGTCCCCGAGCATCTTATATTTGGGAATTTAAAGGTCTTGGGGAGTTAATGAAGAAGTTTTGCTGATATTTAAGACCTACAAATAGTCTTCTATAATAATTTAATGTGATCTGATGGCAAGATTTAATCCAGTGGGTAGCAATCAGGCAATTCAATAGATACAAATTTCAGGGAGATCTTTTAAGAATTTTCAAGTAAATAGTTAAGATGGTAAAAGTATTTCAATATAAAGAAATGCAAGGTACAATTTGGAGAGTAAAATAATCCAAACTGGACATAGGATTCTGGGCTCATTATAATACTCAAGAGATATTAAGATTCTGATAAAAATAAAATTTAATACATTTCTGTGAAGAAAACATCCAATAGAATGCTGACTATAATAATAATAAAAAAGGGCATTGGAAAAAACAAAAAAAGAAAATCCAATTGTACAAAATCCCCCCTAATGTATCACCTGGGGTACTATTTTCTATTGTTGTTACTATACCTCAAGAAAGACAGACAAGAATCCTCGGGGGCACAGGGAAGAGTAGCAGACATCATCAAAGGAAGTGAACCACTGATTACATTGCTTACGAAACCATCAAAAGCAGCTTAGTGTGTGTTAATCATCACAAAGATGAAGGCCAACGGTGATTAAAATCCAGAGCACCATTTAGAGGAGGGAAAAAGAGAGGAGTGTACCACTTGAAGCTTAAGAGACATAAATGTAGAAAAATTTTAAAAGAAATTATAAACACATGGGTTGGGAAGATATTTAAGGTATTTATCATCCTAGTGCAGAAAATTCAAATAAATTCAAAAATAGGTTTAGATTAATACTTAAATGTGAAGCCCAAATCGGGTTGCCATAAGAAATGCAAGTATGGGGAGTGGGTATTTTTAAACTTTGAAGAAAGTAGTATAACATACTCACAGTTTCTCTGTAGTAAAAATAGCGATGGGTTAACTCAATGAGGGCAGGCTGGAGTTCTTTCATTATACCAAGTTGTTATTAATAATATATTTTTATTTTGATCTTTTAGTACATATTGGTGTTTGTTGATTAAATCCTAGTACTATGCTATATCACAATTGCTCTGAACTGGACTTTTTTGGTTACAAAATATTTGGGACATTAATTTTTTTTTAATTTTGATAGTTGGTACTATAGTTGGTAAAAATGTTCCTGAATTCTGAGATGAGGCAGATTTGATGAACAGAAGTTAAAGCAGAAAGCATAAGAGTGAGAGCAATAATTTATTAGAGAAAGAATGTACAATGGCTTTGGAGTCATGAAGACTTATACTTTATTTTGACATGTGCTTGTTGTACGTATGAGCTTGGACAAGTTACATAACATTCTTGAGGCTCTATTTTCTGATCTATGCAGTAAAGTAATTATTAGGATTAAATGAGAGAATCTATGTAAAATACCTGCCTGGTGACTGACTCAGAGTAAGTACTAGTTAAATTTCGGCTAATAATCATGTTAATGACACTTTGCACAAAAATAACACCAAACAGGAGTCTGAGGAGATGTTGGACGAAGGTACTCATGAGTACTCTGAGTACAAGAATATATTCAAAGGTTTCTTAGAGATTGTCCTATACCATTTTATAGTTGAGGAAAATGGAATCCAGAGAAATGGAAAACTTTGTTGCCTTTTATTAGGCATTACAATTCATTAAATGGCAGTGGTGAAACAGCATCTGGAGAAAAATGAAGGTTTTCTAAAACATTCTCTGACCACAACCTACAGAGTTCTTTCAGTCAAAGAAATACAATTTTATGAATTGTAAAAGAGAGCAGATTTGATGTGCCCTTAGTACTATTAATTGTCATTTCTGATAATATTGCATGTTCTGGATGCTTTTTGCACATGATCTCTTGTAATCCTCACAATGACTCTTGAAAGTAGGCATGGTTATTCTCCATTTTACAGATGAAGGAACTGAAGAACAGAAAGGTTTAGTGACTTGCTGAGGTCTTACAACTGGTAAGTAGAACAGGAATTTGAGTCTAAATCTGATTGACTCAGATGATCCTTTTAACCACTGTTCTACACTATTATAAAGGAAAAAAGATCATCTTGAAAAAAAATGTCATTTTATCAGGGCTATTCATACAGCTGACACTAGAGACAGGTCAAAATAGCTGATGTAGACATTTTCTTCCAGAGAGCATGCTTGATTTCCATTTTATTACTGTGTAATAAAAGTATCTAAGTAGGGCCTAGTACATTATTGCCATCTGCCTCTTTCCCTACTCTGTAAAGTGTGGGTAATTATACTTTAGCAAGATGTTTAGAAACTTAATTAATATTATTGGTTAGAGATTTGCAGATTAATGACCCAATTTTGCTCATAATAAACACATCTGGACATGTTTCAGTGTCTTCCACAATTCTTAAAATAAGAAATCTTATTCATAATAGTCTCAATTTATTTTTGGTCATCATAATTAAGTAGTTGTTTCTGTACTTACTATCTGTAAACATCTGGATTAGGTAGTGGTGGTTCCTAATACATAATTCTTGTCTTCAAAGAGCTTATAATAGATTTAAGGAGCAAGGGCATTTCATTGTATATTAAATAACAATTGACAACATTGAGATAATTGTAGTCATAAATGAAATGTGAGTTGTTAAGATGGAACAAACACAACATCTGCTTTGGCTGAGGAAGGAAATATCTTAATTTACAGAATTACAAGTTGAGGTTATTATTGACTGAGAATACAATATGTGTACTTATTAAAAGAGGAGAATATAATTAGATTGTTTTATTTCTCTGAAACTATTCAATATATTTAAAAGGCCACTAACCAGAATGGCTCTTCAAGGCAAGGATATTTACTGTAAAATGGGTGATACATCAACCAGTGGGGTTTTTATATTTGGCAGCGGGATGCTGGAAAGAAACGGAGAGCAGAAGGAAATGATTCCCTGTTCTCTGTGTGATGTGCATCACCAATGGTGGCCCTCTTGTGGGTTGGGAACTTGACATCAAGATAGATTATCAACAGGGGAATTTAGTACTGTATATAACCAGTGCAGATATTTAGCAGACCCCGAGAATGTGTAGTCTCAAATATTTGTTTTCCGAAATTTTAAAATAAATTCTCTGTTAAAGGTGATTTTACTACAAACTAGTTAGTAGGTTTTGCACTATTACACTAATTTGGGATCCTATTTACAATAGAAAAACCTTAAAAATAATTTGTTCAGTTAACCCAATTCTGATATATGTGGGACAAAATAGCAACCTAGATTATACATTTAATTCTGCAATCTTAAAGGTGGCATTAAAGCCTTATACTAAGACCTTCATTTATTACCATTGTCTTCTCGCTAATTCAAAGAAGTAACATAATTTGAAGATCATGCTCTCTCGTGCATTGCTGCCAAATTACATCTCTTAGTTGGCAACCATTTACTTATCGTCTCCAACATGAAAATGTACTATAATTAGATCATTGAATCAACTTCCCCATTGAGAAAGAAAACGATCCACAGGGGATACAAAGAAAACTAACCTGTCAGTGAGCATATTTAGTAGGGAATCCTCTCTGAGTGATATGATGGACCAGCTCCCCACTAGCCACCCTTTTCTGGAATCTCTTAGAAACAAGATAGCTGCTATTGTTCTTCAAAGGTCTGGGTGCACTCGTGCTTGACGGGAGCAGGAGAGACACTTGCATCCTTATGATTTTGTAAAAAAAACCAGCATGGCATTTAGCATATTATATCACCATTCTTGTGTGCCTGTCTCTTCAGCTAGGACATATGTTCCAAGAAGACAAGGGCTGAATCTTATTCATCTCTGTATTTTAGCACTTGGCACAATTTTTGGCATATTATCAGGACTTAATAAATGTTTATAATTAGTGCCCAATTTCCTTAAATGTTTTCCAATCCTGTGTTTTTATTTCTGAATAAACCATTTATTAGGAATGGTTTCTGCATTTGAGATAATAGCTGCATAATGCTCATGACCACATCTTCATTTTTCTGGTTCTTGGAGTATGTACATTTCTAATTCTATATATAATACATTTTAAGATGTATTCTATAATACATAGAAGTGAGTGATAATATCCTTTAAGAGTAATCCTTAATCTAAGAATATTTACCCAAAAGCTACATTCTTTTTAAAACTCGTCGGTAACTGTAAAGTCAATTCATGATGAAATCACCTGAAAGCAACCTTTTATCAACCACAGAGTTTGCCAAGTACACCTGTCCTAATTTTACATGTAGAATGTTCCTGTTGTTATAGAAAAGAAAATGAGAGTTCTCTGGACCTTATAGGAAGGGTTAAAACACAGTCATTAAAATTTAAAAATAAGAGCAATGGCTAAATTACAAGCCAATAAAAAAAGTTACATGCTCTGCATGATTTTTAATGGCTATATAGTAACAAGAAGGCTATTTAATTATGATAATTTTAATATATTTGGGGTCCAGTATACTTTTATTCTTTTATTATTGTCACAGACTAGAACTATCAATTTATCATAGTATGATTTTTTCATTTCAAAATTTAGAATTTATTTTTATTTGCAAAACTTCAAATAAAAACTGTGTATTTTTACATTTCCTGTGGAGGTCTATTAACTCTGTTTTCTGACTCATAAAAGTCTTGGTTTAGAAAAGTCTTCAAATTATCAGCTAGTTGATGCCACTATTTTCAGATAAATTGTGATCCTGTTGATTTTATAGATGTAACACTGAAGCCCAAGGAAGTAGCAGATGTAGGAAAGGAATAGAAGTTAGATCTGATAAGCAACTTTCTCCATTTTTTTTTTTTACGTCTGACAACTCATGCTCAGTACAATTCATCTTTTCACCGCCTAAACCCTACTTTCTTTCTAGCCTCAAATGCTCTTCTTTTTTTTCCCCTATATGCTAAAATAACTGTGGTATTTGGTCTCAGGCTATTTAATCTCTTAGGTGTTCATTCTATCTTTTGATTAAACCAAAAGACTCAGAAAGAGAGAGAAAGGAGTTTGCATCTACCAATTTATGTTCCCTTATCAAAGATTCAGAAACATCTGGAATCAAGGCCCTAGACATTTAAAATTTCTATTATTTTAATACCCAATGGTATTCAAATGAAAGACTATTAATACTGATGATAATTTATATGTTAACCATCAATTCCTCAGGTATGTATTGAATCACTTTTAACATGGGAGAGAAAATTTAAAAAACTAAAAACACCTCATAAATTCTTTTGGAAGCTTCCTGCAATTTTTGACATTAACTGAAACAAAAGGAGAAAAAGGAGGCCACTTGAGAATGACATTAAAGTATTTGTCTCTTGGATAATATAGGCAATAATATCTTCTTATTCTACCCATACTGGTTATGGTGATGTCCACATCATGACATGAATTTATTCTTAGATAACGACACTCTTTATAATGCTGATAAAATTTATAGCCACTTGTTTTTGTTTACTGCATTATCTTTCATCATGTATTATCCCTTTTCTTCAAGTATTTATACACTCCAGTGTGATTCCATTGAATTTTCCCAATTGCAGGAAGAATAGGAGCATCCCATTTTATGTCCTATATACATTTGGTAAAAGTCTACAGCTTTACAAATAGCTGTCAACCCAATATACATGCTAATTACAACATGAACCATTATTTGTTTGGCCTCCCTTGATATCTTACTCTTCAATTGTTTCCTTATGCCTCATGCTCTGCTAATTGATTTCTACTTTAACTTTCTCCACTGCAACTTTCTCCAGAATCTCTAGTCCCTCATCTCGAAATTCCCAAAACACATTTAGTCTAATCTCTCTGGTCAGCGAAAAAAAAGTCTGGAATTCTATGGGATAATTTAGCTACTTCGCAAAGATGGCACATATCCATGAAGATTTGTAAGTGATGAGTCAGCATGTAAGGTTCATTTTAAGATATCATTAGGAGAAAAGTCTGATCACTGAATAGATAAAGCTAAAACTTTTTAAGAGGTTCCATTAGAAACACCCTGGTGCTCAAGCAGATCAGGAATAAAATACTAGAAACCTGAGAAGAGTAGATGAAACTCCAAACCCAGCTGCCTTGAGAGCCGTGCCACATGTCCCCTCTTGAACCCACCCCAGATTAGGCAAGATTGGAAGGAGGTGGATCAGCCATGATGGAGTAGGGGGAGTGGCCCTTAGTCTAGAGAGTAGTATTAACAGAGACAGTGAATCTCCTTCTGTAATTTTGACTTGAGCTAGCATCACCACAATTTTGTCTTCTCTTAGCTGGTAAGACCTTAGTGTATACTGTGTTGATTGAATACCATAATCAACGATGTCTTCCACTTTTGTGTCCCCCAGCACCAGTGATGATGACTTGAATACTATTTATGTTTAAAAATTGTTGTAGAAGAAAATAATTATACAATTTAAATAATTTGATAGAGAGCTAGGGTTCCTCAAAACCCAAAATGACACAGTAGATACTTTTATTTGCTATTGAACATCAGCTATTCTAACTTCTATTTCTGCATAGTTAATTTACTGAAAAACTAAATATTGGTTGTACATTAACTTTCTCTACAACATCATTTTCACTCAGTTGCATTTTAATATTTTATCTTGACTTTGAGGTTCTTAATAAGAAACAATCAAATACAAGTTATTTCTATGTTTGTCATAAATCTTTAATTTGAATGTCATTACATAGGATATTCAAATAGTAGGGATTTAAAATGACAATGTTAATTGTCAATATCAACTTATAAGGTCTCATACAAGACAATTTTTTTAGAATTTATTTTAAAAATATTTCTGTCTTAAAAATTTAACTTGCTTCTCTGATATATGAAATCAATACATTTCCCTTTTTGCCCTTGGTTCCAGAGAGTTCAGAATTACAACTTATGCAAATTGCATTGTTAATGTACTCCAACATTGTTGTGTTTATTTCCTCTTTCTTCCTTTCTTCTCAATTCCTTGTTTGATTTTTATTAAACATATGACAATATATAATTTTAATACTTTTTCTCAAATCATTTTTTGAAAGTTGATATAAATACAAAATTAATTCCTAAGACAGGTATATTATTCTCCTTTAAATGAACAAATAATGGTAGAGATGATTTTTAATAAATGATTTTGCAATATTTCTGCAGTATTAACAAAGTAAACTTAATGTTTATTTAGAAGTTAATTAATCTTCTTTGTATTGATAAGCCACCTCCTTTAAGGGAGCTATTACAAACATTCTTGTTTGAGTCTGCAGCACTACAATACAATAGCATTAACAGATGTCAATTTTAAAATGCCCATTCATTTTAATGGGAATTTAGATTTGAACTTACTTGTAGCCATTTAGAGATTTGTACTCCTTGGTCACTTGTCCAATATGCCAATACTTAGCTTGAAGAACTGAAACTCAATTATAAGCCTTCTTGGTGTTAATCTTTATTATATACATTGAGTCCCTATTCTCAGAAACAGGGCTTTCTAACCGGCCCCTTCAGAAAAACTAATAGACTACAAAATTTGAAGAATAGACAGTCATCTATAATTTTACGGCTGATTTTTTTTTAAAACATAGATTCATTTTTCTTAGCAACTATATTATTTTTGTGAATCAAATAAATGATTAAATTCTACTTTATTGCTGATAAAAAACCCTTTTAAAAATAGGTGGTTTCTTCATTAACTTCTCCCCTCCACCACACAGACACACATAGAAACCCACAATGTTACGTTTATGCACAAGTGAGAGAGTAGAAGTTTTTTCTTCAACTCAGGAACAACAATACTAGATAACCTCACTGCCCAAAGCAGTTAACCAAAGAATGAAATTCTAGGTACAAGTGTGAAAATGGAATGACAACATTATTAGCTCTAAGTAATACATAGAAACATTACAGTAATTAAATAATTAAATATTCAGTGCATTGTGTACAGTTTTATTTTAAAAGTTGAAAAAAAATTTTAAATATTGTTTACTTTGTTTACTTTTTAACGTATCATCAGAATAATTGATTTTAGGCATTATTCTGCTGTCTTTTGTTTAATTTAGATATTTAATTTACACTATCTATATCCACACATCATAGGGAATCTGTTATGCCTCTTGCTCTCTTCCATTTTTCTGCTGCTTACTATATGTCTTCAAATAATATGGTACATTGATCTTTTTCTTGATTGATCTACTTTAGATATTATTAATGACTAAGTGATATAATAGGTAGGGATTACTACATATCAAACTCCCTCTCCCAAAACACACATATACACCCTTTTTTTCCTACACTCTACTAGTTCAGCTATGTCACTAGTAGCCAGTTTGGGTTTTGGTATTTTTGGTAACAGCTTTCAACTACACTTTTAGTGTATTTATACTTTTGTGAGTGTGTGTGTGTTCATTCAATAGCATAGCACACTTCAATTTCCTTAAGAAGAAAGTAATAGCTGCCATAGTTTTACTATCTCCTTAACTACTTAGATTTGCACTTCTGTTATTTGTACATATATTTTTACATTGTCAAGTTTGATGGCATATTTATTGTATGAACCACTTTATGTGGAATTGCTTGCATACATGTACATGTACATGTGTGTATTATGTCATTACCAGCAGGATGTTCCACCATGTTAACTGTAATTATTTCTGATAGTGGTATTTCATGTGACTTTTCATTTCTTGATGGTTTAAAGGAAACCATTCAACAAAATAATTGGGATGGAACTAGAAGAAATAGACAAGCTGTATGATTGTCACCTAGAAGAGTGAGGTGGAATGGGCATACTGATCTACATTGTCCTGGGCATGGAGAGAAGTGTCAAGCTTCATGAACGAACTTTCATGTAGGCGATATGGAGCTGAGGAAAATAAAAATTTCCATGGTCAAGTAAATTGTAAATTTGGAAATATTAATTCCTTTTAAAGATACATGTTTTTACACATTTTAAGAATTATAATAAAAATGAAAAGACATTCAAATATATTACATAACAAAGCTTAACACATGGGAAACTATCAATGAAGTTCAACAAATTTGAAAAGACAGAAAAATAGTGGTAGGAAGTATACAAAATACGCCACAAACTTCCCTCATGCCACGAACTCTCCTACTTCACCTGATGTTTGACTTTTCTGTTTATTTCCAGAACCCTGGGCAGTATAGACCAATATGCCCCGTCCAATAACTCCTGTGGGGGGTCATCATGCACAGCTCTTTTCCCAGTTTTTCCGCTGATAGTTTCCCTCCAATCATTGTTGATTAAAAGTATAAAAAACACACAAAAATGGTAAATTGATTTTGCATTTTGCAATCTGTTCAATATATTTATTTGTTCTAGAAGCTTTCGTGTAGATTTCATAGATTTTAACAATCTAAAAATTAAGATAATTTAAGACAAATTACCTGCTTTCCAATAACTTATCTTTATCTTCTTTTCTTTCCTGTGGCAATGGCTAGAACAATATTGAATAGGCATGAATGAAAGTGCTGAGAGTGAATATTCTTGCTTCGATCCAGGTCTTAGAGAAAGAGCATTATATTTTTCAGAATCAAGTATGATATTGTTTCTGGGTTTTTTCATAGACACTTTTCATCAGAGAAAGGTAGTTCCATTCCATACCCAATTTGCTGATATATTTTATCAGGAATAGAACACAAATGTTGTCAAATATTTTTCTGCATCTATTGAAATGATCATGGATTTCCTTTTTAGTCTGTTAATACAAAGAATTATATTTTTAAATTTGTGAATGGTAAACAAATGTTGCATTCCTGAAATAAACCATGAAATTGGTAACAGTGTGACATCTTTTTATGTATGGTAAGTCTTGATTTTTTTAAATGTTTGTTAAAATTTTTTGCATCTATGTTCCTAAGATATATTGATATGTAATTGTGTTTTCTTGAAATGTCTTAATCTGAATTTGGTATCAGAGTGCTGCTGGTCTCATACAATGAGTTGGAATGTTATTTCTTCCTCCACAATTTTTGATAAAACCTTATATAGAAGTAGTATTTTTTTTCTTTAACAATTTTATGTAATGTACCAGGGAAGCCGTCTGGAGCTAGAGTTTTGTTGTAGGAAGGTTTTCAACTAAACATTCAATTTCTGTAATACACATAGGGGTATGCTGACTATCTATTCCTTTTTGTGTGGGCATTGTTTTTTATTTGTTCTTTTCCCAAGAATTTGTCTATTTCATGTAAACTGTCAGAAATGCTGGAAAAATATTTTTCATAACATTCCCTTCTTAGCTATTTAGTATCTGTAGAATGTGAAATCATATCACCTGTCTCTTTCCTGCTACTGATTATTATTGGCTTCTTTCTGTTTGTCCTGATATATCTGGAAATAGGTTTGTCAATTTTATTCATCATCCCAAAGAACTAGTTTTAGGTTTGATTGATTTTATTTATTTTTTTCTGTTTTCTAATTCATTGATTTCACTCTCACTTTGATTTTTATTACTACTTTTATTCTTTTAACTTTGATTTTGTTTGTTCTTTTGCTAGTTTCTTTAGACAGAATGTGAGGTCTTTAATTTCAAACATTTCTTCTTCACGGATATAGATGTTTGTGCTATAAATTTCTCTTTGAGAACTACTTTGCCGTGTTCAATAATATTTTACATATTATGATTTTAATTATCTTTTATATAAAATATTTTCTAATTTTTCTTATGATACTTTTCATGGATAACTTAGAAGTGTATCATTTAGTTTTCAAATCTTAAAGATTTTTAAATATTATTCTGAAATTGTTTTTCAGTTTAATTCCACCAAAGGAGAACATACTTTGTTTTTCTTTTACATTTACTTAGACAGCTTTACAACTCACAATATAGTCTATGTTGGTAAATGTATAGACCAAATATAGTTGTGGATTTGTCTCTTCTTACAGTTCTATTAGTTTTTGCTTTATGTGTTTTGAAGCTCTGTTTTAGGTGCATAAATGTTGGGAATTTGTATGTCCTCTTTTATAACTCTTTAAAAAAGAGTTGCATATAACTCTTTTTTATATGCAATTACCACTTTTCCATGAAAATACATACATTTTTGCTCTGAAATCTGCTTTATATGATATTAAACAGACTATAGCTTTTTTAGATTAGTGTTATCAGGCATATCTTTTTCTATCCTTTTACTTTACTTGTGTCTTTACATTTTAAGCGTGTATCTTATATGACATATGGAGTTAGGCCTTACTTATTTAGCCATCTGATATTGTCTGCCTTTTAATTGAAATATTTCACATTTACTGTGAATATTGATACAGTTGAATTGAAATTTACCATCTTACTATTTGTTTTCTTTTTTGCTTTGTTTTTCAGTTCAATTTCTCAACAATACACTTTCATTTTTCTCTCCTGCCCTTTTGAGCTATATTATCATCCACATTTTACTTTTACATGCTACAAATTCCAACACTTTGTTATTACTATTGATTTAAATAGTCAATTGCCCTTCAAAAGTATTTGTATAACAAAAAGTAATTGTTTATATTTACCAGTTAAAAAGAAACCATTTCCTGTGCTCCTCAGTCCTCTGTACCAGATGGATTTCCATCTGGTATTATTTTGCTTCTGGCTTAAAGAACAGTACAGTAATAATTTTTGGTCCTGTGTGAGCTCCCATCGTTTTTTCCTCTGCTTCTTTTGGGTGGTTCCTTCATGAGCTTTGAGTAATCTCCTCATATCCATGTACCCCTTTGTACTCAGATGAGGACTTTGAAAGTATACTCTGCAGATCTCTGGCTTTCTCTCTCTATGTAGCTCTTTTCTCTCTTGTACTCTATACTGCAGACTGTAGCCAACTTGACCTCAAATTTCTGCTGAAAGGCTCCTATTTTTAAAAACAAAATTAAAAGTTAATATGTTTTAAAAAGATGATGGACCGGAAAGGAAGTTTCCCCAAGTTGAATTCCTTCAGTGCTTTCATCAAGGCTCATGAAAATATTGAACAGTTTAATTTTGAGGCAATAATTTATCTTGCTCTCCATAGGTATGATATTGGTGACTATCACTGCATCAAGGCACAAATTAGTGATGCAAGAGATGGCTAGGCCAGAAAAGATTCCATGAGTCAGGAGAGCCTGAAATTAAAGTATTTTCATCATAGAGAATACTATGGCTTTAATGGCAAAAAGTAGGCCAGTTGGCACTTTGAAACCCACAAGAGTGGTCAGTTGATCTTTTGTGTTTCCTGATATTACAAGGAGGTGCTTGTCCGTGGCCTACTTCTCATCTTTATGAATCATGATAAAGGCCACATTCATGTGGTCTTCACTAGAGGTTATGTTCTTAGTTCCATGAACAACAGGTGAGAAACAATTTCTTCACTGAGCAATATTATTCTTCATCCACTTTAAGAATAATATGCCAGTTGTCTTCATATACAAGTTATGAGTTGGTATGCCAACAAGCCCTGAATCTTAGGAGTGTATATGTCATAGGGATGGTATGATCAGTGTCTGCTGTACACACTATATTTGCAACAATTTTGGTCACAACTGGGGCTTGGCTTTATTTTTTTTATGTTCCCAGTTATAAGGGAAATGTGGGTAAAATGTAGTAACCCAGTTGGCTGCAGCAATCTACAGGCATTAATCATGATTAGAAATTCCAACAGATTGCTACTGATTTTGCCACAGTCACTCTAAACCATGTAAATATCTTCCTCTCCATGTACGCTCTCACCAATTTCCACAGATATTTCCCAGTCACCCAATTTTTCAGTAAACATTATGCCTAATTCTAGTCCGAGGCAGCAGGCAATTTTCTGACATAAGTCCTGGTAACAGCTGCAGGTAAAGATTTTGCTATTTGGCACTTTGACCATCTAGTTGGCAACATTTCACTCAAGCAACACTGCTTGCGATGCAGACAAAATCAAAGTCATACCACAGACTAAGTTACTAATTGCTTTGTGTTGTTACTCTATTATTTTTCACTGGTTATGTTTTGACTACATAATTATTGTTCACTGTACAATCAAGTAGCACACAACTATCATTTTACCTTTTTCTTCAAAATAAAAAGAAATTGTCTTGAATTAATTTTGAATATAGAGAAAAGTTGCAAAAATAATATGGAGGGTTCCTATACATCCTTTACTCTGCTTCCTTTATTATTAACACTGCTTGTCCACAGTACAGTGATCAAAACTAAGAAATGTACATTGGCACATTATTATTAACTAGTTTACAGGCTTTATTCAGATAAAATAGCTTTATTGAACAATATTTTTCTTTGAGTTTCTTAATGATTTTCTTTTTCATGAATTTTTGACATATTTAAGATGCAGACAAAATATTAATGCATATTTAAAGAAAAATGATTGATAATAATATAAAATCTCTAAAACTCCCCCACTATTTTTCCTCAGAAATCCCCCTCCTTCATCTTCCATCTGGACTAAATTCTCTCTAGGCCTGAGCATCTCTGGCACAGATTCTTCTTTATTGCTCTCCTAGTTTGTAGCCATTGTTTCCTGAATATTGTATTATTGTTTTTCTCATTTTTCACCTCTTTAGGTAGAACACATCTGAAACAATTTTAGAAGAAAAGAGCAAGGGAGATAAAATGTGTGAGTTCTTTCCTGTCTGAAACATATGTATTTCTAGCCTCACACTTGGGTTACAGGTTAGTTGGGTATAGGATTCTAAGTTGAAAATTATTTTCCTACAGAACATTGATGTTTGTTTTCTTTCTTTAGTTTTCATTGTTGAAGATGATAACTTTGATGCTAGCTTCATTCTCACTAAGAGATCTAATTGTTTTTTTTCTGGAGTTTTTTTTTTTTTTAAGTTTTTTACTCTGCAGTTGGAAAGTTTACAATAAAGTGTCTACTTCTGTTTCTTTTTCATTAGTTGTGCTGCACACTTAGGGATTTTTAGTCTTTAAAATCTCTTTCTTGCTTTCTGCAATTACTCTTCTTCTCATAGCGTCATATTCTTTTTTATGGTTGTAATAACTTCTTAAAACTTTCCGATCATACTATTTGGAGCTTAGAACAAAATCTTGTATTTATTGAGTTATCTCTGTTTCCTCCTGATATTCCTCTCTCTCTCTCTCTTTTTTTTCTGTAGCCCAGGCTGGAGTGCAGTGGCATAATCTCAGCCCACTGTAACTTCTGCCTCCAAGATTCAAGAGATTCTCCCTGCCTCAGTCTCCACAGAAACTGGGACTACAAGTGCATGCCACCACACCCAGCTAATTTTTGTAGTTTTTAGTAGCGTCGGGGTTTCGCCACGTTGGCCAGACTGGTCTCGAACTCCTAATCTCAAGTGATCTGCCCACCTTGGCCTCCCAAAGTGCTGGGATTACAGGCTTGAACCACCATGCCTGGCCAGATATTTCTCTTTCAGACTGAAGAATTTGATCAAATATCTGGTGGTCCTTAGTAGCTTATTCATAGTTAAGAATGAAATGAGGAAAAAAATCTACTTTTCCATTGTCAGACTTCACTACACAGGGAGTTGTCAATGAGTCAGCTATTACTCTGGGCACACATCCTGCACTACAAAATAAAAATGCCCTTGTTCTGTGCTCTCAAGGTCTGCACAGCTAACCTAGCTTCAATACATACATAGTTTGTTCATTTTCTCTTTCTTTCTTTCTTCTTCTTTCTTTCTTTCTCTTTCTTTCTTTCTTTCTTTCTTTCTTTCTTTCTTTCTTTCTTTCTTTCTTTCTTCTTTCTTTCTTTTCTCTTTTTTTTTTTTTTTTTTCAGAGTCTTGCACTGTTGCCTGGGCTGGAGTGCAGTGACACGATCTCGGCTCACTATAACCTCTGCCTCCCGGATTCAAGTGATTCTCCTGCCTCAGCCTCCTGAATAGCTGGGACTACAGGTGCCCGCCATCATGACCAGCTAATTTTTGTATTTTTAGTAGAGATGGGGTTTCACCATGTTGGCCAGGCTGGTCTCGAACTCCTGACCTCGTGATTCGCCCGCCTCAGCCTCCCAAAGTGCTGGGATTACAGGCGTGAGCCACTGCTCTCGGCCTCATTTGTTCATTTTCTTTAAGTGAACATTTGTTTCATTCTTCTTTTGTTTTCTTTTTTCCTGGGGTTTAAACATCTGGTTGCTTCAGTTCTGTGCACAGAAGTGGGAGGAGAAGTGACAATTTAATTGTTATGTTTATTGACTTTCCATTAGACCTCTTGATTTCAAGTTCTTGTTCATTTTTGTCCCCAGTCATTCTTTGCCTTTTTAAACCCCAAGTTTCCCTTTCAAGTTTTGCTGGACTTATGGACTCTTTTTTCTGGCTGTGTACCCTCTGCATGGATCTAAGCAGTGATTTTGCTGGTCCTGCTTTATGAGTCACCAGTTATCTATCTGCTTTCCACTTTGCAAATTTTTTTGGGGGGGAGGCATTTGAAATTGGTTTTTCACTCATATGCTTGTCTCCCATTTTGTTTTTATGTGTGATTGGTTTATGCCTTTAAGTATCTAGTATGATTTCAATTGGATCTTGGAGGGTTGAAGAGAAAATGTGTGCAGGAAATCAACCATCTTGACATAATAGCCAAGATTTCTGTTTTGAAAAGATTATCCTTGCAGCGCTAAGGTGACTAGATTGAGGATAAAGGAAGAGAAAAAGGAGAAACCTTATAGGAGTGTTTTGCTAACGCAGGAAAGGCATTATGAAAGTTGAATGGCATAGTGGCAATGAGCAGGGAGGAGAAAGGAGAGATTCTAGAAGTTAAGGAGACCGAATAGACAAGACTTAATGTCAGACTAGATGGAAGACTATGTTAGATTGCTATTGCTGTCATAACAAATTATCACAAATTTAGCAGCTGAAACAATACTCATTTGTTATCTTGTAGTTCTGTAGGTAGAAATTCAATGGGCTTAACTGGGTCTCACAAGGCTGAAATCAAGGTGTCCACAGGGCTGGGGGCTTTATGAGAAAATTGTTTCCAGGCTCATTTAGGTTGTTCACTCGGTCCAGTCCTAAGTCGTTTCTTGCTCTCATCTGGGCACTGTCCTAAGCTACTCTCAGCCTCCTTCTCATCCTTATCTGTAGCCCCCTACATCTCAAAACCAAAAAACATCAGATTCTTCTCACACTGCCTCATCTCTCTCACTGGCTCTTCTGACTTCCTCTTCTGTTTATAATGGCCCATGTGATTGCATGGATCCTCCTGGATCATCCAGGATCATCTCCCTATTTTAACATCACCTGATTAGTAACCTTAATTCCATCTTCAACGTCCCATCACAGAAGTTCCTAGATTAATGTTTGACCAAATAACTAGGGGGCAGGAGTCTTAGGGGTTATTGTTAGAATTTTTTCTATCACTAATAGGATAACTAAAAGAGGGAAATAGAAGATGACTCCAGGTTTCTAGTTTGGATGGTGTCCCTTAACTAAATCCCTCAGCGTCCAAGGTTCCATTATTTTTCATCTGATAAACACATACTCAGCATCACAGCATAAGGAAGACCCTTGACAAATGCTTAATTTTTAATCCTGGATAGATTACTACCAATGAATCATTATCTGTCTTTTTCCCATTAATCTCAAACAAAAAGCTGCACTAGAAACCTAAGAAAACAAAGAAGTAAGCAAAAAAAAAAAAAAAAAAAAAAAAAAACAGCTTTAAATTTAGTACCAAACTCAACAGCTTTCTCTTATCTGGCCCTTTCCTGAAGCTTCTTAGCTTTTTAGAGTGAAAGACCACATCTCAAGCAGAAAGCATTTCCAGAGAAAATAAAATTAGAGGGCAGAAAATTATTTGGGTACCAAATTCAAAGTTCACAAGTATTCCAAAAACTTACAGTCGCTAAGGCCTGCCTAAAGTCTCTTTTAGCTGTTAAAGAATTAGGTAAAATTCTTTTCACTCAGAAGATAAGTATTCTACTCCCACCACTCAATGTTTTAATTTCTGTTTTGTCTGTCTTTACCTCTCTGTTTACTCCACATAATAGCCTACAGACTATCAAGCTCCCTTCCTAGGGGAGATGGGCTGGCAGAATGGAAGATGAAGAGGGGTACATGAGAAGACAAAAGAGAAGATAGAAACTGATATCATATAAATAGACATTATTGATGTATACTTTCTTCTCTACATAGTTATATTGTTTCTTTAAAAAAGAGACAGAAATAAAGACAAAGGCATGTCTTTACGACCTTGGAATCAAAAAATGTGTCTTTGTGTGGGGGGTGTGTGTGTGTCAGTGTGTGTAAATTAGCATTTGTCCATAGATATTTTTGTAAATCCAGCAAGACAACATAACCTGGTTGACTTTGAGAGTGGTTGAATAAACTGCTTTCTATAAGCCAGATATTGTATTTGGTCAAGATATAAACAAACTTGTATCTCCTTTAACAATAGTTCCTTTGCTTTTCATAGAGAAGGAGTGTCCCCAAGGAACCTGCCTCCATGCCATGGCACAGCCCTCTCTGTGGACATGAGATTGCTATCTGCTGGATGTTTTTAACAGGGCTAATTAAGTTCATTCACAAATCCTCTCTATTAAAGACTTCACACTGAAATATCTCTAAACATGCAATAGAACACTATTATTGAAATGTCTTTGTTTCTAATCACAATACCAGGGTGGTAATTAAAGACATTACAAAGTGCCCTCATGAGGGTAAGGATTAAGAACGTCATCACTATCTGCTAAAACACTGCAAGGGGACCTATTTGGGCAACAGTACTCCATTAGTGCAGATGCTAGGAATGATTTTGTAAAAGTCTAGACTCTACAAATTTCAGATACTATATTCTGAAATGTGTAAATGTCTTGTTATGTAAGCCATTTTTGTTAATGCTATTCAGAGTATAAATGCATACAGATTATGTGATAGAGCCTTTCTTTTAACAATCCTTCTGCTTGTAATTGCCAAATAATTTCTTAAAATACAAATCAATCCACTAGATGTTTAAGCCAATCTGCTTCTTATTTTTAAAAGTGCTATGCATAGGCTGTGCTAAAATACTTGTATTGGGAGAGCTGTTGTTGAAAAGTTACCATGCCAGATTACATAAAAATATTGCCAAGCCATTTCTAGAAAGATTAAGAGTGGGAAAATACAATATATCTTAATTGGATCTGTTATTATATTTACATGCCTATTTTAATGTCTTCTTTTCCTCGAGTTTTAAATAGAAAAATTTTGTTTTGATACCTAAGAATTTCAGAGGAGCCATTTCTCACATTCTCTGTGAAGTCAATTTAAAAGTACATTAGCAATGCATGTGGATATAGTCAGGGAATCAAGATGTGAAATTTTCAACATATTTCTTTAAAGGTAGACTCTTCAAGTGATTACTGTGAAAGTAATTTATTCCAGCCAAACACACTTCCACATATTGTTAACAGTGCTATGTGCTTCAACTCATTTAACAGCTTTTTAATACAGTAGTTATTCCGATTTAATAGAGCCATTTCTTCATCATTTTGCATTTAGTGATAAATGGTGCCAGAATTTATGATAAATTAAACTGCAAAGGACCATGTTAAAGTTATCTTAAGCGTTTCACATAAAAGGAATCAGCACCTATTTTGTTCAGAACAGCCACCTGAAAGTTCACGTGGCGAAAAGTGCTTCTTGCCAGGTATAAACTATGCGATCTATTTGAAAGTTAAGTTTTAATTATACTTTTCCCTCACCACTTACCTTTGGCAGTGGCCATCCAGCTGGGGGACTAGCAACACGGACGCTTTAAACTAGGGGTTCTTTCTTGTTTTAATATTGGTTTAACAAGTGGAAGAACATTCAGGTTGAAGCTTTGATGAAAAATCCTTACATAACAAGCCACCAGATACAGGGGGCAACTTTGTAAAAGTTTGGTGAAGAGACAAGGCATCACGGGGCTATGGAAGAGATAAATTGGGCAGGGCCAAGTGGTGGGAGAGAGGAGAGGTGTAGTTGGACAGCCCTGCCAATTACTGATCCTATTATCCTTTCTCCCTCCTCACTAATGCACTGGCTGAACAGCCACTGCAAAGGGATATGAGAGGCTGAATTCACAGGCCTCTTCCTTTCCTTCCTTCCCATAGGCACATTTTATAAATGAAAAAAAAAAGATTCCTTGACTAAAGTATTGAAAATGGTTTGCGGCCATTAACTCTACCATTTTCCAGACCTGTTAAAATGTATAAACTAGCTTAATTAGGTTTTTTCCCTCGCTCACCTATACTCCCAGGCAGGCGAGCTGGATAGTCAAACAAGGCGAACTGTATTAGGACAGAGATCAGGACAAAACTATGTAAATGAAAGACTCTGTCCTTAAGGTTAAAAACCTTAGGTCACTCTTGACAACTAATGAGAGACCAGGGAGAACCTGCCCACAAACACATTCATTTGTACCAGAAGATAAATTTCGGCCCCCAAAACAGTCATGAATAACTTATCTGTGTCCATAACTATAGGCAAAACATTTGCAAGGGTGTGAGGAGTGCAATCTGCATTTCCTCATTTGTGAAAAACACTTCCTTAGTATTCACCTTCGAGTTTTCTGAGTTAGAATTTTCCTGTTACTTTATGATTGCCTATTTGCCATAAAGTTTTCCTTTATGGAGCACCTTTTATTAAGAGCCTATTATGTGAGGGGATATTGGTGTACAAAGATAAAAGACATGGTCTCTTCTTCAGAAAAGCACCTAGTCTGATATATAATAATAATAAGTAGGTATCGAAGCAAATTCTGTGTTCATCAAGGTGGAAGAATAAGTTGCAAGCTGGGTTAGTGTTGAATTACCAAAAAGAGCAATTGCTTGATTATTTAAAGGAAAGTCTAAATACTTTTGGAAAATAGCCCCAAACTCATTAACCCTACCTTGTAACTCCACTTCACCTCTTTTCTTACCCTCAACATTTGTGTATGCATTTGTGTATCCATCTATGTGTATATTCATGTCTATCTGTTGCTGTCTATTATATAGCATTAGCAGCAATTATTAGGCACTATCTCTGTGCCAGGCAGTGAAGTAAGAACATTGTATGTCTCATCATATTTAATGAAAGGAAAAAAATGATGGATTGGGAATTTGAATGTTCCAATCACAAAACTAGAAGTAGAATATTTTACATCTCTATTTTTAAGTCTCTAAAATGAGAGGAGTCCATTCTAAGACCCTGTCCAGCTATCACAAGTCTAAAAAGTTGTGATTCCTGATGCTTTCCTATATGTTTCTTTCACAAGGTGAAGATAATGCTTTATTTTGTTAACTCCCTAACATTCCCTGCTGTATGGATACTTTTTAAGAGGAATGGAATTGAATAACAGGCTACTTTTTAAAAGCTTCGCTTTTAATAGGTGGATTAAATTTGAGGACTTAAACTGTATAGGGTTTTAAAAATAAAAATTATAACAATCATATGTATGTAGAAACAATTTTACCAGATAGAAACATTTTTTATTTCTTGATGATTTCCAAAAGGTGTTCCATTAGCCACAAATTTTTTATAGATGAAATATTTGGCCTTTAAAAGTGTGATTTTTAAACTCCTAAAATATTCATGAAATTATTCCTGTAACAAAAGCAACAATTTTAGAAGCATTAATATACATTGCTTAACCTGAAAAATAGAATACAGAAGATTTTCTATTCATTAAGTTGCCCATTGCACTGTCCACGGCCACTCGTCTACCTTCTTGCTGTGTATGTTGCTTGTTATATTTTTCTGGGCTGTTTATTCTGCAAAGGGCAATTGCAAAAAGAGTTTGAAGTAGTTTTTAGTGCTAGGCTATTCTCTAGCTTAAGTTCATGCCCCTTGGTTCTCATATTTAACAGAAGCTCAGATAGCCTGCAGCATCTGTCCTTTTGGTTCCCTTCAGGATTGTGTACATTTCTTTGTCATATCGTCATTTCTCAAACCACAGAGTTTCTTTAAATAGCAGCCCTGTCCCAGTAGAATTATGGGAAACCACAATGCTATAATTTGAAAAACATTCTTTTCAAAGTACATTGTCATAGTTGACTTAAATATTTGAGACATATATTATATTGTATTTTCCTGTTAAAGGGAAGTTGAGTATAACCATGTTTTTTGCAATGAAATAAAAAAGAGGACAGTAACTACTTTTTTCAGTCCATATTTGGTTAGTATGATCAATTTCATTGATTAGGTGAGAATACAATCTCCCCAAAATAATCAAAACACAAAGCAAATTTGGCCACTTCACAAAAGGTGAAAAATAAAATCCAGCCACTTATTTACAAGAGTAGTACTTACATATATTTTCATACCATTGTGTTGACATAGTCCAAATAAATAAATACACACATCTTACATAAACAAATAAATATGTCACAGTTTACATCTGTCCTTTAGAGCACAAAAGAATAATTCCAGGAGCATGAAATTCATCTTCATCACTTCCTCTGTTCCTAAGTTTAGAAAAGGTATCTTTGGAGATAATAATTTTAAAAGAGCCTTATTAGTATGATATACTGTTTTTTGACTTAAGGAAAAATTGACACTATACCAGATGTTTAGGTTTTAAAAAGCTCTTAAGTGTTTTCAACTGTATTACTCACATGCAAAAAAAATGTCTATAGAAGATTAAACAATGTTTCACTTTTGATCTGGAGACTGTGATGAAGTATAATCAGACTTGAAGCCTGGTACTTTTTATATGTTCAGTTTTTCTGTAGGCACATTTATAAATGGATAATTCTTTTGAGATTCTTCTTGTTCAGTCTCAGCGTTTTTTGTTCTCTTTTTCACAGTGAATTGCAAAATGCCATTTAACTTCAAAGTTGCTAATCATACAACTGCCCAGCTACCCACCCTTTTATTGACTGCCTTTCCTTGGGTTTTTGTTTCACCAGCCAGATTCTCACCTTGCTGCACATTCTTTCAACTTGGCCATCAATCTATAAAGCGGAGAAAACTTTCTAAGTCCTGATGCCTCTAGTAGCATTTTACTTTCCACTTTTTTCCATCCTCAGAGAAAAGCTCTATCTGAAATGTCTGAAGTGGCTGTTGATGGTGTCTTCACTGCTGCTCCATGGAACCCATTTTTTTTTGAATACTATCATCTAAAATCTCCTGAAGTCCAGGAAAGTCTTGTCAGACTGTTTCAGCAATGTTTATATTTATTTGCTTCGGTGTCTGTCTCTCCCTTCCTACCTCTGTCCTCTATTTTTTCCTTTCTAATTTGTGACAGTGAAGTTTTTGGAAATATTTTTATGGTAGGCACACAAGGACACACGAGTAAACATGAACATATTTTGGTTTGCTTCCTACATCCTAATTTTTGGAAACTACTGGTGTTTTTGACCACATAATTATTTAATATATCATATTTATTTAACTTAAAATGTCTGTATGTTTGTAATCTCTCTATATATAAAGTTTATATGCACTTACACACATAAAAAACACATACTTATATGGTTCTCCTAAAATAAATGTGTATATATATGTGTGTTTCTTTTGTTGCAGGAAAAATATAATTTTACTCAAAATTAATCGTGTCTAGTATATACCAAGAAAGTGCTTCAGAAATCAGAGATTAAGAAATATCTACCTGGCCAGGCATGGTGGCTCATGCCTATAATTTCAGCGCATTGGGAGGCTGAGGTGGGCAGATTACTTGAGGTCAGGAGTTCGAGACCACCCTGGCCAACATGGCAAAACCCTGTCCCTATTAAAAATATAAAAATTAGCTGAGTGTGGTGGCACACACCTGTACTCCCAGCTACTCGGGAGGCTGAGGCAGAATTGCTTGAACCCTGGAGGCGGAGGTTGCAGCGAACTGAGATTACACCACTGCACTCCAGCCTGGGTGACAGAGCGAGACTCCATCACAAAAAAAAAAAAAAAAAAAAAAAAGGGAAAGAAAGACAGATCTAGCTATAAATCACCCACACAAACACATTTAAACACACACACACGCATGCACTCACACATATAATATGAAGTACATATTATATGATATTTTATAAATGCATCATACATGGAATAAAGGCATTCAGGCTCTTCCTTCCTCTAGTGGGAATTTTAATCTGCACTGATCCAATCATGTATTTCAACACATTGTGTAACTTCTGCAAATACTGGCCTCTTTTCACAAATCCAGACAAACCCAGAAGTATGCTCGTGATATCATCCCAAGATTCATAAAAGTCAGTTGCATTATTTTCGTGTTGGCCAGGTTTTGGCTGTGTCATTTAAATAATTGGAAAGTGAATAGATTCATTCCTCTTATAGCTTTTATTTCATAACAGTAATTCATAAGGAGAGGCCAGAGTACTAAAACAGGAGACAGAAGCTCTACAGGAACAAAGAAAACGCATTGAAATGTTCTTGGAAGATGCAATCATATAATAAACTGAGCCATTGGTATTCAAAATGTTTTTTATTTACATGATATAAGACTTTGGTTCATTTCTAATGCTAAAGACAATAGTTCTTGAACTGTTTATTTAAAATTTCAGATTGACCAGTATGCGTATTATGTTAATGATGAAAATGCCATGGCCTTCAAGATATATACTTTCCTAGCAACTGAAGTTCAGGTATCAGATCTATGTATCAGAGTTAAAAGAGTTTTGATAGAGCCCATATGATGATAGATGGAATGTAGAACAGAATCACTAAGTGTTAAGATTGTATTTTTTATCTCATTTTTCTTTAGAAGTTTGAATAGGGAAAAATAGACAAGAATAAAGATAATATGCTAATAAACTAATATTTTTAAAGTCAAAATTATTTCAATATATTGAAACATGAAAGTGTAATATAATAACTTAGGAAAATATTTTAATTTAGTCACTGACTATTTGTTCATAAAAATACCCTTAACTCTAAAGGTGAAAATTAATTTAGAAATTCAGAAAATACATTATTATGGAGCTGAAAATCTAACTGTAATGTGTATAACATAAACTTTTTCTATTATAAGCTAGATATTATAAACTAGTTAGAATAAAATTTGATTTATTTAGGTACTCCACAAATCGTAAATTGTAACTATGAATTCCAGCTATATAACTTATGAATAGGATTTAATCTTTTAAACGATTTATTTATTGAAAGGTTTTGAATGGAAACAGATTTTAATGAGCTATCACTTTTCTTGCCATTGAATTTTGCAGTAAATTCAAGAGCAGTTAATATGCAGCTATATTCTACATGTTACTAGCCAATCTTTTAAATTACTATCAAAATTGTATTCGTGTACCTTATTATATTACTTGTGTGATTTTTAAAAAATTTGTTAAAATGTGTTTAATGAGTTCCTATTATTTGTTAGATAGTATGGGTATAGATGAAACAGCAATTTAGTCAGTGGTATAAAGCAACAAAGTTGGGCCATCTGAAGACAGAAAAAGTAAAAGCATTACACATATACAATTTTCCTTTTTTCCATTGTCCATCTTGCACCTCTCCATAGTACTGTGAGACCAGACAAAAATTTGATTCTCAATTTTTTCAAAATTTTGGCTGCTAAAATTATCACCTGCAATGCTCTGAGTACCGTAAATAGTAAAGCATTGAAAGGATGGATTTTGGAGACTGCTTATATGAGTATGATGGAAAGAAATGAGTAATTGTGCATAAAAGTCATTGCATGGGAGAAGTAGAATGAAGAGAGAGGCTTCTGACATACTCTTTCATCATAAACACTTGGTCTTTGAGCATCAGAAGACCTTTAATTGAGCTCTATTTTCTTGGTGGTGGGAGAACTTCCCCACCAGGAGAGTTCCCTGGCTTTTACAAGTAAATTTAATGATTCTGCTTGTAGGTAGATTCCCGAGGAGAAGCACTGGAAATTAACATACAACATAAATGTGTCATAAGAAAAAGTTGAAAATTGTGGCTTCTAATGAGTTATCTGTAAGTAAATACACATACTTCTATCAAGAACCCTTTAAAATAATGAGAATTATTTGAGATTATGTGTTCTGCAATTGGCAATTTCAGTTTCAGAAGAGAAAATTATTTATAGTATTGCATACTTTTCATTAAAAGTGAATGACAGAAAACAGCTTTTTGTGGCCTATGAGGCAAATATATTATTTACAATAGACTGTATAATTGTTTTATTTATCTATTTCCTTTCTCTTTTTTATTGTAGGAAAAACACTTAACATGAGATACATCTCTCTTAATAAATTGTTAAGTGCACTGGACAATATTGTCAATTATAGGCACAAGGCTGTACAGCAGATGTCTAGAACTTATTCATTTCATGTAACTGAAACTTTATACTCATTAGATAGCAACTTCCCATTTCCACCTCTTCATGGCCCCTGGGAATCACCTTTCTTTCTACTCTCTGCTGCTATACATTTGGCTATTTTAGAGATCTCATACAAATAAATAGAATCATGTGGTATTTGTCTTTCTGTGACTGTTTATTTCAAAGAGCATAATGTCCTCCAGTTTTATCCATGTTGTCCCATATGGCAGGATTTCTTTCTTGTTTAAGGCTGAATGATATTCCATTGTATGTATATACCACATTTTCTTTATCTATTTACGCATTAAATGGTCATCTATGTTGTTTCCATATCTTGGCTATTGTGAATAATGTTTCAATGAACATAGGATTGTAGATAGCTCTTCAAGACAGTGATTTCAATTCTTTTAGATATATACCCAGAAGTAAGATTGCTGGATTACATATAAGTTCTATTTTAATTTTTATTTTTGAGGAACTTCCATGCTGTTTTCCATCTTGACTGCACTATTTTACACTCCAACCAACAATGTAGAAGGGTTTCTCACCAGCATCTTATCTTTTTTTTTTTTTTTTTGGACAATAGCCATCTTAATAGGTGTGAGATAATACATCTGAGGTTTTGATTTGCATTTACGTGAGTAGTGATTTTGAGCATCTTCCATATACCTGTTGGCCATTTGTATGTCTTCTTTGGATAAACATCTATTACTTCCTATGTCTATATTTGAATCAAGTTATTTGTATTTTTGCTATTGAGGCATATGAATTCTTTATACATTTTGGATATTAACCTGTGATCAGATATATGGTTTATGAATATTTTTCCCATTCCATAGGTTACTTTTACTTTTTTTTCTTTGCTCTGCAGAAGCTTTGTAGTTTGATATAGTCTCAGTCATCTATTTCTACTTTTGTTGCCTGTACCTTTGAGGTTGTGTCCAAGAAATCATTTCCAATACCAATGTCAAGAAGATTTCCCCCTGTCTTTTCTTCTAGGAGTTTAATAGTTTCAGCTCTTACTTTAAGTCTTTAATCCATATTCAGTGGATTTTTGTGTGTGGTGTAAGGTAGGGCCCAATTTTATTATTTTGCATGTAGATATCTAGTTTTCCCAATACCGTTTGTTAAAAAGGCTAACCTTTCCTCTTTGTGTACTCTTGATCCCTTTGTGGAAGATCAGTTGATTGTGTATGCATGGGTTTATTTCTGGGCTTTCTGTTCAGTTCCATTTGTCTATATATTTGCCATGCCAGTAACATGCTGTTTTAATCACTGTAGCTTTATAGTATATTCTGAAATCAGAGGCTGTAATGCCTTCAGCTTTGTTCTTCTTTCTCAAGATTGCTTTTGTTATTTGGGGCATTTGTAGTACAATATAAATTTTGGGACTTTTTTTTGTTTCTGTGAAAATGGCCATTGGAATTTTGACAGGGTTTGCATTGACATTTGCAGTAGATTGCTTTGGATAATATGGCCATTTTAACAATATTAAGTCTTCTAATCCATAAACACAGGATATCTTTCCATTTATTTGTGTCTTATTTAATTACTTTCACTAACATTTCATGTTTTAGTGTACAGGTCTTTCACCTCCTTAGTTAAGTTTATTCCTAATTATTTTATTATTCCTGATGCTATGGTATATTGTATGGTTTCTTAATTTCCTTTTCAGATAGTTTTAGTGTGCAACAATGTAACTGATTTTTGTGTGTTAATTTTTTGCCCTGAAAACTTATTGAATTCACATTTCTGATGGTTTTTTATGGTGTTGTGAGGGTTTTCTAAATATAAAATCATATCATCTGCAAACGTAGATGATTTTATTATGTAATTGTTTCAATTTCACTTAATAAGCCATTTGCTTTGACTTTTTCATGATAGAAATAAGATATTCTAGATATATATGTATATATGCTGATTATTTTAAAGAGGTTATTTGACTTGTACAAATATATTTAAATTAAGGTATTTATATAACACTTTTGAATATAGGTAAAAAGATACATAGATCTACTTTATTAAAGCCTCATTAAGTTTTCTTTAAATACTAGATTATAGTGTCAATGATTTACTTACATGGATATTGTTGCTGTTTTTCTCTGAACACAATTATATTAAATTTTAATGACATCAATTGTAATATCTAACTGGTATCTGGAAGCTTGTGGATACCCCAAAGGTTTTATACAAATTTATATGTGTAAAGCTTTCACTGATATACTTTGCCAGTAGATATTTTACCTTGAGTAGTCAGCTCTGCAAATCCCTTCCCACAAAAGATTAAAAACATCCTCCTATTACATCTAGAGATTTCTTTTTGTTATTCAAAGCCATGAATAAATTTAGGAAAATGTGTATGATTTTAATGCCTTAAACCAGAAAGCTTCCTTGATTCCTATTAAAAAATGGAATATTTAATGTTTTCCTTCTTCTGTGGTACTTTTTTTGATATTGTAGCAAAGAACAAAAAAGAATTCTGAGAACATATAAAACAAAAAACTGTGTTTGAAGTATTATAATAAAACACCCTTCTTCCTTTAATGCTAAGTCCCTTTTTAATGAAGATCCTCTGGCAGCTCTTGAATGTATAACTAGTTTATATCATGGGATGAAGCTGTCTGTTCTGATGATTGACATGAGCCCACATTACAATGTGATTCTGAAAATTAGTCCATAGAGGTCCTTTTCAGGTACTTCTCAGACTGAGAGCTGCCCTCCAACTACAGTAGAGCCTTTTTAACCCCACTCATTGGTATTCTAATCTGGAAGTGCTGTCCTGCCTTTTAAATAACTCAGGCATTCAGGCTCGTACCCCCCTTGACACATTACTTAGCCAAAGGATTCAAATGAGATTCAAGAAACATGCAGTACAGCACAAAGGGATTGGAATATGCACAATTAATAATCACACAGTTAATTCATTTTTAATGCAAGGAGGATTTCTGAAATTTCACATTCAGATTTGTAACACAAAGTAATAGCTGTCTATCCTGATTACATTTTCAAAATCTCAAAATATAAGCACTGTTCTTAAGTAATTATTTTTATTTTAAATAGATTCTCCTGAAGGAAAGCTTTAAATAACATTAAGGTTATGAAGCAAACTGATAAAATTTGAAGGTGGGGCTCCCTTCAATCCAGATATTGTCTAAGTAAATAAACAGATTATGAGTATTTACAAAAATGGGAAGAAGATACATCTCTGATTAGGAAAGGCTTTGATGGGGTTTCGATTATCTTGGGTCCAAACCAGTCAGCTGCTTTACATAGTACCATCACTCACATCTCACATTGTTTTCTTTTTGATACGTATTCCTATATCCAGTGTTAAAGGTCACGTTGCCTACGTTTGAGAAGTGTGTATGAGTTTATTGCAATAAGAATGTCTGTAAAACTACAAGTGTCCTAAGATTTTAGAACTACCACCAGAAAGACAACCAGTCATTGAATCAATAATTAGTTGCTAGATTCTTTCTAAGTATGGGTGATAAGTAAATTCATTTATTCACCATTTATGGATTGCATGTCTTCTACATGCCAGATCCTGAGGATGAAAGCAGTAAACAAAACAGATAAAGTTCCAGCTCATATAATGCATATTCTAGTACACAAATTAATAAACAAGATAAATTCAAAGAACAGTAAGTTCTATTCAGGAAAAAAAAAGCATGGCTAAGAGAATGGTGTGACAGGTTTGAGTAGGAGGGAGGGTCATTGGAATATGAGTAAGAGACCTAACAGGGTAACATACAGGTCAGAGAAAGAAGCAGGAACAAAGCCCTGAGAAGGTTGTGAGCTCCTCAAGTTTGAAGAAGACAAATATGGCTGGAGCAAGAATTGAGTGAGCAGATAAAATATCTTACAATCAATTGGTTCATCCATTTTTGAACCTAACTGAGCCATTAGAGTGCCCTAACTTATTGCATAATCTGTTTAGATCTACTGTGTTTCTCCTTATAGAAATGGCCTGGGAGTTAGCAGGATAAAACATTCAGAGCATGGAGGAAGCAAGGTAACACTGTAGGGAATTGGAGTAAAGTTGTGACTGCTGTTTTTTAACCACTCAGCTGCATTGACTGCCTGCAATAATTATTGGGTGGCTTGATACTTGCAGCATCAACATTATCATGTATTTTTAAATCATTTATGCTTTATTACAATGACTTGCAATCACAGCTATGGAAGCTTCACGGTGAACTTAAATTCTGCAATTGAGCAGTTTGTCACAGGATATTTGTACCAGTACTTTTCCAAATGACTCAATATGTCTACCTTAATTCTTCTTCCTCATCCTTAAGCCCCACCCCACTTTAACCCAAAGTAAAAGGAGGAAAGTCTGTACAATTGTTCTTTCATGCAAGCTAGTCTGTGTCTGAAATCTTAAACATGATTGGCATAACCCTGTCATATGGAATAAGGGACTTGCATGCTTTTGGAGTACACACCATGTCTTCAGACTCTGGTTTGGAAAGTAGCTCCAACCAGGGATCTGATGCTATCTTCCAATGATTTCTGCAACCTGTTTCTTAAAAGTGCAAGCAGCTTTTTGGCACCTGCTATAGAGTCTCCTGGACTAATTCATTGCTGGCTGTCATCAAGAAAGGGAAGTGGTTCCATCTTTTTTCTTTCCTTCTCTCCTTTTTTCCATTTTTCTTCTGTCCTTTGCTTCCTTTTTTTCTTCTTATTTTACTTTACTTATTGTAAATTATTGAGATTGACACATGACCTTAACCTAGACCACTAATGCCAGTTTTCAGGCATGACTTGAGCTCTCAATCTCCACACCACAGTAAAAGATAAACTAGTTTTTTTTGATGTCTTACTTTTACTAGTGTCCAGAAAGTTGAAATCATTCATGCATAGGTAATTGCTCCAGTGAGTTTCCTTGATCTGCATGTGTGATTGTAATTTTCAAATATCAAGTGTGTAGTTGCTGGGAGAGATTTTAAAAGCAAATGTTTTTAATGCATGGTTGACACATTTCATTCCCAACTGATTATATTATTTACAATATTAATGAACCTGATATTCTTTCTCCCATCAAAGGCAACATTAGGTTGTTCTAATGCTCAGTAGTGTGACCAATGCATGATTTTGTCTGGGAGAAAACGAGGAAGAAAGGTTAGCTCTCCCCCTAATATGTTATCCTCTGCAGTGCTTTGCACAACCCATATGTTGATCTGGTGCATGGAGCTCAAATTAGGTCACAATCTTGAATGCCTGAAATATAAAAATTGAGAGGCATTTAGCATTAAACCCTTAATATCATTGTCCTTGAATAAAGTTGAATATTGAAGTAAAATTATGACAAAAATTGGTAGGAGGTACACAAAACTCCCATATTAGTTATATCTTTCAGGAGATTAATTCATTAAAAATTATTGCTATTAGTGAATTATAAAACAATAAAATAAATTGAAATCTGTTCTATGGAAGCTTTCCCCTTGCAGGCTGTGTCAGGTCTAATGTCAAAAGATACAATTTTAGGGCTGGCTTGGTGGCTCCTGCTTGTCATCTTAACACTTTGGGAGGCTGAGTGGGGAGGATTGCCCAGGGGTTTGAGACTAGCCTGGACAACACAGTGAGATCCCATTTCTACTAAAAATTTAAAGGAATTATTAAATGCCTATGTGTGATGGCATGCACCTGTAGTCCTAGCTACATGGAAGGCTGATTGAGGAAGATTGCTTGAGCCCAGGAGTTCAAGGTTGCAGTGAGTTATTATCATGCTACTGCATGCTAGATTGGGTGACAGAGTAAAATCTTATTAAAAAAAAGATACCATTTTATATTCATGATTTTTTTATCCACGGGCATTTCCTTTGTCAAATACCACAACTGGATTATTTAGAAAAATCTGACGCCTAATTGCATGGGTGGTCATTTTGGAGATGAAATAACATTACCTCAATATCATGAAGCAGATTTAAATAAAATCCAATTTAATTTTGTCCTTGCCTTTTGAAAACACGATGCCTCCAAAGCAAGGAAGGAGAAAAGAATTCCTCTCGTCGATTTCCACATAACTCCAACTACAACTTAGGAATCAGAATAAGCCACAAAGCATTTTACCCGTGTGGCTCTGCCTGTCCATACGTCAGGTATGCTTCCTAAGATCTGATTATAGAAGGCCAGTGAGACAGAGTGTTCGAGAGCATCTTCCTACAAAGCTGTGAGATGGAGCCTTTAGCTCAAAGTGAAGAAGACGCAGAGGCAGCCAATAATCTTAGCAGTCTTTACAATAGTGTGTTAGTCTGGTTTCATGCTACTAATAAAGACATACCCAAGACTGGGTAATTTGTAAGGGCAAGAGGTTTAATTGTCTCACAGTTCCACATGGCTGGGGAGGCCTCACAATCATGGTGGAAGGCAAAGGAGTAGCAAAGTCATATTTTACATGGCAGCAGGCAAAGAGAGCATGTGCAGGGGACACGTTCCCCTTTATAAAACCATCAGATGCTGTGAGACTTGTTTACTATCATGAGAACAGCACAGGTAAAACCTGCCCCCAGGATTCAATTACTTCCCACAGGGTCCCTCCCACGACACATGGGAATTATGGGAGCTACAATTCAAGATGAGATTTGGTTGGGGACACAGCCAAATCATATCAAATAGCAATTCAGCCACCCCACTCCCATCATATATCTTTAAAAGGAAAAGCTGAATTGACTAAAAATGGGCCTCTTTCATGCCATGTTCAAAAAAGAGAAGGAAAAAAATTATTTGGGTTTTTCAGTTTTAATCTCTCTACCATTAGGGGGAAATATGTGGAAAGACAAGGCAATTGCACTTGTTATTTATACTTAGGTTAGGTAAGGATCACTTTAAATGTGTAGGCTTCCTAATTATCACAACACATTTAATAATGGATAGGTTCATAAAGAGATGTCATAGCATATAGATTAGAAAGAATCCATATTATAAGTAAATTTATTTACAGATCCATATCTACAGGAGAATTGCACAGTAAGATAGTCATGATAAATTAATACGACTCTCTATCTGCTGATAGATATACATAATGTGCAGAAGACTAATGTTAAAGTAAGAAAACCGAAATGTCTTAACTAGAGGATGTGATTCTTATCTCACTTATTTAAAAAAAATTGTTTTCAGATTTTTTTAAACTTTTATTTTAAGTTCAAGGGTACAAGTATAGGTTTGTCACATAGGTAAACTTGTGTCATGGGGGTTTGTTGTACAGGGTATTTCATCACCCAGGTATTAAAACAGGACCCAATATTTATCTTTTCTGCTCCTCTTCCTCCTTCCACCCTTCAGCCTCAAGTGGACCTCAATGTCTGTTGTTTCCTTCTTTGTGTTTATTAGTTCCCATCATTTAGCTTCCACTTAAAAGTGAGAATATGTGGTACTTAGTTTTCTGTTCCTGTGTTAGTTTGCTAAGGATAATGGCCTCCAGCTCCATCCATGTTGCTGCAAAGGACATGATCTCATTATTTTTTATGGCTGCATAGTGTTCCATGGTATGTATATACCACATTTTCTTTATCCAGTCTATCATTAATGGGCATTTAGTTTGATTCTAGGTCTTTGCTATTGTGAATAGTACTTTAATTAATATACAAAAGAATATAAACCTTTCTGTTTTCTTGCTTATTTTTATTTATTTACTTATTTTTGAGATGGAATCTCACTCTGTCTCCCAGGCTGGAGTGCAGTGGCCTCCAACTCCTGGATTCAAGTGATTCTCCTGCCTCAGCCTTCCGAGTTGCTGGGATTACGGGTGCACACCACCAAGCCCAGTTAATTTTTGTATTTTTAGTAGAGATAGGGTTTCACCACGTTGGCTAGGCAGGTCTCAAAGTCCTGACCTCAGGTGATCTGCCCTCTTAGGCCTCCCAAAGTGCTAGGATTGCAGGCATGAGCCATTGTGCCCAGCCTATTACCTTGTTCATTCTTTCTGACTACTTCTGCTCTGAGTCTGTGTATTCACTAAAGAGAAGACAATTTAGGATACATTCATAGATGTTTATTTTCTATCCCACTTTAGATTTATGTTGTCATCTCGTCCAGGGATTTTAAGGCACTTTTCCAAAAATGTTTGGGAATATAATTGACATCACTAACAGGAATTCAAAGGAATTAAACAGAACAAGAATAATAGCAGAAAATCATTCACTAAGGTACTCAAGTTGAAAAACACATTATATTTTCTCTGAATTAAACTGCTCACTATTCTGCTCTAAAAAGTTTTTAATTGAATAATTTATTCTGCATACTCCAAATTTTAAATATCTATATACTCCAAGTTCTCACCTTTGAAACGAGAGCATCTTTCTCTACCAGGACTTGCTCTAGGTAGTTAAGGTGAGAGGCTGATTTGCAGACTCTCATGGAGACATAACAATGCTGTGATCGTCAAACACTTGTCCTCAGCAATTCCCCCTCATAGTTCATTTTATGGTCTAAAGCAGCATTACCACAAGGTTCCTATTATGTGAGAGATATATCAAATTAATGATTTGGACCCTACTGATACATTAACTAAGATGCATTAAATACTTAGCATGCATTCCACAAAATACTAGATACAACAGTATTTGTGAAAAGAATAAATTTATATCAAGAATACAAACTTCATGTAATCTAACTTTTCTCATATATTATTTTCCAATCATTGATAACACACACGGCCATATAAAGTATTTTAACAATATTTTGTCATTCACTTTATAGCTTATGTCTTTATTATAATTCTTTGTGGCTACCTAAGTTTGGAGAGCTGTTGTCCCATGGTATTTGACTATTTAGGTTGCATTCAATTGTTTGAGCTATTTTTAGATGATTGTGAATGTAAATAGTACCTAAATCGGTACATATTATTATCTCTGGATTAACAAGATTTCTCTCCTTAGCAGAAATTGCAAGTAGTGCCTGTTGCTCACATTTAAAAATCACCTTGATTTGATGATACTCTTGGGTACGATTTCAATTCTCTCATTTTGGAGAGCTTTCTCATCATAAATATATTTTAAAACACAAAACGAGGTGATTTGGCCCATTTTGCTATGTATATAATTTAACCTTCAAAGGCTTATGGTCTACGGAGCAAACAGGTTAATAGGGATGTTTTAAAAAGACATTTTTTCATCTGATGGGACATAATCGTTCCTAAGGAGCTGTTATGGTCCATTGTATAAATCCTTCAAATTCATGGACTATTGGCCCAAAACACAGTAATGGAGCTTGTAGAGCATTGAAAATCTATCATGTTAATATAGCTGCTGCATATGCAGAGTATGAAGTTTACTCTCCCGTCCATGCCTTAGGGATTTGTGTATAATTCTCGTATTAATAGGACTGATTTCTTTACCCCTGATGGGATGTTTTGCCAAGCCCGTTACATGCTAAGCAAAAAAGAGATCTTCTCAGGATTTGCACTGAAACTAGTGATAATAACATGCCTGGAAAATTCTGTCATGTCTAACAAAAATATTTGCTTGCTCAGAATTCCCAGAGGAATCACACCACTTCACATTTGTAAAGCAACAAAGAGCTTTTTTTTAAGTTGTTAGTTTACAAATCAGCACCTGAAATTATTCAGTCGTATTCAGTCAAGTGCCAAAGTACGGTCCCTTCAAAACTTCTTTCATTGATGTTGGCAAGAATGGTTTTGTTCGGAACACATGTGTATATTTCTAATTTTAAAGACTTGTGGGCCTTTTTGGAAAATATAAGGGGCTCTGAGTCACAACTTCTCAATTCCCCTTAATCTTGTTTTCCTCCTTTCCCCGCATAGCTGTAAAAGCCAAGGCTACTGGCAGTGGCATTTTATTGGTCACTCAGAGCACACATCTGCAATGTCAGAGAACCCTTGATCCTAAGCTCTGTGTCTGTCCTTAGCTGCACAGACGTAATAGGGATGAACAGGCTGGAGCCAAGCAGGGTATAATCAAGTCTATAAGGACCCCCTTCATCCATTTAGGCTCTCTGATGGAAGGGTGCTGATGGCTGAAGGAATATTTCTATATGCTTTAATCTAACTAGAAAGGAACAAAGGAGATGAAATAATGTCTTCCCTGTGTATTAACAACGTTAAACCATTTTCCAGATGTATATTATCATCAATAGATTCAATGTGAGTCTAACAACTGTTTTTACTTTAATTGACTATGTTAAGGGCCTGGCAAGTATTAATTTCTTCATTACTGTCTTCACTACCCTTCTGCCGACTGTGCCACTGCCAAAGGTGATTCTCAAAGGATTCAGGCAGAGCCAACCCTCCCTGCAACACTCAGGACGTTTCTTTGTTCCATGATGTGAGAGTTGCTGAGGCAAATACAAAGGTATGCCAAGAGGGTGCTATCTCAATTCTGAAAACCTCAACCAGACTCAAAGAGTGAAGCTTGCCAAATCGTTTTTATTGATGAGCTTCTTGTCATTTTCTCCAAGTAGGAGATAAATTTAGCAGGAAGTTAGACTGTACATTTTTATCCTGGTTTTTACATTGTTTATCTCTATAGCGTTTTGTTACTCAGATTTGTTGCTGGGTCCCACATTCACTCTGCCTAGCTCAGGATGGTGAATTTGTTACCTACTGCGGCTTCCCAGTTGCCAAGGATTCAATATCACATCCCCCATTGAATCAAGTTCATTTCCTTGCTGTAAATGTCCATTAAAAAGTTAAAATGAGGTTGTACAAATCCGCTTTTCTACTTAACTCTGTTTGAATTGGGTTGTTCGTCACTTGCAACCAAAAGATCCTAACAAATTCATTGAGCAACTTTGGCAAAGTCGTATCAGTTTTCTCTTCAGAAAAAAAATGGAACTAGTAATTATTTCTTGTGAAGATGACAGTGGTTTATTTAAGTCACTATCTTATCAAAAATGTGGGCTCAAAAATATTTTCTTTAAAAAGTTACAATGAGACTGTAATTTTTAAAAAGTTAAGCAAGACTTATGTCTGTGTTTCCTTACTAGTTCATAAGGAGAACACTTTTTTTAAGTGTGTATATAGATGCTACTAAATTGACTTTATTGATTCAGCATGGCCACCATCCCATTTTGTAGAGAAAGTATCTCCCTTTCTTTGAAATCTAGCCCCATCTTTCCACTTCTTTCATCTGAATGTAGTCAGCTACCGTGTAGTATGATGACACACAACTGCTGACCACAGTTGACTGATTCAGGGAAGCGTTCCTAATCCAAGTAAGACAAATCAATCCATTCTCTAGTTACTGTCCCCTGGCTACAAACAGCTATCCATCAGTACATACCTTACTGAAGCTGAACCCATTAAGAACTGTCCCAGAATTTTAGAAAAAGAAAAATGTCTGCAAAATCAGTTTCTCTCTGGGAATTTGATGCTGTACCATGTGCAATGAATGAGAAGTCATTCGCCATGTCCTCTGCTTGGAAGACTGGAAGAGCAGTGATAGCTGGTCTGCAAAGAAGAAAGGAGAAATCAGATGTCCAAAGACCATGGAAGACAGATATGTAGGGAGAATCCTAATACTACTTTTGTCCCTGAATGCAATTGTTATTTTGTGCTTGCTTCGTGAAGGTCATGGTATCCCTAAAATAAATTTCTCTTTTTTCTTCAATTAAAACATGAATTAAATTGTTGTTACATACAACCTAAAGTCCTAATATATACATGAGTTTATTTCTTAATTATAAAATATATTTTAGTAATAGAATAATGTAAGTTGTTTTATAATTATTATATAATTTGTCCTATTTGGAATAAACAAATAGTTGCAATTGATTTTAAATACAATTTCAGAAAAATGTAGATCTCATTCCAAGTTTTTAAAATAGCACACTAATTTTGATCTCACATATAAGCCAATCCTAAATTCTAGGGCTCAATTGACAACAGAAACCTCAGTTTTACATATTAACTGTATTTAAATTAACTTTGGTTGATGATGTGTTTATTTTAGGCTTTAAGGTAAGCCTCAAAAGTCCTCAAAATACGGTGTCTAAAATGTATTCATTGATACAATTTATTCTGGAGCTAAAAGTAAACCCAGAAGCATTCCATACCTTCCATTTTTTTTCAAATGGTATAGAGGTAGCTAAATAAGGGGTCTCAGTGAGGGATTTATGAGTTGGTCATTAAAATACGTCAATGAGAACAAGAGTCTTCTGTCACAGGATATATAAAAAGTTTTACATTATGGTTTGGGTGTGAAACGACCCCTCAACAATTGCTTAAGCCAATGAAAGTATTTAAAAGATGAACATCTTCATATTTTGATAAGCTAATCTAAACTTAGATGGATTTCAAAAAAATGGAAAAATGAAAACGAAAATAGCATTAATCTTTTATGTACCAGATATTGAATATCATTTAGCTTTCTAAGATTGAATGACCTATACTGGCAAAATAAAATAAATATAAGTTGAGAATGTTGAGAACGGACTCTGATTCATTCTTATTTAGCTCACTTTCACAGGTTGACTCCATTAAATTCCTTTAATATAAGACTCATGAGAACATAGAATTTTATTTAGCTATTAATGACATTGATTTGTAGAGCTAAGATGTGTTTTATAAAAACAGAAATTACACTTTCTTTTTAAATAGAGGAAAAGAATGTACGAAAATAATTCAGACACATTTGTAGTCAATAAAGCATTCAAAGTTACTCTCCCACCATGGTTCAGAGATAACTTTTTCTACATATATGTTGCAAATTTAAAAGTAACAACTAAAGTAATAGAAGTGGGGCAAATAGCTTTTAAGGAAGCTTTTAAGGAAAAAAAATTAAAATAGTTTTTTTTTCCAAGAAAGGAAGGAAAGGAGAAAATTATGGAATAAAAGAAAACATGGTAAGCTGAGAATATAAAATAACAATATAGAAATTAGATCAAATATTTTAACAATTATAATAAATGTAAATGGCTTAGACTCACCAATTAAAAGTCTGAAGCTGTCAGATTGGAGTTTAAAAATCCAATACAGTAATACAACTGAAAAGAAAATTGTAGACCAGCAATGCAATAACCAAAAGAAAGTTGATGAGGCAGTGGTAACATTGGCAAAACAGAAAAGCAAAACTAACATATTAATAGAGTTAAAGAATGCAGAAAAAAAAACAAAAAAGGTCATCCCAAAAAGAATAAAAATCATGAATTTGTATGCAGCTAATGATGTAGCCTAAAAATAAGTAACAGAAAAATAAACTGAATTACAAAGAAAAATTTGACAAATTTAAGTCATAAATGAAGATATCAAACAATTTTCAATGATGTGAATGATTTATAAATCATACATTATAATTTATAGCCATATGTGTATATGAAATATTAAATATGTCTTTAAAAGTCTTAGCATGAGGGAAAAAGATTATTTCAAAACAACAATCATGTATGGAGAATTTCTTGAATGCTTTTCTGGGGGAAACCAAAGGATATGTTGCCATAAACATTATTCATTCTCATATTCTCTGTGTGTGTGTGTGTTTGTGTTTGTGTGTGTGTGTGTCTATCTGTCTGTCTCCCCGTCTTTCTCTGCTCTGTCTTTACACTCTTTTTTCTATAAGTAGGAAGACTTTTACTTGAATAGGACTCATTTCCAAGCATAAAAATTACACAAAGAGCCAAAAAGGAAAAATCAATATGTTTGAGGTCATTGCCAATATATAAGAGAAGCCAGAGAGATGGTTATGACAAATGTGATAAAGCAAGGTTTAATAGTCTTAATACACAAGGAATTTCTCCAAATTTATAAACATGAACAAAACTCAATTGTAAAATGGGAACAAGATATTTAAAAATAATAATACAATATTTTATATTCTTCTTGAATTGTTATCAAGATTTTTCTTCATTTGTTTCCTGATTTAGGCTAAAAATTATACCGCAAGGAGCCTCAAATTTTGCAGTCTATATTACTTCTCTTATACTGTTTCCGTATTTTCACACACACAAAAATGGGGAAGTACTATGACCCTTCACCGTAAGGTAACGTTGCAACTGCTCATCTATTAATATTTAGACTTGCTCCATGTAATACAATGTGGAGTAAACATTTACTTACACATCTTATTATATTTGCCATATATGCAAATCTAAATAGTCAGGAATAGGAAATCTTAATTCAGGTTCAGAAAAAACCTTAACTGAATTGCCCAAAGAATTTTGAAAAAATTAAGACCAGAGTTATCCAGTTGATTTCCTAAATGCTTCCTTTCATTTTTTTTTTAGTCTTGGATTACTAATGGACAAAATTTATTATGTAAATTACAAGAGATTAATAAAATGTCTAGTAGAGAAAGAACCTCCCTTCCTGGGTGCTATTCCACATTGAGATACATAAAATGGTGAAAATATCAGGGACTCTTCAGAACACGAGCTGATTCACTTGGCTTATAGGCTTGCAGTATGTTTTCTCTGGATTTCTTGCCTCCTCACATGCGGAAGCAGGTAAGGCATTTCTTATCTGGGCATAATGCCAGTCCTCCTTTCAACTGCTTCTGAATAAGCCAGCTGTTTCTAAAACATGGTCCCTCAGTAGGACCCAGCAGCCAAGTCTGTAGGAGTCTCTCCCCTGCGAGGCATACACCGAGCACAACCTCCTCGATACTGGCCCTTTTCTGACTATGGTTATTGGTCTCGTCAGCCTAATGCTCTGCTCTGAATTGTCTTCAGGATGTCATTTTCCACAGACCTCAAGGAGCTTATGTGCTGTTACTTATTTGACAATAAGGTCGTAAGCACATTTTGCCTGTCAAGCATATGTATGATCAAAAAGGTGTGCCCCCTGCTCATTTATGTTCATGCTGTAAATCTGCTTTCTGGCCTTAGAGCTGATCTCATCAGGGGTAAACCTGGAGCAGCACTTCCAGACAGTTATATTGAGCTTGTAACCCTGCGTGGCGTATTGGCCTTTTCTTTTGGTGAATCAAGACATAAGCCCTGCCTCAGCAAATTTAAATAGACAGTTATTGAGATCAACAGGATCTTCCTTGCAAGTTGTCCAGAAATTGCCCAGTTGAAATATTAAAAATGGAGTATTTTCACTGGCCTGGCGTGAATCATGTTTTAGTTCTGTCTGCCTGCTTCACATCTGTAAAAAAATATTCTTGCTAGAAAAGGAAGTTTCTTGGTTCAGTGGTAGACCACTGTCACTTGATGTCTGTTCTTGTATCGATACATCCCCATAGGCTCAGCTGCTGGTGTCTATGGAACTGCAGGTTGGAATCCTTTTTGCTTTTTGTGATGGCTTTGCACTGTGCCAGCTGAGTTAAGCTAGAGCTTTGTTTCCCAGAACTGCCTTTTTTGATGGTGGTGAGTTAGGGTTGACCACGATAATAATTTGCACACAAGATTTGGAAGACAGAAGTAAAGGAGCAACCATTTCTACTTTGGGAATGATTGTTGCAGTTCACACATTGCCCTGATCTGCTGACTCGCCCCATTGGTGTGGGGCAGTAACTGGGCCACCAGCAACTCTAGCAGCTCCCATAGGATCTCCTCTTTTAGCTTCTCTGAATCCCGGATCATGTGCATGGGCAGCACCAAGGTGAAGACTGCATCAGGTCACCTGGATCAGTGATGTTGGAGGCAGCGAGAGACAGGTGCCAGTTCCAGTTTGTCCTTGCTCTTCTCCACTTCCTGTTCATTATTAATTCCCAGCTGTTTACTTTGCTGACATCATGCCCAGTACAAGATACAGGAGCAACAATCTTCTATACATGGTTTAACCAGCTCCCAAATTGCATAAAATTAACTCTGTAACAAATCCTTTATTTTGTATCACTCATAAGGTCTCTCCAAATCTGGCCAATCTGTAATCTATACACTGTGGTTGAGAGTTCTCTTATCATTCATTTTATATGGAACAACAAGAAGGGCAAACATTTTCCCCTTTTCCCATTCAGTGGATGAACTTGTAGCTTTTTTTTGTATTGGAAAGATGGTAAGATTTTAATCCTTTAGTGTTCGTGTCCCTCCTGCACTCTTGCGCTTCTGGTTAAGTAGAGACAGTAACTATCTGTCCCTTGGTGAATATAATGCCAAACCACACATGACACCCACTTCATACTCCCTATTAAAATTTTACAGGTCAAAAATCCAAAACCCACTTAATAAAAATTGTTCTTCATCATAAGTGACAGGAAAGAACAGGTCAATCTATGGAATAATGGTGCAGTAATTATAAACTTTGTAGTTGATAAAGTGTGACTGCTAATCGATGTTTGGCTAATTAATCAATATTTTAATCATTAGACCTTTTAAATTCATTTTAATGAGCATTTCCTCTAATTCCCCTGATCCCATTGCTTCCAATGTTTCTTTTATCACTGTTAAAGAACACAGCAAGGATTTGTCTGTTCTGAGTGTCCGGCATCTCTAAAGACTTTGTAGAGTGATGCACCTCATGTACATAGAGATATCCAAGTGCCCAGATTTAGGCGATTAAACAAGAAAGGTATAAAGTCACCACATTATCATGCAACATTTGCTTAATGGCAAAAAGTTATGATTTAGAACATCACATTAAAACCATCGTAAACTTTACATTCTCAAAGGATGTTTGGAAAATTGTGTTTCTTACCCACTGTTAAAATTGGACAGTGTTCATGAAATCTTTATGTCTCCTATGTCACAGCCTGTATTTGCTCTCATGCTGTGTCATAGCTTCCACGAGCATGCATGCTCATTATTTTATCCTCCTTTTCCTTGTCCTCTTTTTTCTTTTCCCCATTCTTCTTTTTCCACACTTACATCTTCTCTGCCTCCTTTTTTCCCTCTTACTCATCAATACTCCCTCATCTTCAGCCTTTACGCTGCCCCAAATATCTCGACAGAAATTATCACAATTGAGATTTATGTGAATGATATAAACGAGGACAACATTGGACTAACACTTCTCCTTATTTAGCAAGAAAAGAAGTGAGGTTCATACAGGTTCAGAGGTGTGCCCAAAGGACACACAGTCTAAAATATAACCTGAGTCCCCTAAGTATTATTTTATATATATTCAATAATCTTCTTAAAGTGACATGGAAATTTGAACTGGTTTTTCAGTAGGTTTGAAAGAAAAATCTTTCATTTCCCTGTAGTCTTTGTGCAGCAGCTACCATTTCCCATAGTATTCATTCTAAATCTATTACACAGAAAGTAAAGACACAAGTTAAAAAATGTAGCAAGAAGTATTTTTGTAAATGCCTTTAAGACATTCTTAGGAAGATGCCATCAGACAATGCAGTGGCTTAAGCTGGGCACCTGTGAGAATATGGGGTTACAGTGCTGTAGGTCTTCCCAAATTACACTGTACACTGTGTAAGTACATGACAGTGCCTGACATGAACAGAGATTGGAATCACTGTGTCTGTACAGGTCTCAGAGAGTCTGAAACGCTGAATATTAAATACTGCACCCTACTAAAGTACTTTTGGATATCCTGATTATTCTGTAAATTTAGGGCACTTTGTAAATTGCCATAGTCATTAATAAAAAGTATATTTAAAGATTAGCTATCAAGTACAATTGATTTGCTCTAGAATTTTGGTAATGACATGTGTAGTAATCAGTAGAACTATTCGCAATATTCGTAACTTTTCAGTTTTCCTTTCCTTCCAGGTACATGGTGAGATTACTACCACCTTTGAAGTTAGATGTGGTCACTGACTTGCTTAGGCCAGCAGTGACATATATCTCACTTGAGGAAAAGGGTTAAGAACCAGTAGGTGACTTTCCATCTTCTCTGACTTCTGTTGTCAAGGTTGTGAAGGTGAATCTCTGACAGCCTGTGTCTCTGCATAACGGCAAGGAACACAGGGATCCCTGAGAACTGCACTGGGCATGTAGCATGAGCCCAAAACGACTTAGTTGTACTGTCTCTCCTGACTAACAGAGCATGTTTTGAGAAAGTTGCAGGGTAGTCGACACTGTAAACAACATCCTTCCTTTTCCCATCACTTAAAATAGCATTGCCCTCTACAATGTCATAAGAACAACATACTCTTCTCACACATGGGTGTAACAAAAACCAGGGAGCTAGGTTTTATGTGTGGATTTAGGCAATCAATCTCATTACTTTATGACAGTACCTTGTAGACTCTATTTCATGTTAGGACCACATTATCTTATTGAACAACTTTAACTCACCTTCATCTTTTACAAAACCTAAATGTTAGCTTTTGCCTTGCTCCTTATTACTCAAGATTCACTATATCTTGTACATCTATTACCAGTGAATAAAATTCTTGAAGATGGATAGAAAATGCCTACAGTTATATCAAGATTTTTGATACTTTCTAAGTAAGGAATTCACTGCCATTTTTAGGAAAAAAATCGCATAGGGACATCTTTATAATACATTTTATTTTATGTTACCTACAAAAAGCAAAATATGATGTTCAAAAAAGAAGGCTTAATTGATATCTAGTATTTTTATTTTGATAATTTCAGCCCTCATATGTGTGGGTCTTATATTAATTAGTTAGCATCGTATTTTGGCAGTCTTTGTCTGAGTGAGATCCTTTGACATAAAAGGGCAAGAATCCTGGAGGTAAGCCATTAAGATCCTGAACCATCAGACAGTAACAGATTTTGGGTTTTAGGGGGTCAAAAATAACACCACTGTTCCCAACCTGAGATCAGAACCAATTTAGAGAATGATACAGGAGTCAGACAGTTAGAGATCAAAATGTCAGCTTTATTACTGATAAAAGCAATAGTGAAGGACATAGCTTAGATAAGTCCTAATAGGCTTGCTAAGGCTCCTCTGAATTGAAGTCACCCCCCTTCCCATTACCACCGAACAGACAACAAACAAACCCCCTGCAGTCCTGCAGTGGTAGGAGCACAGCCTGCTCTACCAACTTTATCACATGGCTGACAGCAGGTGGAAATCCACCTACTCTGTAGGCTGTCAGATTCCAGAAAGAAAAGCAAAAGGACAGGCTGCGGCAGGCATGTCTGGTTTATACTTGCAAACGAAATAAGCTGCTCCTTTTCTCCAGGAAAGAGAATGTAAGATGTAGTGAGTGATACTGAAGACATCACTCTTGGGCAGAGTTTCTCAACTGCAGCACTATTGACGTTTTACACTGGATAATTCCTTGTTGTAGGAAGCTGTCCTATGCGTTGTATCTACCCAGGAAATATTAGTCTCACCCCTATTAGTTGTGACAACCAAAATGTATCTAACTATTGCCAAATGACTGGGGTGGGAGTGAAAATGTAGAATTTTCCCTGGCCGAGAAGCCTAAAGGCTTCTTTACTTGGAAGTGTGAGGAAAAAACAGTAAGTGTTTTCCATTACTGAAAACTAGCAAGCCAGTGAAAGTGACCACTAGATTTTAAGTTCTCTGACTACTTCTTTGTAAAGTAGATCCTAGAAAAGTGCCTTTCAGATTGGCCACAGTACAACAAAATTCTAAGCAATAATAACTCAGGCATTGTCAGAAGAAAAATGAATGTTCCTAGGAGGAAGAAAAAAGAAAATTGCCATCATTTCTATGATTATTTCAGAAAATATCAGTATTCACATGAATGTTATTAATAAGAATTAGCAGAGAAAGGTAAAGACAAAAAAGGGAAAAAAATAAAGGGGGTGAATATTACCAAATTAATCCCCCCAGTGTTTACATGTTTCCTATACACAGAAAATTCTAGATATTGTGGGGGATTATAAATTGTCTGTACTATATCATCTAAACTATATCTTCTCTGTCATGAAAAATATGGGCATTATGACATAGACCCATAAAAAGTTCAATATCAGTATCACGCAGGATGTGATTCAGTGCAATTCAGTCCTCATCTTTTGTCTTTTGGAATCTATCTTTTAACTCCCTGAAGTGAAGAAAGCCCTTGCTTTGTTTCTTTCCTCCGTCTGAAAGCCTAATACCTGTGTAGCTACAGAAGCTGTGCAGTCAAATATCAGAAAAGAAAAATCCTATCAGTAACAGGCCTTGGCTAGCTAAGGTTATGGGATAAGACAAGAAACCAGGAATAAGAGAACCAAGTGTACAGTGACAGAGAATAGACTAGACCTTATCATGGGGCCATTAACAGAAGTCATTTAAAGGGCAAAATGGAAATTGGATTAAAAAAAATTGGGTTAAAAATGAAGACCCAAATAGGTAAGGGCTCTTAACTTTTTTGATGTCATTAAATATTTCAAGGATCTGACAAACTGTATATACCCTCTTCCCAAAGAAATGCGTGAACATACATACACAAGCACATATAATTTTGTCTAGGGTTTTAGTCGGCTTCATGGACTATTGATCTAGGATAAAGCAAGGTTATTGGTCAAAAGTCTGAGTAACAAGAAACCGTGCCCACAGAGACTGTAAGAGTTAGAGCATTCTCTTTCATAATTGCTATGTGGGATAATGCCTTAAATAAAACTGTAGCATCAAAATAGAGAGTGTGCGCAGTTACATGGATAATCTGGATCCAGAAATCTTTTTGAAGAAAAAGAAATGTTTGACTTCCGTTATCTTTTGATTAAATATTTTTAAGGATCAAAGTCATGAGTTCTCAATCCATATTGCCCATGGACAAAGCTTTGGTCTAAAAATCACATCTCCTAAAAGTCTAATTTTTCCCATTTTTACCACATAACTGGTCCCTTAATTACACAATTTTACAATCTGAGATAGAAGAGAGAACTGATCTGCTAGGCAATGTAGTAACGTGTCCCCATAGACCTACACATGTCCTCCATTCACGATGATTCCAATTTAGATAGCCCCATGGTAAACTAGAATAAGAGCTAACATGTATGGTGGGTTTACCACATATTAGGAACTGTCCTAAGTACCTTATATGCACTATCTCATTTAAATCTCAAGGAACACTGTGAAGTAACTACTTTTATTATTATTCCCATTTTTCCAAATAAAGAACCTGAGGCATAAAAGATTGAATGACTTTTTGATCACCACTACTAAAAGCAACAGAGTGGGAATGCAAGCTCTGGCTTTTGGTTCTCTATCCTGAGCTTTTAACATCTCCACTATACCACCCTTATGGCATATAAAAGGCACAATTCTTTGAATTTTTAGTTCTCTTCTTCATAACCATTATTTTTATTTTTCAAAATTTCTGTTTTCATACATCTTTCCAGTATGTGTATTTTATATGTAATTCAGAAACAATGTTAATTTCAATATATCTCAAGTCGACTAAAAGAGAAGGAGCTATGTTCACATTATAGGGCATAACTGTATTCCTTGCACAATCCCAAAACAGGGTTGGTTGGCCTTTTCTGATGCCTTTTAAGTATTTATAAAGCATTTGCTTAACTTGTACTTGAAGTTTATTTCATCTGTTTCCATATTTCTTCCTCCTACAGGTCTGAAAATATCTACTGCAAATTTTTTTTTTTAATTTTATGCCTTAATTTTTCCCTCCTCTTATATTTTCTACTCGTACCTCATAAGAGAATAAAGCCTAGTCGTGTGAAGAGAGCACTTTAAAGGGTTCAGATGGCTGAGATTTTATTCCTGACTCTGCTACTGACCTATTGCATGCCTTTGGGTTTAACCTCACTGCACCGGACTTGGTGAAGAGGTGTATCAGCTTCTAGGCTAACACGCACTCAATGGGCCAGATCCTTCAAATGAGCCAATTGCACTTGGGGATTAAGTTAAGCCATTTGGAGGGGCATTAACCCTTTCTGGTCAATGAATTTTTTATGCACGAGTAGAATAACTTACTAAACAGTGCCTACTGTCCTTCACTACATACCCCTTCTTCCCCAATTGCCTAACTTACACAGAAAGTGTCACACTCAGTCAATAACTAAGCAGTACTTGAGAGAAGTGCTGAGCAGTGAAAAAAAGGAATAGCAAGTAAATGAAACAACCCTCAACAAACAGGTGAACAAACTGTAGAAATCTATGACATGAAATGGACTGCTTTCCTCTCCTCATTGAATTTAGTTGCCTGTTTGTTTCTCCTCCCTTTTGCTGGCTTCTAGCATTCCAGGAGTACACGTGTCATAGAACAGCCCTGCATAGTCACCACATTGTCTGTGAAAGAACCCATTTGTTAAGTTCAGGAATGGTATCCATTGCCCTCTAGATCATGGATAAATTCCAGACTGTTGCCTTCAAAGTTGTCCATTAGAAGGACTCAATCCACTTATTCGTTTTAATCTTGAGGCCATCAAGACTATTCTGGCCAAGCTTTCTCTATTGAGTTGATTCACAGTGAGTTCCTCTTCTACTGACTCTAGTTCTTCTCTGAAACTTTTTACACACATGCTCCTGCCTCTTGTCTTTCAGTTTCAACAGGTTCTTTCCTTTCACTCGAAGCACAGGTGGGCCTCCTCCAAAGCTTCCCATAGTCAGTTTTTTTCAAGGAAATCCCTGAGGAAGTCAGGGCTATTGAGACTATAAGTGTGCTTTTCTTTATGATGGAGATGGGGGAATTATTCTCCTATTAGATTTGTAAGCTTCTTGAGTATTGGGGTCCTTTTATAAACTTGCCAGTTAGATGTTCAGTCCATAACCAAGAGATTCATTGATGGACTAAGAAATGAGAATCCTAAATTTTACAACCTAGGATGCAGCAGGACTCTTACATAGTTTCACAGATATTGTGAACATTTATTTTCAATATGGAGTGTAGAATTATTTGTATATAGCTATTTACATGTCATGCATGGGTCCCTATCACAAAATAAGGAAGACAGTCTCTCTAAATTAAAGCAAAAGTATTAGAAAGAAGGAATGTTTTTATTTTTTTCTTGTTAAACAATTTACTTAAAATCTGAAACTGAGAGCAGAGAATGCTTTGTTTTGTTTTCTTATTTTAAACAATTCATTTGAAATCTGGAACTGAGAGCCTTGGGTTAGAAATGAATGGATGCTAAATAATATGTGATCTATTTTATTAGAGCACTCCCAGGCCAAATTTGAACTAATAAATAATGGTGTGAAGGCTGGGTGTGGTGGCTCATGCTTGTAATCGCAGCACTTTGGGAGGCCAAGGCAGGCAGATCATGAGGTCAAGAGATCGAGACCATCCCGGTTAACACGGTGAAACCCTGTCTCTACTAAAAATACAAAAAATTAGCTGGGCTTGGTGGCAGGCATCTGTAGTCCCAGCTACTCGGGAGGCTAAGGCAGGAGAATGGCGTGAACCTGGGAGGTGGAGCTTGCAGTGAGTGGAGATGGTGCTACTGCACTCCAGGCTGGGTGACACAGTGAGACTCCATCTCAAAATAAATAAATAAATAAATAAATAAATAATAATGATGGTGTGGCCTTGAAAAATTACTTAATCTCTTTGAGCCTTAGTTTCTTCAATGTGATAGAGAGCTAATATCACCTAACTCTATGGTGAAATGAATGAGAATGAAACAAAGTAACTCATATAGCCCTATTCTTAGCACATATCACCAACTAAAAAAATACAACTTTTGTGATTGTCTCTCCTCTCTCTCTTTCTAGTTTGTACATGTGCTACATATAGAAACTACATATTTTAACTTTTACATCTTGCTGAGAAAAGTATTAAGTTTGGAAAATAGAATAGAAATAAATACAGGAAAGAAAAAGAAATCTCCATGGGTAATTAAATACTCATTCAAAAAGGTGAAAAATTGAAGTTTTAATTTAAAATAAGCTCTTCTAGCTGACCATCTGGATGTAACCCACTAAAATATATAAGATACAGGAAAATAGAAACTCATAACAATCCTAAAAACTATAGCTGCCTGTCACTCTATTGTCAAAATCTGGACAACATATTTAGGAACATTAAGACTGATAAAACTACACTGAAACAAACAGTTGATAGCCCTGTCTTGGTATAATTGAGAAAGAAGCACCCCTGTTTTCTCGAAAGTTGTCAGGAACACCTTTAATTTCTCTCCTCATACTCAATTTCCTGGTTCAGAAACACAAGGTCATTGCCAAACAAAACAACTATAAAGGTGCCGGGTTTTTTGTTTGTTTGTTTGCTTTCTTGCTTGTTTTTTTGTTTGTTTTAAGTAGCTGGCATTCTGGTAAAATATATCCTGGCAGCATAGTAACCATAATAAATATGTGATGATTAATACTGAGTGTCAACTTGATTGGATTGAAGGATGCAAAGTATTGATGCTGGATGTGTTTATGAGGGTGTTGCCAAAGGAGAGGAAATAAACCCTGCACTGCCTGAGGCAACAGTGATGGCCTCCCCTAAGGCAGTTGCCAGGCAAGATAATGTTGATTCTCCTCAGTAGTCACCCCCAACATTCCATTTGCTTCTAGACCTATAACTGGACTAAAGTCCCTATGGGCCCCTAGAGGTGAGGTTGAGAGTGTGACCCATGAGGAGGTTTGCTACACTCGAAAAGAACTCTTTGAGTTTTTAATTTATGTAAACAGAAATCTGGAGAACAGGCATGGGAATGGATATTAAGGGTGTGGGATAATGGTGTAAGGAACATAGAGTTGGATCAGGCTGAATTTATTGATTTGGGCCCACTAAGTAGGGACTCTGCTTTTAATGTTGCAGCTTGAGGAGTCAAAAAAGGTTCTAATAGTTTATTTGCTTGGTTAGCTGAAATATGGATTAAAAGATGGCCCCTGTGAGCAAGCTGGAAATGCCTGATCTCCTTTGGGTTAATGTGGAGGAAGGGATCCAAAGGCTTAGGGAGATTGGGATGATGGAGTGAGTTAGTCACTTTAGACCTACTCATCCCAGCTGGGAGGGTGCAGAAGATATACCCTTGACCAATGTCTTGTGAAATAGATTTGTGAGGGCAGAACCTAGATTTTTGAAGAGTGCTGTAACTGCTCTTCTCTGTATGTCATATCTAACAGTGGGAACCGCAGTCACTCAACTACAAAATTTAAATACAATTGGAATAATTGGATCCCGAGGTGGCAGGGGCCAAGTGGCAGCAATCAACCATCAAAGGCAAGGTGGTCATAGCTACTGTAAAGGACAGCAGAAGCAAAACAGCAATCAGAATAGTGTGACTCATGTAGAGCTCTGGCATTGGCTAATTAATCACAGTGTTCCTAGAAGTGAAATTGATAGGAAGCCTACTACATTCCTACTTAATTTATATAAGCAGAAAACTTCCAGGTAGAATGGACAAAAGACTAATTTTAATTATAAAAAACAGAGAATCACAGCCCCTCAATCAATTTCCAGACTGGAGCCAGTTTACTGACCCAGAACCCATTGAATGAAAGGGAGACCGGGTCCCCTTGAGGAAGGACCCCACTGCCTTACCAATGATGTATACTGTTAATCTTTCTCCCCTGCTTCCCCAAAGAGACCTCTGGCCTTTTACCAGGGTAACTCTTCACAGGGGAAAGAGAAATGATCAGACATTTCAGGGACTACTGGACACTGGCTCTGAGCTGATGTTGATTCCAGAGGACACAAAACATCACTGTGGTCCTCCAGTTAAAGTAGAGGCTTATGGAGGTCAGGTAATTAATGGAGTTTTAGCTCAGATCCAACTTACAGTGGGTCCAGTGGGTTCAGGGACTCATCCTGTGGTCATTTACCCAGTGCCAGAATGCATAATTGGCATAGGCATACTTAGCAGCTGGCAGAATCCCCACATTGGCTCCCTGACTAGTAGGGTGAGGGCTATTATGGTGGGAAAGCCACCAGAATGAAAGCCATTAGAGCTGCCTTTAACTAGAAGAATAGTATATCCAAAATAATATCGCACCCCTGGAGGGATTGTGGAGATTAGTGCCACCATCAAGGACTTGAAAGATGCAGGGGTGGTGATTCCCACCACATCCCTGTTCAACTCTCCCCTTTGGCCTGTGCAGAAGACAGATGGTTCTTGGAGAATGACAGTGCATTATCATAAGCTTAACCAAATGGTGACTCCAATTGCAGCTGCTATACCAGATGTGGTTTCATTGCTTGAGCAAGTTAACACATCTCCTGGTAGCTGGTATGCAGCCATTGACTTGGCAAATGCCTTTTTCTTCATTCCTGTCCATAAGGCCCACCAGAAGCAATTCGCCTTCAGCTGGCAAGGCCAGCAATATACCTTTACTGTCCTACCTCAGGGGTATATCAGCTCTACCACTTTGTGTCATAATCTTATTCAGAGAGACCTTGGTTAATTTTTCCCTTCCTCAAGATATCACACTGTTCCATTACATTGATGACATTATGCAGATTGGATCCAGTGACCAAGAAGTAGCAAACACACTGGACTTATTGGTGAGACATTTGTGTGCCAGAGTATGGGAAATAAATCCGATTAAAATTCAAGGACCTTATACCTCTGTAAAATTTCTAGGGATCCAATGGTGTGGAGCCTGTTGAGATATTCCTTCTAAGGTGAAGGATAAGTTGCTGCTCTTGGCCCCACCTACAGCCAAGAAAGAGGCACAACGCCTAGTGGGCCTATGGATTTTGGAGGCAACACATTTCTCACTGGGTTTGTTACTCACACCTATTTACTGAGTGACCCAAAAGGCTGCCAGTTTGAGTGTGGTCTAGAACAGGAGAAGGCTCTGCAACAGGTCCAGGCTACTGTGCAAGCTTCTCTGCCACTTGGGGTATATGACCCAGCAGATCCAATGGTGATTGAGATGTCAGTGGCAGATAAGGATGCTGTTTGAAGCTTGTGGCAGGCCCCCATAGGTGTATCACAGTGGTGGCCTCTAGGGTTTTGGAACAAGGCCCTGCCATCTTTGTCAGATAAGTGCTCTCCCTTGAAAAGACAGCTCTTTGCCTGTTACTGGGCTTTGGTGTAAACTGAACACTTGACTATGGGTCCTCAAGTCACCATATGACCTGAACTGCCTATCATGAACTAGGTGCTTTCTGACCCATCTAGCCATAAAGTGGGTTGTGCGCAGCAGCATTCCATCATCAAATGGAAAAGGTATGTATGTGATCAGGCTTGAGCAAGTCCTGAAGGCACAAGTAAGTTACATGAGGAAGTGGCTAAAATGTCCATGGTCTCCAGTCCGGCCACCCTGCCTCCTCTTCCCAGCCTGCACCAATGGCCTCATGAGGAGTTCCCTATGGTCAGTTAACAAAGAAAGAGAAGACTAGGGCCTGGTTCACAGATGGTTCTGCACAATATGCAGGCACCACCCAAAAGTGGACAGCTGCAGCACTAAAGCCCCTTTCCAGGACATCCCTGAAGGATAGCAGTGAATGAAAATCTTCCCAGTGGGCAGAACTTCAAGCAGTGCACCTGGTTGTGCACTTTGCGTGGAAGGAGAAATGGCCAGATGTGCGTATATATACTAATTCATGGGCTGAAGCCAGTGGTTTGGCTGGGTTGTCAGGGACTTGGAAGGAGCCTGACTGGAAAATTGGTGACAAAGAAATCTGGGGAAGAAGTGTGTGGATAGACCTCTCTGAGTGGTCAAAAACTGTGAAGATATTTGTATCCCATGTGAGTCCTCACCAAAGGGTGACCTCAGCAGAGGAGGATTTTAATAATCAAATGGACAGTGTGACCCATTCTGTGGATACCACTCACTGTCTTTCCCCAGCCACCCCTGTCATTGCCCAGTGGGGCAATAAGCAAAGGGGCCATGGTGGCCGGGATGGAGATTACACATGGGCTCAGCAACATAGACATCCACTCACTAAGGCTGACCTGGCTACAGCCACTGCTGAGTGCATAATTTGCCAGCAGTAGAGACCAACAGTGAACCCTCTATATGGCACCATTCCTTGGTGAGATCCGCCAGCTACCTGGTGGCAGGTTGATTATACTGTACCTCATTCATCATGGAAAAGGAAGAAGTTTGTCCTCACTGGAACAGACACTTACTCTGGATATGGGTTTGCCTATCCTGCATGCAATGCTTCTGTGGATTCATCTGTGGATTCATGGACTGCCTTATCCATCGTCATGGTATTCCACACAGCAATGCCTCTGACCAAGGCCCTCACTTTATGGCTAAAGAAGTGTGGCAGTAGGCTCATGCTTATAGAATTCACTGATCTTACCATGTTCTCCATCATCCTGAAGCAGCTGGAATGATAGAATTGTGGAATGGCCTTTTGAAATCACAATTCCAATGCCAACTAGGTGAGAGTACTTTGCACGGCTGAGGAAAAATTTTCCAGAAGGCCATGTAGGCTCTGAATCAGCTCCCTGTATATAGTACTGTTTAGCCAGGATTCATGGGTCCAGGAATCAAGAGGTGAAAGTGGAAGTGGCACCATTCACCATCACCCATAGTGATCCACTAGCAAAATTTTTGCTTCCTATTCCTGTGGCATTACATTCTGCTGGCCCAGAGGTCTTAGTTCCAGAGGGAGGAACACTCCAGTGGGAGGAATGGAGACACAACAACAATTCCACTAAACTGGAAATTAAGATTGCCACCTGGACTCCTTGGGCTTCTCCTACCTTTAAATCAACAGGCTAAGAAGTGAGTTACAGTGTTGGCTGGGGTGATTGACCAGGAATATCAAGATGAAATCAGTCTACTACTCCACAATGGAGGTAAGGAAGAGTATGCATGGAATACACGAGATCCATTAGGGCGTCTCTTGGTATTACCGTGCCCTGTGATTAAGGTCAATGGGAAACTACAACAGCTCAATCCAGGCAGGACTACAAATGGCCAAGACCCTTCAGGAATGAAGGTTTAGTTCACTCTACCAGGAAAAAAAAAAAAAGGAAAAAAAAAGGAAAAAAATAAACTTGCTGAGATGCCTGCTGAAGGCAAAGGAAATATAGAATGGGTAGTAGAAGAAGGTAGTCATCAATACCAGCGATGACCACATAACTAGCTACAGAAATGAGGACTGTAATTGTCATGAGTATTTCCTCTTTATTTTGCTAAAAACATGTTTGTGAATGTATACACTTGTTCTAAGAAAATATCTTCATTTTATTTCCTTTTTCCTTTATCATGTGACATAAGATATATTGACTTCATTTAAGTATTGTTAACCTTATGTAATAGCATGTGGGTTGGGGATTGATGCATTTCTGGTTGTATAAAGGATAGTTGTATTCTGTTAGGCGTAATCATGACTTTATTATAGTCTTTATTTGAAGATGATGTATTTTCTCAGGAGATGTGTATGGGTTTAAGTTGACAAAGGGTAGACTTGTAATGGTTAATACAGAGTGTCAACTTGATTGGATTGAAGGATGCAAAGTATTGATCCTGGGTGTGTCTGTGAGGGTGTTGCCAAAGGAGATTAACATTTGAGTCAGTGGGCTGGGAAAGACAGACCTATGCTTAATCTCTGTGCAACATTTAATCAGCTGCCAGAGAATATTAAACAGGCAGAAAAATGTGAAAAGGCTAGACTGGCCTAGCCTCCCAGCCTTCATCTTTCTCCCATGCCAGATGCTTCCTGCCCTCAAACATGGGACTCCGAGTTCTTCAGTTTTGGGACTCGGACTGGTTTTCCTTGCTCCTCAGCTTACAGGCTGCCTATTGTGGGATGCTGTGATTATGTGAGTTAATACTTAATAAACTTAGTCTGTCCCACTAGAGAACCGTGAGTAATAGAAAATGTTAGGAGATTAAAAAGAAATAGATGTATAGCTAGAATGGGCCTTGAAAATACAATACATACTAAGGATTGTAATTTAATATGTGCTGCCTCTGTACACAGTGTTGAGCTACAAGAGTGTAGGGGATCATGTCAGGTTGTTATCACCTACGCTAACTGAATAGATTACAGACAGAAGTTGTGATGGAAGATGTGCACTTCAAAGTACTGACTACATCTCGATCTGAGTTTGGGAGAACATTTGAATTTGTCAGACTTGGGGGAAAATGTTATGTAGATAACACAATGTTTCATAATAAACACTGAATTTGGATAGACCTCTGCAAATTTGAGTTTGAATAAACCAAAAACAATAGGCAGCTTATGGGGGAAAAGGAGGAGAGGAGTCAGACAGCACAGTGCTATGTAGATCGGGAGCAAATCCTAAACAAATTTAACCAGGTCTAGAAGAAAATTTTATAAACTGTTTGATGTCTTCAATTAAGGTCACGTATAGCATCTGTTGCCCTCAGCATCGCAAACACTATACCAATATTATTAACGTTCTCCATTAGCAGGACTCACTAACAACACAACAATCATAAAACCCCTTATGAAACACGAGCCAAAATCCACAAGAAGAGGAGATGATGAGATGAAAACAGTGAAATATAACAAAGATTTGGATATCATAGTAAAGGATAGTAACTCTGGACAACACCTTTACAGAGCTAGTGGGAGCTATAGCAGCTGATTTTGAATTCTACACAGATGATGAAGTTTCAGATGGTTATTTCATTCACTCATTGACCAAATGTTTATTGAGGTTTCCTCTGTGCCATATAATGTGTAAGCTGTGAATAAGTTACAACAATTAACAGCAGAATGTAGGTCTCTAATCTTAAGGAGCTTACATAACAGTGAGGAATTCAGATAAAATAAAATGGCTGATAATGGTAAGTGCTAGAAGTGGAGTAAATTATAATAATAATTATTATTTGAAATGGTGTCTTGCTCTGTTGCCCAAGCTGGAGTGCAGTGGCACGATCTCAGCTCACTGCAACCTTGACCTCCTGAGCTTAGGCAATCCTCCCACCTCGCCTCACAAGTAGCTGGCACCACAGGGGCATACCACCACACCCCACTATATTTTTTTGTATGTTTTGTAGACATGAGCTTTCATCATGTTGCCCAAGCTAGTCTCAAACTCCTGGGCTCAAGTAACCCTTCCACCTCGGCCTCCCAAATGCTGGGGCTAGAAGCATGAGCCACTGCACCCAGCCAAAGTGGAATAAATTAGATAATAGAAAGTAAAAGAATGAATACTTTAGAAGCAGGTAGTGACGGGAGTTCTCTCTGAAAGAATTACGTAAACCTGAGAGACAAACAGCAGGGAGTCCGTCTTTCTGAGAGAAGGGGGAGCATTATAAGGGAATATTTTAGCGCCAATATCTCAGTGGCAGAAACTTAGTAATTTCAAGGAATGGAAAGAACTTTAATATGGCTGAATCCTAGTGGACAAAGGCATTGTGTTAAGATAACTGGAAATAGGCCGGGCGCGGTGGCTCACGCCTGTAATCCCAGCACTTTGGGAGGCCGAGGCGGGCGGATCAAGAGGTCAGGAGATCGAGACCATCCCGGCTAAAACGGTGAAACCCCGTCTCTACTAAAAATACAAAAAAATTAGCCGGGCGTAGTGGCGGGCGCCTGTAGTCCCAGCTACTTGGGAGGCTGAGGCAGGAGAATGGCGTGAACCCGGGAGGCGGAGCTTGCAGTGAGCCGAGATCCCGCCACTGCACTCCAGCCTGGGTGACAGAGCGAGACTCCGTCTCAAAAAAAAAAAAAAAAAGATAACTGGAAATTAAGCCAGAACATGTGGAGTTTTATAAGTCAGGGAAAGTAGCTTGGATAGTATTTCTCATGTGCTGGAAGACATTAGAGGTTTCCACAGAAAGCAGAATCTGAGACAAAACTTAAATGTGGGTGATTCAGGGGAGAATTTGATTCAGGAAGCAGCTAGGAGAAACATGGGAGCAATTCAAAGAATAAGGAAGAACTAATACAAGAATATAATGCATTATTAATTTGGCCAACACTAGGGGTGACTGCTTGCTAGATACCAGGAGACTATCTGAGAACTATATGGAATGTGTCTTTGAGCAGTCTGTCTGGGAAATGCTAAGGGAAACATTTTATCACCATTTCTCCATCATTTCCCAGTTCCCACTTACCAAGTATCTTCCCTGCAGGATAGTGATATCCTTACACTTCCGAGTTGTGCATATGTGAACAGTGAGTGGATTCCAGAGGCATCTCACATCACAGAATCAGCAGCAGGAGGTGAAAGGCTGATGGTGTAAGCCTTAGCTTAGGCATTGGAAGATTGTACATGCATATGGCTGATTAGAGCTGTCATAGCAGCACTGGCACAAGAAATGAATGAATGAAGAATATCTCAAGAAGTAAATAATAGGATTTGCCTTTACTTTATAAAGATTATTTTGGGTTATATATGGAAAATAGTTTGTTGGGGAAAAAATAAAATGAAGGTAGAGAAGAGCATGTGGAAAGCCTTTGCAGCCACTTATGCAAGATTTGATGGTGCCTTGGCTTGGGGTTCAAGTGGAAAAGTTGTAGTACAGGTGGAGAGAAGATATATCTCAGAGGTAGACTTTCCATGAAACATTAAATAAGATGTGAAGAGTGAGGAGAATTTGAATAATCTAAATTGGAGATGTGTACACACCTATACACAAACACACACGAATGCACAAACAGAACTTATGTATTTAATTTAATCTTTTAGATGAGAGTATGTCACAAAATATACTTTAATAAATTCTTAAATTTAGAAAGTGGAAATGAACAATTATAAATTAGCCCAGTTCAACCTCTTGGATATTTTAAAACATTATTAGTACCAAGTAAGTCGGTCAAATAAGGAATTACTATCAGGCGGAGCTTGCAGTGAGCCGAGATTGCACCACTGCCCTCCAGCCTGGATGACAGAGCGAGACTGTGCATGTGGGGCTCCAGGGAAGTCCCCAGCCCACTGAAACAGAAGCTTCTTGGGTATTATGTTATTGATTGGCTCAGAACTAGATAAGCTAGAGCTTGAGTGAGGGGCTTTTATCCTTTTCTTACAGTCCATTTTAAAAGAGGAAACCAATCAGCCTTCCTGTTTCAGTAGGGCTGAAGGTTTAGTGGCTCACCAATGGCCAATGATTTAATCAATTATGCCTAGGTAATGAAGCCTCCATAACAAATCTAAAAGACATGATTCAGGGAACTTTTAGTGATGAAAAAAACAAAACAAAACAAAAAAGCCACATCCATGTGCCAGGAGTGTAGCATGTCATAACTCCATTTGGGTAGAAGCTCTTGAGTTTGGGACACTTCGAAATCTCACCCTGGAGCACTCTAAATCTTGCTCTGTGTTTCTCTTCATCTAGCTGGTCATTTGTATTTTTGAAAATATCCTTTGTAATAAGTAAGTAAAGCATGTAAAGTGTTTTCCTATGTTCCATGAGCCAATCTAGCAAACGGATTAAACACAACGAAGGTATCATGGGAATCCTTAATTTATAATCAGTTGGTCAGAAGTACAGGTGATTGGCATTTGAAGTTGGGGGTGTTTTGTGGGACTGAACCCTTAACCTATAGGATCTGACACTATCTCCCTAGACATAGTGTCAGAATTAAATTGAATTGTAGGCCAACAGATGGTGTCTGCTGGAGAATTGCTCAGTGTGTGGGAAAACCTCCTGTTCCATGACCGGTATCAGAAGTGTTGTGTTGAGTGACTATGTGAGAGAGCAGGAAAAAAGTTTGTTTGTTTTTCTCAGACTGTCTCATCTTTACCAAATATAAAACTAGACAAAATCCATAAAACAACAATTTTTAGACACTGGACAACCAGCAGAACAAGACAGTCATCCCTGAAAAGTAAAAGGAAACAAATCTGGTGAGGCCCAATTCACTGTGTAGAATATGCAGTTTTCCGTACTGCAGCACAGAATGGGGAAACTGAACAGATCTTGCAGTTTTGCTTAGTTTAAGGGACATAGTTCAAAATGCTGGGAGGCAGGGAGGAAAAGTTGGCTGAAATATGCAGCAAAATATCATATGGTGAGAGACTTGAAAGAATGAGACTGAGAGAGACAGAAAGAAAGGGGGTAGGGCTGGGGAGCTGTGAAGAACTGCTGAGGAAAATAGAACTTGTAACAAGACAAAAAAGAATCAATAGAGACAGACCCAGAAATGGTGAAGATGATAGAAGTAATAGACAATAATATTAAACCAAGAAGGTTTAGCAAAATGTATGCATGATAAGGAGACAAGTAGAAGATACACCAAAGACCCAACTTTAACTTCTAGAGATGAAAAATACATTACTAGAAATATATATAATAGATGAGATTAGTGGCAGATTGGATATGATAGAAGGAAAATTTAACAAAAATATGGCATTAGAAACCATTCAAAATAAAACATAAAAAGAATAAAGACTGAAAATCAACAGAGCATTAGTGAGCTGCTGGGTAATATCGAGACATTGAGCATATATATAATTGAGCCCCAGATGAAGATAAGGAAAGCAGGGGGAAATAGTTAAAGAAATGGTGACCGAAAGTCTTCCAAATTTGTGGAAAGCTACAAACCCACAAATTCAATGAGTGCAATCAATCCTAAGCAAAAGAAACGTAAATAAAACTATACTAAATCACACCATAAACAAATTGCTGAAAACCCTTAAAAGCATCCAGACAAAAGGATGCTATCTATAGAAGAATAGATATAAAAATGGTAGAAGTTTTTATGAGAAAGAAGATAAGTCATAAGACAATAAAGGAATATCCTTAAATTGCAGAAATAATAACGGGTAGTGGAGGAATAAATAGAAGAAGAACAAGAGGAGGACGAGGAAGGGGAGGAGAAGCAGCAGGAGGAGCAGAAAATTGTGGCAGTAGAGAAGAAAGAGAAAGAGCAGGAGGTAAAAAAGGAAGACTGAAAGGGGAAGAGGAGAAAAAAAGGAAGAAGAAGAAGAGGGGATAGAGGAGAAGAAAAACTAGCATACTACATTCACAAAAATTAATTTTATAAAATCAATGCAAAATTTCAGGCACGCAGGAGCTGAGAAAATTCACCACCAGCAGCTTCCAAGCTTCTAGTTTCTTGATGACTATGCGGATAAAAAAAAGTGGACTCCCTAAACAATAATAGCAACTTTCAAGCCACACTTCCAATGGTAAAAGGTAAAAATGACAAACAGGCCAGCACTATAAGAAACTTTAAAGGAAGTCATTAAGGAAAATTATGGCAGATATCTACACAAATGTAGAAAGCAAGCCAGCAGTGACAAATGTGTGAGACAAATATTAAGTGGTAGAAAAATATAAAACTAAAACATTTTTTCAAAAAACATTTTAGAGAAAACTCACTGTTCAAAGCAAAGGCTGGGAGTAAAGAAATGAAAGTGTTGATCTCTAAGGTTTTTGAGCCATACTGAAAGCATTTTTTTTAAAGACACATAGCTAATAAGCCAATAAAGAAGATGAAATGAAATCATAAAACTAATTCACACAAATCAAGACAAGAAAAGAGGTAAGAGAAAACAGTTATTGAAAAAATTTAAATAGCAAGATTTAAATTGAACCCTATTGGTAATCTCATTAAAGAAAATGGTTCAAACAACTACAAGAGCAACCATTACCATGTTGGATTAAAAAAAAAAGCCCAAACTACTTACTGGCTACAAAAACCCCAAAAACTTTAAATACAAGATCACAGAAAAGTTGAAAGTAAAACAACGAGAAAAGGTACAACATGCTAACGTTAATTTTTAATGCTATATTACTATTAAACATCGCATCTATGAAAGCACTATCCTTATAAAAGAAATTGAATTTTGTTTACAAATCTTCCCATAAGAGTTTTCCGTGTCTGTCTATGACATAATAGGACTCTACTAGAGAATACTGCCTGCAGAAAATGACAATAAAATCAAGACACGCTACAAAAGCTGGCTACCTGAACATATTTGAAAGGCAACAGAAGCAGGCTGTTTTAGGGAGGGAGTTCATACTTGCTTGGAGGAGGAGAACAGGCAGCTATATAAGTTCCCACCCCTGTGACCTTGAGTCGGTGGCTAGGTACCAGGCAAGATGTACAGGCAGAAAAGACAAGGTCACACATGGAAAAGCTTTCAATCTTCCCGGCCTGGGGAAGGAGAAAGAAGAAACTAAGACATTTTGAATGCTGAAGAGAGTTGAATAATCCCATAAGGGAAAGAGCCAGAGAGAAGAAACCCAAACTCTGTCTACCCACGTCTTCTTCTGAGACTTGAGCTATGCATGTGAGAAACAGCATCTGGGCTGCCCACCTAAACCCAGATCAGAACAGAGGCTGCATCTGCTGCACAGGAAAAAGAGTTTGCAGTTTGAGCTCAGCCCAGAAAGTTATCTGATAAGGTTTTTTCATGAGCCAGCATAAGCCACTTGTTGGTCAAAGGAGAGGTTTATGTACATTTGGGCAATTAGATTTTTATCTTTTATCATTGGATGTGTGGCTTAAAAGTTGCTATAATTGGCCGGGCGCCGTGGCTCACGCCTGTAATCCCAGCACTTCGGGAGGCCGAGGCAAGCGGATCACGAGGTCAGCAGATCGAGACCATTCTGGATAACAGAGTGAAACCCTGTCTCTACTAAAAATACAAAAAAAAAAAAAAAAAAAAAAAAATTAGCCAGGCTTGGTGGTGGGTGCCTGTGGTCCCAGCTACTCAGGAGGCTGAGGCAGGAGAATGGCGTGAACCCGGGAGGCGGAGCTTGCAGTGAGCCGAGATCGTGCTCCAGCCTGGGCGACAGAGGGAGACTCCGTCTCAAAAAAAAAAAAAAAAAAAAAGTTGCTATAATTGTTCAGAGAGTCTATTTTCCTCTTCATGTTAAACCAGAAACTAGAAGCTTAGAGCCTACCCCTCTGATTTCTACGGCAAGGGTGTATATAGTTTTGCATATGCACCTGCTAGGGATGAGTGTAGTTTTATTTCTAAATCTAGCTTTCTGTGAGTTACCGCTGGGTCATGGTAGCTTATTGCTCAGTGTTCGGTAAGAGGCTGTATTAAAGCCTCTTAAGCTGTGTGGCTTCAGCCTTATGTTGATGATTCTGTGTATGGCTTGAGGAACTTTATCTCATCTGCCCAATGTCCTGCTTTGATTGCTTCTGAATGGGTGCAGTCTAGCATACGCACAGAGGCCTTCTAACCCTCCACAGTTGTCTATGATCACAGGAGGTTTCTTCTTGCTGGCATCTATTACACTTCTCGCTGCTCTGCTGCTTTGCTTGTATCATAGCTACCAGGCTCCTCTTAATTCTTCACCAAGATGACCTTTTTTATTTTTTTTACAACATTCTTATACATGGAGTTCTGTACTCTTTTGTAAATAAAATTAGTTCCCTCAGACAGAGCTGTGGAGATTTTTGTCCTTAGAGGCTCCTGTCTCTCTCCTCCCCTGCAGAACAACACCAGAGCCAGGGCCTGTTACCTGTTTTCCTTGAGGTAACATGAGCGGCACTGAGGGGTGGGTGGGCTTCTCTAATCTTCTCTGCCTGCTTCTGCTGACGTGAAACTTCTACCCTTTGAGTGAGCTTTGCGGAGGTGACCAGGGCCCCAGTGTTTTCAGCCTGATGTACTTCAGGCAGAACTTCTGTTATTCAAGTAGAAGCTGAATGGTGGAGAAGAGGCCTGTTCCTCTCACCTACGCCTGCCTGGAGTGAAGCTCCTGCAGCACAGGGCTTAGTAGGAGGAGTGGGGTGAATCATCACCTTAGCCTGGGAGTTGGTGGGGAAGGAAGAACCATCTTCTTGGCTTCATGTTCCTGGGGTAGAACTTCTGTAACACAGGGCTAGGAATAGATAATGAGAAAACCATGCTTTACATGCCACAGCCTCTTGATGTTCCCATTGAGGTTTAGTAGATTTTCTTGGATGTATATTTCTCTATTTGCTGTGTGCCTTTAGGGCAATTTCCAGAAGATTTTAATAATTGCTTTTTGTAATTTCATGAGTTAAATTATTGCAATACTTCACAAACCTTTTAAAAAAACAGAAGAGGAGGGAATACTTCTCATTTTATGAGTCAATATCACTCAAACTACACAAAACATCCCAGGATATCTGCAGGTCAATATTCCTTATAAATATACATACAGAATTCAATAAAATATATAAATTCAATAAAATATAAGTAGGGTAGTATACTATGACCAAATGGGCTTTATCCCAGGAATGTAGGCTGATTTAACACCTGAAAATCAACTAATATAATGCACCGTATTAATAGAAAAAAAGAACAAAAATTATATAATTATCATAATCAAATGCAGAGAAAGCATTCAACAACATGTAACAACCTTTCACGATCAAAACTGTCAAAAACTAGAATAGAGGGGAACCTCCTTCATCTGATAAAGGGCATCTGTAAAAAACCCCACAAGTCTCATCATACTTGCTGGTGAAAGATTTCTTCCAAAGACAATGAAAAAGATAAAAATATATGCCCTTTCCACTTTTATATAATATGACACTGGAGATTCTAGCCAAAGCATTTAGGTAAACAGAGTGAAAAAATATTAAAAATTTTAAAAATTAAAAACAAAATGCATTCAGAATAGAAAGGAAGAAATAAAACAATTTCTATTTGCATTTAAATGTACTAGTATATACAAAAATCTAATAAATCTATTAAAACACTGTTAGAACTATCAAATGAGTTCAGCAAGAGTAGGACAGAAGAAAGTACAAAAGATTATATGTCTATACAAAAGGAGTTAACATTTTGATAATTAAAGTTAATACTACTAAAACTACAAAAATTAGCTGGGTGTGGTGGGATGTGCCTGTAATCCCAGCTACTCGGGAGGCTGAGGCAGAAGAATCACTTGAACCAGGGAGTCGGAGGTTGCAGTGAGCCGGGATTGCCTCACTGCACTGCAGCCTGGCGACAGAGTGAGACTTCGTCTCAATAAATAAATAAATAAAATAAAAATTTAACGAAACAAGAACACAAATTATATTCAGGAAACCAGAAGGCATTTCTGAAAACACTAAAGAACACCTAAATGAAGGGAAAGAGCCAGTGTTTATATGTTGGAGGAATTAAAGTTGTTAAGATGGCAATATTCCCCAAATTGATTCATGAATTCAGTGCAATCCCCATCAAATCTCAGCCGTCTTCTTTACAGAAACTGACAAGTTTATCTTAAAATTTATATAAAGATAAGAGACCCAGAATTCAAAACAATCTAAAAAGGATCATGTTTGGTATATTCACACTTCCTACTTCAAAATTTAGTGCAAAGCTATAGTAATCAAGAGAGTCAGCTGTGGTGCTGGCGTAAGGATGGACATACAGATTAATAGAACAGAAGTGAAATCATAGTGATAAACCCTTATATTTATTTAATTGTTTTTTGACAAGAGTGTCAAACAATTTAGTGTCTTGAATTGTCTTTTCAGCAAATGGTGCCAATGCAATTAGATGTCTCTATGCACAAGATCAAAGTTGGGCATCTATTTTTACACTATACAAAAAAATTAACTCAAAATGGATCCTGGACCTAAATGTAAAGGTTACAACTATAAAACTGTAGAAGAAAACAGAGGAATAAATGTTTGTGGCCTTTGATTGGGCAATGATTTCTCTATCATAACAACAAAAGCACAAATGACAAAAGAAACATAAATAAATCAACTGCACAAAAAGTAAAACTTTTGCTGTAAATAATACCACTAAGAAAACGAAAAAACAGCCTACAGTATGGGTGCAAATATTTCAAAGCTTTCCTCTAATAACAGTCTTGTATTCGCATTATATAAAAAAACTGTTACTACTCAGTAATAAAAGACAACTTCATTAAATTATGGGCAAAGGATTTGAATAAACATTTTGCTCCAAAGAAGCTATATGAATCGTCAATAAGCACATGAAAAGATTTCTCAAAATTATTAGTCATTATGAAAATGTAAATCAAAATCACAATAAAATATCACTTCATACTCGCCAGGGTGGAGTTAATAAAAACAATAAAGACAATAAAAAGTGTTGGCATGAATGTAGAGAAATTGGAACCACAACACGTTATTGGTGAGAATATAAAATGGTATAGTAACTTTGAAAAACAATTTGTCATTTCTCAAGTTCCACCCCTAGGTATTTACCCAAGAAAAGTAAATACATATGTCCACACAAAACCTTTTACATGAATATTCATAACAGCATAACTCAAAATAGCAAAAATGAGGAAACTGCCAAAATGTCCATCAACTGATGAATGGATAAATCAAATGTAGTATACCCATGCAATGGAATATAATTTGGCAATAGAAAGAAATGAAGTAATGGTACATGCTACAACATGGATTAGCACTGAAAACATTGAGTTAAATGATAAAAGACAGTTATTAAAGACCATACACTGTATGATTCTATTTATATAAAATGACCAGAATAGGCAAATTTGTTAAACAAAGAAAAGAAAATAGATTAGTAGTTGTTTAGGGCTGGGGAAGTTAGTGGGAAAATGAATGGACTGATAATGTATACAATATTTACTATATGGGAAATAAAAATGTTGTATAGACTGTGTTGACTTTTCCACAACTCTACTAATATGCTAAAAAATTAAATTGTACACCTTACGCTGGAACATCTTCTGGCATATGCATTATATTTCAATAATGTTGTTTTCAAAAGCACGAATGGAAAAATCTAAGATAGTTTTTCCTATTTACCCCAGTAAGTACAATTAAAATCCCTAATAAAAGAAACATAAGACTTTGAAATCTGAAGAGATGAAATCAGACCACCTATGATGGAAAAAATATATCATGTAAATAGTAACTAAAGGAAAGCTGGAGTGGTAATATCATTTATCAGATAAAGTAGTCTTCTGAACAAAGAATATTACTAGAGACAAAGAATAATATGTATTTATGATTGCTATATATATAGTATATATATAGCATATATATAGTATATATACAGCATATATATACTATATATACAGCATATATATATGCTATATATATAGCATATATATACTATATATATAGCATATATATACTATATATATAGCATATATATACTATATATATATAGCATATATGTATATGCACACAATCATAAATGTGTATGCACCAAACAACAGAGTGACAATATTATGTAAGTATGTAAAGGAAAAACAGATCAAACCAAAGAAGAAATAGATGAATATGCAATTTTATTCAGAAAGTTTAACACCTCTTAACAATATAGAACAATTAAATCTGAAACATTAAGAACACAGAACATAACAGCGAAGGAAAAAGAAAGAAAACCACAGATCAATATTCTGTATAAATATAGATGTGAAAATTCTTAACAAAATATTAGCAAATAGAATTGAGCAATACATTTAAAAGATTACATACCATTACCAATTGAAGTTTATTCTAGAGATGCAAGGCTGGTTATATATTCAAAAATTAATCAATGTATTCCACCATTTAACAGGTTGAAAAAGCAAAATTATGTAATCATTTAACCAATGCAAAAATATTTGACAAAATTCAACAGCCATTAATAAAATTATCAGAAAAATAGGAGAAAAGGGGAACTTCCTCAAGTTGATAAACAACATCTACCAAAATCTATAGCTAACATTGTACTTAATGGCAAAAGACTAAATGCTTTCGGATGCTTTATTTCAATCTGTGTCTATTATAATTGTATCAGTTATCTCCTTATTTTCAGTTGGTATTTTAAAAGGTACTGAAAACCTCAGTAGGCCATTTTTTTAACCAAGCAAGAATGTCTGCTCTCAGAATTCTAATTCAGTAGAATGCTGGACTCTCTAGCCAGTGTAATAAAGCAAGAAAAAGAAATGAGAAGTATGTAGATAGGAACGGAAGAAATGAAATTATCCTTTTTGCAGATGACATGATTGTCTACATAGGAAATTCCAAGGAATCTAAGATATAAACAATATAAACAAAACAAAGAAGTTTCAGAACTAATAAATGAGTTCATCAAGGTCACAAGACACAAGTTAAAGATGTAGTAATAAAACAATAGCAATAAACACATGAACACTGAAATTAAAAATATAATACCAGTTAGAAAAAAAAACAGAATCAAGTTTTTGGGCTCTGGGTTACATTCGAGATGCCTTAAACATGATACTAAAGCACAATCCGTAAAAAGAAAAATCAATAAATTAGACTTCATTGATAATTTTTTTTAGATGGAGTCTTTTTCTGTCGCCCAGGCTGGAGTGCAATGGAGCGATCTTGGCTCACTGCACGCTCCGCCTCCTGGGTTCACGCCTTTCTCCTGCCTCAGCCTGCCGAGTAGCTGGGACTACAGGCGCCCGTCACTACGCCCGGCTAACTTTTTGTATTTTTAGTAGAGACGGAGTTTCACCGTGTTAGCCAGAATGGTCTCGATCTCCTGACCGCGTGATCTGCCCGTCTTGGCCTTCCAAAGTGCTGGGATTACAGGCGTGAGCCACCGCACCCGGCCCTGATAATTTTTAAAATTTGGCCCAGTAACAGCGTTTCAGTGCCTTTTAAAATACCACTGGAAAGTGAGGAGATAACTGATACAATAATAATAGAAGCAGGTTAAAACATAGCATTAGGAACATGACATAGTACAATAATTTCTGGGGTTAAAATTATATGATGTCTTCTTGGAGGAATCATGTTATGTCCCCACCTTACTCCTAGGTCGTTATTCCACATCCCCACCTTACTCCTAGGAGCCTAGTAGAATGTTAGAGGCCTAAATTTTGTTAGACAAAGAAGTAGATCCTGCAACTATTAAAAAAAGTCCTAATATTTATGTGGAAGCTATATTTATTATTCAGCATCAGGTGGCAGGCAGAGAAGCTGGATCATTCATACACTGTTGATGGGAATATAAAATGGTATAGCCTCTTTAGAAAATGGATTTGCAATTTCTTATAAAATCAGACATACAGCTACTACATGACACAGCAATTGTAATTTTGGCATTTATTTCCAAAAAGTAAAAAAACTTGATCACACAAAAATTTCTACACATATGTTCATCATGTAATAACCATAACGCATATTGTTTCCAGTTTTCCAGTTGAAAATACATAGAAAAACACATCATGAATTTAATAAACAAAAGATCATTATAGTGCTGTATTAATATCAGATAAAACAAATTATAAAACAATATATAACCAGAGATAAAGAAGTATACATCTTAGTGAAAAGTGTCAATTTATAAATGTGTGGGCACCCAATAATAGTCTCAAGATGCATGAAAAACACTAATAAATTAAAGGAATAAATAGACAATTCCTTAATTATAGTTAGAGATTTTTCTCATAAATCTCTCAGCAGTTGAGGTTAACAGAATAAAATCTGTAAAGACATAAAATAGTTGAATAACAACCACAACCAACTAGACTATTGATATTTTTTAGAACATTAAATTTAACAAGAAAAAACACATTTAAGTGCACATAGTAAGTTTATCAAGATATACCATTTTCTGGGACATGAAACAAGTTTCTATTCAGAAAGATTGAAATGATGCAGATTTCTCTCTCTGAACAAGTGGGTATTAAATTGAAAAATAAGATAGCCTAGAGCCACAAATATTTTAAAATTAAGCAATTTACGATATACTTTCAACTAATTTTTGTATACAATAAGAAATCCTAAGTAAGATTAGAAAATTTTGAACTGAGCAATAATGAAAATACCACATATCAAGATGTGTGAGATGTACAAAACAGCACATAAAGAAAAATGTATAGAGGTAAGTGCCTATGTTGGAAAAAAGGAAAGTCCTCAAATCAATGATCTAAGCTTCCATCTGAATAAACTAGACAAAGATGGAGCAAATGAAAATAAAAACAAGGAAAAGAAAGAATAGTAATCGGTATAAGAGAAGTTATGAAAGAAAAACAAGACAATGAAAGCCAAGCTGATCATTTAGGAAAACAATCAATAAAATTCATAAGCAGTAGCCAGCATGACAATAAAAGAAAGAAAAGATACATAAAATAGCACTATCAAAAATGGAGAAAAGGGAAAATATCTACATTCATTTCAGACACGAAGTGGATAGTAAAGGATTATTATTTTAAAACTATGCCAATAAATTTTACCACCTAGAAAAAATGAGCAATTTTTTTAAAAAGACACAAAGGGGCCTGAGGGAACTTTTTAGGGGAGTGATGGAAGTGTTTTATTGGATAAGGAATCCATCTTGAATGTTGTAGTGGTCATACCATGGTATGCATTTGTCAAACTTTATAGACTTTTTCACACACGCACACAAATAGTGAATTTAACTGCATGTAAAATGTCTTTCAATGAAGTTAACATAATTCTGGAAAATCCAAAAAAATTTAAAAAATCAGCAAAAGTAAAAATAAGAACTTATGACTCATTGAGTGAATTTTTAAAAAATAAGAACTGCTTAGTTGTATTCAATTTAGATATTTTCATTTTGTTTTGCTGTTTTTAAAATTTTTATTGTGACTATATGCATAGCAGAGACTTTTTCATTTTAACTATTTTAAGTGTACAATACAGTGGCATTAGTTACATCCACAACGTTGTGCAACCATCACCACTATCATAGTTAATCATGAAATCACAATTCATTGGTTCAAAAACAATTATGCTTACAAGTAGCTAAGTGACACTGAATTAAAATAAAGCAAAATAAAATTCAAGTGAATTAAATAACTAAAATGAAATAACATTTAATATACTTAATTTACTATTTTAATAAGTAATGTAACACTATAACCATTTAATAATTAGAGTAGAATATATGGATGTCTATTTGATAAAAATTCTGGAATCTGTAAGTTGAAAAAACATCAAGGAGAAAGTTGACAAATTTAACCATATGAAATATTTCTGAACATTAAAAACAGCATTAGATAAAAATAAAAATAAAAATTTCTGAAAAAAATGTTCCTTGCAAAATAGCAGACAAAGATTTTAACCTTCCATACATAAACAAAGCATATAGAGATCCATAAGAAAATTAATAAAAACTCCAGCAGAAAAATGTACAAGTTGTCGAATAGACACTATTCAATACAGTTTTCAATGTTACTTCACAAATAATAAAAAATGAGAATTAGGAGATAAAGAGAAGGGTTTTTCTTATAAATTATAAAAGGTATACGAAATAATAATGCCTGGCCAGGGGTTCCATGAATGTACTCTACCCCTAAAAATGGGTGTTTAAATAGTTTTTGCTCAAGAGTAATATGGAAATATGTACTAAGAATACTTAAAAATATGTATTCTATTTGTTTCAGCAATTACACTTCTAAAAATTATCTTAACAACAATATGAAACGTGTTATTCCTGAAATTTTGAAATTTTCATCAGTAGTAAAATGATTAAATTGTGTTTGAGGTAACTGTTTAAAGAAATCCCATAAATGTATTAGAAATCAGGGTTGTAAGGCTATTTCAACCTATGAGATGGATAATATAATATTAGGTGAAGAAGACAGAATTCTGTAAAAACAATAACTCAATTAAGGAGGAGTATACAATAGAATTTTGTTAGCTGATCTTTATTTAACTGACTAGCCAGGTTAACCCAATATTACTATTTTCTTCATAATATTAGTCACCAAATTCCATCAGGCAAAGACTGCTTTACTCTCACCAGGTAAACTGTTTGCTTAGCAAGAGTGAGTTACATTAAATGTGCAAAAATCCCTTTATGCCACTTGAATATATTGTCATAATTAAATAACTTAATTAAATTTTACATACACTGATAGAATTAGAGTGTGAAAAGAAAGTGTTATTCTGCAAAAACAAAGCTGTGGCTTGGAAAGATTAAACAAAGGTGAGTCTAAAAACAAATTGCTATAGAATTATGCACAGGAGATGCAATACTAAAATATGTAGGGTAATGTGAAAATTAAAAATTCTTATTCAGATTACTCACATTTTTACACATCACTTTTAAGAAAGCAATGCTGGAGGTGTAGGCTACACAGGAAAGGTAATATGAAACTTCCTACAAGGATGAGCATAGTCATAGGTAAAGCCTTGGCCTCATGACAAAATGTTGTCAAATGTTTGGGCAGTTTTCTTTTCTTTCCAGTTAAAGTAAATGGTTTTAGGTATATATGTGTCATTGCATATGACTTTTATTATTGGTGACTTTTTCAATGATCAGAGAAATAATCAGTCCTGATCAATTTTTAGCAGTCTTTTGTGTAAATCAATTACCAATGACCAGTGGGACACTTGATGTCTTATTGCTGTGTATGATCTAGGAACCACGACAGAACCCTAGGGTAGATAGATAGGGGATTTGAGGAAGAACCAAGGTCAAGTCTATCAGTCTGGTGGAATAGGGACTCTGAGTCATGAGTGAAGTAGTTACTAAAGAAAAACAAAGCAGTATTTTTTTGCACATCTGAATGTGTAGCATGAAAGAGTGTAAATATGCCAAATATTAAAAGTAGTTTTTTCAAAGTAGTGGAATTTTGAGTGATATTTATTTTCTTCTTACACAAGTAACATGCCTTATTTTTATAATAAGAAAAAAGATCAGTCTTTTATAAAGGAAGGCAATAGTTGGATTAGAAACATCATACTGAATGAAATTCAAGTAATTAAAGTAAAAGCCATATTAAAACATACATTTCAACTAGCTTCTTCATTTTTGGTATGAAAAGGAGCAGTGTCTGTGTTCCTGCTGCTACTGTTTGTGAGTGCATGTGCAAAAGGGGAGGAGAGAGGTTAAGGAAGAGAGAAGCTGAAAGAGAGGGAGAAAGCAAGTTTGGAAATGAGCCACCAGTAAGAGAAAGTTGGAGTGGTCCTCCCAGAGTACACCACAAATGGAGGGGTGGGGTAGTTCTTTTTCTGAATAACTCTTGGCTCATTAAGAAGAAATAGTTCTTGGCACATAGGCCTTCCCAGAAAATGGAATGTGCCTTTCTCCTTAAATTCATACAGGCTACCCAGAAACTCAGGAGTTCCTGGAAATTTTATTAAAATTTTCATATAAACAAGCAATCATTTTGAGACCATAGTTCCTGGTAATAATGCCTATGGATGCAATCAAAACATGCATTTGGACTAGAAGAAAGAAGATGAAAAAAATGAGGAAGACATTTTCTTAAAGATAGATTTTTATTAAAATGGCTATTTTTTTCTTCATTCATTCACATGGGATGTTACAGCACCATTAGTAAATTGTTATTTTTATGAGACTGTTTCACTCAGGAAATTTCTTAATTCATTACATTTTATTAGATCAGCAGTAATGAACCAAAAACAATATCATTTATTTTTATTACTACTGTAGGTTAAATCACAATGATTTATACAGCCAGATTGAAACAATGACTGTGTAATTACTGTTATTGTCAACAATATATTTTTCTTAAATAAGACAATTTAACCACATGTAAAGTCAATAAATATAGAAACTTGTAACTGAAAAGAGTAGACAAGCTGCCACTTTATACCTAAGGCATCGTGTGAATACATTCTGGATGGTGGATATGGATGAAATGAGGAAAAAGCAAATCATTGGTATTAATGAAATGGCAGTGATGGGTCTGTCACAGTCAGGATATATAGTTTGAGAATGTTATTCACAGTATTATAAATATACGGGCGCTCATGCCCTTGAGTAGAAACCAAATATAATTATTCCATTTACACAATTGTCTGTATGTGTTTTCTCTTTCTATTGAGAGGACTATTTTCTCATCTTCTAGGATCATTTTCCTTTAATGTCTAACAATTCCAAAAGGTACAGTGTGGTTAGTAAATGTTCTCCTAATCTTATCTCCTGAAGTGTCATATCACTTCAATCAGTCCTATCTTTTAGAAGTGCAGAATAGCTGCTCCAGTCCCTGTATCATAATTTTCAAACCACTTGAAGAGTTATTTTTTAAAAATCAAATAACTATAAAAGAATCAAGCCAACAAGTTTTTTGTTTATTTGTTTGTTTTGTTTCAGTAATGGTATATCAATATTTGCAGCTACTATGAAAGCACTGCCTTTAAAATATCAAGAGGAAAAATAATTATAAGTCTATCCACTATCCAAAATTTGGTATTCAAATAGCTTTGAAAGCCAAAAAAATTTCATAATTTATTTGGCAGTAAAACTGGACCAGAGCAGTTGTGTGGCCATTGATAGTCTTTATTCTACTTTATGTGATTATTAAACTACTTTGTTGCAGTTATGTTAATGTGCTTGATGACAGAGTGTCCTCCTAGAACCCACTGTGAGTGTTCCCTGACATGTAGTGAATGCACCATATTGCTTTTTCTGAAGTTGAAAAAGAAAATCTTTATTCTGAAACACATCTGGCCAAAGGGTGTTGAATAAAGGATTGCTAATTTGGTTTGAAAAGGGGAAATGAGGTGTACTAAGGAATTTTATTCTAAGCTCTTCTTCTGGTTTCTCTAATTTTTAAATACTTCATTGTGCATATCCTAACCTTTTCCACTACTCCACCTGGTTAATCCAAAATCATAATGGGCAATACAAAGTCAAGTGGTTAGGTACTTTGTCACAGGTACTGAGATAATATAAGGATGGCTTGGTAACTCCAGACACAGGGAATGCAGCAGATGGCTATATCATAAATGACCTGAAGGAGAAAAGAAGGTTAGAAATATTTTTTCCGAGTAACTTTGGAAGAAACACTGGGGTCAGTTTAGAGAATCAAAAGGTGAATGAATGCTTTCAGTTTGGAAATTCATCTGACAACATAGCTTCTTTAGCTTCTTGAAGTGTGAAGAAAGCATGTAATCAGGCTTTCAGTTGATTATAAACAATCATCAAGCACCTAGAACACCCTGACTCACTATAGTTTCTAGTCTGCTTTTGACATTGGGCAATTTTTTGTTGTGGAGCTACTTTATGTTCCAGACTATGAAGAGTTAAGTAATTCACAAAGATCGATAAGTCACAGCAATTTCTCTTTGTATATAGAAGCTATGAAGCATTAGAAATTCTTAGCTATAAACTAAGGCTAATACAGCATATTTCATTTGTACTAATCAGGGCACTTTGAGCAAAAACAATTACAAAAAAGTTCTAGCTTTCTCTTCCTTTCCCCTTCTTCAATCTCCACCTCTGTTTTTCTGGAGCTTCTTTAGGTGCAAACAATTTCAATTTATCTCTGACACTGTGACTATGACAGTAAAAACTAAGAAATATAAGCATAGTCGCACCAAATGAACAAAAGAACCTAAACACAAGTATGCTCGTACAGCTAGGAAGCAATTCACTTTTCTGTAACAGCATAGTTCTACTTCTTTTAAAAGTAAGAAAATAAAATGCAATTTTTTTTTCATTTCTTGTCATAGATGCTATGTCAAAATACAACTTTGAAAGGTAATATATTAAAAACTTTGTCTTCATGGACACTATTGAATGGTGGTTGCTGATAGTACTATCTGCTTCCCATTCTTCTCTTTTTCTCTTTTCTTCTGCCATAAATGTGAGAGAGAGAACACCAGGTCTTTTAATTTTTTCCTTTCCTTATTTTGTGTAAATTTAAGTCAGTTCATTTCTTGAGAATTTAAAATCATAAATTCTAGTTCACTTCAGTGAAATATTGCCTATATTTGGTAAATTCAAAGAGAGAAAACTACTCCATGTTTTCAGTATTTCATAAGAAACGAAAGGAAAAATAAAGCAGAGCTGTTCTTAAAGAAGAGTTTAAGTAAACTTTTAAAGGTTATCTTGTTTTTGTAACATTATTGGAAAATACTAAATTTATGGGCAATTCTTAATCCAATCAACCACTACAAGTTAATGATACAAGTATTATGGTTTTATCAGGATAGTTTTAATTTGTTAATATAATCTGTCTGAATTATGATTGTTTCTGTCTATTCTTTTTTTTTTCTTAGTTGGAGCCATGAATTTTTGACCAATGATGCAGCCATTATTTGTTGTATTTATTAAGGTGAATAAAAACTATTTAGGCTGGGTGCAGTAGCTCGTACCTTTAATCCCAGCATTTAGGAAGGCCAAGGAATGGAGGATGGCTTGAGTCCAGGGCTTTGACGCTGCAGTGAGCTATGATTGCGTCACTGCACTCTAGCCTGGATGACAGAGCAAGACCGCGTCTCTAAAAAAGATAAATAAAAATCTAATTTAAGGATAAATAAATAAATAAAATAAGTAAAATTTAAAATAAGTTTTTAAAGTGAGTAAACCTAAAGAGAAAAAGTCACAAGAGAAGTGAAAGCATATGCTTTAAAACTAGACAAAGAAGAAAATCTACTAAAGATCCTGATGTTTGGAGAAAGTTGAGGACCACTGGTAAAAATTTAATGTTAATTCTACTACAAAGCTGAAGTTTCTAAGAGAAAAATTATGTTCCTTGCTTTTCCAACTGTATATTGTTCTCTAGCATATGCCCCTCTTTCTCTAGGCATCACAGAAACAACTGAGTTATCCTTAATACACAGGGAACAAATTTGTGGTTAAGGGGTGCCATCAGCAAAAGGGAGGTTAGCCAGTATAGGTATTGATATTAAATCTAAGCATACCATCATATGGTACGTTAGGAATCTCCCATTATTTTCTGTTGAAAATAACCCTTATTGAATTAACAAAGTCTTTCACAACTCAATTCAAATCTGTTTATTGGAACAGAATCTAAAGCTTAATTGGAAATATTAACAATTTATGAAAAGGCTTTAAGAGATTGAAAGAAAGAATAGGTATAAAAGCAAATTTAAGATGATTCAGAAAACAAAAAAACAAGTGGCATGTAAAGATAAAATAATCTGATTACTGTGAACACTAGAAAAGGGAATTTTGTAAGATTTGAATCATATTCTTCAGAAAATTATATGTTTACATGTGTTCTAAAGTGAGTTAACACATAAGATCTCAGAAAGCAAAATTCCAAGTCCCACACTTTTATCAATTGCTCAACATGTTGATGATGTGTCAGATAGTTGCTTTTTTTCCCCCTGTAAAAATCAGTGACTATTTCACAACAAATGTGGTTCATGTGTGTAGAACAGAGTGACAACAAAAAAATTAAGAAACAAAAAAAGTGCAAGGCAGAGGGCAAAAGGCTTTATTCAACCAGATCAGCAGAAAGTGGGACTTTTTAAAAGTTAAACTCCAGAAAGAGTTTGGTCCAATGTCTCTATTTCTTCTTAAAGCCACACTTTTCTTTTATCCTTGGCTTAAAATGAGCTAATAGACAGGACCTCCCATTTTCTTCAATTCCTTGCTTGTGGAATTTGTTGCAGAAGTACTTTCACTCACTGAAACCTATCATGGGTTACTGAAGGAAATAAAAATATTGCTTTATTGGCTGTGGAGAGAGGAAACAGCATTTTAGAACCAAGGCAGAGGTCAGCATTTGTTTGTGCTCAAACTCGATGTCACCATTTTGAGTGGCTCCCAATTGAACAGTCTATCCCTGTTCTGTTGATAGCCCAACTCACAAAAGAAACCATATTATTTTTGATACATTCCATCTGAGGAGAAAGAAGGTACCATTAACCTATTAGAGGAGATGGGGTGTGTTCAGGGTGGTATGGCTGTAGACACCATTAACCTATTAGAGGAGATGGGGTGTGTTCAGGGTGGTATGGCTGTAGACACCATTAACCTATTAGAAAAGCCATTGGCACACCTGGATATTAAGAGAAAAAATTTAAAGTAAATATTGAATTGTGTAGATCTGAAAGGTTTTAAAGCGTCAAGTTCTGGTGACCTGTGTTACTGCCTCATTACATGGCAAGACCTACCAAACTTTGGGTTTCATGTAAGCATGCTGAATTTATGAAATGTGCCTCTGAACAAGTTTTGTCAAAAAAAGAGCATTAAACTCTGTTTGTTCTTTGTGCGTTACTTTCAAGATAGAGTCCCTTTTTTTCTTTCTTTTCCTTTTTTTTTTTTTTTTTTTTTTTTTTTGAGATGGAGTTTTGCTCTAGTTGCCCAGGCTGGAGTGCAGTGGCACGACCTCGGCTCACTGCAACCTCTGCCTCCCAGGTTCAAGCAATTCTCCTGCCTCAACCCCCCGAGTAGCTGGGATTACAGGCACACGCCACCACGCTGACTAATTTTGTATTTTTCATAGAGATGGGGTTTCTCCATGTTGGTCAGGCTGGTCTCGAACTCCTGACCTCAGGTGATCTGCCCGCCTCAGCCTCCCAAAGTGCTGGGATTACAGGTGTGAGCTACCGCACCCTGCCCCTTTTTCTTAATATTCACAAAACCTAGCATGATAAGGCTTAAAATCATCTCTCTAACCCCATTTATTACCACTATTTTTTTTTCACTCTACAAATCTCAACATACTTTTCTTTTTTCTGTTACTGGAATGTATCACTATCTATGTGGCTTCTGAGGCTTTTCAGTGTTGTTTCTAGAAAAGCCTTATCCTTCCTTTTCCTTGGGTGCCTCTCAGTGCCATACCCAAACTCAGCTTTTCCTCACAAGTCTAGGTTAAGTGTTTTGTCTCACCCCTACTTTTTCAAGAGAAGCACTAATTACCATTTATTTTTGTTGCCTTTTTGCAGGTATTTAATCTCCTCACCATATTTAAAACAACATTAGAGCTGGGACCAAGTTCATTTTGCTTACCATCATGTGCTTGACACACAGGATATGTTCAATAAAATTCATTTAAAGGATACACTAATGTTTACTGCCACTAAAATAAGCTGAGTTTATAAACACAGTTTTAATTCTTAGGCTTTTATCCCTGATAATGATAGAATTAATTTTTCTGTAATATATTTATTGATTATAATAATGATAACAATATCAATCGCAGGGATAATAATAACTACTACTACCATTTATTGAATTTCTACCATGAGTGGATACAATATTGAGAGTGTTCCTACATTATTTCATCCAATCTTCATAGTAGCTCAACAAAGCGGGTATTAGATTGCCCTTTTTATAAATGAGAATAGTGAGACTCAGAAGTAACTTATGCAAAGTAATAACAGGAAAAATAGAAATTTGAATTCAAATCTATTTTCAAAGATTGTCCTAATGTCACTGTACTACACGGCTTATTCAAAGAGATTTAGGGATTAACTTATACTTTGGTATTTGATTAGTTTCTATTATTATAACTTCATTCTTAAATTATTAGTTAGATAATTATGTGAGAGAAAATTAAGGAAATGAATGAATAGCTTTTAAAAAAATACTTTCTGTCTGGCACTATGTGCTTAGTATTTTACCCGACAGACAGTATTAGATGTAGATACACATATTTAACTGTTAGGGATCCTCATTAATAGTTTACCTTCTTTGTTTGCTCACATATTACAATATTCAATTTCCCGCATCTCATAATTTATTTTTATTTCTGCTTGATGAGTACAACACCTTGCTTTAGGGGTTTGTATCATCACCATCTTTACTATAAATATCATTGTTTGTCTTAATAATAAAAATAACCACCAATAGGATGGTAATCAATCAATCCCCACATTTATGGGGCAGTTACAATTATTATTACTGTATTATAATTTCCTAATTTTATTGATGAGGAAGCTGAGGCTTATCAAAACTAAGTAATTAACAAGTGGCAGAGCAGGGATATGAACCCACACTGTCTGATTCCAAGGTGGTGATCTATAAGTTCCAGTGGTTCTTGCTGAGCAAACAGTTGGGATATAATGTGCTCTCTGTCTGCCTTTGTCCTCTTATGTAGCTAAGATAAAGAGGAAATCTCCTGTATTTCTTAAATATAGACATGGTGTCTATTATTTCAGAACATCTTCCTATCTGGAAAGATTTGTGCAAAATTCCCAAGAGCTCCCAACTACCTCTATGTATAACCCACGAGATGTCTTAATTGAATCTAAATTCTAAGTAGCATTTAATTTAATTTCAATTTTTTTTAGGAAAGACATGTTAGGCTTTGCCCTGTTTCTGTTTACATAATTTTTAAACCAATATTATGTAAATGATTATATAATTGAGTATATACCTAATGTTTCCAATTAAAGATACATTTCCAATATTTAGCAACACATCCTCCCACTGAATTAATCACAAAGTTTCCCACGTCTAAATTCATTGTCATGATTTGGTGTAGCACTTGATCTGACTTGCGAGGGTGTAGGTAATATGTGATAAATTACTTAGCAAATTAGAAATTAGGACCTTAGACCTGCTGAATTAGGCTAGGGCACCTTTAAATTGAAGAGAGGTAGTTTTTGACATGCAATGCAAGAAAGTGAGTACTTGGCCACAGGTATAACTTCTTCCTTACTATGATGTCTGAAAATGCAGGCTGTTTCCTTGATGGCCTATGTTGCTTGGGGATTAGATACCCAAGCCAAAATACTGAACCTACAGTTGTTTGAGAGACTTTCTGATATTTACAAAAATATTTCTGGAAGTTGCCTTCTAGCTAGAGTAGTCACTATTTTAACAATTTGCCAACCTCTTGAATCCTTTAAGATTTGGAACTTAATGTCATGGACAGAATGTAAAACTATGTTTGTTCATGAATATCATTTTGGTCTGATCAATTATAGAAAAATCATTAAAAATGTTGCCATCGTGTGACTACCTGGACATAGTCATAAATTCTGAGGCATTGAAATGTGTCAAATACTTCTATTTTGAAATTACTTTTATTATTAAAAATGGAAGACAGTACCATATGAGAACCTGAGTGGAGAAGTTATGGTTTAAAAAATATATTAACAAACATCATCATCAATAACGTAGTGGCCAAGGTCAGCTCACAATGTAGAGTTTCATAAAATCCTCAAAAAGAAATTAAGCTTTCTCATAATTTATACTCATACTAGATCAAAAAAAGAGATGATTCTCCTAAGAGTTAGTGACATATGGAGCAAACTCTGGATGCATTTTGTGCTATCTCCAGTCTCCAGCAAACATTGTTCTCAGAGAATGAGAATGACAATGACAATGCATAAACATTTTGTGGACATTTGGAAACTAAATAGCAACATCTGATTTACTGGTTTCTCCAGGTAAGATGATCAGTGGTCCTTGGGAAAAGATGTTTTACATAGCACCTTTGGGTTTGCAATCTTGAATTGCTCATCTGTAAAGCACTTTTGTTGATGGAAAGATCTGTGAGTCAGAATGAACAAAGACATATTCACATTATAGCAAATATGTGGACACACACTTCAGTCTAAGTGTCAATGCTCAGCAGATTTTTCTATAAAAAGACTCTCTCACTTGCCAACAGTGACACTTGAAAACTAGCTTTACTTAGCATCTCTGAATCTCATGAAGAGTACACAGCAGCCAAAACACTATTGAAAGCATAAGAAAAAATAAGTAAGTACCTTATCACTCAATAATTTCAGTTTGATTTGCTTTCTGGCTGATCAAATACATGTTAAATAATATAAGTATCAAGTGGGCATATGTGCCAACCATGAATTAAACTCTATTTTGTTTAGGAAGTGACTTAAAATCTGCTCCTATTTCTTCACTAATAATTGTTCTAAAATATTTTCTATCTTTTTAAGAGAGGTGACAATCACTTGGGTATGCCTAAATTTTCCAGAATTCTGAGTCCAGTTCTTCTTTAGTTTTTAAATACAAATAAGTTCATCCTAGGCATGCTGGAAACCTGGTACCCATTAATAAAATAATTTTAAAGATCAGGGATTTTCTGAGTCTTTAGTTTTGATGGTAAACTTTTTCTCCTGCTTCTTGCTTCTGCTGTATTTGAGATGTTGCTTGATCTTACCTGCAGCTGATCTCTCTCCCCACTTGGTGCTCATCCAAAGGTATGTGTATCACAGACTGTAATTCCCCCATCAGTTAGGAAAAAGAGGCTGTAGAAGGACTAGAGTTTTACTCAGTGTCTGGGTATATAGAGGGGTTTATAGCATAGTATAATACCAGGCATGACTTAAAACTGAATCGTAGACACCTCTGTTCTTAAAAAATTCCTCAGGCTTTCTCCCACTATCCTCTGCAGAGCTGCTTCCTCTCTATAGATGACACCAGAGATCTGCACTACTCCTGAAACTTTGCTCACCTCTCCTTTCAAACTACCCTGTCAAAGATATTAAGCAGTCAGTTGACTGAACAAGCAAGACTCAAAAGTAGATAAGGAAACATGTATTTTTTTATCTCCTCCATTGCCAATCCCTGACCACTGCTTACTCAAGCTTTCTCTACGGGCTTGTTCCTCCCTGTTCCTGGGTGAAAGCTAGCAGTGATCTCATGATTTTATGATCACTTTCATATCATAAACATCTTTAAACCACAAAAAATAGCCTTAGCTCAGAAATGAAAATGTCCTGTGCTTTCAACAGTCAACACTTTGAAGTTCATTTTCAATTAAATCTTCTCCCCAGGCCTGATTGAGGGAAGAAGCCTCATAGAGCTTCTTCCTCTTCCACAGTGAATAGCTCTGGCCCCTTCAGTATTGAAAGTGGAGGGAAGGGGGAGTGGTAAAGGACAGCAAAGATCACTCATGATTAGAAACTAGATAATTTGGCATCGGTTTCATCTGGGAGGGCAGATGTTTTAAATTTGAGTCATTTCCTTTTTTTTTTGTGGTATATTCACAAATTCTTTGGGGGATCCTTCAGTTCTGGAGACTTCTGAACTATTATATTTCATTCCTTTAATTCAGGCAAAAAAAAAAAAATTTGTCCAGCTTACTATCCCCTTACCAGTTCCCAGTTTCTTATGGTCTATTCTACACAAACTCTGTCTCTCCGGGTCTCACCCAGTGCCACACTGGGAAGAGTCTTTTTGAATTGTATCCAAACTGTCTCTCTCCCATTTGATGCCCACCTGCACCCGTGGAAAACACTAACTCATCCATTTATTTCAGATAGTCCCATGAAAGCTGCTACGGCTCCTTGCTCTACCATTAGAGAAACTAGCCAACTCAGTCTCTCACCTTTATAAAATTTTTCAGGAGTAGATTCTGAATGAAAGACTAGTTAATCTTTTTGAAGAGTGGTCTTGAAACCCCTCTCACTTAGCTTAAGCTGAAAGGGTGACTCCCCTCTCTTCCACTATGATGAAAGGGTTAAGAGGAATACACACAACTCTCTTTAAAGAAACTTTTCTCCAATTTACAACCTTATTCTTCCAATTTACCTAATACCTTTTAAAGCCTGGAAGCAGAGGTTCAGTTGACAGCAGCAATGCTTGCTCAGAACCTCTCCTTGGGAGGTCTTGCTTAGGGATCTAGCATTTTGTTTTGAAATGGAGGTATGGATACCACCTATTCTTAGGCCTCCATCAAAATAAAGACAACTATTGTTTACATTTTACTATCTTGTTATATGAAACAATAAAATCTACTTATCTCCCTAAGATGACTTTATAGCCATATTTTGAAAGAAGAAAACTTTTCTAGCTGCAATAATATGGCAGTTCTGCATTGTACTCTAAAGGTACTGTACTGTGTGGTACCATGCCCTACCCTTAGCTTCAGGGTATAATTGAAATCAACTGAAATAATATTTCCACAGGCCTCTGGTGCACATATGGAAAAAAAAAAGATGTATTTAAGTACGAATACGTTCTGAGCTCCTTTGATCTTGCTGCTCAGTACAAAAAGAAAGATCTGCTAGAATGAAGAAAACACACACACACACACACACACACACACAGTCAGCAAGATGGCCAACTAGAGTTCCTAGCACTCCTCCCCCCGACAAAAAAGCGACCCAAACAACAAATAAACCAGTATATTTTGACTGGAGTGACTGGGGAAGTAAGCGGGAGAGAACCAGGGGAATGGCAAAATCCCTGAGGAGCATAGAAGCCCAGAACAGTACCACAGAGAGAAAGCCAGGCATCCGCTGGGTCGACTCGGAGCCAGGGGGTCACCTTTTGGAGGAAAGATAAACTGGAGGTCCTAGCGGTCCCCATTACCACCACAGGCACCAGCCTTTCTTGTTTAAGAGAGTCCTTGGGTCCTCACAGGGCCTGAATCGACTGTGAAGGGTGTCCGGAGTTCACGCAGCTGCACTGCCCTAGAGCAGCAGCCCGTGTTGTGGTCCCCGCACCCCCGCGACTGAGGCCACTTCGCCTTGGCGCCATTTTGAAACTGGCCCCATTGACTGCGCCCCTGCGATGGGGGCGGGCAGCCATAGCCTGTCCCTATCCTGAGGCCCTGCCGTTGTTCAGCCACATTCTGCAGACCCACGTCCCTGGCTGCCTGGAGCATATAACCATCAGAACGTGGGATTCCGGTATTTGAACCCCCGTGGTGCTTCTCATCCCCAGGGAGCAAGTGGACCTGTACAAGGGGAAAGCTGCCAAACAGCCAGCCGGAAGCCCTGCCCACACCTGGCTCAACAACTAAACTGGCAGGAACCCCACTCCCCGAAAGCCCACCGCACAGCCCATGGGCCCACCATGCCCACTCACACGCCGCCTGACAGCAACCTGCTTTGTGCCCACCCCCCAGCAAACCGCGCTATCTTGGTTGCATAGTTCCCTAGCCCAGGCCGCTAGGCAATTGCACACATCACTGACGGGTATTACAGCTGAAGAGACTGTCCAGTGACCAAGCTGCTGTCCATTCAGAACCAAAGTCAGTACCGTGCCCAACCAACAGCCTAGGACCCGTCTACAGGAAACAGTTTCTCCTTACAAAAGCTACTCTATAAAATAGGAAAATGCAACCGTTCCACTAGAAGCACATATATCGATGAAGGGATACAAGACACATGAAAAGCAAGGACATTTGACAGTCACAGAAAATACAATAATTCTCAAGAAACAGACCTCAAAGAAAACCGTACTTACAAAATTTCTGAGAGGATATATATATATATATTTTTTATTTATTTATTTATTTATTTATTTATTTATTTATTTATTTATTTATTTTATACAGAGTCTCCCTGTGTCACCCAGGCTGGAGTCAGTGGTGCGATCTTGGCTCACTACAACCTCTGAGGTTCAAGCGATTCTCATGCCTCAGACTCCCAAGCCACCTGAGTAGCTGGGATTACAGGTAGGTGCCACCACACCAGGCTAATTTTTGGCATTTTTAGTAGAGACAGGGTTTCACCATGTTTGCCAGACTGGTCTTGAACTTCTGGCCTCAAATGATCCACCTGCCTGGGCTTCCTAAAGTGCTGGAATTACAGGTGTGAGCCACCATGCCTGGCCTTTTAAAAATGATGATCTTAAGGAGACTCAGTAATATACAAAAGAATACAGTGAAATCAGAAAACAGTCCATTATTTGAATCAGAAATTCGACAAAAAGATATGTATCATAAAAAAGAACCCAACAGAAATTTGGGAGCTGCAGAATTCAATACATAAAATAAAAAAATAGAAAAAAAATCCTAAAATTCATATGAAACCATGAAAGACCCTGAGTGGCCAAAGCAATCATGAGCAAAAAGAACAAAGCTGGGCACGGTGGCTCACGCCTGTAATCCCAGCACTTTGGGAGGCCAAGGCAGGTGGATCACAAGGTCAGGAGATCAAGACCATCCTGGCTAACATGGTGAAACCCCGTCTCTAATAAAAATACAAAAAATTAGGCGGGTGTGGTGGCACACACCTATAATCCCAGCTACTCAGGAGGCTGAGGCAGGAGAATTGCTTGAAACCGGGAGGCAGAGGTTGCAGTGAGCTGAGATGACGCCTCTGCACTTCAGCCTGGTGACAGAGCAAGACTCCGTCTGGAAAAAAAAAAAAAAAAAAGAACAAAGCTGGAGGTATCACACTATGTGACTTCAAAGTATACTATAAACCTATACTAACCAAAACAGCGTAGTTTTGCCATTAAAAACAAATGCATAGACAAATGGAATAAAATAGCTGAAAATTAAATTCATGCAGGTCTAGCCAACCTATTTCCAACAAAAGTGCCATTAACACACACTGGGGAAGAGACAGTCTTTTCAATACATGTCCTGAGAAAACTGGATAGCTACATACACAAAAATATGACTAGACCCCTACCTCTCACCATATTTAAAAAATCAGCTCAAAATGGATTAAAGACTTAAATGTAAAACCCACGGCTATGAAGCTACTGGAAGAAAACTTAGGATAAATGCTTTATGATACTGGTCTGGGCAAGGATTCTTAAAATAGGACCTTAAAAACACAAGCAACAGAAGCAAAAATAACAAATGGGATTACATCAAACTAAAAAGTTTTTGCACAGCAAAGGAAACAATAGAGTGCAGTGGCAGCCTACACAATGGGAGAAAGTATTTGGAAACTATACATTTGGCAAAAGACTAAAATCCAGAATATGTAAGGAACTTAATTGAAAAAAAAAAAAACCTGATTTAAAAATGTTCAAAGACTTTAGTAGACGTTTCTCAAAAGAAGACATAAACATGTTCAACATCCCTATCAGAGAAAAATGCAGTTCAAAACCACAGTGAGACCAACTCATTCCAGTAGGAAAGGTCTATTATCAAAAAGAGAAGAGAAAACAAGTGTTGGCTAGGTTGGAGAAAAGAGAACACTTACACACTGTTGGTGGGATGGTCAGTTAGCACAGTCATTATGGAAAACAGAGTTTTCACAAAACAGATTCCTAAAAAAAATTAAAAATAGAACAACCATATGATCCAGAATCTCACTACTGGGTTATATCCAAAGGATATGAAATCAGTATGTTGAAAAGATATCTTCACTCCCATGTTTACTGTAGCACTATTTACAATAGCCAAGAAATGGAATCAACCTAAGTGTCCATCAACAGATGAATGGATAAAGTAAATGTGGTATATGTATACAAAGAAATATCATTCAGCCATAAAAAAATCCTGTCATTTGTGAGAACATAGATGAAGCTGTAGAACATCATTTGAAGTTAAATAAACCAGACACAGAAAGACAAATAGTATATTATTTCACTCATATGTGGAATCTAAAGAAAAAAATAGTTGATATCATAGAAGTAAACAGTGATTATCAGAGACTAGGTAGGGAGAAGGGGAGGGAAAGATGGAGAGAAGTTGGTCAATAGATATAAAATTACAGTTAGATAGGAGGAATAAGTTCTAGTTTCTATTGCACAGTAGGGTGATGATAGTTAACAGTAAGGTATGTTACAAAATAGCTAGAAAAGAAGTTTTTTAATGTTCTCAGCACAAAAAATGAAAAATGCATGAGGTGATGTAGATGCTAACCACTCTGATTTGATTACATTCAACATATACATGTATCAAGACATCAAATTGTATTCCATAAATATGTATAATTACAATGTTTCCATTTAAAAATTGGAAAAAAAACCCCACCACACTTCAGAGTAAATAAAGGCAGAGTATGTGGAGGTGGTCGAAGGATTTCTCCCACCCCCACACACACACTTCAGAAGAATCTGTTTCAGACAACTTTAGATATGTGAAGCTGGCTATCAGAAATAAAAATGAGATTGAACATCTATTCTGGAATAATAATAACAGTATTTTCTTTTTGTAGGTATTGTCAGAAATAAACAAACACATGTAAATGGCTTAAATAGTGCTTCCCACATAGTGAGCACTTATGAAATGTTAGGTATTATTACCATTATCATTATTACAATGAATATCATTATTGTTGCTGTTCACACCTGTATCTCAAGAAACAAGGACCCATGATAGGATATAATAATAACTGTTGCATGAATAAATGACTTTGCAAAAGATTAGTAGTGCCCAAAATGTTCTAAATAACTGTTTTAAAGCAGGGGTCCCCAAGCTGCAGACCAGTACCGGTCCCTGGCCTATTAGGAACCAAGCCACACAGCAAGACATGAGTGGCTAGTGAGTGAGCATTACCGCCTAAGCTCTGCCTGCTGTCAGAGCAGCAGCAGCATTAGAATCTCATAGAAGCGTGAACCCTATTGTGAAGGGATCTAGGTTGTGGCTCCTTACAAAAATCTAACTAAGGCCTGATGAGCCAAGGAACTGTTTCATCCCAAAACCATTCACTCGCCTCCCCTGCCCAGTTCATGGAAAAATTGTCTTGCACGAAGCTGGTCCCTGATGTCAAAAAGGTGGGGGACCACTGCTTTAAAGGATGTGTTTTCATTCAAATATTGCTAGACAGTGCTTTACAGAGGTAATAATCGTGTCTTTCTTGTTCATTGTATTTCCCGTGCCTGATATATGGTCTTCTGGGCACTAAATGCTAAAAATATAAATGTTTCTAATAAATATGAGACATTTAAATACATTTCTTATTTAAAATCAGTATTAGACTTTTGGCAGTAACGAGTAAGTTAATACAAGAATCATGGTCATTTTGACTTCCCTCAGCTCTTGTTACTATTTTTAAAAATTGTGAAATGGTCAAACACTAAAATATGAAATATTATGAAAGTAAAATGCTGCATTTACAAATAAAGCTCCTTATGACCACCTCCCCAAACTCATTCCCCTCCTTTCACAGAGAAAACCTTTTTCTTGAATTTGTTGTTTATTATGCATATATACACACACATTCATATATATACACACATATGTATAATAAACAATATAAAGTGTTGTCTTTCATCTTTTCAAATATTATGTAGCTGTATTCATTGTGCGTGTATTTTATTCTGCAATTTGCTTTTTTTATAACATTACTTTTTTTGAGCTTTGATCAAATGAATACCTGACCCATTTATTTCAACTTCAGAATAGTAGTCAATCACATGAATAAAAGAAAAAATGCTTACCTATTTTACCACTGATGTATATTTAAGTTACTTACAAATTTTACTTTTATTAACAATGCTGTAACAAACATGCTTTAAATGTTCCCTTGTACAAATGCGCTACAATTTCTCTTTGGTATAGTCTGAGACGTGGAATTGCTCAATCACCAATGTTACTAGATAATTTCAATTGGTCTCAAAACTGGCTGACTCAACATTCTCACAAGCGGTGTATAAGGTGTCTACATTTCTCCAAATCTTTATCAATACTTGATATCATTCGGCTTAAATATTCTGCTTGTGATGAGTGTGCTTTTATTATAGTCATTTTTGTTTTGTTATGCTATTATCTCTGTGGATTTATATGCATGTTCCTGTTAGCTAGTGAAAGTTGAATATGTTAATTGGCAGTTGTACAATGATCTGATTTTTAATAGTTTGAGGTTATTACAAGTTTTTAGACTCATCTCTATCATATGATTTTTTCTTTGATTCTTTACTTTTGATTTGATTTTCTTCTTTTACATCTTTTGTTCAATTAAATTTTCAAAATCCTCTGCTCATTTGTTTATTTGGAAGCACTACATGGCATTTCCTTTTATTCTTAAATTTTAGCCTACATACTAATTTTAATTATTCTCAAGAAAATTGAAATTATTCAGTATGTCTATTCTCCTTCTTAGTGTGACACAGACTTCATCATACTTTAACAACTGGACACCCAACAGTCCAATCTTATTGTAATATTTCAGAATTTAATTTTACCTTTAAAGATACACATAGTCAGTGCTAAATTTACCAATATTTTATAAAGCTCCATGTTCAGTGTTTCTTGTATTTCATGCTTCCCCCTTTAGTTTCACTTTCTTTTACCTTTTTAAATCTTTTTTTTCCATCCCACTACTTCAATAGTACTTTTGGTAAGGGTCTATGATTGAGAAACTATTTTCCGTGCAAAATGTCATTATTTTGTGCATATTCTTCAATTATATAATTGAATGGGCATATAGGTTTGCTGTTACAGTGTAACATACACTCACAGTCTCAACAGTAACCAATTATTTAGCTCATGCATCTGAGGGTCAGGTGGCTTAGTTGGGGCTATTCTACTTCATGTATTTCCTATGTCCCTCATCTTCCTTGTGTGACCAGTAGGAGAGCTTGGACATGTTTATCCCATGAATATGAGAGGAACACATAAGAGCAAGCAAGTCCTCTTAAAACCCAGGCTTCGCAGTGGCATGCTGTCACTTCCAGTTCAGCCTTTTGGCCAAATGAAGTTACATGGCTGTACCCAAAGTCAAGGACCAAGGAAATATACTCCATCTGTTTACTGAGACAAACTGCAAAGGTACATGGCCCAGGGCATGGTTAGAGGAAAGAATGAAAAATGAAGACAATAATGAAATCCTCTCCAACTGGCATCAGTTGTGTTACCTTAGCATGTGGAAGCTATTACCCTTTTGTGTCTATTGCTGATGACTCACATGTTATAGGCTATTATTTCTATTTAGGTCATCTCTCTTTTCTTCATTGTTTTTAAGATTTGCTCATTATCATTGATGTTCTGAAGATTAACTGCAATGTTTCTAAATGTGGATTCATTTTATTTATTCTACTTAGTACTCAGGATATATTCCCAATGTGAAGTCTTATATATATTTTTTCGATTCTAAAAAATTATAACTTCAAAACATAATACTCTTACTATTCCTTTCAGTCTCGTTTAGAACTTTAGGTATAAATTGGAGTTTTGAGTTTTTCAGTCTACGTATTTCAACTTCTCTGTCTCTCTTTCTCTCTCAGACCATGTTCGTATAAATACCCTATAACAGTATTTAATTCATGAATTTCACTAATGTTTTTCACTTATATCTATTAACAGTACATACAAGCTATTGATTTTCCCCCCAGAGACTGTAATTCTGACTTTCAAGACTCTGAGCTGGTTCTTTTTATCCACCAGCAACTATATCATGTTTGCCTCTTTTTGTTTCTTAATTACTTGCTCTTTCTTAAGTGAAACTTATTTCCTTCATCTCTCAGAGAAATGTAGTGATATTTATGTTAAAGTATTTGTCAGACAATTTAACAAATATATTATCTTCTCTAGCAGCATTTTTCCAACACTGATGTACATATGAGTTGCCTGGTGGTTATATTAAAATGTGGACTTTGACTAGGTCTGGGCTGAGGCCTGAGATTCTGCATTTCTAACAAACTCACAGGTGATGTTGATGTTTCTAGTCCAAGGATGATACATTATGTAGTAAGGTTTCAGAGTTTCTGATCAAATACTTTAGCATTTTAAAAATCTCTTTTAAACTTAGATGTTTTTATATGTTTGAGATGTTTGTTTTCTGACTTACTTTGTGTTGAAACTATTTTGTTAACTTTGTTTTCTTCCTTAAGCTTCTTATGCACCCATCCTCATTTACCTTTCTAATTGTTTTTATGGTTGACCCTGCACAATTCCTTGGATTTCTGATCTGGAACCAAGTATTTCAATGATCCTTTCATGTACCTGGTCGGTGGAGATATTAAGGACATGGTAGACATGTCCAAGGAGAAGTTACACAGTTTTGTTCATTCCTGATCTTGGGACTCCATTTGTGCCCTCCTATCTCCTCGGGAAGTGTGTAGCAACTGTTCCTTTTCTATTTTTTTTTCTTTTTAGCCTCATTTTATGAATGGGGCAGTGGGCTCCTGCCTAAGCTCCTGGCTTGAAGCAGTGAATCCACTTCCCATGTCCTGTTATTGCCCCAGATGAAACACTTTTAACCCACCTTGTTCCCCTGTACCTGAACTCCTAAGTTCAACAGGCCTCAGTTCTACTCACCAGTTTGCACTTCTGTTCCACTGTCTCCAAGAAGTGTTTGTCGTCTTTTTTTTTTTTTTTTTCCTTTTTGAGGTAGAGTTTCGCTCTTATTGCCCAGGCTGGAGTGCAGTGGCACGATCTCAGCTCACCGCAGCCTCAGCCTCCCGAGTAGCTGGGATTATAGGCATGCACCACCACGCCCAGCTAATTTTTGTGTTTTTAGTAGAGACGGGGTTTTACCGTGTTAGCCAGGATGGTCTTGATCTCCTGACCTTGTGATCTACCCGCCTCAGCCTCCCAAAGTGCTGGGATTACAGGCGTGAGCCACTGCGCCCAGCCGTGTTTGTCTTCTTTTAAAGCAGAGATATATATTTTGGTCTTCTCCTTTCAAATTTTACCTGGTATTATGTATTGGGAGCAGAAAGGGTGGATCAAAGTGTGAACATATAGAGATCTCTCAACCAGCTATTTTTCCTACCTTTTCTTTAGCTAAATAACAGAGCCTCTATCTTTGGAATAAAATTTAAACACAGATCTTACAAAAATACAAAGTTAATTATTATTGGTAATTGGGAGTTGGTTCCGTCCTTTCATATGTTATTTTAACTAATCAATTCTAAAGTTTTGCTTTAGAAAGAGTGTTTTTCAAAGTGAAGTTCCAGTACCATATCTTGTGTGTGAAAATGCCTCAGAAGTCTTTTTTAGAAAGTGTTATGAGGAAATGTCACATTTAAAATGAAACTTCTCCAATAAATTAAACAGAAATAAGGCATTCAGGTATATTTGACTAGTAACACTTCGATTTATATCTACTCAATCCAGAGCTGAGCATTAATTCATATATTTAGTGACTGCCTGCTTGTGTCTGCAGTGAATCTGGATAATTTCATCCTGCAAATCCCTCTGTGATATTAAATTCATAATGCTGAAAGAGACCCTTATCTGGTACTGCTCCTTTCTCACAGAGCTGTCTAATAAACTATTTCAGAAATATCATTTAGCTGGAGCTTTCTTTCAAAAATCAAAATAAACTTCTCCAAGTTCTTTTTGTAATATATTCCTGGAACCTTTAAGGCTAGTGACAGTGGTATGGATTGGAATAGTCTCACAGTGAGGCAAGAGATTCCAGTTCAGCTCAGATTCTGCCCCTAACAAGAGATATTATTTTTAAGGCAACTTATTCCAGCTCTGTGTGCCTCAGTTTCATCTGCAGAAAAACATAGAGATATTTACTTGCTCTAATAAATTATTGTGAGGTTGAAATGAGGTAAAGGGCATATATAACTTTTGAGAAAAGTTAAGAGATACAGTAATAAGAAGAACAATGAATTCAAATTGGCTATCAAATTGCCTCACTTTCAAGATCGTGGCTAACCTATCCCTGTTCAGAAAAGACATAGGCTGAGAAAATCAGTAAAGGACTGAATTACTGTGGTGGTCAATTATAATTGTGTAGCCATATGGCACATATAAAATACACTTCTTTTGGTATAAAGTGGCTTTCCAGGAAGCCTTCCTTACCCTGCTCCCTCTTATTGCTGGGCTTTAAATTTTTTTTTTTTTTTTTTGACAACATCCTTCTTACTTTTTGGTTAGTGGGTCACAAGCTTAGAATGAATTCGGAAGTTAAAACATATTTCAGCAATTAGCACCCTAAAAACTCAAGCTGCTTTTTGGCAATATTCTAAAAAGATGATTTCAGCACCTTTCATCCCCAGCTTGTTTGATAATTCACATTCCCATGTCCTTGGACTTGGCAGGCTCCGCAGTGCTAGAGACGCATTCTTAGTTTGCTGAGGAAAATGTGAGCAACTTGAAGATGCTAAATAGGGACATTAGCCACATCTGAACTAGATATACTGAGTTAGTGGGGTTTTGTTCCTGGCTTGTTCTCTCTATTTTTAAATGTGATTGTACTCAGTGCTATTCTGAACATTTTAGTTAACTCCCTGGCGTCCACCTACCTATCTTATTATTAGCTACCCTCTCTAGAAATATTTTTAAAGAAGTTTAAAAAGAGATGAAACAAAATGTCTTCCAAATAGCTTCTACCTCTGGCTTCAGAGGAATGAGCAGACTCTTAGCTGCTTTTATACTTCATTTCTCAGAGGCAGGGACAAGTGACAGCCAAAAAGAGACTAGGAAATTTGGTCCAGCATAGAAAACCCTCTATATTTTAAGTCACTTTAAGTATTCAGACACAAGGTGAGAATTATTCATTCAGAAAAAAATTAATGTTTAGTCCCTGTCTAGGTAAAAGAAGAATGGCATTATGCACATTAACTAATAAGCATAATTATAATTAGGTTTTGTTGAAGGGTAAACACCATTTCTTCTCCACTTCCTCAATCCACAAATGTTTCCATACTAGTCAAATATATGTCATGTTTTTTCTCTACACTGGGTCATTATGAAAAGTTACAAAAGTGGTCAAAAGCCTAGAGTAGGCCTAAGGGAAACTTGCATGACCATGGGAAATAATTTCATCTATTTGGACTACTCAAGTCCTTTTTCTTCCTTTCTTCTCTTTGACTGCCCACACTGATAACTGATGTTGCAAAGATTTCTAACTCTAAAATTGCATGATCCAAAGATGCTAAAGAAAATTAAAGTGGGAATCTTTGGGCTATAAGTCCATTTTTTGTAACTATTCAATACAGACTGTTAGGAAGAATAAAATGTACAATTGGGGGGGAAGGTGATGAAAACTTCAAAATCAGGAGGTAAAAGTTCTGGTTCTAACTCTGGTTGCTCTTTTTATTACTGAAAAATGAGTCTCTCAATTAGGAATATGTAACACTTCTAGCTTTAAAACTGTTTAATTGCTATATACACTACTAGATCTCATGCCTAGGTTGTCTGAATCATAGTCTTAGAAAGTGGAGCTCAGTTGCATAATCTTAAAATGTTCCATAAAGGATTCTGATGCATGCCCCTCATTGACAAACACAAGATCAGCCGATCAAGCTTCCTTCCCACCTTGACATTCTTAGAGTTTAGGGCTCTGTCTCTATCAGGACTCTAGCAAGTTGTGGCAAGGAAGTACAGAATAACATCACGTTTTACATGATGTTGAGGATATTTGAGGGCAATTTAGGTGATGTAAAGAACACTGGGAGGTGTTTATAAAATGTTTCCAAGCAGATAAAGCTTTTGACAAAGAGCTGCTAATTTTATAATTGGAAGACAATCCCAACTATAGGAAGATGAAAACACATAACTAAGAATGACTTTTTTCTATTCTCTATCTGTCTCAGATTCATTTAATCAAAGAATCTTTTTAGGAGTGCTCAGGGGCATTCTTATTTCTCAAATTTCTTCTTAGTTTCTCTCCTCTATTAGTCCAGGGACCAGCTATAGTATTATTAATTTGTATCACACTCCTCCTCCTTTAGTATAATTCAGCCTCTCTAGCTTTCTGTTTCCCCGGAATACCAAGTTCATTACAGCTTCGGGATCTGGAATGCTCTCCCAAAGACTAGCTCCTTCTTACCATTCCATTGTCTGCCTGCCTTTCTCCTTCTCAAAGAAGCCTTTCCTCACTTTCCAGTCCAAAACTCTTCCATTTCCGTTACTCTCTGTCACATTAGGTCTCTGTCATATCTGGCCTTCATAGCACTTAGCAACATTTGAAATAATCTAGTTTATTTATTGCTTACTCATTTATTGTCTTATAGAACATGCTTATAATTTCCCTAATGCAATAATCTTTTCTATGTTGCTTATCACCTGTCTGGCACAGAGTAGGTACATAGTAAATATTTGTTAGACTAAGAATTGAAACTTTGCTGTTCTCCACAATGTTTTCTCAAACAATAAGCATCCTCAAGAGTATGAATAGCCACTATAAAGAGTAATTTTAGCATTTTCGTGTTTTACCTTCTTGGAGCTTATGTGCTTAATAAACATCATTAAGAATACAAACTTAAGGCTTTACAGAAATAGGCAAAATATAATATATATCATGGGATATAATAATACCGTATTACATGTACAATACAATAAAATGAAAGCATAAAATATAAATATTTACAATAAGTGTAGTTGTACTTCTATTAGTCGTTTATTACTCTTTCACTGCATCATTTAATAGAGAGCTTCTTGCTATCTCAGAAACAACACAAAACAAGATTCTAAATATTATTTATATTTACAATAAGTGTAGTTGTACTCCTATTAGTCGTTTATTACTCTTTCACTGCATCATTTAATAGAGAGCTTCTTGCTATCTCAGAAACAACACAAAACAAGATTCTAAATATTATTTATATTTACAGTAAGTGTAGTTGTACTCCTATTAGTCGTTTATTACTCTTTCACTGCATCATTTAATAGAGAGCTTCTTGCTATCTCAGAAACAACACAAAACAAGATTCTAAATATTATTTATATTCCTTTTTGATGCAAGTGACTGAAAGCCAAAGAAAATTCACCTATGCAAAAGGGACACATATGAGTTTACACATTTAAACCAATAGGTAGCAGCCAACACATAGGGACAAGTGGTATTAGGAACCTTTTGCTCCCAGTACACATTATTTGACTTTCTTTTTCCTCCTACTGTACTATTTCTTCCATATGTGAGAGGACATGTCCAGTCCTCTAAGGCTACATAGTTTCACTGGGAGAGAAGAACTGAATATACTTGCCTGATTCTTATTGGAACAAAATAATAAAACCTTACAAAAGCCTATGATAACCCAGCATTCTTTAGAGTTTTATCTTTGAGCCAATTAATTCTACCCTAAGGAGTAAGGTTACGTGACGGCCCTGTGGCAGGAGCCCACACCTTGTCTAATTAGTCATAGCTGGATAGGAGGTTATCTGTAGAGAAGTGGTCCTCTACCTTTTTGGCACAGGGGACAAGTTTCATGGAAGACAATTTTTCCATGGATTGGAGGTTCGGGGAGTGGATGGCTTCAGAATAAAACTGTTCCACCTTGGATCATCAGGCATTAGTTACATTCTCAAAAAGAGTGTGCAATCTAAATCCCTTGCATGCGCAGTTCACAATAGGGTTTCCACTCTTCTGAGAATCTAATGCTGTCGCTGGTCTGACGGGGCAGAACTCAGGTGGTAATGCTTGCTGGCTTGGGGCTCACCTCCCACTGTGCAGCCTGGTTCCTAACAGGCCATGGACCCATATCAGTTTGCGGCATGAGGGTTGGGGACTCCTGCTCTACAGGATATCTCCAGAGAGACTGGCAAAATGTAAATAAATATACCTATATTCATTCAAACCTCTTGATTAGAAAACACGGAATGGGAAAAATACCATTTCCCATATGGGCTGTTGGACCTCAGACTCCAGGCTCTTCTTCAGTCTTTGGACTCTGGGATTTGCAACATTGATTTACTGGGGATTCTTAGGCCTTTGCCACAGACGGAAAGCCACACTATCAGCTTTCCTGATTTTGAGGCTGTCAGACTTGGACTGAGTCACGACTGGCTTCGCTCTTTCCCCAGCTCGCAGATGGCCTATTGTGGGACTTCTCCTTGTAATCATGTAACCCATTTCTCCCTAATAAATCCTCTAATTCCTGGGTGATAAAATAATCTGCACAACCAACCCCCATGGCACATTTACCTATGTAACAAAACTGCACGTCCTGCACATGTACCTCTGAACTTAAAAGTTAAAAAAAGTATTAATTTAAAGAAAAATGTCAATTTTACTATATGTTAATTTCAAAACCAGAAATGTAAAAAGAAACATAGAAATTATAGCAATTTAATTATCCGAAATTAAAAGTGGCAAGAAGCTTGGTGAGAAAAGGTATAAGGCCAATGCAAATTTTTGCAAAGGAAGCCTTGCCATTTGCTATGTTCCAGTTTTAATTAGTTAATTAATTCCTCTGTCAACCCATTCATAAAACTGATGAAAACTGAAAACTAGATTTTTGTTTTATATGCAAGAAAGGAAATTATTATCATGCAGTCCTCGTTAATAGTCCGAGAAGATTGAACCAGCAGCTTCTTCTGTTGTTACTAAAAGACTGAGACATTAAATTGTGATTCCTTGTTAGCAACCCTCTTTTTATACATTGCAAACTACTTTTACATTTCAGCTGCTTCTAGAAAGTTATTGAGATAGTTTGAGATATTGTTCAGCTAAACTTATTATTCTCCACCTTTTTATTGGAGATATTTCATTGGTATGACAACTTATCTGGACTAATATATAACAAACATCTTTTCCAACAGTGGTCAGTCCTTTTGTGATTTGGCATAGCTACACTATTATGATAAATTACCTTAAACAAGTTCAACCTGATAACTATGAAAAAGGTTACGTTGTTCTTCAATTATCCTTTTAATCAATCTCCCAGGATAATCATTCTGCCTAAAAATATGTTTCTCAATACTAATTTCATTATCTAGGTGATTCTCATCACTAATCATTAGAATGCAATTCTCTATATTCTTAACAACTCTTACTTTAACTTAAATGGGTGATTAGACTCAGTATGCAGGATATTACCTGCACGGTGGTCTTGATAATATATTCTTCACTGTAACTATCTTTGCTCCATCCTACTAATAGATGTTAAAAAAAAAAAAGCTCTTTTATTAAACCTTTCCACAGTAAATCATATATCTAAATGAAGATTACATTCCAAAAAAAGATAATAAAGAACTTTCTTGTGAAACTTTGCAACACAGAACATTATTGAGGCTTTCAAAGTAATAGAAGAGAACATCTTTTCAAAATGTTTGCAAAGCATTTTAGAGATGATATGTTGTTGTAGACATGTTTGTAAAAATATATAGGTATATGTAACTTTAATTAAGGAGAGTACAATATGACTATGACTTTCCTGGGTTTTAGTTTAGGATTTCTTGCTAGACTAGATCCAAAGTAGGCCTCAATGAAGCATTCCTGATTTGACTGTGTCACAACACACACCATCTAGTGACAAATGAAGTTACTTCAATGTAAGTATTTGTGAGGTACCCCTAACATACACAAGCTCTAAGTACAACTCTTGAATAACCCTCAACCTTTACATGACATGTGAAAGAATTTTATACATCTGTCATTTATATAATATTTTCCTCTGGTAAGTAATGTTTTTCTCAAATTTATCCCAGTCTCTAAGCTGTGTTTATAACTACCAGTAGACTTTGTTTGGGTTTTAGGAAAATGTCATCCAGGCAAGCTTACTAAGCTGCAAATTTCAGAACCAGTCCTCAAGAAAAAATGAAACAGAAACTGCATGTTAACACTTTCATATAAAAATCAAAGTGAATAATTTGACTCTATTATTAACATTTATGTTGTTATTATTTGTGCTTCAGGTTGTAAAAATTGCAACAATGTTTCTCAATGTAAAGATATTTTGAAAATTATTTTTTTCACCTTTTCACTTTTTAACTGTCATACAGTAAAATTCACTCTTTGTGGTATTCAGTTCCACGATTTTGACGAACACATAAAGAGTTGTGTAGCCACCACCACAATGATACAGAATGGTTTCATCATCACCCCCTCAATCCCTTTCCTGCTTCTTTGTAGTCAACCTCCCTTCCTACTGACAATCTCTGCAAAATTACTTTTTAAAAAGTTTACATTAGTAAGAGCCGAAGGATCCCAACATTTCATGAGTTATTTCATCAAATGAATGTTTCCAGTCAGTCCAGATTTTCTCATTCAGAGAAAGTAAAAATGTATTTCTGAAGCTATTATGAAATCATACTGCATAGACACAGTATGAAGAGAAGAGAAAGATGATACATTCTCACTCATCTGAATATTAGATTTGATTCTCAGAAAACTTTTTTATATCCTTCCTTCCCCTGGGAGAGTAAACATATACTATTTCCTTTAAAACAAGGTCCTGCCCATTTGCTTGCCAGTTATTGTAATGGTTTGCAAGGAAAAGAAAAAATATATCCCGCCATTCTTTGTCACAATGACTTACACTAGTTTAAGCAACAGACTTCCTAAACCAAGAGTTATCACTTCAGGGTTATTTCCATGTGACCTGTGGAGAATACTCATGAATAGGAGGAGAAAGCATGTGGCTTTCTCTGCTGTAGGGCTGAACTCTTCGGTGCGAGACTAGAAGGCAGTCCTGAGTGTTGTGAAGTAATCATTAAGTTACACGCTTGTCATTTCTTGTACATTCACTCAGAACTAATGCACATCACTTTTTCCAATTATAATCATTCCACCATTTAACAAGCACAAAAGGCCTTAGATTCCAATTTGCCACTGATGCCTCGCTCTCACTTGCTTATTTCTTAGCATTTCAGTCTTGCTAGGTTGTTCGTGGTTCCAATAATACGGAGCATTCGCCTTTCCTAAAACAAACTTGCAAACGGAGACCAGAACAGCTTGTCTCACATTAGAGAGAAGGTCATTTTCACTGCCAGTAATTTTTCTGTTCTTTCAATGCCTTTCTGCTATTGTAAATGTATGTTTGGGGGTTCCTTACTGCCAAAGTTTAACATAAATCATATAGTGATATGTTTTATATGTTTCTGTCCATGCTTCTCTGCTGGTCGTATCAAACCTTCTCTGGTATATTTCTCCTTTCATTTAATGTCTCAAATCTGTTTCTGTTTTCACATGCAAACCTACACAAACAAGCAATCACCAGGCAAGAGAAACATCATTGTCTTCATATTTTGTTAGCTCCTGCTCCCTTCAGTGAGTATTAAAATGCTGGAACGATCTGCGAAACATGCTAGCTTTAGATATGCGGCCTTAAACATGAGCTACATATGAGAGGAAATTGGTATTTTCATTTGCTGCACATGCTTTAATGATATTAAGCAATCTAATATGGTGCATACGCCAGATTTCAGTAATGCTTCTCTTGAGAATTTCAAACGGTAATGGCAATTTAAAACGACAGCCTTACATTTATATAGCTCCTTTCATCTCAGAGGTCTTTACACTTTATAAAGTTATATGGAGCAATCATTTCACTTACCCACCACAGAAATTCTGCCACCTCTAGGGCAAAGCTGAGCTTACTTTCAAAATTGACTCAACATTACGGATAATTATGACAAGAGGCAAAAAGCAGCACAGTCAATGAAAACCAAATAGGGAATACAGAAAGATAAAGTAATTTCTATAAGAAATTTTAGCCAAACAGTAAGAACCAAGCAAACAAACAAGAATTCCCTGAGGTTATTTAAGAACCACTAGTGCACAGGACTGTGAACTCCCATGCCAGCCACTAGAGAGCATTTCAGGGATACAAATTTAAGGCTAATTCTCTGAAGGTTGAATTTAGATTAGTGAAAGTAAAAATTCAAAAATGTAAGAGTTCTTACCCAACAGGGAAAAAAAGGCTTATAGTATCAAGATTCTAAATAAAGATGTCATGTTTTTCACCTTGCTTAAAACTATTACCAGTTTTTCTCTACTTCTACATACTTCTAGCAATAGAGAAAGATTTACACACACAGACACACACATACATTAGCACACAAAACTTTTGAAATTTTTTAACTGGATATGTTACTTTAAAGGCATTTTTAAAAGGTTTTCAGGGCACCTGTGATCACTTTTCCTCGCCCCAATATATTTGTATTTAAGAACTATATAGCCAGGCTCGGTGGCTCACGCCTGTAATCCCAGCACTTAGGGAGGCTGAGGTGGGCGGATCACCTCAGGTCAGGAGTTCAAGACCAGCCTGACCAGAGAAACCCTGTCTCTACTAAAAGTAGAAAATTAGCCAGGCATGGTAGCCCATGCCTGTAATCCCAGCTACTTGGGAGGCTGAGGCAGGAGAATCGCTTGAACCTGGGAGGCAGTGGCTGCGATGAGCTGAGATGGTGCCATTGCACTCTAGCCTGGGCAACAAGAGTAAAACTCTGTCTCAAAAAAAAAAAAAAAAAGAAGAAGAAGAGAAGAAGAAAAAAGAAAAGAACTATATAAGGAAAACTCTAACAAATTTGCATTTAGATATAGGAACTTGGGCATATAGTTAATACACAACATACACTGAGTTATCAAGTCCAGGTCTAGCAGAGGACATGCTAGACTCCAACTCTATACTGATGTCAGAAGTAATCAGGCAGGAAGCCATCACAAAGCTTACTAAAATAATGCAAATGCTTATGCCTGTTCTATCCTGACTACCTTTGTCCACCTGGTAGTGCCAGTGTTGCTGGTCTGATACATTCCAAAAACCTTGAAACCAGGCCAATTTTAGCACTTCCAGGTTATCTAAAACCATTCTGATTATTAGAGTTAGGCCTTTTTTCCAAAACCAGACTCTCTCAGAGCCCTGAGCACTGTTGAGAGAAGAATGTTCTCTTTATCCTCTGTAGCCTTTCCCTCCTTACAGCTGATCCATTGAATTTTAGGTGTTACTGAAAATTTTCAGAGCAATAGGTGAAAGTGGATTGTGATTTTTTTAAATCCTAGATAAATCTTAGGCGTTTTCAAGGGTATGACAGAATTTGACAAATTTATAAATGTAGAAATAACTACTAGGTAAATAGTTGCCTTTTAGTAAGTTTGCTATAAAAGGAGTACTTGTTATTTAAACATATTGCATTACTTTACAAAATTACAAAAGACATGCATTTGCTGAAGAAAGACAAGCAAATAGCAGAAAAGGAAAACATAACTCCACCCTTACAAACAACCACTATTAATATTTTAGAGAAGGGTGTTCTGCCTTTACCCTTTTCTTGTGTTCATATATATCTTCCTAACTTTTAAAAAATACATATATGTGTGTGTGTGTGAATATATATATAATATACGTATATATATAATATATATATATATATTTGATAATGCCCAGTGGTGTACTAGCAAATGTTTAATGACAAACTCTCCAGAAAAAGAAGAAAAACGAAGCCCGATTTGAAACATTTGGCAATTTCTGTGTTGGAAATACACTCACCACAGTTGATTTAAAGCTGTCAATGTAAAGTCACTGAAGAAGGAGACAAGATGTGCACAACTAGTTCCTATGTGTGAGTATGAGTTGGCTCCAGCATACTATCGAAACCCCACGTGTTCTTGGTAGCCTTTCATTCAACAGTATTTCAAGAATAACTTTTCCTGTCAACAAATGTTCCTTTGAAAAAATCATTTTAAGGCTGTGTTGTATTTTATTTTATGGATATCTCATATTGTATTTAACCATTCTTTTGTAAGTTTTTGTCCAGTCTTTGCCTTAATTTCCAACATAATGATTGATATCTTGTAACTTAATCATTATACATACACATTCTTATTTTCAAATCAATCTTTGTAACAATCTTTTACCAACTAGGTTATATGGGTGAAAGGAAAAAAAAATGCTAGGGCACTTGGATCTCTAACTATCTTAAGTCAAGGACAAAAAAAGGTATGAATAAGACATAGGAGCTCGGCAAACTTAAATGAGAGAAGCAGGCTGGGTGGGGAATTCTGGCAAACTGAAGCACTCATTCTTCACCACAGAGGAAATAGAGGCCCTATATTGCCAGAATTATTGTTTTTAAAAGGAAAACTCCTGAACACAGTGAAAATGCAATGCCTTTCTGGATCAGATATAGCCTGTGTGCCAGAGTCTTCTGCACATAAAAGTCACCACTGGTGGCATGCCCTAGAGTAGAGTTCAAGACATCGTTGACCCCTGTATTTAATTACTATATGAAGTAAATTTTGTCTCTATCTCACCTATTTCTTTCTCAACAATTCATGAGATATTTGTTGATGTTAAGATCCAAGTGCTATTTCTAAGATCACAGATTTAACATCACAGTATTGTAGACAAGTCAGTGCGTATTGAAACTTCTTTAGCATGTATGCTCAGGTTTTTTTCTTTTTAGCTGATATTGGAGTGTTTGAGTAGAGCTACCAGTTGCCTTTCCTCCTACATGACTTTTTGTGATTTTTCATTTGTCAAATATATAATTCCTAACTGTAAACAGCCCAAGAAATGCCAATCTATATCTTTTTTTCAAAGTTTATAGAAACATGGTTTCCAGTGGAATTCTGCATATTGTTATCCCAAGACAAGAAGAAGAGTGTAGTTGCGCTAACGAGAGACCAATAAATCCACTTGCTGCCTGCTTGACTAAGCTTTACTTGCAGCCTAACATGCAGTCCTTTGGGTAAAAAACCATCCTTTTGAATTGTTTGTACAGTTGATGTAGATTCGTAGCATGCTTCATATGCTTTCGGATACAGTCCAGCAAGTTCCACTTGTAGGCAATTATTTTGTTCTTTTCTTTGTAAACAGAACAGAAGTAGTGTCAGAACAGAGACACTTTCAAACCGCAGAAAGACCCAGCCCTTTCCATACGTTTAATGTCATAAGTTTTAATGCATTTTTCTGTGCAGCAATTGCTTTGCTTTGAAACTTCTGTTATCAACTATCCTTCACAGTAGATAATAAATTTCAGCATACATTTCTCAAAGTGGACTATCTCAAATTTAGAACTAAAAGCTAAGTGTTAATGTTGTAATTTTAATTTCCCCCCACTGTTTTCCCATATTTGAAAAATAAAAACTTTTGAGATAGGTGCAAATTTCAAAGACTCAAGTCAGACCATAGGGTTTAGCAGTCATATGCTAACAAAGTCAAGAGACTTGAGTTTTTTTGACTCTATTGCCAACTGGTTACAAAGCTTTAAGTTTCTTGCTTTATAAAATAGAATGCAGATATTCCACAATTTTTTTTTTTTTCCTTTAATCTAGGGCTTCTCAAAGCTTTTATTTTATTTATTTATTTATTTTTGTTTTTTAATTTTTTTTTTTTATTATACTCTAAGTTTTAGGGTACATGTGCACATTGTGCAGGTTAGTTACATATGTATACATGTGCCATGCTGGTGCGCTGCACCCACTAACGTGTCATCTAGCATTAGGTATATCTCCCAATGCTATCCCTCCCCCCTCCCCCGACCCCACCACAGTCCCCAGAGTGTGATATTCCCCTTCCTGTGTCCAAGTGATCTCATTGTTCAATTCCCACCTATGAGTGAGAATATGCGGTGTTTGGTTTTTTGTTCTTGCGATAGTTTACTGAGAATGATGGTTTCCAATTTCATCCATGTCCCTATAAAGGACATGAACTCATCATTTTTTATGGCTGCATAGTATTCCATGGTGTATATGTGCCACATTTTCTTAATCCAGTCTATCATTGTTGGACATTTGGGTTGGTTCCAAGTCTTTGCTATTGTGAATAGTGCCGCAATAAACATACGTGTGCATGTGTCTTTATAGCAGCATGATTTATAGTCCTTTGGGTATACACCCAGTAATGGGATGGCTGGGTCAAATGGTATTTCTAGTTCTAGATCCCTGAGGAATCGCCACACTGACTTCCACAATGGTTGAACTAGTTTACAGTCCCACCAACAGTGTAAAAGTGTTCCTATTTCTCCACATCCTCTCCAGCACCTGTTGTTTCCTGACTTTTTAATGATTGCCATTCTAACTGGTGTGAGATGATATCTCATAGTGGTTTTGATTTGCATTTCTCTGATGGCCAGTGATGATGAGCATTTTTTCATGTGTTTTTTGGCTGCATAAATGTCTTCTTTTGAGAAGTGTCTGTTCATGTCCTTCGCCCACTTTTTGATGGGGTTGTTTTTTTTTTTCTTGTAAATTTGTTTGAGTTCATTGTAGATTCTGGATATTAGCCCTTTGTCAGATGAGTAGGTTGTGAAAATTTTCTCCCATTTTGTAGGTTGCCTGTTCACTCTGATGGTAGTTTCTTTTGCTGTGCAGAAGCTCTTTAGTTTAATTAGATCCCATTTGTCAATTTTGGCTTTTGTTGCCATTGCTTTTGGTGTTTTGGACATGAAGTCCTTGCCCACGCCTATGTCCTGAATGGTAATGCCTAGGTTTTCTTCTAGGGTTTTTATGGTTTTAGGTCTAACGTTTAAATCTTTAATCCATCTTGAATTGATTTTTGTATAAGGTGTAAGGAAGGGATCCAGTTTCAGCTTTCTACATATGGCTAGCCAGTTTTCCCAGCACCATTTATTAAATAGGGAATCCTTTCCCCATTGCTTGTTTTTCTCAGGTTTGTCAAAGATCAGATAGTTGTAGATATGTGGCATTATTTCTGAGGGCTCTGTTCTGTTCCATTGATCTATATCTCTGTTTTGGTACCAGTACCATGCTGTTTTGGTTACTGTAGCCTTGTAGTATAGTTTGAAGTCAGGTAGTGTGATGCCTCCAGCTTTGTTCTTTTGGCTTAGGATTGACTTGGCGATGCGGGCTCTTTTTTGGTTCCATATGAACTTTAAAGTAGTTTTTTCCAATTCTGTGAAGAAAGTCATTGGTAGCTTGATGGGGATGGCATTGAATCTGTAAATTACCTTGGGCAGTATGGCCATTTTCACGATATTGATTCTTCCTACCCATGAGCATGGAATGTTCTTCCATTTGTTTGTGTCCTCTTTTATTTCCTTGAGCAGTGGTTTGTAGTTCTCCTTGAAGAGGTCCTTCACATCCCTTGTAAGTTGGATTCCTAGGTATTTTATTCTCTTTGAAGCAATTGTGAATGGGAGTTCACTCATGATTTGGCTCTCTGTTTGTCTGTTGTTGGTGTATAAGAATGCTTGTGATTTTTGTACATTGATTTTGTATCCTGAGACTTTGCTGAAGTTGCTTATCAGCTTAAGGAGATTTTGGGCTCTCTGAATAGACCAATAACAGGCTCTGAAATTGTGGCAATAATCAATAGTTTACCAACCAAAAAGAGTCCAGGACCAGATGGATTCACAGCCGAATTCTACCAGAGGTACAAGGAGGAACTGGTACCATTCCTCCTGAAACTATTCCAATCAATAGAAAAAGAGGGAATCCTCCCTAACTCATTTTATGAGGCCAGCATCATTCTGATACCAAAGCCGGGCAGAGACACAACCAAAAAAGAGAATTTTAGACCAATATCCTTGATGAACATTGATGCAAAAATCCTCAATAAAATACTGGCAAACCGAATCCAGCAGCACATCAAAAAGCTTATCCACCATGATCAAGTGGGCTTCATCCCTGGGATGCAAGGCTGGTTCAATATACGCAAATCAATAAATGTAATCCAGCATATAAACAGAGCCAAAGACAAAAACCACATGATTATCTCAATAGATGCAGAAAAAGCCTTTGACAAAATTCAACAACCCTTCATGCTAAAAACTCTCAATAAATTAGGTATTGATGGGACGTATTTCAAAATAATAAGAGCTATCTATGACAAACCCACAGCCAATATCATACTGAATGGGCAAAAACTGGAAGCATTCCCTTTGAAAACTGGCACAAGACAGGGATGCCCTCTCTCACCGCTCCTATTCAACATAGTGTTGGAAGTTCTGGCCAGGGCAATCAGGCAGGAGAAGGAAATAAAGGGTATTCAATTAGGAAAAGAGGAAGTCAAATTGTCCCTGTTTGCAGACGACATGATTGTTTATCTAGATATTCCACAAATTACAGCAGTTCCACTTAAGAATTTTTGACTTTACGATGATGCGAAAGCAATATGCATTCAGTGGAAACTATACTTCAAGTACCCATAACATCATTCAGATTTTTTACATTCAGTACAGTATTTAACAAATTTTATAGTATATTCAACACTTTATTATAAAATAGGCTTTGTGTTAGATGATTTTGCCCCACTGTAGGCTAAAGTAATTTTTCTGAGCATGTTTAAGGTAGATTAGGCTGAGCTATGCTGTTCAGTGGGTTAGGTGTATTAAATGCATTTTTGACTTAATATTTTCAACTTATGATGGGTTTATCAGGATGTAACCCCATCATGAGTCAAGGAGTATCTGTACTTATAATTACTTTAATTCTTTACAAAGAGGTTTTTGAGAATCAAATGAGTTAATACACATAGAAGCACTTTGCAACTTCAATTCCTTTATAAATGTAAGACGGTTTTGTGATTGAGTACTAAAGTGGGAAGGGCAAGGAAGAAGACATGAGGTAAGGAATAGAATAAAGCTAGAGTTCTCTGCAACATTGTTCTAAACTTGTAAACAGATAAGCTTTGGTGGATGATTGAGCCTGAGAAGCCAACTGAGGAATGGCAATACAGATGAATCGGGCTAGGCCAGATGCAAATGAGGGACACTGAAAAGATCTTTATACCCACATTCACAATGTTTGCTATCTTAAGAGATTTATGCATTCCCTGAGGAACATCAATAGATCGCCTAAAGATCTCTGAGTTTCAAGGTTGTTAAAAATATTATGCATAGATTATATTTTTAAAGTTTTCCTGGTCTCAAACTATATTGTGCACGAGAATATTCTATAGACCTAGTCAAAATTGTCTGTTGCTGAGTTCTAGGTTTGAGATTATGGATTGAAAGATGTGAGTGAGACACTGGAAACTGCATCTTTAAAACAAACCTCTGGGAGTCCATGAACTAAGACTGGGAGTGGGAAAGTTCAGGGCATGCTTTGGAGGAGGTAAAATATATGGAAGTTTCATATGTGGAGAGATTAGGAAGATGGCACAATATTAAGCCTAAGAAGAAATACTGTACAGTGGTGCAGACTGTTGCCGTAATGATCTCCAGTGTGCTTGTGCTTTCCTGTATCCAGGTCTTTGATTAGTCTCTTCTGATGTAAACTCTAAGTTTGGCCACTTAACCTTCTTTGACTAGGAAGACAAATAGCAAACAACACAAGCAGAGAATTGAAAAGTGTTAATGCTTTGGGGTATATCCTGTCTTGTTGCTCCTGAGAATTCTGAGACCGTGACTATGTAAACAAACCTGTGCAACCTTGCTGGTAATACATGGCCTGGTCACCTCAATCCACACCTCTCATAGCCAGCACCAACTGCCAAATATGATACTGAGGCCATTGTACACCAACCAGATCTAAAACAGATAATGATGCACAGGTAAATTTGCAAGGTTGGATTTAGCAAGATAAGGTAATCTAGAGCATAAGGAAGTAGTGAGCCAAGGCGTTAAGGAAAAGGCTTTGGAAGGAAACTGCTTAGAGATTGTAATTTAGACTACAGTATAAAATTGGTATGAGAGGGCCTAATATTTAATCTAATAACTAATTGATATTAGAGGGAGAAAGATTTTTGTTTAATTTAGGAAGTGAGTGGCAGAAAAGTAGACAGCAAATTGCAGAGCTTTGAGAAGCAGAAATGCAGTGATAAGAGCTAGGAATAGACTGTCATGGAAAACAAGAAGAAAAGACTTCCAAAGAGACATGGCAGAAGGTGTCAAATGTTCAGAGGATACATAAAATAATGCCTGAGAATAGGTGTGGAGTTGGAGCAGTTTAACTGGTGAGTGCTAGAAAAATTATAAGAAATTCACTTAAGCTTTGAAGAACTGAAAGAAGTTAGGCACAGAATGGCAACTACATTTTGAAGAAATGGGATAAAAGTCAGATAAAAGGAAGAAGAGGTATTGCTAAATATTTAGAAAGGTTGATTTTGAAAATCTGTTGTATTAATAATGTGATGCCTCATTGATTGAGACATTATTAGCCAAAGGAATTGATTCAAGTTAAAGGCATAATTTTTCTCTGGTATTTGACATCTTTGTCTATGATGAATTATCTTTGATATCATTTCTAGGAAATTCCTAGAGAAAAATGCATACTCACTTACTGAATATATATTTACTTCTCGTCCCTCCAAAACTTCACTAACAACATGCCAGGAAAGTTTGTTTGGTTGTTTGATCGATCAATTTAAAAAAATATATAAGGCAAAATCTATGAAGATAATGTCATAGCAGAGAAGACAGAAGAAGATTCTTTTGTTTGTAAAGGAAGTCAACACAATTTGGAAACTAGAACAGGGTGAATGAACCATAATTGATTTGACAGTTTGGGAAAAAACTGAAAATTAACTGCTTGCAAAGCAGAAAGCTAAAAAGCAAGCAGATTTGCAAAGCACAATCATGGGTATGATTAGAAATTGAAAATATCAGGGACCTCACATGATAGGAATTAAAGTGAAATAGGAATATTTTGTGAAGTCTGCATAAGAAACAGTTAAGCTCTTCTACTGATTCTTGAGGTAGTGAGCGCTTCTGCCAAATCATTGTAAAACTAGATTAAGCACATCTGAATCAAGAAAGCTTACCAAAACAGAGGCATTAAGTGACACTCTACTTATTGAACGCTGAGACCGCCAACTCCCTTACTCTATTGGGCTCTAAGCGCTTGGCAACTTGAGTAGACTCCAGCCTTCCACCCACCTCAAACAACATCTGAAACTGGAAAGTTTGCAATATAAAATAAAAGATCCATTAGTTTAAGTTTTGCTGAAAGGGAAATTGTGGTGAGTGCAGAATTGTGTTTCTTCAAATATTGAATAAGATAGTATCACATTTTTCATTCCATGCTGGTGAAAATGTACTTACATATTTTACTCCACCTTTCAAGTTTTTGTTGGTTTGTTTATATATATGTATATGTGTGTGTGTATATATATATATATATAAATTTGTTATATATAAGGCAGTTGTCTATGGCTCTGAAGGCAGGGGTCTCTTTTAAACTGCAAATTTGCAGTATTTAGCATGGTTGTGTATTAGTTTTTACTAAACAAAGGTATTAGGATGACAGTGGAAAAAAAGTTATCTTTTCTAGTATTTTTTGCTTATAATATTTTTGCTTATTTTCATAGATAACAAGCTTGTAACATATTTCTTAATAATCCTACTTGTGTACATTTGAAGTGTATAACGTTATATAACACAGGTTTCCAATCCAGAGTACCTGAGTTTGGAGTCTAGCTTCACAGCTTACTAGTTATAGGACCTTATAGAAGTCAGTTAACCTCTTTCATCTTAATTTTCTCCCTCATAAAATGAGAAAAATAATATTATATAATTAATTAGGGACTTTTAAGAATTAAATAAGATACGTATAAATCTTTTAGCGTGGTACCTGGAAAGTAAATTATTATTTCTTCATCAAATACCATGGAATTGCTTTCATTTCTAGATGTTTATACAGCTTTATCTAGCATGAATATTCATAGAATCCTTTTAAACAGTCAAAATTAAAAAAATAAAACTTTTTTATTTTGCCATCTAAGGGCTAAATCGTTCATTATATCCATATAAGTGGACATTTTCTTAATTCTCGAGAAGTCATATTGCTTTGTAAGCATAAAACAAAATTAGTTTTAGGTGGCATTGAGTGATTCCGAGTCTAATCACATGACAAAAACTAGCCCATGACTTCCTGTGCAACATAATCTGTTTATGCTGCATTGAAGTATCAATTTAGAAATGCCACTTTCCTTGAGCAGCAAGTAATTATCTGGAAGAAACATATTTTATCACTACCTGTGGCTGGTATCAGGCAGCAAATCTTCAGTCCCCAGCACATGATCCCATGTTTCCCTACAAATTGTGCTGCTGAGCAGTACTGTACCTTAACACTTTTAAATAAGATCTTGACACCTGTGTCATTGTGAAGGCTTGGATCTGGACGACAGGATTTTTTTTCCCTTTAATTTAAGCACACTATTTTTCATCAAATGACAAGCATACATTATGGCTCTCCATTCTAACCAAGGCTCGAAAGGCTATTTCAATTTGACTAGAGCAGTTTTCCGCCAAATGGCTACTCTAAGTTACACTGTGCACATTACCCACCAGAAAAGCACAGAGTTGATGAGAGTGCACTGTCAACTATCTTGCACATCGATATGGGGGTTATTTGATTTGAAATTGGATTCTAGCCTTCCTTGATCTGTTGTATAAATGGAGAAGCGGGTGTTGAAGAAATCCTTACAAAGTTTGTGAAGAATGGGATGTACTTTCCCTCCCTAGAGTTTGTCTTCTACTTAGTTTGATTTCAGCCCAGGTTCTTATCTCAGTAATAAATATTCAAAGCTAAAAGTAGAAGGGTTTTTTTTAATCGAAAGAAAACTTAGAAAAAAATATTCTATGCATGAATTACTTGTGTGATATGAGTTGGGTGCAAGTTGCAGACTTTTGTAGCAGAGTGGCTTTGTGACCCTTCTTTAAACATTTAAGACTTAGTTCATAAGTTCTCTGAATATGATGAGACATGATTCTTAAGTACAGAGCCTTCAAAAAAATCTTCTAAATATATAATATTCTCAGCGAGACATGTCAGTCATTGTCAAGATGAAAGTCATTTAAATGCTAAGTTCCTGGTAAACTGTGTCTATGTTGTAGGGCTCTATTCACAAAGCAATACCTTGGAAGTATGTGTAGAGCATACAAAAATATACCATTTTATTATGGGACATACTGAACTCTGAATATTGTGATGTGAGGTTGAGAGGAAGAGAGTTTGCTATGCAAGTTACATGCTTATCACCAGTATGTGGATGGCCCTAAGGGCAACATAGAGAACTTCAGAGAAAACATATTAAATGGGCATGGGGGAAGCATCCTTTTGACCTACATAAAAGGGCCTTTGTGTAGATATCATGAGCACAAGATTTTATTTTCACGTGGATAAAGATGTGCGGTTTCTTTAGAATCAAAGGTAGATTGGCAACACGTTCAGTAAATGGCAAAGTAATTATGAGTGTATTTGGTATTCGCTGTAAAACATTCATCACTTTGAATGGTTCTGGCATCAAGGCAGCTGTAATAGGCAATCCCACAAGAATCTCTTTGTAATTTAGCATTAATTGATGTTCCTTTACTGTAATGGCAGTTGATAAGTTAAAAGACACTGAATTGAAGAAGGGAAACAAAATGCTCTGCCCAGTCCTTTACAGCTTCTGGCAATGGCTAGATAAAAATTAGCTGTAAAATAAAGCAGAGAGTAGCAGTGTCCAATTTTCTGAGAATAAGAGTCTAGACTGGTTGTATGCGTTTGCCTTTATATGTTTATGAATGCCTATTCTTGCTGAGGATTAAAGTCTCTAGCATCTAGCTTAGAAAAATTTACTGTTTATAAAAATTTTAAAGTAAGTTTTCTTTTTAACTGCATATGTGGTAGACTGATTGCAGATGGTCCCAAATTTTTATTCTTTCTGTTTCTACATGCTGTGTGATGTGGATTTGCAGCTCCTCCTATCAAGAAGTTAATTCTATTTCTCCACCTCTTGAATTTACTTTGGCCAAGAGAATGTGATGGAAGTGAGAGCCTACTTCCATTGGCTGTCTTAAATCTTTGTCCAGCTCTCATGTGAATATCCTGGGTTAGCCTGTTGGAGAATAAGAGGCACTTGGAGTAGAAAGCTGCACCCATGCTGGGGCCATCCTAGACTAGGCAGCCTTTAATTGACCTGCTGGCTGACTGCAAATTCCTGAGGAAGCACAGACTAATTACTGGAGGTTGGCCCAAACCAGAAGAACCACCTTCTGAGCCAAGTCTATATTGCCAACCCCAGGATAGTGAACTTAAAAAAAAAATGGTTATTGTTATAATTCACTAAGTTTGTGGTGTTTTTTAATACAGCATTAGATAACTTTATGGTGTGGTAGTTTAAAGAGGTACTAGATTAAAACACATAAGCTTCAAGTTATGGTTTCAGTACAATTCTGCTTTCTGGTGTGAAACCAATACTCTAACCCTACTAAATTTTCTCCTTTTCATATATTATCCTTTTTTCAATAGCTTTCTGCTTGATATGCCCTTCACCAAGGTCTAAATTGGACTCACCATTCAAAGTTCAGATCATGTACTCCTCCTCCTTCATGAAGCCTTATATGATTTCCTTAGCCTACTCCCCAAAACTTTCCCCAGAATTTTGGTTTTACCTGTATAATGCCATTTATAACTTTTTCCTTTGAAATTATGGATGAGTGATTTTTCCACTCCCTCCAAAAGGCAAAGACGTTATCTTATTCATCGTTGCAAACCTCAGTTTACCTTGTAATTTCTTGACAAAACTAAGCAATCCAGAAATATTTGAATAAATAAATATGGATGGCACATTGGCTAAGAAACCAGCTGGATATCAGCTTCCTTCTCTATATTCTTGGTGTTGTCATAGGGAGTAGTAAAGCTGTTCACAGAGCACTTAAACAAATATAAAGATTTAATTCTCTTAATTATTACTGCTATTATATTTTTACTTTATTTCCATGCATTTCCTCTTCCTGTAAAATTTTTATGTTCTGTAAGACAGGATATTTTGAGCCTTTAAAACACATAATAGCAGTGAAAACAATGCAAAGGTTATTGGATTTCTTAAAATTTGAAAGGAAAATTATCTTTTCAGTATTTATTTGTTCTAATAGAGACTATTTAAAAAAGTATCCAGATTTTTCCCTCTGCCTATTTATTCCTATAAGTTGTGTTTCTGGTCTGGAAACCTGTCTTTTAATTTACATAAATATAAATTTGCTTCAAGATCTTTTATACACATTCAAATATTTAAAAGGTAGGTGACTTTAATTTCTTTAAAATAAAGATCCATCATTTAAGTAAACAGTATACATTTTGTTGACATTATTAAAGTGCTTTCATTAGACCTTTCAGAAATGACTGAAATTACATTTCAATTTTATCTGAGATGTTTTCCTGCTATTGCTTTACTAGATTGGCTAATGTTTGTTGCTCTTCCCCTGCTATTATAAAATTGGAAGTATCAAGTTACCTTTCATATCAATGAGATGAGGACAATTTTTTAAAGCAGTGATGATTTGGTCAAATGTTGTTTCCAATAATGATTATAAAATAATGATAAAGATGGGATGGTGACTGCCTGTTTAATAAAGACGCTTTTCTCAAGTTATTTAATCACGTAAGCCACTTAACCTCAGGCAAACTAAGCTCACTTTACTCCACTTTTTCAACCTCTGCCAAAAATATTAAAGGGTTGGATCAACCTCTGGTCCCTGTTATATGTGCTTTAGAATATGAATAAAATATCCCTCCCTTTGCATCATTACCAGTATGAACTCAGAAATGCCTACACTAGCATTTCCCATACTGATGTCTGGGAACCACCAGAGATCTGAGGACATATTCTGGGACAGTTCATGAAAATTTCTAAATGCTGTATTTTTATTTCTATGATAATTTGAGCACACACACTTGCCAAGTAATAAAGTAAAAGGTGTTTGCTTAGAATAAGGCTTTAGATTTAAACTAGTATTTTTAGACTTCTGGTGTCCAACAGAGATAATCTCACAAATTCAAGACAATTTGTCCTTTAAAAATGGTTTACTCCACTTATAACTCAATAAATATTAGTCTATGACAAGTGGATAAACTTTTTACTATAAAGACTCATTCGGAAAACATGTGAATGTATTTATTTAATTAAATGAGAACTTATTGCCTACTGTGAGCCCAGCACTATGACTGCTACTGTCATTATGGTGCTTTCAATATAGAAAGGAAAATTGACAGTAAACAAATAACTCAATAAATTGATAGGTACTTCAAACTGGTGGTCCTTATAAACAAAGACAATGTGCAAAATAACAGGCAGTTTTAAGACTGGCTTCAGGACCACTTGGATGAGTTCAGTGGGTGACCAGAATGTGTCCCTAAGGGCAGACATTTGCATGATTTGAAACTCTGGCTTAAGTAATTTGGAATGTGCATCTGCATCCCCCTAATATTTCCCCTCCTGTGATTGGTGGCAGGACTGCTATATCATTTATTTTCTGGTATAAAAAGAATAGTTACATTTCACGTAAATAGCAGTGAGCATCATTTTGGATCAGTATATGATCTGAAAGAGGAAACACAATTTTTGTCTTCAATGTGCTCTAACAGATAGAAAGTTTTAACTATGTCTTTACATGTATCTTGCATAAATGTTGAGAAAGATTATCAAGTTTTAGAAATTTCATAAGAATCTCAAAACATACAAATTTCACCCATATGTTGCCATTTCTGTATTCTTCTGCTTACGTATACAGACGCTGTTAGAGACCATCCCCATTACTAGTACCCAAGCAGAATTAACTGCTGTTTCCTTCAATCCCATATAATTTGTTGATATCTATTGTAGCACTTTGTATCACAACTGGTCATTCTTACTTTATTTTGCTCCTAGTGGTCCTATGCCCTCAAAGTCTAGACAGCACTATTAACAATTTTTAATAGGAGCATTTATTATGTAACAGGCACTAGTCAAAGTACTTTATAAATATTAGCTGATTTAGCAATAATATGAGATAGATATTATTATTATCCCCATTTTACGGTTGGGAAAACTGAGATATAAAGAGTTTAAGTAACATGTTCAGAGTCATATCACAACTGAGTGGCAAAGCCGGGATTTGGACAATGTCAATCCAGCCCTAGAGCCCATGATTTAATGATGCCTCTCATAGGTAACAATAACTATTAGCTAAGCAAATGAACCACAGTTCTCATAGAAAACTTAGATTCCACTTGAAAAGAGTCCATTGAGAGTGCCATGATGATTAGTTTTATGTCATCTTTGCTAGGCTAGGTTATAGTACCCAGTTATTTAATCAAAAACTAATCTAGGTGTTGCTGTGAAGGTATTTTGGAGATGTGGTTAACATTTGTTTACTTCAAGTTGACTCTAAGTAAAGGAGATTACTTTCTGTAATGTAGGTGGGCTTCATCCAATCAGAAATCAGTTGAAGGCCTGGAACAAATATCAAGATTTCCTGGAGAGGAAGGAATTCTGCCTGGAGACTGCAACTTTAACTCCTGCTTGAGTTTCCACACTGCTAGCTTGCCTTATGGACTTGGACTTGTCAGTGCCTACAGTTGGATGAGCCAATTCCTTAAAGCAGGGGTCCCCAAACTCCAGGCTTTAGATTGGTACTGGTCTATGGCCTGGTAGGACCTGGGCCGCACAGCAGGAGGTGAGTGGCGGGCAAATGAGCATTACCGCCTGAGCTCCACCTCCTGTCAGAGCAGTGGCAGCGTTAGATTCTCATAGAAGTATGAACCCTTTTGTGAACTGTGCATGTGAGGGATCTAGGTTGCCCAAGCCTTATGATACTCTAAATAATGCCTGATGATCTGAGGTGGAACAGTTTCATCCAAAAACTATCCCCCAACTACTCCCCCATCAGTAGGAAAAATTGTCTTCCACGAAATTGGCCCCTGGTGCCAAAAACGCTGGAGACTGCTGTTTTAAGGGAAATAACATTCATGCGTCATTTGACAATGAGGATATGTTCTGAGAAATGCTTCGTTCGGCAATTTTGTCATTGTATGAACATGCTAGAGCATACTTACATACACAAACCTCAGTGTTGTAGCCTACTACACACCTAGGCTACATGGCATAACCTATTGTTCCTAAGCTACAATCCTTTACAGTGTGTTACTGTACTAAATACTGTAGGCAATTACAACACAATGAGAAGTATTTGTGTATCCAAAGATATCTAAACATAGAAAACATAGAGTAAAAATATGATATTATCATCTTATGGGACCGCTGTCATATATGCAGTCCATCATTGACCAAAACATTATTATAGGGTACATGATGAGAGATGGGGGCTACCAAGCAGAACACAGAAGCTGAACGGTTTGCATTTATTTAACAAAAAATATTTTATTTATTTATTTTTAAATAATGACCCTGTGAGATTGATATTCTTATCCCTGGTTAATAGATGAAGACAACAGATACAAAGTTTTAACTTTTGGTTTGATTCCTCCTGTACACACTCCTTATTTTAGGACCTCAGCCACTTTAGGAACCAGCTTTGCCCTTCCCAGGATTTATCAGTCCAAAAGAATGTGTTACTGTGTGCTTCTTTGTTCATGGGTCTGAGTCTTCCTTTGCCACAATACCCCTTCCAAACAGGTTTTCTACAAAAGGAAGCTGCTGAAAACAAAGTCATACTTGTGAATAAAACAAAAAGGAGAATGATTTGAATTTCAATAAGAAAAAGGAACATAAAGCCAAATGGTTGTGAGAGTATTTGTGAATTAACAGAGCACCAATAACCCAGTTAAATAATAGGAATAGCAAACATTTACATCCTGCTATTTGCCACTCTTCTAAGCACTTTATACATATCAGCCCATGTATTCATCGTAATGTCTCTACAGAGAAGGTACCCTTATTGCCGCCTTTTTTAATGATGAGTTAATTAAGCAGAGCCAGGATTTGAATCCAGGTAATCTGTCTGTAGACCCTACTCTTAACTACCGTGTAGGTAGTTACCCTTGAGTAGGTACACTTAAACACAGTGCAGTGGAGTGGGAGTGGGTGGAATAAATGCATGAATAGTTATTGAAAACCTATTACATAGCGATTACTTTATACACATTATTATACCTAATACTCACAAAGGTACTGTGAGCTAAGTACTTTTTTCCCAATTTAGCGAATAAACAGGTTCAAATTGTTTTAATTACTTGTAAAAGGTTACATGAGCAATAATTGGTGGTGACAGAATGAAGCTCATGTCTGCCTAGCTCCCAAAAGCTTACCTTTATCATCGTGCTGTGTTACTAATCGACAAGCCTCAAACAAGTCCGTTCCAAATGAGAATATTCAAATCTTAGAGCTGGCATAACAGCATTTGCTCATAGACCATGTCATCGCCACTGCCTTACAGCCCATCTCGGAAACATACCAATTCATCGTCCTCATGGGCATCACTTTACCCGTGGCAATGCATTCAAACAGCTGCATGATATTCTTGCTCTGGCATGCCGGGAGTCATTGTGTAGTTACTTTTTATTGTTGTTGATTCCTATGAAGAGCAGGTATTAAAGCCTCTCCTCTGCCTGGCTCTGAAAGTGAAGGGGAAAAGCTCCCTTGTCCCCCTGGCAGGGTGTGCGATGGGGGTGGCTCACTTCTTCGGTGCCCCGCTGCTCCAACCTCTAGGGGAGCATGCAGATAGGCAGGTTATGGGGCTCCACACTATGGCAGTGTCTAGGGGTGAATGTTTACTGGCCGTGTGTTACAGGGTGCTCTTTTAGTTTAGCCCTCGGTAGGCAGCTGGTGTTAGTCAGCTCAAATAGACCCCCTGCCTTATCGCAAGCACAGACGGCTTTCAGTATCCCGGGGTTTCTTGCCGTGGTATACTGCAAGAATTGGATCACACGTGGGCTTGGAGAATGAGTGCAAGCTTTTATTGGTGGAAGCAGGTCTCAACAGATGGGGGAGACAAAAGGGAAATGGTTTTCCCCTGGAGTAGGCTGTTCAGTGGCCCGGGCTCTCCTCTGACAGCCCTGGCCAAACTTCGCGTCGTTCTGCCAGTTAATGGCCTGCTGGCCTGCCAGCATCTGTTGGCGTGTCCTTACGCCGCAGCGTTCCTCTCCACGTCCAGCTAGACCACTAGGGTCTCGGCGTTTTCACAGGCACACGATGCGGGCGTGGCAGGCCAGGGTGGTCTTGGGAAATGCAGCATTTAGGCAGGAAAACAGAAATGCCTATTCTCACCTAGGTCTATCAGCCTATACCCTGGGGTGGAGCCCTACCCAGGGACCACACCCTTCTCTACCCAGCACTTTCCTGCCCACGTTGTGAATCAAAAGTAACCTTTTCTAGGAACTTCCATTATTTAACATGTGTCCAAAATTTAAACCTGGGAGGTTAGAGAGAAAGGGAGTCAAAAGTTTCTTTTCTTCTTTCAGTAGCTTCAACTGAATTTCGGAAGAGCAGAAATTCAGTTATGCTTATGGAAAGTATCCATTTATGTTCTTTCTGTTCCTTTTTTTCTCTTTTCATTTTTTTGTCTTACGTTAATGGAGAATTTTATTTTATTGTTTCTTTCTTTTCCAATTTTCGTTCATTTTCTTTTCTCTGCCCACAACATCTTCCCAACATCAGATGAAGTGATTAGATTTAATGGGTACAGCACACCAACATGGCACATGTATACATATGTAACAAACCTGCACGTTGTGCACGTGTACCCTAGAACTTAAAGTATATATAAAGAAAGAACTTCAACAATTATAATATGTTAAAAGTTAATCTAGGGTAATACTTTTCTTCTTCTTTATTTTGTTCATGCCCAATAAAAAATAGCTGCATCCTAGAATTAAATATAGATATGTTGTGGTAGACCATAAAAAAGTTAATATAACTCTTCCAAGGGGATTATATTTTGAGGTTGAACAGCCCATTATTATAAGTTAAAAAAAAACCACTCATCTATTTGGTAAAAAAATGTTGAGGCCTCAAATATTATTTAGCATCCAGAGTTCAACATCATTGAACTATCAAGTTACAATGAAGACTATAAAAGTATTTTCAAAAGTAGAAAACTGTAATATTGGCAAAGTTTGACCAAATGACTAAAACAGTTCAAAAGTTCAGCAAAGTTTGCAATAAGCACCACCTCTACAACCATTAAAGTGTGCCCTACACAATGGAAAATATTATAGTTTATAATCATTGTCTGTGTAATGTTAAACAAGAATCAAAAAGTTAAAAGGTGGGAAGGAACAGGCCAAACTTCAGACTCAGCTATTCTATTTCCTATCATTTCAATAAGATCACCTAATAATAGTTTCTTAGATTTCTTGTATGTCTGAAAACAAAATGATATTTTGATGACTCAGAGTAATAGTTTTTCTTTTGCCAGGAAAATACATGTTTAAATCAAACACCAAATTTTACCTACAATTTCACAATTATACAACACTTTCCTCAACTAAAGCAAGATTTTGTTTCCAGAAAAAAGCAAAAAAAGGATTTACTACCTATTTTTTTCTTTGATTTGTTATATTTATTGACTTTATGCCCTGAAATTACTATTATTTGATTACTTTATAATGACAAGCACACCCATATCAATGAGAACATTGCTTTTCATATAGTAGATGTGTAATAATACTTTTGATTGAAGGAGTATAGTGAGACCATTGGAAAGTTCTCAGTTTGATGAATAGCTAGCTTTTATTTATAATACTAATTTTATTTACTATATTTAGTTAACATTTGTAGTGAAAGACTAGAACAGGAAAGTTGAGGTCAATGTAATGAACCAGAATACGGAGGGTCTAACATTTATTAAATGACAGATAATTTATTAGTACTTTTTAAATTTTTATTCCCTGCAAGATATTGCTGTTTTGCAGATGAGGCTTAGAGAGGTTAATTTATTACCCAAGGCAATAAATTTATTTCCCATTTGTTCATGGCATGGAAAGGTTATTTCCCAAGGAAACACAACCAGTGTGGTGTAGAGCAGGTAGTAAATACCATGCAAGTATATCGCCAAAGTCCAGGATTTTTCCATTACATCATATTGACATTTTTTCTTGTTCATGGCTTGTATTCTTGAAGAATTAGAATGAGATATTGATATCAGACATTATTTACTTGTTTTCATTAATTTGCAATGAAACTTTATTTTCTTTTATCTCATGTATAGCCTAGATAAGTTTATAATTTAGACAAGTAATGACTATCCATAGTGACATATCTTGAACCAGGCCTTGTATTTTTTTAATAGAATGAAATTTTGAATGGCACAGATATTATAAATAATAACACCCTGCACTTACTTAGTACTTTTTAGTTACTCAAAAACAATCATACTCATTCTTTTTTAGTAACCTTATGGGAGAAATAGAAGAGAGATTCTGATTTCCATTTTTGTTAGTGTGGAACCTGATGGGAAGAGAGGCAATTTTCCGAAAGTCAGATAAGTCAAAGATGGCAGACCAGGACTAGAAGCCATTTTTTTGGAGCTCCAGTCTGATATTCTTCCTGATAATCTTCTCTCTGTTTGTTCCTTCCCCTGTCAATGTAACCCTCAAAATCTACAGTCTATGACAGGGTTAATCATGACCTTATAAATTTTATGTGTCCCTATCCTCTATAGAAAAATGTTTAATCTCTAACTCACTCTCAATATGCCCCATAATCTCCCTCCCAAATTTCTTTGCTGTGTTATTTGCACTACTTCTTTCAGTTTTTTTTTTCCTTTCGATCTCCAGCCTTATACCACAAGCATTTCTAACTACTCAATCTAATTCCCACTTTCCTCAAATTCTTTGTGGTAGAAAATATTTTTGCCTTTTCTAAATACCCTTCCTCCCCTAACCTGATAATTGGTCTGAAAGTTAGGCATGTGATGCAAGCTGGCCCAGGAAGAGTTTTAACTTAATTTTTTCAAAATGTGGCAAGGATAGAAAAATCACTCTCTTCTCTGGTCATAAAATGGTAACTGTGTGAGCTTAAAAAAAAAAAAAATCTTGACTATGGTTGTAACCCCAGAGAAAGGCTGTTTTGGAAGAATGAAACTGACCTGTAATGAAAAGCAAAATGAGATGTGGAGAGAAATACATTTTGTCTTTAAGCTCCTCTTTCAGTGTTAATCTTCAGTTTCACCCTGCAAGTTCTCAATGTGTAAAGCAATAAGCTTGTGTCTTCTTACCCAAATTAGTCTGATTTGGGTTTGTCACTAACCACCAAAGATTATGGCTCATACAACTATCAGTCTAACAATGATAGTATGAGACCCAATTCCCATGTCTCCTCTTCTGTGAAGCCAGCCGTAATTCCCCATTTGGTTCACCAGCCCCCTATCTATGCCACATAGCTGTCTGGTGCCAGCTTGAGTTTGGCAATCTCATGATCTGCCTCATATAATCATCGGCTATATATATGCCTACCTTCTTCACCAGTCCATGAGTTCTACACATCTGTGCCATGTCCCAATCATTATTGTTGTCTTCAAGTACCCAATCTGAAGACAGTTGGCATTAAATAAATGTGTCCTTAAATTTTCATTGGATTCTCTTGCCTTTTTGAATGTTTAGAGATAATACGTAATGCGGTGTGAAATATAAGTAAAATATAATCATGAATGTGATTATCCTGGTAATCATGGGATAAGTATCCTGCAGAAATTATGGATACTGCATTTTCATTTCAGCTCTTGATTTTTTTAATAAAAAACAAGTTGTCTTTTCATAGGTGCAGGGCTCATGTTGTGAGAATTGACTTCAATAAGCTATAAAACACAGAGAAGTGTGAAAAATTGCAACGACAAGGCTATATTTGTACTTCTTGGTACAGAAGTTTGTAATATGATTGATGGACTATAGTACAATTCTTTCCTTGGAAAATTCAAGCATCATAACATTAGAAATCATAGATAGCACTTAATAAGAATTGATTATACAGGAAAGGTGGGCTCTTATAGAACATTGTCTCTTCCAGGTTCTGTAATTGGGTCAGGCTTGCTTTGAAGAGGAGGAAATATCTAGCATGCTTACCCTGGGTATGAACATTGTGATATACTTTGAGGATACAGCAAGAAAGAGTGAGGACATGAAAAGATTTATTATTAAATGATGACATTGTTATCTGTTTGTGAAAACTGATGGAATTAATTGAGGCAATCATTTAAAAAAGGAGGCCACAGTTTTCCCCAGTTAGCTGGGTCCTCTCATAGAAGAGTGATGAAAACAAGAATGGTCATAATCAGCCCAGTTACCTCAATTTTTGTCTTCACTTTGGATGTGTATATGTGAATTCCATTTTTTCACACTGTACAGTTGTGTTGTAAGCATAATGGAATCAGACCTAGTCAAATATTTGTCCTTTAATGGCTGAAAGCGAACCAAAAGGGCAATTTAAGGCTTAGTATCCATAGATGATGTGTGTGGGATATTTTTTGAAGGACAGAAATTGTCTGTCAACAACAGCAGAGCAGCAGCTGATAGGCCTGGTTGACATTTGGGATGAAGAAATTTTTCTAGAGGAAAACCTTCAGGCAGAGCAGGCCTCCAAGAGGCAGTTATCTCTAGCAACCCATGATTCCAAAAATAGCAGCAGCCCCTACAACAGAAGCAGCATTTGTAAACCAAGAGGTATTCAATATAAGTTTGAATGATGGAAGGATCTATTGAGTGCATGTGGGTGTTTTTAAGTCTCATCTTCAAGTGAAAATGTCAAGTGTGTGCTTACATGTATTCTTTTTTTTTTTTTTTTTTTTTTTTTGAGACGGAGTCTCGCTGTCGCCCAGGTTGAAGTGCAGTGGCGCGATCTCGGCTCACTGCAGGCTCCGCCTCCCGGGTTCACGCCATTCTCCTGTCTTAGCCTTTTGAGTAGCTGGGACTACAGGTGCCCGCCACCTCGCCCGGCTAATTTTTTGTATTTTTAGTAGAGATGGGGTTTCACCGTGTTAGCCAGGATGGTCTCGATCTCCTGACCTCGTGATCCGCCCACCTCGGCCTCCCAAAGTGCTGGGATTACAGGCGTGAGCCACCGCGCCCAGCCTGCTTACATGTATTCTAAGGTATGTGTGTATGCCTTTGATTTCATTTTCATAGGCATGCATACACACACATATTTGCATATATGTCAACAGAAAATTTGATGAAATATTGTAAACTACTCAGTGTTTTGAGTATTTTTTGTTTTGTTTTGTGTGCTATTGAGAGAATAAATGCTAAACAAACTCAGGGAAAGGGGTGGGGAGTCTGAATAATGTATGCCCCTTTTACTAGTTAGGCTATTATTCTGGCTTCAAATGTTAAATCTGGTCTGTCAGTTTAGACATAACTGAATCAAGACCATGTACTCAAGCCCCTTAAAGGTGTTAATACAAGAACTTCAATCACACTGAGGGTGTTTGGTGAGAATCCCTAACAAATGTCACCAGTCTTACCAGATAGTTCGACGCATCCCCTGATCAGTGTGATGAAAGTATTTTTAAAGAGTAGTAGGCTTTGTTTTGTTTTGTTTTGTTTGTTTGTGTAACTGTTGTAACAGTGCTTGTTTGGGGAACTGGTTTAAGAGGAGACATTCCCTTGTAGTGACTGCAATTTTAACAACAACAGATAAACTCTTTGTAGCAAATCTCCACTGGGGTAGAACTAAAATCTAGAAGTAATCAGCAACCACTGAGCATCAGAAATTCTTCAAAAAACATTTAAACGCAGCTGGAGTCGGCTAGTAGTTGGGATAAGATTCAGGTACCTAATCACCTGGGGTTAGTCGCCATCCCCCTTCTTCCTTGTCTTGAATGCGGAACTAAAAAGCCCCAGGGTGTTGTTGGTTGCGAAGAAACTATGGCATCTGACACCTGCTGGGAGCAATAAATAAAGAACTATGCCTGCCCTTGTCGGTTTGTTCCTATCCTGCTCACTACTAGAGTTGCAGTCTTTTCTTCTGTGCTGGGTTTCAGGAGAGAAGAGTTCTGTTTTGCCATGTAAACAAATCTGATAAGAGAAAGCCATTGCTGTTCAGGCAGTCATTTTTGACACACATGTTTGACCTGTAATAGAGGCAAGTCTTCACTTCTGAGAATTATGGTTGGCCAGTAATTTTTCTGGAGGGAACATCATTCCTAGGCAGGCTTTTGAAGTGGGCTTGGCTCACTTTGTCTTTTTACTGTTGGAAGATAGGTTTCCTGTTAACTAGGAAAAATTGGTTGTTCCTGATGATTTGTGAAAGCTGAGTTAATACTTCATGTCAACCAGTCTTCTCCAGTTACACTGAGGTTGCTTACAATTTTATTTCGAAGTAAACAGATGCTAATAAACACAGATGAATATCTCTTTTATGTAGGGCACTACATAGAACCACAAACACAAAATAGCCTAGAAATCTTCCAATAATAAGGGAGTATAAGGGTATATATATGTATATATATATACACACAGCACTGGCTCTGTTGCTTTATGGTCTGCAAATGTTGGGATTGCTACAGAAGTCAAATTCATCAGGACACATCTTTCAGTTATCAAGAGAAAAGGAAAATCAAGTAGCCTCTAATGAGCTCTCCTTAAATTTTAACATCCAAACGCCCAACCCATCCAATTATTTGCTTGTAGAAGCAATTACTGTAACCTCCCCCAATTTAAACTAGCCATTGGTTTTCTTGCTAAAATTCACACTTTTCTCTATTTGGCAAGTAAGGCAGAGCACAATATTTTGCATTCTGTTAAAATGTATTTTCCCCCCTCTGGAGAAAGAATGAAAATGTGTTTCATGCCATATGCCTGATATTTTCTAGTTGTACTTGTTCACATATTTTTGACTCTACAATAGCTGGCACTGTGAGATGCAAATCCCAGGCATTCTTTAGATACAGTCTTGCTGAAAGGAGAAAACAAAGAAATTGGGTAAAATCTGTTTAATTTCAATTACTAATAAGGTCAGAAAGTTTTAAGGGATGTTTTCCATTTGCTTTACTTAGAATAAGTGAATACTCTTATTTATTAACAAGACATTATATTTAAGCAGAAATTTAAATCCAAGTGGTTCTTATCATTTTAGAGAGGCTCTCTCTCTCTCTTTCTCTCTGTCTGTTCCTGAGTACTGGTTGCAAGTAATGTTACACACTTCTTAAAGAAGAAAATAGTTATTATTGTGGGAACTGAGGAAGCCTACCAAAGGAGGAGGCATAGTACATCATTTCTCCTTTAATTCCTGCATTCTCCTCTAGGCAAACCTTCACCAGTGGTCTCAACTAAAAGCTTTTCCTGAATGAATGAATGACAGTAGGTGTTCCAAACTATTGATTTTCCTCTAATTTGTGGCGTGATCTCTCTTCACTGCAAACTCCACCTCCTGGGTTCAAGTGATTCTCCTGCCTCAGCCTCCCAAGTAGCTGGGTCTACAGGTACCCACCACCACATCCAGTTAATTTTTTTTTTTTTTTGTATTTTTAGCAAAGACGGGGTTTCACCATGTTTGCTAGCCTGATCTTGAACTCCTGACCTCAAGTGATCCACCCACCTCAGCCTCCCAAAGTGCTGGGATTACAGGCATGAGCCACCACACCCGGCGTCATGCATTCCTTTTGAAACACTTGTAAGAGCTAACTGTGAAAACAAAAAGTCTAGAAAAATATACTTCTGAATATTAACAGTGGTTACATCCAGATAGTAACATATAGGTAATTTTTGTTTCACTTTTTGTCATTTCTAATTTTGCTACAATGAAAGTAGGTTATTTGTGTAAAAGAAATTCAAAATTAGGTTACTTTTAGGATATATTTTCTCTTTGAAAAGATGACATCAGAAATCTATTGACAACTTAATTACCTATTCATTATTTCTATTAATATTTATCCAATGCCTGTTAAATGCCAGCCTATCTCTTCATTATCCAAAATCCAGAGTCATCTAAACACAGTTTCTCCCTTCAAGGCACTCACAACTTTGGCATTGTTTTCCAATAGTTGGCTTTATACTAACCATAACTTTCATTTTCTATATTTCATAGTTTTTTTGTATATTTCTGCAGTACACATGTTGTCTTCTCATTTCATCCTTAATATAATCAACATTTCCCCTTGACCTTGAAGTTGTTATTGCTTGATAAGACATCTGGGGGTTTTCATCTTCCTATAAACCCTTCAATAACGCTATCATGGTTATGTTCAAAAGAATATTGCAGTTTCCCTTCTTACACATGTGATGTTTTACTGGCACCATTTATAAGCAAGTCTTAATATCTGTCAATTAGAAATTGTTACATGTCCATATATAGCACTTTAAGTAAAATACTAATTTTGTGAGTTTCTCAAACTACCTATTTCAATCAAGTGAATCAATGAGAAATAAATAGTTACATCCAGTGGTTTACGTTTAAATATTAGCTCCCACAAAAATGTCAAAAAAGCATTTTTATGACTCAGTAATTATAAAATAAGTCAATATTTTGCTGAGAAGAGTCCATCTTTATTTTCACACCTTAACTTTGCAGTGCAGAAAAGTGCGAATGACATACATTACATGACCTATGTTATAGCATCTACATATTATGTGGTCATGACTGTGTTAGTCAGCCTGCCTAACACTGTCCCATTCCACATCAGTAACAGAGTGCAATGCTTCTGCGAGTACCATAGGCTGTTTTAGTGCTTGGTGTTTTTGAACTACTTTTAAACAGAGCTTCTCAATTTAATGCATTTTGTAATGAGATAATTCATTGTTATCTTAAATATATTAGTATATTTCCAAGACAACTTTTTATTACCCTTAGTACTATTAAATTGAATAGTTTATGAAAAGAGAGCTCAGGCTTTCTCAAAATAATAAGATCCTGAGAAAATAATCAAGATCCTGAGAAAGGCTTTTACTGTGTTTTTACTATAGAAGAAAATGCTCCTTTATAATTTAGTCTGTTTTAAAAAGCTAGTACTTTGAGTATTTTTAAAAACTAAGTAAAAACATTTCTTGTGTGGTATTATCTTCACATTCTCTGAATCATGAAATGAGAGATTAGTAGTGTTTCATTTTGTTTTATTTTTCAAAGGTTTCATTCTATGAAGTATGTATTTACTAAATATGTACAATTTTGGACTAAATAATACATCATGGTATTGTTAAAGAGTTCTGGTGTGTGGAGAGTTCATTTTCAGGGTTCCAGCCTAGCTCTACTGTAAAGCTCTATATGGGGGAGAATAAATCACAGACTCTCTTAATCTTAATTTCTTCATCAATTAAATAAGAGCTTTGTAGCAGACAATCTCTAAGGACTCTTCATATCTAGAATACAATGATTCCATGTACATTTTCACTAGAGAAAGACATGCAGTTGGCCAAAATGCAATGCATCACAAGGTATTATTCCTTAATATATGAGGAATGAATGGAGGGCAAATAATCTGAATGATACTCTCTTGGGTTCATCATCCACACCATCAAAATATTGACGTTGAATTGTTGCTGTGGGCTAGACCATTTTAGATAATGGAAATGGAAAGTTTAACAAAGTAGATGTTGTCACAATTCTCACTGAGATTTTAGTTGAGTGGGATGGTTCTTTACTGCAAGCAATTTTGCCCCTGAGGGACATTTAATAATAAATGAAAATATTTTTGAATATCACAACATGCTTCTAGTTAGTAGAGGACCAGGGATGCTGCTATCATCCTACAATGCACAGGAGAGCTCCCACAGCAAAGAATCATGTGGCCCAAAATGTCAATAATGGTGTGTTTGAGAATCCCTGGGAGTGGAAGAGACTGACACTCAGGTAAGGACTCCCAGTGTGAGCATGGCTTCCTCAGTCAGCATTTTTTAAATTATTCTGGAATTCATACAAACAGAAACAAGGAGAACACAAAATCGCTTAGAAACTCCATCTTAAGAGTAATAATAAGACAGCAGTCTGTAGATTCCAAGCATGTGGAAAGACTTTAAAACTAGCCAAGATTAGTCAGAGGGGAAAGAGGAAGAGAAGAAGCTTAGAGACTCAGGTTGCAATAAAAATCAGAAAGCAAAATCATAAACTAAAAGTATACTTTCTTATGGGAGAGATGTACTCTGAAGTGCAAAATATTCATCAATTGTAATACTGTTGCAGGAATTGAGAGTGCAGGGTTATCAGAAGGAGTTATTCTAGATCCAGTTTGATTTTTCTTTTTTTAAGTAGTACCAGGTCCTCAGGAAGAATAATATAGCAGAGTCATATTTAAAGGAGCCATTCTCTCTGTGTGCCAGCAGAGCAGGTAAATACCTTTGGGTTTCCAAGCCTGTAACCCCAATTAAATTGGGTTAAATTGGGTTTTGAAGCCTATTATGTCAAGTAATACACACACATGCACACACGTGCACACACAGACACACACACACACAGAGAGAGATAGAGAGAGAGAGAGAAACAAACTTTTGCCCGTAGCTTATCCTAGAAAAAAAAAACTTGAGATGAACAATGAAAGAAGAACACAGCAGCAATGGAAAAAAAACAGCAGCATAAGAAGAGAAATGAAAAATAAAGCAAAACTTATTAGCAGTTAAAGGGGAATGAAGCAGATGAAAATTGTGATTATTCCACTATGTATTTAAAGTAAATGAATTTATAAAAGAAAACCACAAACAGAAATATAAGAATTCAGGAAAGAGATGTTGCTACAAAAAGGAGAGATAAAACATAAACTGGTAGAACCCTGGAAAGATCTAAGAACAAAATATCTGCCATATTGATAAATGTAAAGGAAAACTCGCTACCAGCTAAGGTCCTTAAGGAAGCAGATGTCATCATGGGACCAGAAGTTCAAGAGATTTACTAGGGAAAATGCTTGTGCCTAAAGGGAAAGGGCAGCAGAAATAAACAAGGACAGCTTCCAAGCCATAATGCAGATCAGACACCTATGAATGGAAGGAAGAGAAACATTGGGCAGGAAACACCTTAGACTGCATTACAGCCTTGAGAAAGTTTCATGTTGGTTAATGGAGAATCTCACTGAAGACAGGACATTGGAGTAGTCTCTCATTGAGCAGAATTCTCCTGGCTGTGTCAGCCATTGCCTGGGAAGCAGCAGGGAAAAAGCATGGTATAGGTGTATATCCTGCAGTGGATCCCAAAGGTGTGACAGCCAGAGGGAGTTAACCAACCACACTCCTCCTACAGGTTCTCTCTTCATAACATGTCTGATTAGCACGCCTCCATAGCTGATGCGCTCATTCATTAGCAGATTTTTCACTTTGGCTCCCAAAGTAAATCTAATTGTGCACAAAGACATTCCTAAAACAAAGAGATTTAGAAAAGTTGAAAATAAACTGATGGACCAAGCTGTATCTGGGAAATTCAACAAAAGATGCAGGGATCATAATCCTAATTTCTGATGTCATTTAATTCGGCAAAAATAAATAAAATAAATGACTCAAGATGATACTTTACAACACTAAAGAGTGTTGGAAAGAGTACATAGCTGAATTTACATAATACAGCTACAGTAGAGCACATAGGAAAATTTGTTGTCTTAAAACTCACATCAATTTTTTGAAACTTTAAAAAAGATGTTAAAATCTAAAGATTAGAAAAAATACAGAACTATTAAAAATAAAAGCAGATATTCTTGATTTAGAATCGTAAGATCTTTCTTATTTTATAAAACATAGAGCACTAACAAACCTCATCAAAAAGGAAATAGTATAAAATATAAAATAAGAAATGAAGAGTGAGAAATAACCACAGAAATAAAAAACTGCCTTGCTCAACTCTTAACTCTATAAAATAATTTAAAATCTGGATAATATAAGTAATTGTATGGATAAAATATATAATCTACTAAAATTAACCTCCAATTACATACAAGACCTAAAGAGATACTTGGGCCAGGCATGGTGACTCACGCCTGTAGTCCCAGCACTTTGGGAGGCTAAGGCGGGCAGATCACAAGGTCAGGAGTTTGAGACCAGCCTGGCCAATATGGTGAAACCCCATCTCTACTAAAAATACAAAAATTAGCTGGGCGTGGTGGTGGGCACCTGTAGTCCCAGCCACTGGGGAGGCTGAAGAAGGAGAATAGCTTGTACCCGGGTGGTGGAGGTTGCAGTGAGCCAAGATCACACCACTGCACTCCAGCCTGGGCGACAGAGTGAGACTCCATCTGAAAAAAACAAAAACAAAAACAAAAACAAAAACAAAACTAAAGAGACTAGTAAAAGTTGCCAAAGACTTTCTATAAACAACTGCCTAAACAGATTCACAGGGAAATTTTACTAGAAGTTTGAAATGCAGATTATTTGACATCTAATTGTTTCAAAGCACACAAAAAAAGATGAACAACTTGTTTTCAATTGGATGAATAGGGCATTGGTATTAAAGTCTGACAAAAAGATATCTATATACCAAATTCACTTACCATTACACATACAAAAATAAAAAATCAAAACCAAAACAAACAAAATGAACCCTAAATAAAATAACAGCAAGCAGATTTGGCAACCCAATAAAAACAGTACATCAATATTAAAATAAGTTGTTTGAAGGAATGCAAAAAAAGTATCATACAATCTATTTTATCAGTTTTAAGATTCATTTTTCATATTCTAACATTGAAGAATTATCTTGTTTTTTAATCGATGGCTTTATTAACACTTTCTACCACCTGCTGTTTGTAGTTGTAATTAAGTTATATGAAAGTTTTCCTTTGACATATTATACTAACATGAAAAAAGTGTCAGCATTAAAACTTCATATAATTTGATGAAATATGATAACAGAGATAAGAAGCATAACATGAACATAAGGATAGATATAACAGCAAAATGCTGAAAACGAATTTTTAAGAAATTCAATGACTATTCATCACAAAGCAATCAATCAAATGGGAATATATAAATGTGAGTATAACATGAGTAATGTGTCTATCTCAGTTGAACCATAGCATTGTGTGACTATGGAGAAAGAACAAAACCACTTTGACTAAGTTCATAAAGAAAAGAAAAATGGCCATTATTCCCTCTATTATTTAAAACTGTGCCACAGATACTAGCCAATACAATTAAGCAAGAGAAAAAAATAGGGATATAAAAATTTGGGCCGGGCACGGTGGCTCACACCTGTAATCCCAGCACTTTGGGAGGCTGAGGCAGGTGGATCACGAGGTCAGGAGATCAAGATCATCCTGGCTAACACGGTGAAACCCCGTCTCTCCTGAAAATACAAAAAATTAGCCAGGCGTGGTGGCGGGCACCTGTAGTCCCAAATACTTGGGAGGCTGAAGCAGGAGAATGGCGTGAACCCAGGAGGCAGAGCTTGCAGTGAGCCGAGATCATGCCACTGCACTCCAGCCTGGGCAACAGAGTGAGACTCCATCTCAAAAAAAAAAATTTAAAAAAATAAAAAATAAAATAAGTAAATAAATAAAAATTTGAAAGGAGGAAATAAAATTATCAGATTTTTCATGTATTTTTATATTTATATCTTTACTTTGTATCATGCAATTTTATATCTATCTTATTCAAACAACTAAATCAAAAATCACAATATAAAGTTATACAGCAAACACTTTAAAAAATTATGGTGGCTGGGGGCACGTGGCAGTAACACAGGAGCCTTCCTGGAAGTGCTTCCATTGGCCAAAGCTGAAATAATTTAAGCAATAATATAAATGCCAATAGAATTGGATTGTCGCTGAGTTAATAAAATAAATATTCGTGGACCCATGTTGATATAATTGAGTGACTCAATAAATAAATGGAGTAGAGGAAACAAGTCTTCATACCAGAAGGAAGAATACCAAATAATAAGTATAGAAGAAATGAAGGAAGTAAATAAAAATCACCATGAGAACCTCAAAGTAGTAACTGCTGCAGGCAAGATCCATGGATAAATGCTGAAATTAGTGGTAAAAACTTCAAGGAGAAACTTCGCATAGCAACAAAGCATCTCCCCCAAATGTTTATTTACTGTGGTGGTTTTAACATATGTGTACATATCTGTAGATACTTATCCTCCAAGGGATGAATTTTACTTCCTCTTCACTTGAATGTGGCTGGACTTAGTGAATCAAGTCTAACTAATGGAGTATGGAAAGAGAAAAGTGATAGCTTTACCAAGAAAAAACCTTGCAGTTCACTGTATCCAAGTGATCAAAGCTAACATCACCAGTAATGAGTTATATCAATAGCATGTATCCCTGATACGATGCAATAAAATTACATGGCATATCTGTGATATTCTTTCCAAAAATCCATAATCCTTGTCCATTCATGAGAAAACACCAAACTAATCCAAATTGAAGAACATTCTATACAATATCTGGCCAGAGTCTTAAAAATTGACAATGTCATGAAGTACAAGGAAAGATTAAGAAAATGTTGCAAATTAGAGGAGATTAAAGAGCCAGAACAAGGAAAAGCATCATAGTATCCTAGATTAGGTCTTGAAACAGAGAAAGTACATGAATGGAAAAACTAGTTAACTCCAGAAAAGCTGATGAAATCAAGTCTGTATTTTAGTTAGTAGTAGTATGCCAACGTTAATTTCTCAGTTTTCATAACTGTACCATGGCCATGTAAAAATGTTAACATTGAAGGAAGCTGGGCGAAGGGTACATGGGAACTCTCTGTACTAGCGTTACAACTCCTCTGTATTTCTAAAATGATTTCAAAATATTAAATTTATTTAAGAGGATACACAAACTGATATAAAACTTTAAGACCATTCTAAAGGGGACTGTTTACTTTGTGATAAGTATACATTACAGTGATTGGCTCTCATAAAGGTCAAGCAAGACTTTTTTGGAAAGGGACGCTTGAGAAGAGACCTGAGGAATAAGTCATCGTTTTGGGGCAAACCAACCATGTGAGCAGCCCAGCCAAGATCAGCCAAGCTAACCTGTCCACCGGCAGCTAACTGCAGATTCATGAATGAATGAGGCCAAATGGCCTCCGTCTAGTCTATCTTGAATGAAGTGAACTCTGCAGAACTGTGGTTTAACAGATCTATTGTATACAACTGAGGTTTTTGTTGCTGTTTGTTACCCAGCATTATTGTGGCAATGGTAACTGATACAGATGCCACGTTAGTGCCATTTACCGAGATCTAGTACAAATGGTTCCCATCATGTTACCTGCTGCAGGACCCCTCTTTGATTGTTGAAATGGCAAATACTAATTTTTTAGTCTCCCTTATGTCTAGTGACTGTGCAATGTGATATTAAGGAATTTCTTCTGTGTCTTATGGGACAGAATTTAGAAAAAAAGGAAAACAGAAAAAAATATCTTTCTTCTTTGATCTGGCAGGAGTTTTGACAGTCATCTTGAGAGGTTGATATAGAAGTCTAACTGATGAGGTCTAAATTTTTACTAAATAACACTAAGGATGGTAAAGCACAAAGATTTCAAGTTGCCTTTGATGATGTTTGCCCTCAGAAATATCTATCTCCACAAATCTTATTTTGAGAGAAACAAAGGTCCTTATTGTACATACTACATTTAGTTAGAGGTTCTGTAATAGGCAGCTGGAGGCATTGATTCAGGTCTCTTAACTCCACAAACGGAGGAAATACAAAAGAAGAGGTACAACTAGAAGATATTGGAATCTTATCCCAACAGATACTCACTGGATTATGGAGAAGGGCCCCCTATATTTCTGGTGCCTGGGGCTAATGTTAGGCATAAGAATTGAGTTTTTAAGATGGAAAATTAATTAAAATGTACAAAGTAGAGAGAATAGTGTAATGAATTCTTATAAACCCATCCCTAGCTTTAAGAATTAACAATATATGCCCAATTTTTTTCATCTAAAATGCTTGTTTCCCTGCTCCCATATTATTTTGAAATAAATCCTGGATACCCAAATAAGAATCTTTTAACAGTTTTAGATTTTTAAGGAGGTCTTTTAAAGTATATGACATCAATTAAACAAATATTTGTTGATCATTATTTTAGTTAAGTTTAGAGGTACCTTATCTGATTGATTCAGAGCTCTATGCAGAAATCCCTATTTATCAGATCACCCTATGGCTTGTGGAATAGCCTGTGTCAGGTTTGCCACCTTAGTCCTGTAGTTGACCTCCTCTTCACAAAGAATATTAAATACTGTTTGCCTGAGGGGGAATAGCGTGAGTAAGGCAGATTCAGCAAGAATGGCTGAGAGAGCAGATTGGGTGCTTGATGGGCAAATCCCGTAATTTCACCTTATCTGAATCAAGCGTTTTGTAGATGCTGAGGCTACAAAGATAAATAAAATAAAGTCTCGTTCTAGCAGAGTTTATTTATGTTTATACTGTAATATTGATTCTTGTGTTTAAAAATCAATTAATGCTTTTCTTGATAGTGACCTCTTTTAAGAGAGAGACTCTATCTGCTGTTTCTATAATGTTTCTAGATTTTTTTTTTTTTTTTTTTGAGAACGGGGTCTCGCTCTGTGGCCCAGGCTGGAGTGCAGTGGTGCAATCTCAGCTCACTGCAACCTCCATCTTCTGGGTTCAAGCAATTGCCCTGCCTCAGCCTCCCGAGAAGCTGGGACTATAGGCGCATGCCACCATACCCGGTTAATTTTTTTCTATTTTCAGTAGAGATGGGGTTTCACCATGTTAGCCAGGATGGTCTCAATCTCCTGACCTCGTGATCCACCTGCCTCAGCGTACCAAAGTGCTGGGATTACAGGTGTGAGCCACCATGCCCAGCCTCTAGAAATTTTTGTTTTACGTATATTTATCATACTTAACATCTCATATTTGACATATTCTACAAACACTCATTGGATAAATGATTTTGCCAGTTTTTCTAGATTGTATACTTTGTCTAACTTTTACATGACAAAAATGTACAAAATTAATTTTGCTCATTCCCAATTAATATTATAAGAAGAGCCATGTAATTTTCTTGTTCAGCAATTCTTTATGTCAGGTGTGTATAGCCAACAAGAGGAAACCAACTTCTATAAGTATGGCTTAGATCTGCATGTTTACAATAATTTCAACATTATTACATCCATGTTTATGAAAGTGACACAAAGAAATTACAGTATATGAATTTGAGTGTGGTGATGATTATATTGTATTATTTACATTTCAGTGTCTGGGACCATTTTTTTCCAACGTGGTATTTGCTTAAAGTAATTATACTGACTGAGAACAGTGGCAGATTGAAATTAAATGTTTGGATTAAATATTTTGTCAGCAAACATGCAGCAACTGCTTTACTGCTGCTGCTTCTCTTCTATGCATACTGATTACAAAATGATTAGCTTTTATTTTGGCACAATTTTAAAATACTTAGATAAGTACCGCTTGATATCCAATCTTCTAATTGTTTAAATCACTGGAAAAACCCAGAAGAAAAAATGGCTAAAAGAAATTTAAGACAGTGTTCTAACTTCTAACTGATCCTCATTCAAATAAATAAAAACTTGCCGAGTCTAGAAGTGACTCTAATTTTATGAAGTCTAAGTTTCGGTTAAATATAAAGCCTTCCAGGTGTGCTCAATGCTGGCAGGTGGGGAGGGGGTGGGCGGGGGGAAGTGTCACTTTGTGCTAAAAGAAGAAATATGTGAAACTATTTTTAAGAGGGTGCTTTTGTGGTTTCTTGGATATTGACTGTCTCTTGCAAACTAGTAGTTTAATGTGCTAAATGGAAGCAAATAAGAACATATGGTTTAAATATACCCTGAAATACAAATGTATTTTTAATAACCATCATAGAAGTACTTGACAAGATGTTTTAAGTTTTACTTTCCAGAATCAAACCATTAAAAATCATTTTTAAATAAAGTAAGCCTCTGATATATCTTGTAAATCTCTAGTGTACACTCACTTAGATTTTGGTCAGGAATTGGAAAGTGCAGGGTCATTTTTAAAGCAACTCTAGGGGCTGACTATAACCAAGACATCAACTTTAAAAAATATTTAGTTTTTATTTTTCAATGAATAAATATCCCAAAGAATAACAAATCAGTTGATGAAAAGCATTATGAACATTCTAAAGTAAAATAATAACTTTTCAAAGTGATTGTGTTACATTTACACATTTTTATGAGTTCATTCATATTTACAGTACAATATTAATCTAAAACTCATTTGTCCAGCCAGGCGTGGTGGTTCACGCCTGTAATCCTAGCACTTTGGGAGGCTGAGGCAGAAGGAGAGATTGAGTCCAGGAGTTCAAGACCAACACGGGGAGACACAGTCTCTACAGAAATAAAAATTAAAAAATTAGCTGAGCGTGGTGGTGCCTGCCTGTCATCCCAGCTACTCAGGAGGCTGAGGTGGGAGGATTGCTTGAGCCTAAGACCTTGAGACTGCCATGAACTATGATCATGCCACTGCACTCTAGCTTGGATGACAGAACAAGACCCTGTCTCAAAAAATTTAAAAAAAAAAGGATTTGTGTTACAACTGATAGAAAGAAGGGCAATCAACCAGTTCTTTACATACTATACAATTTAAGTATACCTTACTTTTCCCAATTCTGTGGATCACGACAAATCTAGTCTTGGATGCCTTAAGCTACCTATTTGCTTCCATTAAGACATGGCACAGATCTAATATGCTAGAGGAACTGAGCTGATTCAAACGAAAAATTATGAAACTATTTGGCTTGCTATATGTTGGATCCATTCCAAGTCACGTCCATGTCAATCAAAATAAGAAGAGTCTTGGTCACAGTGTCAGCTTTTCTGCATTTTATTCTCAGGATATTCCAAAGTTATGCCACCTGGCAACAAACAGGGCTTTCCTCAAGAATTTATTTCTGGTATATGATGATGGAGGTGGAAGAGGAGGAAGACAAAAGGGGAAAAAGAAAGAAATGGGAGGAAAAGGAGAATGAGGTGGAGAAAGCATTTCAATTCTATTCAACTTTTGCCGACATTTATATTGCTTCTAACTATATTGACATTCCTCTGGCATACTGTTTTGAGATTATTTTTGGATACTTGGGTATCACCTGTTAATTTCTTGGCAAAAAATTGAGACAGTAAAAAGCAAAAGCCTTCAAGTTTGAAAGCGCTGCAAGTGAAAAATGGCATAGTGAGACATTTGCAGAATTGTACATGTGCTACTCATGGAATGTATCCTGCTACCTTCCTCATAAAGAATACATTATTTATCTTCTCTTTTGTTGTGAAGCCATACTATATGCTTTACAAAGCAAAATACAAAGAATGGCCATGTTTTTCACAAGTCAATGAGCTGAAAGTGCAGCAAGAAAATTAACTGAACCAACAGACAATACAACAAAATGACACAACTACTTGTATAAGACACTATATATTTATACAATATACAGATAAGGATTAATTTTCTTGGCTAGCTGGTTAAAGCAAACTGTCTACACTTCTGTGCACAGACTGGCTAGATGTTCAACCTGATTCCTTTCCTTCTAGGCAGACAGCTAGACTACACTTCCCAGCCTCCCTTGTGATGTGATGTGGCCATGCGTCTGAATTCAGAACAATGAAATGTGAGCAAGAAGAGATTAGTAACTTCTTTCATTGCCAATTGAATTTTAAGTGAATGAGAAAAAATCTCGAGTTAATTCACTGAGATTTGGTTTATTGGTTGCATCAGTTAGTACTACTTTCACTTTTATAGACATGTGTGCCTGGAATTGGGATGCAACTGTAACCCAAAACTAAAATATTTAGCATTACCTTAACTGTTGACCACAAATGCTAAGGAAACTAACAGTAGAGACCTAAAGTAGAAATCAACGTTTTGAAGAGCTCCTGTCCCTTCTCCTGAATTCTGACCCATTAGCCAATACCCTCCCCAGCCCACCCTAATTCTGTCACCTGTGTCAGTCCTCTGGTATTCACTACTTATATTGATTGCTCTGTTTCAGGTTATATGGACTTTACTTTTGGGGTGCAGCTAAGATCCCTTCCCACTGCCACCGAGGTGCTGGTCCCATATTGGTTGAGAGTTCTTATCTCTGGTCACTCAGTCTCTACCTAAATTGGCTGCAATGCTGTAGGTGAAGAAGGAGATGTATTTCATTCCAATTGTATCATCCAAATGACTTATCAATTTTTCTTTTCCATGAAAAATGATAGAAATTTAGAGTTTATGTATAATGCTAGGTACATGAAAGGCTTCACAAACTCTTTTAGGCATAAGCCCACTAAGATAATTAAATCTTCCTTTACTACTCAGTTTGCATCAACTGTTTTCTTACTAATCTACTGATGGCTTCCTGACTCATTTATGTAAGAGTGGTGTATTAGTCCATTTTCACGCTGCTATAAAGAACTTCCCTAATACTGGGTAATTTATAAAGGAAAGAGACTTGATTGACTCACGGTTCTGCATGGCTGGGCTGGCCTCAGGAAACTTACAATCGTGGCAGAAGGGGAAGCAGACGCCTTCTTCACAAAATGACAGGAGACAGAAGAATGAAAGAAGAACTTCTAATCATTTATAAAACCACCAGATCTCATGAGAACTCACTCACTATCATGAGAAAAGCATGGGAGAAATTGCCCCACGATCCAATCAGCTCCTACCAGGTCCCTCCCTCAACATCTGGGGATGACAATTCAAGATGAGATTTACGTGGGGACACAAAGTCAAACCATATCAAGTTGGAAGAGCATAATGCAGATAATATTGCAAAAGCCTTTTGGAAAAGGGAAAGTATTTCTAGTCTTCCATGGTCCTATGAGAAGCAAGAACCTAGGTGAGATATGATGAATCATCTGGAATGAGGGTAACCACCCCTGCTCCACTCCTAACACCAATTGCCTATGGCAGAGATCACTAATTGATCGCTGAGCTTTTATCCTCAGAGTTCTGAAATTGTTTGAGATCATCAGTACAACTCACCACGGCCACTACAATCTATTTAAGTTGGGACAAGTTTGCTCAACTTGCCATACATCATGTGTGTATCCTTTCTGAGGCTGCCATTCTGTTTGACCATACAAAAGAGAAGTACAAATCTAAAGCTCCACAGTTTTTCATAATTTTCTCAAAAGGCCACTTTTCTGAGTATTTAATAATCCCCAATGTCATGCCGTGTTAGTTACATCATTAAAAGCACAGAAACAATTCCAAGTAATTGCTTTATCAACCACCTGTAAAATACCCTCACTGCAGCCATATTTAAAGATGGAAAAGTGTTCCTATTTCTCCACATCCTCTCCAGAACCTGTTGTTTCCTAACTTTTTAATGATCGCCATTCTAACTGGTGTGAGATGGTATCTCATTGTGGTTTTGATTTGCGTTTCTCTGATGGCCAGTGATGATGAGCATTTTTTCATGTGTTTTTTGGCTGCATAAATGTCTTCTTTTGAGAAGTGTCTGTTCATATCCTTCGCCTACTTTTTGATAGGGTTGTTTGTTTTTTTCTTGTGTGGCGATTCCTCAGGGATCTAGAACTAGAAATATCATTTGACCCAGCCATACCATTGCTGGGTATATACCCAAAGGATTATAAATCGTGCTGCTATAAGGACACATGCACACATATGTTTATAGTGGCATTATTCACAATAGCAAAGACTTGGAACCAACCTAAATGTCCAACAAGGATAGACTGGATTAAGAAAATGTGGCACATATACACCATGGAATACTGTGCAGCCATAAAAAATGATGAGTTCATGTCCTTTGTAGGGACATGGATGAAACTGGAAACCATCATTCTCAGCAAACTATCGCAAGGACAAAAAATCAAACACCGCATGTTCTCACTCATAGGTGGGAATTGAACAATGAGAACACATGGACACAGGAAGGGGAACATCACACACCGGGGACTGTTGTGGGGTGGGGGGAGGGGGGAGGGATAGCATTAGGAGATATACCTAATGCTAAATGACGAGTTAATGGGTGCAGCACACCAACATGGCACATGTATACATATGTAACAAACCTGCACGTTGTGCACATGTACCCTAAAACTTAAAGTATAATAATAATAAAATAAAATAAAATAAAATAAATGGAAAAGGTCCCTTTTAACCCTGAAGAAGTGAAACAATTTAATGGGATCTGACATCACTAGGATACCCTACAAATCAAACCTTTTTGAATCTCTCTATTAAAGGAAATATCGAGCTACATCCTTATCGATGCTACCAGCAAACCCAGATGGAAGAGAGAGATGTTAACTGTAGGGGATTGTGATTATAAAGAAAAAAGCCCTTTTTTGTGGTTCATTTGTAGATGGTTCAGTCTCAAAAGCAAGTGTTCAGGTTATCCAACCTAACTTCCTCTAAGCCTGAGAGGAGTAAAACATGTTATTTCATTAGAGAATTTTATCACATCTCTTCCTTTATTACAGTCATCTTTCTTTTAAGTTACTCTTAGGAACAAGCTTGAAAACAAAGCAGCCACACTAGGTGAGGGCTGCCTTGTCTTTTCAAAAGCAAACGAATGTGACATATTTTTTCTCCACGTCACCTCTTGAACTTGAAAAGACCTTAGGAAAACTAAATTTTAAGGTTCTACCATTGACGGAGAAGACACTTTTGCAAACTATTTTGTTTTGATTTTATCTAGAAGCATTTATGCCCTAGCTGACTGAAACTACCTGGGGAATTGTTTGCAATTGTTTTTTTCTTTGCCACATGGTAGATTCTCCTTTTCTCCGCCTCTATCCTGACAGCTGATAGAATTTTGAATGGTCATTTCACATGCTGCATATCATCTGGGACTAACTCAACAAATTATGGAAAGAAGATAAACTGTACTTGAGGTATTAAGCTGGACAGGCCCAGCAATGCCCAAGGATTCCTGTAGCCAGTGAAATTTGGCGTAGGGTTTTGATAATTGGGCATGATTTAGCCGAGTCTCACCTTCTCAAAACCCTGGTGGAGCTCCGGTGCAGAAGTAGCTGGACCAAGGTTCACTGGGACTTTGACACATCTCCATATCCTTTTATGTCTAGTGTAGTTCCTAGTGAGATCATACAGATGACTTGCTTGGTTTTTGAATAAAAAGATAACTCACCTCTGATCTTTGATAGTTACAAAATGAATGCAGTCCAGCTTCCAAGATGCTGTTGGTTTTTCTTGACCTTTTAAGGATCATTTTATTTGCAAATAAACAGAACATGAGATTGAGAGTCAACTTACTGTGAATCAGAGAGCTCTACCAATTTACTACCTCTGTTACCTTGGGCACATTGCTTAGTTAAGCTTCAAGATCTTCAGGTATCAGATGTGGGTGCAAATTAGTACCTCTTTTGTAAGGTTGTTGTGCAGTTTTAAGAAGTTAATACATGTAAAGCATTTAGCATATAATAAATAATTGCCTCTCAAACTTGAGCCTGCACACAGTTCTTTTGGCAATCTTATTAAAATGCAGATTGTAATTTAATAGCTCTGGGATGGGACTTGCATTTCTGACAAGTTCCTAGGTGAGACCAATGTTGCTACTCCATGAACCAGAATTTGGTAGGAAGGTTTTAGAGCACCTAAAGGTTATTTTTATCAACACTATTTTTATATCATGCCATTTTTATTATTATTAACATCTGCCTTTCCCATTAAATGCAAGCTCCATTAAAAAAGGTGGTAGGGGTGACAAAGTCCCCCATATCAACTCTTTTATCCCTTTGCCATATGGTTCTCAATACTATATGCTTAATAAATATTGGCTGAACTAATTGAATACAAAATGCTCTCCATTCTCCTGTAACACTCTTCCATTATTTTTAGCAATTTATTTTTGATCAGCTTACCTGCTAATAGTAGGTTAAATTAATACATTATCTCTCCTACTACTTAATTTTTTTAGCTTTAGCTGCATTGTTATTTTCTAATTCCATTTTCCAATTCTGGTTGATGTGGTAGTTTTGGAATTTTCATAGCCCCCTGACTTACCTTCATCACACATGTATTACACTGTGTGCCTGTCTGCTTCCTCACCTAGATTTTGTAGTGTTTACAAGTAGAAACTGTGCACTGCACACATTTGTAACCTCATCACTTATCATAGCCCCTGCACGTAGTAGGCATTCCATGAAATTCTGTTGAAAGGGACAATAGATGAATGAATAATTGTAGAAAGTTCTCCTAAAAAGGATCAGCTTCTTAACATTTGGGCATCTGAACTGTAAGAGACAATATTTTTTGTCTTTTATTACCTGACCAGTATTTTTTAAAAAATAAAAACAGGTTGAGAATTAGAGTCTTGTCTGTTTCCATCCAAGGCGTGGCCCAAACTCTGGATTAGGACTAGAAGGCCAAGATTTCCACAAATTCTCACACTTCCTGGAGCATGACCTTGAGCAGGTCAGGCAGCCTCTGTGACCCAGGCCAACTCTTCTCTGAAGCCCTTGGGGCTGCATTTCCAGACAGGACATAGCTAAAGGAAAAGGCTCTGGATTTGTTCTTCTCCTAGGTGTGCTTCTGGAAGCCTGTGAGGAGGCAGGTTTTGGGGTGGGTTTGGCATCAGCTGCAGTCATCTCATCAGTTCTTTCCCTACCTTAAACCCAAGGTAGACTTAGAGATTGACTAATTGGGGGACTCTGATTTATACGTTTGTTGAAACCTTGTCCTGAAAAACAGTAAATCAGGGAAAAATTTGAACTCCACCCTCTGAAATTTTCTATAAACTCTAATCTCCAACTGATGTAATTCAAATTGTTTAGCTGATTTATCAATGCCATAAATTTTCTCAGCGCTGTGATTCTCAATCCTAGCTGCACATTACAATCACCTGGGGGGCACTTTAAAAAAATACGGATGCTGGGTGAGAGCAACTGAATCATATTCTATTGGAGCCAAGCATCTTTGTTTTTTAAAAGCTGCTTAGGCAATTCTTATATGCAGCTAAAGCTGAGATTCACTCTTTTACTGTTTTTAGTAAATACCTGCATTACAGAGTTTCCTATGCATCTAGTAATGTAGCTGAACGAATAATAGGTAAAAGAAGGCTTATCTAAATGTTTAAACTATAATTATTGCTTTGCATATGATATGTCTTCAGTAAGTTATCGATTGAATAAACATTATAATTTTAAGCCACTACTATTTAGTCTTTGAATTGGTGGAAAGAAAAATGGATGGGAACTTTTCTTTTGGTTTCTTGTTTCAAAGGAAACATATGGTTCTTGTTGCTAAGGAAACAGTCATCCATTCATGTTCTTCATTCCATCTTTGGGTCACGCCCAGTGCTGATCATGTCAGGCCTTCAAGAGAAAAGTATTTTTAAATCATTTTAAAAATGATTTAAACCATTTAAAACCAAGTTTTACTGGCTCAAAAAACTGTTGCCATGTTTTGTTATATACCCAATGGCCAGAATTGTCCTTCCAAGTACTGGGAATTAGCTTAAAGCTCTCTCATGGGGGAAAAAAAAGTTCTATTGCAGGATGAAGGACAATGATCTCGAGACTAATCCAAAATATTTGAAAACTATATTACAAGTTAAGGCTCACATTAAAACACAGCCACAAGGGCCTGGACAACAGAGAAGCAAGTGAGGTGTATTGGATGCAGAATTTAAGGCCCTTCCTAAAATTTAAGTGGGTGCTTCTTTAAAGTTTACACCCAAAGCACTTTACTCACCTTACCCTTGTGTCAGCCCTGAGAGTCACTTCTAGGGCAGAAAGACATTCTATTCCTACACATTTCATCAAGAAAAAGGAGTAATTTCTTTACATTAAACTGTAAAAACTATAGAGACACTGAAGATAATTACAGAGCTTGGAATGTAGCCAAACCACTAAGGTTAATATCTTTGCTCTGAAGGCAATGGGACTTAGGACAAGATATGGTCAGGGCCTCAACTACATATCTCATCTGTAAAATGGGTGCCCATTTGTAACTTCCTTCCCAACAGTTCTATGCCACCTCTTTTGCTGGCAGGACCATAACTGTTCAAGTGTCCATGAATCTCACATATACCTCATGGGTGAATTCTAATTAGTTTAAGAAAACCATGGTATCTCATGCCCTTTGCCCAAGATTGGTGAGGGATCAGTATGTGACACATTTCTCAACAATATGACAAGAGAAGAGATCTTTGGCATAAAGTTTTCTTGCTCTTAAATAAATATGCACAGGGGAACAGTCCCACTTCTTCTACTGAATATTTTTTGTCTGCGTGGGGTGCTTAGAACCATGGCAGTATTTTTCAGTCAAAAGGAGAGCTATGTGAGAATAAAGCTAATATGATGAACATGGGAGAACAGAACAATAGAAAGATCTTAAATCTTTTATTTCGATGTTAAACTGCTAAATTGACCAATAGTAGAGCCACCTTACTTTTTGTGATGCTTAAATTAAGACAAATACATATGTGTATATATAGATGTATGCTTTTATTGCTTAGGCCAGTTTGTCAGGGTTTTCTGTTGCTCTCAGCCAGAGAACCCTATATTCAAAATAATGTTATTTTTTATATGCTTGATGAGTAATAATTTCAGCAGTGCCTAGATTTAAGAGTAAAGAAATTCAAAGTATGGCATTAAAAAAAACTATGTCATGATTTTTGGCTAAGAATAAAAAATTAAGAGAACATCATGAATGGAAAAAATAACATAGTTTGTTTAAGAAAATTAATTTATGTGAACTCAATATCTTTTTTTTTTTTTTTTTTTTTTTTTTGAGACAGAGTTTCACTCTCGTTGCCCAGGCTGGAGTGCAATGGTGCAATCTCGGCTCACTGCAACTCCTGCCCCCCAGGTTCAAGTCATCCTCCTGCCTCAGCCTCCTGAGTAGCTGGGACTACAGGCATGCACCAACATGCCTGGCTAATTTTTGTACTTTTAGTAGAGATGGGGTTTCACCATGTTGGCCAGGCTGATATTGAACTCCTGACCTCAGATGATCTGCCCACCTCAGCCTCCCAAAGTGTTGGGGTTACAGGTGTGAGACACCATGCCCGGCCAACTCAATATCTTATACTAGTATTTCTATCTTGGCACTACTGACATTTTTGGTTGGATAATTTTTTATTGTAGTGGGGTGTCTGTGCATTGTAAGATGTTAAGCAGCACCCCTGGCCTCTATGCACTAGATGACAGTAGCCTCCCTCCTCCCCATCCCAAGTTCCAGTTGTAACAAGAATGTCTCCAGACATGACCAAATGTCACCCCTTGTGGGAGTGAAGATGGGGAAGGAGCCAATAAAACAAACTAGTTGAGAACCACTGCCTTAGACTTAACTGGCCGTGAGAAGAAAAATTTTAAAACCCTGATTTTGCAGAAACAGAAAAATTTTTGCTCAGTTTCTTTTCAACTCATTAGCAAGTGTTAAATGCATATTTTCTGTGTTCCAAATACAAGATTTGTTACAGTTAGGGAACCCAGAATATTACCATGGGAGCATAAATTTTACTTACTTTAGGTACAGTTATCTTTTCAGTGCTTAGCAAAGTGCCTAGCTTATGGTAGATTCAATAAATTCTCTAAATGAAGGAAGAGATGAGGGATGGATGGATGGATGGATGGATGGATGGATGGATGGATGGATGGATGGATTAGAAAAATAACTCCTTAAACTACTTCATGAAGACAAAATTAATCCATTCAAAATCTAATTTGACAACAATGAAGTGGCAATCTGTATAAAATAACAAAGTGCTATAGGAATCTGGAAAATAGTGTTACCAAGGAGAACTAACAGGGTAAGGATGGAGAATGTGATTAAAATAAAAGAAAACAAACAAAATCCCTCCAGAGGCTACAGGGAAAAAAAATGAAACTTGGTGACAAAGTAGAAAAAGAAGGTGAAGGAAAACAGCAGCCAATTATGAATTTTAAGGCAGTTGGCTCCAAACTTTTCTCCAATTCCAGGGATGTGGAACAAAGGAAGGAAGGAAGGAAAAATGTCAGTAGAAAAGGAGCCTTCGATCATTGTTTCAACTAGAACTATTATACTAGCATCTTTATTAGTTCATTTTATTAAATTTGAATAAGAGAGTAATAGCTTTTAGAGAAAACAGTCTAAAAACTGATTTCCTAGGAACAAAGGACATTTGAAAACCTGTGGTACTGCTGATTGACTTACATAGACTGAATGAGAGGGGAAGAAGTAGTATGTGGTTGGGGAGTGGAGAATAGTGAATTTAGCTTCAGACAGGTGAATTTGAGGTATGGGTGTAACATCTATGTGATAAGACCCTGGAGCCAGATGGAAATAGGCTTTAGAACCTAGACAAGAAGATAGGGCTAGAGTGTGGATCTGGGTATCATCTATACAGAGATAAAGTGATGCAAGGAATTAATAAAGAAGCTAGGGAACAGAGGTTAAAGGGAATCTGTGATCAGAGGAAATAAATAAAATAATTTGAAGCATCTAATGGTCATACTGAAAGCAGAAGAACCAGCCAGTGAAGAAAGAAGAAAATCAGGAAATTGTAATCCCATGAGATGTTACATCAATGATAGACAGCCATCATAGACATATACTTAGAAAGTTGGAAGAAGATGAAGTCGAAAATGGGCCCTGTATCTGTCAGCAGGGAGAGAGTTAATCATACTTAAGGCAGCAAAAAAAAAAAAAAAAAAAAAAAAAAAATATATATATATATATATATATATATATATCTTTTCAGTTGTGTATATGACTGGACAAAAGCCTACACAAATGTTCTATATCACTATGAGAGCTGGAAAATATGCTTAAGTGTGAGCTATTTTGCAAAATTCCCAGAGCACAACTTGACATTAGTGGGGGCTGATATGCCAAAAAAAAATGAATTACTAATGTAGACTAAAATAAGCCACTATAAAATCTCTAAAGCTATCTTATTGCATTTAACAATTCTTTTCCAAGAGTTGGACAGCTTTTCATGACTTCCTACGCAAGTGAAATCTGGATCGTGTCTTAAGGGAAACCCACCTACTCAGTTTAATTTTACCCAGCTCAAGTCTTTTACCAGAAAGGGAGGCAAGATGAATTGCTTGGGAAATGGATAAAGGAGCTAGAGACAAAAGAGGGAGGGTAGGAGAAAGAAATCATCCCAAGCCAGTGCTATTCTAATTATTTTTTTGGTGTCAAAAACTAACACCTACCAAATGAAATCTTATTTGGAAGTCAAGATAAATGATTCTGAGAGACGCGGGGCTGCTGTGGCTAAAGTGGGATTGGGGGAACCCTGCCTTCTGGCTTATGTCCTTGAACATTTATGAAAACTCTCTTTGGACCCCCTTAAAGTGCAACTGAAAACAATATACTGAACCCCTTCTCCAATAAAAATCAGAAGCGCAGACATACTCAAGATCTTCCTCAAGGTGACTCAGCTAGCTAATGACCCAAACAGAATGAGAACCCAATTGTCCTTAGTTTTGTGCATTGTGTTCAAGCTGCAGACACATCAGGGGGCTGAAGCAGGATGATATTTTCCCCTGATCTTTGAATGTCTCAGAAAAGCTGTCCAAATCAAATATTTCCTTTTCTAAACCTCATGTCTCTCATTAACTGATTTAAGTAAAAATAAATAAAAATTCATTTTCCAGAAATGGAATAGTGGAGTAATTCACCATCCATTTTGTACTTTCTTTTAATTGATACGTAAATAAATACATACCATTTCAGCCAAGGTGGGTGGATAGCTTGAGCTCAGGAGTTCAAGACCAGTCTGGGCATCATGATGGAACCCCATCTCTACAAAAAATACAAAAATTAGCTGGGTGTGGTGGCATGTGACTGTCAACTACTTAGAAGGCTGAGGCAGGAGGATCACTTGTGCCTGGAAGGTTGAGGCTGCAGTGAGCCTAGATTGCACCACTGTACTCCAGCCTGGGTGACAGAGACCCTCTCTAAGAAATAAAATTAATTACATACCAAAGTCAGTCAAGCTTGGTCTCTCATTTAAAGATTCTCTGCCTTGAAGTGCATTTAAACTACATAAATGGAAAGAGTGTGGTGGGAAATGACATCTTGTCCCCATTTGCACATTAACAAGAAAATCAGATATAGCTATAATTTAACTTTAATAAATCAAATTCTTTTGGAAATATTTGATGGTCTGATTCCAAAATCAGATTCGTTTGGTACTGGCTCCACAGCTGTTAGCGGCTTTTGTCAGTGTCTGTGTAGGAGAAAACATTTAAAGGCTAGTTCTATGTCTACAGAGCCCAAACCTAACTCCTATTCTGACAGGCAGATTTTATAGTGGTTTATTTTGGTCTACATTAGTATTTCATTTTTTGGCATTAAAGCCTTATCCAATGTCAAGCCTCTATCTCTCCCTATACAAGCTCTGTGATTTCTTTAAAAACAGGAAACTGATAGCTTTAAAAAATGTTGTTTGCTCTGTGTAATAATAGCTAAGCAGTGCCTGTCAACCAACTTTGTTAGAGCATCACACTGGACAGGAACTGCAATGAGGCTGTGACTATTCAGCCACTTCCAACAAAACAGAAGAGAATTCCTAAATACTGCATGAGTTCTTGTCTCTGTTATTTGTTGTTTTCTACTGGCTACTTAAGAGCCAGTGATGATATTTTTCCTCTCAATCTTTCCAGTGAAGTGACTGGCATATATTAGGCATATTAAAAATACTCTTGAAAACTGAAAGTAGTCTTTCATATAGATCAGACAAAAGTGGACTCATTGTAGTCCAGGAGATGATATTCAGGTCAGGATCTGGTATTCTACATACTACATGTGCTCAGGATGGTCATACATCATCTCGCAGGGATTACAGGCAAAGGGGACAAAGTTTCCTTATACAGTCTGTTGCATCTACAAAACATGGAAATAATTTGCAGTCAGGTCAAATGCCTTTGGAGAATGTGATTCATTGCACTGTTCATGACCTATACTGAATTTGAGTTCGGAGATCTTCATCTCAGTTTGAAACTAGGTAGATTTATGGGTCTGTCCGCACTGCAAAGTCCTTTGACGTCATCTCAATAGGAAGTGTACTTGGTAGGGAGAATATTAAGGAAATAGCTATAACTATATTAAAGAATATTAATTGGCCAACTAAAAGGCAAACAATAGTTTATTTCTCCAAAAACATAAATATTTAAATCATTTATTTGACTGGTCATTTAGGAAAAACAGATGGTTTAAATGATTTTACATATAGAAGTAACCAATGCCTAGCTGAGGAAAACAATGAACTAATGCTATGCCAAAGACCTTTTCTTTTTGCTTTCTCAATATCATATATTACTCAATATTATATATTATTGACATATCAATATCAATAATATATATATGCATAGGCACAGGCACATATATACACAAATATACACACACATGGAATCTCACAATATAAATATAGATAGATATAGATAGGTATTGATAAATATAAATGTTTAAATAACTTATGTTAAGTAAAAGAAAAAAAGAACTAATACAATCCATATTTGCCAACATGATTAGTTACATCTCTATTAATAAATATGTAGACTAAACATCAATCTGAACATATTCTGAGCAATCTTAGATACTTCAAGCTTGACAAAAGAAAAAGAATAATACAACTAAAAAAAAGTGTTTTTAGGAAAATGGAGCCTTTAGCATTAACATTTGTAATACATTTTTCCTACTGTGATGTTATTTTTCACCCTGAACAAATTTTTGTGTTTTGTGTGTGGTGGGGGCATGTAATAGAAAGAAGACTGCTACTTTATGAGGGCTATACCACATTCCTTTGGCATTGTCTGAAGGAAAGAGTTTGAGATAGGAGGGAGCTCTTCAAAGTAAGTTAGCAGGAATTTTTAAGTTTAATGAGGGAAGCAGAAAAGTGAGACTCTCTGAAAGGAGAGAGCAGACCACAGCAACATGGCAGCATGTTGGGGATTTGAGGAAGAAGGTCCAAAATGGACTCCCTGTAGTGATGATAGGAATTTTAGAAACAGTGATGTCTCATAGTTGGATGAAGTTGTTTCTAATCCTGTGCAGCATTTTCCTTGCATTATCCCCCAAGAAATAATAAAAATCTGGAAGTCACAGAAGCACTCTGTTAGTGGCACCTTGGAAAATAAAGGAGAAAGAGCTATAGCCATGCTTGGTGTGAATTGTTGAGGAAAAATACACAACATAGAAGGATAAAGGGACACAATATATAATTACTCAAATATTTGTTCATCAGAGTGTTTTGATCTATACCAATAAGCTGTGAGCTCCGAAAACAGAAACCATTCAAGTCTCATGCACTGATATACCCCAGTACTGGGATCATGAACAATACCTGGTTTTAACAAAGTAGTCAATAAAATCTGTTGAATTAACAAATGAATAAAAATTAATCAGAGAACATGAGTTCAAGTTGATAAAAGACAAACAGCCATAAGTACCTCCAATTTTTCAACTGGAGAAGGTCCTGAACTTCTTGCAGAGATAAAGAATGAAGAAATTGGGAAATTTAAATTAGGCTTAGGATATTGAAAGAAAAGGCAACTGTTCTGTTTCACCCCTAATTTAGTGGTCCGCAATACTATTCTGATGCTAACCACCTGGAGCTAGCCTGAGATGCCACAAGTGAAAAACACAATCCTCCACAAGACTTCCCTTACTTCAGATACCAGTCTCACTTTGGGGGGTCCCCAGGACACTCATACTTCTGATAAATTGGCTATACATTTGGGGATTTCTATGACCCCCTCAGGTTTGATAATCCACTAGAACAACTCACAGAACTCACTAAAGTGCTATACTTAAAATCAAAGTTTTATTATAAAGGATACAAGTAAGGACCAGCCAAATGAAAAGACATACAAGGTGAAGTCTGAGAAGGAGGGATATCCAGAGATGTTTTTTCAGATTTCGACTCATCAAAACCTCAGTTCATCAAAACCTCAATGTATCCAATGAAAACATTTAAAACTATTTTTAAAATTTTCAATAATTTATTATTGTTTTTGCTCCTGCCATATCTAAAATCTCACTCAATAAAAAGTTGCTGCCAGAAATATCTAGGTAACATTGGAATTTTTATGTATTACGTTCATTGATGCCACTCTGTGTAAAGGTCTGGATTCCAAATCTGATAAGCAAACCTTTCATGGACAGTACCACTGATGAATAATTGCAGATGTAAAATTAGTTCTATTATCAATTCTCCAAGTCCCCTGCACTTATGGAGTCAAGAATATGGCCATTTAAAAATCAACAGACATATACATCTATGTTATAAAAGAACTCAAGCACATCAAAAAAGCACTCATAAATTAGGCAAAGGATTCAGGTTTAACATTTTAAAATAATTTTAGTAAAAAATAAAATTCCCTTTCAGGAACCCTCTGCCTCTAGGATCTAATCAGTATTCAGGAAGCTTTACTCATGCCCTTCTGCCTTTTTGGAAGCTCAGTTATTTCATAAAGACATGACAAAGCTTTCTCATCATTCATTTTTTCATTTACTCATTGAACGTCTACTATATATCAAGCACGATGCTAGGTTCTAGGGATCTAGAAGTAAAGAGAACAGGCAAGGTTCTTCATCTCATGGAGCTTTATTCTTGTAGCAGCTTGCAGGAAGCAGATGATATAAAGCAAACACATTACTAAACAAGAAAATTACAGACTGTGAAGAGTTCAACTGGAGGAAATAACTAGGGGAGGACACAGTAACTGAAGAAAGCGCTTTAGAAGTTTAATCAGGGAAGGTCTCTCTGAAGAGGTGATATTTGAAGTGGGACTCAAAGGATAAAGGAGAAGAAAGGTCATTCCGGGCAGAAAGGTAAATTAGAGCTCCACCTTGGAGGTAGAAAAGGGCTTAGTAAGACAGAGGCTCAGTGTGAGAAATGGCAAATGGTGTAGGGTGAAGCTGGGGGAACATGCTTATTTGGCCATGGTGATAAACTTGGAATTTATTCTGAGTACAATCAGAACTCACTGGAAGAATTTTTACATGTCCTAGTCACATGATCTCATTTCCATTTTTAAAAGATTATTCTGCCCCTACTGTGCAGAATAATGAGAAGAGGAGGCAAGAATGGCAGTAGGAAAGTCATATAGGAAATCAGCTTTTTACTGGAAAAATTCTAAAGCTCTGCAAACCAAAATATATGCTCTCTCCATATAGGACCTTGATAGCAGGAATAAATTGTCTAATTGTACAGAAGTGAAATGAAATATCAACATCAGGGAGAAAATAAAGCAAATCTAAAACTTACTTCATTGAAATGCTTAGAGAAAGAAAACTTTGCCTCTCCTGATAGTGGTCCCACTCTCCATTGACAACTGCCTAAGAATGGGGTCTAATTCTCTTGACCAGGCTGAAGTGCAGTGACACAATCACAACTCACTACAGTCTTGACCTCCTGGGCTCAAGCAATCCTCCCATCTCAGACTCTTGAGTAGCTGGGAACATAGGCATGAGCCACCACAGAGACAGGGTCTTGCTAAGTTGCCCGGGCTGGTCTTGAACTCCTGGGCTCAAGCAATCCTCCTGTCTCGACCTCCCGAAGTGCTGGGATTACAGATGTGAACCACCACACCCACCCATGATTTTCACTTCTATGCCCACATTTTGTGGTACCATTTAGGCATGCATGAAAAAAAAACACAATTTCAATAATTTGCAGTTAAAATATATATCATATTATGTCATTTGAATGCTGTTATTTATCAGAAAAATATCCCTTTGCTATTCCATGTTCATCTAATAAAGGCTGCAGTAGCATTAAATGTGATTTTAAAGTCCTGTGAGTCCAAATTTTCTCAGAAGTAGCATGTCAGATTTTATAAAGAAAAATGAAATTACAGGATTTGATATGCAGAAATTTGCATTACAAGCAACTCTAGTTCATATCTACTATCTTGAGGATATCTATAGTTCCAAATACTATGTTTAACCTATAGTTTGTCCCCCTTTTTGAAATATTTCACCATGTACATGGCAAACCTTCATGAATTCAGACTAATTGAAATTAAGCCCTATGTGAATTAATAAAAAGTTAGAATTATACCACATATTCAGAACCATTATTATTATAACCATATTTTTATATAATATCACCATTATTATAATAACATTATGGTAATGATAATCAATATTTTAACTAGAATAGGCTGTAGGAAAAACAGTCATATTTCTAAAGGGCTTTCTCTAGATTTATAACTCATTATATTTTCCTTTTTAGCATGTTTAATAATTAAGGTGGGCATTTTTTAAAAGAAGATTACTGCTCGATCATGAAAAATATAATTTAATATACATGTGGGACATTTTACTAATGTTGAAAATTTCTCCAAAAAATGGTATTATGTTTTCCTTTCTTCATGCTTTTAAAATCTGGCTTTCCTTCACTCACTTGCTTGGCTGTTTACTTCTTTACCTTTCTCCTCCCATCACCTCTTCTTTTTATCCTGTTGACTATTTACAGATATCCAGAGTAACAAAATTGTTTCTTTAATTAAAAGGGGAAAAACAATTTTTAAAAGCTGCCATTGTGGGAAAATGTTTTCAGAAATGAAGTACCAGGGGCTTTGGCAATGGTCTCTGTGCTATTTTCCCAATTGTTTTGGTATTTTAGTGATTGTAAAGAAATGACCCTTAAAGTTGCCATGTCAGGTTGGTAATAAAATGACGTCTTGGGGAAACCAGATCCTTTCTTCCCCTGTGCTTTTTTTTTTTCCTCCTGTAATTAGACTTGCCATCATCAGGGACTGCCTTTGTTATTAACAGCATCCCTCTCACCTCTGCTCGGGGACAGTGATAGCTAAATGAAGGCATCCCCTTCTGCACCAGGCTGAATATTTGAACACAAACCACATTCACAACAGCTGCATTTTTCCTTTGTTAACCTCAATATCTTCGGGGATTCTTGGTTTTATTTGCAAGGGCCCTGCTAGTCATCTTTCTCCCTTGTGCTTCTTCACAATGTTCTATTATTGTTATGAAAAACATAAAAAAGATAGCTGCCACTCTGGCCTTTCAAGTTCCCAGCCTGCAAAACACTTCCCTGGAATTGGTCACCAGCCAGGACCATCACTAAGGGGAAACATGTGGTTGCCACTTGTGTCTAGTGCACGTCTCACTGAATCTGGTAGTTTCAATTGAATGCACTGATGTCACTCTTCCAAGTGAACGAACCCCACGGGGATTGTAGAGAAGAACTAGGATTGTTTTTTATCAAGCCAGGGACCCCGCATTTTCTCCTCAAACCGTCAGCAGACTCACCTTCTGCAGTGCCTGCCAGCACTGGGGCAGATGTAACCAATTAGCACACTCATACATTTGTTTTCTTCAAGGGTCTGTCTATTCTCTGCGCCTTCTGCTGGGTTCTGTCCAGATACCATCACGCAAAGAACGTCATCTATGTTGTTTTTTCTCTGAGACAGATTGAAAGACCTATGATCTAAAGATCTATATTTCATAGCCCCGAGCTACTGATAAGCCATCAACTACTAAGCACTCTCAAAAAATATATTCATCAGTCATTAATTTGTTATTGACAGTGGCTCATGCTTGTAATCCCAGCACTTTGGGAGGCCAAAGCAGGCAGATACCTGAGGTCAGGAGTTTGAGACCAGCCTGGCCAACATGGTGAAACCCCATCTCTACTAAAAATAAAAAATTAGCTGGGTGTGGTGGCGCATGCCTGTAGTCCCAGCTACTTGGAAGGCTGAGGCAGGAGAATCACTTGAACCCGGGAGGCAGAGGTTGCAGTGAGCTGAGATCATGCCACTGCACTCTAGCCAGGTCGACAGAGTGAGACTCCATTTTGGGAAAAAAAAAAAAAAAAAAGGGCTGGGCGTGGTGGCTCACACCTGTAATCCCAGAACTTTGGGACTTTGGGACACTGAGGTGGGCTGATCACCTAAGGTCAGGACCAGCCTGGTCTAGACCAGCCTGGCCAAATGGTGAAACCCCTCTCTACTAAAAATCAAAAATTAGCCGAGTGTGGTGGTGCGTGCCTGTAGTCCCAACTACTTGGGAGGCTGAGGCAGGAGAATCGCTTGAACCCGGGAGGCAGAGGTTGCAGCGAGCCAAGATCCCACCACTGCACTCCAGCCTGGGTGACAGAGTGAGACTCTGTCTCAAAAAAAAAAAAAAAAAAAAAAAAAAAAAAAAAAAAATATATATATATATATATATATATATATATATATAACAGGTGACTTCATCCAGGGATAAGTGCAATGGAGAAAATAAAGTCATAGAGAGTGAAAAAGAAAGACTGATCATCCAGGACATGCCATTGGAGATGGATGTGAATAAAGAAAAGAAGCTGGGTATTTGAGACGTGGAGAAAGGGCACATGGCATAGGACCAGCATGCGTGGAAGCCTAGAGGCAGGGTTGAATTGGATTTATCTTGCTTTCAGGACAGAAGTCCACTATGGCAGGTTGGGAGAGAGACACTGCAGTGAGATGTACCCTTTCGAAGTCTATAATCAATATCTTCTCTATATGGGATAGGGGAATAATCAATAGAGATGATCTTTCCAATGAAATGAAGATAATATATGTGCAGAATAGTTCCTGATACATAATACTTCATAGATATTTGTTGAGATAAAGCCTTGGAGCCAATTTTCAAAATGGACAATTCAATTTCAATTGTTTCAGCAAATACTGATGAGTGTTAGCAGTAATGATATCAGTTTCTACATGTTAACATACTGTTTAATATTCACAGCAACATTTAAATGGAGTACCTATCATCACCTCTTTAAAAGATGTGGAAACTGAAGATTTTTGAGTTTAAAAAGTTGAAGAGGGCTAAGGAGATAGGAAAAAGTAAACCTGAATTGAAACCCAGGTCTGACTCCTTACCACCACCATTCATTGGAACTAATCTACTGTGAGTTGGACTCTGAGGTAGAAGGTGGACAAATAAAGGGACCTAATGCAGAGACACCATCTTCAATGAATAGTCCTACTGGCACTGCAAGGTGAATATGAGGATCTCTGTAAAACAGATAAAGAAACTAAAGTTCAGACAGAATAAGTGACCTGACTAAGGGTGCATGGCTGGGATTCCAACCCAATATTGTCTGCTTCTGATATATCTTTCCCCATGTAAGTCTATTAGGCAGCCAAAGTTGAGAATAGAGGGATAGAGGCAAGGCTTTTCTCATTGCATCAGACGAGGTATTTTTCAACAAGATGATTGCATCAATTAATGTTTGGGTGGAAGCAACAGAAATGGATTCTCACTGCATTTAAGTTAAAAGGGAGGAAGGAGATTATTGGAAGACTGCGGAGATAGCTAACACAACTTAAGGAATTGCAAAGCTACATATTTCCAGGAGGACAGAAGCAGTGGCAATTCCATCTCAGTGGACCTCTGTACTTTCTCGGTGGGGGCTCCACTCCTTTACAGTGACTCCGCTGACTCTCCTCTACTTCTCTCTGTCTCTGTTTAAATTGAACCTTTCTAAAAAGACTCAGATTTGGTCAGCTTGGGTTAGGCTGTCATCCTTGCAGTCCACAGGATGGAGATGGCTACCTGAAGGATGTGTGGTTTTCATTTTGAGGGAAAAATAAAAGACTTCTACACAGATCATCTCTAAACCTCATATTTCACAGAGATTGAGGTTTAAGGAGCAGGAGTAATTTTTTGCCCAAGGCCACCTAATCTTTGATCAGAGGAAGATGCTTAAGAAAAATGTGAAGTTTGTTCTCAGTAGGTTAGGTGTCTTCTTTCTGTCTTAATGACACCTCTTGTCTACTCTTAGGGGATATATATACTTCCTCATTAAAACTTGTACATTATAAATGATCAACCACTTATAATTTATTATAACCTAAAATATTGCTGGATGTATTTGCAGTATAAATTTTAAGGTACATAAGGCCTTTTTCCCTATCAAGGATGCCGTAGGAACTGATGCACAGAGGAGAGGCATTTTCTGGTCAAAGAGATTTCCCACAAAATTCTTAAATTTGGACATCAGTACACTACTTATCTTTTCCTCTTGAGACATTTAGGAGAACATTTCAGGCACATTTTACAAAGCCTAGGCCTGGCCGTCTATATGTATGGTAGCTTAAGAAACTATGCTGGTTTTCTCAATGTTTATCCCCAAATTTTAATTGACAAAGATATTATTATTTCTCTATTTCTTTAGCTATTGAATAATGACAATGGATATTCCCAAACAAAATTTCTGAATCCTCATCATGTCATATATGTCAGTATAAAAGAGAACTGATCTAACCTACATGTCAGTTTATTAGCATTAAGACAGTGTCCAAAATACTATTTTTTCCAACAAAAACTAAAACATGCTGTGACTATAGTAACTCCCTCAGGTAAACCCCAAATTGTCCTTTGCCCCCATGTAAGCAGAGCAGATTTGTGCTAAGCTTGCCGCAGTTGGAAGTCACTGTGTTTGAGCTTATTTTACCATTTCCACTAGCTAATAGAAAAATTCAAAACTTAAGTTCAAAGTGCCTGGAATAGTCTGCAGAGAGTTCAAAACCTTACCAGACCTGAACCTGAACCCGTTTCTTTAACATCCACAGTGGATGTTGATAGTCCTTTGGGAATTAATCTCACAATCAGACCACAAGAAAGATTGAGGAAAAGCGTGATGAAGTTAGGGCAAAGACATGAAGAAGTTAGTTCCTTATGGTTTAAAAAGAAAAATATATTCAGAACATCAATCTCAGTAGCTAGCCTGACAGACGATGTTTTAAGAAATAACCATCAACAGCAGGAAAGTAGTTTCTTTAATTGTGCAATCACTTTTGGAGCTATTTGGAGTTGTCTCCATAAACTCTTTTCAAATACAAACACAGATACACACCCACACACATTTACTGAGAGGAGAGCAAATACCCATTGCTGTAGTTAATGGAGTGAAATACAGCTGAAGTGGGACTAGGAGAGCAGCAGGGGAGGAATTGTGGAAGCCAAGTTAACTGCTCTGATACAAACTGACTTTTCCTGTCTTTTCCAGCCACACTGTATATTATTGTAGATGGTGTAGGCAGGGGATGCTTTCTGTAGCAAATGCACTGTATAGGATAAAGAGTCAGCAAAATACTATATATGAGACTTTCTTTGCCCCTTTCAATTCAAAAGCTTTCACTTTCTACTCCTGGGTATATTAATACCTGCAAAATCATGGGAGTTTATGATGACTTTATGCTTGTCAAGACACATTCCTCACCTTGAAATCTACTTGGGCTCGAGAGACTTCAGTATGAGAATCATGTCAAAAAATTAGAGGATGTCACAAAACAGCCACCACCATGATATAGGAGCTAAAGAGATTGATTTATGAGACTGGATTAAAACAACTTAATAGAGTGGCCAAATCATGACCCAACTCCATAGGACTGTCGTACACTTTGAAGTTAGAAGAGAATTTTGTAAGCACAAAATTTCAAGGACATAATGGTCATGAAAGGGGGTTGGGAGAAAGACCTTTACTTAGCTGGGTTGTTGTGTACAGGGCTATGGCCAGGGCAGGTTAGCAAGTCAAGATTTAAGATTGTTCTCCTGAAACTGATACAGAAATGTCTGCTCAGAAGTAAAAGACACAATTCTAGAATGGTGTTAAACTTCAATGGACAAATATGCTCTAAAGAACTGCATGAGCAAGGGGTAGATGAGATGACTTATAGGTCTTTTCATCTTTAGTGTCTACGACTCTGTCATCTTTCGAGTCATCATTTTTATTTTTTCAAATTTGTTATGGAGACAAAAAATCTTAAGTTTCATGCCAACATGTGCCTTCAATATCCAAAGCATCTCTCTCTAACAGTCTATTTTCAGACTCATCAGAATGATTACTTCAGCCACTTAGGAAGTATGGTAATAGTAATTTTTGTATCCTAATAAAAGCATTTCCTATTATTTAAAAAAGAACAGGAAAAAAAACGGAAACATAGCTTCTTTTCTGGCTAAAATGTGAAACCTGTCATTTAATGATGTTAGTTTCCAGAGGGTCATTTTCTCACTGGGAAAGAGTATTTTGATATATACAAATCTGCCCACCACTTTCTCACCCCATTTCTGTGATTACCATTAGTATGAGGAATGAAGATTTGATGAAGATTTGGTACCTACTGATTATCAATAGTAAAGTTAATATTTCTGTCTAATTAAAGCCTACATCAGCATAACTCCAATAAAACAGGGAAAGGGCAGAATGAGGCAGGAGCTACAGATTGAGGATTAGCTTCTGAATCACTGGTCTTGGCCAGTCTTTCTCCATTGATTCACTGCAGCATTTTGAGTATGCAATTTAATCTCACTGTGCTTTTGTTTCTTCTGCAGAGTAAAGAAAAAAAGAGACAACAGCAGTAGCAGCCACTGTTAGTGCAGGAAACAGGATTTGACATTCTTCTGGGATTTTCTGAGGATAAACAAGATCCCTGCATTAAGTGCTTTGAGTTACTTAAACTTGTAGTGGGGGGGATAAAACCTGCCCCCTTTAACATTTTCCTGATTTTCATGATGCTTCAGTGCATGCAGTAGGCACTCAGTAAATGTAAAAATGCTTAGAAAATGCATTTTTGAGAGTTTAACCTTACTGACACAGAATGATGTTCCTGAAACAGAATAATAATTATAATTATTTTTCCTAAAGAAAGCACTAAGTCTGAATGCCAAAACCCTGCTGCTTAACACACAAATATAATAAATGCTCATTTTTTTTTTATGCTCAATGCTTTGGGACAACAAGTGAGAGAACAATTATAGAAATGGCTGGTCTCTTACGTTCTGGTCAACACCAGGGCAGAAAAGAAGAAAATGGAGGCTAAAGACATTTCTGATTCCAAGGAGATCTGATGCAATTCTAGTCACCCTCTGCTAAAAATGAGGGTTATGATTTAGCAGAAGAATAAATGCAGCCTTTTACTGTCTTCTCCAGAAATGGGAACAGAGAGGCAGGGGATCACATCTTCCTTGAAGGGAGACTTTTTGCATATGCATAATTCATATGAGCTTCCACAGCAGAGTCCTTTGAAAACCTGACTAAATAAACTGGAGATCCTTTATCAATGTGAATAGCCACCTAAGAATCCAGTTGGTACCCTCTTTAAGTAACTTGTAAGCCCCAATACCCAAGCGAGTGAATTGGGGTAACTAAGACAGATATCCAGCTAATCCAGTGAAAAATTATTCCCTTTAGTTTGCAGATGACTGAGACATACTTTTAGGGATAAGAAGGTGGGGCTGGGGGCTTATGCATGTGGGTCATCTTAATTTTCCACTTTTCAGTGAATTTTAAATATAAGTTGAGTGTCTGGAGTAAAAATTCCAAAGTCCTTTTAAAATATTATTGTTCTCCTTTGTAATCTCTCTATGCCTAATATTAGATAATTCAGAATTGCTATAATTTTGAACTTGGCTTCTAAGTAAACCGGATTTATGTCTTTTGTATTTACTTAGAATCTAATACTTTTATTTCTTGCCCTGAAGATAATCTCACTTTTGCATATTTTCTCATGATTTTTCTAAGTAGAGGTTATATTTTTATGATTTTTATTTTGAACCTGTTTTGAATGCTGTGCTCTTTACTTTAGCATTCTGTGATATCATGTGTTATTGGTGATCTATACATATCTGAGTGACCCTTTCCAGTAAAGGATCAACTAAAGGCACATGCATCGTCAGAGATATGGCTTGCAGTGGAACAAAATAATTTTATTTCACTTATGTTAAAAATGGAAAAGAAAATAAATCAGTTTAAGCAAAGGTATCATAACTTATGCAAACTAACAGCCAGTCTTTACAAAAAAATAAAATATTGCTTCATGCTCCTTTTATGGTAGCCTCTGATGCACCTTTAGGAACTGGGATACAGAAAGTTAAAGATCCAAGCATGTCACTTGCTGATAGAAATAATTTAGACCTTTTTTAAAGAAACTTGTCATAATATTGGACAATATGGGCAAAAAAATTACATTATGAAAAACTCAACAAACAAACCCTGTAAATAATATATGCTGAAGAGCAGTGTGTAGCTCTAGCAGAATATTGCTTAGAGAGATTTTGTTTAAAACATTTATTGGAGGCATATATTACAGTATATCATTTACTGGCTAGAAGCCATGCAATATGTGTCTTTACAAAAAAAAATTACCTTGTAATATAAGCCCCTCCAAGGCATAATTATGTAATAAAGTTCTTATTGGGAAAACTGGAAGTAGGCCAAGCCTTGTCCAAATATAGTGAATGTCAGAGCCAAATTTATTATCCTTAGCTATTAACAGGAGAAGGCAGGTTTTGTTTACCAAGCCTAATTCTCTCCTAATTACAGCCACTATAAAATAATTACTATCCATGGGATAACAACACAAGACAGAGTGACTAACAGAAGAAACTGCAGGGGTTAGAAAACAGAGTGCAATTCTGTGTCATTTTGAACAGCTTGTGTACTGCCATGAACAAATTAACGGACTTCATTAAGGAATTATGTTTTAAGAGTGGCTTTGCAGTGAAGCAGTAAAGCAATTAATGCATCTTATTTGGTCCTAGATCTGAGTTGTAGTGCAGTTTGAGACAGCAACTAAATTTTTTTTTAATTTTTGATGTATCAGGTTTAATAGGATTACAACCACATTACTGGGCGAGATAGTTAATGAGTGTAGAGAAAAGACTCTATTTTGGACAAATGATATCCAGCCCCTATGAACTTGTTCTGTCTTTATGAGCAGATTTCTTACCACAGCGATTTTAATAATCTACTAAAGACAAATGCCAACTTTTATATAATTCCATTCCACTACCTCCCCTTTATGTCCTAAACTCTGTTGGATTATACTTTTGATGAAAGGTGTAGTTTTCAGAAAGGCAAGAATATTCTGTATGTCTATTTGTGCCACAAAACTGGGAACTTGAAATATTATTTCAATATTTCATATTTGCTTTCCACACAAATCAAAACAGAATATTATCCAGTTGAAAAATGATGCTTCATTAAATTCTCAATGTTGCCCGTTCCCACGTTCCCTAACCTCTTCCATCTCATCACAGAGCCCCAGAGGTGTAAAGAAACCTTGCTGTAGATCTTTGTACCCTTAAAACGCATGCACCAGAATCAACCACTATTCTTACTACTTGTTCACAATGGCAAGAGTGAAAGGTCAAGTTGTGCCTCTTGCTGGTGCTGTGTCTCTTCTCTCTCTTTCCCCCCCAACTCCACCCCTCTCTGTAAAGGGTCACTTCTCCCTGCAGTCGGAAAAATGCTCCTGTTTTGGTGACTTGGTGAAAATGTACAAACTCAGCACACTTGGGGAGTCTGTTTTAGATACTCCTTTTAATAGGCCTCCAGATGGCCACATAAAAGCAAAAGGATTATTATAGCAACTCCCAACCGGGCCATTAGAGATAAAGGTGGACCAGAGTTTCCTTTAAAACCATTTTTTTTTGAGGAATATATGACCTGATCATAAAAAAAAAAAATCTTAGTATAAAAGTAGAGGAAGAAGTTCTAAATCCAGAAATTCATTTTTTGTATTGTATTTATCCCTACAAATGTCACTTCATGCAAATCAAGTCACTTCATTTAAACAGAAAACACCAAAATATAATTTTAGTTCTTTCCAACAATGCTATGACATGCTTTAGTATTTTTCTTTTAATTTAAAAAAAGCTTCTTTTTTTCTCTCCTTTTTATTCTCCAGACACTGAATGTTTCTATAGGGAACTAAAGTTAAGAAAGGAATAGGCAATAAAGAGATTCAGGAAAACATTTCATGTGGAAAAAGAAAATGTCCTATCATATATATATATATATATATATATATATATATATATAAAATATATATATATATAAAATATATATATATATAATATATATATATATATATAAAATATATATATTCCAAGTGGCTTTTGAGCTGTGCGGTTGAAGGGGGACATGAAATGAGGGTTCCCCAGTGGCTGAACACCTCATTGTACAATCAAAGAAGTATCATTGAACATCTCCTTTCCCTACTGTCAAAAGCCACAGTAGCTCTGAGGTTGGAAATAGGACTGGCTGGCTTTGCACGTGAGAATCATGGGTTCTGCTTTCCTACTTTCTCCCTTTTTATATTTTCCAAAATATTCCAATGTGCATTGTTCACTTTACCCTTCAAAAGTTTTGTTTTGGGATTCTCCACGCACATCCCCCACTACGACACATACACACTTCTTGTTCCCAGGAAGTAAAGCCGGTAGATGCTATTACCTGAAAACTGAACAGGTTTTTCTCCTTCCTGCTCTATTAGACTTTTACTATGAATCAGTTCCTCCTGGATTCTAGAGTTAGCCTTGTTGGTTTGCCCTAGTTTAAATTGTGGCTTTCCACATTTTCTCATGTCTCCTTGGGAATTTTAGTGAAAATTTGGAAGAGACAGTACTAAAAATTACTAGTCAATTCCCATCTTAAACTTGAAGTTTATTTTACCAATTCATTATTATTATAATAAAATATTTCAAAAGTGTAAAGTACAGGGAATAATAGGCACTCGTGTATTCACTATGATTTAATAACTGTAAGTGAATTATAAAATTTTACATGTTTGCTTCATGCCTTTCTTCCTAACAAAATAATACAAAGGGAATTGAAGACCACTGTGTACCCAAAAGTGATGTCATGACCCCCTTTAATTATCATCCCCACTTCCTGCCAAAGGTAAGAGCCACTGTGTCAAAATTGGTTTGTAGCTTTCACATCCACGTTTGTGTATGTTTACTACATATGTATGTATCCATAAATAATGTTACATTGTTCTATAATTTTAAATGTACATAAATGGCATATATCAGATACTTGCTTTTTCACTCACCATTATGTTTTCAAGACTTATCCATGTTCATGCATTTAGAATTGGTTAATTTATTTTAATTACTATATAGGCTTCCATCATGAACATGAATATGATACAATTCATGGATGCATTGTCCAACTGAGAACAAGGCCGCCATGTCATGCAATTTAGCAGATAAAGCAGAATAATCATTTCCTTTATAGTCTGTGATGTTCTTTGCTACTAAAAAAAGTTTTTGTTGCTTAAAACCACATTTTAAAATGTTACAAAACATGAATGACAACACAACCAACCTTTCTAGTAATTCACACCTCTCCGTGGAAGAATTTGTCCTTTGGCAATTGTGATAAGTATAAATGTGGGGCTGGGTGTGGCTCAGGCCTATAATCCTAACATTTTGGAAGGCCGAGGTGGGTGGATCACTTGACTCCAGGAGTTTGAGAGCTGCCTGGGCAACAGAGTGAAACACCGTCTCTACTCACAATACCAAATATTAGCCCCGTGTGGTGGCACATGCCTGTAGTCCTAGCTATTGAGGTGGCTGAGGCGGGAGAGATCACTTGAGTCTGGGAGGCTGAGGCTGCAGTGAGTCCTGATCCTGCCACTGCACTCCAGTCTGGGTGACAGAGTGAGAACTCGTCTCAAAAAAAAAAGAGGGGGGCATATATGTGGAGAGACCATAATGTTGCTGGCCATAGTTGGGGAGAAAAGTTAGGGGAAGGTAGGAAGCTTCTTAAATGTTCCACACAGCACAAGTGGACAGAAACAATACCTTCTTCATAATGAAGAAGCTGGTCCAGAAACTTTTAAAGCCTATAGCCCACATTCATTTAACGTTATAAAGACAATGAATTGACATGGTGGATTGTAAAACACGTGGCAATGTATCTTGTCAACGACTCACAGATACTTAAAGACCTTGAATTATGCATTAATGTGATATACCCTCATGGTTCTGCCATCACAGTGCATTTACTGCTGAGCCATAGATGGTGTGATATGTGATATCCATCCAACCATTTACAGACTTTCTGTATCGTCATTTCAATTTCTCTACCTATCCAGTTTAAAGACTTTTAAACTCCATTTTAAAAGTAAACACAATTATAAATTTAAAATGTTATAGTGCTATCCAATGTCTAAAGAAGGCAAAGATTGTTGACTCAAGGTCACTAACATCCATTTACCAGAGATCAAGTGTAGAATGTTGCATATTGAAGTATCATTTAATAGAAAGTAAGGACTGGCAGCATTAATGCCATTATCAGTGACCTTTCTTCTCAGGGATTATAATATTTCAATATACCTGTTCACTAGGGTCAACCTTATACATAGGTAAAGTAAACATTTACCTTTGGCACATATTTCAAGGAACATGGGGCAAAGACAGCTTTGCAGAAATCGCTTTCTCACCAACCTATCACAGAGTTTGAAATTCCCATCATTTGGAACTAATTATTTCGATCTGAGGCATTTTATCTAGAAAAGTCCATAATATGAAATAAATACAGCAAGGTAAAATAAAACATTAAGCCTTTTACCATTCATTAAGACCTTAATTATAATTTGTTCATAGGCATTGCTAACCAGTGACCTACCAATATCTTGAAAAAAATGGGCTAGTCCACTGCAATGTTATGATGAATGAAGAGAGGAAATGTCTATACTGTGAGAAGCTGTGCAGTGGGATTTCGAAACAAAGAATGAAATTAGGGAATCCGAGGGGGTACCAAAAAGTGAACGCTTTGGAGGTTGAAGAGAGAGAACACTGAACATTGAGAAAAGGGCATTGAAGAACAACTTTGTGCATGTGTGTGTGTGCTAGGGACGTGTACATGAAAAATACCTATTTTAGAATTTTGCCTGAGGCCAAGCCTGTGAACAACTAAATTTTGTCCTTCCTTACACACATATTATTTTTTCTTCACTCTACTTAAAAACTAAAGAAAATATTTTCTTAACACTTCAAGACATATTACATGCATTCATTCTCTTAGCCTTCTACCCAAAAAAGTACTTTTTTTCTTTATTGACTTTTTATTTCTCTTTTTTATTAGTTTATACTTTGTGGAAACTGAAGGAAGTATTTATAGAAGTTTTAAATGTTGACACTACAGAATCTCTTTGCTTGGTGGAATTTTGTTGGCACAAATTATGCTTCAAGCGACCACCAAGCATTTTTATATTTGACTAGGAACTAATTCAAAGTATGCTTCATAAACAAGGTAGTCATCTATTTGTTTGCTTACAGTCACACTTGGAGCTTGGCTTGAACTAGCCATTTTTATGTAAGAGAGTAGACATCTTAATAATTCTGATAAGCAAGACCTCTTTCTATATGCCTTTGAGACTTAAGCCTAAAGGATTTAAGACCAGCTTCCCCCTAAGAAAAACACCACCACCTCAGTAGCTGATGTTGGCTGAATGCTTACCAAATTCCAGCCACTGGGAGGCAGTATTGTGTAGTAGTTAAAATTGAGTTTTGCCATCAGCTAGACGAGGGTTCAAGTCTGACTCTAACATGACTGCTAGTTAACCTCTCTAAGCTTCATTTTCCTTATCTTGCAAAGTGGTATAAGACCTGTTACTCTTTCATACTGTCCTGAAGATTAAATGAGATAATATATCAAGTGCTTAGCATATGCCTGGTGCTCATAAAACCCAATAAATCTAATTTCTTGGTGAAAGTATGTGATATATGGATCTAGTCCAACCTACTGATCCTTTTTTCTCCTCCTCATACACTCAGCTAACTTTCAAACTCCTCTTAGAAACGAGTGCCATGGACCTAGAAGCAGAAAAAGTTAATTTTCACAAGCAGAATCTTTGGAATTAAGCCGAGGTACAAATCAGCAATGCTTTTCCCGAGCCTCTAGTTTCTCCTTTCATCTAATTACATACAGTCTCAGCAGCAGGGAAAAAGATGTCTTTTCACCTAATACCAGAGACAGAGACTGAAACCGGATGAGTAAAAATTTTAAGGAAAGCAAATCAAAGCCTAGTCACTTGGGGTTCCTGTATCTGCCAACCACACACCAGTGCAAAATCAGAAACCTCTAGATCCCTTAGTCTTTTCTCCTGTGTCCCCAAACCAACAACCATTACCTAGGGACCCACTGACATTCTTATCCTAGGACTTTTCAATAGCTCCAGGATTTCTTTTTCATAATTTCCTCTGTTACCTCATACTGCAATGTTGTCTTCAATAACAATTGCATTTGCCACAGAATACTATGTGCCTTGTTCCTACTGGTAAGCAGATGATGCTGTTAGGTAGAATGAAGTTCCAGAGTCCAATGTATTACTTTTAAAACATTTTATACTGCCAGAGTAGTCCCTGGTCTTTATATCCATATCCTTAAATTTATCTTCTACTAAACTTAATTATTCAAAGTAACAGATATATTTCACTAAAGAGTCTTTGGTAAATATTAAGTCTACAGAGCTACAAAGAAAATTCTATTCTTGATACTGTATTAACATGCAGAGACCTCATAGTAGTTTATAGTTCTTAAGACAGAGAATAGTTTCAATGAAAGCCTTGTTCGAGTCATGCAGAACTTCTGCTGTGGAATCAACAATTGACCCTGTATCCAGCTTATTCACTGATCTCAATTTCACCACTTACATCTAAGCTTTAAGTATTTTGAGGATTCTGGTCACAAATTGTTTTCCAATTCTTACCAATCATTGACTTCAAAAGTGAAGTAACCTACCGATTCTTGGGGATCTAGACCAGTTTCACTCTATATTTTTACTTCCTAAGAAGAGGGATTAGTGGCCGTTCAAAATGTATGTTTATGTGTAAAGTTCTTTCTCATCCTTTACAGTTTTGACACCTTTTCAGTTTAACATATTATAAGCCTATATATTCATTAAAATATCATTGATCATTAGTTTTTTCCCAATGTCAATCCTATGATAGATTCTCTTGAAATGTAAGTAAATGTATTGCATTTTCTACAATCATTTTACTTGCAGATGAAGGGTTTCTATATTTGTCCTTAAGTTTTCTGAGCAGACATTCAGAAGCAGAACTCTAGCCTGTTAAAAGGCACAGCTGTACCCTGCAGGTAGAATGAAAAGGTCCTCGATGAGGTCTTGGATGTGTGTCCTTACATGCTTCATACTGCAACCTAATGTGCAGTTGCAGACCACCCCACCTGAGATAATAAATGAGAAATATTCAGGGCTGTTGAGCACTGTGCAAATTTTCACAGAGGATCAGCACAAACTTAGCACAGGTGTTCACATAATTGTGATTCATTGGAAAAATTCTCAGTGCTCAATAACCCTCACACTCTTTTCCCTCCTAGGTGGTGGTTGAGTGTGAGTATATTGTGGGGAAATGTGCCATGATGTTGGGCTCCACTGGTGCTTGGCTTAAGGGTGTTGGGCTGATAAAAAAGAATGGCTAAATGTGCTCAATTCTCTTGGTCCATTTGCTTAAGTTTCAGAAACGGAAGGATGATATGTATTCAACTGTTCAATAGATAGAAACCAACTCCAACATTAACAAAAAAATCTCTTTGGAGATTGGATAAGATTAAGACTTTTTCTGTGTTTAATTTTAAAATCATTAAATCTCAAAAACAGTGTAAAGATCCCACTCCTCATTTTTCTTGCATTGTAGCTGCCATCTTCTGGGGAAGTATGCCACCTAATTACCAGTTCTGTTCATGTCTTAAGATTGGTCATCATTTGGAATAGGAACCAAAGGTAATCATTCTGAACTAGTAAGACAGCTCACTCTAAAATCAGCCATTGGTATCAGCCTTAGCTTTTCTATTTGCAAAGTAAAACACAATTCTATAATCTAAATCTCTTCATAATTATACAAATTTGCATAACTTCTAATGTAACAAATTAAATGATGGATTTTAAAAAACTGATTCTGCAGTTAATGAATATTGATTAGGCTCCTATATTGTGGTGAAGCACCTTGAATTTGAGGGTAAAGCAAAAGGAAAACCAGCTGCCTATAATCTGCACATGACTGGTCTTTATGATTTTTTTGAAAGCACTGAATTAAAAGGATTTCAAATGTTTGTGCCTCTCTCTATTTGAAATTTCTTCAAACTGCATTTACAATAATCAATTCAGGTATTTATTCTGCTGATTTCCATGTCTCTGTGTTAATAAAAAGTGTCTGTCTTCATAATGTATTAAAAATTTTCCCTTAAGGGAGTGATCAAACAGATCATATTTTGATATTTTCTTTAAACTTCTGCTAATTTCTTTCAATCACTTGACATATGTCTATGATTAGTTGAACAGATTTATAGAAATTTTTCTGATTCCTCCCCAAGAAAAGAGCAAAAAAAATTACATGTCTATGAATTTCTAATATTTCTGTGCAATTCTTTCAAGTGCTTAACTAAGGATGCAGACCTAAAAATAGTTGGAAAATGTCTCTATAGTTTTGATGTTCCTTCAAACCAAGAACCTACCTGGTACCATTGCAGTGGAGGGTCTGGGTCTCTTGTTTCCACAACACCTCGGGCTTTCTGAAAAATGGATATTTTCCCTCATTTTCAAATAGAGAAACAAAGCATTAGTACTGCCTGAAATCTGAAATTCTTCATCAGCCACCTACTGCCAGCTCATGATCCTAAGTGAGACACTCCAGGCAAAAAGATGTGCTATTAGTAGCAGACACATTAGCCCTACATCCATATATTGTCCCTTACCCTCATGACCTACTGTGTACCAGGATGTCACTAAGATCTCATCTGCCAATAATGGAAACAAGCTTTTATGAGCTTAGTGTCTCCCTTTCCATGGACCCTTGTCTGGTCCTACTAAGTCCTACTAGGTCTGTCTAGGTGAGGAAAGCCCTTCCAAGTGAGAGAAAACACCAAATCTCAGATATAACAACAGTTTCATGAAATACCAAAAGAAAGAAGAAGCAATCCAAAGAGGAAAATATCCCAGAAAACGTCACTTACCAAGAGAATCAAATGTTTAAATTGTATTTCTAGAAAATTCTGCTGTTTGTTCTTGATCCTTATCCATATTTGGTTTTAGAGAATGAAGGTGGCAGAACAAGGGCAGGGGGATGACCCTTAGCAGAAGTGTATCTGTAAATGTGCTGCTCTAGCTCCTTGAGGTGTGAATGTCTACTATATGAAAAGCCATTTTCCAATCTACTGATAAGACAGACAGAAGATATTGGTCCAAAGTTAGTAAACAATGTTTAAGGTCTTAGATGAAAATATTAATTCTTATTAATAGACGTACAGTGAAAATCCTCAGTATAGAAATTATGGATACATTTGGTTGCAAAGAGTTGTATAAGCATTTCATTGTCCATAAATGTCTATTAAATTATGTTCTCCAAAATCTACATTTGTCATAATGAAATTATATGCGCTGTGCTGTGCCTAAATAACAAACGTCTGAGGCCAAATCAAACAATTAGCACATTCATAAAGTCAAGACATTTTGTTGTCAAAAATAACCATTTTTTTATTGTAAGAAATCCACTTTTACTAAATATCTAAGCTCATAAAATATTGGTGAGCCACAGACCACCACTAAGAACTGTGACACTAATTCTATTTTTTAAAAAACAAAACTCTTTAATCATTTGATTATTTATTTATTTATTTATTTATTGAGATGGAGTCTTGTGTTGTTGCCCAGGGTAGAGTGCAGTGGCGTGATCTCCACTCACTGCAACCTCTGCCTCCCAGGTTCAAGTGATTCTCCTGCCTCAGCCTCCCTAGTAGCTGGGATTACAAGCATCTGCCACCACAGCTGGCTAATTTATTGTATTTTTAATAGAGACAGGGTTTCACTATGTTGGCCAGGCTGGTCTTGAACTCCTGACCTCGTGATCTGTCCACCTCGACCTCCCAAAGTGCTGGGATTATAGGTGTGAGGCACTGCGCCTGGCCAATCATTTGATTTTATTATTGGCATCCTAAAAACATAAATTTTTATATTTGTGTTCAGTAATATAAGCAGACTTCTATTAATTCATTCAGTTTTGATTCCAAACTGCAGGCATTAGTTGGTATGTTATCTTTAGTAGTGACAGATCTACTATTCCATCCTTAAAGCTATGTTCAAGATGTTTTTCTGGCCTGAAAACAAACTACATATAGATTTTTTTTAATTCAGTGATATTTCTTCTCTCTCCCTTTCTTTCTCTCTCTTTCATTCAACACTATCACGAATACTAACTTAATGTGGTGATTCTGGTATTCTAATGCTATTTTTAAATTCAGTATTTGACACCTCATGTTCTTAAAATTTGTCTTCAAAACATTTTAGCCTTATTCGGACATTTTTCTCTGCTTCTGACTTTACGTAACTATATGTTTTCATTTACAATACTTATAGTAGAATGCAGTGAGTTTTGCATTAGCCACTAAAATAATACTTAAGTCACCTTTATAAGAAGTAAAAGAAAAAAATAGATGGATTCTTTCTTTTCTGGAAAAAAAAAAAAAAAGCACTGTAGTGCTTGCTTGGACATTGTCAAGACCAGTGAACCAGTGAAGAATGTTAGAAATATCATGTTTTTTAAATCTGTGGGGAGGATGCCTGAAGAGTTTGTACCATTATTTCTTGTCCTACTCTCCTTATGAGTGTATTAATAACAAAATAACCACTCTTGGGTCTGTGATGCTTTGAGTAAATCCTTCCTGAAGGAAGTGGAACAGATCAGATTGTCTCTTGACAGATCTTGACAGTTTGGAGTTTCTCCTCCAAACCTCTGACTCCCTAATTCACGGTCAGACTATCAGAGAATCAACTTTATTCTCATTTGAGGAGGGAATTCTTGTTAGTTGACCTATTTTTTATTCAGATGTTGTTTAAGCTGCATTAACTTTCTTGGAGTAGGGAGAGCTGAATTTCTGTGCGTATGTTGTGGGGGATGGGGAGTAATTCTCGTCCATCAGATTCAAATGTTTTCCAGATCTACTGGTGGTAATTGACACAATTCATTTTAATGAGTTAGAAGTATTTGAAGAGCTTTCAGTAAAAACATGTGGAGCCACTCTGTAAATTCCTAGGCTTTTAGAACCCTCTCAGTCTCCAGGGTTTCTGCATTTGCTGCATCCAGTAAGCTGATAAACAAAAATGATTTATTGTAAAATAGTTATAAGTAAAGAAGTGTCCTCTGAGGATACAATAATTGTTTTCATTTTCTTTTCCCCAGTGCCAGTGGTATAATAAAATGCTAATAGATGCAAATTATGCATGATCTTTAATGCATACTAAAGAGAGACCATTTAAAAACCAGGTACCTTTTGTTGGTGAGTAAGCAGCGGAATATTGTTTCCTTTTTAAAATCTTGTACCAACTGAGAAGATTCCTTTTTGGATAGTCTGCACAGACAGGCTTACCTCCAAACTACTACAATTCGACATTCCTGAGGAGGTATGGAAGCATGATCAGGGAGGATGGAAGGCAAACAAAAAACATTTTTATAGTTCAATTGATTCCATAAGGAAATCTTATAAAGAAAAACAAACATCTCCCCAACAGGAAAGCCACTGTGACTTAAAGAAGAGAAAATTGAAATACATGAAAAATCAATGAGGTAATAATTAAATTGTGGGCACATAATACAGCAGCCAGGGCACTTCACACATTTGGTCATGGAGGAAGGAAACTGAAGTCATCAGTAGTTAAAAGGGAGCAAGGAACAGGCGTCATCTTGAAGCTAATTTTGTGATGAGACACTAAAAAACACATACCTGCTACAGTATAGCAGGATATTTATAGGAGGTTAAAGATACAAAGTCCAGGAGCCTATACATTCCTGATTACCCAGCATTCTTAAATCAGTCCTCCTCAGTCTCACACCTGGAGTCTCAGCTGCAGCATAGCTGTCATTTACGCTATCCATGGCCCAGGATTGATGACAGTCATTCGCTGATGAAGCTGTATACATCATTTCTGTCCGAGCTGCACTGGCCAGATGGACCCTGACCATCCATCGCCTGTCAGGGACGCATCTGTTCACACTGCTGCTAGGGGTACTAACAAGTCATTGGCTTTCCAAAAGGACAGTGTCAGCTGGATAGGGCACAACATAAAAACTGGAGTTGTTGGGTTCTTCTTTTTTTTTTTTTTTTCTTATCAAGGAACAGGGTTTTGTTTTTTTTTCCTTCTTAAGAGGGGATATATTTCATTAACTTTTTAAAAAAAGTAATGGTACAGACATCTAAAAGATCAAAGACACCTTATCAACTTCATATTGATAAAGCAAATTGGTTGTCTTTAAATTTGTTGTTATTGATGGTGTTTCACTAATATGATCCATTTAAGAGTATAACATTAAAACGTTTGTGCAGAGCTGGGAGTTTCATTATGAGTATTTGTACCTATAATGAAAAATCAAGATGTCTGTGCATGGCTTTTTTCTGAATCCAGGTTAATTTTGTTACTTGTTTTACTTCCTTGTAATAAGTAAAATTATCTCCCTGTCTAAAATGAAAACCAATCCAAAACATATCTTCCAATACATTTGTTCATAAATCTAATCAATAGCAAGATAGTTCAAATTTGGTAAATATATTTTCATTTAATTTGTTGCCATTTGAAAATATTTTATTTGACAAAGAAAGGCATTGTTTTATCGGCAAGATGAAATAGTACCTACAGTTTAATTAGTCCTGTGTGTCAGGCACTATCTAAGCACTTTTCCTACATTAATTCATTGGCTCTTTACATTTCTATGAGGTAGGATCTTATTATTTCTATTTTCCAAATCAGGGAACTGAAGAATAAACAGTTAAAGGATGCATATTTAGTGTTAGTGGCAGAGGTAGTATGTGAGCCAAAAATAAGTCTGACACCAAAGTCCAAAGGTTAATTTCTTTTTGATTTGAGTTTCCAAAAATGATCTTCAAATATGGATCTAGACAGCCATTACTGCCCAGTATCCTGAACTTTTTCTAAATTCTTAGTTTGTTATCAAAATGAAACTATTTGCCTTGGCAAAACCTTAGCAGGATACATTTTCAATTAAGCAAGAATAAAAATATGAGTCAACGTCGGACAATTAACTGTTTTCTTAAATTAAGGGTGGAATTTAAATTTTAAAATATGCCTTATTTAGACACACATTTTGAAAAAAATAATGGACACCCACATAAATGTTCTTAAGTGGATAAAAGTGCATAATTTACTCAAAATGATATTCAAGAAAACAGAACACATGACATGAACAATCTTCAACAGGTGAGCAAAGCAGAGACAAGTGTTAGAATGAATGTGAATGGGAATGGTTGTTCACAGAGATCCTTCAAATGCAATTTGTATAGAGTACACGTCTGAAAGACAGCCCCCACCTCATTATTGCTTCAGTTTTCTGATTTAGAAGAGGAAAAAAATGTATGGTGTTTTTCCACCAATAGAAATGTATTTTAGAGATTTGGGTGAAAACTTACTGTAAAAGAAAAGAATGTAATTTTACTAGGTGGGAAACTGATAAAGAGACCATTTTCAAGGTCACAGAAGAGGCATTTCTGTATTGGCAATGTGAGACACATCGTTGAAAAATATGAGTGACTATAAACCTCATCTTGGCTGTTGGCTTTGGCAGCAGCAAGAGATCTGCAGGGAAATTTCTCCATAATTCTCCATTTTGGCTTCATAAATTGGCAGATCACACGGTTTTTCTTACTATGAGGGCCTTAAATTCCAATTAATTTACTTTGTTGTTCTTTGTTCAATTTTTATTCCTGTAGAAATATGGTAAAATGTTGGAACTAAACTAAATTATTTTAATGTATCTTCTACAGTATCAAGAATAAACAAATATATTTATGCAAAGAAAGTTTCCACATCAATAGTATGTCAGTATATGCCGATTGCTATGCTTGGTTCCTCCTGTATTAAGATGTGAATGGTCCGTGATCTAAAGGAATTTATGATCCTTAAGAAAAGAAAGGAATATATACAAATAACTACAAACAAGCTAAAATGTCATTAAATTGTAAAAGCAAGTATTATAAAAGTTGAGATGAGATTGCTTCCAGCTGGGATTATTAAAAAAAAAAAAAAAAGCAGGGGAGTGAGGGTTTATAGAGGAGGCAGTATTTGAAATGAGTCTTGACAAATTTATTTGGGAACTTATGTGTGTTAGACAAAAGGTGGTATCTCTCGCAGAGGGAACAATTCCAACACAAGCCTGGAGATAGAAAACCAAAGGTCAGAACAGGCAAGAGTCACTAAACTAATTTGTCTGTATCTGCAGTTGTATGTTACTTATAATAGATGTTTTGTTAATGTTTCCTAAATATGTGAATGAAGGAATGAATGAATGAATGAATCAATAAAAATGAGTTGAAATAGCAGAGAGTCATGTGTATGCGTTAGAACTTAAAATTCTATCACAAAAAACAAAAAGCTTTACTGCGGTAGGCAGCCTAAGGGCCCCTCTCAAAGATGTCTGTGTCCTCCTCCCTGGGACCTGTGAATGTGTACATGGCAAAGGAGACTGCAGATGTGGTTGTGGGTAGGATCCTTGGAATCGAGAGAGTATCCTGGATTATCCAGGTGGGTCCACTCTAATTGAATGAGTTGTTAAAAGCGAGAACATTTCCATGCTGTGATCAGAGGGGGATGTAACGAGCTGAAGCATGAAAGAGCTGTGACACTGCTGGCTTTGAAGATGGAGGGAAAGTGACACAAGCCAAGAATGCAAGCCCTCTAGAAATAAGAAAGGACGAAACACGGATGCTGTCCCAGAAGCTCCAGAAAGGAAGGCAGCCCTGACAACACCTTCATTTTAGCCCTGTGTGACCCATGTCAGACTTCTGACCTACAAAAATGTGAGATAATAAAAGCGTGTTGTTCTAAGCCACTAAATTCCTGGTAATTTGTTAAGGAAGTGATAAAAACAAATACATCTATTTTGTGTGGTTTTGGCATACTACAGTTTGTGGGTCCATCAGGGTATTTTAAAGCCTCATGTTGTCATGTGAGAAGTCAATGTTGAAAATGTATATGTACAATGTTGAAAATGCGTATATAAAATTTGGTACCAAGTTCTAGGAAGAAAGGGCTCATTATTAAAGTTTATCTAATAAATTACATTTTGGGATTAAATTAAGCAGCATATTAAACGAGCTGCGTTTTTGTTTTGTTTTCCATTTTTGTGTGTTTACTTCTCAACAATGACACCAATACTGGAATATTAGTATTTTTCATCTTTGGACAAGATAGAGTCTGATCAATTTTGTAAATTTGTGATTAATTTTGCTTTAAATTAACTAGGCTTCTCCAACAACAAATGAAATTTGATTAATAAATCAGAAAAAATATTGAGTCAGATATTGTGAAATTCTATCTCATATATTCCACAGTGCCTAGCACAATGCCTTGCCCACAGAACACTTATAACAATTATCATTTGATTTGTAAGGTAAATTCTATAAATATGGCTTAACAAATATACTCTGCTCTCCCATTATCCAGGGATTCTAAATACATGGCTATTCAGTGTGCCAGACTTCTGTTTGTGTTTGGCTGACTTAAGGTGCAATAAGTATTGTTTTTGATGCGGCACAAATGAACTAGGTAGAAGGTCAAGAATTTATCTGTGAACTTAGGCAACATACATGATCACTCCAGAGAGTCAGAATTCAGAAAATATTTTTCTTTTACTGAAATTTTCTGCAGAAATTAAAAACTACTTACCCTGACAAAAACAAATTAAACAATTTGTGCTGAAGTCACTTTTCATGTTAATTTGCAATGTACTGAGTAGGCAGGTAGGGAAAAGAATAGATGGCATTTTTAAGTTAAATCATTACTTGACAGCAGCCTTGCATCATGAGTAATGCCTCTGAGCTTTCTGGCTGGTGGTCTCGTCACATCCAAGCAGAACTCCACTGTTCTCAAGCCACCCTTTGGCTTCATTTGCTGTACATACAGAGTTTTGTTTGTTGGGTTCTTTCCACACTGCTGTTGATACTGAAGGAATTTCTTTTTTAGCTCTGTATCACACAGGACTCAATTCCACTGTCCAATTATCTGCCTCTTCACCTCTGAATTGCCACACAGCTGCTCCGAGGAAGAAAGTGAGATCAAGTCAGCCATGCAAGATACTGTGCCCTGAGATGCTGGATCCTGTGGCAAAGCTTCCCTGCTGCTCCAGAAGCGCTGGATGAGCCCTGTGGGGAAGTATGAGGGCCCAGGAGGACCAGGGTGAACCTCTAGTTAATCCGACATGGAAAAGGAGGCTCCACGCCAATCACCAAGAGTAAATTTAAACATGAAACTCACCACATTACCTTTTGGATTTTTGACCATGAATTTGGATATCCTGGGTTGGACAGTGATCTTACTTAGCTTTGCTACAGTGGAGAGGCAGCCTTTTTATTTGTGTTTGCTTCCCTTAAAGGAAGCCTTCAACAGTAAAAGTCAACAGAATCTTGAATGCCAACTGTGACTGGACACAGATATCAGTGATGCAATTACTGCACATTAATCCGAACTCTCTGTGGGGCTCGCTTGTTTCCATTTCTTGCTCTTCATGTCCCTGAGGTTAAAACAAAAACAAAAACAAACCCCCCAAAAAGCAAAAAGCCTGTTTTTATTTTTTTTCAGTTAGAATAAGGAACTTTTATGACTTTACACCACCCACTTCTTTCAGCCCTGACACAGGCTTCTACTTCACCTCACCACATTGTTTTCATCTTGCTTAAGTTCACCTGAAGATCACAAGATGCAGATGCAAACAGGCCCATGATCGTTGTTCATTCCCTGGGGTACTCACCATGTCACTTGAACAAAACCCATAGCCTTTCTGTTTATTTTTCTACTTTTAACTATTCCTCAGTGGTAAAGGTAGGTGTAATATCTAGTTAATTTATTCATTTTGCAAATTAATTTCACTCCACTAGGCACTAGATCTACAAACATGAATGGTGCCTGCCCTCAAGGGGTTTCAATCCACTAGACATAGATTATGAATTAGAAAGGACTCCCTGTAATAAAATGTGATGCGGGCTCTGAGGAGGACAGCTCCTGAGCACCCTACCTGCCACTGAGAGTGCCCGACTCTCTAGTGTAGTGCAGGAAGGAGTGTGGGGAGGGCTAGGGGATAAATATGAAGCACCTGCACACTAACAGGCAATCAGGAAAGGCTCCTTCCTGGTCCGGAAAATACACATAATTAGTTGACAGTGTATTTTCACCCTGTTTTATGAAGTTTCAAAATTGGATTTCTAGTATTTTTATGTCCTGTATTTTAAGATCCTGGTGAGATAAGACCATAGGTTCCACTTTTTTTAAGTCCTTTATTTCAGTGGCTGAATAGTTAAGTTTTGGCCTCAGACTTCCTTGCTTCAAATCCCACTTCTACCATCCACTGGCCATTTTACCTCAGACCATTTGCCGATGAGGTGACTTTACCTTGCCTGATTTACTTTTTCATTCATTGATTGAAGAACAACAACAAAAAATCATTGACCACTGTATTAGAGTTCTCCAGAGAAGCAAAACAAATAGGATGAGTGTGTGTGTGTGTGTGTGTGAAACAAAACAGATGGGATGAGTGTGTGTGTGTGTCTCTGTATGTGTGTGTATTTAAAGAGATTTATCATAAAGATTGTCTTACCCAATTATGGAGGCTGACAAGTCCTAAGACCTACAGGGTGAGTTGACAAGCTGGAGACCCAGAAGAGCCAATGGTGTAGTTACAGGCTGAAGGCTGGCATGTTCAAGACCCAGGAAGAGGCAATGTTTCAGTTTAAATCTGAAGGCAAGAAAAAGCTAGTGTCCCAGTTTGAAGGCAGTCAGGCAGGAAGAGCTGTCTCCTACTTGGAGGAGTCAGTCAACCTTTTTTTCTATTCAGGCTATCAACTGATTGGACAAGGCCCACCAACATTAGGGAGGACAATCAGTTTTATGCAGGTAACTGATTCAAATGTTAATAACACCTAAAAACACCCACAAAGAAATACCCAGAATAATGCCTGACCAAGTATCTGGGCACCCCATGGCCCATAAAATTAACCATCACATCCACCTAACTTAAGTGTCATTCACTGTTCTAGGCTCTAAAATTATAAAAATAATTGTGCAGAAAAGGCTTACGGCTGGCAAAACAAAAAAATTAATGACAGAGTGCAATTATGAGCAGTAGATTCTATGAGAGTCAACACATCATACACCCTGTAGCCTAATGTTTGGACCAGGGTAGATGGTGCTTTCTCATAATTCCCTAGTGTTTTTCCTTAGTCACATTCTACTCTAGGCCTCACCTTCATATCTAGCTTAGAGCACCTAGGAGAAAGCAGAAGTGTTCACTGAAAAGGACAGCAATTTTTACTTTTAGGAAAGAAAAAAGGAAAGTACACAAAATCTTGGGTCACGCTCATGTTAGTCCAGACAAATGTAAAAACTCTTCAGAATCTAATATTGGTTCTTTCTCATCCTTCTTTCTGCACATCTAACTTGGTTTTGAGGATCTTTCTGTCTTCCGGGTCCTCAGGGACTGGAAGGATCACCTGTCTGCTCAAGTAACCACTAGAGGTTCTTTCCAGGCCTGCCCTCTTCAAACTCTTCACCAAATCCCATGCCCAGATAATCTGATCATTACATAAACCAAAAAATGATAATGAATTGTGTTGGCCCTTTACTCAGGTAATGCATGTGTGTCTTAATAGAACATGGTGGGATGTGGAATGCATAAGCATGAAGGGATGAGTCGTAGAAGGAAATTCCTGGGGATTCGGAGGCTGATATGTTTGAGAAGATGGCAAATCATGTCATGTGAGTTACAGTCTACTCCGCAGATGCATGAGACTGGCCCTCACATGATAAGGCTTTGACTTTGGGAACTGAAAGGAAAAAGCACATTTGTTGAGGCCCTAGTTTGTTCCAGGACTCTGGTAGGTGCTTCAAATATATTATTGCATTTTATCACAATTTTTAAAAACTACAAAATAGGTATTAAATTTCCCATTTTCCACTTGAAAAAACTGAGAATCAGATAAATTAAATAACATACTCAAGGTTACAAAGTGTGGAGAATTAGGAGCCAGAAAAAAAATGAGTAGAAAGAAATAATAGAATTCCTACAAGTCCTTCGCCCACCTTTACATGATGATAGCATCTTACCTAAATACATTATTTTCTAAATGAGAAAATTAACATAGATACAACTATTAACTAATCTACAGACCTTAATCAAATTTTATCAATGTTCCTATTTAAATCGCTTTTCTGGTCCAAAATACAACCCAAGATCCCACGTGCACTTAGTTGTGTCTGCAGATGTGAAGTCTCCTTCAGTGTCTCATGTTGATGAATAGTCCTGGCCAGTTATTTTGCAGACTACCCCTTAAATTGGGGTCATCAGATGTTTTCTCATGATTAAATTAAAGTTCAAGCATTTTTGGTGAGAATAATGCAGAAGAGATGTTGTGCCATCTCTAGTATACCATATGAGGAGGTACATGATCAATGTTAGTCATCGTAGGAGATACGACTTTTGGTCACTTGGTGAAGGTGGTGTCTGTCAGCTTTCTCCGGTGAAAAAAAAATCCTTATTTCTATCCAGAGTTAAGCCAAACTCAAGGTTAAAGACACAGTTCTTCAAACTGCCAAGTCTGCTGAAGACTTATGACACCAAATGCAATGAGTTTCTCAAACTGCAAACTCTGAGAAACAATCTCCACAAGAGTGTTCTCACTTTAGATATCAAGCACAATTTAGGCAATCTCTTAAACTACCCTCACTTCAGACTGGCAGGCTACAAACTCAGGGGTTCCCAAGACCACCTTTGTGTTCAATAATTTGCTAGAAAGACTCACAGGTATCACTGAAATATATTATATTTACAGCTTATTATAAGGAAAGGATACAAATTAGAACCAGTCAAGAGTAGTGAATCAGTGCGAAGCCTGGAAAGATGCCAAACAGAAACTTTTCATCGTCTGCAAGGACACATGATTCTTCCAGCATGGAAGTGTGACAATAGTTAAAGAATATTGCGGCCGGGCGCGGTGACTCACGCCTGTAATCCCAGCACTTTGGGAGGCCGAGGCGGGCAGATCACGAGGTCAGATCGAGACCATCCTGGCTAACATGGTGAAACCCCGTCTCTACTAAAAATAAAAATAAATAAATAAATAAATAAATAAATAAAATTAGCCGGGAGTGGTGGCAGGCGCCTGTAGTCCCAGCTACTGGGGAGGCTGAGGCAGGAGAATGGCGTGAACCTGGGAGGCAGAGCTTGCAGCAGTGAGCCGAGATCGCACCACTGCACTCCAGCCTGGGCAACAGAGCTAGACTCCGTCTCAAAAAAAAAAAATTAAAAATAAACATAAAAATAAATAAATAAATAAAAGAATATTGCCAAACGGGGAAGCTCCTTCATGGTGCAGAATTTTTCCTAGGGCTTTATGATGTAAGCTCAACTGTTAGAATCATCGCTCATATGGTTTAACCCAATCTCCGGCCTCTTCCCTTTCTCCCTCTAATCCCATGGTTGGGCTTCCAGGTAGCAGCCCCCACCATGAGTCATCTGCTTAGCAAAAACTAGGAGCTCACCATGAGTTACATGGATAGCATGAGCAATCAGAGGTGGTATGGTGCAAAGGTCCCCATCAATAACAAGGAAATGCCTATTGCACAGAATATTCCAAGAATTTGGAGGTTAACTTCCAGAATTCAGGGACAGAAGCCAGGCTGCTCTTTGCATAGAGGCAAAATCTTTGATGGAGAGATAGATATTCTGAGACTCTATGGTCTTATATGCATATATCCTGTTTCTCATCATACTTTTGCCTACTAATTTACCATCCATTTGCGATTTTTGTCTGCAATAATTATTACTATAAAGTCTGCCAATTGATGACTGACCTTGCTCTTAAGAAAAACAAATAGAAGTATTTATGGGTAAAGGGATCCATCTGCAATTTACTTTGAAAATGTTAAAAGGAAATAACGTGCATATATTTTAGAGAGACAGAAAGAGAATTGTGAAGAAAATGTAAAGCTAATATTTGGGAAATCTGGGTAAGGGGTCTAAGAGAATTCTCTGTTATTCTCAGAACTTTTCTATAAGTCTGAAATACTGTAAAAATAAAAAGTTAAAACTTAAATACCAATAGTACATATTATTGGGACTATTTATGGGTTTGAAACCCCAAAGTAATATGGATTGACACCAAAGATAAATCTTCAAATTATAGGTAGTGGTAATAGGTTGTTGGATTTCTTTTATATTTATCATAGTATTTTTATTACTAGTTTTCAAGTAAAAAAATAGAGGGATCTAGAGAAGGTAGAGTTGTTGGGTAGTATCAGCATTCTTGCCTCTGAAAATGGACATAAAGAGGATTTAGTTATTTGACCTATTAAGTATCCTGTTTAATTAAATTGTCTCAGGATCTGTTCAGATAACTTACTAGGAAACTCCAGGGAATAGTGAATTGTTCCGGCCCAGGACTTTTAGAAAATGCCCAACTCATGCTTACTAAAGGCTTGTTTAAAATTATTTTAATCAAACTAAAATAAAATTGTGGAGATTCTATTTTACTAATTAATAAATCTGTGGAAATGTAGAAACAATACTAGTAAAAAGTGTTCACTTCAATTGTAACTCCATATTCACCAAAAAAAAAAATCTAAAATGATAAGATGTGTTTTGGTGATAGAATTGTGGACTAAAATTCTAGACAAATTCCCTAGAAAAAAAATGAATAGGAAAGAAAAAATGTAATGCAGTATCTGTAATTCAGCTCTAATTTGTAAATTTGTTTGTGGTTTTATTAAGATTTGTAGTGAGCAATTGCTTTCCCCAGGCTAAGCACTATTTTGTTATAACCATGACTACATTATTTTCCCTGCATCACCAAATTGCCTCATAAGAAGAAGGTGTCATCTTTTGAGTAGTGTGGGCCACATTTCCACCAGCAGCAGCCAACTGATTATACTCTGCCAGTTCACTGGGACCAGTCCAGGAGTCAGAGTTTGCCAATGTGCTGGGAGAGGTCCAGCAACTCTTTGGCAGTAGAATGGTCTTACCTGGAAGAGCTGTGGTGGTCTGGATGGAGCAATTCCCTGAGCTGAGCTCAACAGCCTAAGGACATGGATCAAAAGAGTCCTCTGCTGGCTAAGGCTCAGGTGACTTCCGAGCAGGTTTCTGGGGGAAGTTCAGCAAACCGCTAAGATAAATCCACTAGAAACCATCTGACAATAAATTAAGGGAAATTTATTGTCAATTTCTCAATTGTCAAAAACTCAATGGCAATACTCCAAAAGTTACAAAAGCAATCCATTAGAAATTAGAAGCATTGCATAGATTCATAAGTAGAATTCTTGGCAGTCTGGTGAGTACACTAATTTTTTTCATTTTTCTTTTTTTTTTTTTTGCTGTTTTTTTTGCAGAAGAACATCAAAATGGTATAGAAACACTAAATCAATTTTTAAATATATCTTTATAAAATATTTACATGTTACATTAAAATATGAATACTCACAATATCTCTCCTAGGATTCTAACACTATGTATATATCAAAGCTAACTAGTATAAAAATAAGTCTGGTTTACATTTTGTATCTTCTAGTATTATTAGGATGATTGAAGGTCAGGGGGCTGGTGGGTGCAAGTTGGAAAACAATTTATTATAAGAAAATAAATTTCTCTTATGAGTAAAATTAAAATCAGTTCTTCAGAACTGAAAAAAGATAAATACCAATTTAGTCTTGAAATTGATTTAATTTTGTTTCTCTCTGGGCAAAAAACACTATTGATTTTCAGTTTAGTATCAATAATGAAAAAAAATTCATCCTCAATCCCTTATCACTGCTCTGAAAGTCCATTTACACATTTACTTATCTATTTATATCAACCAGAGTTGACTGAATAAAATTTCAGAGTTTATACTACTAATAGATATTCATAATATGATATCTCTCAGAAGCGAAGTGAAAATCAAATAGAAAAATTATAAAAAAGAGAAAGAATATTTCTGTTGCAAATTTTCACTTTTATAATGGTCATTTTCATATAAGATGTATTAGCAGTTTCTGAATCATGTTGATATATGTGTCAAATAATTACCGACTCACTACTAGTTGTCAGACTAGTATTTCAGTATTATAAGGATGTTACAAAATATGTGTAAGATACAAGTTTTACAATGGAAGATCTTATAATCATACATATTTGAATTACTATTTTGTCTAAGTCAAAAAGCTTCAAATTAAATAAAGAAGACAATAATACCATGTCCTAAACCTAAAAGAACTATAATTTAAGGATGTCTTCTTTTTAAATAACAATTCACAAGACCAAAGTTTTTTTAAAAAATTTCTTACAAGGTTATTATAAATTGTTATAAATTGTCATTTATAATAACCTTGTAAGAAATCAAGATAAGTTTATGGTAAATCAAGAAAATGTTTAGACAAGAGGAAGAAAAGTTTTCATCCATAAGATGTTTTTTCAGAGTTTTTATTTTGTCATATTAATATGTGATTTGTTTTTGACAATGCTTAATGGAGAGAACTTAAGTTTTGTAAAGAGTAAAAGTAAGAAAAGACAAATTCTTTTGCCTGATTGGAATGAAGTTATTTTAAAACCATATAAGTGACCCTTAAGATCTTTGGTGCATAGGACAAGGCAGGATAAGCGCTTGCTATTTTCCATAGTATGTTTTGGTAGAACACCATAGATTTTGGGACAAGGACACAGTACACTATAATTTGGTTGCTTTCTAAAAAAATCTGTTTACCAGTTGAAAATTATGTTCTGAGATAATAATAGAGTAAAATTTACAATGCTTTCAAAACATGTATTGATATTTAATCAGGCTACTGTTTAAACAGCTGATCCTATAACATTTTACACAAATATTGGATTTTCTGGTATCATTCTATAGATATTCAAGGACCCTTTCGTATTACTTTTCAAGTAACAGTATCAAAATAGCATGAGGTTTATAATCATTCAGCACTTAACTTTTAAATGTTAGCATTTGTGCGTTGTTGGAATAACTGCACTGAATCTGGAGTTTCATTACATCACAAATAAAATACTTGCAGACATTCCTTTTGTTCCTTTGTCATTATAGCAGGTGAATATAAACAGATCACTATAAAAGTATGTGATTTTTCAAACAAAACAGTGTAAGATTTTCATATAGTGAAAGCTATACTTTGCTTAAATAGAATGTTACCTTAGAACGAAGTTTATTTATACAAAATAAGTGATATGGTTTGGCTCTGTGTCCCCACCCAACTCTCATCTTGTAGCTCCCATAATTCCCACAGGTTGTGGGAAGGAGCCAGTGAGAGATGATTGAATAATGGAGGTGGGTGTTTCCTGTGCTGTTCTCATGATAGTGAATGGGTCTCACAAGATTTGATGGTTTTAAAAACGGGAGTTGCCCTGTACAAGCTCTCTTTGCCTGCTGCAATCCACATAAGATGTGATTTGCTCCTCCTTGCCTCTCACCAGTATGAAAATGGACTAATATAGAAAACTGGTACCAGTAGAGTGGGTGTTGCTGAAAAGATAACCAAAAATGTGGAAGTGACTTTGGAACTGGGTAACAGGCAAGGTTGTTAACAGTTTGGAGGGCTCAGAAGACAGGAAAACATGGGAAAGTTTAGGACTTCCTAGAGACTCATTGAATGGCTTTAACAAAAATGCTAATAGTGAATGAACAATAAGGTCCAGGCTGACATGGTCTCAGATGGAGATGAGGAACTCATTAGAAACTGGAGCTAAGGTGACTCTTGTTGTGGTTTAGCAAAGAGATTCGTGGCATTTTGCCCCTGCCCTAGAGATTTGTGGAACTTTGAACTTGAGAAAGATGATTTAAGGTATCTGGTGGGAGAAATTTCTAAGCAGCAAAGCATGCAAGAGGTGACTTGGGTGCTGTTAAAGGCATTCAGTTTTATAAGGGAAGCAGAGCAAAAAGGTTTGGAAAAATTGCAGCCTGATAATGCAGTAGAAAAGAAAATCCCATTTTCTGAGGAGAAATTCAAGGCAGCTGTAGAAATTTGCAGAATTAACAAGGAGACAAATGTTAATCACCAAGACAAAGGGGAAAATGTCTCCAGGGCATGTCAGAGGTCTTCCCAGCAGCCCAACCCATCCCAGGCTAGGAGCCCTAGGAGGAAAAGATGGTTTCATGGGCCAGGCCAGGGCCCCCTGCTCTGTGCAGCCTAGCAACTTGGTACCCTGCTTTCTGGCTGCTCCAGCCATGGCTAAAAGGGGCCAAAATATAGCTTGGGCTGTTGCTTCAGAGGGTGGAGGCCCCAAATTTTGGCAGTTTCCATATGCTGCTGAGCTTGCGGGTGCACAGAAGTCAAGAATTGAGGTTTGGGAACCTCCTCCTAGATTTCAGAGGATGTATGGAAACACCTGGATGACCAGGCAGAAGTTTGCTGCAGGGGCGGGGTGCTCATGCAGAACCTCTGCTAGAGCAGTGCAGAAGGGAAATGTGTGGTTGGAGACCCCATACAGAGTCCCCACTGGGGCACTGCCTTGTGGGGCTGTGAAAAGAGGGCCACCATCCTCCATACCGCAGAATGGTAGCCCCACCTACAGCTTGCAACATGGGCCTGGAAAAGCTGCAGACACTCAATGTCAGCCTGTGAAAGCAGCCAGGAGAGAGGCAGTACCCTGCAAAGCCGCAGGAGCAGAGTGGCCCAAGAACCCATGGGTTCCATGGGAACCCACATCTTACATTAGTGTGACCTGGACGTGAGACATGGAGTCAAAGGAGATCATGTTGGAGCTTTAAGATTTGACTGCCCCACTGGATTTCAGACTTGCATGGGGCCTGTACCTCTTTGTTTTGGCCAAGTTTTCCCATTTCGAATGGCTGTATTTACTCAATGCCTGTACCTCCATTGTATCTAGGAAGTAACTAACTTGCTTATGATTTTACAGGCTCATAGACAGAAGGGACTTGCCTTGCCTTGAATGGGACTTTGCACTGTGGACTTTTGAGTTAATGCTGAAATGAGTTGAGATTTTGGGAGACTGTTGGGAAGGAATGATTGGTTTTGAAATGTGAAGATATGATATTTGGGAGGGGCCGGGGAAAAATGATATGGTTTGGCACTATGTCCCCACTCAAGTTTCATTTTGTAGTTCCCATAATTTCCACATGTTATGGGATGGACCTGGTGGGAGATGGTTGAATTATGGGTGCGGATCTTTCCTGTGCTGCTCTTGTGATAGTGAATGGGTCTCACAAGATCTGATGGTTTTAAAAATGGGAGTTGCCCTGCACAAGCTCTCTTTGCTGCCATCCATGTAAGATGTGACTTGCTCCTCCTTGCCTTCCACCATGATTGTGAGGCCTCCCCAGCCATGTGGAACTGTAAGTCCAATAAACTCCTTTCTTTCGTAAATTGCCCAGTCTTGGGTATGTTTTTATCAGCAGCGTGAAAATGGACTAATATAATAAATAATTAATAATATTCTCTTAAAAGGCCTCTGTTGCTAACATTACAAGGATGTGATATCAGTATAACTCTGCATAGGGCAATTAAGAGTCAGTTAAAAACCAACACACTATCTAATTTGTTTAGCACCCTGTAATTTATAAAATATATTTACATGCATTTTCCAACTTGATCCTTCCACCAACCCATGAAGTACTTATGGAATGTTATTTACTCCTACATGTAATAAAAGGAAACAAATTCATAGAGAATTATTGACTCACATAAGGTCATATACTTAGTAAACTGTAGAAAATAAAATCACCCAAGTCCTCTGATTCTAATGATTATATGCTCAGGACATCATCTTTGTACATTTATATTCTAGGACCGAAGAAAAAAGAGGCATTGCCAGAAATACATCCTTTGTTTTATCGGAAAACAAAACATTTCTCCCAGCAGATTTCCATTATATCTCAATGAGCAAAACTAGGCAATGTCATCACTCCTAACTGCAGAAAGACCAGAAGTGTGAATAGCTGACTTTTGTCCCTCTCCATAGTGGTAGGTGACCAAAAGGAAAGTGCTTAGAATGACTGGGGCTAAACAGTTTACAGTGTCTGCCACATGGTAGAATGTCAGAGTACACCCAAAAACTATCTTTGCCCTCAAAAAGCTCACATTCTAGTGCCAGAGATATAAATAAGTACACATAGGACCACAACTCATGATAGAGTGAGTTATGCATTTCTTGTAGAAATGAAGAGTAAAGTGTTCTAGGTATTCAGAGAAGAGAACAATTCTTTGTTCATACTTTTTTTTTCTTAGCTTATGACCAATTACTCTCCTCAATTGTGTTAAGCTGCACCTTTTATGTAGCAAATGACAGCTGACTGATGAAAAGAAAAGGAATGTACTGGCTCATATAACTGAAAATTTTAGCCATGGCTGGATCCAGGAATTTAAAAGAATTTAATTAGGGCTCTATCCCTTCTTATCTCTCAGCTTTGCTTTTTCTGAGCTGGCTTCATTCTCAAGAATGTTTCTCTGATATGATTGCAAATATAATTGGCAGTTCTGGGTTTATTTGTCCTTTCAGGCTAGCAATCTCTGAGAAAATAGAAATATACATCTTTTCTGTAGCTATCTTTGGTGTAAGCTCTGGAAATACTCTGATTATCCTGGTGGTATGGTTTGGATCTGTGTTCCCACTCAAATCTCATGTTGGATTATAATCCCTAGTGTTGGAGGTGGGGCCTGGTGGGATATAACTGGATCATGGGGGTGGATTTCTCATGAATGGTTTAACACCATACTCTTTATACAGTCCTCAGGATAGTGAGTGAGTTCTCTCGAGATCTGGTCATTTAAAAGCATGTGGCGCCTCCACCCTCCCTCTCTTGCTCCTGTTTTGGCCATGTGAAGTGTCTGCTCCCTCTTCACCTGCCGTGATTGTAAGCTTCCTGAGGCCTTCCCAGAAGCAAATGCCACTATGCTTCCTTTATAGCCTGCCAAACCATTAGCCAATTAAATGTCTTTTCTTTATAAGTTACCCAGTCTCAGGTATTTCTTTATAGCAGGGTGAGAATGGCCTAATACACATGACTTGGTCACATGTCTAACTATGCTGAACCAATCATCCATCACTATGATTAGGAGTGTGAAGAATCTGATTGGCAAGGCTGAATCAGAGGATGACTTTTGTGTTGGGTGGGTAGGATCGAGAGAGGAATTAGGGGATGTTAAAGGCTATTGATTGACCACTTCCATGTCAGAAAGGAGGATTTCCTAAATTGTAAAGTCCTAAACAGAGGAAAAGTAACAAACATCTACTATAAAACAGATACTCTACATTCCAGGAATAGGAATAGTTAGCATTCAGGCACCTCAGTCCCGTAGAAGCTGGGGAGGAAGGTGCTAACATAGACTTAATTGGTTTATAGAGTGGTAATTATACCAAATTGTCCCAACACTGTTTCGTTTTGCTAATATAAAGGGCACATTGTTGTTCTTGGAAATTACCTAGTGCCAGAAAACAAATCTAAATCTACTATCAAGATTACATCCTCAGAAGGTAAGGCTGCTTACACATAAAAGGGATTCATGATACAATAAATACTAAGGTTATCTAATGCTTTTAGTCATATAATTGTGTTCATTCACTATATTCGAGAAAGAGTATATTCCATATATTCATGTTGGATATTTGATTTTCATTTGATCACATTTTAGAGAATGTATTATCTATCCTGAACACACACACAGGTACTTACTCTGCAACTTTCTTTGACCCTAATTTTCTTTTTCCTCAGATGAGTGGGCTATTCCTGCTGCCAACATTTATCGTAACTGTTTTCTTCTTAGACTTCAATAATGTGACTTCAATTCTTAATGTTCTCTTGAAACTTCACTCTGAAATTCACCTAATTCAGTCGCCCCATTTCAGTCAAAATTTTCCATGACCATCATAAGGCCTTTTTTTCCTTTTAATCAACTTCTTTCCTCTGTTTGCTTCCACTATGGCCCCCCAAAATTTGATACTAAATTACCTACCTAACACGTTGACCCACTTCTCCCTATCCCAGAAAGAAACTTTTTTCTTTATTCTTTTCTTTTATTTATTTATTTATTTTGAGACTGTGTCTCACTGTGTTGCCCAGGGTAGAGTGCAGTGGCATGAACATGGCTCACTGCAGCCTCAACCTCCTGGGCTCAAGTGATCCTCTTGCCTCAGCCTCCAGAGTAGCTGGAAACACAGTCATGTGTAACCAAAGCTGGCTAATTGTTTTATTTTTTGTAGAGGCAAGGTCTCTCTTTGTTGTACAGGCTGAAACTTTTTTCATAAAACTCATGCTGAATCTTCTGTTTTGGAATATCATCTTCTCCAATCAAAATTCTACCCTTCTTTCAAGTTATACATTTTGGGTAATTATCTATTTCATGTATATTATCCTGTTATTGATATTGTCAATTTTTGAGAGTACTTTATTTTCTGGGGTACTCCTAAGTCATTGTTGAGCACATCATAAGTACATTATAAGAAATGTTTTGAATTAAATTTGTTCTCCAAATAAGCATCTTTAATATTTCTGTGAAACCAAAGAAATTTTATTAGGATGATAGGACATATTTTAAATTTAATGGCTAAAAAAAAGAAAAATAGTCAATTTTGTAAATTAAACTCTCATGTCCCTAAATGCAAAATTTCTGGGAAAGAAAGGTGTGTAATGGCATATCTCAAGGGATGAATACATTCCAGAAACATCAAAGAATAACACTTTAATCTTTAGAGCAATTAATATCCATTTCAAGACATTAAACCTTCCAAAATTAATATTAGCATCACATTTTACAGACACTTAATATTTTAACATTTCCACATTTTAATAAGATTTTAATAGTATGAAAATAAAGCCATTATAAAAGACAGTTTACATTCTCACTAATTCTACATGATTTGAAGTTTTGTATGTAGCAAAAAACTAAAGGATAGAAAGGATTAAAGGATACAAAGCATTTTAATTTAGAGCAAATAACCAAGTAAGAAAGGATGCAGTTCAGATTTGAATCTTAATATCTCTAAATATATTAATACAAGTGAAAATATTTCTGGCAGTTAAATAGGTTTGATTAAAATTGTCTTAAAATATAGCATTTCTTGAAACAATCTACTTTCACAGATTTAAAGATACCAAGTCTCTCCTTGTCTAGTGTTTCAACAACTGAAAAAATCCAGTTCAGACTCTATGCCTTCCTTGTGAAGAAACACAACCTTCGTTGTGTCAGATCTCAGCTCTTAAATTTCCCTCTACTTCCTCTGCTGTTTTGTGCATTTTAAATGTGTGACAGTAGCTTTCTCTACGCCTAAATTCCTACAACTTTTGAATATAAGTTATTCTCATTGAATGTTGAAACAATACAGAGTTGGGCTATTTCTTGTTTTACTAAACTGCCCTTTTGAAATATTTACATTACACATGAAGCTCACTGAAAACCTTCACAGGAAATAGCTAAAAAGTTATACAGCAGTTCCAGATCTCACAGAATTATCTCAGTTTTTATGAACACTAACTCAGGGTCAAGCTCTTTTACAAAGCCATGTAGGGGTACTAAAGGGTCCCTCCAGTTTTTAGAATGTTGCCTCTTACCTGGGATTCAAGAAGACTGGTTCCTCACCACATCTATCTTCTTTTCTCAGTTGTCCATTTATATATAGTCTGTTTTTCAGTTTTATTGTCTGATTCCTATTTATAGGGCAGTTATAAAAGTAGATTTGCTTAATAACATAAAAGAATAAAGTATTCGACTTTGATAATCAAATTAATTCGGTGTGCTTATGTCTCTCAACAGAAACTCACATATTTTTGAAATTCACATTTCTTAAGCACTTTCTGTGATTTTCACTGACACAACTTTCATTTGGTGGTGTACAAATTATTTGTGTGCAGAACATCATCGTACCCTGCAGTGTATCTTACTCTTCTATGTATCTCCTTAGCACAGTGCCCACAACATTCATATGGGGTTTCTTTGATAAATAAATGAATTAACAAATGACCTTTTCCTTGAGCTGCCTGAAATTACCAAATGCTTTCATTCATTTTATAAATAACTTATCTATTTTGTCTTGGACTTTGTTGTGTTAATAACACCAAAAATTTCTAAGAAAATTTCAAAGATGCAAAAGTGGTGATGAGCAACATTTTTGACAAGGGAGTCCATTTGAAGAATTGAGCAAATGTTTTCAACTATATTTTATGTATTAGAAAATATTTTGATAAACTTGCTCTTGCATTCATTTATTATTTACCTGACACATATGTTTCTTTCCTTTATGTTCTCTTCTTAGCTAAAATGTTGGGATCAAAGTGGCTGGCAGCTACGGAAATTGATTTTAATACTATAATGTTTAACAGATATTACTGTTTAGTTTAATAGCTTTTAGGTTAATATCTTTTGTCTTTTCTTAGTTTATAAGCACTTTCATTATTTTAAAAAGATTAACAGTATTTTCTGTAAGCAAGACATTTTCCATTGAAATGAAACAAATAGTATATATTTGCTATATGTTATAGGAATTATACCTCATTCTGCTTCCGTAAAAATGCTCAGTTTTCATTAGGCATTTTCTTGGCTATATCCAAACAAGGATTTAAATAGAATGTTGAAGAATAAATATAGTTGTTAATAATTTCATAGCTGATTATTTATAAATTTCTTTTTGAAAATTACTTAGGACACAAAGGTGCAGATATTGAAGAGGTATTTTATTAAAATAGATCAGAGGCTGGACGTAGTGGCTCATGCCTGTAATCCCAGCACTTTGGGAGGCCAAGGCAGGCAGATCACCTGAGGTTGGGAGTTCGAGGCCAGCCTGACAAACGTGGAGAAACCCCATCTCTACTAAAAATACAAAACCAGCTGGGTGTGGTAGTGCACGCCTGTAGTCCCAGCTACTCGGGAGGCTGAGGCAGGAGAATCGCTTGAACCCGGGAGGCAGAGGTTGCAGTGAGCCAAGATCATGTCATTGCACTCCAGCTGGGCAACACGAGCAAAATTCCATCTCAAAAATTTAAAAAAAGAATCAGAAAGCAGAAAGAAAAAAACAATAAATAAAGCCATAGGAAACTTGAAAATATCAAAATCTGAAGGAACAAAATCACTTGCATTTTATTTAATGACAACTAATATTTATTTAGGGCTTAATATATGGCAGGTACTCGTAAACATTTCACATGGATTAACTCACTTAGTCTTCACAATACCCTTATGAGATAAACATTATTGTTATTATTATTATTAACATTCCTATTTTATAGATGATGCAATTTAGACAATAGAGGGTTAAGTAAATCACCTAAGGTCACACAGTAAAATCATGGGCTCAACGTGACCACCCCTTTCTTCTTCTTCATGTTGGAACATAGTAGGCAAAACAGCATTAAAAGTCATAGTCCACCTTACAACAGCCCAGTAATGTTATAGGTCTTGTGACCTATGGGCTAGTGAGAAGCCCATTCCTACCATCACCCTAATGCTGCGCCCATGGGTACTTGCTCCTGCTTGCTATACAAATTCAACTCTTCAGTCTCATTATGTCTTTCAGACCTAGGCAACATTATGTAAAATATGCCATTACCACAAAGGCTACCATGGGCCTGGAAGACGCTAGGCTTACCTAGGGCATATCTGTGTAGGCTTCCTCAGTCAGGCTATATTGCAAAGCTGGGCAGGCCACATGTGACTTCCTTGTGCCTGCGACAACAATACAGACCATGAAGCTCACAGAGCAGATCACAAAGCCCAAATATATGCAATGGTTAAGAATAGTCTGGACGTAGAATAAAATCACAGTAACAATTTATACCTGGGCCAAGACAGTGTTTCTAAACTGTCCACAGTGATGTCTCTGTCAGGCTGACAGTGGATCACAATATATTTGTATTTTATAAATAGAAAGTGTCCTAGAACCAAATGGCTTTCAGGGCCAAATTTAACAACAAATTATTACTACTACTACTACTACTGTGCTACTACTACTATCAGTAATATTATATTATATTATCAACACTATGATACTGGTATCACCACCAGCAGCAGTAATAATAAAAAATATAAGGGGGAATTCTGCATCTGCTTAGGTTGCAGAAAGTCACAGAGAATACTGATCACACACTAATTAAAAAAAGCTGAATAATCTACAAAATCATAACTTTTTGTAAGTCCATCAGAGCACTGAGGTCACAAAGCAACCAAATAAATTGAATCCGAGTAACAAGCCCCTTCAAAGAGATACCACACACTACACACACACACACACACACACACAGAGAGAGAGAGAGAGAGAAAGAAAGAGAGAAATTCACCTTTAGCAGAGAGCAGGACAGGTAGAGATCTTACAAAAGGTAAATGAAATCAGCTAAAATTTTAATGAATTATTAACGGCCAAGTGTGCCCTAGAAAATAACTTGAATTAGCTAGGAGTCCTAGAAACAAGGAAAGTGTGATAGAGTGTGAACTCTATCACAAGCCCTTTTCCATGGTCCTCCATCATGAGGAAGATTTGGGATGAGGGCAAAGGACCTTGAGAGGCATGCAGGAGAACAGTATCTACTGGGGGCCAGGTGCAAAGCCCCACTCACTTCCTGTTAGACCCACATCTAACAGGAAGTGGAGACTTCCTCCACTGGGGAGGAGCTGTGAGCACACTCATGCTCAGCTCCCCAGGCCCAGGGAAAAATGCCCTGCTTCTGATTCTGAGGAAGAGGTACAAGGAAGACCTGTGTGCCATGGAAAGGGAGGAGGAAAGCCTCTCATGAACCTAGACACAGGCAAAATTCAGTGCCTCTGGGCAGCAGGGAAAAGCAAAAATTCTCTGCCTCTGCAGGAAGGGTAGGAAGCCATTTGAAGCCCAGGATGTTGTACTGACCAGAAGAGGCCCTTCAGGTAAAATCAGCCACAGACCCAAGGCTGAGTTTGTGTTTTGTGGATGGGAGATACAGGAAGTCTTCAAAACTTAGAGACAGGAGCCTGCCTAAGATGGGCTGGAAGTGGATAACATACAGAAACACATTCACTTGTGGCTACCTTGGTCTACAGCACTTTTTAGGAAGGAGAGACTTGCCTAATAATAATCAGGAAATTTCTAAGTTCCAGAACTAACTCAGTGTTCCCACCTTTTGCTTTTAATCTTTCATAATATAATGTAATTATTAAAAGTAAAATGTTATTTTCAAAGCTAGATAAAGACTGAAGGAAATATTTGTTGACCAGGAGCTACAAAATTAAATAATATTTTTATATGGTGAATTATAGTTCAAAGGAAACGTGTTTACATACATTATGTTGTCTGATCCTCAAAAATAGCCTCATTGGACAAAGTACTTTAGAAAAAAAAAAATCCAGTAGTGACACAGAAGAAAGAGGTTTCAGCCTTAGTCTAATACTAAGTAGCACTATCTGATGAGTTACTGTATATTATCCTGGGATTTTATTTTTTTAACTGTAAAATGAAAAGTTTGACCAGGATAATGGATCTTACATTTTTATATGTATAAAAATGCCCTGAGAAAATTATAAAATGCAGATACTACACAGCCCTTCTACATCAGAGATTCTTTGTCAGTAGGTCCTGGTGTTGCTCAAATAATCAATTCATGTGGTCTTAGGTATCAGCTTGCTTAGGGTAGCATGCTTGGAGAAGCATGCTGTACCCTAAATTTCTAATACCCCTTTTGGTTCCAACAGTCAATGAGTCTAAGCAAGTGGAAGAGATATTATTGTCCCTATTTTCCAGATCAATAACTGAGTCCTGAATGTCAAGTAACTAGCTTAGTTACTTGCTAACTATCATAGTGATAGTAGTAGAGAAATGCAATTAAAACTAATGTCTTCCAAGTCCCTGTTTGGTACTTTGCTCTTAAACCAGTTGGCACACTGCGGCAAAGACTGTTGTAACTGTGGCAAAACAGTTATAAACTGTTGGTTTCCCTTTTTCTTCTAAGCATATAAACAAACTAGATTTACTGATTTGCCATATGATGAGTTTTGACCAATAGAATTTGGGAATAAGTCAACTCCAATTAACACTTATCCATAAAATCCTCTCATGCATAATCCTTCCAGGCTTTTTCCTAGCTGAAAACTTAGTGGAGATGTAGTTGAGAACCCAGAAGGGGTGGAAACACAAGATGGACTGGGCCTGGGTTCTTGAATCACTGACTGGGGCGCAGTCCCCACCAGCCACATCCTTCAGTGGGCCCGTGTTTCATTACGCTGTGAGCAAGAAGTAACCTTGTATTGTGTTAAGCCACTGAGAAATTGGGTTGTTATTTAGCAGTTAGTCTACCAGATACATAGCCCTCTCACATTATACCTCTGTAAGATAAAAAGATTGCAAAAAAAACAAAAGCAACTTTGAGATAATAACCTGTGTTTCTTTTAGTTCTTGTTTTGTTCTTCTTATCCATTTTCCTTTCCTTTCCTTTCCACAGGTAGGTAACCCCTGTGGACATTGCCTCAGGGATCAGAAGGTGGCATGGTCTAAGGACTAGGGAAAACAGCAGAGCAATAAAACAAAGTAGCCTATGAATTCTCCTTGTTTGACTTGCAAAAGGCCAAGGCTAGGAAAAGGAGAGAGTTTATTAGAGTTTATCAGGCTAAATGTTTTAGCCAAAAACATGAAGGAAAAGTCTTTCCCAAAGATTAGAAAGGGCTTGGCCAGGGTGTATGGAAGATGATGCAAGCTGTGGCAGAGGTGTTTTTCCTGCCCTTAACCTTCACCCTGTCAGTGAACTTTATTTGACTAGGGCTAGATATGGCAATATCTACATCTCTGTACCTAAGGGCTTGTTTCTCCAGAACTGAAGAAAGCCTGACTGCCCCATGACAAATGCAGGCAGAAAGTGTGGAGGAATCAACTCCATCCCAGAAACCCCTAAGAGTCATTGGTTTACTTGTGTGTTTCCCTTCGTCTTCTAAGGATATAGAAGAACCTCTCAAGAATCGGTGTATAAATATCCCAGTTCCCTCTTCCCTCCAATGTGATAATCCTTTGTCAGCATTTCTGTGTAAGATGCAGCTCCAGACTCCCACTGGGTTAATAGCATACTCTAGACAGTCTTCCTTTTTCTGCATTATTTTCCCCCACATTCCTATTGGTACTTTCAGCACTTACCAAATAGACTTCTTGAATTTGAATCCTTGTTTCAGGATCTCATCCTGGGAAATCCAAACTAAGACACAAACAAAGAAGCCCATGGATCTTAAGGCAGACAGATTGCCTGCATCTACTCCTAGACTGGAGAAACCAGGAATGCTTCAAGATCTGAACGTTTCATATGATATAGGTGCAGAAGCAGCTTACACCCTGTTTCTTGGAAAAAACCAACAGTGTTATGGCAAGATTCTCAGGAAGAAATGGTGTCATGGTGTGCCTAGGCAACCAAGACCATAGACAAATCACAAAATATCCATGTCCAAAGTTTGGCATAAAAGGTATAGAAGGTTGAAAGGCATGAAGAAGTGACCTTAATCTGATGGTCTCAGCCACATCCCATATAAACAAAAAAAAAATGAGATCCATATGCTAGCAGACACTTTGACCTAGTGAAGATTAGGGATGTAATCTAGATTTGAGTAGAAATGGGAAGAACCCTGATAAAAGAAAAAAACTGATAAAGTCCTATCTGTTCATAGCTGGGGACCCAAAGATCCATATTAAATTTTATTATAGAAGGTAAAAAATATTGTATTTGTACATCTGAGCTTGAAAAATAAGAGTCACACCTTCTATAATACTGTGGTATATTGGATTATATTTTGCTGTTATTTGTTCTTTCTGTATTAAACCTTTAGTGTATCCTGTGGGAAAAGTATTAGTTCCTGCCTCTGTGATGTTGGGCTTGGTTTTATGAAATATTTTAAACAATGGAAGATGAGGTACCCTGCCAAATATTATGTTTGAGCAGAATACTTAAATGGAACTGGGTGTTTCTTTCAGGAGTGTTAAAATAAAATAAAATGGAGACCACAAGCTCTTGAGAATCCCCCGGGCAGACAAAACCAGTTAGGCCATGCAAGCAAAACTTAGCTATTTCTTGTAAATTCCTCTGATAATCATGAATAAAACTTAAATCGCCTTCCAAAAATGGTATAAGATGACCGCTTTGTATCAATGCTCTGCTATCTGAAAACCCCCATTGTAATAACCAGTTATTACAAAGGTTAAATAACTTCCTCATTTTCATTAGTTAGCCTGTAATGCTATGCCTCTGAGCTTCTTAACACTTTCAGTATGAGGTTTCCCTGTTGATGAACTGTTCTTTTGTATGCGCAATAGACTTTGAATTTTTTAAACTTGATCCCATTTTATTTTTGACAGGAACTGTCTTTTCAGTTTGGGTCCCAAAATGAAGAGTTATGTAGAGCTCAAACTACCTGACCTGCAACATACATGTAGTGTGAATGAGAATAAATACTTGATGTTTAAGCCATTGAAATTAATGAGATACTTATTACCACGCAAACCTGACTAATACACATACCAAGGGAGGAAATCAGATCAAAACAATGAGGAAAATGTCATAATACCTGAATTATTATGGCATCTCCCAAAAACGAGGGCAAAACTCCAGTTAATTTTTCAGCGGTGCCAATATTCTGCATCCCACACTGTTTTTCGCTGTTTTTCCTCTGAAATTCAAGACGCAGTTCCACTAATAATGTGATTGAATATATCAATATGTGAGGACGGGAGAAAAGGAATGCAAAACTAATGCTATTTTAAAGCTTTCTATGAAGAAGTTTTCATCTCATTATCATGAAAAGTTGGAAGGCATTCTCTTTTTAAATGATTGTAAAGTTTAAATGCAAGTTGGGAATTCACATGAATGCCTAGAACTATGAGTCACTAAAAAATCCTGGAAATGCTGTTAAAAGAGTTCTACACTCCTCCTCCCAGCTAAGCCTTTCTGAAAGCATTCTAACTCTATGCAATATTAGGCGTAGATAGGATACAGGAGATTGTCAAGTTTTTGTCTGGTATTTTTTTCCAGCTTTATTGAGGTATAATTGACAAATAAAAAGTGTATATATTTATAAGGTACAGCATGATGCTTTGATATATGTATGCATTGTAAAACGATTACCATCAAGCTAATTATCACATCCATCACCTCACATAATTATCATTTTGTGTGTGTGTGGTGAGAACATTTAAGATCTCTTAGCAATTTTCAAGGATACAATATAAGCACTGTACAAAAACTGTAATAACCATGCTGTACAATAGATCTCCAGAATGTACTCATCGTGTCTAACTGAAACTTTGTACTCTTTGACCAGCATCTCCCATTTCTCCCCTTCACATTCGTGCCCTCTCCAGCCCCTGGCAACCACCATTGTACTCTCTGCTTCTACAAATTAGACTTTTTTAGAGTTCACATATAAGTAAGATCGTTCGGGATTTGTCTTTCTGTGCCTGGCTTTTACTTACGATAATGTGCCCCAATTTCATCTATGTTGTTGCACATGACAAGATTTTCTTTTTTTTAAAGGCTGAATTTTCTATTGTACATACACTGTATATATATGTAAATATAGAGAGTAGAATAATATATACATATATATATATTGCAATTTGTTTATCCATTCATATGTCAGTGGGCGCTTATGTTGTTTCCATATCTAGGCTATTGTGAATAATGCTGCAGTAAACATTGGAGTGCAGATGTCTCTTTGACATACCAACATTATTTCCTTTAGCTATATAACAAGTGGTGGGACTGCTGAATCATACAGTAATTCTGTTTTTCATTTTTTAGGAACTTCCACCCTATTTTCCATAATAGATGTACTAATTTATATTCCTGCCAATAATGTACAAGGGTTTCCCTTTCTCCACATTCTTGCCAAAGATTATTATCTTTCCTCCTTGAGATAATAGCCATTGTAACAGGTGTGAGGTGATATCTCACTGTGATTTTAATTTGTATTTTCCTGGTGATTACTGATGTTGAGCATGTTTTCATACACCTGTTGGCAACCTGTATGTCTTTTTTTGAGAAATATCTGTTCAGATTCTTTGACCACTTTTAGGTCAGATTACTTGTTTTCTTGCTATCGATTTGTTCAGTACTTTTAAATCTCCATGAACAATCTTTACCGCATAGATTGAAAGCTTATTTGTAAGGCGGTTCCTTTCACATTCACTTTAAAAATCAAAAGTTCTTAGATAATAGATTAAAAAATGAATAGTTAAGTATGATAAGAAGAGTACATACTCTTCATGCCATGAGATCATCATTGAGTGTTGGATTTCAGCAATCATTTGCTAAATGACACCATCAAGGGCTGAAAGAATATGTACTCTTAAATTTTAAATTTTAATCATTTTACATTTTCTTCATATGGATTGTTTTTGCAGTCATTTAAGTGACAAATTTTGTTTGTGGTTTATTAAAAGCACATGAAGTATTTAGCTTCATGTATTTTGTATATGTTCTCTTGACTTACTGTCATACACAATTTTAAAACATAAAACCGTAACCATCCTCCTTTTCTTCATCCTGCCCCAGAAAAATTTCGATAAAAGACAGAAATATTTAATGACTCATTCGAATGTATTTTCAGGCAAAGAAATGAGCTCCTCTCGTTAACTTTCTGTACTCTCACCTCCAAATCTGCCAACCTTCTGCTCTGCAGTCCCTACTAATACAAAGAATGAATTATCCATGCTCTTGTGAAGCATGGGACCAATCCCTTCACTTCTGGCCTGCATCCCAGGCCTTCTTCATTTCCCAGACCTGCTACTCTAAAGTCACTAGAATTTCCCTTTCTACTAGAATTTTTTCCATCAGCAAATAGTAGAGGCATAGACTTAATTGTGGGGCCAGGTGCCTGTGGAAGTGACACAGACTCTTCTTACCTGGTCACCAAACATGTTTTGTCTTCTTACTGGGCACAAAATTAGCCTATGTGTCTCAGCCTCCCCTACATTTAGGAGTGGTTATGTTACTAATTTCTAGTCGATGAAATGTGAGCAGAAGTGATGTACCACACTTTCAAGTCTGTCCCACGAAAACCTCCTATGTGTTATCCTCCGCGATATTTAATTTCCCGGGTGGACGCAGACAATGACAGTGACGTTGGAAGTCTTATTTTGAAGATAATAGTTCTGGAAGAGTCCTTAAATCCTACTAGGAGAAAAGCTGTTTGCCAATCAGGACTTACTAATTAAGACACTGCATGAACAACAAATAAATTAACGTGGTTAATTTGGGTTAGTCTGTTAGAGCCACTACCATTACCTTAACTAGCCAAAGTGGTAAGAGTAGAAACAAGGAAACCAGTTAGAGGCTATTGCAATACTGTAACTCTCTGCTTCTTAAAACTGAACTCCTCAAAAGAATTACCAGTTTCTCCACTTATTTTCTTCCAGTCTTTCATTTTCACGGCACCAACAAAACCTCTCTTGACCTTCACATTGCAAAATCTAATTATTGATTCGCAATCTTAATTTTACCTATCTATCACCACTAGTTTCACAGTTGACATTCCCTAGGTACAAATACCTTTTTCACATTATGCTCTGTCATTCTCTCCCGACTCTATTCCTACCTCACATTCACAGCGCAACCCTGCACAAACTTACCTTTGCAGGATCTTGCTTGTCTTCCTGATCTGTACATGCTTCAGTGACCTTGGGCTCATTGCTCAGACCTCCTTTCTTCTGTCTCAGTCTCTAGGTAATGCTCTCCAGTCCATGACTGTAAATAACATCTACTTGATTGTTCTCCCCCAAATTATAACTCCAGCTTACCCTGTCATGTGGCATTCCGTATGCAAATATTCAGTGACCCACTTATCAAATCTACTGTATGTCCCATAGACATCTCAAACTTAACATGCCCCCAAACAAATTTGATTTTTTCCCACCCTCTCACTTGTTCCTCTCCTAATGGCCCCTATCTCAGTAGCTTCATTCTTCAGTTATTCTAATCAAAAGCCCCTTACTACTCTGTTCATCCCATGTCTCTTATACAATTTACTGGAAAAGTCTGTCTGCTTACTTTCAAAATATATCCTAAATCTACCTCTTCTTCCTACTCTCATCACTGCTGTCTTAATCCAAGTCATCATGACTTCTCTCCTGAGTTATTTAGTAGCTTCTGACTGAACTCCCTGATTCCACTCTTGTCTTTCTAGTATCTGTCCTGAACATATTAGCCAGAGTGATGCTTTTGAAACATAAGTTTAACTATGTAATTCCTTTGTTCAAACTCATCAATTGCTTTCCATTCCACACCCGATACAACTCTAAGTGCTTATCAGGGCCTACAGGTCCCTATATGAGGGGTCTTTTAAAAACTCATGGAAAATGTGTATTATGAAAACAAAAAAGCTATGCATGGATTTGATTTCCTTTTTGGTACCAAAAAAAAGTTCTAGTAACTTGTTATAACTTGTGTGAATAGGATTTAATTTGAGGCACTAAGAAGAGTAAGACATCAGTTTGAGAAGAGCCCCTATCAGAGCAACATGAATTCTGCTAAAATTGAGGCAAGAACAAACATCGAATTTATGGTGAAGCTTTAGTGGAAGACTGATGAAATCATTGATGCCTTATTAAAAGTTTATGAGGATAATGCCCCCCACAAAAATCAGCAGTTTATAAATGGCTAACTCATTTAAGAAGGGAAGAGATGATAGTGAAGAAGCCCAAAGCAGCAGACCAATTTTCAAGGAAAAAGTTAATTTTATTTGTGCTCAAATTGAAGAAGACCTACAATTAACAACAGAAACAATAACCAATACCATGGACATCTCAATTGGTTCAGCTTATGCCATTATCATTGAGAATGATTATTCTGTTTCTTTTAAAAATTTAAAGTTGAGCAAACTTTTCACTCAGTATTTTCCAAAACCATGGCACCCAAATCACTGCCTCTAAGAGCAGAGCTTTCAATGAAAATTTTCAACAAGTGGGACCAAGATCCTGAAACATTTCTTCAAAGAATTATAACAGGAAATGGAACATGGATTTACCAGTATGATCCTGAAGATGAAGCACAATCAAAGCAATGGCTACCAAGAGGTGGAAGTGGTCCAGTCAAAGCAAAAGTACCAGTAAAAGCAATGGCTGTTGTAAAAGATTTTGGGGATTCTCAAAGCATTTTGTTTATTGACTTTCTGGAGGGCCAAAGAATGATTACATCTGCCTATTGTGAGTGTGCTTTGAGAAAGTTAGTTAAAGCTTTAGTAGAAAAACACCTGGGAAAACTTCACCAGAGAGTCCTTCTCCACCACAACAATGCGCCTGCTCATTCTTCTTATCAAACAATGTCAGTTTTGGAAGCGTTTCTATATTAAATCATTAGGCAGCTGCCTTACAGTCCTGATTTGGCTCTTCTGACTTCCTTTTATTTCATAATCTTAAAAAATCTATACAAGGCCTCAACTTTTCTTAAGTTAATAATGTTAAAAAGACTGCATTGGCATGGTTAAAGCCCCAGGACCCTCAGTTCTTCAGGGATGGACTAAATGGCTGGTATCATCACTCACAAAATTGTCTTGAACTCGATTAGAATTATTTTGAAAAATAAAGTTTACATTTTTTATTTTGCTCTTTTAATTCAATTTTTCCATGAACTTTTTGAAGTCCCCTCATATATTCTGGCTTTTGGCTACATCTGCAAGTACAGCTCTTACTACCCAGCTCCCGGGCTCCAGGCCCACTGGCCACCTGCTGGTGCTCAAACACACTTTGTGCATGTTTCTACTGCCTGAAATATTCTTCTCCCTACTATCTATTAATACACTGTTCATTTCTGCACTCTATTTAGGCCTTTGCTGAAATGGCTCCCTTTTAGAGTTCTCCTCTGACTCACATGTTTTTAAAAATGTGCCCTTCCCTCAACCATCACTTTCTGTCCTTTTGCCATGTACTATTTTCTCTTCAGAACGTTTAATACTGCCTAACACTTATGCATTTCTTTATTTATCATCTATGCCTCCACCCTCTAGAATGTAAGCTTTATATGTCTAAGACTTGATCTGTTTTTATTTTACTGCTATATCCACATGCAGTAAATATTTGTTGAGTGAATAAAAAAAATGGAGTGAAGTGGATAATAAGGGAAAAGTGAAAACATTATTATATAATAGGCTTAGTAGAAGTCAGTAAGCCTCTAGCTTTTTAAAGAAAAAGGCTATTTAATATTTTTTGTGCAACTAATCCTAATGATTGACAAAGTGGTTGTAGTATACAAAGGTGGTTCATACATGTTTGGGGGAACGAAAAGTACTGCTAAGTTACTTCTATTTTTAAAAAATTATTTCTTAAATAAGTACCATAAAATGTCAAACCATGATATCTCTTAATCGATTATTAACAATGTTTATTAAATGTCTACTATGTGTCAGACGTTGTCCTAGTTCTTGAGGACTCAATCATGAATGAAATTGACAAAAATTCCTGAACTCATGCAATCTATACTATGGGATCATTGACTTATGGGTAGTTTTTCTTTCTTTTTTTAGCTTATTTTCTAAATTTTCTAAAATGTATACACACTACTTTGAAAAATGAAATAATTTATTAATTTTATAATAATAATGAAAATATTTTTAAATACAAATAAATAGCCAGATTTTCAGACAGCCATAATCAAATCCAGACTAAATATCTATGACTTCCAAATACTTTCCATCAGAAAATCATCACTTTCACTGCCTTTCTTCCTAAATGTGAATCTTGATTTCTTGTACGTGGTTTTTCTGTGATTTTATTTTATAGTCCTCTGTTTTATGTAGCTTATTTAAAATCTTGTCTGGAATTAGTTGGGATATAAATGTAACATAAACTGAATTATACAAAACAACACATACAGCACTTTAACATGAGTACCAAGACTTACTGTAATCTCTCACCAAATAATCTGGGGATAATTCCCATTCAGACACAACTGGGCCAAATATATTCTAATTCCATAGCATCTATTTTCCTGTGGCTTTCATAGCTAATCTTTGAACCAGGTAGGCAATCCGTGGAATTAAGAAAAATCTTTCCCTTTAGTGTTTCTCTGCCACTCTGAAAAATATTATGACTCTGGCTGAGACTTCCCATCTTGAGCCCTAGACTCTCAAATCCATTTGGAGATCTTACAGATACCTCCAACTAGATAATTCTCATTCTGACTTCATCTGCTCCAACCCTTCTAAGCTCCTTTTCTTCCTGAGTTACCTGTTCCAAGGAAGGTGTGCTACTATCTATCTACCCATTTGTCCATGCCTGGAATGCAAATGTTTCCTAAACTGCACTCTCTCTGACTTCCCACATTATCACTTTCTGTATGTCTACTTCCTAAATTTCTTTAACGTTGGCCCATTTCTTTCCATCCTTTTTCCACTCTCTTCGTCCAGCCTCCCTTCATCACCCAACTGGCCTCATGCAGCTGACTTAGAAGTGGGCTCCTGTTTCAACTTCCTCTTCATTCCAGACTATTCACATAGCCAAAAGGTTCCAGCATACAATTCTTACCTGCTTAAATATCTATGCTGTTTTTCATTACTATCTGTATGTTACCCAAATTTTTTAACATATTTACAAAGCCCTCATTATCTCGTTACTCTCGAGCCTGTCTGGAGACTGACTATCTCTCCAGCCTGATTTTCACAATATACACCTCTTACCTCTTCCCTTTCCAGTATTTTATGCTACAACCATATCATAGAACTAGAGCCATATTGTGGTTTCCTGAACATGCATGCCGTGTTTTCTTACCGCTAGCTTTTTGTACATCGTGTTCTCGTTCCTCACCTACTTTCCACACACGCACATTTGCCCTTTTACTTTATGAACTTTAGCTAGCCCTGTATCTTAGAGATTGTCTATTCTTGGAAGAACTTCATTTCCTTCTGAGAATATTTACATGTCCATTCTACATAAGAAAAATTCATATTTAACCCATCATGGCCCTTGTCATTTCATAACAGAATTCCCTTCCCTATGAGACTGTAAACTGCCTGAAGGCATAGTGTTTGGCAGGCACTTGCGAGATGTTATTTTATAAAGATTTATTAAAATGAATGAATGAATAAATAAATAAATAAATAAATAAACAAATAGGAAATTGCAAAATGGTATGGGACACCTGTGAAAGACATGGAATCCTGCGTATCTGAAAGAAAATATATTATTTTGGGTTGAGAGGAAAAGAACACCTCTAGAAAAATTTTTAAATTGATGGAAAGATTGATGACAGTCACTTCTAGAATGGTTTCCAAAGGACAGTTTCTAACCATGGGAAATATTTAAAGTTGAAAGTAAAGAGACAGAGAACAATTCAAAGCATTTTCTGGTGGGGTTAGAAAAATATGATGGAATCAAAGATAACATGCTGGCAGCTTTAGGGAAGCACGAAATTGTTGGTAATAGGTGTAAAGAATGGAAAGGTTAGAAGTTGAAGAATCTGTACTTTTCAATCTATACTCCTTTATACTGTTCTGATTTGGAGACTATGCAAATGTATAATGTATCCAAAATTACACTTTAAAAAAGTTAGAAGAAATTAACTATTAGGAAGATGAGTAAAATATTCATCCTTCTGAATTTAAAATGGCAGGAAAACAATAGAAAAATAATTAAATAATCAATAAAACATAAAAAATAGATAAAATTCATTTTTCTCTAAAGAAAATTGCAAAGGAAGTTTGGAAAGAGAGTATAAAAGGTGGGAAAAAAAGCAATTTATTTAAGATGCCAGTCTCCTTTACAGAAAAGGATTAATAAAGCTATCACATGTAATATTTTAAAGATAATTTTCTGGACAATTCTGAACTTTACATCAGTGAATGGGAATGAATAATCAAAGAAGATAAGCATAAAAGTAAATATATTCAGGCATTATCTCTCTGCTTCCACTTCTTAACCTTCATTAATTGACATTTGAATTTTAAATTTTTTAAAAATGTAGGTGTATTTTTCTCTTGAATTTTAATATAGTGGGTTTTCATTTAAATATAGATATTCTAATAACATTTAAAAAAATCAGAGTTTGCTCCTTAAGCCTATTTATTTTACTTTAAAATATTATTTTTATTTCTTTTCTAGTCACAAAGTGAATGTATTTATGTTACAGATCCTTAGGATGATAATGAAAAAAAAAAAAGCAAAGAAAAAAATTTAAATCATCAGTAATACCACCAGCCCACCAGCCCACCAGCCAGAGCTAACAAAGCCAGCTAAACTGCCATGTTGGTACTATACAGAGGTCTGGTATTCAGGAAGAAAGTACTAGGAAGGCTACCATGATTATTATTGGATGATATTCATGCTAGTTGGTCTAAAATTTATTTTGACTGCCTAATACTGAATTGGACTAGTTTAAACACTTTTATTATTGCCACTGATGATACCTGTTTTCAAAATGAGATAACTCTATATTTCCATTTTATGGAGATTCTATCTCATAAATAAAGCAGATAGAATTTAGACCATATTGATCCTTAGTACTACTAAGTATAAATAGGGTTAGAAAATCCCAAAGGATAGTGGCGCATTGGGTTAGTGGTCCATGAAATTCCTAATCTTTCTTACCATTCCATATGAAAAAAAGTAGTTAAGGACATGAATAGACAATTCTCCAAAGAAGATATGCAAATGGCCAACAAACATATGAAAGAATACTCAACATCACTAATGATCAGGGAAATGCAAATCAAAACCATAATGCGATACCACCTGACTTCTCCAAGAATGGCCATAATGAAAGAGTCAAAAAACCGTAGATGTTGGCATGGATGCGGAGATCAGGGAACACTTCTACACTGCTGGTGGGAATGTAAACTAGTACAGCCACTATGGAAAACAGTGTAGAGATTCCTTGAAGAACTAAAAGTAGAATTACCATTTGATCCAGCAATCCCAATACTGGGTATCTACCCAGAGGAAAAGAAGTCATTATTCGAATAAGATACTTGCACACGCATGTTTATAGCAGCACAATTCACAATTGCAAAATCGTGGAACCAACCCAAATGCCCATCAATCAACGAGTGGGTAAAGAAATGGGAGTATATATATATATATGATGGAATACTACTCAGCCATAAAAAGGAATGAATTAACAGCATTTGCAATGACCTGGATGAGATTCGAGACTATTATTCTAAGTGAAATAAGTCAGGAATGGAAAACCAAACATCATATGTTCTCACTGATATGTGTGAGCTAAGCTATGAGGATGCAAATGCATAAGAATGATACAATGGATTTGGGGACTTGAGGGAAGAGTGGGAGGGGGGTGAGGAATAAAAGACAACAAATATGGTGCAGTGTATACTGCTCAGATGATGGGTGCACCAGGATCTCACAAATCACCACTACAGAACTTACTCATGTAACCAAATATCACCTGTACCCCAATAACTTATGGAAAAATAAAATAAATAAAAAATAAAAAATAAAGCATAAATGGGTGCTATAAATACAATAAAATAAAACAAAACTATTGAAATTTGTTTAGCCTGTGTCTCAGGGGACACTGAAGTTGAATCTAAATCTTAATATATTGGAAGAAACCCCCTAAATATCCACCCACTCATTCATCCATTCGTTCAGCCGATATTCAGTTACTGTCTATGCAGTGTGTCTAAGTCAAGTCACTGTCCAAAGTAATGAAGAGATATCCTTAACTCAGAGTTACACTGAAGGTGTACTTTAGTAGTATCACTAGACAGTCAGCTTTTTTTTTTTTTTTTTTTGAGACAGAGTCTCGTTCTGTCACCAGGCTGGAGTGCAGTGGTGCAAACTTGGCTCACTGCAACCTCTGCCTCCTGAGTTCAAGCGATTCTCCTGCCTCAGCCTCCTGAGTAGCTGGGACTACAGGCACATGCCACCACACCCAGCTAATTTTTGTATTTTTAGTAGAGACCAGTTTTCACCATGTTGGCCAGGATGGTCTCGATCTCCTGACCTCGTGATCCATCCGCCTCGGCTGCCCAAAGTGCTGGGATTACAGGCATGAGCCACCTCGCCCAGCCGACAGTGAGCTCCTGATGGCAGATCTGTGCTCAATCTCAACATCTCGGATATGCTCAGATAGAGCTCTCATTTGATGAATGTTAAACACATTTTTCACAGAGGTCAGTCTTAAGGCTGATATCATTTATTATTGATAATTGAAGCCATTTATAGAACAATTAAGGCTTTGTGCTAAGTGCCTTTAGATATTATTTTATTTAATCCTCCTGTAATTTTGCAATAAACATCTAGGAAATGAGTAGCATTTATTCCTATTTTTTAAAAATTATTTTCCATTTTGTTTTTATTTTTTGAAGAGATGGTGGTGTCACTGTACTGCCTAGGCTGGTCTTAAACTCCTGTCTGAAAGAAACCCTTCCACCTCAGCCTCCCAAACTGCTGGGGTCACAGGCATGAGCTACCACAACTGGACAAACCCCATTTTAAAGATGGGAAGGTTTAAGTGACTCATTCAATGTCATATAGCTGGGGGCAGCAAAAGCAAACTTAGAGGGCATGTCTATCAAACTTGTAAGCCCATATTCTTGCTATGACATAACACTGTCTCTTGCTTATCTCCAGTTTGTAGACTATCAGAGAGGTTAATACAATGGGCTCTGAAATTAACCTTATAGGGTTTGAATTTCAACCTCAACATTTGCTGTATACCCTTCAATATATCACTTAACATTTCCAAGCTTCACTTTTCCCATATGAAAATAAAGACAGTAATACCTGTCTCATAGGGCTGCTGTGAGAACTAAATGAGATAATTCATATGAAAGCATTTGCCGTGTAATAATTGTTCAATGGGAATGAGACAGTATTTATGTGATGACACTGGCCTGTTTTATTTTCTTTAAAATACTTGTTTAAATATACATTACTCGTTAGAATTTACAATATATATACTTCTGTTCCTCCCTAATTATATCAATAGGCCAAGCTACAAGAATTCGACTTTAGATAAACACACTATGGTATAGAGATGGAAAATTATTTACTTATAGTCTCACAAAAGTAGAGGAATCAGGATATAGAACTCTGGTCTTTTATTTTAATTTTTCTTTTTTGAGATGGAGTTTCACTCTTGTCACCCAGGCTGGAGTGCAATGGCACGACCTTGGCTCACTGCAACCTGCAACTTCCACCTCCTCGGCTCAAGTGGTTCTCCTGTCTCAGCCTCCCGAGTAGCTGGGACTACAGACACCCACAACCATGCCTGGCTAACTTTTTTTGGATTTTTAGTAGAGATGGGGTTTCACCAAGTTGGCCAGGCTGGTCTTGAACTCCTGACCTCATGTGATCCACCTGCCTCAGCCTCCCAAAGTGAGAACTTTGGTCATGTTCCTATAGTTCAAGTGCTACTTGTCCTCTACCATATTGCCTTATCTTTGCAGAAAATGAAATACGAGGAAAATTATTTTTCTTTGTATGTAAAAGCTTCCCAACTAAAGACTGGAAAATATCACTGAGGGGGGTGTATAATCTCTTCCCCCAAGGCTTCTTCACAGTTTGTCAGAACATAATCAGTTTGTGATAACATAGGTGATTTGTGATTATAGGCAATTGGTTGGACCAGATCACTTATTTTATTCCGCTCTAATCATATAAGTTTATGAAAGTATGAGACTGGAAAAAAAAACCTGCATAAGTCCTTTTAAACTCTTCCTGTTGTGAGCCTTGAAGTCAATTCAGGGAAGTCCAACTTTAAGGCAAATGCACTATCAAGAAGAATGGATGAGGGAGCAGCCCATAGACCAGCCTGAACGTTGCATTCCTGACAAGAGAATTGGCAGAGTGGAGGCTGCCTGGTAGGTCAATGGATTTGGAAATGAAAGTTACATCATGATTACACGGAAAAAAAAAGTCTCTGATAAATAACAAAGACTGCCACAGAGGCACATAAATAACAGTAGCTAGTAGCAATACGAAGGATACTTTTACTACTGCAGGGCTTCTAGATACTAAGCTCACAGGCACCACTCGCAAACTCAAGGTGCCAATAGGATAACAAAATGCAGAAGTAAGGTTACATAAGCTGATTAATTAGTACAGCAGCTGATTTACTTAAGTTTTTGTTGTTGATTTTGCCTTGCTTTTTGAATTATGTTGTGCTGTTTTTCTCTGGAACCTACATTCATATCTGTTGTCAGACAAAAATCTATTTTGTAAAGGGTTGTTAGTGTTTGATTGCCTCTTATCATGGATTATATATACATTGTTTCACGAAGTTTTGCTCAAGAGATCACTTGTAACATCCAGTATTCCTCAGCAGTTTCAGTCTGAGAAATGGGACATTCTTTACCCCACATTTTATAGATTTTGGATAATAGTATGGGTGCTTTTTTCCCCCAAGGCTAGGAGTAGGGCATATACTTGCCAGAAGCCACTGTGAGCCCAGAAACACAACAGCATGCTTATTTTAAATGATAGAACAAATTATTCCTGTTTGTGAACAAAAAAATTAACATTTAAAAATATTTCAATTTGGAGAATTTGGGAAGAATTATCAGCACATTTGAGATGTGGGAGGAGTGTTATATTTTATTGTAAAGTCATTTGCTAAATTATTTATCCCTGTTCTTTCTGACCATCTTATTAAATATAGAAGTGTATTTAAGTCTTAATATTAGAGAAAAGAGATTGCACTGTTAGCCACTCAGCTACCCTTTTATATTTGCCTGGTAGGTTGAAGCATTCCCTGGCATCAGTCTTTCAATAGATTGAAATTAATATCTCTAATTCCGACTTTAACCTAGGGGTTTGCTGTTATCTGATGGTATGTTAATAGTGCTACACGAGTCGTAAGCCTGTCCCCTCAACCTAGAGAGTTCATTAGGCTTTCTATGAGGTGAAAAAGAGGAGCAGGAAGCCAGTGCCAGTTATTCATTGCCTTATGACTCAATTCTAATCACTTCAGTGCATGTGACTGACAGAGAAATGCTCTCTGCCGTGATTGAGGGTATTGATTTCCCAACCCCTTTCGGGGCACACTAGACAGACACAAACAGAGGCTTCGGCTTTCAAAAAACCTCTTCATCTGCCTTAATCACCTGATCGATAATCAGCATCAAGACTAGGGATCTTGAACAAAGCCTCCGCCAATGTCTTTATTTTCTTTCTTCCATTGGGCTACAGATCTGCTGAGTCAAGGTGATCTTAATAGATCAGAAAGTGAACAGTAAGCAACAACGGTAGCAGCCTTTAGTGACAGTTGTTAGATCTAGAAGTTCCCATTACAAAAAAATGTAACTGTTTCTCTCTTCCTCCTCTCCACCCACATCCTTCATGGACCATTGGCTGGCAAACTAACCCCTGCATACATGGCTGAACACTCTGAGAGCCAGCAAGTGAAATCACTTCTGTGACCCAACCAACTGGAACACGGAGTGTGGGGGAGTGGGAAACATTCATAGACAATGAGCTAGCTCATGAGTTTCATATTTTACAGTGGAAGACCACAGGCAAAGTTAAGTCTGAATTATATCTGAGAACGGAACAATAAGTAATGTGAAACACTCAGCTCGCCCAATACTGAGTGCCTCTAGACAAAGCTTTCCATTTCAAGCTTTTAAATATTTGAAAGGTAAGAGTATGCTCTATTTAAACATTTTATAGAACATTTCTCGTTCGGTTTTTTTAAAGTATTTTGATCAGTCACATCTATTTGAAGCTCTGACATTTTAAAATTAAAATTGAAACACTGTTTCCACATCTTGGAAAAAATTTTAATAAATGTTTAAAATTAACTTGTAAATTAAAGGGCTATCTTTAAATCTTGGCATTGCCCCTTCCTCCAAAAGTGTGTAACATTACCTTCCTCAAAAGTTTGCTTTGTTAGGATTTTAAGGGGAATTTTTTTTCTATAACCCCACCGATTTGATTGTGGTAAATGGTTAATTTGTGGTCCTACTTAAAGAATTTTTTTATTCAGCTCTAAGAATTCCCTACTGAATGGAAAACAGTAACACTTATCAAATACCATCTATATTGCCAAAGTGTGAAATGTTTCCAATTAGAATTTCATTCATGTTTAGCCAATTTTTCAATTGAATTAAAAAAGCATAAAACACACATAATCTAATGTATCCTCTGTGACGAGTGAGTCTTTATTTTGCTGAATTCAGAAGAGCCTCATCCAATATAATCACTGCATTCATTCCAATTATAAGAGCAAAGTTGTGCAGACTTCTTATATGTTATGCGATGTCAAGAAGCACAGTGCCCAGCACTAATACCTCCAGTGAAAAAGGCAGCGATTTCCCACAGCAGCGCCTTGATTTAAATTACAGAGCACATTTATTATGCTTCTGTTCCTCAGACTGTGAAATACCATAGTACAGTAGCTTTGTTCTGACCCCTTCTCCAAAGCCCTGCCTCAAAGTGTGACTAATCTAGTGCCGGATGACAGCTAACTTCAACATCAGACAACACGAAAATTGAAGACACTTTTTATCCTCTTGCCAATCTGCGAGTGTCTGAATAAGCCTCGTCAACTTCATTACAAACTCATCATCTCTTGTGTAGATAATGATAGCCTAGGCTGGTGGAGAACTCAGCTTCTTGTTGTTTTTACTGACTTTCTCTGCCTTCAGGCCAAGCATCTGTGGGGATAATGAATGGAGCAATTCTTTTGGCACAAAACAAAAGGCTCTTGGGGTGGGGAAAGGCCCATGGCGTCAGTCTAGGCACAGCTCTCACAAACGAAAATTCTTTGTTATGAATCGCTCCTCAGAAAATAGCTCTATCGTAACCAGAGAAGTGAAGGACACAGAGTAACTTTGTACTGAGGCAGGGAGGTTAAAGGCAGTGACCATGTGAAAGAATTTCAGAGGGATTTGATTCTTCTTTTATTATTTTATTTATTTATTTATTTTAGGTGCCTTTAGCTAAAGCCTATTTGTACCAGATAGAATAACTGTACAGTACCAGCTGAACTATTTAGGATACATTCATTCTAGCATTTCAAAATGGTAGACTTTCTGAATTAGTTCTCCTAGAACTACTGATGGGGTGTGTACAGAACATATAGAGAATGTGAGAATATAGCAGTAGGGAATGTACAAAGATCCAGGAGCACCTTTTAAAGCAAAATTCATCTATTATACTAGTATATGAATATATATCATACCTTTCCCTAGTCTGTTGAGACAGAAGTTAGAGCTCATAATCATCCAAAATTTAAAATATTAAAAATAAGTTTTTACAATTTTATGAATTGTGTGATTAAGAAACGTGGGTGATAGCTAATTATGCCTTACAAGTATGGTAGCTTTATATCATTTATACATATCCCTAATAACTATTTGATCACTTAGCAGATTCTGCTACTAGGCATATTAATCGGTGGCACATTTAGTAAAAAAGATCTTTGTTAAGTAGTGTGGCTGAATATGATAGTTATTTTACCAATTTCTTTTTCTCTTTTTAGAACGTGAAGTTAGTGTGACAATCCCACAATAAAACCCACTCTCTTGAAATTTGATCATTTACTTTGAAGTGATATTCAGCAATTAAATTTTGTATTTCTTTCAATGTTCGTTATGAAAATTGATGTCAATTTTCTGTCTCCTCACCAATTGAAAATAGCTTCTGCATATTATGTCATCTAGTCCATCTGTGATATATAAGGCGTGCCTAGGTAGGATATTTATTAATTTCATTTTAGATTGATTATTTTCATGTCATTTTCATGTGGGCACTTAGGAAGCAAGGGATGAATGAATACAATGCCACTAAGTCAATTTATAGTATCATGAGCAATTCCAGTAATAACTGTAGAGGTCATAAAAAGAGAAAAACAATAAGAGCTAGGGAAAAGCTATCTACAAATCTTTAGCTAAGAGACAACTATTTTGTGTTCTTTTGTTGTTGTTGTTAAATAATATCCTTAGGCATTTGTTTCTCATAATTAAGCAGCAAATGCTGTATTTTACATGGAGATACACTGGTATCTGTGAAGAGAACAGATTAATGTAATGTTTTGCTACCTTTGACCTTGTATCCTTGAGTCTCTTGATTCTATGTCACCAAACATAGCACTGTAATAGAGTTGAGGTCCAGCTAATAGTGTGTGCTATTCTGACTGTCATGCTCCATCATTGTAACTTACTGCATGAGGTCCCCAATGTAGCCTCGTGTGCACATGTACACATGCACGCACATGAGCGCATGCACCCACACACAGAAAATTCCCACTGACAGAAAAAAAAAGTAATCAGAGAATGCTTTTAAATACAGATTTTTCATTCAACTCATAAACAAAAAAATCATCTTGTTCAAGGTCTGTGTTCTAAAATGTTGTGATTCAGAATGCATTTAAATCCACCTCTCTTATAAAGTTTATTAGAAGGAGATAATCACAAAACATCCAAGCTCTTTTTTTTTTTTTTTTTGCATTATCCCATTATGGCAAAGTGTTATCAATTTACATTTCAATTTTCAACCTATTAACGTTAAGCTTCATAAAGTGAGAAAGTACTCTATGATGTTTTTGTTTCTTGACATCGTTTCTTCTTAGATGATTGGTTTAAAAACAACTTGAAAATATATTAAATTGTTTATAAGTTAAATGTATTAAATAAATTATTCTTTTATTATCTACTTCCATGTTTCCATATATATATATATATATATATATATATATATTACACTAGTAGGAAAACTGTGTGAGTTTCAAGCAGCTGAGCATTGCCCCAAAGCTATTATCCAACATTTCAAAATTTAAGAAGGGATTAAGATTCCTTATGAATGCTGCAGTTTTCTAGTGAATCTTGAAAACATAAATGAAGAGGCAGCTGTAACTGTTTCTAAGTGAAAGGAATACTCAAGAAGTATGTTTGATTTTAAACAGCCAATCCCAAGCCCATTATGAGATTTTAAGCTCCCATCCTCTGCTCCTTCTCTTATTCTCTCATATCTTCCTTCTTCCTCCTCTCCCTTTCTTTCCTTTCTTCCAGTTCTCCATTCTCCATCCTCATTTTAGGTGGCTAGTCCACTGGACTTTAAAAAGCAATTTCCTTTATCTGGAAATAGCACTTTCTTTTTCCAAATTCACTTGAATATAGCTCTTCAACCACATCATGTCAATCCCAAATATTATCCCAGTGACTGCGTCTGATAGGTCCAAAATAGTTTGTAAAATGAGGAATAAAAAATCATAATCAGATAAACACTGGTTATAATTTAATCTGTTTTTAAAGCATCATGGAGGGTTCATTTTTGTGAAGAAAAATAAGAATAGTTACAACTTTTGTTACTTCATGTATATGCATATGTATATGTATATATAAAATTAGCTGCACAAGCAACTTGGAAAGTTTTCTTATCTCACTCTACCAATTAATTAAACCAAATATTAGGTAGAAATAAGAATAGCCATTTGGAGAAATGTCTTTGTGTATACATTATATAGAGATAGAAGTTACTTTCAGCGAGTAACTGCATGTCAGTACTAAATTGCATTTTATACAACTTAAAATTATTTTTCTATATTTTTCCACTTGAAATTTTACTGAAATTTCAAATCAAAGGCACAATGTTTATATCCACAAAATGAATAGTAAGGATAAAGCTTAATTTTTAAAATCTAGAAACAAGAATATCCTGTTAATGAACACCAAAGTAAAAATAGGTTAGATGTTCTTCCTAATATGGCCGACACTGATACATATGAAGCCATCTTACAGATCGATATATATGTAAACAGGATACCAGATCCCAAGTGCAATTAGAACATCAGATTGAAAATTCTTTATTCTACAATTAAAGCACAGGCTTAAAAGGAAAAACAGCACATTTCCAATTAAATCAACTAAGTACAAGTTAGTTACTACCAAGTCCCATTTCTAAAATAGTAGCTTTTGTTGGCACGCTTTAGGAAGTAAATATTTACCCAGAGAAATGTAATTTCCTTTTCATTTATTTAGAAACTGCATGAGCTGGTCTCCGCTTTCTAATTTTCTTTGTACTAGTTAAGGTACTACAGAGATTTCTCATTTTGATATTAGAATTGTGTAGTTGAACTTGTGTATATTTGAAAGGGAAAGACAACATTTTCTTTCCCTTCTTAATTAGTAACTTTCTTTTTTACTTCCACTATGCTTTTAGTAATTAAAAAATAAACCTTGATATAACATTGATGTTGTTTGCAAAGTTATTTTGAAAAACATCTGCTGATGAGAAGCATGCAAAAAAAAAACTTTCATGCCGGTAAATGTGATTGCTAATAATTTCATCATGATTGCTATGACTGCAATTTATTTATTCTTAATTTATTTTTATAATGAACTGCTTCAGTAATATGACAAATGATTCCATTAGTTAAAAAACTAAAATGTCAATTTACATGTGGTCTTTGGTGACTAATTTGCTGAGTTGAGGTTTTGGTTTTCATTATGATAATATTTGGCTATGCTCTATGAGCAAAATTTATGAGGTCTTAAATATTAATCTTTTGATTTTCTGAAACAAGGTAATTTTCAGCTTTAAAAATGTTAGCAGTTTCCCTTTCAGGGTCTTGAATACACAAGTTTTAGGCACAAACTTCTGAAACGTTGTCATCTAAAAAATAATGCTCACTTTGTTCCCTGGGATCAAAACAATTCTTTTCCACTAATGACTGCAAATATCAGCTCATTTCTAACACAGTTTCCAATGGCAAACATTACTCAGTTGTCAGTAAAAGAAAAGGGATTACATCAGCATTCGGGGGAAAAAATGTTCTGTTCCTTCTTACTCCATAGTCTATGTTCAATCAGCCTGGAGCTAATGGAAGCCCTCCAGTGCTGAGAAATAAACAAACACAGTTGGGCAAATAGTCCAAAATCAAATCTAGTATATAAGGTGGACAATACATAGTTAGTTCCATTACCGAATCCTCCCCTGGGAGCTGGAGCAGCTTCAGAGCCCTTCTCATTACACACCAGCACCATCTGTAGCCAGCCTGAACCTGATTTGGGAATGTATAAAGTACACGAAAAAAAATAGACTCAGAATCGGGAGCTAGAGAATCCTATTTCAAGTTTAAATTTTGCTTGTGAGAGATCATTTGGTTTTAGACTCAGCAAACAGCGGGCCTCATCACTCACAATGAGGGACGCATGTAGCAAGGATTACTTCAGATCAGGGAGATTGAAGGTAATTGCTACTTTCCACAGGGATATATCTAGCTCAAGTATAGCTCAAGAGAGTTACAGCATGGTCCCATTAGCCACAGAGCTTCTATTCCACTTCAAAAGGCAAGCACCCTTTCCCCGTATTGCTGTTGCTGTTGTTGATATTATGCATTATTGAATTTAAAATTGTAGATGGAAACGAAGCCAATGGCAATGGCATTTTTAAAATATAAACATTGTGTGTGTTTGTGTGTGTGTGTGAATTTTAGGCTCTGCCTCAAAAATAGAACCAGAAGTTTTTATTTACTAAAAATAAAATGTAAATTATTATTCATAGAAAGTGATGATGTTGGTTACATCTGTTTGGGGGCTAAATAAATGAGCACATGATTATCAATGCTGAAATATATGGTGATATTATGTGCAGTACTTGAATATTTTCATCCAAGATATGCCACCTTCCAGCAGGCAGAAGTTGCTTTACCAATGCTACCTACTTTCCCTTTTATTCTCCTTCTCCCTCCATTCCCCAACCAACCCCTGCCTTCATCCAGTAACAAAATGTCTCTGGAAATCTGATTTCCTTCCTCCGTTTGAATCACATTCATACAGAAATGAAAATGGTTGTATGTGTCTTTTGAATGCCCTGAAAAGTCCGAATGTATATGTGAGTGTGTAATTCAGGGAGAGAGCACTGCATACAAGTATCTAGAGATTCATAGGCAGGGTAGATCACTTTCACTGGAGAGGACCAAAGAAAGCACTTTGGACAGTGCCTGCTTCCTGCTCAAGCAGAGACTGCCCTTACGCAATCTGAGCTCCAAAAGAAATAACTACCCCTTAACCTAGATAAATCCCTATTCCCCAAACTGAATCTCCCTCGTCCCTCCTTACACTACAGATGGGAACCATTCACCATTAGTAAGCCCTTTCCCTACTCTAGCACTCACCTGTCCGAAGGTGTTTCCAATCTTGTCAAATTTCAGATCCTTTCATTGATGCTATGTGGCTGCAGGGGTGTTCATTGTGCTCCCTTCTGGTTTGGTTTGGGTGATAAGACTTTAGGCATGACCTGGCAGTATCCTCAGGTGGCATCCTTACACTCTGGAGTAATAAGCTGAATCTCAGACACTATCAACAAATATTTATGTATTTTTTTTCCAATCCATCCTCACATTCTGAGTTACGTCAGTTTGCTGTAGGCAATATTTTTCACTGGTCAAAGATACTATTACTGATGTTGGTCTCCCATCTTTATCCTGTGAGATGGATCTCTGGGACAAATCCTTCGTCTTTAAAACTGCGTTTTCATGTTCTTGAGCTTGTCTGAAGAAAGTCAATAACCCTTCAGAACACTCTTGAGACTTTAATTCACTTCCGTTTTCATCCTCAAGTCTTATTTAATAAATCTCCATCATCCTAGATTCTGGTGCTCACTTTTTGGGGGATTATTTAGGATGTGAACTCTGGAGTAAGATGGATCTGGAATTAAATCTTACTTCCAAATTTGATTGTGGACTTGTATAAATTATTTAATCTTTCTAAATCTGGCCAGTGCAGTGGCTCACACCTATAACCCCCCTATAATCCCAGCATTTTGGGAGGCTGAGGTGGGTGGATCACTTGAGGTCAGGAGTTCGAGACCAGTCTGGTCAACATGATGAAACCCTGTCTCTACTAAAAATACAAAAATTTTCCAGGTATTGTGGAGTGCGCCTGTAATTCCAGCTACTAGGCAGGCTAAAGCAGGAGAATCGCTTGAACCTGGGAGTCAGGGGTTGCAGTGAGCCAGGATCGCACCACTGCACTCCATCCAGCCTGGGCAACAGAGCAAGACTCCGTCTCAAAAAAAAAAAAAAGTATTTAATTTCTCTAAATCTCTGTTTTCTCAACTAAAAAATTAGGATAATAATGGCATTTGTATTATAAGTTTATTGAGAATATCGAATGAGTTAATTTATGAAAAGATCTTTGTCAAGTTAGTACATAATGAATGCTATCATTATTACTTAATAGTAATAATAATCTAAATCTCTACTCCAATTTGTCCCTTGCTCAAGATTTTGTCCAGTGGTTTCTGATCCTAGGTCATACCCACCAAGTTCTAAGAGCTCATCATACCTAAAACAATGTGCCTGAGTATCTTCTTAAAAAAAGAAAATAGCTACCGTTTACTGAGTAGTTCCTATTGCCAATAGTGAGCTAAGAGCTAAGTACACTATAGACAAATCGCATTTAATTCTTGTAACAAATATACAAAGTATGAATTACTGTTTTTTGTTTTTGTTTTGAGATGGAGTCTCACCCTGTCACCTGGGTTGGAGTGCAGTGGCACGATCTTGGCTCACTGCAACCTCCGCCTCCCGGGTTCAAGCAATTCTCCTGTCTTAGCCTCCCGAGTAGCTGGGATTACAGTTAGGCACCACCACACCTGGCTAATTTTTGTATTTTTAGTAGAGATGAGGTTTCGCCATGTTGGCCAGGCTGGTCTTGAACTCCTTACCTCAGGTGATCTGCCCCCCTCGGCCTCCCGAACTGCTGGAATTAAAGGCATGAGCCACCACACCTGGCCAAATTACTGTTTCATAAAAGAGGAAACAAGCTCAAAAAGGTTAAATGATATGTTCAAGTTCACAAGAAGTAACTGTCAATGTTGAGACCTAAACCTACAGTTTTCTGTGGCAGAGATCACCAAAAATATAACACCACCCATTTCCTCTTCTGGACACACAGAGCATATTTTCCAGCCTCCTTTGTAGTTGGACATCTCCAGTAACTGCATTCTAGCCAATGCAATGTGAGTCAGTGATGTGTGTATCTTAGATGCCCAGCCTCGTATAACTTCCCATTCAAAATCCTCCAGGCTTTTTTCCCCCTTCTGCCAGCTGGATGCCAATGTGCATGAAGAAAATGGCAATATTCATCAACCTGGATCCCTGAATAACTGCATAGACTAGAGCACATCTCCCTACTCATTCACTTTGCCAGTTGATCTGGAACGAACTCATTCTCTCTGTGTTTGAGACATATGCATTTAATTTTTTAATCATAGTCTGATATTACTCTAACTAATATAGTATGCAACTTCAAAGTATTCTATCTCTATTTTTGTATTGCACTGACATAAGAATTAGCCAGAAAAATGTTACAATATTCAGAGTCACACAGGAACTTTAGAAATTTTTCTCAGGTATGTTGTCACAACTTTGGAATAAAGGTATCTAAGCTTTAATTAATTATTTCAAAGTATTATAAAATGAATACCATTAACTAGACAATTATAAATTTTAAAAGTTTACTTTTAACATTTTCCAATTATCCAAAATGGTAAAAAAAAATAGGTAGGGTAACTTTAATCATGGTATTCAATTCTTTATGAATTGTCTTTAAAAGGTTCATAAAAATTATCCATTATATTCATGATTTTGTATCTCTACATAATTGACTCATTTTTGAACTAAATTAAATCTTGTTATCCCACACAGAGTCAATAAAAGTAACACTTTTATTTCATAATTCAGCACTTTTCAAAATACACATTTTAACCTACAATAATCTAAATTTAAGATTCAGTGCCATGAGAGGAGTTAGAATAATACATAATCAAGATAAAGTATTTTACAATCAAGCAGTTCTATCTTTATGTCTTGTCTTCCACATTTATAAACCATGTGACTTTGAGGTACTTAAAATCTCTTGGCTTTATTTTTCTCATTTGTAAAATAGGAATAATAATTACACTTCCTTCAAGGCCACAATGAACTATGTTTGTGCCACTGCACTCCAGCCTGAGTGACAGAGTGAGGCCCTGTGTCAGAGAAAAACAAAAAAAGAAAGAAAAATAAATAATAATTGCACCTCCCTCAAAGATTGGATGGGAGCAATAAAAGATCATGCAGAAAAAGCAAATCAACTGGCATGTAAGTGCTAAATAAATATTGAATTTTTAAATACTATAATTAGCCCTAATTTTTTAAAGAAATATCTTTAAAATGACCTTTAATTATAAATGCCGTGCAATATTAGACAATTAAAATGAGAAAAGTGTGAATGATCATATCAATATCTGCTATGTCTTAGTAAGAAGACAAATTGTGAATGAAAATTGTGTTTCCAAAAGATTTGGAATTTTTATTTCAGATTCCAGGAAGCAGAGATTTAATGGCTAATATTTAAATGACAGGGAAGAGATTTTTCATTTGAGGTCAAAAGCTTTCTCTTTTTATTAATGTAATGATGTCAAAGGATTGCAGAACCCCATTCCTCCAGCTGAATCTGATTCCAAATGATGATGAGTAGAATATTCATCAGTTCTCTCTTCTCCCGAGAGAAGATGAGTTAGGAAATGAGTCTCTATTCTTTATCTGGAGATTCACTGGAGATTTTTTCTTGTTTCTTCTCTTACAAGAGCAAAATATTTTAGTTCTCAGTCTTCTACTTAACCCATAGCTACTTATATTGCTTTCAGATGTATTATCTGCTTAATTGTTCCTCTTTCAGCACCATCTCATGACACCTCTTGAAACCAGCCCATATCCAAGTTGTTGCTATAGAGAGTAGAATCAGGAGGACAACAACAGATTTTATGTATCAACTGTAGGAGCTTTCTGATGACAAAGACCCTCCCCACCCACATCACTCCGCTGGCACTTGAAGAACGTTCTGTAAAGAAAGCAAGTCTGTATGACTGAGTAGTGCTTCCCAGTGGGTAATTCTGAACCCCCACTTTAGCCTCTACCCATCCAACTGTTTTGCCATGTTCCCAACAGTCACCTATAACTCTGCCTTCTCCCCAGTAAAATCACTCTCCTTCCGTCATAATAGCCCTATTTCTGTGCCTCCATTTCTGTTGATGGCATCATCGTCTTTCCATTAGATCCAAATAGAATCTTTAGTCATTGACTCCCTCTTGTTCTTCAAGTTCTAAAATAAGGCACTTCTGACTCTGGATTATCATTTATACTCAGCCTCCTACTCTCTATGTCCATAGCTTCTTCTATAGTTCACTCTTTCCTCAGTTCTCACCCAGGCTGATCTGTTAGCTCCATATCTAACCTCTTTATCTTCACTCGCTTTCAACCCACCCAACCCCTAAGTCACCCTCTATTCTCTTGCCATAGTTCTGTTTCTAAAGCATGGATATGGCAATGATATTCCCCTGCTTAAAACCCTGGAATAATTTATTCAGATAACAATATATGCTTTGCTCGCACTACATGTTCCTATCTGTCAAATTAAATCTTTCCAAGCTTTTAGGCCGAGTGCGGAGGCTCCTGCCTGTAATTCCAGAACTTTGGGAGACTGAGGTGGGCGGATCACATGAGGCCAGGAGTTCAAGATCAGCCTGGCCAACATGGTGAAACCCCATCTCTACTAAAATTACAAAAATTAGCTGGGCATGATGGCACACGCATGTGGTCCCAGCTACTCACGAGGCTGAAGCAGGAGAATCGCTTGAACACAGGAGGCAGGAGTTGCAATGAGCCGAGATCGCACTACTGCACTCCAGCCTGGGCGACAGAGTGAGACTCTGTTTCTAAATAAATAAATAAATCTCTCCAAGCTTTTAGAAAGATTTGGGCTTTCTTAAACAGAAGAAGTTGCAAGCAATGTAAAAAGCAGGAACTGCTTGCAGAAAATTCCTTTTGCCAGCTTTTGTTTTCCACAGCCTGAACACACTGAAAGGATTATTCTCCAGGGCATATGGGAGGAGTTTCTTTGAGGAATCATGGTGTCAAGGATTACACTGAACACCAGAGGATTCTTCTTTTGCAGAAGCTTTATTTCTTGGGGGAATAGAAAAGATCCACCCCTAGATGATGCTGGCAATGGAACCAGTGGTTGGCTTGGCATCAGAAGGAGCAGGCAGCAGCTTAGGGCAAAATCTCTATCACAGGTAGGGTTCTTTGGAAACAAATATGAAAGATTTTGATGTGCATGATGTTTATTAAGGATTGATACCCATTAAAGAAAGGAAGAGGAAGGGAGCCAAACTGGGTAATTAGAGCAACTTAACTGTAGTGCAGTCTTGACAAAGCCTTGGCCAACCCCATAGGGAGCTCTGGGGTGAAAACTGCCCATCAGAATGTATTGCCTTGGGAAGGGGTCGACCTTGGTTGCAGGCAGCAGACCCTGAAGGTGCTAAGAGCTGGAGGCTATCTGCTAAGGAACTGGGACAAGTATCCCAGTGTCCCCTAAAAAGTCTACATGACTATTGAGGTCTGCCCTGTGGAACCTTAACACTGTAAACTTTTGAGATGAGAGAAACCTTGCTGAAAGACTATTTCTCCCTCTCAATTAAGTATCAAGCATAATTAAGTGCAAAGGTCTATTGCTGGTAAGAGCAACACCTCTCCAGTCTCATTGCCTTTGAGCATCACAGAAGGAAGCAGGTCAAGGTAAAAAACATGGGAGCTGAAGCCCAGCCTCAGAGTAGCTGGAAGCTTGGCAAAACTTGCAAGCTTATCAGCAGCCAAAGTAAGTACTGACAGGATACATTCATGGATGGACATGAGCATTTCTAGAAATTTTCAAAATTATTTAGAAAAGATAAATCTGTAAAAAAATTAGACATCCTGACTTTGGATCACAAAGATATGAATATTATGTATAGGCAAGTCAAATATTTGGGCTATAGTATTTATGTATTTGCAAGTTTGCCTTTTTCACTAGATTATACATTTCTCAAGATTGAAAATGTATCTTACTTGCTCATAAGACATTAAATACACATGTTAATGATTTGAAATGATTTATTTTGTACATTTATATATGGGATCTCAAATTTTCATAATTTATTAATATATTTAGGTTACATACTTTCCTTTACTTTTCAAAGAAAGCAAGTTGGTTGCTTAAAAACTATCTTATTTTTAATAAAAATGTTTATATACTTAAACTGTAAATTATCTAAAACATAAACAAATCCTCTGGCAATGCAAATTACCTAATAAGATCACTCGTCACCTGACTATGTTTGTGGTAGGGGCAAAGGGGGATGGTATATGCTTGTGTGATATGCATGTGAAAAAGAAAGGCAAAGAATATATATAGTTATACAAATATAAAGTCTCTATTCTTTATTTGGAGATTATTTAAGAAACCCACTCTTGAAATAATAAAAAAGCTTTGAAATCCCTGGTCAGATTTTACAAAATAAGGAGATTAAAAAGTTGAAAGTCAATAAACTAATTGCTATTATGTGTCAGACATCAAGCATGCAAAATGATTAAGACAGAGAACAATGAAATGAACTCCCAGTCATATACAACTGACATTTGTATAGTGCTTTCACTTAGCTTTTCCCATATGAACAGCTAGGGCATGGATCATAATAGTCTTCATTTTACATATGAGGAAACTAATGTGACATGCCCAGTTGAAACAAAAAAAATGATTCTGAATCTATGATTATTGATGCAACAACCTCCCTTCTGTGTCATACAAACTAGCTACCGATGCCAAGTTGAAAATATTCTTAAATAGGTATACATAAAATTGTATTCATTTGTCTTTTCATTCATTCAGTCCACAAGAATTTTATGAGCCCAGGGATCAATCGCACTGTGCTATGGGGATATAAAGATAAAATAGACCTGACCCCTGCTTTCAGAATGATTACAGTCTGAGGCATATGACCCTGTGGAGGACAGAGACGGGCCCTTGTAGGTTAAACTAAATCTAGCAAGAAAGATAAGTAAGAAAGTTCTATGACGATGATCTAGGACATGCACCTCCAGAGTGGAGCAAATGACTGATTTATCCTCATGGAATATGGCATAGCAAATCTTTATGTGGATAAAAATTGGAATAAAAGGTAAGGGTGGTCATACCTTGGAGGATGCTGTCTGCACAGCTGAAGACTTCATTGTGTACACAGTGAAGGTAATTAAATGACTTTAAGATGAAGAATCAGGATTTTAGAACCAATACCCTCACTGCTTTCATTAGAGAACACTGGTAGCATCAAGTAAAGTGAAGCCACAGCAGTAGTCAAAGGGAGGACTGTTGTGGTCCACTAACAATGTGTGAGCAGAAAGGGAGGCTTGATGGGCTATGGAAGATTGGGTGTCATGAAAGAAGAACAGAGAGCGAAGAAAAGGAGAAACGGAATGAAAGAATTCCATATTATTAAGAACATACCACAATTTATACTTTCTAAATTTGTATATTATTTCTGTGCAAGGTGCAGTGGTCTTGTACAGCATTTAATTATGCAGAATGTGATTTTTGAGGTAGAAAGAACTTTAGAGGCCATTTATTCTCTTCCCTTCATTTTACACATAATGAAAGTGTGCTCTAGAAACCAAGCAGCTAGCTAGTGCAGAGCTGCGAATGAAACGCTGACTTTTCCAGTGGTCTACCTATCCCAAATATAGCTAAAATATTAACAAAGATTTGTTAAACACTCACTAAATGCAAGGCACAGTGATAAACAATGATTAATAATCTGTATTCTCAAGGAATTCGCAATCTAGGCTGCCACAGAGAATTCATATTATATATTAGATAATTATTAAAGCAACATTCTGAAAAACCAAACTACCTCTAAAGTAAGCAAGGTTTGTCATCAAAGAGTTGAACAGTTGCCCTTTTTTCCTGGTGGAATCACAATTCTTATTATAAAACAAATACAGAATGTCATAATTTTTAGTTTGGAGTCCTTGAATTACAGTTTCTATGAATAATGTCCCCTGTAAAAAAAAGAAATAAACTGGAAAGTTATTTCACATTTTTGCTTTTCTGTCTACAGTAGTAAACTGTGTTCATTGTTTCCTTAGCTTTTCCTGCTAACTACCACTGGAATTGAAATTGTGTACAAAATGCTTCACTTTCTTTGCAACAATTATTTTTTATGTTCTTCACCTCTGGTAAAATGACCTCTAACCATTGCATCATTTTATAAGAGGCAATCAGGAGCTTTAAAGGAAAAAAAACCCAAATATTTTATTAAATTAATTTAAAAAGAAATATTTGAATATGAAAATCTGCATAGCATAAATATTTTATATGGGAAATAGTAATAAAAATTAATATTTAGTTATATTATTCATATGTAAGAGGGGGAACCTGCTAATTTGGAAGCCCTAATTCTCCTCCTAGAATATTTCAAATAGCATATATGGAACAATATTGCTGCACTATATTTTACAACCAGCTTATATTAACTCTGTTTTACTGTTTTTAAGCTATACTCATGATCATATTTCTTACATATTTTCTTGAGTGCTCACACACCACAGAGACATAATATATAAATAAAGTAAGGCAAAATTCGCATAACCACTGCAACCAAATTGGAAACAATACAACACAGCACATATTAAAATTTCTCGATGAAATGTGAGGCTGAGGTATTTACCAGCACATTCCTCTTATGTGTGTCCTGCAGTATTTAAGTAGTCCAGGGACACTCCCCACTACATTGGCTACTCCATGGAATGAGTTCAGTCTTCAGGAATAGTAGTATCCTTTTGGCTTGGCCCTCAGAGCACCATTCAGAGCTATCATAGATGTCTTAACAGCCTGAGTAATTTAGTTCAGATTCTCAGGGTTCTCAAGTCCCACAAAATAAGTCTCCTCTGGGACAATTATCAGATTGAAATCAATCCTGAAACTTAAGTTTTTACTTTTTATTTTTTGGTACAAACTTCTTCCACAAAACCTAAAACTGTTAAAAATAAGATTGTGCAACAGGTTTTGAAGATCTTATTTTTACAAATCTTTAAATCTTTACTTTAAAATTATTCTTATCAACGTGTTTTTATTGTGTAATGAATCAGCATCCAGTGATACCTGGAAAGTATTTAGCCCCTGAAGTGACTTTTATGTAAGTTTAAATTTCTCTTTCTCAGAGATTATATAAAATGTTATTTATTTATTTATTTATTTTTGAGACAGACTCTCGCTCTGTTGCCCACGCTGGAGTGCAGTGGCACAATCTTAGCCCACTGTAACCTCTGCCTTCCAGGTCAAGTGATTCTCGTGCCGCAGCCTACCAAGTAGCTGGGATTACAGGCACGTGCCACCACACCTGGCTAATTTTTGTATTTTCAGTAGAGACCGGTTTCACCATGTTGGCTACGCTAATCTCAAACTCCAGGCCTCAAGTGATCCACCCGCCCTGGCCTCCCAAAATCCTGGGATTACAAATGTGAGCCACCGCACCCTGCCTAAAAAACTCTTAACATTGGCGTTCATAGTCCTTGCTGTCCCTTTAAGAATGAATTTATGCAATTAATAACAGCACATGACACATTGAGCCTTGTCCCTCTTCTGCCTATTACCTGTTTTCACTTAAAGAGTAATTATTTAAGCTACACATGGGGAGTAGCTTAAAGCAATGGTTTCTAAGTGTGGTCCCTGGACTAGCAACATCAGCATCACCTGGGAATTTGTTAGAAAAGGAAATGCTTAGGTCACGTATTGGACATTCTTAATAAAAAACCTTGGGGCTGGGGTCTAAGCTGATGTGTTTTAACAAGTCTTCTAGGTAATTCTCATGCAAACTAAAGTTGTATAACTGTCTTAGAACTCACCTCACCAGCAGAGGCCCATTTCTTAGTCCAATAAACACTGCTGTACTCTTCAACAAAACAGATGTTGAAGAAAAGAATAAATGTTAAAATGAGTCATAGTCTGTGATAGAGTCTTCAGTATGTCTTAGATTCTCACCCAGCAGTAACTAGAAACACCAAACCTGGGCATATTAGACCCACGTCAGACAAGGCGTTCTTTTACTAGTACTTGGTCACAATATACTGCCATTACTCTTAATCACTGACTCACATTTTATGCCCCAACTTCAGAATAAGTGTATAGAGCTGACATGGAGCTCCCTGTTCTGTGGAAATACAAACAAGCATGGGAAATACCACCTCTGAAGATCATTTAATTAGCTCAAACTACAAAATGAAACCTAGTATGATTGTTGAAAATGCTTCAGAATGGAAAACTAAGATGTAGTTTAAAAGTGAAGTCAATTTATTTTTAGTTTCTATGACATTTAAAATGTGTAAAATTTTCTAGGTAATAAATAGCTTGAACGTGCTTCTGCTCATGTGTGCCACTTCTGCTGGGCAAAAAATTGAGGAATGGGGCAGGAGAGTCATTCTCCTAGTGCATCCTCACTCACCCACCCTATTGCAGGGTTCCTCCCCATGGGGGAACATATCGCCAAACTCAGAGAGTCATGATGAGAAGGCGATTTTACCAAATTTGTTAGCTATATGCCAATAAGTAGTTATAAAAAAGAATAAGCTGAGGGAAATGGTCTTACTGCTTTCATATATCCCTTAACATACTTCCATCACTGAAATAATTTCTTGGGCTTTCATAAAATGGTGAGGACCATGTCATATTTATTTTTATTTGGTTTGATTTTCTCAATTCTTGTCCAGATCTGGGGTCTTTTGAAAGATTGCTAAGTAAAAATTGCATATATATTACACACACACATATATATGTGTGTGTGTATATATATGTGTGTGTGTGTGTGTATACATACATATATTCAGGAAAGAATAACTCACTAAAAGTGCCTCTTACAAAAATATATAAGAAAAACCAGTGGGTTTTTTATTTTGTTAAAACCTTGTTAGTTATGTTTTGGTTTTGGATTTGCAGTCTGTGGAGTATTTTATACTTCTCAAATTTCTTCTGCTCACTTGTGACTCTCAAACATAATAGAAATCTCCTTTTTCCCTTCAAGTAATACTTGTCTGCTTCTAGGGCTATCAGGGGAATACTTTCTTAAAGATTGTTCAGACCAGCTCAAGCAGTGCACAAATACATACCAAATAGGAATATACTGAAAAGCAGCCGTCAAAATAGCCAAAATAATCTAAAAGCTGATTGTAAAAAATATGGAGAACAAAGTAAAAGGAGTGCCTTAAGGGCTTAGTTTCAATTTCTGCAATAATCCACCATTTCAGATAGAGTTAATTCCCTAGACTGTGTACATATGGATAATTTAATTCCACAGATAATCTCTAATATTTGTTTTGGGATAAAATGTCAAACTTTTCCCACTAAACCTTTTCACCTCCCCTTTGGACAAGTGGTCGGATGGGGGGATTTGTGGTTGCCTCTCGTTTGTCTGGCCCCACATGCCAAAGGCAGTGCAAACAAAGTGTGAAATGGATCTCTCCACCTCTCCCCTACCATAGCCTCAGCTTCATTTTGCTAGGTTTGGGGGAGGAAAGTGAACAATGGAGTATTGAAATGTAAATGTCAACGTCGTTTTTTGTGTATTTTTTTAAAGATATTTAACTTCTTTCAATAACATAGGAATTATTATGCTATTTTAATGTGATAGATAAAATGAAATCATCTAAATGGAAAATGAATATATGGTTGTTCTGTTTGGAAAGGCAATATTTGAAAAATTAGGATTTTGAAAGAAAAACACTGTGTTTCAATTGCGTCTCTGCTACTTGCTAGCCAAGTAAGCTTTGAAAAGTTATAAAAATCTATGAATATTAGTTTTCTTATCTACAAAATAAGAGTAACTTTTTCACAATAATGTTATGAGAATTAATTGTTATGCACGTGTAAAGTACTTGTAATCTGTAACTGCAGCATAGTTGTTATTTATAAAGGAATGAAGTGTGGAAAGTGGACAACTCTAATATCAATTGTGTATGGGACCAGAGTGTTTCAGAGTAGCTGAACTTCAAAACATCATCATCAGTAGCAATCAGTGGAGTTTTCCATGACTTTGTAATTTTTTACTCCCCAGTATCATTCAACATGTTCTACACACAGTAGCTATTCACCACATAGTTGTTAACAACTCACAATATCTTTCTCCAACAGAAAGATTGAGATCAAGATAATAACAAAGAGTTGTCAACATACCCTATTCTTTGACTGGCAGAAGTTAGATAACTGGACAAGTACAAATAGTTTACTTTTGCTAAAAAAATACATATATAAGCATATATTTTAACATATTCATATATATATGATTGTTATATTAAAATGCAGAATTCTCAACTGCTACTAACCCATTTCTAACAATCAAGACCTGATTTTGTTTCAAGGCTTATTTTCTAAGATAATTTACTGTGTCTATATAGAGGCCAAGGGCTATGGAGTTCTAATTTATACATTTCTTCAAAAACCTTTATACCCATGAAATAAGTCCCCGAATCTGGAAGACATATCTTTTCCTAGGCAGTTTGCAGAGTTGCTTCACATCATTAGGAAAAAATATAACAAATTTTCCTTCATAAGAAATTGCAAGTAGTTTCATTTTTGTTTTTGTATATTCAAATGAAGATCTTTTTTAACTGCAATCAGCATCACTGGAGTGAATTACCGCCAAATAGAGAGTTACTAGGTAAAAGTTTCAACACCCAACATAAATATCAAAGAATCAAATAATTGCTATCCTTTAGTGTGCTCATCAGATAACTTTCAGTTGCAAAGTGACAGAATCTCAACAGAATCTCTACAACTAACTTAAATAGCCCAAAGAAAAATGCATTGACTCTCACTACTGCCGTCTCTCTTCTTGCACATTATTCTCTCCCGCTGCCATGATTTTTCTATCTTGGGGAAGGACCATAGTCAGCAGCAGCATGGGGCCCACATACCAATCGCTGAGAAGATTGTTTTCTCGCTCAAATCCAGTTATATTTTTTGTCCTGGAAAAGGCTCTTAAATGGCTGGACTTGGGGCACTCCATGGGCCAATCCTGGGTCAAGCGTGTTTGGGGACGGGACATGAGGGTGGTGGTATGGATCTGAAACCAGAATGGTGGAAGGGAAAAGAATCCTGGAAAGACAAAATTAGTAGCTTTGATATTTGATATTTAGTATAAGGACAAGTTATATTTTCATTAGCAAACAATGTTTTAGAAGTTCCATTAACTTCTGTAATAATTTGAATGAGTGTTTTCAGCTAAACAATATAGGAAGAGAAAATGCTTTGAGTTATTGAAACACTTATATACCTTTAGAGAGAATTGCACAGCCTTAGACATTACTTTAGATGAAGGAAAAATATAAAATATAGTTGTTGAATTTGAACAAATTTTCAAAATAACAATTAAATCAATGTATGATCTTGAAGGGTTTATGGTGCTTTGACACTTTAGAAGACAAAGCTTTCTTTTACCCCTTCTGAGAAAATTAACTCACTAAAGACTTTCCGCATCATATTCCTCAAACATAACATTTTATATCAGCAGAACTGAGAAGACATTATGACCTCCAGAGAACACTTCAAAATAAATCACTCTTTCTCCAAATTAAGCCATCAGAATACTGAGGCGAAGGATATATATCAAATAGGAGTTTTGATGAGAGCTGAGTTCTACCTGCCTTCCCTATTTTGATAGTGTTCAATCGTCAGTCTCTTCTACAGGTTAAACAAACTGACTCAGCCTCATCACTGCAGGATCTTTCAGAGCCTTTGATGGGCTAACATGTGACATTTCCAAATCTATTTGACTTACAGAAAACTTTCAAAAATTACCCCTTCCCCTGCATACTTATCAGTCTCTTCCATAGCAGTAATACTATTTAGTAACTACTTCCCATATATTTATGACCTGGAGGTTGTCAGTCCATGTGTATTGTACAGTCCTCTGATGTTTCAGTAGGAATAAATTTTCAATGAAGTATTATCCTTAAGGAAACCATCTTATTAAATCTAAAAAGAAAATCTTTGAAAAATCTCATGTGACATATAACTTTTTAAATTTTAATTTATAATTTCAGAGTAGCATAATAGAATGTTTAAAGTTAAGACTTGAGGCCAGGCATGGTGGCTCATGCCTGTAATCCCAGCACTTTGGGAAGCTGAGGCAGGTGGATCACCTGAGGTCAGGAGTTTGTGATCAGCCTGGCCAAGACAGTAAAACCCCATCTCTGCTAAAAATAAAAAAATAAAAAAATTAGTTGGGTGTGGTGGCACATGCCTGTAGTCCCAACTACTCAGGAGGCTGAGGCACAAGATTCGCTTGAACCCGGGAGGCAGAGGTTGCAGTGGGCCGAGATTGTGCCACTGCATTCCAGCCTGGGAGATAGAGCGAGACTCTTGTCTCCCCTGAAAAAGAGAAAAAAAAAAAAAGACTTGAAAAACTACAATTTAAGTAGATAAGGATATTTTTACAGAGCTTTACACCATACCAATCCTCTTCCAGCCCTCAGGCCTGCAGAACAGGAAAAAAAAAAAAAAAAAAAAAAAAAAGCAGCTAAGAATCACAATGTTTTGCAGTCTCCTATTTGGCCACCCCTTCTCAGACTTTCAGACACTCCACACAACCAATACTCACCAATGGCTGACTATGGCATTGCTCAGAGGAACTAGCAGGGAATCAAAAAGGCCAGTATTGTCTTAGATAAGTCATTTAAATTTGTAACTGTTGGTTTTCTCATTAAAAAAAGAAAGATCTTACAGTACTTATCTTACATCACAAGGCTATGTTATTGTGAAGAAGTAATAACATAATGTATGGAATGACAAACTAGTTATGTTACATAAATAATTTTTTTTATTAGTTTGTCATAGCCTCCAGCCTCTCCAATCTTCAGTCATCCTAAACACTGGTGAAGAAGCACTTTGTAAATTGGATCACTTTTCTATTGAGAAGGCTTGTTGTCTTTCCTCTGTTTCCCCTCCAGATTCCCTGCTCTTTCCCCCAGAGGCTGACCTGTATAGGCGACATCAACAGTCTCCCTTGTCCTCTGAATTCTGGATGGGTTTGGCCAATGGAAAACACCGACAGGGAATGAGAAGGCGAAGAGGGAGTTCAGCATTCTAATCCCCTGCTCATTCCTGCCATAACCTGGCTCCTGTAAGAGGTCCAGCTCCTGTAAGGAATTCATCCCAACAGTTCTTTTTCTTTAGGTTCCATTATCTGCTCACTCTTCATGCCCCATCAGTCTGTAGATGGGGATATTCAGTGCATGCATCATCCTTAGACAGAGACACACGGGCTTCTGCCTTGAGCTTAATGCTTTCAGGAGTCCCACTCTGGTTCTTCTCCGATGAGGCCTCTTCCCACAATGAGATGAATCTTCATGGCCAAAATGATGTGACCACCTGTCCCTCTAGACTGCATTCTAGGTACTCAGGACCTCAGAATTCTCTACCTAGACTTATCTACAACTGCTTCCAGGGCTGGCTGTTTCCCCAGGTCCAGCATCCAAAATACAGACCATGCTGTGGGTGAGTGCACCCTGTAGCTAGATAAATGACTAAAGGCTTGCTATAAGTGGAGCGTAGATGGAGTTTATACATAAAAGCTAAGTTTAGGAATGACCAAAGGGTTGCTATTTGTGGAGCATAGATGGAGTTTATACATAAAAGCTAAGTTTATCTCTTATGGAGTTATAGGATTTAGACAGGTTCCACCTAGAAACATGAGCATCTTTTTTTAACTCCTTAAGGTGCTGCCTCTTGCCAAGCCATCCACAGGGCCACATCTACATAATAGGAATGCCCTCTTCTAATTCACAGAAGATGTCATACAAACTAGTGGTAGCCCTAGAACTATCAAAAAAAAATTTTTTTTTTTATTGTGCTACCCTAAACCCTAGTTCCCATGAAGGTATCCAGCAGGCTACTGCTAAGGCACAAGGGAGAACTGTACATTAGCCAGGGTTACCATTCACACAGAGTGGCTGGGCTCTGACCTGTTTTATATATTAAGTTACTTATACAGTTTTATTTGAGTAGATAACCCTGTAGATAAGCTAATTTTGAAAATCACTGTACTAGGTAACCTAAAAATTCCCAACTACCATTAGATGGTCTTATGATCCTCTAAATCATATCATATGCAATTGTCTAGTCTTTTTATTTTAGACCTTTCATTTAAGCCATGATTTCTCATGGTTCTACCTATTTCCTTTTATGTTCCGTGTTCACATATGTCTCTTTAACTTATTTAAAATATTTCTTCCTTTTTACCGCTACTATGTCATTCAAAGAATGATTCCCAAACCACCTCCTCTGAGAAGCTTTCCAAGTTAATCTGAACACTGATGAGGTGTTTTAAAGTCATCATCAAGGTGTCGGAAAGCAGATGAAACATAAGCCTCTTGCTAGAGTTTTGTTGTTGTTGTTTGTTTGTTTTTCCTTACTTGAGCTTAAATACTGCCTAGTTTCTCTTAATTCCAATGAATGCACAGTTTTCCCTCATGCAAATTTGTTTGGGGTCAAAAAGACAGCCACACTGAAAACAAAAAACAACCTAATCAGACCAAATACTGAAAAGTTACAGTTGAATGTGCTTAGGTGCCATACTTAACAATTGTTTGAAGAATTATAATTAACTCATCTATGAAACTAACTCATCTATGGAAGCTCAGATGTTAGTAACTTGTGATTAATTAAATCTAATAGACTATGTCTGTTGTACTTATAATAATAATATTTAACAAAATATATTAATTCACAAAATGATTGAAAAAATATTTTGGTAGTAACATGTATTCATTTCACAAATAAAGTGGAGTCTCAAAGATTTTTGGATTATCCTCTGAGGCGACACAATAAGTTATAAATGGAAAAGCCAATTTAAGAGCACTGGTCTTCTGACCATTTATTCATTAGATTCAGATTGCAGTTTCAGTGTTCAAAACCAAGATAAATTTAGTTGTCTTTTATCTTAGAGTCAGTTATATTTTATAAGTGACCATTTGTATTTTAATATTTGCAGTACCATTTGGTTTATTTTATTTTTTAGCTAAAATGCCATAACAAATACGCAACATATTCTTTTGTGCAACTCTATAAAACTCTAATACCAATGAATGACTTTACAGAAAGAATTACTGAATAGAATTTCCATTTAGTGTTAAAGAAATGCCTTGGTTCAGCAACATCCAGTAAGTGAGCACATAAATAATTGCTTATTAAAGACTTTCTATATGGAATATTACAACCTCCAAGTATTAGCAATTCAATAATGAAAACATTATGATTTACTTTCCACTACCATTAGTAATTGACACCATGGATTATATAATGTTACTTCCTGCCAGTAATTTTGACTGAAGCAAAGGAGAAGTGACTGTGAAATATACATTTATTACTCTATGTGAATACTGTACAATTACTATGAATGGCTGATGAACTCTTTAACTTTCTGATACTCATTGACAAGCTGTATTGAATTTCATTCTATGGCATCTGTCAAGGGACATACAGAACTCTATTTACTGGGCCCATTAGAAAGAGAAAGAATGTTCAATCAAATTTATGAGAGGTCTGAATAAGTTATATTACATTTATCCTTGGACAGGGGAAGAAAACATTCTTAGATATTTGCACTTTTGATATAGGAAATAAAATGAGAAATTGATTGGGAGCTTATGGCCAAGGGAATTTTTCCAAGGTCATAGTTTATCATGGGCCCCTCCATTGTAGACAACCTGAAGACTTGACCCTCAACAGAATGAATGACCAAGATACACATGAGGGCCACAGGAGCATACAAGGGTATTGTAAAGCCAAGGTTATAAAGCCCTATGTCTTTCATATTCACTTTATGATGTGGTTATTGGCATAGAATTATCTATTAAATATTCTTATTCATAAGTAAATTCTGAAAACAGAAACTCTGTCTCCAATCTAGTATTTGTCTAGCTTAGGAAGTTTGTATCCCTCAGTTAAGAAAAAAAAAAATGACAAAACCAGTAATCCACGTGCAATTGCTAAAACTTCTGATATTTCTTAACAGAATAATGCTACTATCTGGACCATGTATGGTGTCTTATTTTTGTCTCAGCACACAAATTCTTAAAAGGGGGAAAAAAGCCATGGCCTCTAAGTGCCAACAGAGGTAGAATTCAAGGTCTCTCTGAAGATGACCTTAGAAACAAACATGTGAGACAAAGAATTGAAGAAAATTTGGCCCATGGCCTCTTTAAATTTTTCCCTCAGCTAAACAGACATCTAGTCACTTAGAAAAGAACCCACCCCCTTGTTAGACTAGCTGAGGGACAATCCCCTGTTGTCATTTTTATTGTCTGCCCTGGAGAAGGAGGCAGCTTGGGATGCCTAATGGAATCTTGATTCTATTTCACAGCTACAGAGCACAGCCAGAGGCCCGTGGTGCTTTTGTGAGCCAGAATCCACGGAGGCTAATTTTGGCTGAATAGAGGCTAAAGAGAATTCATTTTTCCTTGTTACATTTATTTCACTAAAATTGTTCAAACTCACAAGATGTTGCTGGAAGGACACCAGCAAGCACTTCTTAATTGGGGCCCCATTCAGTAGCAAAACTGACTTTGCAGGTACCACCACAGAGGTGATGAGGATTTCAGGGGCCTAAACGCATGGAAATTAACCTTAACACAGGAGACATAAACGTTATCTGTACTTAGATGTGGAATATAATCTCGAGGCTTCTGTTTCACATACTTGCTGGAAACTGTAACCATGGCTCTCATCTTTCAGTTGCTACATATGAAAGGCTTCATGTCCTGACATCACCAGTGGGTTCTGCTGCGCATGCTCAGGAAGATAATTGCTATTCCCCCCAAAACACTGGGAGTCTCTAGAGATAACTAGCAGCAATTGAGTATTAACCAGTTTTCAGGAAGCCAAATGGACAATAGAGACACAGGAAGAATCATTTTGCCTTTCTCTCACTTCAAATTTTAATGAGTAAGAAAATTTTTATATTTATGGGTTTAAATGTGTTTGACATTCTGGCCCTATGTATTATCGCAATGTTAGTAGCACAGAATCCTATTCTGAATTTTAAGTTTGCACACATTTGAATTACTACTCATAATTCTAACTTTTCATGAATTTTTAACTCAGTAATTAATAAGAATGACCATTAAATTGCTAAAATCTTGGAGGAAAAAAATTCTGTAAGAACTTGCTAAATGTTGCTATCACTCTTACTATTTTCTGTGGATTCTTCATTCTTTGTTTAAAGGCAGAAACACCCTCAGAAGGTATCTGAGAGAAAGCATAATTATCCCCATTTTACAGACGGAGAAATCAAAGCCTATGAGCCATTGATAGAATGTCTGATGGAAGAATTTCTGTCTTCCATTTCAAAATTTGCTCCTGTGGAATGAGCAACAAAAAATAAACCTAACGTGTTTTTTTCCCCAAATGAATTTAAACATAATTCCAATACAGAAATTGGTGTTTTACAAAGGAAACTTTGGAAGAAAATGAATTTCCCTGTAACAGGTACTCCACGTTGTTTGTTGTCCAGAGGGTTCAGAAGGTAGTTAACCTAAGCTCACCTGCATTAAATATTGACCCTGAGGGGCAATTTGAGGCCTTGCTAATGGGGCAATTTGGGGCCTTAATGATGCAGACAAAAAGGTCCACAATCCTACTTGATGAAGTGAAGAGCCTCATTAGCATGATTTTCAAGGGTGGTACTCAAAGAATTAGCTTGCCAACCGAAGCCGCGTCTAAACTGGCCAAATAAAGAGCTCTTCATTTAGCTAGAGTGCTATATTTGACCAGAGTCTCCATGTTCCTGTGCATTTGATTTTCTTTTCTTCTAGAGCAGTAAGTGTTTTTATGTCTTTTTGTTGGTTTTTTACCACAACCTAAATGGGCAGCTCTTGATTTTTGCAAAATTTTGAAAGCATAACAAAAATGTTGTATTTTTAAAGCAATAAAAAAAATAAGAAAGCCAATGTAAACTTACCCCAAACCGCCAGTTATTCCTACAAGAGCAAAGTTTTGTGATGAAAGCAAGGACATATTTTTTAAGCTTCTGGATTTGTGAAACAGGTGCCAATTTCTAATACACGGCAAAGGCAAATTTAGAAAATAAGACATGCCAAATCACCTTTAAATGTAAAACAACTGAGCAACAAATGCCATTATGTACATAATTTTAGTGACGTGCGTGATGCTTTTGCAAGTGCTCAGAAATTAAAGCCACAGTACGTTCAGTAGACAAATGTGCGCTCGCATACATACCACACACGAACACACATACACATACAGCATGCAAACTACCTGTCAATGTTAACTCGATGAAGTAAAAAAGGCAGCTGTACATATACTTAGTACTTCATCATTAGACATCCACATTTATTGAACAAATGTACAGTAAGAATTATTAACAGTAGTGGAAAATTTTCCTTGTCCTTAAAAAATGTGTTTAAAACACCTAGAAATGTAATATTCAATAAATACTAGAAAACATCTCACAACACTATAAATCTTATCAAATGAATGAATATATAGACTTTTTTATTATAATTTTACATTATACATAGGCACACTGTCTAATTTGATTACTGAATACGTGACATTCTTCTTTGACTTATCCTTACCCACTAGACTGAGTAGACTGAAGTGCCCTCAGCTTTGCCGTAGGCTCCTAATGCCTCAAGCTACTGCTTTAGTGACTGATTCAAGGGAAAAATAAAGAATGAAAATTCAAAATGTGACACTTTTAACTAATGAACTGCAGGATAATTTCATTTCGGCCCTGGCGACGGCTATCCCTTTCTACATTTATACTCTATCGTTGGCCATAATCTTGGGAACGAACATGTTTTAAAAATGGAATAATGTAATTATTATCACAACTAATTTGTACCTCAAACAGCCCAAATTAAATTCAATAAGTGAAGGAGAAATTACTGTGATTTAAGGTCTGATGTTTCACCCTACTAAATTTTTAATTGTGGCAAATATGTTCTGCTTCGGGAACATAGAATAAGAAGTGCGGCAAAGACTCCTGACATTCCTCCGTATAAAAATGTTTTTGTAATCACTCTATTTAAATAGTAACATTTTATTTTTTTAAGCACTTAGTTTCTTGATCAGGATCCATATTCATGGGGCCTCACTGTAATCCACTTTACCACTTAATGTTGCAATTCAAATGTTCAGTCAGAAGCAAAGCCCTCCAGAATAAAGCATGAATATTACCGTGTGGGGCTGTAAAGAGAAGACTATTAGAATATATCACCAACACACTAGGGGACCATTTAGTCCACTGCTCTAAATACATCATTTAATTACAATGGAGACATTACTTCATGTTTCTACTGATGTAAGTATTATTAGAATTCATGATATTCGCAGGCTACTGTGGGCCATTACATTGGCCATAAGCTATTCCATAAGATTTACTACTAAAGGCCCGCAAGGGTATTTGAGCATTCATGGATTCTGTGGCAGTAGGCTTTTATCTAAGACACATAAGTGAGGGACAACCGAGTTATTATCTCTAAGAAACATAGCTTAATATTTTGGATTCTAAAGGTTAAGGTACCATAAATCCTGAATTACTCTGAGATATCACATAAAAAGACATTTTTATTTTATTTTACTCTATTCTGGCTCTTAAAATATTTTATGATGGCAGTTTTCAGAGTTGTACCATGTTGTTTACATTCAGTCCCTGGATGCATCAAAACACTGACACAGCATTTCTTTTAAACTGTCGTAAAAAAAGCAGAAATACATTGTGTGTGTGTGTGTGTGTGTGTGTGTGTGTGTGTCTGCATGCACCCATGTATGTTGTGTCTGTGGTATAATAGGGAAGAGAGAGGGATGGGTTAACTAAATGCTATATTTTTTTAAAAAAGCGTACTCAATTTCCAGTTTGATGAGTATTGATCAGTGCTTTGATTGGCCCTTTTCGTGGTGGGTGTCATTGTGTTGGGCTGAGCTGAGCTGATTTGCCCCTGGATGCAAAGCCTTAGGACCTCTCAGAAAGGAGATTCTGTGAAACTATACGAGGAAGTGCAGAATCTGCTGCAAGAAGCAGCTTTCAAAGGCTGCCTGTTTTTTAGACAATGAAAATTGCCACCAGAAAACTCAGTAAAGACTGATGAAGGGGCTTAGTAAATTTGTCATGAAAATAGGCAGAGAAAAAAAACTTTTCCCTATTATGAAATGAAAACTTCTGGATATCTTCCTAACAAATGAAAGATTAGGGATTTGGGAAAGCAATGCTTTGAAAAAGCAGGTAGAACATAAAATTCAACCAAACAGTCCAATATCCATGTGTCATGGCAATGCCACCTTTACATTTCTCTCCAAGCCTCTTTCTTGCTATTGTAAGGCACCTGTTAGGTTTCTGAGTCTTAATACATGGAGCATATAACTCTTTTGCATTTTCCAGGAAAACTAAGGCAGATTCATCAGCATTGGCTGTCTTGTCGAGAAATGGCTCCAAAATGACAAACAGCCGCAAGCCGCAAGAAGGGTATAGTGAGGGTACAGAAGCTGTGTTTACTGAGAGACAGGAGGAGCTATTGATTTGACATAGAAAACCAACTGCAAAGTTGGACAGATAATTCAGATGTTTGATCTCTGAATCTGTGATATAGATGCCTCACTTTTGTGGCAGATTTTTTTTTATCATCTTCCTTCCTCCTTATCCTTCCCTTTACCCAACACCCATCAACTCTCAGAACATAATATCCTGGGGCCCTAAAACTTCTCCAACAATAGGATTTCCACCACTGCTACATGAATAGCTACCAGAAGGGCTATTCATTATTCCAGAAAAAGTCTCAGTTTCACAATGCATTGTTCTTATAGCTTTGAGTAACATACTAAAGTTCTAAAAGGTTATGTCTAAGAAAAGGAAGTAAATAAAATAAGATGATCTTTCTTGGACAAAATTAGCCATTCTTTATTAAAATCTATAATATTTAATTACTTCATTAAATTAAAAAATCAAATGTAAGCATTAATAATATTTATCACAAAGCCATATTACTTTCTATTATTTTATCCAGTTAGGATGTACTAAAGCAGTGCCCTTTTGGCCCAAACCTCTGGATTTAACCACTAACTACTTTGCATAAGAAGTATAATGTATATTTTTAAATCTAAAACATATTCAATGTAAGTCATATTTTAAAACCTAAACATTGATCAAGACCATCCTGGCTAACACGGTGAAACCCCGTGTCAACTAAAAATACAAAAAAATTAGCCGGGAGTGGTGGCTGGCGCCTGTAGTCCCAACTAACTCGGGAGGTTGAGGCAGGAGAATGGCGTGAACCCGGGAGGCGGAGCTTGCAGTGAGCCAAGACTGTGCCACTGCACTCCAGCCTGGGCGACAGAGCAAGACTCCATCTCAAAAAAAAAAAAAAAACCAAACCTAAACGTTATGGATTAGCATATCAGGTTTAAAATAAAAAATATCTCTTGGAAAATATTAATGCTATACTTTTAAGAAACCACCATGCTGTGAAGGCCACCCAAGATTTCTAAGTCTCTAAATATGAACCTTTAAGTTGATATATAGTTATTGATGACAGTAAAAGAAGTGTGTACCCAATTAACATAATAATTAAACTATCAGTATTAATCATCACTACTCTGAGTACAAGTATTATAGAATACTTGTATAATTGTATAATAGTATTACTATACTATTATAGTATTATACTGTTGTACACAATAATATACAGTATAGTATAATTACACAATAGCCCCATCATGCAGATACTATTTTTATCTTGATTTTACAGATGGGAAAATTGAGGCCTAGAGAATTGAAGCAACTTGCTCAAAGTAATGTAGCCAGCCGGCAGCAGAGGCAGGGGTTGTGCTATAGCTGTCTGACTCTCCTGTTACACTCATAACAAAAGCTCCCTACTCCTCCCACTCCATGGGATCACAATACATGTGCACTGAATGAACTCGTGGATACACATTAAAGAAAGAAAGGCAGGAAACAAAATGCTGAGGTGTTTATCGGAAACTTTCTATACTTTGTACGTGTTTTTTAGTTAGACTATTAACATATCTGAACCTACTTTTGCTCCCCTCATTTTCTTTTCTCAAGCTACGTTTTTTTTCCAACTATAGATTTTTTTAACCACATACCTCCACCAGCTATACTCTATGTTTTTATTTATTATCCTTAAACAATTTAGTTCCATCTGTCTCTTTAAAAAGTAGTAAAATCACCATAATCATTATGTTATCCAAATATTTGTAGAAAAAAAAATGTGATGGTGTAGGGAGGTGCTTCCCTCCCTTCTAATTTCAAACCAAGTACCTCTTGCTCTCCAGAGCTGAACAGCACCTAAGAGTGGGAGCTTGGTCCCAAGCCATACCAGAATTCCAGTAGACAGGGTCAGCACAGGATTTTGACAGCCTCTAAGCCAGAGGTACTCTTGGCCAAGAGGCCATGGATGAAGATCAGAGCTCCGTGATTCCTGCACAGAGAAAACTTCACCCATAGAGACCCAGAAATGTCAAATAAGAGCAGCCTGAGAAGATTTGTAGGTTGAACTGGCCCTCAAAGAGTGGGCTGAACATGTACACCGGTGCTTGAAAAGGGTTAAGATTTCATTAACTTACTGATTATATGTATTGAGCAACCACTTTATGCAAAGTCCTGGTCCAGGTGTTGAGGATATAAGAATGAACAACGACAACATCAAAATCCTGGCCTTTTCAATCCATCTCTGTGGTGGGAAAGGGTTAAACCCAAGCTTCACATCACCCAGAAAACTTCTCACTGCTCATTGGAAGTGTGGTTCACCCTCAACTCAGACTTCTCACTAGGTTCAGTTGCCACGATGGCAGCTCCAGATGTAGCTTTATACTTTTAGACATTGTCTCAAGGAATTCAGCCATTAGGTCCTGGATCCCATATTCAACTCTCAGAGGTTTTTCGTTGAAGCCACTCTCACTTTGCCTGAGGTAGGAGAAAGCCCCACTAGGGGCAGGTATGGAGCTTAACATACAGTTGTCTCCAGAGAAACTTCCCTTTACTGGCTGGAGGTGGATGATCCCTAATATTGGGGGCAATGATTTTGCAGTCTCTCAGCATGGCAGAATGTATTTAGGGAGTCTTTAAAAAAATGTCTTTTGTTTTCTTTCATGTAACCTTATATTTTTAAATTAGGTATCCTTGTGTATATTTTTAGATTGATAAATAAACTTTTTAATCTTATATTTAAATAATTGCATGAAAGGATATCATTATTGATAAAATAAAAGCTGTTTCATTATTCTTTTAATGTAACCAATGAAATCTATCACAGCAATTTGATACCTACCATTATCCTTTTAAAATACATGCATGAGATCGTCTTTAATAGTTGAAAATTTTACATCATCCTTTTTACTTCCTGAATTTAAAGCCCATTTTCAATTCCCTCTACAGAAGTTTTACCTAATGTCTGATATTATTATGCTTGAAATTACTTTTCTGATCACCTTGTCATGCTTCTCTGGAATGAAAATCTGCGTACAAATCAAAATGTAATTTAGAAATTATTATGACCACAATTTTCTAAATGTTTAAAAATTATTCTGGATTCAGTTGTCATTATAATTATTATTACTACACAATTGATCAAAACAACCTGGATATATTACAAGGGTTGATAAATACTTTTCAAAGATAAAGTTATAATTTTATTGGAAAGAAGTACCTTAATGAGATGGCTGAACTTTTTATTTTCAATTAGTTTATGTATTCGTGGATGAATATAACTTATTGCTGAAATAACATATAATTTAGCATTAAATCTATTCCTATATTTTATAGATATAAGCATAAGAAAGTTAGCTCACATAAATAATATGGTGATAATGTAAGGAATTATTTTGTTATAGCTATGTTTTTCAGTTCTTAGAAATCTTAAATTATGTGCCAAAAGTCACATGGTCAAGTCACATGACTTGATTAGTTCCTGCATCAATTTTATTTTTTAAAAAAACAGCAAACCATCTATTTTTGAAAAGAATGGATTTCTCTATCATTGGAGTAACTCCTTTTCTGATTTCTCATAAGTAAACCAAAATTTATCAAATGATAATAATCCCATTATTCTTTCAGTGAGAAGTACCTAGTTTAAATTTACATGGTCAGAAATGGTAAGGTAAAAAACATGGCTTATTTCAAATTATTTTCCAAAATAATTCTTTTAGGTAGAAAAAAGCTTTTTATATTGTCATATCTTGTTATCAAAACGTTGGACCTGTTGATTTGCTTTATTTATGGAAAATATTTGTTATATAACCTATATGGCAAAACAAGTCCTTATGCTGAAATCTATCAAAATGACTTTCTATAAGAAAAAATATGACTTTATTTTTCATTTAAAATAAGTGTGCTAATTTATGTTCCCATGAAAACAACCTGTCTTTTAAACTCTAATCCTCTGAGAGAGAGAGAAATCAAGGAGGCCCTGGCTGCACGGCTGCAATAAAGCCCTCTATATCCTTTCTTTGTGTTGCCTTCATTGGTCTCTTCATAGTCTCCCTATTCTTCATCAATAGTCAGTGGATGGAAGAGGCAAGGACCCCAAATGGAAATAATGGTCTAAATCTAGAACTTTCCAACATGATAAAAATATTCTACTTCTAATGTCATGTCACCCTTAATAGAAACAAAGGTAAGATAAGAGGGTATCTAGATTAGAAGAGTCTTCTCTACGTACAATGTTTTTATAAAATCTCTTTGTTTGAAATCTATCTCTACACCCAGGAGGAAAAAGGGTTACCATATTAAGATGTGGGACAAGTGAAAGTTATGAGTTTCATTCATAAAGTATGAAAAAGAGAATTGTAATGGGGAAAATGTGGGAAAAAAACAACATGACACTTGGATCACAGGTATATTCTTAGGCAAATCAATTTACTAAAAAAAAACACATACAAAAATTGTGGATATAGGGACTGATACTCTTAAAACTATATATGTTGTACACCTCTTGGAAAGTGCTGGTACCCCAGAAGCACACTTACTCCTGTGTCAAAATCCCTGGTTCCCAGTAGAGGTTCTAAATTATTCAGTGCCTGGAAATTAAACAATACTAGGAGCCCTCTGGAAGAAACATAATACAAAAATTTAGAACATCCTTAAATATAGGGCCTTGGAAGAGGCTCATGTACCTGAGGAATCTTGAAGCTAACGTGTCATTATCTTCATGGTAATTCTACCTCTGAATAAGGGGATATTTATCACCTTTGGATAGTTGGCCTGTGGGACCTCAGCTAAGACAGAAAGCATACTGTTTTCACATCCAGTTAGAACTGTGTTTCTACTATCATTTGTGATATTTTTCCGTGCAGATTTGTCTCCCTCCTCTCTTAGACCACACGTCATTTGGAGCCATTTTCTGCTCCTGAGCACCCTCCACAACATTGAACAGAGGACATGCTGAAATGTCGATGACTAGATAATGAACTCAAGCCTTCCACCCAATATCCAGGAACAGTGCAAAGTCTGGAACAATTCCTTTTCCATATTTTCCAAGGATCTCTTGGTTTTACGAGAGTCCAAAAACTGTGGCAGCACATTGCCTCTTGTTATCAAATCTGTTCTGGAGGTACATGGTTTCTTCCAGAAACGTTAAGGGGAGGACTAGTGGATAGATAAAACATTGCCTGGACCGAGACTTACTGACAGCTCAGAAGCAGGATGAAGTTTTTAACTTAGTGACCAGGGTCTCCCTGGGGACCCCAGAGGGAATTTCTGGAAGCTTACTTGGTAGGTTGTGGTCTGGAAGTTTGGTTCAGAACATGGTGGCAGAGAATCTTCTTTCTTCTTACCATAGCATGATCTTAACAGTTGCTTCTGTTCCCAGACATAGCTGGCACAAGGGCTCAAGCCTGGATCCAGAACTCCTCTGGGAACAGAGGCTGTGTCTCACTTTAGAACTATACCAAAGAGATGTAATTATATCATTATTGCCTGACAATGAAGACTCCATCCTAATGAAAGGGATTCTCATTGTTTCTAGGGGTTATAACAATTTTCAAAGTCATGCCATCTTTATTTATTTAAAATTGATCTACTGGGCCAGGCATGGTGGCTCAGGCCTGTAATCCCAGCACTTTGGGAGGCCGAGGTGGGCAGATCACCTGAGGTCAGGAGTTTAAGACCACCAGCCTGGCCAACATGGTGAAACCCCGTCTCTACTAAAAATACAAAAATTAGCCAGGAATGGTGGCACACATCTGTAATCCCAGCTACTTGGAAGACTGAGGCAGGAGAATCGCTTGAACCCGAGACGTGGAGGTTGCAGTGAGCCAAGATCGCGCCACTGCACTCCAGCCTGGGCAACAAGAGTGAAACTCCGTCTCAAAAAAAAAAAAAAAAAAAAATTATCTACTCTCCTGACACATAATATCTCAGTGTTTCCAAGATGCTCAAATCTGCGTTTTACTAAGGAGTTACCTTCAATGGCCCTCTGAGACTGTCTTCTATCTCTGTCATTAACATATACCATAAAACACAAATTTATTCTTCAGGAAGGCATAGTATTCTGTTGGCATTTTATCGTCTATCTGCCCTTTTCCAGGTAGGTATATTTATGTTTGAATTGTCTCCTTTTCCTTTTGGCCTCCTTAAGGGCATAAATTGTATCAAGATACTCTGCTGTATACCTATGGCGTTTGGACAATTGTAAACAGGCATAAGCCTAATTGACTCCAGCACGAAACTCAGTTACAAGCAACACTTTCAGAACTGGACATAACTTACTTCTTACAGTTTGTAAATACATGTTTCTGTATCGGATACTAAGGAAGCCAAAATGAATATTAGCAGTCTAAGATGCTGACAGCACTGCCCCCCAGCTTATATCATATTCTGTACTACAAGTTGCTAACATAAACATAAACTCTTCTGCACAATAGGGTACCTCACTGTTAGAGTGCTTTTGAGTTATGAGTTTTTCAAGTAGGTATAGAATTAACAGGTATTCCTACTTCATCATTTTCGTGGCCTCAGCAGAATTACTGCATTTTTCACCTTGTGGTTCAAATGAGTTCAAAAGAGGAAGGCAGCATTACATGATGGAAAGGGCCTCATGATGTCAATTAGATTAATAGACAGTCACCTTAAATCCAGTCCCACAGTATCTAATAAGAACTCTGTCTTGCTGCATAGTAATAAAATGGTAAACATGGAGCATGAGATAACCAGGGAACATTTTTGTTTGACAGTAAATTCTCAACCAAATCTTGGTAAAGAAAATAATAATCACTAATGTTTATTGAATACTTAATACATATTAGATTCTATAAACAAATTATCTTATTCTGACTTCAATTTCATGAGAAAGGTATTGCTAGTATCCTCATTTGTCAAAATAGGGAATTGAAATTTTGAAAAAATTGTTTTGACTATATTTACACAGGTAGGTAGGAAGGGAAGAAATATTTATGCCTAAATAGATCCCATACTTTCCTAACTACTACCATTACAGGGAAAAGTTTGAGAAATACCTAGGACAGTAAAGTCCTCACTTAATGTTATCAATTGTTTCTTGGAAACTGAGACAAGTGAAATGACGTATAATGAAACCTATTTTAGGCCAGGCACAGCGGATCACGCCTGTCATCCCAGCAATTTGGGAGGCCGAGTCGAGTGGATTGCTTGAGTCCAGGAGTTCAAGACCAGCCTGGGAAATATAGCCAAACCCCGTCTCTACCAGAAAATACAAAAATCAGTTGGATGTGGTGGAGCGCACATGTGGTTCCAGCTACTTGGGAGGCTGAGGTTGGTGGGTTACTTGAGCCCAGAAGCAGAGGCTGCAGTGAGCTGTGCCACCGCAGTCCAGCCTGGGCTACAAAACAGGACCCTGTCTCAAAACGAACACACACACAGAAAAACAAGAACAAAAAAAGAAACCTATTTTACCATAGACTGATCTTAAACAAGAGTTAAGTTTCTCTGGTATCTTTGTGATTACAAAAACTACACCAAACTTCTAAATAAGAATCAAGAACACTTTTAGTATTAAACATTGAAATAAGTGTGAGCTATTCATACATTTAAGAAAGACTAATAAAAACAAGATAATTGCCCAATTTTTGGTGAATTGATGTATAGCAATGGTCATAGTCCTAGTGGGTTACAACAAGGAATAAATGTTTGCAAAGTGAAAACTCTAAGGAGTATCTTCTCCCACCACAGAGTTCAAAAACAATCAAAAATAAGGTGGACTCTTTCCTACTGTGCCGTTTATTGCCATTTGTATGGTTATCGTAGACTTCACAAATTTTTATTTTACAATCATTGGCATTCATTCATTTTCCAACCCAGTTATTCCAGTTCAGGGTATTGAGTGGGTAGATTCCATCCTGGCAACTCAGGACACAAGGTGGGATCTCACCCTGGACAGGATGCCATCCCATCACAGGGTGCATGCGCATGCACACACACACAAACACACACACACACTAGGAATGGGACCATGTAGACATACCAGGGCACCTAACAGGCACATCTCTAGGATGTGGGAGGAAATTGGAGTACCCGGAGCAACCCAAGCAGACATGGGGAGAACATGCAAACTCTACACACTGGACCCAGCCAGCTGGGAATAGATTTTTATCCTCATCATTATAATGAAATGACATTATTCTATTGTACTATTTACCCAAGGCTGATTTCTATGAGAGATCATGAAGTAAAAAATGGGAGGTGAAAAATCTGGCTAATCCTATTGCTTGTTATCCTCCTATTTGTAAAACAGAACAACTTTTTAAAAGTTATTAACAATAAATTTCATAAGCTCAATTGAGGGCTAATAGTGCACACTGCACCATTAGCCAATCAAGTAATATTGTGTGCTTATTCTTGAGTTGGAAGTAAGTGCCAGTTGCTGCCTCCAAGCTCTGTTTATGGAGGAGAGCCTGTTGGGAAGTGAGCCCACCAAAATGCAGATTATTTTTCCTTCTCTTGTGGTCCTGTAAGAATCAATATCCACGATATATGCAGGCTTTTGGATTATTCCTATTCCATGGAACACTGGATGATGTTGGCAGATTATGCATATTAAACATATGTTCTTTTCAATATCTAAATCAATCCAAGTTTCCTAGACACAACTCTAAGTAATCATCTCCACGAAAACAATTCCAAAATCCACTGTACAGAGCTTACCCAAGATAAGAGGATGGTTATCTTATCATTTGAAACAGAGAGTTTACTTTGTTATTTTCTGGATTACTCAAATTCCTCAGGAAGTACTCTTACTTCTATTTACACTTTAAAACAAAGTAGATTGAACTAGCCTAAGAGGTAAACCACCAAGAACTTCCAACATAAACACTTTTGATGATGGTGGCGCATCTATTCTGATATCTGCAAAGGATATCATTCAGGACTTCATGTAATATTTCCAGCCAAAATAAAGACAAGCAGATAGTTACAAATACCTAAAAATAATACAGATGGCATACGAGTTGCATCACTAACATAAATGGTGTGAAAGTCAAATTACCTAAATATAGTAGAGGTAAGTTTCTGTTTTCTGTTGATTAAAAAATAATAATAATGTTTATACTGTGGCAGATCAAACAAAATTGTAGGTTAGTTAAATTTCAAAATTCACAGTTACTTTATGCTTCTTTAAAAATTTGATCATGCTTTTGATACTTACAAACATGACTATGTTTATGTGGTGTATTTATTTCTTATTGCTGTCATAACAAATTACCACAAATGTAAAGGTTTAAAACAATCAAATTTATTATTTTAGAGTTCAGGAGGTCAGAAATTTGAGATGGGTCTTATATGGCTAAAATCAAGATGGCAGCAGAGCTTAATTCTTTGTAGAGGTCCTAGGGAAGAACACATTCCTGGCCGTTGCTGGCTTCTAGAGGTTGCTCACTCATGGCTGCATCACTCTGGAATCTATTTTCATCATCACGTCTCTTCTGATTATGATGCTGCTCCTCCCTCTTATGAAGACCGTTGTGATTAATGTGAGCCCACATGGATAATCCAGAACAATCTTCCCACCTCAAAATCCTAAATTTAGTCGCTTTTGCAAGTAAGGAAACATGTATGCCATAAAAGGTAATATATTCACAGGTTCCGGGGATTAGGATGTAAACAGCTTTGGGTGGGAGGGATGAATTATTCTCCCTATCACATGTGGTGGCATAAACAAGAATGCAATTAAATGTTCCAGTAGAAATGGCCCGGGCTTTACAGTAGTCCAACAGCTATGAAACAGAGTATCATCTCCTCACCTACAGTCTGTCTCATCTGTAATGTGATTACTCCTGGAAGCTCTCATGGAAAAGGGAAGCAGAACTGTTTTTTTTTTAATTTGTTCTGTTTTTGTTTTTGTTTTTGTTTTTTGAGACACAGTCTCACTCTGTCGCCCAGGCTGGAGTGCAGTGGCATGATCTTGGCTCACTGCAACCTCCACCTACCAGGTTCAAGCGATTCTCCTGCCTCAGTCTCCAGAGTAGCTGGGACTACAAGTGCGCACCACCACGCCTGACTAATTTTTGTATTTTTAGTAAAGACGGGGTTTCACCACGTTGGTCAGGCTGGTCTGGAACTCCTGACCTCATGATCCACCTGCCTTGACCTCCCAAAGTGCTGGGATTACAGGCGTAAGCCACCATGCCCTGCTCAAGCGGAACTTTTAAAGAAGTCGCCAGAAAACTTCTCTTCATTTTCATGGCCCAGATTTGTATTTCATGTCAAGCCCTGAACCAATCAAGGATCTGAGTAAGAGAACAGAATTATTCTACACAAAATACATCAAGGCTTACTTCTGAATACTGAATAAGCAAACCACAATATCCATTAGTGAGTTTTCAAAACATATCTTAATAACTATGATGAATAACTCTATAAACACATAACTGCATCTATTCCATAACATGAAGCACTTTGTTTAGAACATTGTATGCCACACAGCCAACAATTAATATACACTACTAGTCACTATTTTATGATTATTACTAGCTGGCTTTGTTAGATGGGCTTTTTATTAATGCTGCGGACAAGTATCAAATAATAAACCTTGAAGAACAGGGACTTAAATAATCCCAGAATACATAACTGAGCCTTGAGTCCTGAAAAAGTGGGAATCCAGCAGGCAGAATGGTCTAGTAGCTAGATTTATACCTCATTCCACAACACTGCAGCCAGTCTTAGATGGTGGATTCTGAATTCTTGCGCATCAGATGGTTCATATTAGCTTCCTACCTTTATCTGGCATTTATTCTGTGTCACTAGAGCTCTTATTACAATTCCTTCTCTATTCTAGAGCTCTCAGCACTCTCCTCTCTGCTAGACACAGATAATTCCTCCAGTTTTCTGCTGTTATTTTGCTTCTATTGAGTGATAACTGTCGCAGCCAGAAATCCTGAGGGTTTACCTGCTCCTGGGATGTGGCTCATTGCTGCCCTTGTTGTCCACTGCCCATCACTGATGCTCACATGGTAGACTGCCAGGTCCGTGAAGTTCTCCCAGCACGGCATACCCAAGGGGAGAGGTCTGTTGCATTTGGGAAACAGAAATTTGCAAACATGAACTAGTGATGCAGGCCAGAAGTGCCTTCTTAATAATGTGATAATGTCACCAAACATCCTGGCCTTAGTAAAGCAAAAGCAGTGAGATACCTTAATCTGGCATGTTTTAGAACAGGAGTCAGGAACAAACCACTCTCCTGTTCAGGGATTTCTGTCTTGTTTCCTTTCAGTCAGAGTTAAAGTCTCTCATAATAATCCTAAAATCAAAATGATTTACATCCAGCTTTTCAATATGTGAACAGAATGGCCATTTTAAGAAGGGCAAAATATAAAGTTGGATAAATTTTGTTTCACTGGAACACTTATGAATGCTTTCCACTGTAGACAAACTGCTTTTTTTCCCCTTTAAACTGGATCGCCAAACATGCTGACTTTAGGACAGAAGCAACTAGACAGATTTTGAGCACTGACTTTATTGTAACTATAAATATTATAACACCCCTTCATAATTTCCTTTAGTATATAAAGAGCTGGGAGTATACAGGAAACTGAAATGCGTTTCCTAGCACATTATATGTCACACACTAACACTGTGGACAAATGAGCATTTAATAAATGCTTTGGAGGAGTACTAATCTGCCAGCTTGTGTAATGCAACTCTGGAAGATTCACAGTTTGAGAAAGTAAATGTGTCTTCCAATTATGCTTAACTTGTAAGGGAATTTCTGAACCAGATTATATTGCATCCATTGTATTGTTTAGGCATATAAAATCCCTGTATGTTTTCTACCCAGAAATTGTAAAATTTGACTTAAAAGTAGTTAAAACTCCCTCTTGTGATTCTTACATCTTACTTTCTTTGACTGTTCCATGCTCTTACTCAAAAGCCCTCCTGGGACCTTGTGATGCCTCAGACTTCCCACTGGCCAATCTTGGTTTACTTTGTCCTCAATTTGTACCATACACTAAATATCCATTCTCACCTCTATTTTTTGTATCTCACCCCTACCTCAGTCAAAAAGCCTGTTCCTTTAGGGTATCAGTTTCAGCTATTAAAAAATAAATATAATAATATGTTATAAAATAAATATGATAAATGTTATAATATTTCACAATCTAAAAAGCATTTATACGTAGTTTCCTTATTTTATCTTTAAAACAGTCCTTTAACATTGATAGGATAGAAGTTATTATTCCTTTTTATAGATGATTAAATTGAGGTTTGTAATAATTAGATAAATTAAGCTAGGCTACATACAAGCAAAGTGGAGAGTGGTGCTCTGAGATGCATGCCAGTCTTATGCTTCTTACTTTGCTAGTCCTTGACTGCTCATTCTAAATCTCACTAAAATATTTAACTTTGTCCTGGCATTTATCAAGACAATAGTGCCTGCGTCCAGTGGTAAAATAAATGCTTTTTTTTCCAAAAAAGATGCAAATCTTTTCCTTATATGGATCAATACAGTAGTCAATCTTTGTATTGGTTGATTAGAACTCCTGGAATGTATTATTAAAAACAGACATTTTTAAACCGGGAAGTTCAGGTAGTTAACCATATTTGTACATGCCTCTTCCTCTTTCTCCCATCCATATAGATGAAAATGGGGGAAATGTAAAATATGCTAGGCCAAAATCTGAGGTGTGGTAATTTTTGGAAATCCCTCAAGTCTCAAGGGTTTTAGAGAACGGATAGTGTTCAGTGACCTGCAGATGCAGTGTATCATCCTTGGAGGATTGAAATTGATTTTCTTCATGTTACCATGTGAGAATCCAGAGCCCGCGCCCCCCTGACCTGCTCATTGCCTCAAGAGTGTGCCATGGCACTAACAGCGAAGGATGTGAGCACCGGGCTTTGAGGGAATCATAAACGGTAGCAGCGGGGCTCTGGTCCTGCGTGCATTGTTTTGAAGTTATTCTTCCAGATTGTGCTTTCATTTGAGTTCATTCTTCTTCTCCGTGTGCTGCCTCATGTGCCAGCTCAATTCTACACTTGCTTTTTATAGCTTCTGAAAAACAAAAATTGTTTGCCCACTAACTGATGTTATTCTTATTATAAAAGCTTTATGGCTGAAATTTGCGAACTAAAGTGAAATCTATATGATCTACACTGTACTTATTATCCTATATAAAGCAATGGAAACCTTCAAAAGTGAAGAACCTCCAGTTGTTGGTTAGCCAAGCATTCAGAGCAATCAAGGGCGACAACAGAACAACGTTATACAGGAATTAGAGTGGCTCTGCTGTGAAGCTGATGAAGCTTAAACTGCAGAGCCCACATTCACACAGGCCCCTTCCCAAGACCTTGAAAGAGGGCCAAGCAGTGTGTTCACATGGTCATGGGTTTCTGTAATATTTGCAAAACCAAGGCATTTACCCACAATTGTTTAAAGAGTGATGTTACTTTCCACTCCGCACACTCCTCCTTGTGTGTGGTGGCATTAGAGAAGCCATGGGCATTTGAGAAATCTGGCTTAAGGAGGGTTGAGTTGAATTAGGGATACACTTAGTTTGGGCTTACTGACATCTATGTATATGATTCTCAGGCATATCTGTGTGACATGAAGTCATTGCTAGACATCCCTTTATAGGAACAGCAGCCAGATGGGCTCCTGCAGTCCACTTCTCTTAACCTGTGCCAGCATACCTAGCATTGTGACAGGAAAGGCAGCGGCAGAGGGCCCATCACAACAGGAGCATGTCCTCTGGGAAAAACTGTGAGAATCATCACACTGTAAATTTGTCACTAAAAACCTCATCAGCACCCAATGAATATAAAAGGTATCTTCTGTCAGGAATATACTTAAAAATGTAGCATATGCAATTCCAAACACACCATCTATATAGCTCATCCTAATTTATTTTTGAGGGGAACCAATAAAAATGGAATATATCAGAATTCCTGTGTATTTCAGGGCACAAAGTATAGCAGTGACAGTAGAAAGTTTATTTCTAACAATTCACATATGAAAGAAACTTGATAGAGATTTTCCCAAATGTATAATAATCTTAAGGTTTCTAGGACATTACCAATAATGATTTGTGTAGCTGCAAAAACATTTCTAAGCTAACAATATGGATAAACTTTGAATGATCATGCTAAGAATTACTGAAGTATATTAGTCTCTCTATTAAAATATAAGTTTTTATTATATGAAGATGCAATCAAAGAGTATACTTCCAAAAACTGGAAAAATATGGAGGTTGTGTTAAGCAATGAATTAGCTTTAAAAAGTTAGTCCTTTTTGTCCGGAATTAGGAATATGTATATGGCCATTTTTTGGAATTTGTACATTGGCCTGAATTTTTTCTCATTCTAAATAAAAGTGTTTGAACAGGCCCACTCTCCCTTAACATGTTTAGGATCTAGGGAATAGTACAACAGAGGTGCAGCCATACCATGTGATTAAATGTCTAAATTTTAAACATGCTAAGAATTATAAATAAATTATAATCTCCAGTCTTCACAAGTATACCTCCATATTGATAAATTTGAGAAAAATGTTTTTTAAAAAGGTTGTTTTTAGATGACTAGAAGTTGGCCAAATGTCATGACTGAAATTAATTATTGTATAGATCCAGGTATTCTGTTGAGGGGATGGTAATTTTCATATGGCAAAAACAAAAATGTACATAATTCATAAATTAAAGATTTTTTGCCTTTTTTTACTTTTCAGCAAGAGCACTATGTATATTGTAATATTCAAGATTTTAGATAATTTGTATTTTATTCATAATGATGCCATATTATCAACTCTTTTTGAGTATTTAATAAATTTTTAAATGAATTCAACTTGAAGGAACTTTGTTGAGACAGTAGCAACTGAAATTATCAATAAACTTATTAAAGTGATACTTAGATTGAGATTTGAACCATCGGTTTTAAATATCATGTTCAAACATTATAAGAATTCATACATGATGTATTATTGTTACAAAAAATATTGTCAAACATTTTAATTTTATCCTATAAAATTAAGATCCTATAGCTGTCACTTATATTGTAACTTATATTCTCTTAAGGCAATATCTAGATGCACATAGTGAGGTAAAGAATGTATATTCACTTCAATTGCTTATATCTAGAGCTACGTATATACTAATTTAAGAATAATATGAATCGTCTACCACTGAAAAGTGTTTTTCAGCTGCCATTACTATAACCGTTGTGAGCACCATGCATATTGTGGAAGCACCTCTGAATTCATACAAAAAGTATTTATAGAAGCATAAGAAAATAAACAAATAAGAGAAAAAATGCATGAATAAATCCTTGGCACTACTGGGAAACTTCAAGAAGCTAGACTCTCTTGCAGTCATGCTTGCTCAGCAGAAGGAATTAACAAGATAATTAATTTGTCTTTTCTCTTAACCTAGTACTTTTGCTGCTCAAATCACCTCTAAGTTTGATGTACATCTCAGATGTTGACAGCAGCAAACTCCCCAAATCTTCCTAATGTTTAGACATAGTCACCTTTTGTTTTGAGACCATAGAGCATGAAATGTGGAAAAGCCTTTCCCCATGGCCTAAAAGGTAGTCATGAAGGCACAGGTGTGGGTTTACAGGTGGCTCTGAGTTAGCGTTGTGTGTCAAAATCCCAAGTGACAGAGGAGCTGGGGTTCTTTAATAAACTGTATGTATGTTTATGCATGTATGTCTCTATCCATAACAGGGACCCCCTCTAGCCCAGGTTTAAGGGCAACACTAATATAATAATTTTGTATTTATAATTTAGTTTTTCTTAAAATAGGTCCTGAAAATAAACAAACTTCAGCCTCCATAAAACCTGGGTGTCCCCATGGAGATAACTTGGATAACTTCCGGGTAAACATGGCTGATTATATACCTATGTGTTTGCTGCAATTCTTTTCTAAACCTCACTAAAATGCCTAACTAGTGATTTTTCTTAAAGTCGTAAACTCCCAAGAGAAAATAACGGAAAAGGATCCAACAACAACAGGATTTAGAAAGCTGAAAAACAGATGTGTGAGTGGTAACTAAATTAGCAGATGAATGAAGGTTAAAACTTAAGTCAACCTTGGAGACTTTCTTGTTTTTTTTGGTTTATTTTCACATCCAACATCCACCCCCTCAGATAATTCTGCTGGCTCTACCTTCAAAACACACCCAGAATCTCATCACTGTTTACTACCTTTATTAGTTCTACCTGTTGTTGTGGGTTGAAGTGTATCCCCCCAAAAGGAATATGTTGAAGCCCTACCTTTGGTATTTAAAAATGAGACCTTATTAAGAAATAGTGTCTTTGCCAATGTAAGCAAGTTAAGATTAAGTCATACTGGATTAGGGGCAGGCCATGCTTATAAGGAGAGAGAAATTTGCAGACATGGTCATACTCTGAGGGAAAGATGGCCCTGTAAAGACAAAAACAGAGATTGCACTTTTGCTGCCACAAGCCAAGGAACACCAGGCGTTTGCTGACAAACTCTGGAAACTGGAAGAGGCAAGAAAGGATTATTTCCTAGAGCCTTCTGATGAAGAGTGGCCCTGCTAACACCTTGATTTCAAACTTCTAGCCTCCAGACTATTAGAGAATACATTTTTTGGTTGTTTTACATCACTCAGTTTATGGTAATTTGTTAGAGCCGTCCTAGGAAATGAATACACCTACATTATCCTATTATCTCTTGCCTAGACTAATGAAGTCATTCCTAACTGATTACTCTCCTTCTACCCTGGTGTCTCCTTTCATCTATTCTTAACACAGAACTAGTGATCTTCCTAAAATATACATTCAATCATGTCGTTTTCGTACTTAACAGCCTGCATTGGCATTCTATTTCCTTTAGAGTAAAAGCCAACATCTGCGCAATGGCAGATAAGGCCCTACATAATCAGAGTAGACTTCTGCCACCCAGCCTTGCCTCCTCTCTGCCTTTCTCATCACCTGCTGCAGTACATTTCACCCCTTCCACTCCAAGGTAGGTCTCACCTCTGAGCCTTGGCACAGGCGGTTCCCCCTGTCTGCAACACCATCACTTAGCTATTCCCTTGAGTAACACCTTCCCTTCCATCAAGGCTCTACTCAGTCCACAGCTTTAATAAGGCTTATCATAATGATTCTTTTAAAACTGCCCCTAGCCCTTCATCTCCTGGCAATGCTAATCCCATTACCCTATTCTGACATTTTTCTTCATGAAACTAGTCACTCCCTAAAATATTAAGTATTTTATTTAGTTATCACGTGTCTCTTTTATGAACTGTTTCTTATACTCTGTAAATTCCTTGAAGAGAGGAATTTTGTTTTTCTTTGCTATCATATACCAAGTGCCTAATCCCTGCTTGGCATACGGTAATAAATATCTGTTGAATGAATTTGTTGTATTGATTGGAGAACCTCAAAAGCATGCTAAAGCCTAACAAAGAACCCCAGAAATACCAAGGTACTGCTGATGAGCAGAACTAGAAATAGGAAGATGGGAAAATTGTTGGAAGAGTTATGTATGTAGCTATTGGTTCACTGGATCTCTTTCACCTTCCAGAAAAAAAGTGATAGGTTTAATTTCTAGAGAGAGTTTCTAGGAGATTTTAGGGGTTAGGGAATGATTTCAGTAGTATTAAATGAAATGTGCTCACTGGACGGGATGATCTCAAAGCCTCTTAGGTTATTTGACTCAAAGAACATTGAAGCTCACATCCCAAGAGAAAATATTTTCTGATAAAAAACGTTGAAGGTGCTCCTAAAGAAATGACCAAGCCACATCACTCATACTAGGCCATGTGAAGGTGCTCCTTCACACTGGACACCTAATAAACTTTTAGTGCCTCATCCTAAAACATGAAGGGATCACCAGGCATTAAAGGAGAGCCTCGAATTTGAAAGACCTTCCCGATAAGCAATAGAATAAAGCAAGTTTAAATATTTCTTTATAAAATATGAATATAACTTTAAGAACACTATGACAAAAAATAAAATCTTGTTTTACAAGAAATACTTCCAACTAAATAGATTTTTTTTTTTTTTTTTTTTTTTTTTTTTTTTTTTTGAGACGGAGTCTCTATCACCCAGGCTGGAGTGCAGTGGCGCGATCTCGGCTCGTTGCAAGTTCCATCTCCCGGGTTCACGCCATTCTCCTGCCTCAGCCTCGCGAGTAGCTGGGACTACAGACGCCCGCCACCATGCCCAGCTAATTTTTTTGTATTTTTAGTAGAGACCGGGGTTGTCTGGATTTTCCTGACCTCGTAATCCACCCGTCTCGGCCTCCCAAAGTGCTGGGATTACAGGCGTGAGCCACCACGCCCGGCCTAAATATATCTATTTTAAGCCTTAAATATCAAGAACTTGTGACAATGATAGTCTGATATTTTTCAGAAACCAGACCAATAAATTGTTTCCCAGGCATTTGAGATCATAATTGATGTCAGGCAGAATAAAACACCTTTTCATTTCAATTTGGCTATCAATGTTCTAGTTGTCTCGTTTTGTTTAGACTCTTTTTGTTGCTGTTTTGTTTTGTTTTTTTGAGACGGAGGCTGTCTCCAGGCTGGATTGCAGTGGCGCGATCTCGGCTCACTGCAACCTCCGCGTCCTGGGTTCAAATGATCCTTCAGCCTCAGCCTCCTGAGTAGCTGGGACTACAGGCACGGGCCACCACGCTCAGCTAATTTTTTGTATTTTTAGTAGAGACGAGGTTTCACCATGTTGGTCAGGATGGTCTCAATCTCTTGACCTCGTGATCCGCCCACCTCAGCCTCCCAAGGTGCTGGGATTACAGGCGTGAGCCACCCGGCCAGCCTGTTTAGACTCTTTAAATTCAAAGTACTTCATGCCCCTTTACAAATATTTGTTGAGCTTCTACTATGTGGAAGACATTTTTAAGTGCTGGGAAAATGTATAAATAATAATATTATCATTTCACTATCACTGTGAGATATAGGCTGGACAGTATTTAGTATTTTTGTTTTGTGACCAGAAAGAGGTGAGACATAGAGATTATGTGATTTAGGCAAAATGAAACCATTAGCTAGAAAATCTCACTGTGGTAAATCCTCCCAACTGACAGGCCCAAATTCTTCTGGGAATTTCGCTTTGATGAAGTTTCTCATCTGATTTTCTGCTTATCAAGCGCCTACCTAGGAATTCCCATGGTTTATTACATCAAAAGAGACAGATAACATTTGAGGTTTTTTTTAAAAAGCAATTTGAAGTCCCTCTCCCCACCTCCACCCACACATTTTATTTTCACCTACTGAAGGGGGAAGCATTAGTTTAAGAAAACTCCAAAAAGACCATTCGCTCAGGCAATTACTTGATTTCCTCTCCTTGAAAATGTCATGCACATTTTAAACACATTGACAAGCAAGGTTTGAAATGCTTGTCACATTTGGAGATGCTACAAAATGCAGTCTGCCCAGATTAATGGATCTTTGGATTAAAAGCTATTATTAGGTTCAATCTTTGTGATATTTTTTCAATCTTCAGTGTAGGGACAACATTCTCCTCTCTTATTCTCATTTCCTAAAGTTTTCTGAGACCCACTGTAATAGTGAAGATTCTCTCAGCTACAAGTTGTAGAAACTTTGATTAAAATTGGCTTAAATCACATGATAATGTTTTCATATTTTCATTTTACTGGAAATCCAGTGGATTCCAGAGAGGTTAGGTCACATGCTCAAAGATATTATCAAAGGCAGAGATTATTCTTATATCTTGCTTTTCCATTTTTGGAGGTAGCTCTTCCCTTTTACTAGTGATGAAATAGCTGTAACAATTTCAGGAGGCACATCTATACATGACAACAATTAGGAGAAGAAAAGAGATTAGCTTTTATAGGTCCTTGGGAGCAAAATGTAATTTCCCAGAAGCCCCTGTTGGCAACTTCTCTTCATTCTCTGTTGGCCAGAATTGGATCACATGCTCACTTCAGAATCAGTTACTGACAAGTGTGATTACATAACATAAAAATCTGGGACATAATAGATGAAATAGATTTTAGGGAGTAGACTACACTCTTCTCTTCTTTGTCTTTTGCTTGTTTCTCACTGGCCACCTAGTCCTCCTTTTAGTAGGTTGGTGCTCCTGTGTGATGACTAACCTTAGTTTAAAGAATCAGAATGCACCTGTTCTGGGCCACCATTAACACCAAATCCAAGGATATATTAAGTTTCAGTTTCATTAATTTAAATGCAATGATAATCACAAATTTGGGATTACTTATTATCACCTCATGCCTCTTGCCACAATGCCCCTTCATTAATAGATAATTCAGGACAAATAGAATCAGAAAATTTGAATTTCAGTCTCATCTCTTTCACTTACAAACTGTGTGACATTAGACAAATTACTATGTCTGCCAATCTCAATTTCTACATTAATAAATTGGAGATTATTGAGTCTCTCTATATTATTGAAGCTTATTGGGATTATTAAGTAAAATCATCTGAAACAATGTTGAAATTTTAAAGGCTATATGGAGCTACAATTTATTGAGAATTTGAGACAGGTACTATGTTAATGACTTCAAAGAACATTTCCTTTGATCTTTACAATAACTTTATAAGGAAAGTATTATTCCTGTTTTACAGATGAGGAAATTGATACTCAGAGATTAAATGACTTGCCCCAGTAGTGACAGCTGAGACTTCAACTAAACCGATGCCAAAACTCATGAGCTCAAATGCCATTATCTACAGATACACGGAAGTGTTATTACTATTTCTGAAAATTCACTCACATACAGCACCCTTACTATACTCCCATTATGTCATCTTATACATTAATCCATAATATTTATTGAGCATTATGTGTCAGATATTAGGATGGATGCTGAAAAGAATCCAGATAATTACATGAGTTGCTTCCTGTTATCGAGGAAAGTATAATCTAGCCAGGGAAACGAAAATAACTGATCATTCAAAGGAATCAGCAATAAATGTGAACAGACTGGCACAAGCAGTAGCTGATGCAGAATTTATGTACTATGGGAGAAGCAGCTTAGGTTTGTGGATAGCCATGAGGTTCAAGAAGGAGGTGGACTCTAGCTGGTCAGATAAAATTAATACAGAACATGAAAGTGAGGAAAGATATTCAAAGTTAGTCAATATAAATCATCCTAGGGCATAGACCAGTGAATAAGCACTTCTGGGGAGGAATAAACTAACGTATCTGCCCTGGAATTAGAAGGTCTATGTAAAGAGACCTGAAGATTGATGTTGATGAGAAACTGTCATAATACTCCTTCACCCTTCACCAGGAAGAAACTATTTTCTCAGGCTGAAGAGATGGGATACAGGGTATCGTAACAGGCCAGGTAATGAGCAAGAACCCTCCTGACAGGAAATGGCAGAGTCAGATTTTGTCATTTTCTGATTTTTTTTTTTATATTCTTAAAAACATTCCATTTATTTACAGATGTATAAAGAGGCAAATTATTGGTCTACTGAGATCATGTTTCTTACAGTGTTAGAGTGAGAGCTCACTGTCTTCCAGATTCCCCAACTCCTCTCACTTAACTTCACCTTTCATAATCACACATGTAATATCCACAGATCAGTTTCCCCTAGGGTATGGTTAAAGGGTAGGAGTTGTTGGAGATTTTAGATTTCTGTCAAGACTCCAGGATTGTTCTGAAGACCAAGCCCTCCTCAAATTATTTCTGATAACACTTAGTTCTAAGAGGTCTTGAGAACATAGTGTCTTGGGGGTTAGAATGATATCTGCCGTGTTCCCCCTAAAACGCCTGGAATCATCCCTCATTTCCATCTTTGTACAACTCTTATCAAGATGAGATTGCTTGTAAAACTTATTTGCTGTCTATGTGGGTCTCTTTGTGCTCATGTATTTTAATTTTTGACAAAGAAGTCTTCATAGAAGCATTTGGGCCTTCTTGAAAAGCTAATAGTATGATTTAATATCTACTCCTAAATACATCAAATTCTGAATATACCAAAAAAAAAAAAATTAGAAAAAAAATCTACACTTGTATGGGTTAAATGGTATGAAGTTTCATTTAGACAGTAGAGAGCGGTGAAGCCAGCTGGACTTCCTGCGTTGACTGGGGACTTGGGGAACTTTTCTGTCTGGCTAGAGGATTGTAAAGTCACCAATCAGCACTCTGTAAAAACGCACCAATCAGCACTTTGCATCTAGCTAAATGATTGTAAATGCACCGATCAGCACTCTGTAAAAATGCACGAATCAGCACTCTGTGTCTAGCTAAAGGTTTGTAAACACACCAATCAGCACTCTGTAAAAACACATCAATCAGCGCTGTGTCTAGCTAAAGGTTTCTAAATGCACCAATCAGCACTCTGTAAAATGGACCAATCAGTGCTCTGTAAAATGGATCAATCAGCAGGACACGGAGGGGGGCCAAATAAGGGAATAAAAGCTGCCCACCCAAGCCAGCAGCGGCAACCTGCTCAGGTCCCCTTCCATGCTGTGGAAGCTTTGTTCTTTCGCTCTTCACAATAAATCTTGCTGCTGCTCACTCTTTGGGTCCACACTACCTTTATGAGCTATAACACTCACTGTGAGGGTCTGTGGCTTCACTCCTGAAGTCAGCGAGACCACGAACCTACCAGGAGGAACAAACAACTCCGGATGCGCCACCTTTAAGAGCTGTAACACTCACTGTGAAGGTCCGCAGCTTCACTCCTGAAGTCAGCAAGACCACGAACCCACTGGAAGGAAGAAACTCTGGACACATCTGAACATCTGAAGGAACAAACTCCAGACACACCATCTTTAACAGCTGTAACACTCACCGTGTAGGTCCGTGGCTTCATTCTTGAAGTCAGCGAGACGAAGAACTCACCAGAAGGAATAAATTCTGGATGCAGTAGGAATAAGTTTTTTGTGATCTATTGGACAGTTGGTCACTATAGTTAATAGAAATGTATGGTATATTTGAAAAACTGCTAAGAGAATAAATTTGAAATTGTTCTCACAACAGAAAAGATAAGAATTTGAGAAGGATATGTTAATTAGCTTGACATTTCACATTTCACAGTGTATACATTTTATACATATAAGATCACTTTTTACCCCATAAATACATACAATTATAATGTTTTAGTTTCCAATAAAATAAAAATTCAAAATAAACAAAAATAATAAAATAAATAAATAAAAATTTTAAATCCCAAATTCTGCACCTCTGCCCCCAAGACTATGTTCTCTTAAGAGAAAGCCTGCAAAACTTTTCCTCTCCCCCACATTTTCATGTGCAGGGATTTATCCCAGTGTCTTTGAACTTCCTTGGATTAAATGGAAAATGTTTTACAACTAGTAGCTCAGTTTATACTCTTCATGATCTTTTAAACGCTCCCCACACATACACACACACAAAAACACCAATGTTCCAATATAGAAAACATTACATCTCCTCTCATATTTTGCCTTGGGAGTTTCATTTTTACCAAGTTTGTTACAGTATCCATTCCAAATAAGTCAAAGAATTGAAAATACATAAATTAAGACTACATTTTTTTAGAATTCTTTTTAGTTTTTAGCAACACATTAAAATCCCATAATAAAATTATTGAAGTATAACATATGCATATGCCCATGAAACTATAACCACAATCAAGATTCTGAATGTTTCCATAATATCCTAAAGTTTTCTTGTGCTTCCTTCCCATTCCATCTCTTCCTATATCCCTGTCTCCAGGCAATCACTAATCCGCTTTTATTGTTCTAGATTAGTTTGCATTTCTTAGAATTCTATATTAGTGGTAACTAACAGTATGTATATTTGTGTCTAACTTCTTACACTCAGCACAATGATTCTTGAGGTTCATCCATAGTGTTGCATGCATCAGTAATGTGTGCCTTTTTATTGATAAGTAGTATTCCATTTGTATTGCAGCACCCCATTTGTTTGTTTATTTATCTATTGCTGTAAATTTGGATTGTTTCCAGTTTTTGGCTATTGCATATAAAGCTGCTATGAACATTTGCATACAAATTTCTGCATAGGCATATGTTATCAATTATTTGCATAAATAGGAGTGAAATGGCTGAATCATATGACAGGTATATATCTAAAATTTTAAGAAAACCGTCAAACTGTTTCCAATGAACCTTTTGGTCAAATGTACCATTTCCAATTTACCATTTCACATTTCTACCAGCAGGGTATAAGAACTTCACTTCCTCCACATCCTTGTCAATATTTGGCATAATCAGTCTTTTTTACTCTAGACATCCTTGAACATGTTAATTGATTGTGCAGCTTTAATTACCATTACCTAATGAATAATACCGCTGAGCATCTCTTCTGTACTCATTCACCACTCATATGTCTTCTTTGGTGAAGAGCCTAATCAAATTTTATTTTATTAGGTTGTATGTCTTATTATTGAGTTCTAAGAATATTTTGTATATTCTGGATGTAAATCCTTTCTCTGATTTTTTTTTTCAAATATTTTCTTCAAGTCTTGGCTTGCTTTCTGCTCTCTTTCTGCAGAAACAAAAGTATTTAATGTTGGTAAAATCCAATTTATTGATTTTGTGTGTGTGTTCTAAACAAGAAAGCCTTGGCTAATCCAAGGCTTAAAAGTCCTTATATTTTATTACAGGTGATTTTATGGTTCTAGGTTTTATTTTTAGGTCTATGACCCATTTTAAAATATTTTTTTGTGTATGGTGCAAGGAAAGGGTTGGTGTGTTTTTCCTCACTGATAACCAGTTGTTTCAGCGCCATTTGTAGAAAAGACTTTTCTTTCCCTGTGGAATTGGCTAGACAACTTTATTGATGATCAATTAATTATATATATGTGTGTGTGTGTTTGTAGGTGTGTATGTGTCTGTGTGTGTGTGTATTTATTTTTGAAGTAAGCTATGGTCTAAATATTTCTGTCCCCCTGCCTCCAAATTCATAGGTTGAAACCCTAAGCTCCAGGGTGATGGTAATAGGATATGGGTTCTTTGGGAGGTGATTAAGTCATGAGGGCAGAGTTATCATAAATGGAGTTAGTGCCCTAATCGAAGAGACCCCAGAGACTTCTCATCCTTTCTATTATGTGAGGACACAGTGAACAGAAAGCCATCTATGAACTAGGAAATGAGCCCTAACCCCACACCAAATCTGTCAGTGCTTTGATCTTGGGCTTCCCAGCCTCCAGAACTGTAAGAAATAAATTTATGTTGTTGTGAGCCAGCCAGTCTACTATACTTTGTGAATTTTTGACTGAACTGAGCACAATTATGATAGGGAGAATTTCTTTTCTTTTTTATTTTTATTTTGTTTATTTATTTATTTGAGATGGAGTTTCGCTCTTGTCGCCCAGGCTGGAGTGCAGTGGCATGATCTTGGTTCACTGCAACCTCTGCCTTCCAGTTTCAAGTGATTCTCCTTTCTCAGCCTCCTGAGTAGCTGGGATTACAAGCACCCACCACCATGCCCGGCTGATTTTTGTATTTTTAGTAGAGACGGGATTTCACCATGTTGGCCAGGCCAGTCTCGAACTCCTGACCTCGTGATCTGCCTGCCTTGGCCTCCCAAAGTGCTGAGATTACAGGTGTGAGCCACCACGCCTTGCTGATAGGGAGAATTTATAAGTCGTCAACCAAATCTCTCATTCTCGACTCAATTTAATCTACCACATTTTGCATTATACCAGGTAAAAATAGCAAAAGCTAATTCACTATGGGCTCTATAGGTGCTCTCTCTCTCTCTCTCTCTTTCTGTGTGTGTGTGTGTGTGTGTGTGTGTGTGTATATTTGTCTTGCAAGAATTTATGTGTTAGGTAGTATTGCAATCCCCATCTTACAGATGCAGAAACTGAAGACAGTAATTACATATCTAGGTCAATTTCATCAATCAAATAAACTTCAGAGGCAATACTCAACCGATTTTATATATCGTGTCTTGAAAAGCTTGTTAAGACTTCTACTCTGGAGTTAAATCTAGCAAATATATATATGTATGCTTTTATGAAATTTTCTGTAGTACAGCCTAAAGCCCCTCTAATCAGGACAGTATTTGAAGAATTCATTCTTAGAGTCTACCCTCCAGAAGAAAAAAATAAATTCTAGGAGCCTAGGTTGAAAAGGATCCTGCTCTAAGACTTGATAGGTGTAAAATTTAAGTCAGATTTGTGGGAAAGGTAAGGGAAAGTGCCAGGGGAAAGGACATCTTCTCTGGGAGAAGCAATTATATTATTATTACTTCCATTTTACTGCTAAGAGAATTGAGACACTCAGAGGGTAATTTGTCTAAACTCTTCTAGCAAAACAGTGTTTGAGGAGCAGGTATTAAAACCCAGGACAGTTTGATTCCAAAGCTCGGCCTGTTTCCACAGCACATCTTTGTTTTCATGCACTCTCACCAACTCCTACCCCATCCTTTCCAAGAATTTTCTTTCAAAGCAAACTGAATACAATAAAAGGAAGTATAAGTAGAGAAAGTACGGACTCACCATAGAAATGCAAGATTGTTTAAATGGTGGATATCAGGGACATGCCTAGCAATAGTGGCCTGAATGCAGGGAGAAAAATATTATTCCCTGGATTGAGAAAAAGAGAGCCAAAATGTTTTCCCTGGATGCTTGAACGTGGTTGGGACTTTCAATAAAAGAAAGGGAAGAAAGTCAGCCTAGGTCTCAGTGACATCAAGTATTCAGAACTTAAAAGAAAGAAGAAAAAGTCTCAAAAAGTACTAAAGAGAACCTCCAAATCTTTTATAAGTGACTTACCCTAGATTTTCTACCTAATTCACCAAGTTAAGTAGGGAAATGGAAATTTATGACTCTTCTCCTCTAGAAATTTGATACTGACAATTAACTTACAATGAAAGGTTAGCTTTCCTGAAAGTGTAAAATTTTAAACTATTTGTATTTTCTTAAAAGTAAATTATTTGCCTACTATTAAATTTCAAATATTCTGAAAGACTTGAGAGAATAATTTTGGGGTTCTTTTTTATTTCTGGGAACCAACATGGAAGGTCAAATTTCTTTTGGGAAACTGCTCCAAAGAATGAGAAAGATTAAACTTATTCACTCCTTGGCTATTAAAATAGTTAATAGAGTCCTTCCTTTCCACACCACAGCCTGGTGTGGTTCTAAGTTAGAATTATAGGGGCCCTGTGCATTTTCACCACATGGTCTTTGCAAACTTTATCCAAGTAGGAACATTTTCTGTTCATTAACTAAGAATCAGAGGAACGTTGGCAGCAGAGCAAAGTTTGTTTGCAAAATGTTTGAAAAAAATAAATAATTGACTGAAAATATTATGTAGAAATTGAACTAAGTACTGTCTTTGTTGGCCATTTAACAATCTATTAAACTAATTTTGTTGATACCATAAAAGTACTAATTTATGAAAGCAAGAAAATTGTGATCATACTCCTAGAATTTTTTACAGTGAAAGTATTTTGGTGGCTAGTTTTGGTCCACTTTACTTCTGTTCCACAAAATGGAATTAAGGAAATTAGAACACTATTCCACTGATGAAAACTTTCTCCTTCACCAAATTTGAGTTAGACTCCTCTAAGACCACTTTTTGACTAAGCCCCAACTTTGGGTTCTGTCCTTGGCCTGTTTGATCCAGTTTTTGCAAGACCCCTGATGAGTTAGTTTAGGGAAAATCCCCAATACTTTGTATCTGATCACCCTTGATTTGTAATCAGATCCCAACCTCCAATCCCCATGCTCCATTATCTTATCACTCTGGCTTACTTTTAGCAAGGATCTTGTCATATCTGAATCTCCTAGCCCCTATGTTTCATCATAGTAATTTTCTAGCCACTGACACACCGGCCCTTGTGCTTTGGCTTTAAATTCCCACTTTTTCTTGTTGTATTTGGAGCTGAGCCCAATCTCTCTCATTACTGTAAAACTCCCATTGCAGTACTCCCGCTTGAATAAAATTTTCCTTACTGTCTTTAAAAAGTTTCATGAATAAGTTTTATTTAACATCACTCTTAAAATGTACATAGTCCCTGCATTTTCCTCATTCTGGAAGGCATTAAGATAATGCTAAAATACACATATATTCTGTAGAAATTATCCAAAAAACTCAACCATTATATATACACACAAAGCCATGTGCACTGTATCTCATAAAAAATTAAAGGGATTTTTCAAAGCAACTTTAACTGATTTTTGCTTAGGTGCTAGCTTTTTTAAGGTCTCAACCAAAAGCTTTAAAAGATATTCCAGTCAGACTATTTTTTAACTGCCATTTAAAATAGAAACTAGAACAATTCTTACAATTCTTTGTAGCTAACTTTTAAGACATATGTATTCAAATATAGAAACCTATGGAAATTTTAATAAGCATATAAAAATGATTCAGTAATATACTTAATTTAATCTGTTCTCAGTTTAGTTCCTTCCAGGGCCAGGGAAGTAACACATCCATGCTTGCTTCCTACTACCCTTACTGGTTAGCTTTAAAAATTTAAGACAACAAAGAATAACAGATTCTTTTTTTCTTTCTGCAATATCAAAAGTCAGAGTCGAAAATAAGGAGAGAAAAAGAGAGAAAGAGAGAGATCAAATAATAATTGAGTAGAGGAGTAAATTGGCCTAATAATTTGCATTTCTGTAATAGCTGATATAGTTTTCCTTGACTTGATTGCAGGTTCCTTGGCTTTATGACTGCCTATATGCCCCACTGTACCAAGAAACAGTGCTTTGTTCTATATATGACTAGGTGAAAAGTAAGATGCTTTGCCAAAATGTATCCCTCACACAGCAAGTCACTTTATTTTTTCAGTGCCCGTTGAATTTTTCATATTATAAGTATTTTCTCAATTTACTCTTTTTTTTTTTTTTTTTTTTTTGACACAGTCTCGCTCTGTCGCCCAGGCTGGAGTGCAGTGGTGCGATCTCAGCTCACTGCAAGCTCCGCCTCCCGGGTTCACGCCATTCTCCTGCCTCAGCCTCCTGAGTAGCTGAGACTACAGGCACCCACCACCACGCCCGGCTAGTTTTTTTGTATTTTTACTATAGACGGGGTTTCACCGTGTTAGCCAGGACGGTCTCGATCTCCTGACCTTGTGATCCGCCCCCCTCAGCCTCCCAAAGTGTTGGGATTACATCCGTGAGCCACCGCTCCCAACCTATTTACTCTTAAAAGCAGAATATAGCTTATGTGATTGTCAACCTAGGTGCACATTAGAATCACCCAAGAAATTTCTAAACAATATTAATACACAAGGCTGTTTTCCAGAGATCCTGATTTAATTTGGTCTGGGATGGACCCCCAGGGTACTGGAAAAAAAATTTAGCATCCTAGGTGATTCTAATGTGCAGACAGATGGAAAATTATGAAAGAATCTTCAATATTAGTTTTGGACACTTATAGAGGTTCCCATATAAAATCAAGTAACAAGAGGTCAAATACATTTAACATAGATTTAGTAATATTTCCTTTTGAGTGTGACTTTATGCTGATAAATGTTGGATGTCGTTAAACAGCCTTTTAAACATGGTTTTCAAAATACATACTAAATGGTTAAATTGTAAAGCTGATGACTAAAACGATATAAAACAACAGTAAAAATATTAAGCAATATTAATTGAGTACCTAAGATGGATAAAGAATACATAAAAACAGAATTATACTAACGTTGTACAAGTGGGTAGTTGTTATAAAATTTCCAGTAAAATCATTACACAAGGATTTAAAAAGTGATTGATAGCAACCCCAGGAAATAACTTATACCTCATTTGTAACCCCTTACAAATTTCAGTACAGTCTTAAGAATATATACATCATATGCATGACATAATAATATATCAGCTTAACCCTAGGTATTACAGAATTATTTGCTATGACATTTTATTGTAATTACTTGACCAAGATGCAAAATTATCACTTCAAAATTAATATCAATTAAAATTATCAATATTTTAACTTGCCATTTTCTGAAACATTTATTTCAAACTAATATTTTATGCTACTAGATTTTTTTTTGCTATGACTTTTAGTGATTCATTAATAAAGGGTTCTAAAAAGCTGAAAAGAGTAAGCATTTAATTTATCAGTGGTATGTTGAACAAATGAATGAATGAATGGGGAGCATAAAAATTGCTTTTTATTTTTCACACATTAATATTGAGTTTTTTTTGCAACATTTTATTATCTCAGTGACAATCAGAAGTGGTTATCAGAGATCTGAAAATAAATTCATTAATGTGGAAGGAGCCCAGAGCAAACACATTCTAGTCTGTTTATACTTTGTTCTATTTTACTTGGTGTATAAGGGATCAAAAGTTGCCTAGTAATACTAGCTGACATGTATCTTTTCTATATGCCAGGCACTATTCTAAGCATGTTACATGTATTAGCTCAGTTAAGAACTTCATTAATAATGAGGCTTCAGCTTATATGGATCATCATTATTTATAAATTCTAAAGAAAATGTTTTTAGCAGAGCTGATTAGATCCAGAGCTGATTAGATCCAGTTGGCTTCCAGGAAATGTATATCAGAAAACCAAATCACTAATTACATTTTAAATATTCAGAAGTGGTTTTTTGAACAAAAGTAGTTCTAAAGACGTTATTCATAATGATGCTAACCTTTTTGATAAATTCAAGAATGATTCTGCATCCTAATCTTTGATCTTTCACTTTTTCTCTTTCTCTTTATATTTTTACCACTCCTTTCAGTGATTAATTTTCAATAATGAGGCCAAAGTTGACTTCTTGCACTTGTTGCTCTGACTATACTACCCACTTTCTATAATCTCAATGGCGTCTGGGATGAGAACCAGCCTCCAACCAGGCAATTCAGAGTCTTTCAAAAACCTATCCTGGACACCTCCATATGCTTTTGCTATCTCCCATCCCCTTTTCCACACTCCAACTCCCCAAGCTCTCTAATTGACTATTTGTGCTTCTGGTCTCCCCACTCTGTTTTCCTAACTCTCCTCCAGACTGCCCCTCAAGGTGAGTTTACTGCCTCCCTCCCTCTTCAGCTTTAACACAATGGCTGAAGAAAATAAATCTTCCCTAGCAGAAAAGCTATACCAATTTCTTTTAGTCTCTTTATTAGAGAAACTTTTATGAATTGAATTGTGCCTCCCAAAATTTATATGTTAAAATTCTAATCCCTAGTTCCTGAGAATGTGACCTTTTTGGAAATTAGTTTGTTACAGTTATAATTAATTTAGTTGAGGTCATGCTGGTGTAGGATGGACCCTGATCCTATATGACTGGTGTCTATAAAAGGGGGAAAGTGAGACACAGATGTACACACAGGGAGAATGACATGTGAAGATGAAGGCACAGATGGGGGCGATGCATCTACAAGCCAAAGAACACCAAGGATTGCCAGCAACCACTGGCATCTAGGAGACAAATGAAGCAGATTACTCCTCATATCCTTCAAAAGGAGCCAATCCTGTCCACACCTAGAAGTTCAGACTCTAGGCTTCAGCAATGAACAGAGTGTTCTAGCGTTCTAGCAGAGCTGGATCCTCCATCCTAGTCCCTAAGGTCCTACTGGAAATCTGTGAACTATTCTGTTATGTGCCAGTAACTCTCCTTTTCTCACTTAAGCTAACACTAGTTGAATTCCTATGCTTTATACATAACTTAATCTCTCTCAGTCTTTTTCCACATCAATAAAATGTAGTCAGTAATAATTGCTACTTCACATTGTGTGGATAAGATATAAAGTTCTTAGCGTAATGTCTGTCACTTAATAAGCAATTGATAAATAATAATTATTAATTTCACTTTTAATGTTAAGAAAAAAGTGAATATATGTAAAAATATTTTGATAAAATAAACACTCAAGTATTATATCAATGAAAGATTATCTCACAATAAAAGTTATTTTTTATTATCTCATATGAAAAAAAAAAAGACTGACCAGAGGAATTCCCATTGCTCCTGGCTAAAATTGCTGTGGGCTTCCACCCTAACAGATTTAGTGATGTAGTTTGTGCTAGTGAAAAATTTTCTTTGTCTCTATGTTAAGATAGAGAAAACTAGGTTTATGCATATGTATGTAATCAATTCATGATACTGACTCCATCCACCAAAATCACATAAATGTTGTACCACTACTGGCCAGGTGAGTTTTGGCAGGTTACTTTAAGACTTACAAACTCAGTGGGGTTTTTCATTTTGTTTTGTTTTTGTCTAACCTTGGCCAGCATAATTTGTTCTAATTTTCCTATAGCTAGAAGTAGAAAACACAAAACTGTAATATAAGTATCATTCCCATGAGCATTACCCTATTGATATCCAACCTCTCCCAAGAGTTCCTAGAAAGTGTCTAGGAAAGACACATGGGAACATTGAGGTAGGTGTTTCAAGTAGAAAAAAAAAAAATTCAATGGGTAGAGAAAGACCCTCACTGAATGGGGATAAAAAAATTCCACTCCATGTTTTGGGTTGAAATGTAATGAAAGATGACAATAATAAGCCTTTTTTTCCTTATTAAACCTGAATCTTCTCACATTTCCTTGATGGCTTCTGAGTGGTTACTAAGTGTGCAGCTCAGTGATTGCCAAAAGAAAAAGTTATTTTAAGAATGAAAAGTTGCCAACATTTTCTGAAGGGAAAAACACTGAATAGCAAAGAGCTAATGCCATCATGTTCATCCTGAATATCAAAAGGTTAGTGTGAACATTAATTCCAAAAAATACTATTTTTCCTTTCAGGTAATTTAATACATTAGCCTGCCCTTTGCTATTATCTTTTTCTTTTGAGTTTAAAAATATTTTAGCTGATTTGAATTAAGTATAATGTCAACAAGAGTAGTTGAAGTCAGGTCACTTTGGTTATTTTTAAAAGTTAGAATTATAAAACCTATTTGACTTTATGAATAATAGAGTAGTTACGGATAACCAGAAAAGCTGAAGATAAACATTTATATTAATCTTTATTCTCAGAGAAGTACTGTAAAAGTGAGAGAGGAGAAAGGAAGAAACCAGTCAGGCAGGCAGTTAGGGTGGGTCTTAGATTGAATTCTTTCAAACAAAAGAAGAGCCTACAGGTATAGATAGATAAGGGAACTTGCACAGGGAGGCTTGCCTAAGACATTCCCACAGCCACACAGATAAGAAAGCCTACACAGGTGACTTGCCCAGACATGTCTATGATGGAAAATTCCATTCCCTGCTACATGCGCAGTAAGGGGAACAAAGCAATATGGAGTTACTCAAGCTAAGGGTTTGCAAGCACACTAGGAGGATGGGGTGGAGCTAGCAGAAATTTGTGCCTTACGCAAATGAGATGCCCAGCCCTCGTCGGTTTCTTATAAAAGTTTATGCATTCAACTGTAAAAATGGCAACCCTCTTCTGGGTCCCCTCTCCGCAGCAGAGAGCTTTCTTTTTCTGCCTATTAAACTTTTGCTCCAACCTTACCATTGGTGTCTGCACTCCATAACTTTCTTGATCATGAGACAAGGAACTTTGGGTGATACCTTGGGCCATAAGAGACTGCTACATTGTGGTGCATTGGTGAGACTGTAACAAAAGTAGTGTAATAATTTATAATATTTTAAATACCTCCTATTTGAGGGTTTGTTTTGTTGTAAAACATGATTAAGAATCTGAAAGTTTACAGCCCCCTTCTTGGTGATATGCTTAAGTTTCAAAAATTGTTTTATTTCGCCCAGGCACGGTGGCTCATACTTGTAATCCCAGCACTTTGGGAGGCTGAGGTGGGTGGATCACAAGGTCTGAAGTTCGAGACCAGTCTGGCCAACATAGTGAAACCCCATCTTTACCAAAAATACAAAAAACTAGCCGAGTATGGTGGTGTGCGCCTGTAACCCCAGCTACTCGGTAGGCTGAGGCAGGAGAATCTCATGAACCCAGGAGGTGGAGGTTGCAGTGAGCTGAGATTGCTCCATTGCACTCCAGCCCAGGTGACAGTGCTAGACTTTGTCTCAAAAAAAAAAAAAAAAAATGTTTTATTTCTATCTCACAAATTAGCAGTAGCTTTTCTTTCTATTTTCTTTCTTTCTTTGTTTCCTTTCTTTTCTTTCTTTCTTTCTTTCTTTCTTTTTTTTTTTTCTTGCTCTGTTACCCAGGCTGGAGTATAGTGGATATGATCTCAGCTCACTGCAGTCTCCACCTCCCAGGTTCAAGTGATCCTCCCACCTCAGCTTCCCGAGTAGCTGGGATTATAGGCACCTGCCACCACACCCGGCTAATTTTTGTATTTTTAGTAGAGATAGGGTTTCACCATGTTGGTCAGGCTGGTCTGGAACTCCTGACCTCAAGTGATCCACCCACCTCAGCCTCATAAAGTGCTGGGATTACAGGCATGAGCCACTGCGTCTGGCCAGAATTAACTTTTCTATTAGTAAATCATACATTTTTAAAAAATCCCTTCTCTTCTTAAAGTGTATCATTGTTTAAATTTTCTTTCAACTTTTTGTTTTTTTAAATATCTTAGTTTAAAATTCTTAATATAAATATGTACTTCCTGCAAAACATTAATTTAATTTGGGGTGAGGTTGCTGTAAATCCTGAGCAGAAAGAATTAAGCATTGTTATTGTAATTTTCAATTTGTGATTATAGTATTGAAAGAGATCATGCGAATTTTAGACTTGACAAACTGACAGTATATTAAAAGACAGGGCTTGATAAACCACAACTTTAGCTAAAAAGAACAAAAGTTAGACGAAATAGCATAATAAAAACTGGTAATACCTATAAAAATATAATTAAATGAGGCCTGAGAATATCTGACAAAATATCAGGACAGCCTCTTCAAATCTTGTGCATACTACTTGTATTATAAATCATGTATCTGAAATAAACCCAATTGTTTGCATTTCGGTGTGTTTTCAGAGACATGAATCTAATGAAAACATTTGTAAAATTTAAAATCAAAAGTTAAGGCCAGGCGTGCTGGCTCACGCTGGTAATCCCAGTACTTTAGGAGGCTGAGGTGGGCAGTTCACTAGAGATCAGGAGTTCGAGACTAACCTGTCCAATGCTGTGAAATCCCATCTCTACCAAAATTACAAAAAAAAACTAGCCAGGTGTGGTGGCAGGTGCCTGTAATCCCAGTACTTGGGAGGCTGAAGCAGGAGAATCACTTGAACCCAGGAAGCAGAGCCAAGGTTGCACCACTGCACTCCAACCTGGGCAAGAGTGAGACTCTGTATCAAATAAATAAATAAATAAATAAATAAATAAATAAATAAATAAACTTTAAAAACCTTACCTTTGCAGCTCTCCAAAATTATAAAGAGGCAGGGAATAGGAAGTTTAATTAAAATTATTTATAATAGTTAAAAACTGAATCAGCCCATACCTAACTTTCCATACTCTTGAATCACAGAAATCTCAAAGGTAAAAATTAACAAGAACTAAAAAATCTTATGTGAATTGGAGAATAATAAAAGAAATATAATTGCGATTTAAAACACTAAGTTTTTTAAGGGGACAAGTTCTATTAAATGGAAGATCTTCTGATTCTACAGAGCATACTAATGGATTGGGTTATGACAAATCCAACAGTTTAAATTAGAAACAGCCACTGGAGTTTGTTTAGTTGCTGTGTATAGTGGCATGAATTTGGTCCTCAGAGGGAAGCAGATGAAGAGGAAAGATGAGAGTGAGAATGGAGAGAGACCAACCAGCTAATTCTGATCAGTGCAGGTCAGTGTAAATTAGCATGGGAAAAACTTCAGTCATGGAGTGGCCTGAAGAACATAAAAGTCTAACATTCCAAAGTTAGGGTGGGGTGGCCTGAAGAACCACTCATATATTATAAATGAGAAGTGTTTATATCACAGAAAGCAAGGAAATCCAAGTTAATTTGGATCAAACTCGCCCAAGACATTAGCAAAGTCTAATAGCACATGAATTCCCTGAGAGTTTAATTTTATAGATGTATAATAAAAGGTCTAATTTAACAAAGTGAAGAACAACATTCTGCAAGACAACCTACAAACTAAATGTGGTCATTAGAAAGCCTTGGGCCTCAACCATGGACCTCTCCCCAGGGTTGCATTATGACATTGTAGCTGGCCATGTTCATGAGCTAGGAAGCAGATCCCTCCCGGATCACACCTTCAGGTGAGACCACAGTCCCAGGTGACACACTATAACTTCTTCAGACAACCTGAGCCAGATACACCCATCTAAGCTATGCCCACAGAATTTGCAAGATTTAAAAAAAAAAAAAAGTCTATTGTTTTAAGTCACTGAGTTTTGGAGAAATTTATTTCACAGAGTACACTAATACTTTGATGGATAGCAAAAGAGAGATTTGGAATGTAGGGGTGCTACTCAAAAACCCTCCAATCATACCATAATAGTTTCCTCTACATACTCAAAATGCTAAATCCTACACAAAGCAGTACATCATGTCACTGGTCTTAAATCTACCTCTTTCAAGCTTCCAGGGTGATTCTACTCACATGACTTTTCAAAATTTTAGTTGCCGTGGCCAAAATCATCTGAAGAAATTAGAAGCATGAGACTAGGACAAAGAAGGAAGAGCAGGACTGGGAAGCAAGGTAGGGACTACTATGTGCCACACATTGTTCTAAATGCTAAATTGTTTAATTCCCACAGTAACCAGTAGAGTAGGTGCTATCATAATCCTCATTCTACAGAGGAGAAATTGGAGACACAAGGAAATCCAGTAATTTGCTAAGTTTATGCATTGGTAAGTGATGGAGTTAGGACCAGAGGTCAGACTAGCTAGCTCACTGTGCTTTATTACTATATCCCACAATTTTATTTTTAGCAAGTATTAACATCCTTTCCCAGCATGACAGATGGGTAGGGACTCCTTTCTCAGTGAAGTTAGTTCTTAGAAGGAGAAAGGGTGTGGTATTAACTCCCCTGCATTTCCTGCCTTTTCTGCCTTTATATCTTCTTAGACAAGGAGAAGCCAGGAGATGGAAAGAGACAGCCCTATTCATCTCAGCAACAGAGTGGACACTCACAGGGTTAGATGTCCTACTGAGATGTCAGTGAGGGTCTCTTTATTCAATGCACAAATGAGAGGTTATATTCTCCTTAGGAAGATAAAAGGAAAGAGATACTCCTGTTTTATCTTTTTTCCATGACTGTTAGAGTAGGAATATTTTACAGTTTTTGCTACTACTTACCTACTTACTAAAAATAGATCTTTAATTAAATTCTTTCTTATGGGAGGTGGTATCCTTGGTTTTCATGTGAATGATCACCTATTCCATCTATCTGTTGAATGCATGGAAAATTATTTTCTGCTATTGTTTAAAGGGAGAATCATGCACATTAAGATGGGAGAAATGGAAAGACTCACATATTTTGCTAATTAATAGAGACAAGTATATGGTTACAAAAAAAAGAACCTGAGGTAACAGTATTTCTCACTCTATTGAAATAACACAGTACTTCAGGAGCTCACAGTTAGTAAGAAACCTGACTTGTTGACAGCTGGAAATATTTGTGAATGTCATTCTTATATTCTTTCTACTGCTTAGATAGTGCTTTTTTAACACTTAAATGTCAACAAGTTCGAATCAGTGTAAATAGGTTGCCTCCACATCAGTCAGTGACAGCAAAATCTCAAAATGTTAGAAGAAAGAGACAGAAGTCAGAAAGTTTTTTACGTTTTTGTCAAAAGATCATTAATTCAATATTCATTGCTAATAATTTATAAGCAATATCTCATAAATATTAGAATGATTAGTAAGATGTCTCTTAATTACTTTCACTTTAGTGATAAACGATTTACTAATAACTTTGTTTCTCCTATATAACCATATGTAGCCTTTAGATTCTATGTCAACCTGTCTTATAAATGAAACCAATGTATAATGAGATGCCTCTAATAATGTCAGTAATGAAATCCTACTGGAAAAAAGTAAAGCAGTGGCCATGTCTCCGACTGAACTCGGATGTTTAACAAACCATGTTATAAGGAAATGCCACTAAATATAGTACCATTACCTGAACAGTTATTAGCACTGTCACTGAAAACAGGAATGGCATTGTGGTGTTTGAATTTATATGGAAGGTGGCTGTAAAAACATTATAGCTGCATTGCATCTGTAAGGGAATTCTGAATCAAAATTGGCATAGAATCTCCAGTATGAATAGAGAAGCTAGAAGCAGAATCAAGGTCTACTGTGAACTACACAGTTCTCTGGCTGTCAGATTATATTCCTTTCCATCCCACAAAACTAAAAAATGTAAATAGAATAAACATGGATTGTACATAGATCTCAAAAAGGGACCGGAAAAAAGAGCCATAGTGTTGATCTAGGTCAGGGCTGTTAAGCTTTTACGGAAGTCTTAGAAGGATACTACGTTCATAGAATTATCTATACCAAAGTGTGCTTTCTGTACTCATCTTGTAATAATTCCTTTTCTCCACCTGTTGACTTCTTACATGCTCCAATGGTTTATGAATGGATTCAGCCCATTAATTTGTTGTCTTGAAAGTTTACTAAAGTTTTGCAGCTAATTTTTTATCTTCCAAGTGTGCCTGACAGAAGTATTTTGAACAAATGATATAATTTTTCAATATAAAATATCAATTTATGCATAACTTTTCTTTTGTGGCTAACTGGAAAAATTAATATCCACGAGCAGATACAATGATATAAGTAAATTGACACACCAAAGAGTTGATTATCAGAAACACAAATAAAAACAAACACTTCTATTATGTTATCAATCAGAGAAATAAAACTTGTTGGATATCTACATGTATTGACAGAGCTTGTCTACATTTCTTTACAGAGTTCAGTGGGCAATCTAGGTTTGGCTTACTCTGGAGCATTTAATTATGCCCCATGATCCAGGAAAAAGGGTTGCTCATGTAAGGAGTCCAACATACACTACATGGCACTTTCACTACATTTTTCTAATGAAAATTGCCAAATTCTTATGTGTGCCTGATCTTACTAAGAAACAGAAACCGCAAATCATGACTACATTTTCACTATTTTCTTGGCTTTCTCTTTTTTGTTAGAGTTGACTACAGAGTTATCCTCTCATAAAAGCCTTGACTGGACATATTTTGTAGGGAGAAATGTCAAAGAGTTCCTCTAGTTTTTGGCGCTGCCTCCCACCTTACAATGTATCAACTTCATCAGCACCCCTGCCCCGTCTTAACACAGTAAGAATTGACAGAATTTCTATTTTGCCTCATGGAATCACAAATATATATTAAATCTGATGCTTCCCAGCTTCTATCTCAGAATATTTCCAGATACTGAGAAGCACTTAGCAAAGAAAAAGTAGGAAAGAATTACATCTTGACACACTATTAAAATATGATTTAATTCTATAGCAAGCTATAAAACACATATATGTAACTATATTGTATAACTGATGTTAATATTGAAATTGTTTTGGTGAACAGCATATGTTTTGTAATAACCTATGGCCTATTGTATTGGGAATTAACTAATTTCCATTCTTCCCTTCTGTCCTTGTAAAACAATTCTATATTTTATTTGGGAAAGTCAATGAACTCAGCTAAAATGCTACATCTCCTACCCTTCATTGCAATAAGATAAGTTCATGGGATTAAGTTCTGGTCAAAAATGTTATAAATAGAAATTTTAAGCCTTTTTTTTTTTTTCCATTTCCATCCTCAATCCTATTTCCCGCTGAAAATGCACATAAGATGAGTGTAGTTCTGGCAGCCATTTTGGATCTCATGAGTTATTTCTGAGGGTGGAAGTTGCATGATAAAGATAGTATTTGAGGAAAATTGAAGGAGCCTCTGTTCCTGAAGACGCCCCCGAGTAACTATTCTAGCCCTGGAATGCTTTCTTTTACACTCCTTTTTATTCACTTTTTACACTTCTTTTATGTGGTACAGAAGTAAATTATCTTTTTTAAAGTAACTGTTGCTAGCAGCCAAGTGAAATTCCCAACTTAATTTGTGTCTAACCAGCTTTCCTTCTCTCTTATATTCTGTGAATTTTCCTTGCCATCTCTTGTCACCATCCCCCAGCCAATATCATAAAAATGGATGTGAAACTCTAGCTCCTCTGTTTCCAGCATGGGTCATGATTGGTTGGAGCCAGTAGTGGTGATTTGATTCCCATTATGAAGTGATGGGTTTTGGCGTGGGTATGTGGTGCATTTTTTGCTATGACAACTAAGACAAAATCAGCTGAATAACTTCTCAAAAGTTTTTCCTTACTCTTAAAAAAGTACATGAGATAGTTTCTTGTTTTTTTTTTTTGTTTTTGTTTTTTTTTTTTTTTGGCTTTCGTATATTGTCATCTTCAAGTCATACAAAGAACTGTGGTTGCCATCTTGGAAACGGAGCCTAAAAGGATAAGTCAATATATTGAGGATGGCAGAGTTCGGGGGAACAGTTGCTAGTGTTGAGCTGACCAATGAACTAAACCTGGAGCTGTCCTCCTTTGGACATTTTGCTATGTAAAATAATAAATGTCTTTATGAATTAGCCCACTTTCAGTTGTATTTGTTGGTATTTTAAGCTGAAAACATTCTAGAAACTGCCGAGGTAATATCTTATTCGTGCCTTTATCATAGTGCTTGGGTTGAGTTAACGGGAAAGGCTGGTAGAGGTGAGGAATGGCAATGGGAGACCCTAGGTAAAGACAAGGGGCCTTAAAAAGAGCTAGAGAAGACATTATGAATCTTTGTGAAAAGGATTTCTTAGGGGAATTTGAAGGACTGCTGATTGTAATGATTCCCAGCTTCATAATTTGGCCTAGAATTAGTCCTACTATAAATTTCTGGTTCTGCAGTGAATTAGTAGATGTTAATGGATTATAAACATCTGTTGTTCTAACAAGGTGATATTTTACCCTTTTATAACTGCTAAAAAATAGAATTACTGTCACTGTTTTTAAAGTCATAACATAGAGTTAATAAATAGCTAAATTTTTATCAGTAAAATACTGGAAATTTAAGACCTTAAACTGATTTTCTTCAAGATGTCTCAGGTAATAGGTAAATTTGGAATTAAAATACATTCAATTTTTAAAGACTCTAGATCCTGAACACTTTCTAAGCTAGAAATATGAGTCCACTGGACATATATAATCTTTTTTAAAGGAAAGAAAAAATATTTCTTTTACTCCAAACAAGCTATTGCAGCTTCCTAGAATTGCAATAGTATTAGCAGTTCATAAAATTATAATATGTATATATATGTCCGCCTATTTATATACATGAATGCATTTGTGTAAATATATATGAAAACACATAAGTCTGAAAACATGCATACATCTTAAATTACATTTATTTGAAAATAAACCCATCATTGAAGATTTCCTTTTCATATACCTGAAATTGCACTTCAAAAAAAATAAATATGCATTTATAACTGATCTTATTCTCAGTTAATACAAATTAATGGGCTTCCTTATATGACATGTACAATGTCAGGTTAACAATAGCCACCTCGAAGATGGGAGGGGCTTATTTTGGGATGCAGTGGTCTGATCTATCCATCGGCAGAGTTAATTTTTCCTTTCATTCTTGAGTTTCCCCTTGTATATCATGGGTAGTCACAGCCTTTCATTTCCTATTGGAGTTTTCTCTTGGGCTGTTGTCCTGACTCCTCTTTTTCAACTTCCCTTTCCTTCCTAGAATTGTGTTGCTATCTACTTTTGAATATATAACAATAAAATTGAAGCTAAAATGTTCCTTGGGTACATCAGACTGTCCAAGAGAGTCAATAATATGATTGGCATATCCATCCCTTCACCATTTGTTAATGTGCATTGTGCTCAAATGTTCAAATTCATCAGGTCAGTGTTCCAAATGCTGATTGGAAATATTATCTAATGTGCATTGTATGCAGTAGAGTCACACTTCAATTTCAGCACAGGTTTTACATTTTAGTTCCTGCTCATAATCTAAATAAACATAGCGTTTCTCAGCTTAGATTTATTTCAGGCATGCTCTCTCCAAAGGATTTAAAAATTAAAATGACTCCATAGCAGAATGGGAATGTTTATCCATTTAAGATGCTTAGAAATATAAGGCATAATCATCTTTCTTTTAAGCATAATACAGTTTTTGAATAACAGAGAAAATCATTTTGAACTACATTTAACAAGTAGCTTGTTTCAGCTTCGATATTAGCTTGATTTACCATCTGCAGAATTACCAATAACATGATGCATTTATTACCCGTAAAAGCTATTAGCAGGTCATTTTGTTCAGTTCATCATATGTGTCTTGAGACACAATCTGGCGTCTAACAGATTTTCATACATTGATGTCGCAGAGAATCAGACTGTTCTTTAATTGATTGTTTCTTGCTAGACTCCTTTTGATTAAAACAGGTTATGCTATTTGCTTTTACTTCCACATTTCTCCACTTCAAAGTCTGGCCACAGAAAGCAGAAATTATTCTCATTTCTCTGGGTTCTTTTAATTCAAAGTGAATGTATATATTTAAAAGTCTGCCATAATCAAGGGCTTTAAAAATGACTTCGGTTTTTCCAATATATGACTCCCTCAACAAGAATGCAATCCTTACCATGCGTTTAAAAAATGGATTTATCTTTTCCTGCCAAGTCATCATATATTGAACCTCAGAACCTTAAGTGAGTATACAGATCATAGGGACCAAAGGGAATAGAAAGTCTCCCTCAAAGCACTCTTTTCCTCACAATTTGCACAGACCCCGACAAGCAAAGCTGAATTGTGGTGATAGTGTTGTATCCTTTTCCAGAGGGAAAAGAAAAAAGAGTCTTTTGCTAAACTGATTTCAGAAGGCCTAACTCATATTGTTCATTTAAGCAAAGAGATTGCGAAGCTCCTGAGACAGCCCCCCTCCTGAAACGAAACAAAAAAAGAAAAGAAAAAAAAAGGAAATTCCAAAAGATATGTGAACTCAAGGGAGATGGGGTCGGTGGTCCTGTGTCCGGCCTTCTACACACATTCCCCACACAGTTAACACCATAAAAATGAAAAGGCTGAAATCAGATCAGTACTCATCAATAGGAATGAGTAGCAGCTTGCAGGCTCAAAACAAAAGCCTAATTCAGCCCTCAAAAGGTTTTTGTTTGCCTAATGTCAGAAACAAACATAAAACTTTCTATCATGTGACATCCATGACACCAGGCGAGAGCAGTCACCCTTCCCTTAGGCTTCTGTCTGACATAGACAAAAGCCATCAATAGCTCTTTTGTATCCTACCTCAGCTGTCTGTCTTCATTGATGAGTCAGCCAATCATTCCCAATTGTCATCCGCTCCTTCCAGGTGAAATTCCAAAGTTCCCTGTAACAGTCCTCCAGGTCCCAGGACACACTAATTCACAAAATACTATTCTAGCCAATAGCACTCTTCACAGATCAAACATTTTATCAGGAAACAAAAATCATTTTAGTTCTTATTTGAAATTTTTCTGTTTCTTTACTATTGTTTCCACACATTTTGTGAAATATTGGCTCTTCTAAATTTTTTTGGGTAACCAGAAATATGAAAGTATACTACATGTTATTTTGTCATTTTTGTACCAGTAACTCCTTAAAATTTACAGTAGATCTATACAAAGTATAGCTGCATGGGGATTCTAAAAGATTTTTAATGATTTAAACTTGAAAGCCACTATTCAGAGCCAGTGATGCATTGAGGAAAATTATGTAAGTTGTATTTTAGAAATTACTTTTACTCTAAAATTTATTTAAAATCAAGTTGCGCCAATCACTTAAAATATTGCACCAAATTTCACAGGAAATCTCTGGGTGGATGTTTAGTATAAACTGAAAAGCTTAAATGGCTTAAAAATAGCTTGGAAACATCATATAGACACATGAGGCAGTTATTATGTTTAAGTGATGGGAGTTTAATGGTCTTCTCATACATTAAGCCTACACTCTGATGATGGGGAATGCTTTCATCTCACTCTAGAAATGGATAAAAATAAATATTTAGATTGAGTAAATCTGTTGATTTATTTAGTTTCCTTACCTATTTGTAATATTCTTGAAATTCAATGAGGTGAATTTTTACAGCTCAGAGTTCATTAGCCTTCAAATATATAATAAATAGTATGCACTTGGGACAATTAACTGAAGTATAGTCCTGTCTCCTCTCATGATCATATGTTCCAATTTGCACTACTGTAAAATGAAAAAACAGCAGCAACCACACTATTTTATTTGATGGAATACTTCTTTAAATTGACACTAACAAATACTATTCTTAGTTGTGAAGAAATAAGTATAAGTCCTATTCATAAAAATATACCTGTATCAAAGACAGTAGAAATGGCTAAAAATGTACCATTATTTGATTTTGAATTTAAAGTCACAGTTTTCAATGAATCTGTTATGGGGAGATATATCACAGGACACAGCAAGAACTGCATGAAAATTTGTACTTAATACAAATGTAGGCAGGTAATGGAATGGGTTTAAAGATAAATATGTTTTTAAAATGGTATGCTTCTCTAGATGAAAATATGAACTTTTGCCAGAATCCCTTTGAGAGAAGTGGGACAAAAAGCAAAATTCTTTGAAGTGTTCATCAACGTTATCTGTTCTAATCTGGAACTACAAAGTTATACAATCTGTAGATTTCATTTACCAGCTCTGTACCAGTCACTCATGTTAATAAAAAAAAGGATCAGCTAAATGTATTAAAATAGCAGACGTATCCTGAATTGTTTCCTCTGACAAGTGAAATAATAGTTTATTATTATTATTCATCACACATTGCACAGAATTTCTCTGTAGGTCTGTGAAGATGTGATATAAAAGGTAATGTATTACCCAGTCAGAGTTCTCCAGAGAAATAGATCCAATAGGAGATCTATCTACATAGAGAGAAAGAGACAGAGAGAGGGAGAGATTTGTTGTAATGAATTAGCTTGTGTGGCTGTGGAGGCTGTGGAGTCCCAAGATCTATGGTTGGAAAGAAAGAGACTCAGCCAATCAAATGATGTAGTTCCAGTCTGAGCGTGAAAGTCTGAGACACAGGAGTGCTGATTGTGTAGTTCCAAATGAAGTCTAAAGGCCTGAGAAGCAGGAGAGCTGATGGTAAAACTTTTATCCGAGTCCAAATCTGAAAACAAGAGAAGACCAATGTCTCAGCCCAAAGACAGGCAGAGAAGAAGCACAGTCTCCTTAATCTGTCCTTTTTTTCTATTCAGGGCTTCAGTGGATTGGATGAAGCCCACTCACATTGGGGAGGGCAATGCGCTTTACTCAGTCTACTGGTTCAAATGTTACTTTCACCCAGAAACACTCTCACAGTTACACTCAGAATAATGTTTAACCAAACATCTGGGTACCCCATGGCCCATTCAAGTTGATCCAAAATTAACTATCACAGTAATGCACGGTAATTTTATTTCATTCAATGGCTTTCTTAATAGTGAAAAGTGAGATCAAATAAATTACCTTAAATCCTAACAAAATTTACCTTTTAGGCTTCCATTTCCAAATTTGGTAGAATGTTCTAAGATAAATGAATTCTAGGATTTTAACATTATTTTTAAAAGTATATATTATTGTTCTCATTTAGACATGAAGAAACTGAGACTTCAAGATGCAGTTATTTCTCTTTCTTTTCATTAAAAAGGGGGATATGAATAAAACCTCCTCCCTCTTACATGAGTTTCCTTTATTTTCATAGTGGGAATCAAAGTCAATTCCATTTTATGAACCCAGATGATTGGGTAGTGGATGGATACAAGGCAGCATGATTTCTTACTTCTGTTCTTTGGAAATTATTTTCTTTTATAATAAAACTGATGCAATTATCTATCTTTCTCTTAACCACCTGCTTGCATTTTTCTTCAACTACGTAGTCCATGCTACAAAGGCATATGTTGGGTATATAAGCTTTCCCATGCCAACTATCATGATGGCATCTAGAAGTGAGTCAACCCAACTGGTACCTCCAGGGCCCCAGAATGATGCAACAACAACAACAACAACAAAAACCCGCTAATCAGAGGATAAGGGGACATGCGGACTGGCAAGTTTCTGAGTAAATGTAAGTCTGGTTATCCATTTAATCATAATCAAATTATTTATTTAGTGCTTGAATACATGCTACACACCTCTCTATAATCTTTGATTTATTTTTTTATTTAATTCTCCCTACAGTCTTGTGTGACATATATTTTTTCCCATTTTAGAGATGATGAAATGAGACCCAGGGAAGTTAAGAAGGTGAGAACCATTTGAACTGGGCTCCAGAGCCTTGCTTTGACCATTATGCCAGTTCCCACATCCCTCATCTGCATAACGAAGGAAAGTTAAGCTCTTGAAGTTTCTTCTTAGTCCTTGTCTTCTGTGACCCCTTTTCCACTCTAAATTAACTTCCACTTGCTCTTCGAATCATTTTATTTCTTATTTGATCACTTTAATCTTTCCTCTAGATAAGTGATCCACACTTAATCAAGACATGAGATAACTCTCCCATTTTATCTCTTTTTTCTTTCTGCCTTGCATCACACACACACACACACACACAGACACACACACACCCCACACATTCCATTGTATAAGGTCGTTATGTTCTATAAAGTCCCTGCAAAATGGAATTAGCAAATACTGAATCATTGCTCTTAGGAGACATATAGAGTTAGGTTCCTGTAAGTCTCTGGTTACATTTTCATCACCCTATCAGTGTGTAACCTTGTTCCATGTGTGTTTCTCTTTAAAGCCATGTTATTTAACATATGTTGTCAATTTATTAATGTTTAACTCACAGCCAACATGCCTGAATGAAGCTTAGCTAGCACATATACTTCCTCAGTAAGACACATCACAGCTTTCTTGCACTTAAGAACACAATGCACCACTTCAGCAATATGTTTGGGAGTCATTTTAAACACAGAAATCACCAAGAAAAAGTACAAAAGTGCAAAAACTGAAGCGCTAAATATACAATGAATAGGACACTTGGTGACAGTATGAGAGCTGGAACAAGAAGGCAGGGCATCACTTTGGCCTCAGCTGGGAATGCGTGTGTCAGACAACTTAACTTTTTCATTGTTCTGCACATGTGCATATCTGCAAAGACTTTGAGTGCATCATAAGTATTGATTTGGGGGATATAAATAAATATTAGTGAACAGGCAAATTTTCAAATACAGAATCCATAAATAATGAGGATCCTCTGTGTACATCTCATCTTTGATCTCTGTCTTTCCACCTCTCTCCTTTCTCCCTTCCCCATTTTCTTCTCTTTTATCTTCTCTAGAGGAAATTAAATAAGTAAAAAATATGAATTTTCTTTTCAGCCTTGTTTCTGCTATCCTTATTGTCTTCTGCTTTTCAGAATTGCTAAGATTATTCTACACATACATACACACACAATTTTTGATTCCAAATCAATTCAGCACACATCTATGTTGTCATCAATGTTATGGCTGATTATAATTATTTTATATAACATGATTTCTGCTTGAAAAGTGGTCTTTAAAATGTTCGTAATAACAGAGAATCAAAGGCAAATCCAGGAATTCTTGCTTTCTCCTTTCTTTCGCTGACCTCTATATCACCTCACACTATACAGAGGCAAGAATGTCTATATTTCTGATTTTTTAAGCTTCAAATTACTTGCATTTAATTTAGCAATCTGCTCTTCATTGGAGATAGTTGAATTTACAAAAGCAATTACACCAGTTTCCTGTGACTTTGAAGGATATATATAGTTGCGTTAATTAAGTAGAAGAGGAGAATGTGGATTGCTGGTGATTTTCCAGTGGAAAAAAACAATTGTCGTCGTCTGTGCAGCATTAATTGCTACATAGGGTAGGAGATTAATATTTTTAACATTTTAAGTGGTTTTGCATAAATGTTAGCAATAAGCAAGCCATTTTATGTCTTATTGGTTTGCATTTTTAATAATATTGGAATGCTAGCCTTCTCATAAAGGAAAGATTGCAACAAAACAGAAATAGTGTTTCAACCTTGCTAGTTATGTGCAAACTGACCCCATGTACCCTCTTTGGGGAACACTCAAAGACAGTGGTACTGTTGAAACCATAAAAAGGGGAAGAGGTAATTTATTTTTAATTTTTCTTACATTTGTGAATTTAGTGCCAGGAAAGGCTAACAGCATTGGCTAAGGACTCCAAGGAATAGATGCCATGAACACTTTCTGCATCTTTTCTTTTCTTATATTAGGTTTGGCCTTCTTTTAAAAACAGATCATTAAGTTGATAAAACTGCACCGAAATATAAATTGGCATATTCACTTGTACAAAGATAAAACTCAACCAGATTCTTCATTTATTATTTAACCCGGACAAAGAATCTGAAAATGTAGTGATCATTACTCATTCATTCGACAAGGATTACTGAGCTCCTAGGATGTACCAGTCCCTGTTCTTGAGCTGGCAGTACCGTAGTGAACTGGACAAACAGGGCGCCTTCACTCACCCAGGTGCAATCCATGGACATTCAGGATGGCTGTTCTAACCCAGACCATTAAAGAAGAAGTGCAGTATATTCAGATTGTTACATTAAATTTAGCCTAAAGCTGCCTCCTTACATATTTTAAATTTGGCCTAGTTTCTCTTTACATAGTGAACTGTAACCTTACCAGATGTGTAAACAGACTGTAAACTACCTTGTTTCCATCACTGAGTTTCAGCCAATCACAAGCAGCCAACTATTCAAACCATGATCAAATAAGGCAAAAGTCAAGCTGTAACCAATCTGGCTGTTTCTGTACTTCACTTCTGTACCTCACTTCTGTTTTCTGTACTTCTCTTTCCTTTTTCTGCCCATAAATTTTCAACCACGCAGCAGCGTGGAGTCTGTTTGAATTTATGCTGGTTTGGGGGTTGCCCAATTCATGAATTGTTGTTCCTTGCCCAATTCATCTGTTAAATTTAATGCGTCTAAGGTTTTTCTTTTAACAAGATAATAGTAGAAAACAAAATAAAGAAAATAAAACAGTGTGATATTATAGAGAGTGCTTTAAGTAATGAGGTTCAGGAAGGCCTCTCTGGAAAGGTGATATTTATATTGATAGTTGAATGAAGAAAAAGCATGAGCTATTAAAAGATGGGAGAAAAGGCTTTTTATACATTGGGAACAGTAGATATCAGAGTCTGTGGATTTGGGCTTCAACCTTGAGGAACAAAAAGACCAGTCTGGCTAGAACAGAGTCAGAAGCAAGGGGAGATGAGGATGGTAAGGCCAAAGCCAGATCCTGGAGGGCTTTGCCTGCCACGGAGAAAACACTGGATCTTATTCTAAGTGCAAAGGAAAATCATCAGGGATGTAAGCAGAAAAAGAGCATAATCTGACATTTACTCATAAAATGGAATTTGGCTGCAAAGAGAATGAACAGGGGAAAGCATGGTGGGAGAAGAATGGGCAAAGGATTGGATACAAATCTTATTCATCATTTTAAGCCCAGGTCAAACAGAAGCAGAGATATTTGTCTCTTCTCCTATGCTCCAAAAGCACTTTATTTCAAATAGAACTTGTGTTATGGGGTAAGCATAATTTTCTCTCTCTTGTGCTAAACTGGGGGAAGACTGGCCAGTGGCTCAATGCTCTTGTTCCTAGCATAGATACCAGATCATAGCCCATGGTCAGTTGGCAGGTGCTGAATTGAAGTGAACCAAATTAAGAGGACATATTTAGGCCTGAATTTATTGAAAATAGCAGGCTCTAAATACTAAGACAATATATAACTGATCATTGAAAAAAGGAGAAACCTTCACAAATGTAGATTTAAAATTTTTCAAAACAATTAAAAGCCATTTTATTGTTACTTTAAATGCTGAAAGAAATCTTGGACATTTTGGAGAAAATTCCAGATTCTCCCAAGCTATGTCTCGATCTACATTTAGATAACATGAGTATCTATTTCTTGAACCACATATCAATAAACTTTAGGGGTCATCTATCATTAGAGAAAGTTCTTTTTTTTTTTTTTTTCCTTATAAGAGGAAATTTTGTTTACAAATCTAGAGAAGCCACTTTGTGCAAAGCTTGGTTTGAGCATCGATTGTGGTGTTTTAGGAATCTTCATCAGTGAAAAGATGATAGTCCCTCTTGCATTCTAGACCTGAATGTAAAGACCTCACTTTACAAAAATGTAAAGTGAACAATTCAGAGATGCTAGAAATTATTCAGTAGGCTTTTCAACAAAGACCATTTTATTTTTTTCCCTGAAAATAATATCAAATCAGATATTACTGCTCTGATTTTCTGATGGAGTTTCTTTTGTTTCCAAAGATCAGACAGTTGAAATCCCCCTTCTTGGGAGGAACATACACAATCAAAGGTTCAGCATGGCCAAGTTCCATGGCATGACCTGATGTCTGCTTCCAACAGGCGAGGTGGACCAACCTCCTTTTAAAAAAACTAATTAAATTGATAGTGATGACATCTAATTATAACTTTTTTCCTTACTTGAGGAAATAAGCAGCACACTTATTCCATTCTCTAATAGAAATACTATTAAGTATATTGCATGCACAATTTCTACAGACTGAAAATTTTAAAATAGGAATTTTGTAAAATATTTCTTACATTCCTTCCTTTGGTATTATTTCCAGGGAATCAGTCCTATTCTCAAAGAAGCATGCTCTAGAAAACCCCATAGTCAGTTTATCTACCCTGTCAGTTCATAGTGAAGATAAAATTGTCACATGAAAAATAGTGAAGTGTTCCCTCCTCCACAAACTTCCAAGGTAGGGATTTTCCACCCAAGTGTGTCTAGTATAAAAGACATGACATCTGATCTCATGAAGGGCAGTTGAGTATATGAATATGTCCTTTTTATGTGCTTGCTTATAAGGCTTCTTACAAAACTGTAGCATTATAGTACTATTGAACTATTAATTTGAAATTGTGGATAGTTTATAGAAACTTCAACGTATCTTCCCTTTTGAAATATCTTGGATATCAATGGCGTAATTTTTCTCCTGAAGCTGCTCATTGACTATAGATGACCTATGTTATTTTAATATCTAGTTTTTATTAGGGTTATAAGGAGGGAGGTGGGGCTTTTTCAATGTTAATTAGTGTAACATGTATAAAAATGAACAATAGACTTAACAAATAGGTCACCTTTTTCTGCCTAGGAGGAAAGCTGAGCTGATACAGAGTTTCTGGGGAATTCTAATGCTGATGTTGTGAAGTTCTCCTATTTCTCAGTACAAAATCTAAGAGGAATCAAAAAGAAAAACTTACCCATTTGCATTTAGGGAATACACAGCACTAGAAAGAGAATCAGATTAAGTAGGATTTTTAAAGAATAATTAATTCGGTATTTATGGAATGTAAAGTATTCTCAAGTTCATGATACTGTTATATGCTAATTAACACAGTCACTGTGACCAGTGGCAATTTCAGAATATCTGTGCAAAAGGGCTTTTGAAGCGACATTTAAATAGCAAGCACTGTGTCTTTTAATATGCTAATTTAGAGTTGGTTGATAAGTGGAGGTAGGTGGGTTCTGGCCAAAATAATGCCCCTTTGATGTTCTCATGACTGTGCCAACACAAATCATCTAATCTCTCTGTAGTTTTCTCATCTGTAAAATGGGAGTAAAGCAACAAATGCTGTCATAACTCTGTAAGTGGCATCCAAAAAATCAACCATGGCACCCTGGAGTTTTATTATTATGAAGTTTATGGAACAACTAGTGAGCCAGAACAGCTGACTAGTTGGGAATTCCTGGGGCTGAAAGCCAACTGCCCTTTATTAATATACAAATTAAAATGTCATGAAATTTTATCGTAAAAGTACTTGTTTCATAAGGTTGTTTGGGGTGATGCATATAAAGCACTTTACAGAATTGTCTCGCACAGAAAAAGAAAAAAAACTCAAATTGGAATTTCTCCTTATCTCCTCCCTCTCTTCTTCCTCCTCCTCTTTTCTTTCTCCTTGTCTTTCTTCTTCTGATTTTTTTTTTTTTTTTTAAGGCAGGGTCTCACTGTGTGACCCAGGCTGGAGGGCAGTGGCTCAATCATAACTCTGCATCCTCGAACTCCTGGGCTTAAGTGATCTTCCCACCTCAGCCTCCCAAGTAGTTAGGACTACAGGCACGAGCCACCACACCTAGCAAATGTATTTATTTTGTGTCGAGATGAGGTCTATGTTGCCCAAGCTGTTCTTTTGATTCTTATTCTCCTGCAATACCAAAAATATCTAACACTCGACTATTTGATCATTCTAGAAACACTTATCCCTTTGTTTTTCATAATACCACATCATCATGAAGCTCCTTTTATATCTCTGACATTAATTTCCCTCTCCTTGGAGGACTTCTCTCTTTGATACTGTTCTCTAATTGATGATATTCATCAGGATGCCATTTTTGGCCCACTGCTAATCTTACTCTATATATTCTCCCTAGGTGAGCTCTCTGTGTTTCTGGTTTTGTCTAAACCTGTGTGCTGAGAGTCCCAGCCAGTGTTCCAGCCATGACTCATTCCTTTAACAAATCTACAAGTGAAGTAATTATAGTCTGCCTGAAGCTTAATTCTTTTACATACCCTTGTGCTTCTGTGCCAATTAGCCACCAAGCCCTATTTATTTTATCTCAATCTATGCCTTCCCCTCTACCATTGGTACAGCTGCCCAAACACAGGCCATTATCTTCTCTTTTCTGGGCATGGGAACACTCCAGCTAAAATGAACACTTAAATATGGCACTCTTCTGCTTGACACACTTCAGTGACAAGCATCAAAGCTCCTCCACCTGACCTACAGGTCCCATTTTAATGTGGCTTCTCCCCACTTCTCCAGCTACTTTTCCAAGCTCTCTCTGCCAGGCATTTTATAATTCATCAACTTTGAATATCTAACTCTACTCATAAACCAGGCATTTGCTGCTCTTGTACCCTCTGCCCAAAAGCTCTCCTCCCTTCTCCAACATGACCTCGGCCTGACTAATTCTTACTAAATCTAGGATAACTCAGAAGTCATCTCCTTCAGAAAGATTTTCCTGACATCCGCAGGCTCATTAAGGTGTTCTTCCTTTTTGCTGTTAAGCAATGGCCCTGTTGCTTTTGCATCTGTACCCCTACAACCCTAGGAACAGCTTGACTAGGAGAATAACTAATTCTCATTCTCAGTAAATTCCCAATCCCTGGAACAGTTCATGAGATGTTCAACAAACATTTTTGATTTGGTTGATGAAATTAATGCAAAACAAACACTAAAATGCTCAGTACTCACCTTTGAGTTATAAACCATAACTAGATTAGAGAAAAGACAATTCCAATATTTCAGAAGTTTGTCAGCTATTTTGTTGATCAGTACTATCAAAACTTAAAAGGCAATTTAGCAAAAAGCAAAGAAACAAAGCCGTAATTCAAATCGTGAATGTTTAACAAACATATGTTTGTGGAAATAAATTAGACATTATATACTGCAATGACTTCCAGATAATGTTCTAAAAGTTTTATGTTATTTGTGCATGAAAAAATGTTATAAAACTAATTTCTGCTTAATTTCATAATAACACCTCTCGCAATTCAGTTAGTCACTCAAATGTAAAGCTTAAAAGCTGTAGAATGTGGTGCTCAATTCATTTTGATTTTAATTCAATTCATTTCAATAAATATTTATAAAGTGCCTGCTCTGTATAAGAACTGGGTTAGATCATTTTATGGGCATCATGATGATTAAAATATGGTATTTGCCCTTTTAAGGTTTGCATTATGGTAGGGATGTTTAGACAAGTATATAAATATCTATAGTATAAGCCACAATGAGCCTAAAGCTATAGAAGTGTTTTAAATAACGTGTCATAGAGAATCAGAGGGAAGAGATTGAATTAGTAGGATCAGAAAGGACTTTCTGAAGAAACTAGAATGAGTCCCTACAAGCAAGGCATATCAAAACAGATTCAGTTTTTTATTTTGATTGTGATTTGGGGTTAGTATAGAGTTGCTTTTCAACTTAAGTCTGAGTTACATCCTGATAAATCCATTATAAGTTAATAATGTCAAGTCAGAAATACATTTAATACACCTAACCTACTGAACATTATAGCTTAACCCAGCCTACCTTAAATGTGCTCAGAACACTTACATTAGTCTACAGTTGGCCAAAGTCATCTAACAAAAACTCTATTTTATAATAAAGTGTTGAATACCTCATGTAAGTTATTGAATACTTTAAGTAAAAAACAGAATGGCTGTATGGGTACTCAGAGTATAATTTCAATTGAATGTGTAGCATTTTTGCACCATTATAAAGTCAAAAAATCGTAAGTCAAGCCCTTGTGAGTCAGGGACCATCTATATATGGAAGTGCCATAGATAAAATATATCTTTATTTCATGGGGTAATAACAAATAGACCTAGATTTGAATCCTGTTTTTACAAGGAATAAGTTATGTGATTTGAAAAATTAACTCAGTTTCAGTTTTCTAATTTTTAAAGTGATGCAATTATTATCTCTCTTATAATGTCATTGTGATGACCCCAAATGTGTATGTTTAGCACCTGAGATAAATGAGGATTGGATGTTAGATGTTTCAGTGTTTGGTTGAACAACTATACTTTCGAATTTTTATTAATGGACTGATTTCACTCTAAAAGGAAGTCTCTAATAATGTGCCATATTAGGGTTGATTTTGTTCTTCATCATTTGGGTTGAAGGCATAGAAATCATCCTTAGGATGTTTGCAGACAACAAAGGTGAAAAGTAAATTTAAAAATATATTGCTCAGCATCCTTGTTTTAGAGCCAAGAAAACTGAGTTTATTTAAAAATGTTCATTTTATTTACCATAACGTTTATATGAACCAACAACTAACCTTTAGATTGCATTTGAGGAATACTTTTTCTTAGTTATGAGATGTGATTATCCCTATTCTTCAATATCTACTCCATCACAAGAGAACTCAGTACCACATTTTCAGAAGAAACTGACAAGCACAGAACACTCATCAAAGGCCCTCATAATGCAAAGGGGCCTGGAATATTACATTGAAAGAAACAAAAAGTTATTCAGTGTGAAGAAAAAAAAATCATATAGCTATAACAGTGATTCTTATGTATATTAATGACAATTATGTGGCAAATCTTCATTGATTCAGAAGAAAGTACTTGCACCTATGGGAAGACAATACAAAAGGGAGATTTTTTTTTATTCAAAATAAGAATGTCTTCTAAACATTAAAGCAGCTTGGCTGGGCCCCTGTAATCCCAGCACTTTGGGAGGCTGAGGCGGGCGGATCACGAGTTCAGGAGTTCGAGACCAGCCTGGCTAACATGGTGACACCCCGTCTCTATTAAAAATACAAAAATTAGCCAGGCGTGGTGGCTTGTGCCTAAAATCCCACTTACTTGGGAGGCTGAGGCATAAGAATCGCTTGAACCTGGGAGGCGGAGGTTGCAGTGAGCCAAGATCGCACCACTGCACTCCAGCCCGGGCAACAGAGTGAGACTCCATCTCAAAAAACAAAAACAAAACATTAAAACAGTCCAAAACTATCTGTTTTGCAAAATTGTTGAACTAGACTTTCTACTGGAATACTTTCCAATTTATTAACAGCCTACAGTTCTCTGAATCTGCAAAACTGATAAGTATGGAGTTAGTGATTCCCAATGCAAAATAATTTCATATAAAGTTTATTTATTCTTCCCTTTCCTTACATTTCCAATATGATTTGATCAACACAAATACAACTACAGATTATCTTTAAAGAATTTGTTATCTCAAGAAAAGGTCCTAGTTACATTGAATTAGATTAACTTCTCAACTGTCACCAGCTCTCCCTTTATTAATTAATTAATTAATTTATTTATTTATTTTTAGGCCTGATATATAGATGCTCTTTTATTTTCTGAATTGTAATGTCATACTGTAGAAGAGAAAAACATAAGCATCAAAAATGTTTTTGTTTCCAAGGGACTATAATGAAAATTTTAGAAATTGCATACCATTTGTATTTTGAGTGGAGAAATAATTTCATTTTGGTTACCAATAAGAAGAAATGGACAGGAGGTATTAGGAAATGGGTGGGTATTATCTTAGATATAAAATATAATATGAAAAATAAATATAAGTGAAGAAGACCAAAACTGGAGAGTGTAGAAATAAAGGTTAAATATAAAAATAGATGAATATTGACCTTATTTATGGAAAAATATTTAAGAGTATTGACATTATTTTTCAATGTCTAAACGTTCCAAAGTGTCAGAAAATTTGAGTCCTGAAATTAATACTATAAACTATAGGATGACCTTGGATAAATGGCTAAATATTTCTGAAGACTTTTTTATATTTAAAGTGAGGAAAATGAAGTAACCCAGGGCTATCAGGGAGCTCACAAATAATTATTGTCAGCTGTTTTATCAAGGAAAATATATATGTCTTACTTATAATAAGATTTTTTGTGGAGAGAAAGGGTTTCTTTCTTTCTTTTTTTTTTTTTTAAGAAAGAGAACCTAGGTTTTTCTACAAGTGCTTCATTTTACACTGTCAGGATGGTTTGGCTATTTGTCAGGGAATCTTTTGAGACATTATATCTCATATCAAAACTGTCTTGGAGAATAATTGTTTGCTTTGGGGTATTATGGCAGTAATTCTAAAATCTCTGTAGGCAAGGTTATTTACAGAATAAGGTGAGAAAATTTGGGACACGGCTGAAAACAAAGACAGTATCTTAAAGTAACTTTTGGTAAACACTAGTATTTGCTATTAAATGTATAGTCAATCAACATCAGAGGCTGCCATTAAATTTTGTACTCATATTATCAAGAGTTAATTGCTATGTGAAATGAGAAGCAGAGAAATCTCTAAACACTAACATTCTAAAGATATTGAAGCTTTAACTTGATATATACCTTGAACTCAGAAGTTAAAAATGTAAAAATGTCATCTCTAATACAACACCTAGCACAAAGCCAAGTATTCATTTGTACTTCATAAATATTTGTTGAATGAAGGTCTCAATCAGTCAATCATACCAATAATCAATAAAGAGATCAATGTTAGAATTTAAAAAATGTTCTAATTACTTGAGAATGATGAAGAGAGTGTTTGAAAATGTTTCTCTGGTGACCAGAAATGCTTATTGTTTTCATCAAAGTAAAAAAAATGTACATTTTATCATCCGAAAAAGCTATAAGACAAAAGAAGTTTATTATCATACAGAGGAACCATATTTCTAGTAGGTATTTACTGTATAATGTTGATCTCAGTTTGGGGCCATCAGAAAATCTTCTAAGAAAGGAAATTGGAGGTATGTTCAACTTAACTTAACTCTCTGGGAATGGAATTTGACAAATGTCAAATATTATAAATATGATTTATGACCAGGATTCAAAACAAGAAAATTCTGCCCAGTTTTGCCGTATTTGTTTCCTTTATGCAGCTGTAAGAATAGGCTGCATCTCAGATATAAGCAGAGTCTCCACTTAGTGAAAATCAATGGAATGTACAGCATTGAATATATCTACCGAAACTGATTCTTTAGTGGCTGAAATTAAACTTATAAAGAGACTAAATATATATAGACCAAATCCACATGATTAAATTAAAATGAATTAGAAATCCCCTATGAATTTAGAGTTTGGCTCCATCCACCCCTTCCCCTTAAAAATACCAGGACTTTTATTGTAGATGAGCTAAACATAGCTCTCAGACAAAAGATATACAAAAGCACAATCTTTTAACATGAGCTTCTGCACTTACTAATGCAGGTGCAGCCACCTCTTTTACAAGATTCTTATTAATGAATGTAGAAGAGCAAGATAAAGTGATGAGAGTTTAATTTATTTTGGAAGTAGTGGTTTGTACAGTAATTATCGAGAGGCAGCAGCTTGTCAAATGGAATCAGTAACAAGTGCAGTTGGGAGAGGTTTTCTGGTACATAGACATTGTGAAATGTTTTACTTGGCGATGAGAATGGACTCCCTGACAATAGATTATTTTGCTTTAAAAACAATAGAAAAACAACCCTGTAAGCTGATCATGCTTGAGAAACTATATAAGCTAGTATATTTTAAAAGATTAATTTTATGCTAATCTTTTAATTTACATTAGTGACCAAAAATAGAAGATAGATAAAGAGTATTTAACGTTTTGACTTCATCCAGTGTTCCATTCACCTTTATCCTTGGCCTGGAAACACTGACTCCGGTATGAGGGAAGAAAAATGGAGAGTCACAGAGTCTGTGGTCATATTCTGAGAGGTAGCATCTTGGGGGGTAGATCTGATAAAAATTCAAGCATATCATCAAGGAATATATAAATCCTCAGTGGCAGAGAGTGAGAGGCATTCCAGAGAGATCCTGATGATACCAGATAAGAAGAGTTAGAATATAGACAGGAAGGTCCTTAGAATAGTTGCTGGTTAGACAGGATGTTAGGGGATTTTATATAGGCATTTATGGTCTGGGATTTGACAAGGAAGGAGTAGATAAAGACATCAATAGGAAAATATACTCGAGTAAATTTACCGCTGTTAAGAAAAAGACTAAACACAAATGTGAAACTTTATGTCCTTCTTTGAAAATGAAGGGAGAAGAATGATTCGTGCTCAGAATTGTTTGGGCCTTCACTAAAATACAACTTCTGATAATTCTTCAGAGGAGATCAGGTGTGTTCAAAGTAACATGTCTGTAGACTACGAATAATTCTTCAGATTTCATCAGATGCTCCACTTTTGGTCACATAAACTAGACTGGAATGACCCGTAGGCAGTCCAAGAACTAACTAATGGCTCAAACCATTCAATTCTTCATTTGTTTTTCTTCTTTTTCAACTCTTATTTTAGGTTCAGGGGGTACACGGGCAGGTCTGTTACATAGGTAAATTGCATGTCGCTGGGGTTCGGTGTATAAATAATTTTGTCACCCAGGTAGTGAGCATAGTATTCGATAGGTATTTTTTTTTACCTTCATCCTCCACCCACTCTGCCCTTAAGTACATCCCTATCTGTTGTTGCCCTCTTTGTGTCCATGTGTACTCAATGTTCAGCTCCCACTTTTAAGTGAGAATATGTGGTATTTGGTTTTCTGTTCTGGCATTACTTCACTTGGGATAATGGCCTCCAACTCCCTTCATGTTTCCGAAAAGGACATGATTTCATTCTTTTTATGGCTATGTAGTATTCTATGCTGTATATGTACCAGATTTTCTTTTTCTAGTCCACTGTTGATGGCTTCTAAGTTGATTCCATGTCGTTTCTATTGTCAACAGTGCTGTAGTGAATTTATGAGCACATGTGTCTTTTTGGTAGAAGAATTTATATTCCTCTGGGTATATGCCCAGTAAAAGAATTGTTGGGTCAAATGATAGTTTGTTTTAAGTTATTTGAGAAATCTGCAAACTGCTTTCAACAGTGGCTGAACTAATGTATATTCCCATCAGCAGTGTATAAACATTCCCTTTTCTCCACAACTTCCCCAACATGTGTTATTTTCTGACTTTTTAATAATAGCCATTCTGACTGCTGTGAGATGGTATCTCATTTTGTTTTAATTTGCATTTCTCTCATGATTAGTAATGTTGACAATTTTTATATATGCTTGTCGACCACATATATGTCTTCTTTTAAGAGTCGGTTCATGGCCTCTGCCCATTCTTTAATGTGATTGTTTGCTGGTTGATTTGTTTAAGTTCCTTATGGATTCTGAATATTAGACCTTTGTCTAATATGCATAGTTCACAAATATTTTCTCCTATTCTGTAGGTTTTCTGTTTACTTTTTTTAATAGTTTCTTTTGCTGTGCAGAAGCTCTTTAAAAATTAATACAAAAATTAACACTTTGTGTCTTTGTCTATGTCCCATTTGCATTCAAGTTAACATAGTTTAAGGAATTCACAGGAACAGAGCATAGAAAAGCAGACCATCTTATTTAACCATACATACCTCTTGTCATAGACATATCTAAATTGATTGATTAAATATCAAGCTCCAGTTATATGGCAGAATGATCAAGAGATGTTTGGAACTCTCCTCTCATGCTCTTTCTTAGAAAGTTGCCCTTTAAAATGATTTTTTTAAATAGCATTTTGTGAAGTAAAAGCCCAAGCATTTTTCCTATGCTCTCACCACAAACAACATGGAAGACTCTATGACCAAATGTGTAGGGAATTCTCCCAACCAGTATGCAAGTAATCAGTTCTGCAGTGGACACCAGCTGGGTGTCCTCCAATTCAATTCTGATACTGTCTACCTGGAGATAGCATCATATCCCACAAATTGAGGCCTCAGTCCCTCATGACTACACTGTCCCACCATCAGCTTCCAAAGCCAGTCACAAGCCTCAGGTTGTTTTACCTGTGCTTCTGACCAACTAACTATAAATTGTGGTTCCCACACTTGGATTCTATTAATTTGCTAGAGCAGTTCACAGAACTCAGGAAGAAAAGAAGACGTTATAGAGAGAGGAACAAAGTTGAGAATAAAATGAGATTTTTAAAAATCAGAAATAAGGCAATCAGGAAAAAAGTAGGGCAATATTTTTAAGTACTGAAAGAAAAGAAATTGTTAACACAGTGTTCAATACCCAGCAAAAATACCTTTTAAAAATAAAGTTAGGATAAAAACTTTTTCAGACATATAAAAGGTTAAGGAATTTACTTCAAAGAAGACCTGCAGTACAAGAAATGTTAAAAGAAGTTATTCAGGTGCAAAGAAATTTATTCCAGATGGAAATATGAACCTATACAAAGGAACACTGAGTAAATACATAAGATTATTTTCTTATCAATTTGATAATTTCTTTGCATTATAATTGACCTTTTAGGAAAAAATAATAATGTACTGTAGAGTTTATAATACATATAAAAGTAGAATGTCTGACAATAAATGCATAAAACCCAGAGGAGAGAAATTGAGGTATACTATGGTAAGTTTTTTTCTTCTATGTGAAGGGAAAGTGTGAAAAGTTGAAGATGTATTACAAAACCTAAGACAAACACTAAACTAAACAATGCTATAGCTAATAAACCAACAGAGAATGTAGAATGGAAAAAGTACTTGCTTAAGTAGGCAGAAAAGAGAGAGAAAAGAAAGAATGGATGGGATAAATGTAAAACAATGAGGTGATACATTTGACTTAACCACATAACAAATAAATTCAATGTAAATGATCTAACCACAAAACTAAGAGAATGAGAAGTTTATATTGAATTACAAAGCAAGACCCAAGTATATTCTTATTAAAGAAGCCTACAGGGCCAGGCATGGTGGCTCATGCCTGTAATCCCAGCACTTTGGGAGGCCAAGGCGGGGGGATCACGAGGTCAGGAGTTCGAGACCAACCTGGCCAAAATGGTGATACCCTGTCTCTACTAAAAATACAAAAATTAGCTGGATGCAGTGGTGGGCACCTGTAATCCCAGCTACTTGGTAGGCTGGGGTCGCTTGAACCTGGGAGGTGGAGGTTGCAGTGAGCCGAGATCGTGCCATTGCACTCCAGCCTGGGTGACAGTGCAAGACTCTATCTCAAACAAACAAAAAAAACCCAAAAAACAAAGACACCTACATTAACTATTAATTTAAAGACAAACAAATTAACTGTAAAATGTAAAAAAAAAATGCTGTGTTAATACTAATCAAAAGAAAGATGAAGTGCCTTTGTTAATATCAAAGTAAATTTTAGAACAAGAATATCACTAGGAATAAATATTTCATTTCATAATAATATGAGTCAAGAATAACAATAGTAAATGACTATGCACCTAATAACAGAGCTTCAAACTATGTAAAGCAAAAACAAAATTGATATAATTTCAAGGAGAAATAGATAAATCACAATTATAGAAGGAGATTAGGATTCTCTCTCAATAATAAACAGAACAAGCAAAGAGAAAACAAGTAAGGATCTATAAGACTATAGCAGTATTATGAAGCAACTTGATCTAATTGACATTTATAAAATATTCTACCTCAAAACAGCAAGGTAGATTGTTTTCTAATGCACACATTTACAAAAATAGAAAATATTATGGGTCACAGAATAATTTTCAATAAATTAAAAGTGATCCAAATTATTAAAAGTTTGTTTTACAACCAGATGGAATGAAATTAGATACTAAAAGCAGAAAAATCTCTGTTAAATAACGTAAATATTTGAGAACTAAATAACATATTTGCAAAAAACCCATAAATCATACTGTAATTTGAAAGCAAATTAAAAATTATTTTTCTGCTGAATAAAAATGAAAACACATATAAATCTGTGAGATGCCACTAAAGCAAACTATAGGGGGGAAATTAGACCACTGAACACCTATATTAAAACAGAAAAAGCCCTCAAATCTACCTTAAGCTGAGGTAGATCCTTAAGAAAACAGAAAATGAAGAACAAATCAAACACTAAGTAAACAGTAAAAAAAAAAAAAAGAAATAATAAAGATCAGAGTGAAAGTCAATAAAAGAGAAAACAGAAAACAAAAACAATAAAGAAAACCAATGAAACTATCAGTTACTTCTTTTGGGAGATTAACAAAATTGATAAACCCCTAGCTATAGTAATCAGGAGATTTTTAAAAGACACAAATTATTAACATCAAGATTAAAAGAGACAGTCTTACTAAGGGTTCTGGATATATTAAAGAATAAATGAGTGCTATTAAAATATGCCAATAAATTTGACAATTTAAATAACGGACAAATTGTTTAAAATAAATTAAATACAAAAGGCTTTCAAAAAGATATAACATAAATTGCTCTATATCTATTAAAGAAGTTGAATTTGTAATTAAGAATTTCCTACAAAGAAAACTTCAGGCCCAGATGGCTAGTAATTTCTACTAAATGAATAAAAAATAAATAATAAAGTTCTACACAAATCCTTCCAAAAAAAAAAAATAAATGAATAATCTCAAGTCAATTATGAGGCTAGCATTACCTGGTTGCAGAAACCAGATTAATATATTACAAGAAAATACAATTACAGAGCAGTAGCCCTTATAAATGTAATGAACAATTTATGTAATGCATAAACATAAACAAAATTTAAATATTCTTTTAAAATTTTAGCAAGTGGAATCCAACAGTATATAAAAATGATAATACATCATGACCAAGTGGGGTTTTTCCCAAGAAAGCAACTTGATTTAACATTTAAAAATCAACCAATGTAATTCAGCACATGATATTCATCATAACTAAAAAGTCATCGACCAGTAGATGTATTTAAAAAAATGAACATCCATTTCTGATATAATCTGTCAATGACCTAGGAGTAAAAGGGAGTTTTCTCTAATCGATAAGTGGTTTCTATGAAAAACCTACAGGAATATCATACTTAATAAGAGAAAGATTGAATGCATTTTCGTTAAGATCAGGAATAAGGCAAGAATGCCCTTCAACATTTTACTTGAGTTTTTAAGTCAGTAGCATCAGCAAAAAAATAAATAAAGTATACGCATCCAAGTAGGGAAGAAATAAAATTGTCTTTATTCAGGCAACATAAGAGTCTATGTATATAATTCAATGAAATTAAAACTAAAAACTATCCACTAGAACAAATGTGTGAATTTAGCAAGATTACAGGATATGAGATCAATACACAAAATTAGATTTCTATGTAGTAGCAAAGAACCACTGGACATTGATATTTAAAAAAACAATGTCATTAACCAAAGCATCCAAAAATTGAAATAAGAATAAATCTGAACAAGAGTAAAAGACCAGTGAGTGCATTGAAAACTATAAAACATCACTGAGAAAAATTATAGAAGATGTAAGTAAATGGAAAGATGTACTCTGTTCCTCATTCAAAAGATTCAGTACTCTTAATATGTAAATTCTCCTCAAATTGATCTATAGCTTAATAAATATCATCACATTCAAAATTCAATGTGGCGTTTTTTGTAGAAATGGATACGCTGATTTGGAAATTCATATAGAAATGCAAAAAAACCTAGTACATCCAGAATAATTTTAAAAAGAGAAACAAAGTTGTTTTACTGTACTACTTGATTTCAAGATTTATTATAAAGCTACATTAATTAAGATAATGTGGCATTGGAACAAATGAAGAGATATAGATCAATGGAACAAAGTAGAATGTTCAGAAATATATCAATACATACATTGAAAACTGAATTTTGACAGTGGTTTGAAAACAATTCAGTAGAAAAAATTATAGTCTTTTCCAAAGATGGTGCTAGAAAAATTTCATGTCTACAAATTAGAAAAAATAACTTTAATACATAGTTCACAGAATATATAAATATTAACCTTAAACGGATCATAGACCTAAATGAAAAACCTAAAATAACAAAAAGCTTGAAAGACCATGTAGGAAAAAGTCTTGTGGCCTTAAGATTCAAGCAAATGTTCCTTAAATATAACACCAATGCATTATCTATAACAGAAAATATTAAGAGTTCATAAAATTTTAAAATCTAACATTCTTCCGTTGGAATTTTAAAATTTATTTAAATTTTAAAAATCTTTTTGGACAATAATATTAAGACAGTGAAGCCATAGAGAAACCTCAGATTGGGGTAAAATATTTGCAAATCATATACTTGATAAAGGATCTGTATTTGCAGTATATAAAGAATCCTCAAAATTCAGTAATATGGAGACAAGCAATCTAATTTTTTAAATAGGAGAAAGATTTGAAAAGATATTTCACCAAAAAGAGATATATGGATGGCCAATAAACATATAAAATTGCCTAACATCATATAAGTCATTAAGGAAATGTAAAATAAAACTACAATTATATGCCACCTGTTAGAATGGCTAAAATCTGAAGGCCTGATCAAACTAAGGATTTCCCAGGATATGGAGCCACTAAATTCTCATGCACTGCTGGTACAACCGCTTTGGAAAACAGTTTGGCAGTTTCTTAAAAAAGACAAACATAAACCTATTATACTATAATATCTGGACATTCTACTAGTTATTGACCCAAGAGATAAAAAGCAAAACAAAGACACTGCTATTATTGGAATGTTTGTGTCTCCCCAAATTCATATGTTGAAATCTAATCACCAATGTGATGGTGTTAGGACTTGGACAAATTTTTTTTTGTTTATAAGCTACCTAATATATAATAATTTGTTATAGCAGCCCAAGTGGACTAAGAAAGACATGTACATTGAATACTCATAGCAGGTTTATTTGCAGTAGCCCAAAATGGAAAAAACAGAATGTTCATCAGTAAGTGAATGGATAAATAATTGCGGTATTCTGAAATAATAGAATGCTACTTAGCAATAAACAGGAAAGAACTGTTGATACATGCAACAACATGTTTGACTATGAAAATAATTATGCTAAGTGAAAGAAGTTAGACTATTAGATTTTATACTATGATTCAGTTTATTTAAAACTCTAGAAAGTACAAACTGATCGATAGTAACAAAAATCAAATAGGTGGTTTGATGAACACAGGTTTGGGAGTAATAGAAGTAGAAAGGAGAGGAGAAAACCTTTGGGAGTTATAAGTATGTTCCCTATCTTAATTACGGTGATGGCTTCACAGGTGTATACATACATCAAAACTTATCAAATTTACACCTTAAATATGCAACAGTTTATTGTACGCCAACTATACCTCAATTAAGCTGTTTTTAAAAGTAGAAAGATTAGCTGTTAACAAATAACTGTGTACCTGCTGCAATTTGGAAAAATCTTTTATTTGTTTCCTGTTGCTAATCGTAGTCTACCAATCGCTGTTTGATTGTATCCTTAGTAGTTGTTAAAATTTGACTTGCAATTGCTTTTGGTATTTGTCCTCATCATGCCCATTTTTGTTTATCTTTACCCAGAAAATTGTCCATGCCAAGAAAATTGTTGCATCCTGGTCCTCCAGACATAACTCCCCTTCAGGCGATTTAGCTGTTAATATCTTTCCCTTATTTCCTCCTTACTGGATGAGGGCAGGTAATATCACCCTTTCTCACTCAGCTTACAAGTCTCTCAGGTTATATATCAGTTTCAATCCATGTTAAATAAAGCATACATATATCCAGGTTCGATGAAGGAAAACCATAAAAAAAGGAAAGTTTAATAATGCTCACTAAACATTCAGGTCCTAGAGAGGTCTACCACTGGGGTATCTTAACTTGGTTATAAGATATTGAATATTACTTGTTTCACAATGTGGTTAAAACAAATCTCTTCAGACTGTGTTTTTCAACCTTCTTCCAACAGCCCTGGTTCTGAAGCATTCCCAGTGGAGAGACAGTGGCTTGTCTCCTGGTCTGCATTTATAGAGAGATTTCTGAGATTTCTATTTATTTGATCATCAAGAAACAAAAAAGAAATAGCAACTCTTTTTACACTCATGAGAAATATTGATATTTAAGAATTATTTTCTCCAACCTTATAAAAATATATTTCTCCATTCCCTTAGGAAACTTAGACATTAAATAGGTCAATCACCTGATGAGTTGCTTGGTTTTAAGTTCCTTTTTTGTTTCCTTTTGTGTAATAGATTTTCAAATGCTAAATTCATTCATTTAAATATGTATCATTAAATTAAACTGACAATTCATGATTAGGTAATACATGGATTTTACATAACACTTTTCTGATCTCTTTATATCATGTTATTGTGAAATCATAACATTGTTCCACAAATTCATATTATCTTAAAAGTTAGAATTTAAAGATAACCTAGTTCAGGGACTACTTATATATGCTGTTTCCTGAAGCACATCACTTAACTCATGTGATTTTCAATTTCTCCATATCAATAACAACAATAACTCACAGTTAATAGAATTTAACACGTGGGCAGTGATGTGCTAATGCTTTTTCGGTATTACTATATTTAATCCTACAAGAACACAATGAGATGGGCCTTAGTATGCCCATTTTACAGACTAAGAAACTGACACCTATAGAGTTAAAGATATTTCTCAGTTTTGCAGCTAGTACAGGGCATGAGATTCAAGCCCGAGTGCACGTGATGATGCAATCCATGCTCTTACTCACTATTAAAGATTTTTCATGCCTATAAAATAAGGGAAGTATGAAAATTAATTGAGATTAAAAGTGAAAGTGAATAGTTCGGTGCCCAGGAAATGGACATATAGGAAGTGACCATTTTCTAATGCTGTTTGAGCATCCCTCAACAGGTGGTCAGTTTATCCTCCATTGTAATTCTTACGATGACAGAAGGTTGACTATCACACAATTCTATTCCATTTTTGGGTAAGTCTAACTGATAGAAGATGCTTTCTTATATTCAGCTGAAAACTGCTCCCCTATAGCTATTACCTCTTTGACCGATTTCTGTCCTTCGGTTGGAATATTGATTGTGATTTCATTAAATTTAAAGCCTAATTTAGAGAGAATTGGCATCCATACAATATTGAGTCTTCCTATCCAAGAATAATTTGAGGCTCTGATTAATTCCCTTTTCTTCAACGATGTTCTGCACAGTTGATTTTGAATAGCATATGCCTTTTGGTGGTACTGTGGTATCATGGACAAAGGCTGGCAACATTTCACAACAATTCAGGCTTAAATTCTGGCTCCAGCTTTTATTGGATGAGGATTTGACTTCTCTGAGTCTTTCTTAATTGGTAAAATGGAAATAAAATCATCTCACATGGTTGTATGTGAAAATGCTTTGCACGGTGTCAGGAACTTAATTGCTATTCATTAACGTTAGCTACTATAATTAATATTGATCATCCAGCCTATTTTCTAGCATTTTAAGAAAAGAGTAGACACACTCTTTTGGAAATCTATACTAACATTTCATAGGCTTCATTATCAGAACGTTCTTCTCGAGATAATGATAATAACTTAAGTATCTTGCATTTTCATAGTTTTCTTTTAGAAGATAAAAGTATACATAGGTTTTTGAGAGACCAAGATCTTGCAATAGATACAACTAGGCTTCAATATTGGTTTGTATGTTTATTAGCTGTGCAACCGTGGGCAAATATTACAACTCATTTAAGCTTAGTTTCCTTGTCTGTTAAAATAAGGGATAAAGATATTATCTACCCATAGGGCTGTTGTATTAAATGAGAGTAACACATGTTAATTTATGCTGCTGTATTAAATGAGATAACACATATTAAAGACTCCTAATAATGAGTATGTTACTACAACTATTATTGTATTATTGTAATTGTTATTCCTCAGACAAAGCAAATTTGTAAAAGAGTATATGAAACAGATTTATGGAACTTGCATAAAGGTGGCTTGCTCCATTGATTTTTGTCTGCTCATTGGGAAAGTCTGCTAATCACCATGATTAAGTTCCTTAACAGAAATGTCACTTATTTTATTCATCTATTCCTAAAGAAATGAAGTTTTTTTTTTCTTTTTTCCTAGAAGAGTCAGAACACTTTCAGAGCCTAATTTTTTTCCGGCAACACAAGGGTGTTATTTCCTTGGATGAGTCTAAGCAAAAATTATAAAACAAGTGACTGCCACATTCCATCTCTGTGTCCCTTTATGGTTCCTTTATTGTCTCTCCTCTGTCCCATTTTGTATCTCCTTATGAACCTATACTCAAACTTCATGGGTCTGAGGACTGCACTATCATGGTCATTCCTTTTGAAACTGAGGGCAATGATTTAACAAGCTGTCTCACCAACACATCTGTAAATACATTGTTGTTTTTTTTTTTTTTTCATTTAGAAAGACAAGGACAAATAATAGTATTGCTTGGTCAAAGGATTGACTCTCTAATGTGTACATTTCAGATGCTGCTATAATAAAGATTATTTAGGGTGGATGGCCTTTTACTCTTATTTCTTTGGATAGTTCTGGACCTAGTGTGGACCACCTCTATCTTCTGGTAATTTCCCATACACAACTAATTCAGAACATAAGAGTGCAGGTTTTTCATACCAAATAAACAAAATAATCTATTTTTTTTTAGCAAATGTGGGCCCAGATGATGCTCCTTTTCCTTTCTACTCATTGAACGTCTTTCCTACTATTAATATAAAGAAGAAATTTCAACTCATTATATAAGCTATTAAGTATAAATCTTTGGAAGATATGGACAAATTTTTTTAATATATGACAAATATTTTTAAAAATCATTGTACCTAAATTAATTGGCTAAATATAACTATTAAAAGCTATATACTAGAGATACAATCTCCTATTTCCCAGTCGTAGGCTATTTTTTTCTTAGTGTAGCTTATCTAAATATTAGAATGAACTTGCAGTCTTATTTCTCCTGTTGATAAAGGAAACATTCCAGGATTCAGAACACAGTGAAACATGCATAGACAAATAACCAGAATATAATTCATATCCTTTGTGTTTTTATTTTAATAATGATTAAAAGTCTAACTAGTTACTTTTAAAAAATAGTTGTACAACTCCCCTCATATTCAGTATTTGCTGAAACAACGTACTGGAAGCCAAAGGAAACTCGATTATTTTCTGACTGAGGAAGAATGCACAGAAAGGGGTTTTTCATTTGTTTGTTTTAAATTCTTATTTTCAAGGAAATAAACATGTAGCGTAGAATGGGTTATCGAAAGAGATCAAATATTCAAGTTGAACTTGAACACATTTGAGAATGCATCTGTTATTTTTAAAATAATTTAATAGGTGAAATTTATCACTGAACAATCTTATATGATATGAATTTCGTAATATATTTCTCAATAAAAGTTACCACTTGGCAACATCTTATATGTTGCCAAATTTCTTTGGGGTCCCAGGAAAAGATTGCACTTAAAATAACTAAATTAGAGGCAGGCCTTGAATTAATTACTGCATGGAAACTCAAGGAAGGTCTTGTTCGTGTGCATAGTGATGCTCTGCTGTGGGTCCAAAAGACGGAATAGGAGGATGGTTAATAACATTTATTAATAACTTGCCAGGTTTCAGGGCTATGATATATAATTTGTGAATACTGTCTCATTTATCTTCAAAAATGTCTCAGTAATTTATTATTAACATTATTACACAGATGAGGAGACTAAGTCTCAGAGATAAGAAGTAATATGCCCAAATCCCTAAGTTAGCAACGAGTAACTCTGAAAAAGTTGACACAGTATGTTGTCTGGTCAGACCCTGTTACTCTTGCTTATTCAAAAAATTGTTCTTTTATTCAGCAAGCACATAATGAGTTCTTACTGTGGATCTAGCATTCTACTACTAGGCTACAGATTTTTTTTAAATGATAATTAAGAGAATTCCAGTTAAACAAGAAAGAGTAGACACAAACTTTATTTTAGACCCATTAAAAACCTACTATAAAAGGCATGAGAAATGACCATAGATGTCAGATTAACAACAGAATCTTTAAAGTTGGAAAATAAAGACACTAGAAATAACTGACGTGGGCCTCACCTATTTCCATTCAACCAAGTTCCTAACTGTTAGAGATGTTTTGGAAACTAGAGTTTTTCACTCTTGGGACATTTTCTTTTAGCATTTATCTGACAGTGTCTTCTCCTTTTTTTTTTTTTTTTCTGCTCACTTTCTGGGACTCTTGTTTGTTAGAGGTTAAAACTCCTGAAATTGGTTTCTGACTTGACTTTTTTTTTTTCTATTTCCCTTCTAATTTCTAAAATAGTTCCTTAACTTTACCTTCAGACTTTTCAATTGTCTTTTTGTTGGTGTCGTTTTGTACGTCAACACTCCTTTATTGTCTGTTTAAAATTTCTGTCAATAATTTCCAACCACTTTTGCTGATTTGCTGAATTGTCTTTTTGTAAAAAACTAACATTTTTAAATTATGAGTTTAATATTTTATCTTTCTGAGGATATTATTATAGATTACTGTTTTATTGATTTCTAGAGTCAGTTTATACAATTAATTAATTAATTAGTTTACTTCCTTCCCTGTTAACTTCATAGTTGCGAAGAATATGTTGCATGTCTGTCTATTTCACTTCCAATCATTGCTATCTTGAGACATTATCATGTTTCTCTTTCCTTAAATTTTAAATACATTGACATCCCACACTAATTACACTAAAAACAAAAACAGAGATAAACTTTTACATATTTGGAAAAACATCTTATTTTTTTTTCTTTCCATTCATGAAGAGGGCTCTTGCTTTACATAGCCAGCAAGTGAAAAAGAAAGCTACAAGAGGTGAGGGCACAAATTTCCTAAGACAGCCAATTCATTGTCCAAATTATAACTACCATGGGTTTAGCATTTGCTATATGCCAGGCAATGTGCTGAGGCCTTTGCATTTATTATCTCATTTAATCATGATTATAAACCAACAGTGCAAGTATTATCATCATTTAGAGATGAGGACACTGAGGCATGGCAAGGCTAAATAATTTATGCAATATTATCTGGGCAATAAATGGCAGAGCAGGATTTCAAACTTATCTCTGAATCAGTTAAGAGGCAACACTCTTGACCTATTATTATGTAATACTGCCTTTATCTCACCTATGAGTAAAAAGAAGCAAGTCTGAAGCTGTAGTGTTCTGAAAAGTAGGCTTAAGAAAGAGAATTAAAAACTGAAATGTTTTCCTTTTCAAATGGAACAGAAGTAATAATCAGAGGGACAATATAAGAGTTTATTAGAAACTCTGATTTATTGGTAATGGAGGTTGGCCTCAGCATGTCCCAATGTCTTCTTCTAATGTGCAAATGATATGAAATGGCAGTCAAACCTAATCAAAAATTAAAATAGGTAAAACAGAGCTCAGCATAAAAAGAAAACTGGATAGTATAAATCATAAATCCAAACTAGTAAATAAAACAATTTTGGAATGACAATACACTATTTTTATAAACGGTATTCCAAAAATGAACCAATATATAGAAATTTGCCTTCATTTTGTTTGATTTTTTCCAATTGCTAGAGTAACTGAATTTTTTTTTAATGTTATTCTTATGGAACAGGAAATATGACTGAAATTGAGCTCACATAAAGACAGTACAGTCAGAAACACAGGAGAGTAAAAAAGAGCAAGGTGATGTTACCTTGAGTGTTCAGTTTATAGAAACGAAATTGTGCTAGTGAAAAATAAAAGTTAACAATTAATTATAAAACTTGATATTGTGTCTGGAATTGGTGGGTTCTTGGTCTCACTGACTTCAACAATGAAGCCGCGGACCCTTGCGGTGAGTGTTACAGTTCTTAAAGGCGGCGTGTCCAGAGTTTGTTCCTTCTGGTGTTCGGATGTGTTCAGGGTTTCTTCCTTCTGGTGGGTTCGTGGTCTCGCCGACTCAGGAGTGAAGCTGCGGACCTTCGCGGTGAGTGTTACACCTCTTAAGGCGGCGCGTCTGGAGTTGTTCGTTCCTCCTGGTGGGTTCGTGGTCTCGCTGGCTTCAGGAGTGAAGCTGCAGCCCTTCGAAGTGAGTGTTACAGCTCATAAAGGCAGTGTGGACCCAAAGAGTGAGAAGCAGCAAGATTTATTGCAAAGAGGGAAAGAACAAAGCTACCACACTGGAGAAGGGCACCCGAGCAGGTTGCCACTGCTGGCTCAGGCAGCCTGCTTTTATTCTCTTATCTGGCCCCACCCACATCCTGCTGATTGGTACAGCCGAGTGGTCTGTTTTGACAGGGCGCTGATTGGTGCATTTACAATCCCTGAGCTAGACACAAAGGTTGTCCACCTCCCCACCAGATTAGCTAGATACAGAGTGTCCACACAAAGGTGGTTCTCCAAGTCCCCACCAGAGTAGCTAGATACAGAGTGTCAATCGGTGCATTTACAAACCCTGAGCTAGACACAGGGTGCTGATTGGTGTGTTTACAAACCTTGAGCTAGATACAGAGTGCCAATTAGTGTACTTACAATCCCTGAGCTAGACATAAAGGTTCTCCACCTCCCCACCAGACTCAGGAGCCCAGCTCGCTTCACCCAGTGGATCCCGCACCAGGGCTGCAGGTGGAGCTGCCTGCCAGTTCCGCGCCATGCGCCTTCACTCCTCAGCCCTTAGGTGGTCGACGGGACTGGGCGCCGTGGAGCAGGGGGCGGCGCTCGTCGGGGAGGCTCGGGCCACACAGGAGCCCACGGAGGGGGTCGGGGGTAGACTCAGGCATGGCAAGCTGCAGCTCCCAAGCCCTGCCCCGCGGGAAGGCAGCTAAGGCCCGGTGAGAAATCGAGCGCAGCGCTGGTGGGCCGGCACTGCTGGGGGACCCAGTACACCCTCCGCAGCCGCTGCCTTGGGTGCTAAGCCCCTCATTGCCCAGGCCGGCAGGGCCGGCTGGCTGCTCAGAGTGCGGGGCCCGCCAAGCCCACGCCCACCCGGAACTCCAGCTGGCCCGCGCAAGCGCGGTGCGCAGCGCCGGTTCCCGCTCGCGCCTCTCCCTCCACACCTCCCTGCAAGCTGAGGGAGCTGGCTCTGGCCTTGGCCAGCCCAGAAAGGGGCTCCCAGAGGGCAACGGTGGGCTGAAGGGCTCCTCAAGTGCCGCCAAAGTGGGGGTCCAGGAAGAGGAGGCGCCTAGAGCGAGCGAGGTCTGTGAGGACTGCCAGCAGGCTGTCACCTCTCAATATTATCGGTAGCTCATTTTGAATGAAGAAAAAGTTAACCATAACTCCAAATGTTATAAAAGTAAGATTATTATAACTCTCAAACTCTTTCCAATAACTTTGGGGTTTTGTCCTCATCCACATTTCAGTATCAACAAACGACTCATTAATATTATTGATAAAGCTTGTAAGTATTTGAAGATATCAAAAATGTTATCTGTTAATATTACAAAAGTTCATGTTTTGGTGTTTACTTCTAGCTTTAATTATATATATCATATATAAATGTATATTATACATATTTACATATATATGTACATACAAATGTAAATGCTGTCACTCATCTCACTGTTTTTTGTTTTGGAAAATATATTTCCTTTTCAAAATTACTTATCCAAATATGTTTTGGGTTTCATTATGAAACCGGAGGAGTTTTCCCATATACCCCTCGCAGGGTGTGTGACAGGGAGTGTGGCTTGCTTCTTCGGTGCCCCGCTGTTCAAATCCCTAGGGGGAGCATGATGCAGACAAGCAGGTCATGGGGAGTGATTTTGGGGCCCTGACCCCACGGCACTGTCTAGGGTTGAGTGTTTACAGCTCCAGAATCCCCAGCAGGTTTGTGTTACAGTGTGCTCTTTTAGCTTAGCTGTCTGCAGGTGGTTTGTGTTAATCAGCCAATTAGACCCTCTGCCTTATCACAAGGACAGAGAGCTTTCTGTATCTGGGGCTTTTGCCCTAGTCTACAAGAAAAATCAGATCACACATGGGCTTAGAGAATGAATGAGTACAAGGTTTTACTGAGTGGTGAAAGTAGCTCTAAGCTGATGGATGGGGAGCCAGAAGAGGGATGGAGTGGAAAGATGGTCTTCCTGGAATCAGGCCCCTCAGTGGCTGGGTTCTCCTCCAACTGCCCTTGGCTAAATTTCCCTGTGTCTGTGTTGTTCCACCATCGATGGCCTGCCAGCGTCTGTCGTTGTGTTCTTCTGCTGGTGTGTACCTCTCAATATCCAGCTACTTGTGTGTGTGCCTAATAGACTGTTGGGGAAGGCACAGAATTAAGGGTGGGGGGTGGGGGAGGGGCATGGCGGGCCAGAATTGTCTTGGAAAATGCAGCATTTGGGCGCAAAAACAGGAGTGCCTGTCCTCACTTAGGTCCGTGGGCACAGGCCTGAAGGTGGAGCTCTCTCCAGGGACCCCGCCCTTCTCTACCCAGCATTTCCCTGCCCCCTTCTCATATCATTTACTTTTTCCAATTAATAGAAATTTTAAAAATATCTGCTTTAATTTCAAATACAGTAAATTTCAGTAGACAATCCATTTTAAAAATATCTTTGTGATCCTCAGAAATTCTTAAGAGTGTAAAGGGATTCTAAAGCCAAAAAATTTGAAAACTTACTGAAACACCAGGACTTTGGTTTAGGTCCTGCTGCTCACCACACAGCAGGCCAATGACTGAGATGAGGAGTATTCCAGACCATGAGTATTGCCAAGGAAGAAGGATTTAATCAGGTGCTACAGCTGAGGAAATGGGAGCTCAGTCTCAAATCCATCTCCCTGACTGAATAAATTAGGGGTTTATTTAGCAGGGAAGAAATCTAACAATGTAAGGAAAACAGGAACTCTGGCAGCCTAAGGAAGCAATCATGATGAATGAGGGGCCTGGTGTTTCATTTTATGGATGCCATGATCTGGTCAGTTTCAGTTCTTTGGTAGTTTTTGAGAAGCCTAGGAATGGAAGGAACTCAGATAAAACAAATATAAGTTTCAAGCTTTAAGACCAGAAAGGATGATCTCTATATTTATACAAAAAACAAAACTACCTATAAGACTATTGGGTTGGTTTCAAAACCACTAGACTTAATAATGTAAAGGAAAGGTCTAGAAAAGAAAAAGAAGGAGAAGGAGAGGAGGAGGAGGAGAAGGAAGGAGAAACAATCTGTAGAAGTCCTGATTCTAAGTTTTTTAAAATATATATATATCTTCTAAGTTTTTTTTAATATATGCAGAGATGGCAGAGATGGATAGATAGATCATTGTAAGATTTTACATAGGCCATAGAGAATTATTTATTTATATTTAATAATAGTGATTTCCTGGTAATAGGATGTTTTGAATACCAGTATTTTGACATTTGGTTTATTTTAAAGCTATATTCTGATAAAATACTGGAAATAGCTATCTTTGGAGTTATAAAGGAAAGTGCTAAGATATGGTTTAAAAATTAGAGTACTGAACCCTCAACTGAAGTCATCTGGTGCTTAAACAGCTGTTACTTTGAGCAAATGATTTGAATGTCTGTAAGTCTCCATTTTCTAATTTGCAAAGTGAGATGTATAATATCAGTTTTGCAAAGTGTTTTGTAGATTACTGAGATAAAGTGTGACAAATGCCCAGGATGGTTCTGAATACATAGGAGGCACGTAAAAGGCTGCGTCCTGTGGCACCTGACAGTGTGGTCAGCATTCTCATAGTTACGTTTTGCCGCTTTAAAATGAGATGGCACAAATTGTGAAGCCAAACTAATATTTAGGTTCAAATATGCCTCTGATACTGTGTCCAGAATTGGTGGGTTCTTGGTCTCACTGACTTCAAGAATGAAGCCGCAGACACTTGCGGTGAGTGTTACAGTTCTTAAAGGTGGCGTGGCATGTCCAGAGTTTGTTCCTTCTGATGTTTGGATGTGTCTGGAGTTTCTTCCTTCTGGTGGGTTCATGGTTTCGCTGGCTTCAGGAGTGAAGCTGCAGACCTTCACCGTGAGTGTTACAGCTCACAAAGGCAGTGTGAACCCAAAAAGTAAGCAGTAGCAAGATTTATTGCAAAGAGGGAAAGAACAAAGCTTCCACAGTGTGGAAGGGGACCCCAGCGGGTTGCCACTGCTGGCTCAGGCACCCTGCTTTTATTCTCTTATCTGGCCCCACCCACATCCTGCTGATTGGTCCATTTTACAGAGAGCCGATTGGTCTGTTTTACAGAGAGCTGATTGGTCTGTTTTGACAGGGTGCTGAATGGTGCATTTACAATCCCTGAGCTAGACACAAAAGTTCTCCACATCCCCACTAGATTAGCTAGATACAGAGTGTTGATTGGTGTATTTACAAACCTTGAGCTAGATACAGAGTGCCCATTGGTGTATTCACAATCCCTTAGCTAGACATAAATGTTCTCCAAGTCCCCACCAGATCAGCTAGACACAGAGCACAGATTGGTACATTTACAAACCTTGAGCTAGGCAGAGTGCTGATTGGTGCATTTACAAATCTTGAGCTAGATACAGAGTGCCAATTGGTGTATTCACAATCCTTTAGCTAGACATAAAGATTCTCCAAGTCCCCACCAGATTAACTGGATACAGAGTGCCCATTGGTGCATCCACAAACCCTGAGCTAGACAACAGGGTGCTGATTGGTGTATTTACAATCCCTTAGCTAGACCTAAAGATTCTCCAAGTCCCCACCAGACTCAGGAGCCCAGCTGGCTTCACCCATTGGATCCCGCACTGGGGCCACAAGTGGAGCTCCCTGCCAGTCCCGCACCCATGCGCCCGCACTCCTCAGCCTTTGGGCTGTCGATGGGACCGGGCGCCATGGAGCAGGGGGCAGCACTCGTCGGCAAGGCTCGGGTGGCACGCAGGAGCCCATGGTGGCGGGGAAGGCTCAGGCATGGCGGGCTGCAGGTCCCAAGCGCTGCCCCGCGGGGAGGCAGCTAAGGCCCGGCGAGAAATCGAACACAGCGCAGGCGGGCCAGCACTGCTGGGGGACCCGGCGCACCTTCTGCAACTGCTGGCCTGGGTGCTAAGCCCCTCACTGCCCGGGGCCGGTAGGGCCGGCAGGCCGCTCCGAGTGCGGTGCCCGCCAAGCCCACGCCCACCCGGAACTGTAGCTGTCCCGCAAGCCCCACACACAGCCCCAGTTCCCGCCCGTGCCTCTCCCTCCACACCTCCCCGCAAGCTGAGGGAGCCGGCCCTGGCCTTGGCCAGCCCAGAAAGGGGCTCCCACAGTGCAGCCACGGGCTGAAGGGCTCAAGCGCGGCCAGAGTGGGTGCCAAGGCTGAGGAGGCACGGAGAGCAAGTGAGGGCTGCCAGGGCTGCCAGCACGCTGTCACCTCTCAATACTTACTAGCTGTGTGACATTGAGTCGCTTACTTAAACTCTCAGCATCTCAATATTCATATGTGCAAAAAAAGATAATAGCCACCTCATAAAATTGTGCAGAATTAGTTTTCTAACTCTGATGCATGAACTATTGATGCTCAAAGTATCCAATTATATCAAAAATTTCTTCTTTTTATCAACTCTATATCCTTTCTTTATATTATTCAGTCCAGTGGTTTTCAAATTTTTTAGCTTTAGGATCCCTTTACACTCTTAAGAATTACTGAGGCCCACAAAGAGCCTTTTAAACATGGATTATATCTATTGAGATTTACCGTATGTGAAGTTAAAGCAGATGTTTTTTAAATTATTTTATTAATTAATTGGAATAACCCAAACATGTTTGGATAAGTAATTTTGTAAAAGAAATATATTTTTCAAAACAAAAATAGTGAGAAGAGTGACAATATTTACGTTTTAACTTATTATTTGTCTTATTAGAAGACAATCTCAAATCTCCATCTTCATCTAATCTATGGCAAATATGTCATTTTGGTTGAAGTATATGAATAAAATCTGGCCCCACATAAAAATGTGTTGGTAAATGGAAAAAAATTTAATAGCCTCTCCAAATAATTATGAATGTTCTTCTTTGATAACTCACCAAAATTGACAAAGGGTAGTTTTTGAAAGCTTAGTTACAATGTGCAGTTTGAATCCGTATCTAATGTTGTCACATTTAAATACATAAATCTTTCCGGTATTTTGAATGGAACTTTAATAAATGCAAAATTTTATAACACCCCACACTAGTCATTTGTAAAATATTGACTTGTGTGAGTTTTTCAATGATATATTTCATTATACAGAATCAAAAATTGCATTTATTATTATCACTAACAATCTCATCAGGAAAGTCCTTACGTATTGGGAAGCTTTTAAGTTTACAGTGGAGGATACAAGCTTCCACAAATTCTATTTTCACTTAAAATCTCAAATTTTATCACTGACAACAAATACTGTCAGTTCTTTTCCTTAAAGTGACAGGCTCACTTCATTAATTCTTGACAGAATGTCCACCAAATATCCAAATATCCAAAGCTGAACAACCATAGTTTTTCCTGTCAATCTTTTTTTTTAAGTAAAACTTATTTTCCTTAAAAAAGTGGCTAGTTTAGCTTTCAACTCAAACAATCTCAAGAGAACATTTCCTAGTGACAATCATCACACTCTACTTTATGCATACTTCCCATTTTATAAAACAGAATATTAAAAAGATATGTACTCAGGATGGAGAGTTAATAAAAATAATAGTTTTTTTTTTTTTTTTTTTGAGACGGAGTCTCGCTCTGTTGCCCAGGCTGGAGCGCAGTGGCGTGATCTCAGCTCACTGCAAGCTACGCCTTCCAGTTCACGCCATTCTCCTGCTTCAGCCTCCCGAGTAGCTGGGACTACAGGCGCCCACCAGCACGCCCAGCTAATTTTTTATATTTTTAGATGAGACGGGGTTTCACCGTGTTAGCCAGGATGGTCTGGATCTCCTGACCTCACGATCCACCCGCCTTGGCCTCCCAAAGTGCTGGGATTACAGGCGTGAGCCACCGCGCCCAGCAAAAATAATAATTTTTAATGTTTCATCAAAGATATTCTTAAGTGAAATTGGCTAACTTCTATTTTCTTTTTTTTTTTTTTTTGGAGACGGAGTTTCACTCTTGTTGCCCAGGCAGGAGTGCAATGGCGTGATCTCGGCTCACTGCAACCTCCACCTCCCAGTTCAAGTGATTCTCCTGCCTCAGTCTACCGAGTAGCTGGGACTACAGGCACCTGCCACCACACCCAGCTAACTTTTTTGTATTTTTAGTAGAGACGGGGTTTCGCCATGTTGGCCAGGCTGGTCTTGAACTCCTGACCTCAGGTGATCCGCCCACCTCAGCCTCCCAAAGTGCTGGGATTACAGGCATGAGCCACCACGCCCAGCCTGACTTCTATTTTCTTACTGTGAGTGAGTGGCATATAGAATACAGTGACTGCAAGTACAGAGTTCAGTACCACTACCACTACTACCCTGATTTGTGCTAAGGGGCCAGCTGTTATACCCCCATTGTTTTTTGTTAAATACTAACTGTATTGAGTTATAATCTACATACCACAAAATTGACATTTATAAAGTGTACAGTTCAGTGGTTCTTCGTATATCCACGAAATGTGCATTCATCCTCACTATCAAATTCTAGAAAAATTCATCCCTCCAAAAGAAGCTCTATATCCATTAGCAGTCACTCCCTATTCCCCTTCTCCTGCAGGCTCTGGAAACCACTATTCTTGTTTCTCTATGGAGTCACCTATTCTGGATATTTTATTAAAATGGAATCATAGGATATGTGGTCTTTTGTGTCTGGCTTCTTTCACGTAAGATAATATTTTCAGGGTTTATTCATGTTGTAGAATGTATTATTGCCAAATAATATTTTTACCAAATAATTCTTACTGATAAATAATATTATATAGATATATGACATTATATAGATATATGACATTTTGTTCACTCATTCATCAGTTGTTGAACATTTGGGTTTTTTCCACTTTGGCTTCTATAAATAATGTAGATACAAACTTTCATGTACAAGATTTTTGGGGACAATGTTTTTATATTTTTCTTAGGTGTAGAATAAAGACTGGAGTGGAATTGTTGGGTCATATGGTAACTCTCTTTTAATCTTTTGAGGAACTGCCAGACTGTTTTACAAAGTGATTGCACAATTTTACGCTACTACCAGCAATGTGTGAAGCATGCAATTTCTTTATAATACTTCTTATTATCTGTCTTTTTTATTACAGCCATTTTAGCATGTGTCAAGTGGTATCTCACTGCAGTTTTGATTTGCATTTCTCTAATGACTAATTATGAGGGGCATCTTTTTATGTGACTAGTGGCCATTTTTATATTTTCTTTGGAAAAATATCTACTAACATTCTTCCCTCGATTTTTAATTGGATTGTCTTTTTATTATTGAATTGTAAGAGTTCTTTATATATTTCAAATGCTACATTCTTAACAGATACATAATTTGCAAATATTTTCTTCAATTCTGTGAGATGTTATTACATTTTCATGACGATATCATTGAAGCATAAAAGTTTTTAATTTTGATGAAGTCCAATTCATCTATTTTCACTTTTGTCACTTATGCTTTTTTTGTCCTATCTGAGAAGCTATTGCTCAATGAAAGGCTGGAAGGATATATTCTTATGTTTTCTTCTTGGAGTCTTATATTTTTAACTTTTACATTTAGGTCTTTCATCTATTTTGGGTTTATTTTTATGTATGATGTGAGGGAAGTATCCAGCTCTTTAGCATGTGGATATTCAGTTTTCCCAACACCATTTGTTGAAAAGACTATTCTTTTTTCATTGAATAGTTTTGGGACCCTTATGTAAAATTAAGTGACCATAAATATTTCTTTATAGACTCTCAATTTTATTCCATTGCTCTATATCTATGCTTATGCCAGTACCATACTGTAATGTTTACTATAGATTTGTAGTAAGTATTGAAATTAGGAATTGTGAGTGCCTCAGCTATGTTTTTCCTCTTTAAGATTATTTTAGCTATTTAGGGTCACATGCAATTCTATGTGAATTTTAGGATTGGTTGTGTCAATTTATGCTTAGAAAAAGGCAGCTGAGGTTTTGGTAGAAATGGCATCAACTCTGCAGGACAATTTGGGAACTATTACTGTCTCTTCAATATTAAGCTTTCTGATCCATGAACATGGGATGTCCCTCCGTTTATTTAGTTCTTTTTCCCTTAACCCTGTCTTACTATTTTCAGTGTATGTCTTACACCTCTTTTGTTAAATTTATTCCTTAGTATTTTATTCTCCTTGATCCTAGTATAAATGGAATTGGTTTTTAAATATTTCCAGAGTATTCATTACTAGCGTATAGAAATAAAATTGAATTTTTGTATATTGATATTCTACCCTGCAACCTTGCTTAGCTTGCTTACCAGTTCTAATAGTTTTTTTGTGGATTCCTTAGCATTTCCTATATACAAGATCAGGTCATTTGAAAATAGTTTTACTTCTTCCTGTCCAATCTGGATTCCTTTTGTTTCTCTTTCTTGCCTAATTGCCCTGACTAGTACCTCCTGTACAATGTTGAATAGAAGTGATGAAAACAAACATTTTGTTTTATTTTAGGGAAAAAAACATTCAGTTTCTCAACATTAAGTATGATGTTAGCTCTCCTCACACTGTTTCTTGTGCCAATATCAACAGGATTAAAGGGGCACATATCTTTGTATTATTATAAAATTACCTCATAGAATGCCTGACAAGTGTCTTGTAGCTCCACATAGATTTATATACCTCACTTTGACAATCTCTAATTTAAGACATTGGTATGGAACTGAAAATTTTTCTCTGTATCCTGCATCCAGCCATGACTTACAAATTTTCAGAATACATAGAGGTGACCTGTCTTGTACTACACTCCATCTGGCACTACAACTATTTAATTTCCCCAACTCCAATAATTTTACCTACATCTATGACCTTTATTCTTACAGATATTTCCTGGATTTTTGGTGTTGTCTTAATCTGCAATATTCCTAAAATCTTAATCACTTGCCCATTCTCAGAACATAACTTTTTATTCTTCCAACCTCCTTACTCTCTCATTTTCAAGATTCCTGATTTTCAGCCTCATAGCAACCTCCAATTCCATATTTGTTCCATTTCACCCAGACTGCCAGTATCCTCTTGGCCTCTGTTCTAAACATAGTCAGTACCCCGCTGTTGATACCTTCAACAAATCTCCACAGCAGCCTTAGCACCCTTGCTTTCCTTCTACACTAATCCTACTGTACGTGAGTTCAGGTTCGTTCCAGCAATCCATCATATCCATGGCTAACCCCAGGCTTTTTTGGTTTGGGATGGCAGGAAGGTGAAAAATGAATGCCTAAGGTTGACCTCTCTCCAGATCTGCAGGTTCTCAGTTGGTTCTTTTATTTAACCAGGTATCTTCTCTCATTTCCTTTCACCATTTTAAAGTTGCCTATCAAACTTCTACCTTCTTTTCTTTGAGCAAATGATTTTAATTCTCATTTCACTGAATGTTTGTAGTGATGTAACTTCCCATTTTCTTGCTATACCACTCTCCCCTTTCTTTTCTTGCTTCAGGTGAGCCCTCTCTCTTCCAGCCAATTCTATAACTGTGCTCTTACTATCAATCTCTTGTAATTTCCTCTCAGAACTTGGTTCCTTTTGCATTTGGTATTTATGGTTTAAAAATAAGTATAGAAAACGATCACTGCTACATAGTAAGACATATAATAAAGCTTTAGTAATTAAAAGAGTATGGTATTTATGTATAATATATAAACAAACTAAAGAAAAAGAATGAGAAGTAAAGATGCAGAACAAAATTTATATATAGGAGTTGAAATTTATGATAAAGATGATTATTTAAACCAGTAGGAGGAATAATAAACTATTCAATAAATTGTACTGAAATAGCTACCTGACATTTTACTTATAGTTTAAAACACAGAAGCCATACAATAAAATATTAATAGTTTATATTAACCTAAAAAATCAACTTTGGCATGGCAAAACTTTTTAAAATAAATTTTTAAAACATTATAAAAGCTAAATGGCAAATGGGGGAAATATTTACATCACATAAATATGATATTTTAATTTGCGTTCTCCTAGTAGCAAATAATATTGAAGATATTTTCATGTCTACTTTTCCATCCACATTTTCTTTGGTTGAAAAAATTCTGCTCAAATTTTTTGCCAATTTTTTGGGTGAAGATGAGAATGAGACTTGTTTTCTTATCATTTAGTTGAGTTATTCATATTTTCTAGATTCAAGTTCTTTACCTAATATATATTTGCAAAGATTGTTTACCAGTCTGTGTGTTTTCATTTTCCTAAGTGTCTTCTGAAACACAAAAACTATTAATTTTGAAGTTTAAAGTACTATTTCTAATTTTATATTTCATACCTTTTTATAGTTAAGACATACTTGCCAAGCACTTACACTAAGATTTATTCTTATGAGTTCTTCTGGAAGCCTGTAGTTTTAGTTCTTAAATTTTATTCTCTGATCCATTTGAGTTAATTTTTATAAATGGTGTGAAGTAAAGGTCAAGGTACATATTTTTTAAAAAGGACTATCCAATGATCCTAGCATAATTTGTAAGAAGATTATTTTCCCCATTGAAATGCCTTGGCATATTTATAATAAAACAATTGACCGTACATATGTGGATCTGTTGCTGTACTCTCTTTTGTCTACCAATCTAACTATCTTTACATCAATACTGCATTATCTTGATTGATGTAGCTTTACAATAAGCTTTGAAATCAGGCAGTGTTTGATTCCCAACTTTGTTCTTTTTCAAAGATGTTTCGTCTATTTTACATCCTTTTATGTTTATACACATACGTCTTCTAAAATTTCTTTCCCTTTGGATAGATACCCAGTAGTAGGATTGCTGGTTCAAATGGTAGTTCTATTTTTAGTTCTTCGAAAAATCTCCATACTGTTTTCCACAGGGGTTGTACTAATTTACATTCCCACCAGCAATGTATAAGTGTTCTCTTTTCTCCACATTCTCACCAACATCTATTATTTTTGTCTTTTTAGTAATAGCCATTCTGATTTGGGTAAGATGATAACTCATTGTGGTTTTGATTTGCATTTCTCTGACAATTAGTGATGTTTAACTTTTTTTCATCACTAATTGGCCATTTGTATATTTTCTTTTGGAAAATATCTGTTCATGTCCTTTGTTCATTTTTTAATAAGATTATTTTTTTCTTGTTGTTGAGTTGTTTGAGTTCCTTGCATATTCTAGATATGAGTTCCCTAATAGATGAATAGTTTGCACATATTGTCTTCCATTCAACAGGTTGCCTCTTCGCACTGTTGATTATTTCTTTTGCTGTGTAGAAACTTTTAAGTGTAAGTCTCATTTATCTATTTTTGTTTTTGTTGCCTCTACTTTTGAGGTCTTAGTCATAAATTCTTTGCCTAGGCTATTGTCCAGAAGAGGTTCCATGGGTTTCCTTCTCATATTTTTATAGTTTCTATATAGTTTATAGTGTTTGGTCAATTGATCAATCCACCTTGAATTAATCTTTGTGTATGGTGGGAGACCGAGGTTCAGATTGATTCTTCTGCATATGGCTATCCAATTTCCCCAGTACTATTCATTGAAAAGGGTGTTCGTTTCCCAATGTATGTTCTTGTTGGCTTTGTCAAATATCAGTTGTCTGTAAATATGTAGCTTTATTTCTGGGTTCTCTATTCTTTTCTATTCTGTTCCATTGATCTCTATGTCTGTTTTAATACTCTTATAATTCTGTTTTGGTTATAATAGCTTTGTAATATAATTTTCAGTCAGGTAATGTCACACCTCCAGCTTTTTCACCCCTCAGGATTGCTTTGGATGTTTGGGCTCTTTTTTGGTTCCATGTGAATTTTAGGATTTTTTTCCCTAATTTTGTGAAAAATAACAGTGTTTTAAAAGGGATTGCATTGAATCTACTCATTTCTTTGGACAGTATGGTCATTTTAATTGTTTTGTTCCAATCCAGGAGCATGAAAGGTTTTTCTACTCATTGATGTCATCTTCAGTTTCTTTCATCAATGTGTGGTAGTTTCCTTTGTAGAAATCTTTCACCTCCATGGTTAAATGTATTCTCCATTTTTTTATTTTTATTTTTTCCATAGCTATGGAAAATGGAATTGCTTTTTTGATGCCTTTCTCAGCTAAATCATTATTTGGTTATAGAAATGGTACTGATTTTTTAACTTTGATTTTGTATCCTGAAACTTTACTGAATTAACTTATTAAATCTAAGAGTTTTTTGGTGAAGTCTTTAGATTTTTGTAGATATAAGATCATGTAATCAGCAAATGGAGAAATTGGACTTCCTCTTTTCCAATTTGGATGTCTTTTATTTTTTTCCCTTGCCTGATTGCTTTGGCTATGACTTCCATTGCTATATTGAATAAGCATGGTGAAAGTGAGGAGTCTTGTGTTCCAGTTCTTGGAGGAAATGCTTTCGACTTTTCCACATTTAGTATGATGTTAGGTGTGGGTTTTTTATATATAGCCTTTATTATTTTGAGGTATATTTCCTCTATGCCTAGTTTGTTGAAGGTTTTTATCATGAAGCATTGTCAAACATTATCAAATGCTTTTTCTGCATCTATTGACATAATCATCTGGTTTTGTCCTTGATTCTGTTTATGTAGTAATATATAATATTTATTGATTTGTGTATGTTGAACCATCCTTGCATCCCTGAAACAAAACCCGTTTGTTCATAGTGTGTTATCTTTTTAATATGCTATTAGATTTCATTTGCAAGTATTCTGTTGAGGATTTTTGCATTTATGGCCATCAGGGATATTGGCCTACAGTATTTATTTTATTCTTGTTGTGTCTTTGTCTGGTTTAGTATTAGGATGATACTGGCCTTGTAGGATGAATTAGGGAAAATTCCTTAATCTGATTTTTTTGCAATAGTTTCAGGAGAATTAGTAAAAGAACTTTATACTTTTGGTAGAGTTCAACCATGAAATCTATCTGGTCCTGGGATTTTCTTTGTTAGGCGATTCTTTATTACTGATTCAATCATGCTATTGTTATTGGTCTGTTCAGGTTTTCTATGTGTTCCTTGTTTAATCTTGGGAGATTGCAAGTTTTGAATTTATCCATTCCCTCTAGGTTTTCTGGTTTGGGGGTGTATAGTTCTGCTCATCATAGTCTCTGATGATCTTTTGTATTTCAGTGATATCAGTTGTAATGTATCCTTTTTTATATCTAATTTGTTAATTTTGATTTTCTTTTTTTATTAGTCTAGTGAGTGGTTTATCTATTTTGTTCATCTTTTTGAAGAAACAATTTCTTTATTCCACTGATCCCTTGTATTGTTTTTTACTCTCTACTTACAATATGAGATCCCTTGTATAGTTATTTAGCTATACTCTGATCTTTGTTATTTCTTTTCATCTGTGAATGTGGGGTTTGGTTTGTTCTTGCTTTTCAAGTTCCTTAATGTACATTGTTAGATTGCTAATTTGTAATCTTTTTACTTTCTAGATGTAGGCATTTAATGCTATAAAATTCTGTTATCACTGCCTTTGCTGTATCCTAGAGGTTTTCTTAAGTTGTGTTTCCATTTTCATTTGTTTCAAAAAAATTTATTTCATTTTGATTTCTTTATTGACCCAATGATCATTCAGGAGCATGTTTTTTAATTTTTATGTATTTGTATAGTGTTCAAAGTTCTTCTGGAAATAAAATTTCTAATTGTGTTCCACTGTGGTCTAAGGAGATAGTATGTTTCATTTTTTGAAAACTTTGTTGACACTTGTTTTGTGGCCTAACATATGATCTGCAGTGGTGCCATTTTATTATTTTTTTCTTTTTCCTTTGTGTGACTGCTTTACCAGCAAGTTTTGTACTTTTGTGTGTTTTCATGATAGTAAATATCATCCTTTTGCTTCCAAGTTTAGAACTTCTTTGGGTATTTCTTGGAGAGCTAGTCAAATGTAGATGAATGTTTTAGCATTTGCTTGTCTGGAAAAGATTATTTCTCCTTTATTTATGAAGGTTAATCTTGCTGTATCTAGTATTCTTGGCTACTAGGGTTTTTTCTCTTTCAGCATTTTGACTATATCATTCCATTCTTATCTGGCCTACAGAGTTTCTGCAATGAAGTCTGCTATTAGTCTGATGAGTTTTACTTTATAGTGACTAGATATTTTTCTCTTGCTGCTTTTAAAATTCACTCTTCACTTTGACTTTAGACAGCTTGATTATAACATGCAATGGTGAAGATCTTTTTGCATTGTATTTGTTTGGAAACCATTAAGCCTCCTGTATCTGGATGTCTAAATCTCTGCTAGGCTTGAGTATTTTTCAACTATTATTTTGTTAAATAGGTTTTCTAAACCTTTTGATTTCTCTGCTTTCGAAGTTACCAATAATTTGAGTATTTAATTGCTTTATGGTGTCCCAAACATCCCAAAGGCTTTGTTCATTATTTTTATTCTTTTTTCTTTATGTATGTCTGATGGATCATTTCAAAGGACCCATTTTCGAGTTCCAGAATTCCTCTGCTTGATCTAGCTTATTGTTGAAGCTTTTGAATGTATTTGGTGTTTTTAAAGTGAATTATTCACTTGCAGATTTTTTTAAATATCTGTCTCCTTGGTAATTTTTTTTCATATCCTGAATTGTTTTTCTGAGATATTTTTATTGGTTTTTATACTTCTTTTACATTTCACTGAGCTTGAAAATCAGTATTTTGAATTGAATTCTTTATCTGGGATTTCCAGCATTTCCTTTTGGTTGAGGTCTATTGCTAGAGAATTATTATGCTTTTGGGTATGTCATATTCCCTTGTTTTTTCATGTTTCCTGTGTTTTTATGTTGATATCTGGGCATCTGATGTAACAGTTGCTTCCTCCTACTTTTTGAACTTAATTTCATTGCAAGGGAGATGTTTTCCTGAAGGTGTGTTTGTGATGTTGGCTGGGGAGGGCCCTTTGGTTTTGCTTGTGGATACACACAGTACTAAAGGCTCTCTATGATTTCTTTAGCTATAAATAACATTAGCAGTGTCTGTGGCTTTTTTGGTGTGTTAGAGTGTGGGTTTTATAGGAGGCTTTGCTGAGGTTGTGCTTGGGACTAAAATACCAGTTGGACCTATCTTCAGGCTTCAGTGGTAGTGGTGATGGAGTAGGAGTATCTATCCTTGTGCCCTGGGGTGGGACTTGTATTGGCAGTTTCAGGCAGGCCAATTCTTGGATTTCTGGGGGGGCTTTTTCAGATGCTGGTTGTGATAGTGATAGACTAGGTAAGTAAGTGGACTCTTGAGTTCCTGGGTGGCCAGTTTGTCATGGGCGATAGTGAAAACAGTGGTGAGATGCTCTTCTGGGTCCCAAGTGCTGTTAAGTTGTGTTGGCAGGATTGTGATGGGCTGTGAAGGCCAGCCTCCAAGCCAACAGGTGGCAATTACAGGGAGGTGCCCACTGAGGTGGTGGCAGAAGGGTGTTTAGATCCAACCTCTATCCCTTGAGAGGAGTGCTCAGGTGCCCAGGTGGTGGGTTGTGTTGTGTAATATCCAAGACTCCAGACTATGTCTCTGTCTTAGTGGGAGGAGGGCAAAATTGGGCAAAGCCACACTGGGCAGGCTTGCTCTGAGGCTTTCCAATGGCAAGTACATGCATCAGCCATGATAGGAAGGGGCAAAGCGACCATCAGGCTCCCCATGGAATGCTCATGTAAGGGGCAGAAGCTGCCTTGCCAATCCCTGCCAGGGGGAGTGTGGGGCTGGTCACAGAGGCCACAACCTTGACCAGCAGGTGGGAGACAGACATCCCTCTCACACCCCATCCCTAGTGGGGCTCGCTCCCCTGTCCTGGCTGTCACAGCAGACCCAGCTGGCCCATCAAATCTGTTACTCCATGCCTAGCCTGTAACTCAGCTCTGGGCTGTAGAAGCACCCACCCAGCTCAGACCAAGTCTCCATGGCAACTCGCATCCCACTCAAGTCCCAGTGACAGTGCCTGCTTTCCAGCATTGGCAGCCATGACATCTTGCTGTAACCACTTAGGTTTCAGAAAGGTTGTGGGTCACAGAGCAAGCTCCCTGCCTGGAGCAGTTCCTTCTGAGCCTCTCAGCTCCCTAATATTGTATGATTTCCCCAGTGGAAAGGTAGACCACAGAAATACTCTCACTCACCCTCTCCTTGTACTGGGGAATCACTTCTAGCTCCCTGCTGGTCCCAGCCAAGCAGACTGCCTCTTTTCCCTCTCTTTCCTAGTTTTTGATGTTTCCTGTCACTTTTCTGTTGAACTCTCATGTTCTCGCTTGAAAAAAGAATTCAAAGTATGATTGTCTTCACACTATTTTGGTTTTCTTAAGTGGATGAGGTGTGAATAAAATGCTTCCAGTTAGCCATTTTGAAAAAAAAAAAAGTATTTTACTTTTTAAAATAAATGATCTAAATCAGAAAGTATGTAATTAAAACTCTCAGTTTGCATTTAACCCTAAGTTTTTCTGGTAGTAAATACTAAGCCAATGAAGAAAAACTAGAAGAGCATCAGAATCTGAATAATTGTTTGTATTAGATTATAGACTCCTTGAGGGCAAAAATGCCATCTTTTATTGCTATATGACCAGCACCAAACACACAGTGCCAGAAGCACTTAATAACTGAAAGAAAAAAGGAAGCACAGATAAATGGCTGAATCAATCGGGGAGATGAAATAAAATAGGCAGACAACTTGAAATGTGGACCAGAGCATCTAGGAAAATATTATTTCAAAAATACATCTGGCAGAAGTGGCTCTTAGCTAGCCTCTATTGAAGGGACTCTGAAGTCATTATAAGCATTTTCCTAAAAATAGCCAAGCTTTTCTGTCATAGAATAGTGTTAGGCATTAGAAGAAGACAATGGAAACTAAATACAAAATATTAAACTAATCTTCAATAGAACTAGACTAGATGTAAAATAAAGAGGGGCTTATGCCTTAAATAACATTACAACATGCAGATAGCAATAGTATATATGTCCAGGAATATTGTATGTAATATTAATCTGAAGAGGAAAATATGGGCTTTAATATAACATCGGATTTTTTTAAGTTAAGAAATTTAAAAAGAGATGTGGGAGAGAGATAGTGTTACATAAGGCATCGAAGAAGGCTGATATATCATATTAGTTACCAGATAGAGAATTCTTTAGAGCAGTGAATTTAGAAACTTTAAAGATTTTTAAGACAATGTAGAGAACTAGCGTATTCAGGAGAAGACTGAATGTGTACATTCTAGAAACTACAAAAGCGAGAGCAAATAAGAACATATTTATAGTTTATCAAAATGGATTAGTAATGTATGCAATTGAAGGACAGCTGTGAGAGGCCCACTCTTGGTGCAGTAGCTATGTACCTCTGTTCTTGCATTGATGATACAATGAGAAAAATCACACGCAAATTAGGAAAATAACCATGAGAGATAGGAAAAGATGTATTCTAGTTATAGCTACTTCTCCCTTGAAGGAAGATCTAGAAAGAAGTTAGGGAGGGGCTCATATATAGTGCACAAAGGATAAAATGGTAGTGATGGTCTTAGATCACAGATAAAAGAGACTGTACTTAGTATGTATGAGCATGTATTTCTCAAGTACTGAAGGCCTGTGGAATATCCACTTGTAGGCTGTTTCAGTGTATATAATGAATTAAATGTATTGGGCTCTTGCATTGCTTCACCTTTCCTGTATGGAATGGAAGCAGACCCAAGAGGAAACAGCTATTTATGTCAACAGTTAACACATCCCAAGGAAGCTTAAGGAAATGAGATAAAATAACCAAGAGAATGGGGTGTGAATGGAGGACTTTTTATAAAGATAGACTGAAAAAAATAGGCTTCTGACATCTAGAGAAGGAAATGTCAAAAATGTTTGTGATAAATGTTTGAAAAGAGAGAATAGGCTTGTTTATCAATTACTGGAATCTTAGAGCCAGAACATAGACCTTTAAAGAAGTAAGTTCAGGATGAATAAAAGAAAAATAAAGTAATACTTGAGCACATCAGGTGCTACATAAATAGAACTCACTATGCAAGCAGTAATACAAACTAAAAATGTAGGTAGTTGCAAAAGGTTTTAGTTAAATTCATAGCTGACAAGTTCATAATGGGCTGTGAAATGTATAATCCAGGATATATTAAAGAGCACATTATTGTGTGTGAAGCTAACACCAAAAAAGACAGTTGTTCAGGGAAATATCCCTTGGGATATAGAATCAATATTGAACTGGACCAAGGAGCTAACCATATATGGTGATTTATACACTTCCAATTAGAAAAAGACCACTGGTCATATTCAGTTAAAAGATGAACCAGTTTGAAAACTGGTTAATATCCGGTTGTAGTAATGTTAGTGATAGTTTCCAAAGCAGTTCTATCTGAGGAGTATACAGTAAGTCCTCACTTAACATGGTCGATGGGTTCTTGGAAACTGCGGAATGTAGGAGAAAATGTACAAGGTGAAATGTATAAGGAAACTAATTTTACCAAAGACTAATTGATAAAAATAAGAGTTAAGTTTCTATGGCATATTTCTGGCCATAAAAATATCACCAAACTTCTAAATAAAAACCCACAACACCTCTAATGTTAAGCATTGAGATAAATGTGAGCTATACATACATTTAAGAAAGATGAATACAAACAAGTAAGATTATTATTTACTTGCTTATTCTAGGTCAGGGTCATGGATGGCTGAAGCTTCTCCCGGCAGCTCACGGCACAAGGTGGGAACCAATCCTGTCCAGGACGCCATCCCATTGCAAGGTGCACTCACACCCATGCACACTTACTCTCACTGGGACCATTTAGATATATCAGTTAACCTCACCTAACCTGCAAAACATTGGGATGTGGGAGGAAATCAGAGAACCCAGAGAAAACCTGTACAGACAAGAGAGAATGTGTAAACTCCACACAGACAATGACCCCAACCACAAAGCAATTTTATCATCAGTATTATAACTAAAGGACATTGAACAAAACAACATTATTTGAGGACTTGCTATATATAGAAAGACTTTGGTGTTAACATCACAATTTGTTGATTTCCTATGGTATAGGATATGCAAAAATGGAATATCTCAGTAGCAGACAGATATTATATGGGAAAACTTCTCCTTAACCTTTTCTTCTTTGGGATATGTCATCTTTACCCTTCCCTGATTGGATCTATTTTTCATCTATTAGGTAATGTCGATCATTCCTATTTCATATGCCCTACTATTCTCTAAGTACATATTTCAAAGTGGCAGCACTACATTACTGACTCTTATTCACCTTACTAAGAGCCACAGGTCTAGTCCAGGACACTCATTTTGGCCATTCCCATCTTCTATCAGATTACTGATACTCTGAGCCTAATACTTGTTTTGTACTTGCCCTTTTCTGAACTTGTGTTGACAGATCATTTCTTATTTGTCAAAGTCTCTTTGAATTAACTTCTTCTTTCTTCCTGCCTAACTGGGTTATTGGAAAATCTAATAAGGATGCTTTCTCTTCCATCATTCAGAGCATTGATAAACATTACTGGAATCAACCCGATCCCAAAGGAGTATTCTGCTGTATGCCTTATCTTTCTCTCTTCTGCTTCTCAAGTAAGGGCAACATTTTTGCTTTTGAGGAATTATCGTAGCTGGGCAGTTCAGCCTGGCAATTTTTTATAGTATAAATCCAATCATTATAATTCTCCTTCCCTATTACTAATGTTCACCAGTCCTTGACTTGTGTGGAAGTCATTACATTTATGAATGCTGTCCAAATAATACTGCCCATTTTTCACATAAACATATATGTCTAGGACATCTCAATGAACCAAGTGAATTTTCAAGACATACAAGAAGACATAGATTGGCCGGATAATTGTTCCTAATTGATGGCCATGCAGCCTGAGGACATTAGGTTGCATCATTTCTGTTTTACAGATGGGGGATTAGAAGTTAAATATTCGAATCATTTTCAGTTGGACATATAACCAACTATGGTGAAGGTAGGGCCTTAAAGAAGTGTCCAATTTACAGTTGTGGTTTTACCTTTGGATTATATGAAACTCTTTTTTCCTTTTCTTTTCTTTTCTTTTCTTATTTATTTATTTATTTATTTATTTATTTATTTATTTATTTTGAGACAGGCTCTCACCCTTTTGCCCAGGCTAGAGTGCAGTGGTGCAGTCACAGCTAACTGCTTGATATGGTTTGGCTGTGTCCCCACCCAAATCTCATCTTGAATTGTAGTTCCCATAATCCCCACATGTCATGGGAGGGACCCAGGGGGAGGTAATTGAATTATGGGGTTTGTTACCCCCATGCTGCTGTTCTCATGACAGTGACTGAGTTCTCACAAGATCTGATGGTTTTATTAGGGGCTTTTCCCCCTTTGCTTGGCATTTCTGTCTCCTGCTGCCCTGTGAAGAGGTGTCTTTCACCACGATTGTAAGTTTCCTGAGGCCTCCCCAGCGACGTGGAACTGTGAGTCAATTAAACCTCTTTTCTTTATAAATTATCCAGTCTCGGATATTTCTTCATAACAGTATGACAGCAGACTAATACAGTAAATTGGTATTGGTAGAGTGGGTTGCTGCTATAAGGACACTCAAAAATGTGGAAGTGACTTTGGAACTTGGTAACATGCAGAGATTGGAACAGTTTGGAGGGCTCAGAAGAAGAAAGGAAAATGTGGGAAAGTTTGGAACTTCCTAGAGACTTGAAGAGCTCAGAAGACAGGAAGATGTGGGAAAGTTTGGAACTTCCTAGAGACTTGCTGAATGGCTTTGACCAAAATGCTGATAGCAATATGCACAATGAAGTCCAGGCTAAGGTGGTCTCAGATGGAGATGAAGAACTTGTTGGGAACTGGAGTAAATGTCACTCTTGTTATGCTTTAGCAAAGAGACTGGAGGCATTTGCTCCTAGTCTAAAGATCTGTGGAGATTTGAAATTGAGAGAGATAATTTAGGGTATCTGGTGGAAGAAATTTCTAAGCGGCAAAGCATTCAAGAGGAAGCAGAGCATAAAATTTGGAAAATCTGCAGCCCGACAATGTGATAGGAAAGAAAAACCCATTTTTCTGGGGGAGAAAATCAAGCAGGCTGCAGACATTTGCATAAGTAACGAGGAGCCAAATGTTAAATCACCAAGACAATGAATAAAATGTCTCCAGGCCACATCAGAGACCTACATGGCAGCCCTTCCTATCACAGGCCTGGAGGCCCAGGAGGGAAAAATGGCTTCCTGAGCTGGGTCCAGGGCCCCCGTGCTCTGTGCATCCTCCAGACTTGGTCCCATGTGTCCCAGCAGCTCAGCTCTAGCCATGGCTAAAAAGGGCCAATGTACAGCTTGGGCCATTAATTCAGAGGGTGCAAACCCCAAGCCTTGGTGGCTTACAGTGGTGTTGAGCCTGTGGGTGCACAGAAGTCAAGAATTGAGGTTTGGGAACCTCCACCTAGATTTCAGAGGATGTATGGAAACACCTGTATGTCCAGCCAGAAGTTTGCTGCAGGGGCAGAGCCCTAATGGAGAACTTCCACTAGGGCATTGAAGAAGGGGATGTGAGGTTTGAGCCCCCACACAGAATCCCCACTGGGGCACACCTGGTGGAGCTGTGAGAGGAGGGTCACCATCCTTTAGATCCCTCAATGGTGGATCTACCGACAGCTTGCACCGTGTGCCTGGAAAGGCTGCAGACAGTCAATCCCTGCCTGTGAAAGCAGCCAGGATGGGGGCTACACCCTGCAAAGCTGCAGAGGCAGAGTTGCCCAAAGCTGTGGAAGCCCACCTCTTGCATCAGCATGACCTGGAGATCATTTTGGAACTTTAAGGTTTGGTGACTGCCCTGTTGGATTTTTGGATTTGTGTGGGGCCTGTAGCCCCTTTGTTTTGACCAGTTTCTCCCATTTGGAATTAGTGCATTTGCCAAATACCTGTACCTGCATTGTATCCAGGAAGTAACTAACTTGCTTTTTATTTTTCAGCCTCCTTTCAAGGCAGAAGGGACTTGCCTTGTCTCAGATGAGACCTTGGACTTGGACTTTTGGGTTTAAGCTGGAATGAGTTAAGAGTTTGGGAGAGTGTTGGAAAGGCATCATTGTGTTTTGAAATGTGAGAACATGAGATTTGGATGGGGTCAGGGGCAGAATGATATGGTTTGGCTGTGTCCCTACCCAAATCTCATTTTGAATTGTGGTTCCCATAATCCCCACATTTAGTGGGAGGGATCCAGTAAGAGATAATTGAATCTTGGGGGTTGTTACCCCTTTGCTGCTGTTCTCATGATAGTGAGTCAGTTCTCATGAGATCTGATGGTTTTATAAGGGGCTTTTCCCCCTTTGCTTGGCATTTCTCTCTCCTACCACCCTGTGAACAGGTGTCTTCCACCATGAATATAAGTTTCCTGAGGCCTCCCCAGCCATGCAGAACTGTGAGTCAATTAAACCTCTTTTCTTTACGAATTACCTAGTCTTGGGTGTTTCTTCATTGCAGCATGATAGCAGAATAATACAGTGCTATAGCCTCGACCTCCTGGGCTCAAGTAACCCTCTCACCCTAGCCTCCCAAGTAGCTGGGACTACAAGCATGTGCCATCACACTCAGCTAATTTTTAGATTTTTTTGTAGAGATAGGGTCTCCCTATGTTGCCCAGGCTTGTCTTGAATGCCTGGGCTCAAGTGATCCTACCACCTCAGACTCCCAAAGTGCTGGTATTGCAGGTGTATGCCACCATGCCGTGCCTGAAATATCTTAATACACTAAAGGATCAAGTGCTTTAGCTGTACTTTTGAGCTCTACCATGGCCATAAGAAACAATTTGAAGAAAGAGATATGTGAGAGACCTCATTCGTGCTGGGTGTGATCTAATGAACTATAAATCCAAATGGTTAGTAAATGTATAAAATGAAGGTATATATATGTTGACAATTCTTATTCAATTCAGGAAACATTGAATGTGTGCTTCAGTGTTTACCTTGTATTTCATATTCAGAATATAGAACTACCGAATAGCTCTGTTGAGTAACAAAGTTCCATGAAACAGGCAAAAAACTGATGTTGAAACAAGAAGCTATGAACATATTTCAGTTACCAGACAAAGAGAATATCTTCAGAGTTTATTCTTTTATGATACTTCTGCATTAGAACTATTGAAAAGCTACATCGTACTAATTTTATAGCAGCAGTATCAATTCAACAGACAGCTTTTCCACATATCACTTTCTTTAATGCTCCAATCATCAAGCCTCCAGAAAAAATAGTTGAAGATCTGGTCAGCATCACAAATCAAGGCAGCACAGTGCACCTGTTGGGTATCACACTAAATATGGCCATGAGTAGCTCCTCCCACACAATCATATCCATCCATTTCTAAGCATACTGGTAAAGTAATTTCTAAGTGGCAAGTCTCACTTTTGGTGATCTAATTTTAAAATGGTAGCATGATGGCTGGCTGCTCATTTTCTTAAAATTCTAAAATTATTTAAGTTGACATTAGTCTCCAAGCATTTGTTATATTGGGATTATTTTGAAGACTAAGTGTTTCAGAGTGAGTGTATTATACATTAATAGAAATAATATGAGACAAGAAATATATTTTGGACTATTGAATATCTTTATGTTTATTTATTTAACAAACACACAAATATTTTTAGTGTACCTGGCACTATTTTAAGTGCCTTACCAAGGTCAACTTATTTAATTCTCTTAGCAACTTTATGATTGATATATTATTATCATTTTATTTCACAGATGAAGAAACTGAGGAATAAAGAAATTAAATAATTTGCCCAAGGTCATATGACTAATAAATGACAGAACTGAGATTTGAACCCACATAGTCTGTCTTCAATTCTGTGCTCTTAACCACTGCTCAATACTGTCTACACAATAAGAATGTAAAGTTTACAGCAGTCAATCTTTCCCTTATAATATTATAATAGCTATAAGTTTGTGCTATGCAAAACATGATTCTGACACCATAAACAGCAGTATACCCACAACTGTCTGTTCCTATTTTGTTGTGCAAAACATACAATTTTTATGAAATTTTATAATGACAAATAGCTTTAAAATGAAGGAAAGAAAACCAAAATTATAATAGAAGAGTTTTTATCATCAAGAAAATCACTTAGAGTGGCAGAGAACAAAAGGTGAAATAAAGAACAGCCACTTTTCAAAATGCAGTGTTATTACAACCGACAAACAGTCTTAGAAAGAGTAACAAATCTAAAGTCTCTTCAACTCTCGAACACAAAGTACTGTGTTGTGTGCACAGCAGAGGGTCAGTAGATATCTGTGATAGACAGAGATTTCTCCCAGTAGATCGTCCTTCTTCAGGAGATGCTTATATTTTTATCCCTAGAGGTAAATGTTCAGCTAAATTGTTTTCCTTACTGTATGCCCAATCATAAAAGCTCACATATTTGGGTACCCAGAGCCCATCATAGGATTTTTTTCTGGGGAAAATGACTACAACCTTAGTTGTCTGAAAGCAAAATTGTCTCACCCTTAGATTCCCCTTTCTACATTGTTTTTCCCAAATCCTCTGTCAAAATTCATCCCAAGAAATAAGTAAGTAAATCCATTTATGCTGAGAGATCTCTGGGTATTACTGTGCCCCAGATGTATTTAGATCATAACATCAAATGTAGGCATTAGTCAATTAGGCTGGAGAGGTATCTAAGAGTAAATGTTTACAGGTACCCCCAAATCATTTCATCTGTACCATCTTATAATGAAACAAACTTTGCAACTATGCAACTTGCTTATGACTATTGTAGAGAGGGGGTACACTGCAGAATTCAGCTAATATAAAATGCAGCAAACTCACTCCGAAAGGCCATATCATTCTCCGCACTCCATTCCTTATGAAACTAAATGATGGTTGACAATGAAATTCGAGCTTTGATTCTTATTAAGGCTGACTATTGAAACTTGATTAGGCCTATAATTACACACCGCTTGAATCAAGAATGTCAAATAATGGGGCAGGACCTCTATAGCTTGGGAATCAACTTACAACCTAGGTTGGTCCATGAACAACCTGCTCAGACAGCACTCAGTCATAAATTATCCCAAGTTTAACCTGGTAAGCATTGTTGGGAGGGTATTTTTGGTCAAGAGTCCAAAATGGAATTTTCTACTCTGTAACTCTAGCTGATCCTGAGCACTCAGGAGAGAGAGAAAGAAAGAAAAAGGAAGTGAGAAAGAGACAGAATAGTCTATAATTGTGTGGCTAATGGGGAAAGCCAAGAAAAGTTATTAGATTTTATAAAAATTTAATATGTGTAAATACACAAAATGAATCAGTTTAATTTAAAAAGTTAAAGTTTAAATTTTTATTCATTTTATTCATTTTTAAATAGAAGTTACCGAAGCAAGATACACTTTTATCCTTTTTTTTGAAACGAAAGGAAATTTCAATATGCTACATGTATGGCATAGGATTGATTTATATATACAGGTGAAAAATTATATTATTATCTATTTATTTTGTAGAGATTGAATAAAACCTAATTTGGGAAAATGTGAAATGGCATGTGCCTACAATGTAATGTGTGATATGTATAAGAATATCTCTACTCTGATATGTTTCCTCAAGTTTTATTTTTAGGAATTTCACAGCGATTGTCAAGTACACACACCCTATATACCTATAGCAGTATAGCTACTGCAATAAACTAATAGGAATCTAGTTGAAGAGATCAGAGTGTATGTCAGACAGCAGCTTGAAGCTGGCCAACGCACATGTTCAAGAGATGTAAGGCATTTACATTGAAAAACAGACAGCCTAAGAAAGAAGCATCATGACCTCTGAAAAATATCTGTCCTGTGAATTGTATGATCCATGCTTACCTCACAGCTTGTCTCCACATCTGCGTAATTGGCTTTGACTTTACTCCTTCCTGTCTGACTGTTAACTTTGGGTTTCTTGTAGTAGTTCTACTCAACTGCATCTTGGTCCTAACCTGGCTTCCCCTCCATCTTAATACTGTAATGCAGCACAGTTTACCATTTCAGTTTGACCATCCTGGCTTTCTTCCTGGGGTAATTGACCTTCCAAAGCTGTAGAAGTATAAAAAATCAAGTTCTATCCTAGAAATTAGAAATTCTGCTCTTGGTTCTGCCAAAAACTAGTGGTGTTTCCTTGCTAAGTTATCTGACTTTTCTATTTCTTGGATTTTTTTTTTTTTGAAATGTGAAGTCTGAATTATATGATTATTAAGATCTCACAGATATTGTTATTTCAGTTTGATATTACTTGGGTCAATACTATCATTTTATTGATTCCAAGAGCAATAAAATATTTGAAAGTGGATAAAGACTAAGTATATCAGAAGATGCAGTACCAGTGCCAGCCACTATTTTTAAAAAAATTCAGGAACTTGAATTTAGACATTAACTAAAAGCCAACAAATATATGTATTTTGAATGCATGAGCTTCTCTGTGTTTTCCTACAGCATTGTCTTACCACAGAGCTTTCAACTCTTTCAGTTTCCAATTTATACCAGGAGATCAGTCTGATTCATTGAGATGTTAACATCATGCTATCTAAATTTTTTCAGCTTTTAATTTTCAAGACATCTCCAAGTAAAATGATTGTTTTTGACATTATTTGACTTTCTTGATTCAAGCAGGGTGTAATTATACCCCTGATCAAGTTACTGTGGACAGCCTGAATCCAAAGACAGGCACCACATATGGAAGCTTTATGGTTAATCACAAACAGATACAACTGGATATTTCATACCACACATTAGATTCTTAAAATGATTTCTGCTTTTTACAACAAGTAAAATAAAAAGATTATACATAAACATGCTAATAAATATTTGGTGTTTCAATTAAATATGAAATGAAGAAGTGTAAGTTTCAAAACCACTCAAATTTGCAGCATAGTTTTATAAACTTTTAAATTAAAATATTTCATTGTAATGTATTCATTTATCTGCTACTGAAAACAAGTTAATCAGTCTGACCAGGACTACAAGGAGATAAAATATCCAGTCAACTTAGTTAAAAAATAACCTCAGACACAAAAGGAAAAAAAATTTCAACTTCTTAACTCATGTAGACACAACACACATGATAATCTTTTTCTTTTTATATATTAAAGGTGCTATTTGTCTCAGATTTATTATTTATCTCACAAAGTCAAGTTTCAGAGAAAGAGAAACTATAAATTCTCATACACATTATTTATTTATATCTATTTATCATAAACTATCTTCTGGTATTTTTATCACTCTGTACTTAATCCCTAAAATGGAGGTCAATTTCTAAAAACAAAGTAACATTAGTATTAAAACCAGACTTAAAGAGACCAAATAGAATTATTGCTGATGCTAAAAATGTGCTAGTGTAAGTAGGCAAATCTGTATTCCTCCAACCTTAGCTGAAATGTGAAAAATGTATTAATTATTTAGGTGCTTCATCAACAGGAGGTCAAAATTTTAACATTTTGAGATTCCTAATAAATAAGGTGCTATAGTTGCCTCCAAAATGCTGTTACTGACTAGCTACTAAATATAAATGCTGTAAAATCTAATCTAGGTCATTTAAACGGATAGCATTGAAAAATAAATATGCTATACAGAAGAGACATAAAAGTTTTAAAGGGATGATAGAGAAGCAAAATGACCTTCGAAGTTAAAAACTGGAAGCCTTCAAATATATTTTCCAAATATTAGACTGATAAATGATAAACAAAAGATAAAATAACAGGAAGTTTGCATTAGTGTCAGCAATGCAAATGGGAAAGTCCATTACATTTCTGGCTTAAACTTTATGATTGCAGAACAGTAATTGTTTTTCTTAAAAATATTTTTAATAATAAATTTGCATACCTAGTTCTTAAGCTTAAACTCATTGTCACCTACATGTGTTATGGGTTGAAGCTCATTGTCACCTACATCTGCTGTGGATTGACTAGTGTTCCCTAAAAGGATATAATTGAAGTCCTAACTTTGGAGAGCTATTAATGTGACTGTTTTTGGAAATAAGGCCTTTGCAGATGTAATCAACTGAAAGTGTAGTCATTAGGGTGAGCCCTAATACATATGATGGGTATCCTTATAAGAAGAGGAAAATGTCACATGAAACAGACAAACAGGGTGAACTGCATGTGGCAGCAGAGGTAGTTGCAGGGCAGGGATGTCAAGGATTGGCAGAAGAAGATAGGAAGACAGGAAGAGGCAAAGAAAGATTCCACCCAGAGTCTCAAAGGGAGCATGGCCCTCCTGACACCTTGATTTCAGACTTCCAGCCTCCAGACTGAGAGAATAAATTCTGTTTTTTTTAAGCCACCCAGTTTTTGGTACTTTGTAAGGGCAGCCTTAAGAAATTAATATAGTTCCTAACCAGTATCCTTCATATTACCTTGGTTGTAAACGAAAATGTGAATAGTATTGAATAAAGCTTGTTATGACAGTATCTTATCAGCCACCCTGCATTCATGGGCAAGAGCTTTCAATCCAGTGTACTACTAAAGACAGCCTGAGATTTAAGTGTTGTGAGGCATGGCATTTTACAGGTGTAAAACTAGCAGCAGTTTGGAGTTTGACAACCTACTTTTAATTTATAAAAATGCATTTTCTTCTGAAAAGACTCATTAAAAATTCACACAAAGAAATTTCATTTTGTAAATTTATACATGTTTCATCTTTGGTAGAGAAAAGCATTTGATAATAGTTGATTAGGACATTTGCTTTTCTCTTTTCTGATTTTTGACCAGTTCTCATTTAAAACGAGAAAGAGAAAAACAACTTCCTTGATCTGGAAAGCATGTTTTTATATTAATGATGTTTTGGAGGGAATTGTTTTTTGACTTGAGTTAAATGCTTTGTTTTATTACGTATTTATTTGTCTTGAAAAGTAAAGGAGGCATAATCAATAGTAAAAGTAGAATTTTTTTTTTTTTCTTTTTGAGACAGAGTCTCTCTCTGTCACCCAGGGTGGAGTGCAGTGGCATGATCTCGGCTCATTTCAACTTCCTCCTCCTGGGCTCAAACAATTCTCCTGCCTCAGCCTTCGGAGTAGCTGGGGTTACAGGCATGCCCACCACAGCTGGCTAATTTTGTATTTTTAGTAGAGGCGGTGTTTCGCCATGTTGGCCAGGCTGGTCTCAAATTCCTGACCTCAAGTGATCCCCGCCCGCCTCGGCCTCCCAAAGAGCTGGGATTACAGGCGTGAGTCACCGCTCAGGCCCAGAAGTAGATTTTTAAAAAATGATTTTAGTTGTGCCTTGGTTTGGTTAAGAAGCGATTAGCTAGGCAAAATACAGAAGCTTTCTAGGTATTGGACAGAGACTTACAGAAGCTTCAAAATTACCAGCTATTAAGTATTTTTAAAATAAATTTTAGTCTTTGTGCTTCATCCCTACGATGAAAAAAGCCATATCAATAAGTGTTTATAAAGACCATTACTGTCTCCATCCCTGTTTGGGGTTATGCAGATAATATAAACAAATGGAAAATGTATTTCATGTCTCTAAAAAGAAGCTTACAATCTAGTTAATAAGAGATGATGTATTGTAGATCGATTAAACAATTAGAAAATAAAACAACAGAACAGGTTGAACCTTAAACTGTATGGAATGATGGCTTTTCACACTCCCAGTTTCAGTGTCAGTTATATATTGATGTCAGACTAAAATTTACATAGATGCAGCAAAGCCTGGAATTTCACAGATGTAAAACCAATATCAGCTGGGGGTATGTATTTTTGCACTCTAAGTTTTCTTTTTTTAAGGAGAGGTTTTTGTAGGATAGTGTCACCAGGAGGCCTGAGTTGTGAGTAGGGGCAGGCCTGGTGTGTGGATATTCTTCCTTCCCACTGAAGAAAGGAATAGGTATTGAACTGGAGAGAAAGAAAGACAAATAGGCACCATTTTAGGGTGGCAGTGAAAAATATGTAATATCACCAAATCTGAGAAAAATATGCAGTGAAAAATATGCAAGATTACAAAATCTGAGAAGTGATATAAGGGTCAATATTATAAAGTATCTAATATTATAAAAAACATTAGAATAATTAGAACAATTTCCAGATGATGCTGGGAATAGCGAAAAGGTATAGACTCAGACATGAGTAAAGTAATAAGAAAATTAATATCGCCAACCAAAGAGGCACCCTGAGAAAGGGGAAATTTATTTTTCCAGAATGCATCAGTCAGTACGCTACCAAATGGCTGCCCCATTGCCCAAAACAAAACAAAAACCACTAGCTTTATCAGCAAGTTTTGTCTGCTATTCTTGTCAATGATTTGTGTTTAACTCCAACTTTTAGATATATCAGATACCACAATGGATCTTACGAAATACATTGATGAATGCTGGGAATTGAGGATACCAAAACTGTGAACTAAACTGTGAATTAAACATATATCATTTCAAATAGTTTCAATTAAATTATCTTCAAGAAAGAAAAATAATGTTCCATATCTGTCTTTTCCCCCTAGGAATATGCTGTTTGGTTTGCTTTGTAGAAAGTGCTTTCCTCATGTGTTTGTTCATATAAAAATTTAATTGTTAACTTCTCAAAGATAATTGTATGATTGGAAAGAATAGACACAAAAATGTTTAAGAGCTAAATCTGTTTAGATTTATTGTATATTTGATTGACTGAGGAAATGACTTTCAGTTGACATCTGAGCCAACAAGTTAGCTGAAATAAAATTTTACTTAATACCTTTGCATCAATAATCTAGGCACAGCCTCATTGATTGAGAAAGTCTGATCAATAGAGTATTACTGGCTGCCTAACTGTAACTTTGCCAGACTTTTTTTGCTAATTCTGCTGATGACCTTCTTACCACTGCTTTTCAGGTTCACCTTTTTTTCCACTTTGAAATTCAATTTGCTCCATTTGCCATTATTTAAAGAATTTACACATCCAATTGATTTTATCCACCTGCTTTAGTTAGTATATGAGATGTAAAAGATTGCACCTGATTGTGGTAAAGCTTTGGAACTGCCAAAGTACTCATATATTTAGCAAATATTTTTATATCAAATATACTCAGGAAAAAAATTATCCATAACAATAAATTACAAGGCCTAAAAAATAAAAAATGGAACATTCCCATTTTTAAAAATGATGTGCATAGCACAGGATCCACAAGTATTAAAGAGGATATCATATTGAGGAAAAAAACAAATGGAAATAAGAGTGTGGCTCTGGTGTTCAGGATAATAAAGGGAAGGAGGCAAAAATATCCCTAATGGAGAAGGAAGGTTCATGGAATATATTAGAGCTTAATGAACTTTGAAAACAGTTATCAAAAACTGTGAAGAGTCTTAGAGTTTTATATTGCATACAGGCTAAGAAGTTCATCCGCCACAGGTTTATGGATGCTGGCAGAAGACACAAGACTCCTGGGTCAGAAACAAAGGACTTCATAATTCCTAGCAATAGCAGTAGCCAGAGTATCAGCATTTTTGCTGGTTCCCCAAACCCCAATTCCACAGAACAAAGTGAAGAGGACCAGGTAACACCTGCACATGCAATGTGTTGTGTTACAGAAGAGCAACTATGCATTTAGGGTATATGCTAATTTTTATAATAAAGAGTAAGCATGCCTGACCTTGATACCAGAGGGAGACACTATCACTTTTTGTTAAGGTTTTGCGCTACAAATATCTTTGTAATGATAATCCAGAATAAAACTCCTGTTTCTGCTTGCAAAATCTGCAGACACAGGAGAGATTCATAAAGAACTGTCTCCAAACAATTATTGGTTGTGAACATCTCATTTTAGTTATTAAAATCAGAATAGACTGAGACCTGAAGAACCACATTCCCCCAGTAAATCCCTAATTCCTCAATTTCTTGACCTCTTCACCTCCAATGACCTCTTCCAATTTAATTCAGCCACTCATTCTCATGGCTCAATGTGGACCTTGTCATCCCCTAGACCTATTCCATCTCTGAAAAAACTCAATTTCAACATCAACCAGTCTCTGACTACAGCATCCTCCCCTTTCAGCTCTCTCACCTAACGACTGCTGCTGTTCTTTAGGACCTCCGTTCTCACAATTCCTGTACTTCATCCCTATCTCTCAGCAGCCATTTGTCTTCACATCCTGTCCTTTCCAGTTTAGACTCCACTGTCCATCCTTTTAACTGCTCTTGTGTCAACATCCTCAACTTCCTGATCCCGTTCTTCTTCCTTGGCATTTTCGCAGTAAAACCTCAGTTTTGAATAAAACTAAGTACTAGCTTTTCTTTCAGATACACCTGCACTGCTGATCACTGCTAGTGAAAATGGTACAAAGCTGGAGACTGGTTTCAATATAAATTCATGGCCTCCAATATCAACCAGATTTTCAACACAGCATTTTTTAGCTCCATCACTTTTCTCAAATCTGATTCAATCTGGCCCACATGCACAAAAAACTGATATCATTTCCTCTACACACACACACACACACACACACACACACACACACACACACAAAGTCACTAGATGAAAATTCTCTCAATTTCTCAATATCAAACCTGCAAAAATAGCTGTAATGTCATCTGTCTTTTTCTTCTGCTCAAATGAAGGAAATGTCTCCCCCTCACATAAGGCTGAAGTTAATTCTCCTGTTTGTGCTTTGGAGTGTGTCAGAGCCAGCTAATTGTCCTCCAACATCCACTTTTCTTTTCTTCTGAATTAACATAACTACACAATTGCAGCTGGGCATGTGGTCATCCAGAATCAAGACTGTAATTTCCATCTACACTTTCAGTTAAGTGTGGCCATGGAATGAAAGCAGAAATTTATATAACTTCTGGGAAGCATCCTTAAAAGTAATGGATGTAATCTTCTCCCTCTTTCCGTATTGCTGTATGGAACTTAGATGTAAAGTCTAGAGCACTAATATTCAATAAAAATATAATGCAAACCATAAAGGCAAGCCATGTAAGTAATTTTAAATTTTCTATTAGTCACATTGAAAAAGTAAAAAGAAACAGATGAAATTACTTTTAATAACTAATACATTTCATTTCATCCAGAATGTCCAAATTAGTATAACTTCAACATGTAATTAATATAAAAATTATGTAGATTTGTTACATTTTGTTGTATTAAGTATTCAAGTTTCAATGTGCATTATACACTTATAGCACACCTCCATTTGGACTAGCCACATTTCAAGTGCTCAAGAGTACCACTTGGCCAGTAGTTAACATATTGGCTACCACAAGGCTAGCTAGAGTTCCACCTTGAGGCTTTTAGCCATGCACAATGAAACAACAATATGGAAGAAAATCAGGTTACTTAAAAGTGGTGCCACATAAGTACATACTATTTACCCAGACTTCTACATGACAGAAAAATAAATTTTCATCTTCTTTAGGACAAAGTTACCTGAGTTTTCTTTCATTTGCAGTTGAATCTCATTCCCTTCTGCTTCACCAGAAATGTATTTCCTTTCTCTGCTATACATGTTACTGCTACCATTAATTTGATCTTGCAGAGTAAAGTAAAAGCAACCTAACCCAGGGAAGGTAATATAGCATAGTAGTTAAGAGCACAGACTCCAGTGTCAGGCTACCATCAGTTTGATTTCAGCTATATACTTACTAGCTGGTGACTTTGGGAAAGATACTTAATCTCTGTGCCTCAGTTTCCTCATATGTCAAATGTAGACAATAATAGCACTATCTCATAGGATTCTTATGGTGTTAGGAAAAGTTAACATATACAAAATACTGAGAACAGTGCCTGGTTCTCTAAGCTAGTTAGATAAATCTTCATCTACATACCCTCCTTATGACACTTAACTATTCAAGGTTTTTTTAATCTTAAAAAACAGTAATAATAGCAAATCTCTCAACTGTTTGTCAGCTAATCCTTTATGGCCAAATTAAGAGTCATCTATATCTACATCTGTATTTACTCACCTACCACGGATGGTTCAGTTCACAGTCTGGCTTTAATTTTTACCCCTCCACTATAACTAGTCTCCCTGAAATATCCACTGACTTTTGTTGCTAAATCCAATGGATTTCTATTACTTCATCTCTATTGCATTAGAGAATTAACCATTCCTAACTTTGAAATACTCTCTTTTATTGGCTCACTGAGTTTTGGCTAACTTTTCTCAGTCACTTCTGTGGGCTCCTACTTTTTCAGCATCCTCTACTGCCATTTTCATCTTGAATTTTCTTTTGTTCTCTTTCTCTGTGTGCTCCCTAGATTGTCTCATCATTTCCAAGGTGTTTACAATATCTCAAGCTCATATAACATTCCCGTGCTTTACATCTATATTGATATTTCCACTTAGATGTTCCACAGGAAGAGTATTAGTTTAACTTCCAAACCTATTACTCTTACTGACATTCCTATCTCAGTCAATGGCCTGAACACCTGCTAATTGCCCAAACCGAGAGTATGGGCATTATCCTAGACTCCCCTTTCTCCCTCAGCCCTAGAAAGCTATCAACTACCACGTCCTCCCAATTCTGTTCCTGGAATAAATCTTTATACTCATCTTTCGATATTCCCACTGCCATCACCCATTAAAGCCAACATTAACTAACATTTGAATTAATAGCCTCCTGTATTATCTCCAGTGGCCAATCTTGATTTTCTTTGATCTACTCTTTGCACTAGATTTCACAATCATGATTGTTGACTCTCTTGCTTAAAAACATCTTCCCTTGTTATATCAGAAAGAAGTCCAAATTTCTTAAAATATTTTGCAAAACCTGTGTCATCTGGTATCTGCTTGCTTTTCTAATTCCGTCATTCATTCCCAGTCTCCTCATACACGATGCTTTAGATTCACTGAAGTTATATACCAGCTCTTGGAACGTACCATGTCTCTCATCCTGTAGCCTCTAGTGGGCGCTGTTGTTTGCCACCCCAGGATGTATTCTTTTCTACTGAGTAGCAGCTTGATTTCTGGATGCTGTTGACCCCAGCTCCAGAAGAATACTGTGAATGCCCAAACCATTTATTGTGACTCCATCTCCAATGTCCAAGTATTGGTTCAGGAATATGCACATAAACTAAGTTGGTCAATCAAAATGAATCCTGTGCTTTTTGATTGACAGTTGGGAAAAAATTATTTTCTATTTTTGGGTGTGTAAATGCAATGTCTAAAACTGACCGTTGTTTTGCTACCACAAGAAAATCCACCTTCAGAACAAACTCAAAGCAGAGACAAAAAAAAAGAAGGAAATTAAATTAGAACTCTAATAAATTTACATCTGAAACCCTCTAGACTTTTTAGTAACATGAACTAATAAACTCATGATTATTCACTTGTCTGAGTTGGGTTACCTGCCACGTCTCCCATTTCTTCACCTAGTTAACTCCTATTCATTCTACTCTGGCCTTTATGTGGACACCACCAGCATAAATCTTTCTTGAAGCAGTGTTGGTGTCCCTTCTCTATACTTTCACAGCACCTTGAAACATCTTTATCATCATGCTCATCTCAATGACTTATAACTGCCTGTTTGTTCCTGTCTCTCATGAGATTAAAAACTCTGTCAGTCTCAACACCATGCCTTTAATGCTCATTGTTGTTTTTCTAGCATTTAACACACCTCCCAGGACATAGAAAATGCTTCATAAATATGTCAAATTAAATATAGTTAATAATTGTGGAGTACTTTCCATGTCAGAAACTGTGCTAATAATTTCACATATTTTGTCTTAATTCCTGGCTACAGCAATTCTATGACACATGTACATTTATTGTTAACTATTTTAAAGGTTTAGATATTGAGGATTAGAGAGTTTAAACAATTTATCCATGTTCGCCTACCAATATTAGAGCTGGAATATGAAGCTTGGTAGTCTGTCTCTATAGTCTTAGCCACTACATTCTATTGTCTTTATAAGAAAAAAGTAATATATAAGAATCATATTTAGAACTCTTCAGTATTTTTCCAGTACTTTACTGTTGAGAAGCATTTTTTAATTCTCTTTCCAAATCTCTCTTTGCAGGATCAGAACGATGGAGCAAAATGATAAAAGTTTCACTTTAATAAGGAATGAAGAAAAAAAACAAAAACTGTGATCAGATTCTGTACTCTCAGTGAAACATTCCACTTAGTATGTCATGAGGTTAAGTTTGGACTTAGTGCTCCCAATCCTCTATTTTAATGTAGTTTCTTCATATTTCTTCACCCAAAGATAATTTATAACTAACTCCAATTAAGTTGGCGTTTTGAGAAGGGAATTTTTTACGACTGTGAAATTTCAGAACATTGAACTGGTGCTTCCAGCCACAAAGCTGGGAATACAGGATGGACAGCATTACGGCTGCATAACATTCCTGACATAACTCAATGTTTATTTGTAGAAACTAATGCCCCAGAATATTCTCTTGGGACCTGAAATCTCCCCTTTGCTCTTTTCCCCTGGTAGTTGATTCTTACTGTCCACTATCCAACCATAATGATGTAAAGTGAAATCTATTTTGCTTGTGGGGGAAAAAAAGAATGGTTCACAACTTCACTCGGTTTTTTTAGTTAACATATTAACACTTGTTTCAGAGTAATGTATTTGAGTACTCACAGCACGTTTTGAAGAAACAATACATGAAGCAAGTTCTCTGTTTAATAGATGTAGTCTCTAACTCAAATAATCTGGATTTTTTTTTTTTTTTTTGAGATGGAGTCTTGCTCTGTCACCAGGCTGGAGTGCAGTGGCACGATCTCTGCTCACTGCAACCTCCGCCACCCAGGTTCAAGCGATTCCCGTCTCAGCCTCCTGAGTAGCTGGGACTACAGGCGCGTGCCACCACGATCGGCTAATTTTTTTTGTATTTTAGTAGAGACGTGGTTTCACCATGTTGGACAGGATGGTCTCGATCTCCTGACCTCGTAATCCACCTGCCTCGGCCTCCCAAAGTGCTGGGCTTATAGGCGTAAGCCACCGCTCCCGGCCAATACGCTGGAATTTTTAGGTCACCATTTGAATGATTATTTTCGGTTTAGCAAACATTTTTAGCTGATTTAGTTTCTAAAATGCTTAAAATTAACTTTTGGCTTACTACATAAGTAATACTTGTTCTCTGTAGAAAAATTAGAAAAGCATGCATATAAAAAGAATATATAAATAATCCATGATCCCAACACTCAGAAATAATCACTTCAATTATATTGTAGATGTTCTCCCAGACTGATTTTGTGCATAAACACACCCACACACAGTTATTAAACAAATATGGGATTTTAGTCTATATCCCGTTTGATAAACTGCTTACTTTATTCAGCAATATTTGGTATACGACCAGTTTGGAATATAATGACGAAATTTACTAGACCAACCATGGTAAACAGAACTAAGACCTAGTTGACTTTATCTTTGCTTTAGTAGAGGATCCACAACAGTATGATACATCATATTTGCTTCATTCTGATTTAGAGGGAGTATTGACTCTTTTAAACTTGACAAACTTACTCAAGCTCCATAGATAAAACTGAGATATGCTGGAAAATATTCAAGAAAGTTTATAGTTCTTGAAAGCAAACTGTATAATTGAAGGAATAACTGAAGTCTGAGAACCTATGTTATCTTGATTGCTAATTATATCGATCAGTTGTACCAGAATCATTCAATAAGCCATGTAACTCCACAAGACTCTAACTATAAACCTCAAAGAAACAGAAAAATTGGAGGCAGAGGGATCAATCACAACATATGAAGATAAGTGACCCAACTATTCACCTTTCATTCACATAATTCGCATGGTGAAGACACAGACCTACTATGTCCTGTTTAAACAAATTTTCTTTATTATAGGCAATGATTCATATCATCTTTCAAAGGATTTAAAAATAGTCAGTGTGTGAAGGGCATTTGGAGATTTAAGCTTTCCCTGCTGCATGGTTCACTGCTAATATATCTGGGATATATCTATATTGGCACAAACATAACCAGTGAAATAATGTTTCAAAGATGACATTTTTAATGTAGAACAAAAAAGTGTGACCTAATGTTAATTACAGATGTCAATTATATTTGTGTTGTTTAGGGAACATTATGTCATTGGCAGTGTATTAAAAGATAGGCAGCCATAATTTGAAATCATTTTGGCAAGTTACTGTCTGTAGTGGAAAGGAACAGTGGCTGCCATCGACTAATCTCCCAAAGATACCAGAAAGCTTAGTGGTCCTGGAAATAAATTAGAAATCACTCGAAAAAATAAGAACCTTTGAAAAAATATGACTAAGTTGTGATGACTTTGGCTAAGAAAAAAGAGGATTTTATGATCTTATTGTTATTTTCAAGCTTAAGGAGGGAGATCATAAGGAAGATGGTGACCAGCTGTTCTTCAGGGTACAGGAGGAAATGGCTTAACTTGCAAGACAAATTTAAGTTGACATAATGTAAGAACTACTTGACAGCATTGAATTTTAATCACTTAAAATAGGCTCCTAAGGACAGCTGAGGGAAATGTCGTCTTTGAAAATCTTTAAGGTTATGATTATGATAAGCATTACAATTGGCTGCTGGGGTTTCAGTAAGTTCCTATCTAGAAAGAGAGCTGGTTTGAGGCAGGATTACTAAATAAGCCCAAGACTCTTCCTGCTCTACCTTTTGGTATCGTCCCATACAGCCACTCCAGAGGGATTCCAACCAAATGACTGGTTAATTTCTTAATTCACTCAACAGAATTGAGTGTCTACACCTTGCTCCAGTATATGGATTGATTACATTGATTTATTTGCCCATAATATATAGATGTAACACTTTTCACTGGATCCTGCATTTATGGGAGTCTTTCTTATTAATTGATATTTCTTTTTCTGTGCTTTCAAATAATAGGTCTTACGTGTATAACACAGGTATCACAACATAAGGTGTCCAGGGCTAGGAAGATATTAAGAATACAAAATGTATTTCTTCTAACACTGTGGCGAAATAGGTGGTGTTCACACCATCTAGGATTTTAAGATATCCAGAAAAGAAAGAGACGATCATTCTGGTAAATTTGCGTCTCTTATAACTTAAAAGTTTTTATTTGTTTCTAGATTTATTACAGGAAATCACCACATAACATAGGTTTAAAAGAAATCCCATGTAACATAAAAGCTATTCTAATGATGATGTCTAACTACTAAGATAAGAGACTCACCTGAAACAGCTTAGAGAGCCATTGAATTCAGTGGGAGATGTATGTGAGCATCTCAGAAGAAAATATAGGCATTGGGTTCTTAAATATGATAAAAGAGAATAATTAAGAGACTGGTAGTTATTGACAGTCTCAAAAAATGAAGCAATTAAAGGAATGAATTTCAACAGTAAGAAATGAAACACACTGGGTGATTTTTTTTAAAAAAGATGAGAGCTCTTAAAAAGGAAAAGGAAATTATACAAATTCAATTAATTCTATTTGAAAGGCAGTCTATATCACTCAGTATTTCAATATTCCTTCTGAAAGTGGTGAGGCGCTCAGATTCTGTTTCTTTGTATCAGGAAGTCAATTCTTTCAGGCCTATTCAGCCTCATCAAACTGGGTCTCCCACTGAGAAGCATCATTAGATGGCAGCTCTCCCAATCTTCCACCTGAGAAAGGGCCACTGAATTCTCAGATTTTTATCCCCCACTGCACTCTCTCATATCCCACTGATTTCAAAGGGAGCTGTGTATATTGAAGACAAATGCAAGGAGGCAGAAAGGGATGTTTGGATCCTTATATTCCTAAAAGCAAACACAGTTGTATAAGGAGGATCAATATTTTTCTACATAAGTTAATCGGGTGAATTGTACATAGCACAGGTATTTATCAAGAAAGGATGCTTTAATTGATTAATTTCATTCTTTTATTTATAAATTTATCTATAGGCAGAGATACCTACATCCTTTTAAAAAAATTATACTGTTCATGTTAGTACAACATAGGATATTTTTCTTGTGTGCTAAGGTTTGGGCTCCATGACCAATACCTGTAAGTTATACTTAAATATGTCACAGCTAAATTCTGATAATATCATATCACATTGTATCCATTTTATATAAACTGCTTCACCTTATGCAACAGGTGTAGTCGTGAAAGTTTTGGTAACAATTTAATTTTTAAAAATAAAAAAAATCTGTCCCCAGTGACCTAAATGAGTAGGGTATTTCAAGGAAATTTAGGATGAATCTTTCTTAAAATAATCCTCTGGAAAAAAAATCACAAAACTTTCCTTCTATATATACGTTTACTGTATTTTCTTAAAGGAGTACAAACATAAGCAATTTTATGCACCTATTTCTATGGCTATAGTCAGACATTGACTTAATAGGTATCTGACCTTACTTATTTTCCACTCTCTTAATGTCGATGTTCCACATTTGGGTCACTTTGTGTAAGATATCTATCAATGTGGTTTTTTTTTCAACTTTTACTTTAGAATCAGTAGTACATGTGCAGATACAAAGGTATCTATCCATATGTTCTAATGGATGTTTTTACTTTTATTTGCTTTGGTAATTATTTTAATGGAGAGTACATACAATATACTTAGTATTTGTTTTTAAATAAAATATACTGAATAAAACATTGTTAAGCTCTATTTAGGTAAGGATTAAAATTAGTAAAATTCATTTCCCCCTATCATTATTACTAATTGAAGAAGAAAAAATATATTTCGTTTCTCTTCAAATATTTCTAACATTTCCATAAAAAGTAAACACTTTTGCCATTTATCCAGTATCAAATGTCTCAACATTATAATGTATAGCTTTTCAATAAAATGCACATCAATTTTTTTACATTTATCTACACAAATAATAATGAATGCATTCTTATAAACCATTCAAACAGTATAGAATTTCCAGTCTCTTTGCTTGCTGTTCCCCCAATCTGCAATACTCTCTTACTTCATTTCAGTCTCAGCTTGAATGTCACTTCCTCTGAAATACCTTTGCTGTCCAGTACTTGCAATTATATATCTATTTGTTTATTATCTGTCACCAATGAGACACTCTGTAAAGGTGGGGTGAGGGACATGATGTACTTTTATTCACTATCTCCTAATTCCAAGAACAGTGCCTAGCATATATTAGACATATACCTTTAATTCAGTGGGTAAATGAATGGCAGACCCCCAAAAAAGTGCCTTTCAAAGAGGTTTTAGGAAGTATTACTAACATAGAAATGCACAAACTTCATGAGTTTGAAATTAAGCAGCCAATCTTATGTAACTCTTTTGATGTGACATCATACATTTTAAAGGCATAAAAAGCACAGATTACAAACAATAGAAATTCGGATAGATCTTATACCACCTGTGTGCTGTTACATGGCTCCCAGTTCAGCACAATTACCAAAAAGCCACTTGATATCAGTATCTCCAAATCAACAAATGCCAGCTCCTGAAGCCTCAAATGCAAAACATAAATTCTGAGGCAAGGGTAAATCGTATGTGATGCTGATTCAGATCATTATCTTTAATTGTTTCAGGTTTATAGTTGTCATTGGATCATTGATGTCAATGAATCGTTTCCACAATTAAAATGATTACTATACCTCATCCAAGGATCCCTGTGAATCTTCATGAATTTAAAATTTGAAACAGGATGAGGAGTATTCAGATGAGTGACAAAAATTATTTTTAAGTGAAAACATACAACTGGCTAACTCTTGTAATATCTTGTTGGAACAAATAATCTTTACGGTAAAAATTTTTCTGATCATTAGAATTCCCAAGTGAAAAATAGCTTTTCCAGAGTGAGAGTCAGTTTCTCATTTCCAAATTATGTAATCTTAAGTGAAGCACTGTCTAATATAGAAGCAATTCTTGAATTAGATCAAAGAATGACTATTTTATTATAAACTGATATCCTGGGGTACCCTAATTATTTGGGACATTAATATACACAAAATATGTAAATTTGTTATTAAATAATTTGGGGAAACATTTTTGAAAATCAAGTATTGGTGCCTCAGAGCCACTAATACGTAAATATGCATTGTGTTGCTCCTAAATGAGAACATGCTATGCATAAAGAGGTTCCTTATTGATTTACTATGGAATTCTGTTTTCAGAGAGCATCTATTGACAGTAGTGTTCCAAGTAGTACTATCTGTTGGATAATACTAAAGTTGATGAACTTTAAGACACTTTCCAAAATTCTGTTTTTAGATGTTTTATAAAGTCAACTCCTTAGAGCCCAGACAGCAGAGAGCATCTAAGCAACTATCTCTGAACTACACATCCTATTTCAAAAAAAAGAGGTTTTAAATTTTATCTCTGCCTAATATTTTATTCAAAACCAAAAATGGTTTGAGAGCTTAAAATAAACACCAAATATCTGTAGATATTGTATTTCAAAATCATTCCACAAAATTGTGTTCGGGAGGCTGAGGCAGGAGAATTGCTTGATCCTGGGGAGGCAGAGGTTGCAGTGAGCTGAGACCGTGTCACTGCCCTCCAGCCTGGGCCCCAAGAAGGAAACTCCATCTCAAAAAAAATATTAATTTAAAAAAATTATATTAATTTCTCATGGTACTGTGGGTTTACTTTTATGTTATTTTCCTGCAAAAAGGACATATGGTTAGGCTATTGTGTCCAGTGCTGAATAATTTGTATTAAAATAGCTGCTTTATAATCTAAATCCAGTATATATTTATTTATGTATCTTATATTAAACGAATTATGGTCACTTGATTCCTTCATAACCTTAAACTTAATGACAAAAAATCTTGATTACAATAGGTATATTGGTCAGTAAAAGTGTTGTATATCTCACTTATTTTAATAATAAATTTATTGTTGAAAACTTCCTTTATGTTAAAATTTTCAGAAACTAACACAGACATATCTCAGGCAATGTTTCTTTGCATAGGTTACAAATGAAATATGTAAACGTATTAAAAACTGTAAAATGAATTATATTTCAAATAAAAGTTATTTTTAATGTCAAACTGTTAATTAAAGTAGAAAAACCAAGTAACAATGCTCTGAGAGAGAGCATGAAAAAAATAAAGTAACAGTATTAGACAGCACAGGCTGTTATGTGTTTTGATGGCACAAGACCTTACCACAATCCCATCCTGAGAAAATGCTCAATAAGATACAACCTAATTCATGTGATGAAAGGCAATGTCCAAAAAAAAAAAAAAAAAAAAAAAAGAGTGGTAAATGGCAAGTGTACTTTTTGAAGTACCTGGGAATAAATACAGAAAGTGCAATCATGTCATCATTACTTTGTAAAAATATGTATAGTGGAAATAATAGATACAATGATGATAACTAATGAACTAAGGATAATGACAAGGAGTAAATTAAAATGCAGAAGCCAACTAAGCAGAGGGTAAAGGTTTTAAGGACCAAAAGTCTACATAAAAACAATGAAAAAATAAATGGGTAAAATATCCATTATAAACAAGCTTCCTTTTCCCTAATATTAGCCCCTGGCTTGCAAGGTGGTATTTACACTTGGTTGTGAGACCACATCATAGCCCCAGCAACATAACGTGTAGCAATTATACAAATTTCCATATACTCAGCACTCAACATAAGTAACAAGGGCCACCTCCAAATCACCAATTTCATTCAACACTTTCAAATAAACAATAAGTGGTTTGACAATATATGGGTTTGCCCTTCCTTTTGCTTTAATAAAGTGGTCAACAAAGTGCTATTAGTGCAATTTACAGTCTCCGAGTCAATGTGAATAATTAGAAAGTAGGTTAGAGGTATTTTTAAAATATAGTTTTTTCTTCACTCCAACCAAACAAAAAAGTTAGAGCCTTAATTGAAATGGTTACTTGTATACAATATTAATGCATATATGGTTAAGGATTTTGTCAGCATTTCTATTCAACTAACCTTGTTTCAAAGAATAAACAATTATGCTTTCAAAAACTAATGACAAATTTAAATGAGATATTCAAATAATGTGTTTCAAATAGTTAAAAATGTTCTCCCTTTCAAGAATATTAGGCAGAGAAAATTCAAAGATGCGCTTAAAAATAGAACAAAACAAAGATATGCTAATATTACTAATACTTTAAGAAAATTTTTCACTGAAAATTTTCCTACTTAGATTAGGTATACATTGGAAAATGTATGATGATCAGAACTTCTTTGCCATGATATGTCAGTGCTATCCACATATCTCTACAGAATTAGGAACAGGAAGAGCGCAGGAAATTTATGTGGCATAAATTTACACCTAAAACTATGTGGAGCATGTACTGTCTCAATCAACCTGGGTTTTCCTCATTTAGTGGTTTTCTGCTTTAACCCTGGATTGAGTCTGATACAGTTACGATTTATGGTTGGTGGGAGGGGTTAGGACTAAGCTGAAAAGGTAAAGGGAATAAAAAGAAGATTGTCTGCTTCTCTTTCTCTGACAATAGCCATCAGCAAAGCTAACTAGAACCTGAATTAGCTTGAGATGTTAGTAAAACACTAGTGACAGCAAACAGCTTTACATTTTCTCTTTTAAAAAGTTTAAACTATTCTAAAATGGACTAGGTTCAATATCTGGCCCAAATAATATCCCCAAAATGGTCTAGATCTAACTTGTTTTCCTTCTCTTTTTGCGTTTTCTTTAGATTCAGCCCAGGGTCAGAAATCCAGGCTCCTTTGCCCATCTAATAAGAAAGAATGAAAGTTGAAAGCCGCTCTCAGAAATGGACATGTAAGAAGACATACACAGGTAACACTGATACAATTCAGCTTTAGTGTTTTGAATACTATCATTAATCAGAATGGTTCTCTTCTGACTTTGATTCCAACCGTCTCACCAACAGTAAAAGGAGCCATTAATGAAAGTCTGCTTATCATTAGCCCTTTTACATTAGATTATTTCTACATCAAAGTAATTCTTTCAAGTTAAAGGTGATAGCAAAAGAATTCAAACCTGAACCATACTGATACTGTAGATATAACTACCAATTTACAGTAAATCAAACAATAGAAAAACATGTTGAATTACATTGCAGGTATGCAGTCAGACAAATACAGAATGCATCTATAAGGCACAAATATTGAAAGAAAAAAATAAAGAGGGAAAGGAAATGACTCTGGATGAAAACAAATCGAAGAAATAAACCAAATGCAACATTTTTTAACTTTTATTTTAAGTTCAGTGGTACATGTGCAGGTTTGTTACATAGGTAAACTTGTGTTAAGGGGGTTTGTTGTACAGATTATTTCCTCACCTAGGTATTAAGCCTAGTACCCATTATTTCTTTTTCCTAATCATCTCTCTCCTCCCACCCTCCATCCTCCATAAGGCCCCCATGTGTGTTACCCTCTATGTGTTTATGTGTTCCCATGATTTAGCTCCCACTTATAAGTGAGAGCATACCGTATTTGATTTTCTATTCCTGTGTTAGTTTGCTAAGAATAATGGCCTTCAGCTCCATCCATGTCCCCACAAAGGACATAATCTCATTCGTTTTTATGGCTGCATAGTGTCCCATGGTGTATATGTGGTGCATTTTCTTTATCCAGTCTATTGTTGATGGGCATTTAGGTAGATTCCATGTATTTGCTATTGTGAATAGTACTGCAATGAACAGATGCATGCATTTGTTTTTATAATAGAATGATCCCTATTTCTTTGGGTATATACCCAGTAATGGGATTGCTGGGTTGAATGGTATTTCTGTCTTTAAGACTTTGAGGAATTGTCACACTGTCTTTCACAATGGTTGGACTAGTTTACACTCCCAACAGTGTAGACGTGTTTCATTTTATCCACGACCTTTCCACTATCTGTTGCTTTTTTCTTAACTTTTTAGTAATAGCTATTCTGACTAGTGTGAGATATTATCTCATTGTGGTTTTGATTTGCATTTCTCTTATGATCAGTAATATGATTTGGCTGTGTCCCCACTCACATCTCATCTTGAATTATAGTTCCCATAATCACCACATGTCCTGGGAGGAACCTGGTGAGAGGTAATTGTATCATGGGGAGTTTACCTCCATGCTATTCTCATGATAGTAGTGAGTTCTCATGAGATCTGATGGTTTTATAAGAGGCTTTTCCCTCTTTTGCTCAGCACTTCCCCTTACTGCTGCCATGTGAAGAAGGACGTGTTGTTTCCCCTTCCACCAGGATTATAAGTCTCCTGAGGCCTCCCAAGCCCTGCAGAACTGTGAGTCAATTAAAACTCTTTCCTTTATAAATTACCCGGTCTTGTATATATCCTTATAGCAGCATATAGCAGCATGAGAAGGGACTAAGACAATCAGTGATATTGAGCTTTTTTTTCATCTGATTGTTGACTGCATGTTTGTCTTCTTTTGAAAAGTGCCTATTCATGTCCTTTGCTTACTTTTTTTATAGGGTTGTTTGTTTTCTTCTTGTAAATTTGTTTAAGTTCCTCATAAATTCTGGATATTAGATCTTTGTCAGATGCATATTTTGCAAAAATTTTTTCCCATTCTGTAGGTTATCTGTTCACTCTGTTGATAGTTTATTTTGCTGTGCAGAAGCTCTTTAGTTTAATTAGATCCCATTTGTCAATTTTTGCTTTTGTTGCAATTGCTTTCAGTGTCTTTCTTATGAAATCTTTGCCCGTGCCTATGTCCTGAATGGTATTTCCTATGTTGTCTTCCATGGTTTTTATAGTTTTGGTTTTACATTTAAGTACTTAATTCATCCCAAGTTAATTTTTATGTATCTTGTAAGGAAGGGGTCCAGTTTCAGTCTTCTGCATATGGCTAGCCAGTTAGCCCTGCACCATTTATTGAATAGGGAATCCTTTTCCCATTGCTTGTTTTTGTCAGCTTTGTCAAAGATCAAATAATAGTAAGTGTGTGGTCTCATTTCTGGGTTCTCTATTCTGTTCCATTTGTCTATGTGTCTGTTTTTGTACCAGTACCATGCTGTTTTGGTTACTGTAGCCCTGTAGTATAGTTTGAAGCTGGGTAGTTTGATGCCTCCAGGTTTGCTCTTTTTGCTTAGGATTGTGTTGGCTATTCAGGCTCTTTTTTGGTTTCATACAAATTTTAAAATAGTTTTTTCTAGTTCTGTGAAGAATGCCAATTGTAGTTTAATAGGAATAGCATTCAATCTATAAATTGCTGTGGGTGGTATGGCCATTTTAACAATATCGATTCTTCCTATCAATGAGCATGAAATGTTTTTCTATATGATTGTGTCATCTCTGATTTCTTTGAGCAGTCGTTTGTAGTTCTCCTTCTAGAGATTTTTTACCTTCCTATTTACCTGTACTCCTAAGCATTTTATTCTTTTTTCTGTCAGTTAGGAATGGGAGTTTCTTCCTCATTGAGCTATCAGCTTAATTCTGGGTGTACAGGAATGCTAGTAATTTTTGCACATTGATTTTGTATCCTGAGACTTTGCTGAAGTTGTTTGTCAGCTTAGGAAGCTTTGGGGCTGAGACGGGATTTTCTAGATATAGGATCATGTCATCTGCAAACAAGGATAGTTTGACTCTCTCCTAAACAAATGTAAAACAAATTAAGAAACAATTAAAACAAACTTAAGAATTAAGAAATAATTAAAACAAACTTAAGAAATAAATAAACCAAATGCAATTTTTTATCATGATTCAAACAAGTCAGTCAAAAAACCTACTCATAGCATTTAGGGAAAATTAAATACTGATTGTATATTAGATGACATTAATAATGTAACATTTTTAGAGTGTGAAGATGCTACTGTGATTATTTTTGAAGCCCTAATTTCTGAGTGACATATACTGAAGTTTAGATTTTAGATTTCAAAATGCAGTCTGAGATTTGCTTGAAGACAACTTATTGGTACATATAGGTGAAATAAGATTAGTTACTGACATTAATTATGAATAAAATGAATAAAATGTATTCATTATACTCATTTCTTTAGGTTTATTCAAAATTTTCCACAACAAAAGCTTTTAACGAACAAATAATGGTGATGATGGCAAGAGTGTGTTTGTGTGTGTTTGAGTCTTTATATTTTTTTGAGATGAATAATCATCAGCTAAGTTGAGAATTTCTCTTTCTCTACTGTAAGTAACTAATTTCTACAACAGGCTTCCCTATTAAAATATTATTTTACTTTGTCAAAGATCTGCATTATAGAGACAAATGTTAAAGAACCAATGCTGAGTGTTGGCTCATAGAGATGAAGCAAAGAGAAGGGAAGATTACTAAAGTATATAATTTCAGTGTAGTTTATACAAGGTAAGTTTATGTTAAAAATGGGACTCTTTAATAAACATTTAACAAATATCACATTGAAATGTAAATGACTGAAAAGTCTTCCCCTGAGATTATAAACAAATATAGGAACCTATTATTATCACTTCAATTCAGCATTGTATCAGAAATCCTGACTAATACAATAAGGCAAGAAAAACAATTTTAATGTAAAAATTAGAAAGGGAAAAATAAAGCTTTTATTAACTACATATGACACACATGTTAATGGGGAAAATGCAAAAAAGAACTTATTAGTACTCCCAAGTTAATTTATCAATGCCATTGCATAAAAACTCAATATACAAAATCAATTGTATTTATACATACTAGCAACAAGTAATTAAAAATTAAATGTATAAAATGATACTATGTATAATAGCATTCAAAACATAAAAATTCTAGGAATAAATTTCTTAAAAGGCATATACAAATGCGACATTGAAACATAGAAAACATTATTGAGTACAATTGAAGGTTAAAAGATAATAATAGAAAATACCATCTTCGTGAATTGGAGTGCTACTAGATTCAGTTTTGTAAAAATGTCAGTTTTCCCTAATTGATCTATTTATTTAATATAATTGCAATCAAAATTTCAGAAGGCTTTTGTTTTCATAAAAAGTCAATTCAAAAATATATATGAAAATTCCAAGAATATTCAAGACAAACTAGAAGAAGGAGTACAATGTTAGGGGATGTTCACTACCAGTTATAAAGATACATTGCAAGCTAGAGTAATTAAAACAGTTAGTATTGCTGAAAAAGATAGACAAAAAAAATCAATAAAACAAAACAGAAAGTATAGAAACAGACCTCCTATATGGCGAATTGATTTACATAAGTAGCATTGATTACAAAAGTAGCATGGCAGTGCAGGGCATAAAAGGTTATATTTTTTAGGAAATGATGATGGATCAATTAGATGTGCATATGGAAAAAAGTGAGTCTTCACCTACTTCATACTGAAGTATTCCAACTATTTTGTAGATCTAATGTGAAAAGTTTAAAAAAAAAATCTCCTTAGATGGAAGAATGTAAACAGGACAGCAAATGCATGAACCATAAATTAAAAATTGTTAAATCTAATTATATTACAATTAAAGGTTTATTTTTAATCAATAGGAAAAATTAAAAGAGTAAAAAGGCAAATCCAAGAGTAGGAAAATACTTCAGATTGAGAAAGAGAGAGAGAGACACAGTGGTTAGGAGAGAGAGAGAGAGATAGACATAAGTGTATCTCACAATGCATTTGTATACAGAATACATAAAGAACTTCTATAAGTCAATAAGAAAGTAGAAACCCAGTTAAAAATGGAAAAACTTGCTGATTAGGCACTGATCAAAAGAGAAAAACTAAAATGCTACCAAACACGACAATGTGCTTCACCTCATTAGTCAATTACAACTAAAATGGATTACTACCACACACCCCAGAATAACCCTAACATGACGGGTTAATAAAGATGCAAAGCAAGTAGAATTCTCATACTCTTCTGGAAGTATAAATTGGCACAGCACTTTTGGACAGCAATTTGGAAATGTCTACTAGTGCTGAACATATGCATCACCTATGGTCAACTAATTTCTCTCTATGGATATATGCACCAACATGTATGTCAAGAATGTTCATGGCGGCACTATTCATAATAGAAGCAAAGGGGCAACAACCCAAAGATACAGCAGTAGAATGGATAAATAAATTACAGTATGTTCAAACAATGGGACACCATATAACAACAAAAATGATTGAATCTCACAAATTCAATGTCAAATAAAAAGAGCAAGAACACTAAAAGTACATACAGTATGATTTATATACAGTATATAAATTTCAAAATCAGGCATAAATGATGTATGGTATTAGAAGCCAGGATAGTATTGACACTGAAGGGTGGTAGCGACTGGTGCCCCTGGACACAGGTAATGATTTTTTTCTTGGTGTGAGTCTTGATTGTATAGATGCAGTTACCTTATTAAGAAAAAACTCATCCAGCAATATATTTATTACTTATGTGCATTTCTATATATATATTATAGTTGAATTAAAAGTTGAATTTTAAAAATGGAAACAATATTTTTGCAAAGAGTCACTACATGACACCTTGTAGGAAGCAGTCACTATTATGTTTTCATATATTAAACTTGAATATTTGAGGTAAAATAAAAGAGCTGTGTAATTGGAGAAATCCTGGATCATTTGAGTTACAAATCTCTACAGCTAGTTCCACAAAATACTTGGAAATTTAGTAACCCTCTATAATTTCACTGAAAGGATGTATATAAGTACTGTTAGAAGTGACTGATAGCTGTCACTTATCTATATGACTCACTTACTATGAGTCACCTATGAGATATATATGTTTTTGTTTGTTTGTTCGTGCATTCGTTTTTGAGACAGAGTCTTGTTCTGTTGCCCAGGCTGTAGTGCAGTGATAGGATCTTGGCTTACTGCAACCTCTGCCTCCCAGGTTCAAGTGATTCTCATGCCTTAGCCTCACAAGTAGCTGGGATTACAGATGTGTACCAGCACACCCAGATAATTTTTTTATTTTTAGTAGAGACGGGGTTTCTCCATGTTGGCCAAGCTGGTCTCGAACTTCTGACCTCAGGTGATCCACCCGCCTCAGCCTCCCAAAGTGCTGGGATTACAGGGCGAGCCACTGCACCCAGCCAAGATATATACGTGTGTTTTTAATTTAGGTATGCATAAATCCATTTATTTTTCAGGTTAGACATACTAATGAAGAAAAAATGATTACATTATTATTTTTCTTTATTTACTCTACCATATTAATGCTTGACTACTTCATTTGTTTCCTGTAATTATGTCCTCTGAGACATGACTATGCCTATTGATCCAATTACACAGAAACTTTTGGGAATGAACCCATATAAGGCAAAAATATTTCCAAGGGCAAATATAAATTTCATGGCTAAACCAATTCTTATGCAGACAACACTGCAGTCATCAATGGTTGATCTTGTAGTTTTAAGGTTAAGCCCTGCATCAATATAGATGCGAATTTCCTTTCCAAATAGCCGTTCTGCTGGAGTTTCTCCTGTCATCAGTCAGTTTCATTTCTGATCAGAGAGCAAGCATGGAGATTTGGATTACGATGAACTACTGATTCCAAACTTCCTAAACACTCCTAATCCTCTCATTTTTAACGTAGGTATTTGGATATGATATAATCATTTATTTCACCATTTCCCTCCTTCAAAATTGTTGAAGGTTTATATTTAAATATATTCTACCTCTGTGTAAATTTGCTTTATTTAGCAATAAGCATAGAATTCTGCAGTTATGGGAATAAAACAAAATGAAAGTACTCCACAAAAAAAGGTGTAAGTATAGCATTACTGTTTAGAGAGTATCTATCTGTTCAACATTCTTTTCCAAAGAGCACTGAAGGTAAAACATAGCCACTGAATGATCAGCTTCCAATTAGATTTTAATGGCTTTTCATTAACATGACTTTTGTTAATATGTTAGTAGCTATATATTTTTTCTTAAAAGTGGTAAGTGGTAAATAAAATACAATGTCTCAAGCCATGTATTAAAAAATCAGCTTCATAACTGTGTCATTATACTTCATGCTTTATTTTGCTTATAGACATTTAAAGTTTAGAATATGGAAAATGAATATGAAATATATGTTCTAATTTATCTCATGTAGGCATTGTTGGTAGAGTTGCTATTTTTAAGAGAAAATCTCATTTCTCTCTTTAAGTTTTCCTAAAATGTGGGAAACCCTAAATTGTATGGGAACATGTAAGTGGTGTTTGTTTCTTCCAGTAAGTAGGTGGTTTGATTTCCCAGAGGGCAGGTGGTAAGCACAGGGAGGAAGTGAGGCAAGGCTTTGTGGGAATTATTTGAGCCTTAAAGAAATTTAGAAGGTTTGGAAGTTAAATAAGGTTCAAGTTGGTTCTTATTGTGAATGTCTAAACTGTTTTTCCCTTCCTTGGTGAAGTGCCATGAAGTCAGGTGTGAGTAGACTGTGAAATGGGCTTTTCTTGTGTAGCAAGCTTCAGCCAAATGGTGATTTTGTTTAAACACGTATGGCAGCAGCCTGTTTGGTGGGAAAGTTTTATATATAAACCTGAAAAACTGATCAAATGGAAATTATTCCTAAATTGTATTTAAATTATGGGATATATCTTCATTTTCTTCTACTATATTTAGGCATTTTTTAGCCTAATTAGTAAAGATTTGAGCTATGTATACTTAAAAGAATGTATTCTAATGTAATATAGATTAATTTTTAAGTATTAATAGGTATATACAGAATAACAACAATGTAAAGTGTGACTAAAAAACCACCTAAGTGAAAAAGACAAAGAATTGATTGTGCATTTGTCATACTGATGGCTCATTACAGAAGTTACTATGAAACAAATACCGTTGACATTTTCAATTAAGAAAACAAGAAAAAGCAAAAATGAATGCTCACATGGGTTTTCTGAAGGGGTTAATAATAATGATAATTCTTATCGGGGTTTCTGTTTTATAAAATGAATGCATGCTTATTATAGAAAATATGATAAAAGCTATAGCAATAATAACATGTATTTAAAGACTTGTATATTCTGGAATGTTATGTTATTGTATTAGTTCTCACAACAACCTTATGAGGTAGCCATTATAATTATTTAACATATTATAAAAGAGAAAACTGATATATAATTTCACTTTTTACGTAAGTTACACAGCTACTAAGGGGCAAGGCTGGGATTCAATTATATCTCTCTGAATCTATATTATAAACCCTCTAAAAAGTAGGAAAAAAAGAAAATAAAAATTGCCTACATTACCACAATTTTGATATAGATACATATATCTCCAGACCAACATGTAAAATATTTATAAATTCAGTATAGTTAAATGATAGTTATTGTGGATTTTTACTTAAAATTAAAATTCTTTATGAGTCCTTTCTATTCCCAATTATCAAGGCTCTACTAGGGTGTGTTGCTTAGAAAAACTTGATCAAAACTTACTCCATTTTCTAATTGAAAACTTTGTACTAAGTTAAAGGAGATGACATTGCTACTTTTCTTTCCTCATTTTTTCATGAATGCACTGATGAACACAAGATTGGTGGTCTTAAAATATAGGCTGCATTCTTTTTCATCCCACTTTGTTGCTGCATGTCCTTCTTACCAGTTTGAATGTAGATGGTCCAAGAATAGCACCTAACTATAAATCATCAGGTTTGATTTCTTCTGCCTTTAAAGTTGTATGCCTTTCTTAGACCTTGGCCACAACAGGCTCCGAGTTAATGTCCTTTGCAACCTCTGGGAAGAATGTTGGGGTTTTAGTAAATATTAAATGTTGCTTGTTGAGTGTTAGAAGCAATTTATTTCAGGGCCACAAGATCAAACTCCTGTGCTTAAACTGTTTGATGATCACCCCAGCCACACCCCTATGGCACATTGTTTATGAACTTGAACTGTTCAAGTTCAGTGTGATTGTTAAGATGGTGCACTGATTGGTGGTCATGGTCCACTGAAGTGAAACTGAAACCTGGCTTTAGCCATTGAAGGAAATACCCAGTATTTAGGAGCTGCTGAAGTACAGAGAAAGACCATGACAAGGTTGAGTTGATGTACTTATGTGTTTTGTTTGCTTTCAAAATAGTTTCAGCAGTATAACCTTGATGCTTATGAAATAATTTTATGGAAGAATAGCCATATCAATCACTTTTACTTAATAAACGTGCATCGATTTATTTGGGCTTAAGACTTTCTGCTTAAAGAGGTACCGCCAAAATTTATAGAATAAGAAAAATCAAGAAAAGCTGGAATGAAAAGCATTATTATACCAAATGAAGTTGTCTTATGTTGTACTGGATTTATTGTCATTGCTAACAGAGTTTTTTTCTTTATTATGTACAATGAAATCAAACCACTTCTGACACAAATGAGCACAACTATGTAGTATTTTATTAATACTTCTTAAGAAAATTATCAGATAGTGATAAGAAAAATTCAGAAACCATGGCCTAATTTCAACTTCCACCATTGAATTGTGGGGAAGAGCATGTCAATAATCTTTGTTTTCTGGAATTGTAAAGTGGGTACAATTTCCTAGTTTTTACAAATATTGCAGAAGATACGAAGAACGAACCTGTCATTTTCATTTTCAAGAAGAGGGATGATTAGCACTCTTCTTAACATTGGACCCAAATGTTTGATAGAATATAGAGGGGAAGAAATAGTAATAATTCTCTGAAATATCATTGATCTGAGCAAAATAGCCATGTCCTAAATAACCACAAAACCACCAAAGGGAATAAGGGAAGGAGCTGATCTTTTCTTTCCCTTGTCTGGCCTAAATACCAGTTCAATACTCTTGCTACTTTGGGGCTAAATTAATCATATACACTCGGTTACAAATGTATCAATTATTTAGATAAATAAAAACATTTGGCTCCCTTTCCAGATTTTTCAGCTGTAATTGGAATATTCTGTTTTACATAATCTACCACCTCAGAGCAGAAGCAAATATAGCAAGAACTAAGGTATGGAGGTACCTCTCTGGAAAGCTAATAATTTCACCAACTGGCCTTCCAGGCCCTCCTTAAATCATTCTCCCAGCTGGGACTTCAGTGTGAATTCAGTGTCCCTTGTTGTAGTACGAATAACCTCTCTCTGTTGAATGAGGAGAGTAAAAGGGCAGAAGCCACCTTCTGTGGGTGTATATGATCGTGTTTTCTCACCAACATGAAATCACAGAACGATTTCTTTTTTGGTTCTACAAATCATTCCACATTTTTCTTAAGAATTCCGTGCTAGATGACGAGTTGGTGGGTGCAGCACACCAGTATGGCACATGTATACGTATGTAACTAACCTGCACAATGTGCACATGTACCCTAAAACTTAAAGTATAATAATAAAAAAATAAAAAATAAAAAAAAAGAATTCCTTAAATCAGGATTATACCATCTTCCACTAATTTAGAAAAAGTATCACGTTCATTTTTATGGGAAATGAAGTAAACATTACCCTGCTTAATATTAGTCATCTATGATTCTGCAGTAGAACATGTCCAATCCAAATATCTGTATGAGATTTTACTGCATAAGAGATAGAGACAGAGAGATTCACATATAAGCATTCCCTTGAAGACAAAAGTTCTGTTAGGCTGATGTGAAAGTAACTGTGATTTTTGTCATTAAAATTGTAAAACCACAATTACTTTTGCAACAACCTAGTAACTATAGTAACATCTGCCATAAGAAATTAAATAGATTTTAATCTGCACATCAAACCAGATATCCAGATAAACAAATTTGTCTTTCTCTGAATTATTTTTATTATTATAATCATCATCTATCATTCTTCTACATTGTCTTTATTTCTTCTTTATTAATAGATATCTGTGTGTAATTTAATCTACCACTTGCACTAAAAACAGGAAAAAAAAACTCCTAAAAATTAGATGAGGGAGACTTTCAGTTGTATCACCAGGTATTTTATCATGTATTTCACTATAAATTCTCATTAATTCCTGTTTATACTTATTGAAATTTGCCACAATGACCGTGACATCTAGAAAGAGTACATAGTTTACACAACACTACTAACTGGCTCTAACCTGGTGGGTTTTTTTTTTTCTGCAAGTGTTGACTTATAAAGAGAGGGAAACTATAGAAAGTAAATATAGTGAGAATGGCTTCATTCATCATATAATCTCAGAATTTAGGTATTCTTTTAATAGAAAATCCCACATCACAAAGGGGTAGTCTCCGTATATTCCTCTGTTGATCATGTTATTGGGAAACAGAGTCCTACTACAAATTCAGGGCATCCTGTTTGTGGTAGAGATGAGCTTCTCATCTTTTCCATGTGTATTCTATCTTTTTAGTATAGATGGTGAAATTTACAGTAAGCAATTGCCTGCCTGAAACCAGGATATGCAGAAGTCAAGTGCAAAGTCAAAAACAGGACACAAATATCCTTATCTCTAACCTCTTACTCAGTCCACAGCACTGATTTTCTCTTTGCTCTATGGTAGCAATAGTGGGCATAGCTAGATGCCAGGTAGTGGTTCTTTCTGTCATCAAGAAATAAATTTCATGGGTAAAAGAGCTCAGCTAGTCACTCATTGCAAAGCACTTTGAAAATGGAAAACCAAACATAGTGTAAGTGCTAGGTGATGCTATTATTCAGAAGGTAAGAAACTAAGTACAGAGCCATCATTATGATTATTTGTAACATGATTGAGCAACATAAGTTTCACTACGAAATTTATTTTAGTACGACAGCAGACCCTGAGGTAATAACTGGAGGCTTTGATTATATGAACCAATTAGTAGCATTCTGATGCTTAAATATTTGCAGGGCATCACAAAACAATAATGATCATATAGGCAATGTATTTTTCTTATGTCACTCTACAAATAAGAAACACACTTCTGAATGGAGTAGTGCAGTGATCCTTAAAATGGAAACTTTGATGAAAGAACTGACAAAGAGTGTAATGACTCATAGTACTTAAAGTAAGACATTTAAACAAACTCCTCCAAAATTTTCCCACTGAACATGGAGCCTCTTGTTTAGGGAAAACTGGTACTACTATAACATAATCATACATCTTTATGTACGATTCTGTTCAGAGAGTCAGCTTTACCACCCTTAGGAAAGAGCTCCCAGGAGTAACCGTGAAGTGAGGCAAGTGAAAGTGACATGTCATTTTTATCTTAATCTCTTGGCTCTTGTTTATATTTCTTCCCCTTCAGGCATGACCTTTCTCTTTTATTTCATCTATCTAACTTTGACCTAGTTTTGAAAGTCCAACCCATGCCCCCAAATCCTCAATGAAGTCTTCACTGAGGAGTTCAGCTCACATTGCCAGCTCCCTTTAATTAACTGGTCAGTATACAACATTAAAGTATGTTCCAACTTTTTCTTATAATTTTTAAACATAGAGAAAATTGGAATTAATAGTTTAGAAACTACCCACATATGCAACTGAATACATATAACACCAAATTCAACAATTGACATATTTTCTTGTCTTTAATTTTTTGCTAAACTATTTCCAAATAAGCTGTGGAGATAATGATACTTCATCACTAAGTGCATCAGCATACATTTCCTAAAAGTAAAGGTATTTTGCTACATGGTCCTAACACCATTGCCATACCTATGAAAATTAAAAATGATTCTATAGGTTGGTGCGGTAGCTCATGCCTGTAATCCCAGCACTTTGGGAGGCTGAGGTGGGTGGATCACCTGAGGTCAGGAGTTCCAGACCAGCCTGGCCAACATGGTGAAATCCCATCTCTAATTAAAAAACAAAAAAAAATGAGCTGGGCCGGGCGTGGTGATGCGTGTCTGTAGTCCCAGCTACTCTGGAGGCTTGCTCAAGCCCAGGAGGCAGAGGTTGCAGTGAGCCAAGATTGCACCACTACACTCCAGCCTGGGTGACAGAATGAGACTCTGTCTCAATAATAATAATAATAATAATAATAATAATAATAATAATAATAATAATAGTAAATGATTCTATAATCTAAAATAGAGTCTGTATTAAAATTTGCACAGTTGTCCCAAATAGCATTTAGATAGCTGGCTTTATTGAACCAGAGAATCCAATTAACATCATGTTTTGCATTTAGGGGTTGATTGCTATGCCTCTTTCCGTCTTTAGGTCTTTTTCCCACTCTTTGGTCAGAAACATCCGCTCACTTTTTAAAATCTTTTTGAAGATACTCAACCATGAATTCTTAATAATATCCCACAACATGAATCTGTCTGACTGGTACCTCATGCTATAATTTAAAGTTTATCTACACCTTGAATTTTCTGTAAAAGGAAAATAACTCAAAAAGTTTGATTAAATTATTCTTAAATGTTTTTGGCAAACAAATTTTATAGGTAATGCTGTCACCTATACATCATATGAGGAGTCACATAATTTTAGACTTTTTGACTAATAATGATGCTAATTTGGATCATGTTTAAGGTGATGGCTGAGAAAATTAGTCTTTGAAAAACCTCACTTTTCCCTTTTCAATTGGCAGGTAATGCTTCATAGTTCTAATATTTAATCTCCAACTTTCTTCCTGTTTTGTATTTCCTGCTACATGTAACATTCTAAATTTGGGAACTATATTTGAAATTATATTCTATTAGCTACAGAGTCTATAACATCACAGTGCTGAGCATTCAGTAAGTATCTAATGAATACTTATTAACTAAAGGATTTGCAACATCAAAATCAGACACATCCTAGCTCTTAATGACTCAATATTTGGCTATAGGCAGGTAGATTGCCCAAAGAAAATGTGCCTAACTTCTGCTTCAAGTTTTGATGAAATAGTTTTAGCAGACTCATGTTCCCATAAAGATAAAAAAATAGAATTCAGATATTTCAGAGTTTCCAAGGCAGCCAATATTTGAAAGGCCAAAATATCATAAATAAGTAATGTTAACTGAGATGACTCCTATAATCTGTATACCTCTCTTCCTCTTGGGGCATATACTGATTCTTGAAAGGAGTAGAATGAGACGCTAAGAATCCACAAAAGAAGTTTACTTCTAAGAGGGAAAGAAGCCACTAGGGCTGAAAATAATGTCATGAAGCTGGAAAGACAAAAATTAGAGTTCACAAAACCCAAAGCAGTCAAGACATGAGGAACCAAGATCTGTAAGAAAAGTGAAGTTCAGAGACATTAACCTAACTTCTGGCAATTATTTACATAGTAAGAAGTTTGCCAAATTCCTAAGTTTCACAGCTCAAAAGGCTAAGAAGCCAAGCAGAAAGCATCTTTTAAAAATGTAGAATTTCCATGTTGTATATGTGCCACATTTTCTTAATCCAGTCTATCATTGATATACGTTTGGGTTGGTTCCAAGTCTTTGTTATTGTGGATAGTGCCACAATAAACATACATGTGCATGTGTCTTTATACTAGCATGATTTATAATCCTTTGGGTATATACCCAGTAATGGGATTGCTGGGTCAAATGGTATTTCTAGTTCTAGATCCTTGAGGAATTGCCACACTGTCTTCCACAATGGTTCAACTAATTTATACCCCACCAACAGTGTAAAAGCATTCCTATTTCTCCACATCCTCTCCAGCACCTGTTGTTTCCTGACTTTTTAATGATCGCCATTCTAACTGGCATGAGATGGTATCTCATTGTGGTTTTGATTTGCATTTCTCTGATGACCAGTGATGATGAGCATTTTTTCATGTGTCTTTTGGCTGCATAAATGTCTTCTTTTGAGAAATGTCTGTTCATATCCTTTGTCCACTTTTTGATGGGGTTGTTTGTTTTTTTCTTGTAAATTTGTTTGAGTTCTTTGTAGATTCTGGATATTAGCCCTTTGTCAGATGGGTAAATTGCAAAATTTTTCTCCCATTCTGTAGGTTGCCTGCTCACTCTGATGGTAGTTTCTTTTGCCATGCAGAAGCTCTTTAGTTTAATTAGATCCCATTTGTCTATTTTGGCTTTTGAAGCTAGAAACCATCACTCTCAGCAAACTATCACAAGAACAGAAAAGCAAACACCACATGTTCTCACTCATAGGTGGGAATTGAACAATGAGAACACTTGCACACAGGGAGGGGAACATCACACACCGGGGCCTGTCATGTGGTGGGGGTCTGGGGGAGGGATAGCATTAGAAGAAATACCTAATGTAAATGATGAGTTGATGGGTACAGCAAACCAACATGACACATGTATACCTATGTATCAAACCTGCACGTTGTGCACATGTACCCTAGAACTTAAAGTATAATTTAAAAATGTAGATTTTTTGTTGTTTCATAGTACTGAAAATAAAAAAAATAAACTGGAGTTAAGGACATGCAGAGGATAGGGATTCTGGTAAGTAATTAAGACTCTAAGTTAGGAACCCTGAATGGAAAATCTTAGGAGTGGGGATAAACCCTAGGTAAACCACCCCAATTTTCCCCTGAGAAATAGAATCTATAACAAAGTATCAAGGACTGAAACCCCCATCATAAATCAGCTCAGTCTCTGATTGGCTTGTGGTGATCTATGCTACTCTAATTTCCCACCACATCTATCCTACTCTAGGTGATTCTCTGAAGGAACATAAATAACATCTTCTAGAGTTTCTACAATGTTTAATACACAATATCCAGCAGCTATTCAAAAATTACCTGCCACACAATGGAAAAGGACTCGATTTTTTAAATCCAAAACCAAAACCACAATAACAAAAAATGATAGCAACACACACACAGGCAACCAAGATGTAGGAATTGCCTGAGATTAATGTTTAAATAACTGTTATTGGTATGTTTTTAAATGATAAAGTGAAAATTTTCACCTGAGAAATAGAATCTATAACAAAATATCAAGTAAAATCTAGAACTTAAAAAGAGAAGAACTGAAATGCAAGACTCAGTAGATGGGTATAAACCCAGATTGGAGACATAAAAAGAGGATTAGTCAGGTTGCGAATAACAGTAGAAAATACAAGGACTATGACATGAATATAAAAGAAAATTAAATATGCAGAAAAGTACATAAAAGATGTAGCAAAAATACATACATATGTGTAACTGGTATTTCAGAAAGAAAGAAAAGAGAGATTGTGGCTAAAGTAGTATTTTAAAATATTGGCCAAGAATTTTCCAAAACTAATGAAATAAGTCACAGCTTCAAGAACAACAAAACCCTAGCAGAGTGAACAAAAAGTAAATCATACCTAGTAAAAACATTCAAAACCTAATGAAAACGAAAGAGCATGCAATCTTAAAAGTACTTAAAGGGGAAAAGAGCACATTTACCTTGAAAGGAGCATTTTTATCATGGCTTCTCAAATGACACAGCTGAAGATGAATCACACTTGAAAAACACGTTTAAAATACTGAAAGAAAATGACTACCAATCTGTAATTCTATATCCAGCTAATATTTCTTTCAAAATAAAACGTAAAATAAATTATAAACTTATGAAAGCTTTTAAATTATTTAAAATTCAAAGCTAAATTATTTAAATATTTAAATCTATGATCAACTTTGAGTTAACTTTTCCATAAGGTATGACATTTAGGTTAAGTTTTCTTTTTTCTTATTTTGCCTATGTTTATTCAATTGCTTCAGTGCTGTGTGTTGAAAATGTTACTCTTCCTCCACTAAATTGCTTTTACACTTATGTTCAGATAATTTGGCCATATTGTATGGTGCTGTTTCTAAGATCTCAATTCTGTTTCATTACTTTTTGTAACTTAATAACACACAGTCTTGATTATTATAATATCTACAAATGATTGAAATTGGGCTAAGAGATTTCTCCCATTTTATTCTTCTTCAGAATTGTTTTTACTATTCGAGTCATAGTGTATAAATATTTTTATATATTGCTTAATTCTTTTTGCTAATGGCTTGTAAAGAATTTATGTATCTCTATACATGAAGGATTTTGTTGTGTAGTTTTCTTTTTTATACTGATTTTGTTTGGTTTGAGAAAGTGACTTCATAGAATGAACTGGGATGTGTTCTCTCCTCCTTCATTTTCTGGAAGAGCTTATGTAAAATTGGTGTAAATTCTTCCTTTAGCTTTTGGTATAACTTTTTAGTGAAGGTATCTGGGTCTGGATTTTTTGGAACGTTTTTAATTATAATTTCAATTCCTTCAAAATTATAGGCAGTAGGGTTTTATAAGACTATTCAAATTATCTATTTCATATTGAAAGAGTTGTGGTAATGTGTAGTTTTCAAGGAAATCTCCTTTATTATTATTATATTTATTTCCTCTAAGGTGTCCAACTTATATATAGAGAATTGTTTGTAGTATTCCTTTATAATTATTTGATTCTCTTATAATTCTTATTATCTTATAATTATTTTGTTATCTCAATATTTTATACTGTATGGTAATTAATGTCTTCTCTATATTTTATCATTTTTATCGGTTGTTTCAAAAACTAGCCTTTTGTTTTTAATTCTTTTCTCTATCATTTTCTCTTTTCAATATCATTGACTTCTCTTTATTATTTTCTTCCTTCACTTATTTTGGGTTTAGGTTGCTCCCCTGTTTTTAGATTCTTGAGACAGTAGCTTATATTATCTACTTGATACTTTTCCTCTTTTCTTTTAAGGCAGGATCTCACTCTGTCACCCAGGCTGCCCAGGTAATTTTTTTTTATTTTTAGTAGAGGTGGGGTTTTGCCATGTTGCCAGGCTCTTTTTCCTCTTTTCTAATGTAAGTATTAAATGCTACAAATTTTCTTTCCAGCACTGCTTTAGCTACATGTTACAAATTTTGAAATGTTATGTTTTTGTTTACATTTAGTTTACTGTGTTTTTTAAAGTGTCCCCAGACTTTCTCTTTGATTCATGGATTATTTAGAAACATATGATCTGTTTTTCAAATGTTAGGAAAACTTTTTGATTGTCGTTGTTGTTACTGATTTCTATTTTGATTTCTTTGTGGTCAGACGACACAGTCTGTATGTTTTCAATTCTTGTATATTTGTTGAGGTTTGTTTTATGGCCCACGATATGAACTACCTTGATATATGTTCTATGAGAGTCTGTAAAACATGTGTATTCTGCTGTTTAGGGGAATAGTCAACAAAATTTTATTTGTTTCTGTTGGTTGATGATACTGTTGAGTTTTTTCTATAGCCTTGCCAATATTTTTTTTTCTTTTTTTTTTTTTTGGAGACGGAGTCTCGCTCTGTCGCCCAGGCTGGAGTGCAGTGGTGCGATCTCGGTTCACTGCAAGCTCCGCCTCCCGGGTTCACGCCATTCTCCTGCCTCAGCCTCCCGAGTAGCTGGGACTACAGCCTCCCGCCACAACGCCCGGCTAATTTTTTGTATTTTTAGTAGAGACGGGGTGTCACCGTGTTAGCCAGGATGTCTCGATCTCCTGACCTCTTGATCCGCCCACCTCGGCCTCCCAAAGTGCTGGCATTACAGGCGGGAGCCACTGCGCCCGGCCTTTAGTCTAGTTTTTATGTCAATTGTTGAAAAAGGGGTATTGAAGTTTCCAGCTCTAATGGTGGATTTATGTATTTTTCATTTAAGTTTTATCAGTTTAGGCTTCATGGATTTTGAAACTGCTGTTGATATGGCACATATACATTCAGAATTATTACGTCTTCTTGCTGTATAGACACTTTTATAATTACGGAATGTTCCTCTAATAATAATCTTTGATTCGAAGTTTACATTTTTGCTCTTCTAAAAATACATATTTTTAAGTGAATTTCTTGTATGCAGAATAGAGTTGTATCATGTTTTCTTATCCACTGTTTCATAAAGGTCTTTTAATTGGTGTATTTAGACCATTTACAATAATGAGATTGTCAGAGGCATTTGAACCAGAGCAATTCCATCTTGAACAGGGGCTAGGTAGAATGAGGTTAAAACCTACTGGGCTGCATTCCCAGGAGGTTAGGCATTCTAAGTCACAGGAAGAGATAGAGGTCAGCAAGAGATACAGGTCATAAATACCTTGCTGATAAAACAGGCTGCAGTACAGAAGCTGGCGAAAGTCCACCAAACCAAGATGGCAATGAGAGTGACCTCTGGTCACTCTCACTGCTCATTATATGCTAATTATAATGCATTAGCATGCTAAAAGACACTTCCACTAGTGCCATGCCAGTTTAACAATGCCATGGCAACATCAGGAAGTTACCCCATATGGTCTAAAAAGAGGAGGAACCGTCAGTTCCGGGAATTGTCCACCCCTTTCCCAGAAAACTCATGAATAATCCACCTGTTATTTAGCATGTAATCAAGAAATAACCATAAAAGTGGCCAACCAGCAGCTCATGCTGCTGCTCTGCCTGTGAAGTAACCATTCTTTATTCATTTACTTTCTTAATAAACTTGCTTTCATTTTACTCCATGAACTCAACCCAAATTATTTCTTGCACAAGTTCCAAGAGTCTTCTTTTGGGGTCTGGACTGGGGCCCCTTTCCAGTAACAAGATGAGAATGTAGAAACTTAAATCTGCCATTTACTTTTGGTTTTCTGTTTGTTCTTTCTCTTTTTCATATCAATTTTCTTATTCTTGCCTCTCTACAAGTTACTTGAACATTTTTAGAATTCCATTTGATTAATATAGGATGTTTTGAGTGTACTATTTTGTGTATCTTTTTAGTGATCATTTTAGGCATTACATTACACAGATATTACTTATCAAAGTCTACTGGCATCAGCAATTTACCAGTTGGAGTGAAGTTTAGAAACCTATCTCTCTCTCCCATTTATAATATTAGTATAGTTGTCCTAAATTAGTATAGTTGTCCTAAATATTTTCTCTACAGATATTGAAAGCCAGACACTTAAAATTTTATCTTCAATAATCAAAATATAACTTTAAAAATTTAAGAAAAAATAGGACAGTTTATTGCATTTACTCATTTTTTTTAAATTATGTTCGTTCCTTTCTTCTTTTATAATTTTCTTTCCATTTAGGGAACTTCCTTTAGGCATTTTTTTAAGGTAGGTCTCCTTGCAACAAATTAATTTTTTCTTCATCTGAGAATGTCTTGATTTACTACATGACTGAAAAATATTTTCATTAGATGTGGAATTTTAGTTTGACACTTGTTTTCTTTTACTGCCTTTTAATACTGTGCCACTTCCTTTTGGCCTCCATGATTTCTAATAAGAAATCTACTGTTTTCCACTATGGATAATGTGTCATTTATCTCTCTCTGGCTGCTTTATATATTTTCTCCTTGTCTTTAGTTTTCTGAAGGTTGACAATGAGGTGTTTTAGCGTAAATTACTTTAGGTTCGTCCTATTTGTCATTGAGCTTCTTAAATTTCTAGTTTTTTTTTTTTTTTTTTTTTTTTTGCCTGATTTGGAAATTTTTCTGCCGTTATTTCGTTGAACAAACTCAGAGGACCACCTTCTTTTTTCTTTCCTTCCGAAACTTTGATGACACAAATGTTAGATCACTTATTACAGTCCCACGGGTCACTACGACTCTGCTTATTTTCTTCAGTCTATTTTCTTTACATTGTTCAGATAATTTCTATTGTTCTATCTTCAAGTTGAATGATTCGTTCTTATTTTTTGTCTATTGTGTTGTTGAACCCATTCCCTAAGGCTTTTATTTTCGATTTTGCGTACTTTCAGTTCAAAAATTTGCTTGGTTCTTTATAATCTTCTATTTATTTGCTGAAACTTTCTATTTATTGTTTGTTTGTTTCAAGCAAGTTTATAACTGCTCACTGAAAATTTTTTTTATCTTGGTTGTTTTAAATTCCTTGTCTAATAATTCTAACATCTATGTCATCTCTTTGTTGACATTTGTTGACCTGATAGCTGGGGTGGCATCAGAGGACTCAAAGTGGAGTCTCAAAACTTTTACCACTGCTCAGCAATAACAAAGCCATAAGATCTTAGAATGTGGAACATTATTAAGATAAAGAAGGAAAGTATATAATGATAAAAATGTTCCATTCATCAATAATCTTATTAATGCTAATTTTGCATGTACAATTATTAATAAGAGCTTAAAAATATATGAAACAAAACTAAGAGAAAATAAGCAGAAATAGAAAATTCACATTTATAATTGGATACTTCAACATTCCTAAGTAATCAATACAACAAGTAGACATAAAATCAATAAGGATTCAGAAGTCCTGAGCAATATTATCAACCAGCTTGATCCCATTGATATTTATGGGACACTTCACATGAAAATAACAAAGTATATATTCTTTCTAAGCACAATTGGAGCTTTCACAAGCTGGACCATTTTCTGGACATAATACAAACTGTAACAATTTTAAAAAGACTAAGATGATGACATTGTTTTCACCCTAAGGGAATCAAACAAGAAATCAATAACAGAATGATATCTGGAAAATACCTGAATATTTTGAAAATAAAAAATACAATTCCAAATAATATATGGGTGAAAGAGGAAATCGTTGAAGAAATTAGAAAATATTTTGAATTGAAGGAAAATGAAACAATATAGCAAAATTGTGGGATGTAGCTGGAACAGAGCTTAAAAGAAATTATATCAATAAATGCATATAATAGAGAAGAAATATCTCAAATCAATTTTCTAAGCTTTCATCTGAAGCAATCAGAAAAAGAGGAACAACTAAAACCCAAAGTGAGCAGAAAAAAAATAAAAGTACAGTAAAAATCAAGTAAATTGATAAGAAGAATTAAAGAAAAATCAAGAAAACCAAACCTAGTTATTTGAAAAAAATTTTAAAAATTTATAAACCACTAGTCGAAACAGCACACACACAAAAGTAGGCAGACTTACCAGTATCAGCAATGAAAGAGAGAGTATCATTAAAGACTTTTCAGCCATGAGTAGGATAATAAGAGCCTATTATGAAAAATTGTATGCCCCAAAATTCAACAACATAAGTGAGATGAACCAATTGCCTGAAAGATACAAAATCCCAAAGCTTATATAAAAATAAACAGATAAACTGCATAGATTTCTATTGATAAGTGACATTAATCATAGTTAAAATCTTCCAAGAAAGAAAACTCCAGGCACTAATGGCATTACTAGAAAATTCTACCAAATATGTTAGAAGGAAATGTTAATTCTACACAAACTTTTCTAGAATATAGAAGAGAAGGGAGCATCCCATTGCATTTTATGAGACCAGAAAAATCCTGAGCAAGTCATTACAGTAAAAGAAAATTACAATCTAAAATTATGGATATAACTTAAAAATCAGCAAATTGAATTCAGCAGTATATCAAAAATATACTAGTGCTTATATTAAATGTAAAACATTACAATACTCCAATTAAACAACTAAGATAGGTATGTTTAAAAAAATCAATAAAATCAATATATATGCCACTTAAACACATTTTAAATAATATGTGAACACAGAATTATTTTTAATAATTTTAACTTTTATTTTAGATTCAGGGGTTAAGTGTGCAGGTTTGTTACATGAGTTTATTGTGTGACACTGAGGTTTGGGGTATAAATGATCCCACCGCCTAGTAGAGAGCATAGTAGCTGACAGGCAGTTTCTAATCCCTTTCTCCTTTCGCTCTTGCCCCACTCTAGTAGTCCCCAGTGTCTATTGTTTCCATCTTTATGTCCATGTGTACCCAGAGCTTAGCTCCCACTTATAAGTGAGAATATGCAGTACTTGGTGTTCTGTTTCTGTGTTAATTTGCCCAGAATGATGACCTCCAGCTGTATCCATACCACTACAAAAGACATAATTTTATGCTTTGTTATGGCTGCATAGAATTCCATGGTGTATATGTACCACATTTCGTTTATCCAATCCACCATTGATAGGCATCAAGGTTGATTCCATGTCTTGGTTATTATGAACAGCACTGCAGTAAACATACAGGTCCATGTGTCTTTTTGGTACAACAATTTCTTTTCCTTTGGATGTATACCCAGTAATGGGATTGCTAAGTCGATGGTAGTTCTGTTTTAAATTCTTTGAGAAATCTTCAAACTGCTTTCCACAGTGGCTAAACTAATTTATATTCCCACTAACATGTAAGTGTTCCATCTTCTCCACAGCCTTGCCGGCATCTGTTGTTTTATGAATTTTTCCTGATAGCCATTCTGACTGGCGTGAGGTGTGGTTTTGATTTGCATTTCTCTGATATTTAGTGATATAGAGCATTTTTTATATGTTTGTTGGGCACTTCTGTGTCTTCCTTTGAGAAGTATCTGTTCATATGTTTTGCCTACCTTTTAAATGGGTTGTTTGGTTTTTGTTTGTTAGATTGTTTAAGTTCCTTATAGATTCTACATATTAGACTTTTTCAGATGAATAATTTATGAATATTTTCTCCCATTCTGTAGATTGTCTGTTTACTCTGTCGATAGTTTATTTTGTTTTGCAGAAGCTGTTTAGTTTAATTAGGTCCCACTTGTCAATTTTTGTTTTTGTTGCAGTTGCTTTTGAGGGCTTATTCATAAATTATTTCCCAAAGGCAATGTCCAGAATGGTATTTCCTGGGTTTTCTTCTAAGATTCTTATAGTTTGAGGTCTTACATTTAAGTCTTTACTCCATCTTGGGTTAAATTTTGTGTAGGGTAAAAGATAGGGGTCCAGTTTCATTCTTCTGCACATGGCTAGCCAGCTATCCCTTCCCTGAACCAGATTGAATAGAGAATCCTTTCTCTATTGCTTACTTTATCAACTTTCTTAAAGATCATATGGCTGTAGGTGTGCAGCTTTATTTCCAGGTTCTCCATTCTTTTCCATTGGTCTATGTGTCTACACAGAAATTTTGAAAGAAAAAGGATGGACAAAGGAGCACCACACAAGCACTATCCAAAATAAAGCTAGTGTTGCTATATGAATAGCAGACAAAATAGGTAAGAAGCATAGCTATAACCAAGAGCAATATACTATAGTAAGAGTCAATATGCCAGATGATATAAAAATTATGTATGTTTGCCTGACCAGTATGAGTTAAAATATGTAACTAAAAAGCAAGAGGCAAATTTATAATCCCAATGGGGGCCTTTAACTTCTTGCTTTTAATAAGCAGAAAAAAACAGAACAATAATCAAAAAGGATATAGAGGATCTAAACAAAACCATATAAATTGTTGTTCTAATTTTTATGTATAGAACATTGCAAACAACATTAGAAAAGATGTATTTTTATCAAATGACCATATATGCTGAGATATTAAAGCAAGCTTCAATATCAATTTTTTAAAAACTGAATGTGTTCATAGGGTGTTTTGACAACAGTGGAATTAAGTTAGGCATCAAAACAAAGTAGAAAAGGTAACAAGAAACACTCCCACCTCCCCATGCGCACACACCACCCCCCCCCCCAAACACACACACTACACATAAATCATTTAGAAATAAGCTATGGGCCAAAAAACTGAAAGATCACAAGAATTAGAAATATTGAGACCTGAATGTTAATATACATAGTATCTATCAAAATTTTTGGAATGCAACTAAAACAGTGCTTAGAGAGAATTATAGTCTTAAATGTATATGAGACAAAAGGCTAAAACTTCACAATTGAAATGTCCATCTTGGGAAATATAAATTTAAAAAACAAGCAAACAACAAGTTAAACCCAAAATAAGTATAAAGATTAATACAGAGACTAATAAAATTAAAAAACAAGCATTCAATATGCAAAATCAACAAAATTAAAAGTAGGTTTTTTAAAAAAAACTAATAAAAATTAGGAAATTTCTAACAGAATGGATTAAAAAAATGCTAACAGTAGGAACTAAAACTATCACTGTAGAGCTCACAAGTATTAAAAATTCAAAATTAGGTTTTATGAACAATTTTATACCATTAATGAAATGGCTTAATTCCTAGTAAAACACAACCTAACATAAACAACACAGGAAGAAATAGAATTTGTAATTTCAAATCTTTCACCTTCTAAAAAAATTTCTAGAGCGAAAATAAAAAACACTAGTTTCATATAAACATCCAGAGTTCAGGAGAAAAAGGACAAGCTTTCCAACATTTTTATGAGTTTATCAAAATGTTTACATTAAAAACTTGACAAAGACATTCAAGGAAGAAAAACTACAGGAAATCTCTCAAAAAACATAGATGAAAAATCTTATACTAGATATTAGCACCTTAATGCAGCAATATATAAAAAGGATAATACACACAAGTCAGTGTGACTATTTTAGGAATGTAGAGTTGGTCTAATATTTAAATTCAATTGTAATTAACCACCAGTAACAGAATAAAGATGAAAACTCATATAATTAACTCATTAGAATTAGAAAATACCTTTTATTAATGTATCTTTCCACAATAACACTTAGTAAACTAAAAATAAAAGGAAAGTTTCTCATAAAGTATCCACAAAATATTTCAGCACATTTATATTTAATGGTGGAATATAGAAATCTTTCCTCCTGAGATTCAAATTGACATAAGAATGCCTTATCACCACTTCTATACAACATTCTGCTGGTAGTGTTAACCAATGAAATTAAGAATTACAAGTAAGGAAAATACATAAACTTTGGGGGAAACCCCAAACTCCATTTTTAGGATAACATGATTTTATATCTAGAATATTCATAACCAAATCCAATGAAAAACCATTAGAGTTAATAAGAAATTTAGCCAGCCTTATGGATTAAAAAATCAATATAAAAAATTGCATTTTCTAATACCACAACAAATAATCAGACAATTAAATTGTAAATAAATACAATCTATAATAGTAAATCCAAAAAAAGGAATATCTCAAAAATTTGCAGTGTCTACACAATAATCTATAAAACATTACTGAAATAAATAAAACAAGGAAAGATATACCATATTCATGGATTAGAAAACCCCATACTATATACATGTTAATTCTCCCCAGATTGACTAATATATTCAATAAAAGTGTAGTAAAAATGCAAATAGTTTTTTTCCTTCAGTTGGCATTTGACTTTTCTAACAACGTATACTGGAAATGCAAAGGGCCAAAAATAGGAAAGATAATCTTGAATAAGGAAAGTGAAGCTGGAGGACTTTTCAGACTTATCAAAAGCCACAGTAATCACAGTGATGTTCTAATAGACTAATACACCAAAGAAAGAAAACATAGATTCAGAAGCAGAGTCACACTTAGAATGATTTGAATCATGACAAAGATTACATTGCAGTGCAATGGGGGAAAGGGTGGTCTTTTCAAGAAATGGACCTGGGTCAAAAGAAAAATATATATATTAACACCCACCCCACACTATGCTCAAAAATAAATTCATGATGAATTATAGATCTAAAAGTGGAATATAAAACCTTTAGAAGAAAACAGAGGAAAATATTTCATAGCCTTGATGTAAACAAGAATTTCTTAACAAGACCCAAGAGCACCAACAATAAAAGAAAAATATTAATAAATTGCAATATATATTAAGAATTTGTGTTATTTAAAAGACACCATTAAAATGAGGGAAAAAGCAAGCCATGGACTGAGAAAAGACATTTATAGAAACACATAAGTGACAAGACATAAACACTCCAAAATATACTTTTTAAACAGCTAAAAATCAGTGAAAAGACAAAATTCATAGGCAAATGAGCAAATGCTTGAACCAGTACAACACAATAGGGGATAACAATGTGACCGATGTGGGAAATGTAATCACAACGAGACACCACTACACACTTATCAGAATGTCTAAAATATATGTTGCTGAGGATGTGAAAGAATGGGAACTCTCATGTAGTACTATTCCCATGCCCTTTAGAAAACTGGTCACATATACACTGAACATACGTGTGTCCTATCACTCAAAAATTCTAGTTCCAGATATACATGTTTATCCCCAAAAATGTATGTATATACAACCCAATGATGTTCATGGGAACACTATTTGTAAAAGCCAAAAAGTACAAATTAGGTACTGGATATATGAATACAATCTACAGCAATAGGTAAGACTGGCCTGTTGCTACATGCAATAAAGATAAATTCTACAACATAATGTTAAGTAAAATAAGTCACACACACACTAGTCTTTCATAATGGTAGATATCAGAATAGTAACTGCTTTTGAAGGGAATGTACTGTGGAATGATGTGTGTGTCAGGAGTACTTATGTAGGTTATTTTCTTTTTATTATGTTTATAATTGACAAGTAAACATGGTGTATATTTTTTATGTACAACATGATGTTTTAAAATATATATACATGACAGAAAGGCAAAAGCAAGCTTATAAACATAAGCATTACCACATACTTTTTGTGCATGTGGTAAGGACCCTTAAAAATCTAATCTCTTAACAATTTTCAAGCATATAATACATTGTTTCAGGTATACAATACATAGTTATCAAGCATCATGTTGTACAATGGATCACCTGAAATTTTTTCCTCCTATATAACTGAAATTTTTTATCCTTTGACCCACATCTTCCCAATCTCTCCCCACTCCCTGTCCCTGGTAACCACCATTCTGCTCACACTTCCATGAGTTTGACTTTTTTAGATTCCACATTTAAGTGAGTTCATGTGGTATTTGTCTTCTTCTTGGCCTGAATTGTTTCACTTAACATCCTCTAGGTTCACCCATGTTGTTGGAAATGACAAGATTCCCCTCTTTTTGAAGGCTGAATAGTAATCCATTGTGCATATACACCACATTTTCTTTATCCATTCATCTGTTGGGGAAAGTGCTGCCATACTTTCTCTACAGGTGACCACATAAATAAAGTCACTGATCTGATGTGCATGCTCCTGTCCCAACTTCTGCATATTTGTGGAGATAATATTACAATCCTGGCCCTCCAAGCCATGCTGACCTAGCTAGAGGGTGCTCAGAAACTCCTGTCCCGTCTCCAAACTGTCCCTCTCTCTCTCTCTCTCTTTAATTTTATTACAAAAGATCACTATCTTAACAGCACTCCACCTCTGTCCCTCATCAACTGCCATTGCTTCTTCTGCTTTCACAAAATAGAAGCTTCGTAGAGACCTCCCCACACCACACCCAAGAACCAGGAAATTAGCACAAAACTATCACCTGTGATAATGAAAGACATCAGGCAAGGGAGAGCAAGCCACCAATGTACACCCCAGATATCTCAAATGACCAGATAGAGTCTGAGTTTTTCTTTCACAGTGTGTAAGCAGCAATAATCAGCAGAGATCCCACCATAACTTTTAGGACTTGAACAAATAATCAAGAATAAGCCACCTCTATTTTTCTTCTTTTGGTCTCCTAAAAAAAAATTATTTTCATGCTAATCCTCTTCCATTCTGAAAAAGTAGCTTCTCCTCTCAGAGACAAAGACTTCTACCTCTGTTTTTGATCCGCTGTCCTTCTCATGATCCAGGATTATCCTCTATTAATTAATCCCTCTTTTCTTTTTATCTTCAATCTACTGCTTCCACTTCTCAAATGGCAAGCATGTTTACTCCAATTTCAATTAAAAGGAAAAATTCTGCCTTTTTGTCAATAAAGCTGTAGCTTTTATCACATGCTGGAGCTCAAAATCTTTTAAATCTTTTTACCTAATGCCTACTAGATATGCTTAATCTGCATGTTATACAGGCACTTCAAACAGGTTCATTAAGATTCCTGCAAAATTTCTGTTTGCCTACTCTATATAATGATGTTCTTCTCATTTGAGTCATCAGGTCATGTCAATTCTGCCTTCTAAAATATCTCTCAAATACATCTGGTCAAGTTCATCTGTAACTCCTTCAATTCATTTTTTTAACCTTCAAAAATGATTAAATTTGTTCAAAAACAAGTCCAGTTATACTCTTGTTTACATATACAACATTCCTTACAAGGTTGGACAGTGAAAAAAAAGGAGAGGCAAATATATACCAACAGATAGGTACAAAAAGAAATCAGAAATACTCTAGGGCATGTTTACTATAGTGAATTTAATTGATATTGTTCAAACTAGAAATATTATCATCTACTCAAGGGCCCATTGAATATGTATACAAATGGATAAAGTATTAGATCACAGGTCAACCCTCAATCATTTTCAAAAATTTAAAATTATATATACCCCTTTAAACAAAACACAATTAAAAAAAAGTAAAATAGATTTTAAGCAACACCTACAAAAAGAAATTTCATCTAAATAAGCCTTCAGTAAGTGTCAAAATTATTTACTAAGGAATACTTAAAAATAACTTTTGAAGAAATTACAGGTCAAAACACAAGACATGGCAAAAGCAGTGAGAAGAAAATCATAACACCCATTATTTTCAATACTAAATGAGGAAATCATGGGCATTCAACTCAAGAATAAACACAATGAAACAAACCTAAGGAAAACAGGAATTAATACAAATAAAAACAAGAATTTTTGTTTGTTTCTTTGTTTTACGAGACAGGGTCTTGCTCTGTTGCCCAAGTTAGAACATAGTGGCTATTCAGAGGTACAATCATGGAACATGACAGCCTTGAACTCCTAGTCTCAAGTGATCCTCCTGCCTCAGCCTCCCAAGTAGCTGGGACTATAGGTATGTGCCACTGTACACAGAAAAAACAGGAATTTTAAAAAGAAAAACAGAAAATCAAGATATGCAAATAAAACAAAGATAAATCAGTTGAGGAATAGAAACAGACTAATAAAGGTAGCAATGACTTTCCTTTGTACCATAAAGACCACTTAAGATAAGACACCTCATTAAGAATAGCACCTATTGTGCCTAAATTATTAAGAGCTAACTTCACAAGAAATACAGAACATTCATGTTAAAAGCAAGGCCGGGCAAGGTAACTCATGTTTGTAATCCCAGGACTTTGGGAGGCCAAGGTGGGCAGATCACTTGAGGTCAGGAGTTCGAGACCAGCCTGGCCAACATGGTGAAACAGTGTCTCTACTAAAAATTCGAAAATTAGCTGGGCATGGTGGCTGCTCAGGAAGCTGAGACAGGAGAATTGCTTGAACCAGGGGAGTGGAGGTTACAGTGAGCCAAGATCATGCCATTGAACTCCAGCCTGGAAGACATAGAAAGACTTTATCTCAAAACACAAGCAAACAAACAAAACCTTGACTTGAGGACATAAAAGAAGATATAAATCAAAGCTGTGGCATATTCTTGAAAGAAAACAGCATTGCAATAATGTCAGTTACCTTTATATTTGTTTTCTATGTTTGCTGTAACAGATTACTGTGAATTTTGTGGTTGAAAGCAACACAAATGTATTCTCTTAGAGTTCTGGAGAGCAGAGTTTCAAAATGTGTCACAAAAATCAAGGTGTTAGTGGGCTGCTTTCTTTCTTGAGGCTCCAGAGGAGAATTCCTTCACTTGCTTTTTCCATTTGCTTTCCTTATAAAGAAGCAAGTGACAATTGCTGTAACATTTGGCTCACCCAGATAATCCAGGAAAAGATTCAGGATATTTAATTTAATCACAGCAGAAAAATCCCTGTTACCATGTAAGGTAACAAATTCACAGGTTCTAGGGATTAGGACATGAACATCTTTGGGTGGTTATTATTCTGCCTACCACAACCTCTATATCGATTTTAGAAATTGATTACAACTCAATTCTTTTTTAACTTGACAGAGTGATTCTAAAATATACCTGAAAACTCAAATAGGAAAACTAATTCAGAAATTTTTTAAGGATTAGAAAAAGAAAGGACTTTCACTGCTGGATATGAAAATATATGACATCATAATAATTATAGCAATGTAGCAGTAGTATAAGAATAGATTTTAATACATATATGTATATATGTAATTAATATTATAGTACCTGATAAGAAGTGACATTTAAGATCTGAAGGGAATGGGCTGATTATTCAGTAAATTATGCTTCAAGAATAGGTTAATTATTTGGAAAAAAAAAAGTTGGGATTAAAGTTAGATCTGTACTTCCTACCACATGTCAAAATAAATTCATGACGGATAAGAGCATTAAATATTAAAAACCATTAGGCTTTAGAGTAAAATATGGATGAATAATTATTCATCTTTTGATGAACTGGGTGAAAAAAACTTTCTAGGTATAAAGGAAGAGGAAGAAATAAAGGAAAACATTGATAGTTTTGACTACATTAACACATATACACATGAACTTGCAAACATCAAAAAATACCACAAGCAGAAGTAAGAGAAACATAAAAATAATAAGAAAATGTATTTTCAATTGTATGACAAAATCTCAGGCAAGTAAACAAAGAAGAAAGCAAAAATTTCATTAGGAAATTAGGCAAATAAATACGAACTTGCAAAGAAAAAATGCAAATGATTAATCAATACATTTTTTAAATATTCAAACTGTTCTACTAATAAAAGGAATGCAATTTAAAACAGGTATACAATGCCATATTTCCCTACCAAATGAGCAAAACTTCTTTAAAAAAATATTTATAGGGTATTATCCAATGTTTCCATCAGGTTGGAGAAACAGACAGGTATACACCATTCTAGTGTAGACTTAAGTTCATTCAAGATTTCTGGAAAACAACTAGCCCCCTTTTAAAGGCCTTTAAAATTACACACACCTGAAATCAGAAATCTGATTTTAACCTAACATGTACGTAAATAGTTTTAAGTAAGAATGTTATTTACGATTGCAAAAAAGGAACAATGGAACAACCAAAACTCCCATCAATGATGGATTGAGTAAATAAATTGTTGGGTTCACAGGAGTAAATGCATGTGGTTATTTTAAAATCACATTTTATAAGAACAGTTAAAGATATGGAAAAATGTTCAAAATATATTAAGTAAAAAAGCGTGTTATAAGACTTCCCAAATAATTTCTTAAAGTATAGAAATACATCGTATTTGAAAGAAGGCTGAACATGAAAATACTAAGGGTGTTTTTCTCTAGATATTGAAGTTATAAATTTTTGGGTGGGGTGGTTAGTTTTTTGCTTTTCGATTTTCTCTATTTTCATTGTAAGGTATTAAAATGATTATTAATGTTCTTATAATCAGAGAGAAATACTAGATGTTATTGCTTTAAAAACCATCTCAATAATAAAGCAAAAAAGATACAGAACAATTCGATTCATCCCAATCAAGTGTTAAACTTTTAAAAATTCATCTTTTGGAGTTTTCTTTCCCATCTGAAGTCATTCTGCCAGCATGTTTAAGTTGTTTATATCAGTTAGTACTGAGAATATCTTGCCTCAGATCAGCCTGGTCTAATTAATACAGATGCAGTTTTCTGCTTCCACTGGTGAAATTACTTTTCAATACATCTTAGGCAGGATTTCAGTTAAACTTCTTCAGCAGAACTGTAGCTTCCAGAACTTGGGACATTTTCCCATATATCCCCTTAGACATAATTATTGGACCCTGGAAGAGCACCATAACCATGTGTGTTGAGAATAATGACATAGGCTCAGTTCAGCTCCAAAAAGCAATTTGTTAAAAGAGACCAGAATTGAAGAGGAAAAGCCCAGAAAGAAGGTAGATTCCAGTTGAATTAACTTTGTTTAAATTTGTACTTTAGCCTTCATTGAGCTTCTGATACTATATGAGGCATAAGTCCTCTTTGTGTGGTGCCTGCACTGCCTCCCATGACTGCTCTGATGCTCCAAAATACTTTCTTCTTCCGTGTTTACAATCTTTTGTTGATTTACTTTTGTCTATTTTTCATTTTCAAATCCTATGTCCACTTACACATATAGTTACCTGAGGATAACTGGTCTAATGTATTAGGTTTTAAAGTTAAAATTAAGAATCCACTTATTTGCCTTTCTCTGTCTTTCTCAGTATATAAATATCTAATACTGAAGTTTTATAGAAAATGCCCTCCTGCTTACATGTGGCTCATCTGTATTAGGAAAGTGATGGCAATGTGGCTTCCATAAGAATGAAATTCTCACAGTTATCACAGGCAGTCATTAAGTATTGGAATAGTGACACACCCAGCCATGATGTCATATACATTTAACACATAAAAGCAGGAATAAAGCATTGAAATATAAACACAACTCTTACTTTGTTCATGAAATGGAGAGTTTTCAAAAGAACACACATGGGTATCTGAGAAAAATAACATGTGGGTGCTAGATTGAAGTGTTGATAATTTTCACTGTGAATATCAGTTCCCACATTTTTCTGACCCATATTTTCTCCTGAAATATCACCAGAAAACATTTTTCTCAAATTGTCCTCTCAATTCCAAAGCTAAATTCTCAATCCTTTAGTAAAAAAATGGACTTTGTTTAAGAAACCTGCCTTGGAGGATAGTCTCAAATATTGTAGCTTTTACTACAATGAGAGTTAATAAACCATTCAATAGTTCAGAAATATTTTTAAACTAAAATTTTTCCTTTCTTCTCCTTTCTTTGTCATTCTTTTATCTGCATATAACATAATTTTTTACATTGGGTCTTGTAAAAAATTAGGTCTCTAGGGCTTTATGCAAAAAGCTATAATTTGTACATGTAACTGATGGGGTTCAGGACAAGTTACCCCAAAATAAGGCACCTTGGCATAGGAGAAGACAGCAGAACCAGGAGGATCACTCTCACATTCTCTTCAGCCTTCTTCCCTGAAGGTGGTCGGGTGCGGTGGCTCACACCTGTAATCCCAGCACTTTGGGAGGCCGAGGTGGGTGGATCACAAGGTCAGGGGTTCGAGACAAGCCTGACCAATATGGTGAAACCCCATCTCTACTAAAAATACAAAAATTAGCCTGGCATGGTGGCATGTGCCTGTAGTCCCAGCTACTCGGAAGGCTGAGGCAGAAGAATTGCTTGAACCCAGGAGGCGGAGGATGCAGTGAGCCGAGATAGCACCACTACACTCCAGCATGGGTGACAGAGTGAGAATCTGTCTCAGAAAAAAAAAGGAAAAAAAAACTTTCATTCCAGAGGCACCCTTACTATATTGGTAAGAAGTGAACATATTTTTTGTTGTTTTCTTTTGTTTATTTGTTTTTGTTTTAGTTCTTAAATTTTATAATAAGTTAAATCGATGTAAAATAATTACACATTCATTTTTACTTATGAAAGAGAATGTAACTCTGCAATCAAATTGTCAGACATATATCACAAAATAACCAAAATAATTAGGAGAATTTACTTTTTACTCTCTGTTCCACTTGCTTCTTTGTAATGCCTAGTTTCCTTTTCTAGTGAGTCCTCTACATTGGGCAATGCTTATTTTGTTGGTCCCGGTAATCCACACATTAATCTCTTCTTTCATTATCTTAGTTAAGTAGTGAACATCTTTATCATATACAAAGATATTACAAAGAATCTGAACAAACAGGCCTTGCTAAATTTCCCTTAGTTTATTATCATTTGATCATATCACTTTTGTCCTCCTCTCATATTTCTTCATAACTATCTATTTCTTCATCAAAATTAGCATAAAAATACACCAGTTCCTCTGTTTCCTTGCCTCTTCCTTTCTAAAGGAATCTCATCAAGTTAAACTTATATTAAATTAATTTGTATATTTTTCTTTTGTTAATCTGTGTATTGTTAGAGGGGTATCAGCCATGAACAGCTATGTTGATTGAGAAAATAAATCTTTATTTTGCCCACATAATTAATAACTTTGAGGTTAGAGAAAGGTTGAAACATGAGCTACTTATTTAGAAAGTTTTCAGTATTTTTTCCTTGTATGTTTATTTGTTAGTTTCTTACATTCTTTTAATATATATCTAAATGGTTTGGTCAGTTCAGTCAGTTTTGTTCACCAATTAATTCATAGCTCATCAATTTAGTATGAATTTTGTATGACTAGACAGGACATAGTCACATGCAAATTGGAAATCATCCAGCTAAACTGATCTGGGAACAGGGTAAATAATTACCATTAATGTGAAGTTTGGGATCTGATTCTCTTAACCAGGCCTTCTGTATTGGTCAGAATGAGATCATTGCCAAGTCCTAAATGCTGGTTAGTGTGTTTATCTGTTTTATAGATGCAAGGAATTTCACATGGCTTGTTAATTTTTTCTCACTCTACTTCTAGAACATTATGGTCTAAATTGCATCCAACCTTTTGCACATTTGTTTTGAGTTCTTTTTGTTGTACCTACAGTATAGCACATTTGATGTCAAATCTGTACATTCTAATTACACAGAACTAAAAGCAGACAGGCTCCTGTAAGCTCGTGAACCAAATACAACCAAATGTTTCCATTTGTGAACCCAAGATTATTGAGGAATTTCAAATATTTCTCAATGACAAAAGGACATGCTTTCAGAATTAAGGAAAACATAATTAGTCTTTTTTAAATTTATAAAGCTTGTGATAAAGTTTCTTTTTATATGCTTTTTAGAGTCTGGTTTTAAGCACTTCTTACAGTGTTTTCAGTAGAAATTTTGTAGCTTGGGCTTGTTCCCTGGAATCTAAGAGGAGAAACTGACTAGCAATAAGAATTAAACTGACTAGTCTAATTTCATTGCCTAAACTAAAAGAAATTTTAGGACAGAGAAAAGCAGAAAAGAGTGTTTTTTGTTTGTTTTTGTTTTTTTGCATTTTAAAAGTCCACTTGAATCTTCTAAATTCTTACTCTGAACACAAGGCAATAAAATTTACATGACCTAAATATATATATGGTCAGGTATTTAGGACTAAAAACAAGCCTGGCACTGATTTATGGAATTCTTTGTGCTTTGACGTGACCAAGGGTGAAAAGGTTTCTTTTGCTAAAAATAATGACACCCATACCGAAGAAAGCAGCTGGATGCCATTCTTGAAGCTATAAGACTTTGCTACAACTCAGGCCTGTGACCCTGGTAACCAATCAGTCAGTCTATAATAGGTTCTTTTTTTTCTCACAGATCTTTTTCAATTGAGTAAACTCCTTAGTTGTTTTGTTTTTGAATACTGAGTGTTTAGTATATGATAGAGCCATTTCATATATGATAGTTGCCATTGTAGAATTGGATAGTCCATTTTTACATAATTTCACTTCTGTATAAAGATGCAATTTTTCTGCTATTAAATCAGTAACTTAGCATGTGTGTCAGAGTGTGTGTGTGCGTGTGTGTGTGTGTGTGTGTGTTTAGGCACTAGCAAAAGAGTTAAGTCTCCTGGACCTAAGGTTTTCATCTGAAAATGTCGTATATGATGTTCTAGTTTAAGTAAGTGAGTGGGAGTGGTTGCTAGTGGTGTAGAGAGAAGGACTATAATGTATATTTTTATATATGTTTTCTAATATTTATAATGTATATAAAGGTCAAAAAAAATCCTTTAATTGCATATTCCAGGCATAAAATAACTTAAAAAGCAAAAAAATGAACATAAGACAGCAGACATCAAATTCTATAAACCATTTCCTACCTCTTTTTCACCAGTGAGATTTTGTTCAGGAGCATGTGGGTTGTTAAATTTTGTTCTGAAAATATGTGAGTGAATCTTCATTCTAAACATATTCCTTGACTCTAAATTTATTGTTTAATTAAGTAACTAAATGGTGAGTGAGTTGAGTACCACATAACAAAAAAGAGGTTGTTCTATCAATTCTATGTAACATTCACAGTGGAAGACCTGAATACTTTTCCTGATTTACGGAGATCACACAGGAAATAGGCAATTTGGGGAATGCTTTTTTGATGTGAATTAAAATAGACAAATTAAGGTCTTTGGCATTTTAATCAAACATTTATGGGGAAAAAGGAATAAATCATTTGTAAAAGGCTCTGACCTATCTTCTTTTTTTCTAATTTTTGATTTTGCCCATTCAAATTATTACAAGTTTTTGGCATATAAATAGCAGAAAGCATGAATAGAATACAGTTAAAGATAATAGCATTTATATATAAGATTTTGTAATATGCTCTCGAATAAAAAATAGTTTTCTGGGACATAAAAATGCCATCCTCTTTTGGAAAGAGTGAATCTTCCAAAAAGAAGAAACCAAGCAGGGAAGGAAGGATGAACAGGTTGCTTGCGAGGCAAGATAAACCAAATCAACAGTGATCCCAAACGAATCTCTTACCCATTCATATATCTATTATTTGTGTATCACCAGCTATATACACAAAATTGATTTAAGAAATCCAAAATATGGCCGGGTGCGGTGGCTCATGCCTGTAATCCCAGCACTTTGGGAGGCCGAGGCGGGCGGATCACGAGGTCAGGAGATTGAGACCATCCTGGCTAACACGGTGAAACCCCATCTCTACTAAAACTACAAAAACAAAATTAGCCAGGCGTGGTGGCTGTCGCCTGTAGTCCCAGCTACTCCAGAGGCTGAGGCGGGAGAATGGCACGAACCCGGGAGGCGGAGCTTGCAGTGAGCCGAGATCGCGCCACTGCACTGTAGCCTGGGTGACAGAGCGAGACTCAATCTCAAAAAAAAAAAAAAAAAAAAAAAAAAAGAAAGAAAGAAATCCAAAATATACAAACATCATGACAGAATTTTTGCTCTCAAAGAACTTACATGTGAGTTGAGAAGAAAAGATCGATTATACTTAGGGAATAGGGAATAGTTAAATTGCAATGCTCTCAGTGCCTAGTTCAGTGTCTGGCATGTTTTAGGCCATCAGTGCCTCCATTCAACAAATATTTGCTGAGAATTTACTACATTCTAGGCTCTGGTCCAGGTGCTCGGGATGCAGCAGTGAAAACAACAGGAAAATTCTACCTTCAGTAGTGAGTTGAATTGTAACCTGTGAAAGGTAAGTCCACCCTGAATAAGTGTGTAACTTACTTGTAATAAGGGTCTTTGAAGATGTAAATACCGCAAGGACTTCAAGATGAGATCATCCTGGATTAGGGTGAGCCCTAAATACAATTATTTATGGCTTTCTTAAGAATGTCCTTTTAAGAGACAGAAGAGATGACACAAAGACACAGATACAAGAAAGCCACATGAAGACAAAGGCAAAGCCCCAAACCAAAGAATGCCAAAAACTGTCAGCAGCAAGCAGAAGCTATGACAGAGTCATGGAACCAATTCTTCCTCAGAGCCTCCAGAGAAAACCAACTGTACCACACCTTGATTCTGGATTTCTGGCCTGCAGAACTCTGAGAAAACAGCTTTCTCTTCTTTCAAGCCACCCAGGAAACTAAGGTACCTGCTTTTGCATGGCTTATATTCTAACATGGAGGGAGGTGGAGCAACATGGGGGAGGAGAAAGCTCCACCAGTCATCCATCCCACAAGGACACCAAGTTAACAACTATCTACACAGAAAAACACCTTCATGGGAACCAAAAATCAGGTGAGCACTGGTATACCTGATTTTAACTTCATATCACTGGAAAATACTCTGAAGAGATAGAAAAAACAGTCCTGAATCACCAATGGCATCTACCACCCCTGTCAAACCCCCTGCCCACTCCCAGCAGAGGCATGATGTGCAGAGTATCTCCGGGCATTAGGGAGGGAGAGCACAGCAATTGTGAGGCAGTGAACTCAGTGCTGGCCTGTTATAGCAGGAAGGAAAACCAGATCAAACTCAGCTGATGCAAGCCCATGGAGGGATAATTTAAACCAGTCCTAGCCAGAGGGCAATCACTGATCCCATAGGTCAGAACGTGAGTGCCCGCAAGCCCTGCCACTGAAGGCTACAGCATTCTGTGTCTCCAAGTAAACTTGAAAGACAGTGTAGGCCATAAGAAATGCAACTCTTAGTCAAGCCCTAATGCTGAACTAGGCCCAGAAATGGTGGACTTTGGGGGCATGCGACCTACTGAGACACCAGCTAGGGCAGCCAAAGGAGGGCTGGCATCACCCTTCCACTAACCCCAGCCTGCACAGGTCATGGGTCCAAAAGAGACCCCTTCCTTCTGCTTGAGGAGAGGAGAGGGAAGAGTAGGGATTACTTTGTGTTGCATCTAGAATACCAACTCAGCCAAAGCAGGATGGAGCACTGGTCAGAATTGTAAGGTCCCCCCTTCCAGGACCTACCTCCAGGACAACATTTCTAGACACACCTTATGCTAGAAGGGAACACATTGCCTTGAAGGAAAGGACCCAGTCCTGGCAGCATTTATCACCTGCTAACTGAAATCCCTTGATTCCTGAATAACCAGCAGCAATACCCAAGTACTACATCAAGGGCCTTGGGTGAGTCTCTGAGACTTGCTGGCTACAGGTGAGACTCAGAACATTACCAGCTGTAGTGGCTACAGGACAAAACTCTTCCTTCTTGAGAAAAGCAGAGGGAAAAGTAAACAGGACTTTGTCTTGCACTTTAGCTACCAGCACAGCCACAGTGGGATGGAAGCACTGATATGGTTTGGCTGTGACCCCATCCAAATCTCATCTTGAATTCACATATGTTGTGGGAGGGACACAGTGGGAGGTAATTGAATCATGGGGACAAATCTTTCCCATGCTGTTCTTGTGATAGTGAATAAGTCTCATGAGATAATGATGGTTTTAAAAAGGGGAATTTCCCTGCACAAGTTCTCTTCTCTTGTCTGCCGCCATATGAGACGTGACTTTTACTTTCCACCATGATTGTGAGACCTTCCCAGCCATGTGGAACTGTAAGTCCTATAAACCTCTTTGTTTTGTAAATTGCCCAGCATCAGGTATGTCTTTATCAGTAGTGTGAAAACAGACTAATATAGTAAATTGTACCAGTAGAGTGGGGCACTGCTGTAAAGATACCTGAAAATGTGGAAGTGAGTTTGGAACTGGGTAACAGGCAGGGGTTGGAACAGTTTGGAGGGCTCATAAGAAGACAGGAAAATGTGGGAAAGATTGGAACCTCTAGAGACTTGTTGAATGGCTTTGACCAAAATGTAGATAGTGTTGTGGACAATGAAATCCAGGCTGAAGTGGTCTCAGATGGAGATGAGGAACTTGTAAGGAACTAGAGGAAAGGTGACTCTTGTTATATTTTAGCAAAGAGACTGGTGGCATTTTGCCCCTGCCCTAGAGTTTTGTGGAACTATGAACTTGAGAGAGATGACTTAGGGTATCTGGTGGAATAAATTTTTAAGCAGCAAAGCATTCAAGAGGTGACTTGGGTGCTGTTTAAGGCATTCAGTTTTAAAAGGGAAACAGAGCACAAAAGTTTGGAAAATTTGCAGCCTGGTAATGCAATAGAAAAGAAAATCCATTTTCTGAGGAGAAATTCAAGCTGGCTGCAGAAATTTGCATAAGTAATGAGGAGCTGAATGTTAATCACCAAGACGATGGGGAAAATGTCTCCAGGCCATGTCAGAGACCTTTGTGGCAGCCCCTCCCATCACAGGCCTGGAGGTTTAGGAGGAAAAAAATGGTTTTCATGGGCCCAGCCCAGGATCCCTCTGCTGTGTGCAGCCTGGAGACTTGGTGCCGTGCATTCCAGCTGCTACAGCCATGACTAAAAGGGGCCAAAGTACAGCTCTGGCTGTTGCTTCAGAGGGTGGAAACCCTGAACCTTCGCAGCTTCCATGTGGTATTGAGCCTGAGGATGCACAGAAGTCAAGAATTGAGGTTTCAGAACCTCTGCCTAGATTTCAGAGATTTATGGAAACATCTGGATGCCCAGGCAGATGTTTGCTGAAGGGGTGGGTCCCTCATGGGGAACCTCTGCTAGGGCAGTGCAGAAGGGAAACGTGTGGTCTGAGGCCCCACAGAGAGTCCCTACTGGGGCACCACCTAGTGGAGCTGTGAGAAGAGGGCCATCATCCTCCAGACCCCACAATGGTGGATGCACCTGCAGTTTACACTGTGCACCTGGAAAAGCCTCAGACACTCAACACCAGCCCGTGAAAGTAGCCAGGAGGGAGCCTTTAACCTGCAAAGCCACTGCCCAAGGCCATGGGAGCCCATCTCTTGCATCAGCATAACCTGGATGTGAGACATGGAGTCAAAGAGATCATTTTGGAACTTTAAGATATGACTGCCATGCTGGACTTTGGACTTGCATGGGGCATGTAACCCCTTTGCTTTGGCCAATTTCTCCCTTTTGGAATGTCTGTATTTACCCAATGCCAGTAGCCCCATTGTATCTAGGAAGTAACTAACTTTCTTTTGATTTTACAGGCTCATAGGTGAAAGGGACTTGCCTTGTCTCAGGTGAGACTTTGAGCTGTGGACTTTTGAGTTAATGCTGAAATGAATTAAGACTTTGGGGGACAGTTGGGAAGGCATGATTTGTTCTGAAATGTGAGGACATCAGATTTGAGAGGGGCCAGGTGCAGAAAGATATGGTTTGACTGCGTCCTCACCCAAATCTCATCTTGAATTCCCACATGTTGTGGGAGGGACCTGGTGGAAGGTTATTGAATCATAGGGTAAGTCTTTCCTGTGCTGTTCTTGTGATAGTGAATAAGTCTTATGAGATCTGATGGTTTTAAAAAGAGGAGTTCCCTTCACAAGCTCTCTTCTCTTGTCTGCCTCCATGTGAGGTGTGACTTTCACCATCCACTGTGCTTGTGAGGCCTCTCCAGGCACGCGTAACTGTAATTCCAATAAACCTCTTTCTTTTGTAAATTGCCCAGTCTCAGGTATGTCTTTATCAGCAGTGTGAAAACGAACTAATACAGAGCAATAAGCAGGCTCTTGAGTGTCCCTGATTCCAGGATGTGACTCTTTGATGGCATTTTTGGACCTGTCCTGGGCCAGAAGGGAGTCCACCTTCCTAAAGGGTAAGTACCAGGCTAGGCAGCATTCACTGGAAGCTGACTTAAGAGACCCTGGGCCTTAAGGTAACATCCATGGTAGTCTAGATGTACTTCTTGTGGCCTGGGGTCATGGAAGATACAGGGTGAGACTCCTCTGTCCTTGGAAAGGGGAAAAAGAGTGAGAAGGACTGTATCTTGTAGTTTGTTTGTGAATTCAGCCAAAATACAGTAGAATATTGGGTAAACTTTTTTGGTTTTTTACTCTAGTTCCTGACCCTTGGATGGTACTTCTGGACCCACATGGGACCTGGGAGACCTCACTACTCTGAAGGAAAGAAATAAGCCTAACTGGCTTTGCTACCTGCTGATGGTAGAGAGTTGGGGCCTTGAGGAAACATTGACAGCAGCCAGGAAGTGGTTACAGAAGGCCTTGGGCAAGACTTAGTGCTGTGCTGGCTTCAGATCTGACCCAGCCTAGTCATAGTGGTGGTGGCTGCAGGGGGACTTGTGTCAATCCACCCCAAATTTAGGTGGATCAGAACAGAGACAGAGAAAGAGACTCTGTATGTCTGGGAGAAAGTAAGAGAAGAGAACAAGAGTGTCTGCCTAGTAATCCAGAGAATTCTCTTGGATCTTTTCCAAGATCATCAAGGCAGTACCTTTAGGAGTTTGCAAGCACGACATTATTGGGCTTCAGGTGTGCTCTACAGCAGATAGAGCTTAAATCAATACACCTAAGTCCTTTCAAATATCTGGAAAGCCTTCCCAAGAAGGATGGCTACAAATAAGCCCAGACAGTGAAGACTTCAATAAATACCTAACTCTTCAATGAACAGACAGTGAAGGACATCTATAAGCATCAACACTATCCAGGAAAACATGACCTCACCAAAGAAAATAAATAAGGCAACAGGGACTAATCCTGAAGTAACAGAGATGTGTGGCCTCTCAGACTGAGAATTCAAAATAGCTGTGTTGAGGAAGCTTAAATTCAAAATAACACAGAGAAGGAATTCATAACTCTAATCAATAGATTGGAATTGTTAAAAAGAATCAAGCAGAAATTCTGGAGCTGATAAATGCAGTTGGCATACTGAAAAATGCCTTAGAGTCTTTTAATAGAATGGGTCAAGCAGAAGAAAGAATTAGTGAGCTTGAAGACAGGCTATTTGAAAATATGCAGACACAAACACACACACACATACACAGAAAATACACAGTCAGAGGAGACAAAAGAATGCAAAACAATAAATCATGCCTACAAGATCTAGGAAATAGCCTCAAAAGGGAAAATTTAAGAGCTACTGACCTTAAAGAGAATGTAAAGAAAGAGATAGAAATAGAAAGTTTATTTAAAGTGATAATAACAGAGACTTCCCAAACTTAGAGAAAGATACCTATGTCCAAGTACAACAGGATTACAGAACACTGAACAGATTTAACTGAAAGAAGACTACCTCAAATAATTTAATAATCAAACCCCCAAAGGTCCTAAAATCATCAAGAGAAAGCAAACAAATAACATACAGTGGAGTGACAATATGTCTGGCAGAAGACTTTTCAGTGGAAACTTTGTAGGCTGGCAGAGAGTGGCATGACCTATTTATATTGCTGAAGAGGAAAAAAGGGAAAAAAAAACTTTTACCCTAGAACAGTATATCTGTTAGTCTTCTAGTCTTTTACCCTAGAACAGTATATCTGTATAGTCTTCAAACATGAAGGAGAAATACTTTCTCAGACAAAGAAAAGCTGAGGGATTTTATCAATACCAGACCTATCATATAAGAAATTCTAAACGCAGTATTTCAATCAGAAAGAAAAGGACATTAATGACCAATAAGTAGTCACCTAAAGGTAGAAAACTCACTGGTAACAGTAGACACACAGAAAAACACAGAATATTATAACACTGTAACTGTAATGTGTAAACAACTCGTATCCTAAGTAGAAAAACTAAACAATGAACCAATCAAAAATAATAACTACAACAACTTTTCAAGACATAGTCAGTACAATAAAATATAAATAGAAACAACAACAATATCAAAAGCAGGGGGACAAATTTGAGGCAAAAACTTTTTATTAGTTTTCCTTTTGCTTGCTCATTTGATTATGCAAATAGCATTGTGTTATTAACAAATTATAGCATTGGATTATAAGGTAGTACTCTCAAGCCTCATGGTAGCCTCAAATCAAAAAATATACAATGGATATCAAAAAAATAAAATCAAGAAACTAAATCATATCATGAGAGATGATATGATTTATGATGATATGATGATATGATTTCCACCTTCCACCTTCACTAGAGGAAGACAGGAAGGAAAGAAGGAAGGAAGAGAAGACCAGAAAACGAATAACAAAATGGCAGTAGTCAGTCCTTACTTATCAGTAATAACATTGAATGTAAATAGACTAAACTATCTTATCAAAAGACATAGCCTGGCTGAATGGATGAATAAACAGGACTCATTGATCTGTTGCCTACAGGAAATGCACTTCACCTATAAAGACACATATAGGCTGAAAATAAAGGGATGGAAAAAGATATTCCATGCCAATGGAAACCAAAAAAGAACAAGAGTAGCTATATTTATAGTGGACAGAATGGATTTCAAGACAAAAATTATAAGACACAAACAATGTCACTATACAATGAAAAAGCAGTCAATTCAGCAGGAAGATATAACAATTTTAAATATACGTGCATCCAACAGTGGAGCACCCAGATATATAAAAGAAATATTATTAGAGCTATAGAGAGAGATAGGCCCCAATACAATAATAGTTGGAGACTTCAGTACCCCACTTTTAGCATTGGATAGATCTTCCAGACAGAAAATCAACAACAACAAAATAAATAGATTTAATCTGCACTATAAAACAAATGGGTCTAATAGATATTTATAGAACATTTCATCCAAGAGCAACAGAATACACATTCTTGTCCTCAGCACATGAATCATTCTCAATGATAGACCATATGTTAGATCACAAACCAAGTCTTGAAACATTCAAAAAATTGAAATATTATCAAGCATCTTCTGTGACCACAATGGAATAAAACTATTTGTATAGTTATGCAAACTATACAAACATGTGGAAATTAATAAATATGTTCTTGAATAACCAGTGGATCAATGAAAAAATTAAGAAGGAAATTGAAAAATTTCTAGAAACAAATGATAATAGAAACAAAAGATTCCAAAATTTATGGAATACAGGAAAAGCAGTACTAACAGGGAAGTTTATAATGATAAGCGCCAATATCAAAATAGAGGAAAAGCCTCAAATGAACAGTCTAGTGATGCATCTTAAAGAATAAGAAAAGCAAGAGCAAACGAAACCCAAAATTAGTAGAAGAAAATAAACATGGCTGGGCGCGGTGACTCACACCTGTAATCCCAGCACTTTGGGAGGCTGAGGGGGGCGGATCATGAGGACAAGAGATCAAGGTCATCCTAGCCAACATGGTGAAACCCTGTCTCTACTAAAAATACAAAAATTAGCTGGGCATGGTGGCGTGTGCCTGTAGTCCCAGCTACTCAGGAGGCTGAGGCAGGAGAATTGCTTGAATCCGGGAGGTATAGGTTGCAGTTAGCTGAGGTTGCACCACTGCACTCCAGCCTGGCAACAGAGTGACACTTCTTCTAAAAAAAAAGAAAGAAAGAAAGAATAAAATAAAATCATAAATGAAAACGGAGACATTACAAACTGATACTGTAGAAAGTCAAAGGCTCATTAGTAGCTACCATGAGCAACTATATGCCAATAAATTGGAAAACCTAGAAGAAATGGACAAATTCCTAGACACATATCATACAACCTACCAAGAATGAACCAGGAAGAAATCCAAAACCTGAAAAGACCAACGAAAAGACCAATAATAAGTAATGAGATTGAAGCCATAATAAAAAATCTCCCAGTAAAGAAAAGCTCAGGGCCAAATGGCTTCTCTCCTGAATTCTACCAAATATTTAAATAACTAATACCAATCCTACTCAAACTACTCCAGAAAATAGAAGAAGAGGGAGTATTTCCAAACTCTTTCTACAAGGCTAGGACTACCCTGATATCGAAACCATACAAAGACAGTCAAAAAAAGAAAACTACAGGCCAATATTTCTGATAAATATTGATGTAAAAATCTTCAACAAAATATAAGCAAACTGAATTAAACAATACATTTGAAAGATCATTCATCAGGACCAAGTGGGATTTATCCCTGGGATGCAAGAAGGTTCAACATATGCAAACCAACGTGATACATTGTATCAGCAGAATAAAGGAAAAAAACCATAAGATCATTTAAATTGATGCTGAAAAGCATTTGATAAAATTCAACATCCCTGCATAACAAAAGCCCTCAGAAAACTGTATATAGAAGGAATGTACCTCAACATAATAAAATTAATATATGACAGATCCACAGCTAATATAATACTGAATGGGGAAAAACTGAAAGCCTTCCCTTTAAGATCTGGAACATGACAAGGATGACAACTGTCACCAGTATTAGTCAACATAGTACTGGAAGTCTTAGCTAGAGCAATCAGACAAGAGAACGAAATAAAAGGCATCCAAATTGGAAAGAAGAAGCCAAATTTTCCTTGTTTGCGGATGATATGATCTTATATTTGGAAAACCCTAAAGACTCCACAAGAAAACTGTTAGAACTGATTAACAAATTCAGTAAAGTTGCAGGACACAAAATCAACATACAAAAATCAGTAGCATTTCCACATGCAACAGTGAACAAAGTGAAAAGGAAAATTTAAAAAGTAATCCCATTTACAATAGCCACACAAAAAAATTAAATACCTGGGAAATAACTTAACCAAAGAAGTGAAAGATTTCTACAATGAAAACTAAAAAACACTGATGAAAGAAATAGGACACCAAAAAATGAAAAAATATTCCATGTTTCTGGATTGGAAGAATCAATATTGTTAAAATGTCCATACTATCAAAAGCAATCTACAGATTCAATGCAATCTTTATCAAAATACCAATGACATTCTTCACAGATATAGAAAAAACAATCTTAAAATGCATATGGAACCACAAAAGACCCAAAGCTAATAAGCAAAAAGAACAAAACTAGAGGAATCACATTACTTTACTTCAAGTTATACTACAGAGCTATTGTAACCATGACAGTGTGATGCTGGCATAAAAACAGACACACAGACCATTGAAACAGAATAGAGAACCCAGAAACAAATCTACACACTTAGAGTGGACTCATTTTTGACAAAAGTGCCAGGAACATACACTGGGGAAAAGGCAGTCTCTCCAATAAATGGTGCTGGGAAAACTGGATATTCATAGGCAGAAGAATGAAATTAGACTCCTGTCTCTTGCCATATATAAAAAAAAGCAAAAAAAAATGGATTAAAGACTTAAATATAAGACCTCAGACTATAAAACTACTACAAGAAAACATTGGGGAAAATCTACAGGACTTTGGTCTTGGCAAAGATTTCTTGAGCAATAACCCCACAATCAAAGTAAAAATAAACAAATGGGATCACATTGAATTAAAAAGCTTCTGCACAGCAAAGGATACCATCAACAAAATAAAGAGATAACCCACAGAATGGGAGAAAATATTGACAAACTGTCCATCTGACATAGGATTAATTAATAACCAGAATACATAAAGAGTTCAAACAACTCTATAGGAAAAAACAGAGTAATCTGATCAATAAATGGGTAAAAGATTTGAATAGACATTTCTCAAAAGAAGACATACAAATGCCAAAGAGGCATATGAAAATGTGCTCAACATCACTGACCATCAGAGAATTGCAAAGCAGAACTACAATGTGATACCATCTCACCCCAGTTAAAATGGCTTACATCCAAAAGACAGTCAATAACAAATGCTGACAAGGATGTGGAGAAAAGCGAACTCTTGTATGCTGTTGGTGGAAATGTAAATTAGTACAACCACTATGGAGAACAGTTTGGAGTTTCCACAAAAACTAAAAATTGAGCTACCATATGATCCAACAATCATACTGTTGGGTACATACCCAAAAGAAAGGAAATCAGTATATTGAACAGGTATTTGCAATCCTGTTTGTTGCAGCACTGTTCACAATAGCTAAGATTTGGAAGCAACCTAAGTGTCCATCAACAGATAAATAAATAGATAAAGAAAATGGGGTATATATATACACAATGGGGTATTACTCAGCCATAAAAAATATTGAGATCCATTCATTTGCAACAACATGGATGGAACCAGAGATCATTATGTTAAGTGAAATAAGCCAGACACAGAAAGACAAACATTGCATATTCTCACTTATTTGTGAGTTTTAAAAATCAAAACAATTGAGTTCATGGACAGAAAGAATAGAAGGATGGTTACCCCATTCTCCACAATGTGCCTGTTTCACATTGCGTGGCTGTATCAAAACATCTCATGTACCCCATAAATATATACACCCACTATATACCCACAAAAATTAAAATAAATAAATAATTATAGTGTGGCTGTATAATAAGCAAAATAAATATCTAAAATCTATAGTATGTCGGATGGTGATAATTGCTGTGGAGCTAAATATCACAGAAAACAGGCATAGCTAATGAAAGTCATTAGTAGTGGAGTGCTACACCCAGTAAGAGTGGCAGACTAAGAGAATTCAGTAGCGGCTCAAGTAGTAAAGGAATGCTTTATAAAGGAAGAAGATTTAGAGTTTGGATTTGAAAAATGAGCAAAATATAGGTAGAAGAAAATGGATGAGATTTCAAGAGTCACACTCTTGTGTGGATCATATTAAGTACAAGAGCAGTATGTAAAGGCCACGTGAGGAGATGTCTTGCAGGAAGAAATGTTTTGAGTTTAGATTCACTAAAAGGATATCTTAGTTGAAGGAATCTCATAGTTCATCTGATACAACTTTAAAATTCCTGAATTATCTATAGGAGTGAGAAACTTTAGAAGCTCACCATTCCCCAGTGCTCAGGAGGTTACACGAATAAACAAGAAAGAACCAGGATTCACTCTTATTGAGCATCTCAGTTTGTAAACTTTTAAGCTCTCAGTTTATAAGATTATAAGCTTTTCCCTAAGACTTGATGTCTAACTTCTCTTTGATATTATCAGTTCTGTTATCTTGATCTACATAGAGTGCCCATCTATGTAATAGTTCTTTAAGAATTTGAAGATATATGGGTCTTCTCCTTGCCAGGTTTTCGATGATCAGTTTTTCTCTTCTTCTTCTTTACTTAATTAGCTGTTGCTTGTAAGATTTCCATCCACTCATCTTTTTGCTCATTCTGTGCTGTTCTTGATTGGCCAGATCTCTCATTGCCAAATCCTTCAAACGTCTACACTACTCTAGAACACTTCATGCCTTCATAAAACAAAGCAATACTATCAGTTGACACACACTCAGAGACTGTGTGTTGTTAATGCTATACATCTATCAAAACAGTGGTATCTATAACTACAATAAGTTTTTGAACATTCACACTATTATCTAATATTGAACTAATAGTCATCTATAACACCATTAATTAGGTGTGTTGCTATGTAGCCACATCTGGCACTTCCATTGCTGAATGTTGTATTTTGCAGTCTGTTGTTCCAGGTTCCCAAGATTTTTATAGACCATGATTCTGACATGAAAAAATATTTACCATTATATTCAACTTTTTAAAATCTAGAAATACAATAAATATGCTACATATGTTCTCATATAATTCACTGACACACCAAAGCCCTGTACAGAATGCTATAATATGTCATTTTTTATCTTCCTCTATGTTGACATTTACTCTTTAGTCATTAAATTTTGAGTACAGTCATTCAAACCGCTATGAGTCTTTATATGTTATTTTAAATCCATATTTTTCTTTTTTTTCCATGGGAATATCATAAGACTTGCTAAATTTGATCTAGATGTGTTACACTTTTAATATTTGCTTGGCTTTCTAATTTAATAAACTTTTTAAAGAAAATTTATGAGGATAGCCCAAATTACATTTTTAAAGCCATTCTTTCTTGTAAGAATTCTTACATTGGTCTAATCATCTATAAAAATATATTTGATCAACTCTACTAGAACTTTTCTTAGTAATGTCAGTGTACTTTTTCTCTTTACTAACATTTTGTCAGGAATTTTTAAAACAAAAATAACCTTTGCTCTTATTTAGTTTTCTGACATTTTTCAGTTTCCATTGAAGTTAAGGAGTAGGTGTTTAGTAAGCTCATTTGCAAGTCATTTTAATATCTTCAAAAGTAACTCTGTAACATTTCTCCTAGAAAATTAGCAAACTTCTCAGAAATAAAAACACAATTTCCATTAATTTTAGCTCTGATATTAGTAAAGAGGGCAAACCCAATTTCAAAGACTACCTAAAATTTTGGCACATAACATACTGTTGTACCAACTGGTAGGACTATACTAGAAACAGACACAACCTCAGTTCCACAAAAGAGCAATGTACTTTAAATGCAAGTTACTAAAGTAGATTCTGGGAAATTGTTCATATTAACTAAAATGTGTTTTCTTGGCAAAAGGAAGGGTGGAGGCACAAAATGGCCCTAGGACAAACAAGGACTGTGACACTTGTGACGCTACATCATTTCAAAGGTTTAATACTAGGCTAGAAGAAATCTATTCATTTGACCAGGTGAGAGATCAGAGGACAAATATTAGAGGTAAGGAGATATGCAGGAAAGAAGGACATAAATGTACTGGAAGCACCTTTTGCAGTATGGACCTAGAGCTTCGTTGCTTTATGCAGTGCCTGGTTGTGTGCCTAGTGATGGTATACACAGGTGTTGTAAAAAATAATGAGATGAGATATATGTCCCATCAAACAAATGTCCATGAACTTCATGTTTGCTTGATTTTTATTTTCTCTAATAGTACCTTTTATCAGTTCACTCCAAAGTAGAGATGCCATCTAGGAATGAAGGGACTTCTTGCTAGTGGGAAGAGTTCACCATGATAAAAACAAAGGTAAAAATTTCGGGAAAAAGATTAGGTAGAGTCACATGATACATCCAGAATATGATTAGAACACACAGAAAAACTCCATGGATTACTGCTGAACAGAAGTTGTAACAAACATAGAGAATAAACACACACTTCCACTTTCTCCATCCCACAAATAACTAGAAAACTAGAAAATATATAGATAGATAAATAGATAGATATAGGTATATAACTTCTAGACAGAAAGCAATAGGCAGCACAGGGTTGAGATTCCTTAAAGAAGGAAAACAAATTAGACAATCTTTATGATTGCCCCAGCTTACTTCCTGGAGCCAGTTTTCATGCTATAGCACAGGGGGAAAAAACTGAAATAAACTGAAATAAAGCCTGAAAAGTGAAAGGGCAGGAAGTTGGGAAGATAGTAGCCTGAGTTCAGGGAGCTCAAGACATTGAAATTTTATAGGGAAGAGTAGTAAAGCATTAGGAAATAAACAGAAAAAAAACCTGGGGGAACTGCAGGAAAATCTCCCTGAGGCTTTAGTTGACCTATCAATTTTTGGGGAAAAAAAATTTCCTGAGTCTGGGAAAAGACCAATGAAAACCGGTAAAAAGTAGTAGGATGAACAATTTCCAGAGTTCAAACATATGTAGGAATTATTTTGTTCCAAACAGCCAGAGCAGAAAAATCTTAAAATACAAAATGCAAACTGAAAAGAAAACAAAACAAAAGGCAAATTGTAGTTTTCAGAAAGATCACATTTAAGTAGTAGAGCTAAATAAGCTCTCTACAAAAAGCTCTTCTAAACCTGCCGTAACAAAGCTTAAAAGTAAACTTCAAAGGGACAAAGATTTAATCAAGAGTTACTTATCTGTATGCCAGAACAAAAGACAACACTCTTAAGATACAGTGCATGACAATGTAAACTTTATCATTTTTAGCATAGAAACCAAAATTACTAGGTATACAAAGAAGCAGAAAAATATGACTAGGAGAAAAAAAAACTACAAATGGATCCCAAATAATAGCCATGATGGAATTAAGAGACCATAGTAGAAAATAGCTCTTACACAGCTTACAAATATGCTCAAAGGCATGAAAACCAACATAAACATACTGAGAAGGAAAATGGAAAGTATATGCAACCTCTAGATAGAAAAAAATCAGTATCTGAAGTGAAAAATACACTGAATGGGTTTCAGAGTAGCTTAGATACTAGAAAAGAAAAGGTCAGTGAATTGGAAGACATAGAAATATAACTATTTTTTTTAAAAAGCACTAAAAAAGTAGCCAGGAGTGGTGGCTCGTGCCTGTAATCCCAGCTCGCTCTTAGGGAGGCAGAGACAGGAGGATAGCATGAGCTCAGGTTTGAGACCTGCCTGGGCAACATAGCGAAACACAAGCTGGAGGCATCACACTACCTGACTTCAAACTATACTGCAAGGCTACAGTAACCAAAACAGCATGGTACTGGTATCAAAACAGAGATATAGATCAATGGAACAGAACAGAGCCCTCAGAAATAACGCCGTATAGCTACAACTATCTGATCTTTGACAAACCTGACAAAAACAAGCAATGGGGAAAGGATTCCCTTTTTAGTAAATGGTGCTGGGAAAACTGGCTAGCCATATGTAGAAAGCTGAAACTGGATCCCTTCCTTACACCTTATATAAAAATCAATTCAAGATGGATTAAAGACTTAAACGTTAGACCTAAAACCATAAAAACCCTAGAAGAAAACCTAGGCATTACCATTCAGGACATAGGCATGGGCAAGGACTTCATGTCTAAAACACCAAAAGCAATGGCAACAAAAGCAAAAATTGACAAATGGGATCTCATTAAACTAAAGAGCTTCTGCACAGCAAAAGAAACTACCACCAGAGTGATCAGGCAACCTACAAAATGGGAGAAAATTTTCGCAACTTACTCATCTGACAAAGGGCTAATATCCAGAATCTACAATGAACTCCAACAAATTTACAAGAAAAAAACAAACAACCCCATCAAAAAGTGGGTGAAGGACATGAACAGACACTTCTCAAAAGAAGACATTTATGTAGCCAAAAAACACATGAAAAAATGCTCACCATCACTGGCCATCAGAGAAATGCAAATGAAAACCACAATGAGATATCATCTCACACCAGTTAGAATGGCAATCATTAAAAAGTCAGGAAACAACAGGTTCTGGAGAGGATGTGGAGAAATAGGAACACTTTTACACTGTTGGTGGGACTGTAAACTAGTTCAACCATTGTGGAAGTCAGTGTGGCGATTCCTCAGGGATCTAGAACTAGAAATACCATTTGACCCAGCCATCCCATTACTGGATATATACCCAAAGGACTATAAATCATGCTGCTATAAAGACACATGCACACCTATGTTTATTGCGGCATTATTCACAATAGCAAAGACTTGGAACCAACCCAAATGTCCAACAGTGATAGACTGGATTAAGAAAATGTGGCACATATACACCATGGAATACTATGCAGCCATAAAAAATGATGAGTTCACGTCCTTTGTAGGGACATGGATGAAACTGGAAATCATCATTCTCAGTAAACTATCGCAAGAACCAAAAACCAAACACCGCATATTCTCACTCATAGGTGGGAATTGAACAATGAGAACACATGGACACAGGAAGGGGAACATCCCACTCTGGGGACTGTTGTGGGGTGGGGGGAGGGGGGAGGGATAGCATTGGGAGATATACCTAATGCTAGATGAGGAGTTAGTGGGTGCAGCACACCAGCATGGCACATGTATACATATGTAACTAACCTGCACAATGTGCACATGTACCCTAAAACTTAAAGTATAATAATAATTAAAAAAAAATAGAAAAATTAAATTAAAAAGAAAAATACACTGAATGGGTTTCAGAGTAGGTTAGATACTAGAAAAGAAAAGGTCAGTGAATTGGAAGACATAGAAATAAAACTATTTTTTTAAAAAAAGCACTAAAAATGTAGCTGGAAGTGGTGGCTCATGCCTGTAATCCCAGCTCGCTCTTAGGGAGGCAGAGACAGGAGGATAGCATGAGCTCAGGTTTGAGACCTGCCTGGGCAACATAGTGAAACCCTGTTCTTAAAAATGGAAAAATTAAAATTAAAAAGCACAAAAACATAGCCAAAAATAAAGCATTAACAAGTTTTGTGATAATATCAAGGAGTCTAGCATATATATAATTGGACCTCTCAAGAACAGAGGACAGAGATGGAGCTCAAACTTTCAGGAAATAGCTAAAGTTTTTTTTCAAATTTGACAAATACTATAAGCCTACAGATATAAGATTCTCAACCAACCCCAAGAAAAATAAATAAATGGATGATGACAGATAGATAGATAGATAGATAGACAGATAGATAGATAGACCCACACTAATGTATGTTATGATCAACATGATGAAAATCATTGATAAAGAGAAAATCTTAAAGGCAGCCAGAGGAAAATAATGCACATTACATAAATAACAAAAATAAGAATTATAGCGTACTTCTTAATAGAAAACATACAGGAAAGAAGACAATGGAATGGCACTTTAAATATAAAGTGTCAAATGAAAAAAATATGCCAACCCAGAATTCTAGGCTCAATAAAAACATCTCTCAACAATGAAGGAAAAATAAAAGAGTTTTTTTTCCAGGAAAACAAAAGCTGATAGATTCATTGCCAAATGAACTGTTCTATAGGAAATGTTAAAAGGAATTATTTAAGCAGAAATATGATGATATCAGAAAAGAACTTAGAAATGGTAAATATGTGGGTAAACAGAATTTATCTCAATTTTTAATTTCTTCAAAGTTACCTGATATTTAAAGGATAATAGTAACAGTGCATATTGAGGATTCTAACATTTGAAGAAGTAAAATGTAGGATAGTAGTACAAAAGACGGGAGGCAGATATTGAATAATACAACTATAAAATTCTTACAGTATACATTCAATAATATTGCTTGAATGTAGACTGTGATGAGTTAAACTCTAGAGAAACCACCTACAAAGTCCAAATGGCATAGACAACCAGCCAATAATAGAAATAAAAAATGGAATCATAAAACATACTACTCCAAAAGAAGGCAGGCAAGGAGGGATAAGGAATAAAAACAATTGGGGGAAGTAGGAAACAAATGGTAAGAAAATAAATTTAAACCAATATATCAATAATTACATTAATTGTAAATGACATAACCACTCAAAAAGTAGAGATTTGTCAAATGTATTTTTAAATCAATATTCTACTATATGCTTTCTAAGAGATAATCAAACTAAAACAAATTTCTCAAACTTTAATTTTGTGTTATTCCAGAATTGTCGAAATTTCTTCAGGTTACTCAATGAATAAATATACTTTCAGGTTAAAATACAAGAGCAGTAAAGGAGGAGGAGGATCACACCGTTAATTAAAGACAGCAGAAAAACAAGATTCACTAAGTTGTTGAGTAAATAATAATAATACATGCATATATGTATATTCAATGACAGGAACAGAGGAAAAGTTTAAAAAACAAAAACAAAAAAAGGCACAATGGCTCACACCTATAATCCCAGCACTTTAAGAGGCAGAGACAAGTGGATAGCTAGAGCCCAGGAGTTTGAGACCAGCCTGGACAATATAGAAAGACTCCGTCTCTACTAAAAATTAAAAATTGTTTGGAAAAAATTAGCTGGGCATAGTGGTGCACACCTGTAGTCCCAGTTACTTGGGAGTCTAAGGTGGGAGGATTGCTTGAGCCCAAGAAGTCGAGCCTGCATTGAGTCATGATTGCACCACTGCACTTCAGCCTGGGTTAAAGAATGAGATGGGAAAGGAAAGACAGAAGGGAAGCAGAAGGGAGGGGAGGGGAGGGGAGGTATGAGGCTAATAAAAAATTTCCAAGTAAATACAGCAATATAATAAGCTAAAGATAGACATAAAGGACATATTTAATAATTTTTATTAAAATATTAAGTATGGGTTTTATATTTCAATAAAAATATAGAATAGTATTCATTTGGGGTCATTTCTAATCATTCATCATTGAAATTGAACGTTATTGTAAGCAGAAACTACTTTTCACTTTGAAGGATTTAAAAAATATATGGACTCTACAAAATAATATATAGGATATGAGATGGTAAGAAAATGCATTAAAAGGAAAAGGGGACTAATGTCAAAATGTAAGGATTTCAAAGGACATCAGAAGTAATAACAAACAATAAACCCAGCAGAAACCTGAACCCATGTTTATCTGAAATGCAAAAAAAAAAAAAAAAAAAAGAATCTAAACAATCAGAAACAAAGTAGATGGTAGGATACACAAAGCAGATCAAACAAATACAAGCATTTTTTAAAAAGATAACAGAACACCTGTTATGGAACAAATATACAAAGATACAATCAACAAAATATTCCTGAATTGAAGGAATTCAGTTCGTGGACTGTTCACCTTTCTGGGAGCCAAGTAATATTTAGCAAATGTGACTAACACTAAGATATTCTGATGAAGTTTAGGTTTCCAGGAGACTTAGATTTTTTTCTTCAAAATACCAGACAGAAGACAGCATGAAACAACATCTTCAGAGACCTATAGATATGAACTTTAAGCAAATCTAATGCCTTGGCCTGCTGAGAACATGGTTTGGGAATTTACCCATTTCTCCTGAGCAATAAGTAAGCATTCAGGAATGTTCAGGTCTTGGTGGCATGTACTTGCTCCTGATAAATAGTTGCCTATTCATGTAGCCAGTTTCCAGAGAAGTTAGAAGGAACCCAGAAGACATTAGACAGACAGACAGAGAGAGAGAGAGAGAGAGAGAGAGAGAGAGAAAGAATGAGAATGCAACAGGAAAGGAAATTTCTCAAAGAGTGTCATCAGGTCTCACATTGATAATGTAGTATCATAGGCTGTGAGGCAACATGAGAAGGATTAAAGGTGAAAGAAAGAATCTAAACAATGTTAAAACTATAATTTTAGGGGCCAGGCATGGTGGTTCATGTCTATAATCCCAGCACTTTGGGAGACTAAGGCAGGCAGATTGCAAGAGCAGCCTGGTCAACATACGGGAAACCCCATCTCTACCGAAAAAAAAAAAAAAAGTTTTTAATTGGCCGAGTGTGGGGACACATGCCTGAAGTCCCAGGTACTTGGTAGGCTAAGACAGGAAGATGGTAAGATCCCAGGAGTTTGAGGCTGCAGTGAGCTATGATCATGCCACTGCACTCCAGCCTGGGCAACAAAGCAAGATCCCATCTCAACAAACAAACAAAAACAAACAATAACAAATAAGAAACTCTATAATTTTACATACTAAATATCAAAATGTAAATACTTACCTTTTCATGTACCCTTTTAATTACCTCTTTATATATAACAAGTTCTGTTTTAAAAACGTTTTAATACTGGTTGTTGTTCATTGTCATGTCATTATTTATGGCAGAAGGTATTTCTGACATAGACTTTTGTAAAATGCTGCACAAAATCACAGACGCAAGACAAAAGTTGGTCAGTTAGTAAACTGACTAATCAGGATAGGAAACTGCAACATTTAGGTATTGGAAAGAAAAAGTGATATGCATTTGTAAGAATTTTGGCATTAGCAGCCATTACAGTGTGTGGAAATGTGAGTAGAGATTAGCTACCAAATTTCTTATTTCAAATTTTGGATTGATATGGATATCAAATAATTTCCCTGCATGAAAGCATTTGTCTCGAGCTCTGCTTGTGGTGAATCCTAGTGTAATTCGGCATGTTGTTTGTTTTATGTTTTTGTTTTGTTTTGCTTTTTTGTGGTTTTTTTTTTTTTTTTTTTTTTGGCTGTGCAAGGAGACTAGGATAGCAGCTGCTCCCTTACCCTGGACCCTGGGATAACAAAGACAAGACATATGGAGTGGCATAGAACCCCAGTCAATCCACAACCAACATAAAATGTTTTGGGAAAAGGGAGAGGGGGGACCATATTATTTGTTATGCAGCATCACCTAGCAAAAGCTGCCTGATACATTGTAAAAGATATATGAATACATACATTCATGTTTCTTGTTTTGCTTATTCCAAACCAACTTTTAAAAAGAACTGTTTTGCTATTCTTAATATTTTTAACAATTTGAAGTTATTCTGGGCTTTAATCTCCTAGACTCTACTCTGGCAGTTTTGTGCCACTCTTTCATATTCATTCTCTGTCTTAACTTCCACTTATTCTATATGTGCTTTTAAAATCTGAGTTCTTTGGAGCTACTCCGCTAGGCAACTTCACTGGTATCTTCAATTGTTCCCTCTGTTTATTGCTTACTGGAACCACTTGTGTTGTAGATAAAGTCAGAATTTTATTCTTGAGAGTGTTTCCCAACCAGACTGAATTACCTCCCCCTTAGAGGCTTTGGGCTTGGGACCTTTTCTCTGAAATGATAAAGTCTGCCTTCCTTAAACATAGAATAGTCACCTGACAATGTGTACACCTTATTTTTTTTTTTTAAAAGCAGTGTCTACAGGATGACATGGTCACTTTTTCTCTTCAGTTTTCATAATTTTCACTTATTTAATCAATTATTCATTATTGATTAAAAGTATATTCAATAAAACTGTTTCCATCATCATTTCCTATGTTTTGTGACAGGTATAACCAATGCTTAGCATGGGCTGACGATGAAATTTTTTATTTTTTATTTTATTTTATTTTTTTTGAGACAGAGTCTTGCTCTGTCACCCAGGCTGGAGTGCAGTGGTGCAATCTCGGCTCACTACAAGCTCCGCCTCCTGGGTTCACGCCATTCTCCTGCCTCAGCCTCCCGAGTAGCTGGGACTACAGGCGCCTGCCACCACACCTGGCTAATTTTTTGTATTTTTAGTAGAGACGGGGTTTCATCGTGTTAGCCAAGATGGTCTCGATCTCCTGACCTCGTGATCCGCCCGCCTCGGCCACCCAAAGTGCTGGGATTACAGGTGTGAGCCACCGTGCCTGGCCTTAACAATGAAATTTTTAGCAGATGGATATTCACATAACTGATAGTCAACTTTACCACTAGATGTGACTATTATATTTTGTGATCTGTATTTCTTAGTCTGCACAGTCAGAAATGAGAACTATGGTGGAAAATTATGTTGGTACTAGATCCTTTTTTTATTATTATAGTAATAATATATTAACCAGATGAATTACCATACCTAAAACTTCTGAGTTTTTAGTGTCTTAATAGACTGCTAAAGGCTGAAAGATACACTCATTTAAAAATAACAATGTACTCTTTTTCGGAAAGGGTACTTATCACAATTCTAATTATATATTTTATTTGAAATTGTTTAATCATTATCTCTCTCCTGGATAGCAAGACTGCAGAAGAAGTGCTACATACATCATTTTGTTTTCAATCCAATATTTCTTAAGAATCTAGAACACAGCACTACTTCAAAATATTTATTCACTGGAGTACAGATTCATGTCTGTAACCACTGGCTCTGACAAGGTCATTTTCTTATCTTTAAAGCGATCACAGGGCAGAGTTCAGGTGAGGACGGAAAATAGAATACACAGATAGTCTTACGTGTGTTACATGCTCCATCCTTGGACCCATAAATGCAGTCATCTTCAACCAAAGCACATTTTCCAAAAGTGAAGAAAGGTTGGCATCTTTTTAGAGTTTCCTCCAGAAGCTAATCCTGAGACAGAGATTCAAATGCAAATAGCGAATTTGGAAGGGAATCTAAGGAAACACCAATGGGCGAGTGAAGAAAGTAGACAGGAAGGGAAGGCAGTCAGTAAGTGGCAACTAATCTAGCAAGTTGCCACTATTGTTAACTAGAACCTAATTTTACTGGGGAAACTGATGATCTCACCTAAGAGAACTTGAAAGTTTATGCTCCATTTCTTATCAGTCATTGATTGAGACAAATTCCTGAGGAAATTAATTCTTCAGCACTTCCACCCTGACCAATGTACAGACAGAAGAAACTCTAGAGACCAGAGGAAGCTCCTCAGGAAGAGACATAGATGCTGGCAGTTAGAAGTTGAGCCATCCTGCATTGAAATGGTAATATGCAAGCAGTCATGTCCTGGGCACCAATCGCATCAACCACAGATGGCTTCTACAAAGCAAAAATGTGATGTAATTGCTTCAGTAAGAGGAATAAAGCCTGGGCAGCAAAATAACATGGGAGGAATCACATGGCCTCTCTCCGCTGAACACCAGAATTAGACCTTTTTTGTCAGAGTATAAAGCAAACGTTAACCCCATTTTTCCTTGGGAGAAATGATGAGCGAATCATTGATCTGAATTTAGATGTTCTTTGGCTAAGGTGTGAAGTGTTCTCTTTAATGACATGAGTTATATTAGGTATCTCTGAGGATGTTGCATTTTATTGGGAGAAGGAGTGGTAAGGAGCAGAATTTGTGCCTTTTCTTTAAGGAATTAGACTTCATTGCGTTCCCAGTATTAGTCATAGGGAAGGTAAATCCCAAAAAGATATAAAGACTTGGAAGTCTGCCTTAAAATTAGGCTGGGGTTCATAGCTATCTTTCTGAAACTGATGGCAGTAGGCCATGGACACAAAGGAGGACTGGCATACTCCAGGACACTCTTGGTAGAATAGAAATATCTTCTGCAGACCAAGGACTAAATTTAAAATCAGCCCTGTAATGACAAAAGTTATAGCTAATTGTTTTTAGTGTTTTCTAAGCATCAAAGTACATATGTTATCATACAGTCATGCACTGCATTACGAGGTTTCCCTCAGTAATGGACCACATATACAATGTCGTCCCATGAGATTATAACACCATATTTTTACTATACTTTTTTACATTTGGATATGTTTAGATACACAAATACTTGTCATTGTGTTACAACTGCCTACAGTACTCGGTACATAACATGTTGTACAGGTTTGTAGCCTACGAGCAATAGGCTATACCATATAGCCCAGGTGTGTAGTGGGCTATACCATCTGGGTTTCTATAAGTACACTCTATTATGTTCACACAAGGGTGAAATCTCCTGTATTAGTTCATTCTCACATTGCTTTAAAGAAATACCTGAGACTGGGCAATTTATAGAGAAAGAGGTTTAATTGGCTCACAGTTCTACAAGCTCTATAAGAAACATGCTGCTGGCAGCTGCCCAGCTTCTGGGGAGGGCTTAGGAAACTTAAAGTCATGACAGAAGGCAAAAGAGTAGCAGGCGCATCACATGGCCAGAGGAGGAGCAAGAGGGTATTTGGGGTGCCACACATTTTTAAATGATCAGATCTCTCAAGAACTCACTCACTATTGCAAGGAGAGTACCAAGGGGATGGTACTAAACCATTCATAAAAAATCCGGCTCATGATCTAATCACCTCCTGCCAGGCCCTTCCTCCAACATTGGAGATTACATTTCAACATGAGATTTGAGCGAGGACACAGATCCAAACCATATCATAACCTAAGGACACATTTCTCAGAGCGTATGCCTGACATTAAGTGACGCATGACTGTATGTAATACTCTCTATATCTTTATAAGGTAAACATTATTTTTATTCCCATTTGTATTCATTTTCTATTATTACAATAAAAAACTACCACAAGCTTATCCACTTAACTAAAGGTCATGATGTTGCAGGTCTGTAGGTCAGATGGAGAAGGGGAGAATCTGTTTCCTTGCTCATTCACGTAGTTGGCAGAAAGTAGTTCCTCGCAGCTGTAGGACCAAGGTCCCCATTTCCTGTCGGATAAAGGCAGTTGCCAGCTTATTGAGGTCATTCATTCTTTGGCTCCAGTCATCTTCCCCACTATGCAAAGCTGGCAACAGCGGGTTAAATCCCACTCATATTTTGAATCTCTCCTGCCTATTTTGCCACTGCCCCTGTCTGACTGACTGTCCTGCCTTCCTCTCCACTTTTAAGGACTCATGTTATTACATTAGTTCCACCCAGACAATTCAGAATAATCTTCCCATTTTCAGGTCCATAACCTCAATTCCATCTGCAAAGTTCTTTTTGCCATTAAACATAACATATTCACAGCATCCAGAGATTAAGTCATGGACATCTTTGAAGGAGGACAAAATTATCCTGCCTAGCAGTCAACATTCTGGCTGGCAAGGATTCAAGTCTGCCCCAGATGCAAAATATCCAGTGTCTAAAGATTTTTATATCCCAAGAATCTGGAGAACTCTTGACATTCAAGAAATTAATATAAAAGTGAGTTTTTAAAAATCTTTGCTTTGAGTATTGCCTTCCATGAAGCAATCTTCTTACCTCTTAGTAGCATTGGAAGAACATTTTGAGTCACTAGTATATATGTATGAATTAAACAGATTGCTTCCTTTCACACGAGTGGTCTAGATACTGAGGAGCAATGGGAAACCAGAAAGAAAGGACACTGAATGGAAGCTAATATGAAGGAAAACTATACTCTTGCTGGATTGTTCTAGGACCTACCAGAAATAAAACTGAAGTATTTTTTAATTAACGTAGTTTCAATCTGTGGAACTAATACCGTTTTAGTATAACCTTACTTCATCTCCTGTGATATAGAAGATAGAATTCTTCTTTTCTCCCCTAGCAACATTTTTTTCTACTCAGTTGCCCAAACTGCAACCAAATCCTAGTGCTCTTACCCCAAGAAATCAGCTGAATGTGTTCTCTTTCTGTTCTCATTGTCACGCTACTATTAATACTTAGGAATTCACCTGAATTAGTGAAACAGCCTCATAATTGCAGATTTTCCTCAAATCTCCTTGCTTCTAATTTGCCTCCTACATTATGACCCAAACTTTTTCTAAATTATTCATCTGATCATGCCATTCTCTTTCAGAAAATCCTTCAATGTTTCTCCAATTTCCTTAGCAAGAAATTCAAGGGTCTTCCAATCTCATTTCAACTCCACTCTGGCCTAAAATTCCAGTTCCACCACATATTGGCTAACTGACGTGAGGCAATTCTCTGATCTCTAAATACAACTTTTGTATAATATCTATCTAAATGATACAGTATGGGATTATAGCAAGAACATGAGTTGTACCCCAAGCTGCTAGCACCTAGAAAATGCTTAATAAGTTGTAGTTATCAGAGTAACCTTTGTCGTCTCATTGCCCCACACTGCTTACTATGCAACCCAGACTCTGAACTGAACCGACACTTTCTGTCCTCAAAAAGATCCACATCTCATGTTTTGTTCATGCAACTCTGAGATTTTTTTCATGCAAATTCCTTTATTCTGAAGGCTTTTACCCATATTTTGAGCCTGAAAAAATTCTGTTGATCTTTTAAGACACAGCTCAAATTTGCCATCTCTCTGAAAACTGCATGATCTCTCTTGGTCTGATTATTCACTCCCACAATTATGCTCCTATGGCACTTTTTTCAAATCATTAGCATTTGTCACCTGTGTCAAAACTTGTTGCATGAGTATATAACTTCTCATCTAGATGGTGAGCTTCTTGAGGCCAGGCCTGGTATCTCATTATGGTTTCATCACTGCCAAGTGCAATGCTGGACTTGGGGTGGACGCTCAGCAAATATTTGTGGAATTGATTGACATAACAGTACCTAAAGACACAGTGTCAATGCTGGCCTGTGTTACTTCTCCCATGGCAAAATTAATCTAATCATCATCTGTAGTATTTATTAGTACTATTATTACAAAGATTACCTTGGTTTCTTTTTCTTGAAGGACAATAGGTCAGATGTTCACCAATTATGGCTTTCCTAGATGCTTCTGCATAATTGAATTCAATATTTTATTCACATTTTTCCCTAAACCAAATGCCTATATTAAAAATGTATTCACATTTTCCCCTAAACCAAATGCCCATATTAAAAATGTATATATGTATATTAATGTGAATAGTGGCATTCTTATGAGCAATCCTATGATAAAAAGAAGTTAGATGGCAGAAGGATTTTGGTCAGAAAACACATTTTACAAGGCAGCTTCTAAGGGGTTATTTTAAACAACAGTGAGGGGAAAAATTATTTCAAACAGATGAAAAATACCTCTCCACTGTCCCTCTAATGGATGTACTTTAAAGAAAGCCAAGGGGAATTTTAAACTCCACATACATTTTATGAACATTCAAATGAATATCTCTGACTAATCTCAAGTGCATTTGAATAAAAAATAGAACAATTTTGATGTTCCAAGTTGAATTACTAAGTAAAAATATTCAGTTATCAGATAGTTAATTAAGTGGAACTGACTGTATTCATTAAAATATTTGTTCCAAACAAATGTATTTAACATTCAGATATTATGCAGAATAGGTGACAATTGCATATCTCCATGGAGATCAATAATGGGATTCAGATCATTGTGTAAAGAGTCTGCAAGTTTAATGCAGAGAGAATGTCATTATTATTTCTCTCTTAATGATGGTCATTATGCGCAAACACTGATTGAATTCCATTTGTTACCTGCATTTGAGCTGAGAGGAATAATTACAATTTAAGTGTCTCCATTAAAATTCATAAAAGAATATGAATGCAAAAATTATACTTGAAACTGACAAAATGTACTTTGAGGATATAAATTGTGTTTTCTGATAGGCCTCTTAAAAGTATTAAAAATAGCTTCATTTTAATAAGATGACATATAAAGATCATGTGTTATCCTCACCTTTATGTAATTTTAATGCTGCAATACATGACTAATAATAAAAAGTAAAGGAATTAACTTTTGAAAAGTAAAATCAATTAAACAATGTGGCAGTTATCACCAGTACTTTTCAGGATTGGGTCATAGTCATCTATTTTTTTAAAAAAATGTTTTTAATTGTTATATGATATTAAAATTATGTTCTATCATTCCATGTATTGGTGATATCTTCCTACCACCTACTACTGTTGGTAGCTAACAGACTCAAGGTTTGGATGGATGTAAATTAAATATGCTATGTTCTATTTCACTCATTTGGTATATATTTCTGTGCACTGTTCAGCATCTATAATTTGAGGTGCTGAGAGTTATTACTTTTCAGCCACACCAACCCAAAATTTCCAGTTGCTTAACTTGCATTTTTCCTAGAGTGAAGTGAAACATACTAAGATGTCATATAGGATATCATGGGTCCTTGAAACTTTTGCCTTTTCATGGCCTAAGAGAGTTCTCTAAGCCCAGTGAGACAAAGCTGAGTATTTAATGCTACAGAAGCCACAAGAGAAATGAAAGCAGTCGAGTTCTGAGGCATTTATGAGGCTCATCAAGTGTCTGGAGAAGGATCTCAGGGGAGACTTGAAGCTTTCTTTCAGTACCAGATACCCTTCTCTAATTCTAGATCAAAAATTAAAATTGCAGTGTCTTAAATTTTAAAGTTTCTATGTTACAAAACTATATGTGCTTCTAAACTACTAATTACAAACAAGGAAGTCATAGAATTTTTAAGTGAGGAAGATCTTATGTATCTCATAATTTACACCTTATTCATTTCACAGATAAGAAACCAAAGGTCTAGAGATGCCCAGAATTAAATGTTTTTAAATCTTAGTGACAGACTTCAAACCAAAACACCATTATCTTGCCATTGACTACAACATTCTTTATAAGTAATATTGTTGGGCATTGCTATCTGTCAATATATTCACTTTTGCATCACTTTCTTCTTCCACAGATGAAATTAAAAAAAAAAAACTTGTTCACTCAATGTGCAATTTCTTGAAGGAATATTAAGAAAAATTATATTTGTGACTATGCTTATGTGTGTTAAAATGGCTGTAAATTTAAGAAAAATTACTTGTGTTACAATTAAAAAACATAAATTACATTTGTCTGAATGCATGAGTTTTTTAGATGGCCTAATTAGGTATATCCAGAATTTTCTTCAGTTTCCATATTCCCAATTTTGCCACCTGATCACTTTGAGGTAAAATGTGGAGCTTGGAATTATACCGGACAGTATCTGCTCACTGGCTATAGCACTTGGCAGTTTTCCGTAAGATTCTGATTGTCTTGAATCAGGAGAAAAGACAAGATTTCTATCAAGCCTTTGTCCTTTCTGAGATACTTAAAACCATTGAAAATAAGGAGGAGGAGGAAAAGGAAGAGGAAGAAAAGAGGTGGTATCAGAAGGGACAAAAAGAAGAGAAAAAAGAAAAAGAAAAATGCAAATATTAGAATTAGAGATTATTTCTTGCTGAACTAGCAAATAGGACAAAATGTTTGCATTGCATTCATCTCTACTTGTGCATTCTCTTTTAGAGACAAGAACCTTGAGCCAGAAACAACCCTCTTTTACAGACTGAGCAAAACATCAAGATAGTATGCTACCCAGTAAATATACATAAAGACTGGTGGAAAATATTCGAATGTAGTCTGATATAAATAACCAATAATTGTACTATCATTTTAAATGGGAAAAGAAAAGAGCTTTGCGCCTTTTAAAGAAATAAGTACACTTACCTTAAAGAAGTAGACCAATGTTTAACAGGATAATATGCAAATGTGACCTAAGCTTTTGATTATATCAGTACCTACTAACAGCAGTTCAGATCAACGGGGATGAAATTGTAAGTATAAAAAAGGATGAGGAAAATAGCTACCAACTGAATTTCTTAACTAGTTATTCCTGATTTACCGCACACTGTGCTATTTGAACTGCAGTTCCTCAGGTATGCAAATCTCACTAGATGCTGAAGCATAGTGCTTTCTACATCTAGGGAAAAACTTACACCAATCATTTCTCCAGCATGTTCAAGCTAATCTGATGTTATCCTCTGTCACGCTTTATTTCTCAGTTCTCTGACATGGCAAGAGAAGTTCATGGCAACCATAATTTGTCCTTATAATTCTTTTGGAACTATTCAGTGCATGCAACAGGGAGCAGACAGTTTCTGGAATGAAGAATCAGGCTTAATTGGTTAAAAAGATTGAAATGGCTAAATTAAAATCAAGTCATATACTGCAGCCAGGAAAAGGAAACAAGGAAAGTGTTCTTGTCTGATGTTATCTTCCCACATACTGCATTGAAGAGTGTGAGCTCCAAACATGAGAAATATGCCTTATGTTGATTATCACCCAGTGAAGTAAGAAACCATAAATAATCTAAAGTAAAGGGCATGAACTTCCCCACAAAGTCAAAGCTCCTCTTCATGCAAGGTGAACTGTTAAAGGGAAAAAATACGTTTTCAGCTGTTGTTCACTTTATGTAAGCATTGATGTGCCTGTGTCAAAATGCAAGTTTCCTGCCCTCAGCAGTTCTTGAGGAACAGATAAAATGACATATATAGATGGGCAGCCTGATTTCCAAACCATTTTTTCTCCTGCTGGATCTGGTGAAGGTGGAAGCTACATTATTGCAGTACGTCTGGCTTGTTATAGTTATTATTAGACATGACTCACTATTGTTCAAGTAATAACATACTAGAGATATAAATTTGCATCTACAAATGCAGTTCATTCTGGTTTTTAGCAATATGACTCTATCGAGCTGCTGAGTTCTTCCCTAGCGCTACTGCACATGGAAAGTCACTGGGTTGCCATGAGCAATGCCACTTTCTAATGCAACTGTTGATCAATTGCTTATAAATCTGTGAAATGAATGATACAGAGAAACATCTTCCTCCTTTCCTCTTCCTCCTCTTGCTGTCTCCTCCATGAAACGCCCATTTTTGCAAGGATCCTGTAGCTCATGGAATTAAAATAAATAATTTCCACTTGTATTACTTTTCCATACCTCCTGGAAAGTATTGCACAGTCTGTTTTTTGATTGGTGTTTGCCCTTCCATTTACTTTGTGCATCTCATGGTGGGCCACATTGTTTCAGTTTGAAGTTTGGCCGTGGCACCTGAGATTTACACTGGTATAAATTGAGATTTGTTTTTTCCTACTAATATTAAATGATGTGAATTATTTCTGAATTTAATTATAATCACTTTTATGCACCTTTGCTCAAGTGTAAAATTAACCAATTGATTCAAAGTGTTATTTGAAACAACAACAAAAAACACCCTTCTCATCTGGTAGGCCCACACATATTATATTTCAGCCAGGTGTGATGGGAAATTAACCTCCTAAAATAAATGTGTAAATACCTCTGCCCTAATTATAGCTACAAGCACTGCTCCAATATTCTCTCTTCTGTGTTGTGGAATTCATGCACTTGTTTAATAGCACGCCTAATTTAGACAGGCAGAGTGATTATGAGTGGGTCTGGGATTAAGCCTGATAACTCAATACTTCTATGATTAGAACAGTGGCCTACTTCCTCCTTGGCTTTTTTGTGTGTGCATAAAATAAATGACTGTGATTGGAACTTTTAACTACAACCCACTCTGCCAGCAGCAAATGAAAACTACATATGATCCCAAATGTCTTTGCGTGTAGCATACCATTTCTTGGCTGTTAAGATTTGTTGTTCTGTCACCAATTTATCAGTTGGGGCCATTTAATTCATACTCACTTGAGCAGAATTAAAAGTGTTTACTTTCCTCATAAGAGGGCAGTCACATATGTACCAATTTTGTTTTAACTGTGGAAAGCAGGGAGCTGAAAACGGAGTGCAGAGGGGATTCAGCAAGGCCTAATCAATCACTGACAGATTACAGCTAAAGCCACTTCCATACCCATTAAAGCAGGACAAATGCAGAATTGCAACTGAACAACTTCTAGTTTTAAGCCAACAGTGGGACTTCCTAGTTATTTATCAAAGTCATTGCTGGTAAGCAGCATGCCTCGCTGCTCGATTGTACTTCACAGCAGACAGAGCTGACTGAAGCTTCAGCCATGAAAGAAGTGTTTATGCCCTCAGCTGTGGTGCTGTCAGCCCTCTGGAATTTACTGTAAATCACACAGCTTTTATTGCAGGATTTAGTAGCTTATCCTCTGTGGGCTCTATTCACTGCAAGCTTGTTACTATTTGGATGTTAGCCTCAGTCCATAAAGGGACTTGCTACACATCATCAAACAGCGGCAAAAAACCAAAGGTTTCATTTTTCAATTTTCTAAACCCTAAACTCCTCAACAGTCATTGAATTTCATTGCAGAAAGTGGAAGTCTACTTTATTATGGTACTCAATTTCCCCAATGGAGTTATACACTTATAACATTACTTTTATTTCCAATGACAGGATCTGGCCATCTGTCCTGGCTGTAATTTCATAACACACTCACTAGTTTTTATTTTAAGGGAATTTCTAGATATTACATGGAGCTTGTGACAAAATTATAATGTATATATAAAGGCCACAATAATGATAACTATATTTAGTACTGCCTAACATCTTAACAAAATATTTTTTTCTTACTCCAGCTAGAGAAGAGTCTGCACGAGTTCCTAACCCAATTTAACTGACAAATGGGGGGTATGGAGAGCAAGTTTTAAAGAGACAGAAATATAGAAAGGAATGGGATTACTCAAGTCAGATCCACATAGGACAATATTATTGCACAGGCAGTATGTATTTTGTCAAAAGTGGCATTATGTGCCACTTTTATCGAACTATTTCTTCTCAGATCAGAGGGAAAATGCTAAGAAATCTTAGTCTGTGATAGAGAAGCCTGACTTTATAATGAAGAGGGTTTGCCCCACAAAAGCTTATTAATCTGACAAGATGTTTAAAGATATTTTGTCACTTGCTACATAATATAGCAGGGCCCACTTAACAGCACACTCAGATCCAGTGAAATTCTGAATAGGGAATCAGAAAAGGAGTCCTGGATTGTTTCAATGCATTGTAATGTGCAAATTACAATTCCTAGAAGAGTGTACCTACACTTACAGAGAAATGATCTTGTGGGAAGAAAGAATGACCTGATGACAAGCGCCATTTGGAAGTAGTAGGTATAAAGTATGAAAACACTTTGCCTGTGGGGCTTTGTTGAGGAACTTGCAGGAGGTGAAAGTGGTTAAAAAGCACTTGAGCCAAAACACATACATACACAAAGGAGCAAGATAGCTTTAAACTGGAAAGCCAAGTGTGATTAGCTGGTGTCGATTAACAAGGAAAAAAGCATATACAGAGGAAAAGAATAGAGCCATGAAGGCTTGAAATAGCAAATGGAAAGTACTAACTGTTTTGGCAAGTTTATATTTAAAAATTATTCCGAAGCACTTATCAGAATAAAAGGGGACTGGGATTTAGATTTTTCAATGGAAACAAATAGCTGTTTATGACCAGACCTTACATATCAAGAAACAATTCAACAATTTATGCTTCTCCCAAGATGAGTAACAGGCACCAGATTTACCCTCCAACTGAAAAAATAATAATAATCCAACAATGTATATGAAAAAATAGATTTTGGTTTGGGGATTTTTTTTTTCATTTTTATTTTAGACTTGAGGGTACATGTGTAGGTTTGTTACCTGGGTATATTGTATGATGTTGTTTGGTAACAACAGTTTTGGACATTGGATATCAGGCAGCACAGAAAAGTGATCACCAAGAGACAGGAATCAAGGTGAACCCTGTGATTGCTCTAGCTCACTGCCTTGACAGAGTTTGCAGGCTGCGGCACAGGGAGAGGAGAGCCAGATGATGCCCAGTAGTATCCAGAATGGAGGAGACGGAAATCCAAAGAGGCTAGAGTTCACAGGGCAGAATACCAGAAAGGAAAGACCAAGAGCGAGAGAGAGAGAGAGAGAGAGAGAGAGAGAGAGAGAGAGAGAGAGATGCAGAGGGTCCTCCTTCAGCCTTCAATTGAGTACTGATCAGCCCAGGCATGTGAAGAAACTGCCCAACATAGGGAATGAAACTAAGCAAAAGTAGCAGAGGGGAAAATCCTTGGAATTAATATAGGACTGAAATTAGTTCATATTCCCGTGAAGAAAATGCAAAAGCCTCATAATTCATAAGTGGGGTACATAAAAAGGCATAGCCGTGGTACTGGGGAAAAATTAGCCCTGGACTAAAGGCAGCTCTGATCCCACCTAGCAAAATTCAAAAGTAAGCCTTAACAGAATCAAGATGCTTCCAAGTAACTTACTGAAGTACTGAGCAAAGCTCAATTATTTATAGCAATAAAAATATATCTAGCTCCCAACAAGATAAAATTCATGTCTGTCATCCAATCAAAACTGACCTGACATGAAAGAAAACAAAACAAAACAAAAAACAGGAAAATACAACTCATGGTAAGGAGAAAAATCACTCAAAAGGCACACACCCAGAAATGATACAGATGATACATTTAGTATATAAGGACATTAGAACAGTTATTATAACTATATTCCATGTATTCAAGATAATAAAGAGTGAGAATGTTAAGTAGAGATGTTAATGGTATCAAAAAGGCAAAATTTCTAGAGACAAAAAATGCAATACCTGGCAAAAATTTAACTGGATATAATTAACAACAGATTAGACAATGCAGGAGAAAAGATTAGTAAATGAACACGCAAAAAAGAAACTATTCAATATGACCAACAGATATAAAATACTGGGAAACAATAGAACAGCAGTGAGCCATGGGACATAAATATAACTGGAGTCACCAAAAGGGGAGGACAGAAAAAATATTTGACAATGTAACGGCCAAAATTTTTCAATTTTGAGAAAATGTACAGACCTACAGACTCTCAAAGCTCTACAAATCTGAAGCACAAGAACCAGGAGCAAAACTATACTGACACATATCACAATTAAATGGTTTATAACAAGCAATAAAAATAAAATTCTGAAAAGCCACCAAAAAAAAAAGACAAATTATATACAAAGGAACAAAAATAAGAATGACAGCAGATTTCTTGTTAAAAACAATTCAATCCAGAAGACAGCAAATGAGTATATTTGAAGAACGGAAAAAATAAAAGACACATTTCAGTGTAGAATTCCATATACCATGAAAATACTTTTCAAGAATAAGGGTGAAATAAGGAATTTTCTCTGACAGTGAACACCAAGAAAATTCATTATGACTAAGTCTGCGTTACCAGGAATATTGAAGAAAGTCCCTTAGGCAGAGTCAAAATGATAGCAGGTGAAAATCTGGATAAGCACTAAGAAATAGAAAGCACAAAAACAGTGTTAATATGTAGGTAAATAAGAAAGAGATTGTTTCTTAACTTTTAAATTACAAAAAGTAATTCACTGTTAAAAGCAAAATGAATAACAATATACTCTTGCTTTTATAACATATGTGGGAATAAAATGTATGACAATAGCACAAAGCCTTGGAAGAGAGAAATTGCAGTATCATATTAATTGAGGGTAAATTGTGATAAGTTAAAGATGCATACTACATACACTAAAGCAATCTTTAAAAAAAAAAAGAAATATAGCTAATAAGCCAGCACAAGACATATATGGAATTATAACAAAACAAACAAACAAAACCCTCAATCCAAAACAAGGGAGAAAATGAGGAAAAATATTTCAAGATTTGAAAGCCATCCAAGGGCCATATGAGGCTGGCTCTTTCCAGGATAGTTTAGAAGTCCTTTTTCCCTTACTTTACAATATAATAATTCTTTTTTCAACTATAAATTTGTGGTCTATAGTGAAGTCAATAGTCAATAATCAGATTTTCAGGACAATAATAAAAAACGGAAAGAACCTTCAATTACTGCATAGTAAAACATTTGTTCTGAAACTGAAATATATCCTGTGAAAAACTGTTCAAATATCCATGTGTCTGTAACAAGCTGAATAGGGCACACTCACAAGGGTGCACATCTGATAGAGGATGTAGACATATTCTGGTGGGAGAGAGAGTATCAGCTCAAGAAGCCTTTACTGAGCAACTGCTTTGTGCTTGCCACTGAATTCATCCGGCAGGGATGAGAGGAGCTCATTTAAGCCTGAGCTGGCATATGCATTCATTACCAGCTGCAGATAATAATTGAGGATCTGAAGCTTGATTGGAAAGTCAGTATTTTAGTTAATGAGATAACTTTTCCATAAATCTAAGATGATAAGACACAGGTTAAGGTCAGAAATAAATCAGGCAGTAGTCAGGACACAAACCAACAAGTACAATCACAATGTCCAGGGGAAAGAAACTAAGGAAACAGTATTGGCTAGTCAGCTGATTTCTTTTCCTCACTTCCTTAACACCTTCACTAATCTTCTCTGAATTTGTCCTTCTTTGGGAATACAGTGGGCCAGTGTGACTGGCTGAGAACAGCTTACTTATTTTGCAGTGCGTGCCAACAGGTCTACCTGTCTGGAATTCTAACAGCTGAATTTCTCCCGATGTGCACCAGACCCCCTCAGTAGCAGCCACATCAAATGCTCTATCTACCAGGGACTCTTCTCAGCACTCCGCAGGTTGTTGATGAAACAAAAATCAGAACAATGCAATTTAGTTCATATGGAAGTTACTCTCATGAACCCTGGAACCATTAGCACTATTAGGGGTACTCTTCATTCTTAAAAAAGACATAAGAGGCCGGGCGCGGTGGCTCACGCCTGTAATCCCAGCACTTTGGGAAGCCGTGGCGGGTGGATCACGAGGTCAGAAGATCGAGATCATCCTGGCTAACACAGTGAAACCCCGTCTCTACTAAAAATACAAAAAATTAGCCGGGCGTGGTGGCGGGTGCCTGTAGTCCCAGCTACTCGGGAGGCTGAGACAGGAGAATGGCGTGAACCCGGGAGGTGGAGCTTGCAGTGAGCCGACATGGCACACTGCACTCCAGCCTGGGCGACACAGCGAGACTCCGTCTCAAAAAAAAAAAAAAAAAAAAAAGAAAAAGAAAAAAAAGAACAAGACACAAGAAAGCAAGAAAGCAATGTCCCACTTATTCCACTAGCATTGAGAATGAAGTCCACACCTAGAGAGGGTAGAGCCAAGAGAATTTTGAAGAGATGGAGCCAGGGTCTTCATTTATCCTGCCTGAAGAGTGCCTTGCCAGTAGACTTCTTTTTGTATGCTATGAGCCATTAGTTCCTGCGCCAGTTGAATAAAATGCATCTGATACCTGCAGCCAAAATCATTCTAACTGAAATAATTTTTCAGGCAATTTATTTCACAAACAAATAAAATAAACCTAGGAGGTAAAGTGACTTAACCAAGGGCATAAAGCTAATTAAGAGTGTTGCGGCCAAAGGAACTTCCCCTTCACCCTCTGAAGGTTAACTGCATAATCGACTCACACTGAGGCAGATTAGTAAGAGAAAAGGCTTTGCAAACGTATTACTACCAAGTGCATGGGGAGAAAAAGAGTCATTACGCAGTTTCCAGTGCGGTACAGAGACCCTCATACCCTACTTCTTAGAGGAAGAGGAGATGGGGATGTGTGGATGATTTTAGGGGAATCATAAATGATGTTTAAGGGACGTCAGTGGTCTGGAGCAAAAGTCTATGTTGGGCCCATAGAGCGGTTAACGGTTTATGACAAAAGTCTCTCCAGGTGTGTTGATACACTTCTGTCTTCCTTCCTAAGATATGGGTTCAATCAATGAAAACTCAGGGAAGAAACCAGAGATAATTGTTTTCTTCTTTGGGAAGTCTGAACTTTAGACAGATAAGGGAACTCAAGAGAACAATTTTACCTGTGCTTAAGGAGAGATGGTGATGGGGCAGAGGGGACAGCATAGAGACCTTGAGGCCTCTTCTTCAGTTTGGCATATACAAAGCATCATATTTTGGGGTATTGGTTTCTGAGCCCCAACAACAGCAAAGTCAGGGCTAGACTAGCAATCCATTGTGTACTGAGCAGTTGCATGCTATACTCCAAATATTACAATATCAAATTTAGGTGCACTTAGCTATCTGTTATTAATATGTGATTAATCTACAATTAATAATCACTTTTACCGAAAGAAATTAACATGACCCCTACTTCCTGAGTCATTTGTTTTACCTGATTTTCTAAGACTTTATTCAGATAATCTTTATAATATAGTCTTTATAATATGCACTTCCAAGGGTGATATTCAAAATATTCAGCAATTGAGATGGCAGGAAACCCATACAATCAAGAATGAACACTGGCTCTACTGCAAGGACAGGGTTCTACAGGCCCTTGTTTGCCAGCCCTTACTCATTCAATTGCTGGAATATGGGGATTTCCTGGGCTCCCAAGAAAGAGGACAGGTGCCAGGAAAGTTCACTATGGGGGAAAGTTGCTCAATGTCTTAAAAAACTAGTTTGGCTGGCCACTGCATGCTGAATGGCTCTCAGTGCTGTGTTTCATGCAATGTAGTACTTAACAATCTTGGGTGCATTTGTCTCATCCTCTCCTCCACATAGACTACAAATTCTTTGGGAACAGGATAAGATCTCACATTGTTAGATTTGCTTTGTATTACCAATAATACTTAGTGCCTAGGAGTTCAATAATTAATGAATAATCTAATATTAATGAAAATAACCAAAATACTAAAATAGGCATGAAAAAATATCCAATTCTCTAGTCTCATTATGCATCCTACTAATGTTTATTAAGGGATGCTAAGTCCCAGGCAGAGAACTGGGTTTTAGAGATAAGGAGGAAAATAGTTATACAACCTCGTGAAAACTGCAAGGTTTTCTTTTTAAAGGACTCAGAACTTGTCTAAGAATTTTGAAAAAACAGCTGGTATGTATGAGAGCAAAGGCCCAGAAACATTGAGAAGGCCTTTGGAAAGTACAAATTTTAAAGAAAGTTGAGGGTTCCTAAGTCGTCATGTTCTGTCTCTCTTCAAGGTCACTAAGCTTCCCATCAGGAAACTAATGATTTCCTCATCACCATCTTTGTTCTTTGTGTAGTATTTGACACTAGTGACCACCACCTTGATAGAATTCTTCCTAAATCTCTAACCACTTCACTGATGCTTTTATTGGCTCTTCTTCCCTTTCTAGGCCTGAAAAAGGGACATATTTCCCAGAATTTTATTGTAAGCCCCTTACCTTGTGGATACATTCTCTCCTTTGAAGACCCAAACACCACTCCAATGAAAATTATCAGAACTGGCAGTTGCCTTCCAAATCTCAAATCTTCATTGTTCTCTTCCCCTCTAACTAGTTTATATATCCCTTTAGTGACTCCAAACTAACTCTCTGCCTGACTAAGCCACTTCTGGTCATGGCACCACCACCCTTCATGTTATCCTGTTTTGTACCCTTAAATCACATTTGATTCTCTTCTCACTCCCTCTTCAGCCTAGCAAAGTAGAACACACCTGAGATCTGGAGTTAGGAAGACCTGAGTTCAAACCTAGTCTCCATTTACTAGCCAGGTGAACCTGGGTATGGTCATTAACATTGCAGCTCCAAATCCATCAATTATTCAGTGGTGACAACATTTCCCAGCTATGGGAATTAAATAAAAGCATGTGTCTAAAATATCTGATATGTAGCAGGTGTTTCCCTTAAACTTCTCCATAAAATTAATTGTTCTACGTCAATGACACTGCCTACATCTTTCAAATCTACATTAAATATTCGTTTTAAATTTTTCTCAGTGGAGATATTTCACCTCACTGAGCCTTAAAGAATATTGTTTGCACTCATCTCATAGCATTAACTCCATTTTGAAATTCTTGGTACTTAACATCACAAGCTGAACTTTTTGGATTTTTCAAATTTGCTCTGCCCAATATGGTAGCTATTCAAATTTAAATTTGTGACTATTCAAATGTAAATGTAAATTAACTAAAATTAAACTTTATTTGAAACTAAATTATTCAGTTACACTGGCCACATTTCAGGTGCTCAATAACTACATGTGGCTAGTGGCTACTATAACACAGTATACTAATGAATGTTACAGAGAAATATAGAACATTTCTATCATCTAGATGTTTAACTCCTCTGTGATGGCTGAAACTGTATCTCGTATATTATTTTTTTTTTTATCCTCTGTCATCCATTGTACTTGGTGGGCACTTTAAAAAGTACATATTGTTGGACATGTACCCTACAACTTAAATTATAATGATAAAATAATAAAAAAGTACATATTGTAGAAGTAAGTAAATGAATGGATATCCAAAAGGTGCTTCTTAAAATCTGATATTATACGCTATTGATTCTGAGTCAATAACTACATTGTGTTTACCTTCTTATGAAGAGGATCATGGCACAGCCTCCTCAGTTACCTGCTCAACACGTCTCTCCAATGCAGATTTAGCCTCACCAGGCTGTTTCTAAGACTTTTTGAAGGAGAATGGAAAGAAAGTAAATGCGACACAAAATATTCAAGAGTAGGTGGGGAACATTTAGAGAGCAGCAGTTTAGAACTTGCTTAAGAATGTAAGGATAATAAATTTTAAGAAAAGAAAACCAGGCATTTTAACAAATATTGCAAGTACTTATGTGCCACTTTCCTCGTGTGGAAGAGATAGAAGTAAAGACTTGAGATACTGGGATTATCCATTATCACATGGACTTTGCTTTCTTAACTATTAATATAATGCTGTTATAGGACTGAAACCACATTGATCATGATTTTGTAAGTATTATAATTACAAATCACCACATTGCAATATTTTTTCTTGATTTGCAAAGATTTTCTATTATATGACTTCTATTTCACATAATATTACATTTGTTGACAGTGGCCTTTTCATAATAAAAAAAGTCTAGAATTATATTGGGTGAAAATGTATGATGTACCCCAAAAATATATACAACTACACCCAAAATATATACAACTACTATGTACCCACAAAAATCTAAAATTTAAATTTAAAAATTTAAATGAAAATGCATGACTTCCTCATTTTCACATTGTGATTATCCACAGACAATCCTAAGAATCAATGTAAAGTCATATAAACATCCACAACATGATATTGGTTAACATTGGCCTTCAGAATTTCCAGAAAACGAATAGACTCCTCTCACAGCAGGCTGACACTGGTGCATTCTATAAGAGGGGCATGAGGAATAGAGCCCCTGGACTCCTTCTGACATTAATGGGCATCCCACAGCCAGATCTTTGTGTCCTGCCTTGAGAATTTACCCAGCTGTAAAATTACATTCTACATAGTTTCATGTGGGAAGATGACGCATGTCACTCCTGGAAACCATTACATGTTCCCTATAAATTATTTGGCTAAGCAGCTATTGCCCTGGGTAGTCAGTTTTAGCCTTAAAATTCTTTTACCTTTACCTCAACTGCCTGAGAATGGCAAAGAAAGGTATTTTCACTGTTGCACAATCAATAATAGGAAGTCCAAGAAAACACTGAATTACTGTTGCCTCAAGATTTTTTTTTTTTTTTGTAGTAGGAGACTTGCCATATTATTTTACCTGATACAAAGTCAATCATTAGCAAATACTTTGACCGCCTCTAACTGAACAGATTACCGGGCCAGATATGTTAAATGCTCTTTATGACAACATAAATATTTTACATAGCTAATTCCTCTCTATTTGGCTTTTCACTTAGGTTTAGGATGATACAGATCAATCGTATGGTTTTCACAGAATCAATTTTCAATTAATGCAGTATAGCTTCAATTAAAATACATGGTAACAGTAAAACAATGTGTTCAGACAGTTTGTGCAGCTGTGAATTCCTTCCTTATTATAATGAAGTATACTGAAATCTCAGGTTTATCTTTACTTTCTTAAAATTTTCATTCTACAGTCATTGTGACAGGACAGCTGTGTTCTTACCACCAAACTACTGCCAGTAACTAGTTGTGTGACTCAGTTAACTTTTTAAATGTGTATTTCTCTGCAACTACAAAATAAATATAGTACTAAATTACTTCACAAGTTTCCTGGAAGAATTTAAAAAGATAATATATAAGAAAGTACCTAACACAAGATCTAGTAGACGGTAAGTGTAGTAGACATTGATTAAATTTTAATTCAGCATATATTCAGTATGTATAGAGAAAATCTACCAGTCAAATTCATCTTATTCCTTCTCCAATTCCACTACCTTTCACCTTCACAATTAGCATTTGTAAGTCTTCTACTATTCTCTCAACGCTTTCTTTTGTTCCTTTGGTTGTATATTCATTACAATTTTGACATACATAAGACGACATTTCTTTTCTCTTTTTTTATACTTTAAGTTCTAGGGTACATGTACACAACATGCAGGTTTGTTACATGTGTATACATGTGCCATGTTGATGAGCTGCACCCATTAACTTGTCATTTACATTAGGTATATCTCCTAATGCTATACCTCCTCCTTCCCCCAACCCCACGACTGGCCCCAGTGTGTGATGTTCCCCACCCTGTGTCCAAGTGTTCTCATTGTTCAGTTCCCACCTATGAGTGAGAACATGCGGTGTTTGGTTTTCTGTCCTTGCGATAGTTTGCTCAGAATGATGGTTTCCAGCTTCATCCATGTCCCTACAAAGGACATGAACTCATCCTTTTTTATGGCTGCATAGTATTCCGTGGTATATATGTGCCACATTTTCTTAATCCAGTCTGTCATTGATAGATATTTGGGTTGGTTCCAAGTCTTTGCTATTGTGAACAGTGCTGCAATAAACATACATGTGCATGTGCCTTTATAGCAGCATGATTTATAATCCTTTGGGTATATACCCAGTAATGGGATGGCTGGGTCAAATGGTATTTCTAGTCCTAGATCCTTGAGGAATCTCCACACTGACTTCCACAATGGTTGAACTAGTTTACAGTCCCACCAACAGTGTAAAAGTGTTCCTATTTCTCCACATCCTCTCCAGCACCTGTGGTTTCCTGACTTTTTAATGATCGCATTCTAACTGGTGTGAGATGGTATCTCATTGTGGTTTTGATTTGCATTTCTCTGATGGCCAGTGATGATGAGCATTTTTTCATGTGTCTTTTGGCGGCATAAATGTCTTCTTTGGAGAAGTGTTTGTTCATATCCTTCATCCACTTTTTGATGGGGTTGTTTGATTTTTTTCTTGTAAATTTGTTTAAGTTCTTTGTAGATTCTGGATATGAGCTCTTTGTCAGATGGGTAGATTGCAAAAATTTTCTCCCATTCTGTAGGTTGCCTGTTCACTCTGATGGTAGTTTCTTTTGCTGTGCAGAAGCTCTTTAGTTTAATTAGATCCCATTTGTCTATTTTGGCTTTTGTTGCCATTGCTTTTGGTATTTTAGTCATGAAGTCCTTGCCCATGCCTATGTCCTGAATGGTATTGCCTAGGTTTTCTTCTAGGGTTTTTATGGTTTTAGGTCTAACATTTAGGTCTTTAATCCATCTTGAATTAATTTTTGTATAAGGTGTAAGGAAGGGGTCCAGTTTCAGCTTTCTACATATGGCTAGCCAGTTTTTCCAGCACCATTTATTAAATAGGGAATCCTTTCCCCATTTCTTGTTTTTGTCAGGTTTGTCAAAGATCAGATGGTTGCAGATGTGTGGTATTATTTCTGAGGGCTCTGTTCTGTTTCATTGGTCTATATCTCTGTTTTGGTACCAGTAGCATGCTGTTTTGGTTACTGTAGCCTTGTAGTATAGTTTGAAGTCAGGTAGTGTGATGCCTCCAGCTTTGTTCTTTTGACTTAGGATTATCCTGGCAATGTGGGCTCTTTTTTGGTTCCATATGAACTTTAAAGTAGTTTTTTCCAATTCTGTGAAGAAAGTCATTGGTAGCTTGATGGGGATGGCATTGAATCTATAAATTACCTTGGGCAGTATGGCCATTTTCATGATATTGATTCCTCCTATCCATGAGCATGGAATGTTCTTCCATTTGTTTGTGTCCTCTTTTATTTCGTCGAGCAGTGGTTTGAGTTCTCCTTGAAGAGGTCCTTTACATCCCTTATTTCTTATGGAAAACATTATACTTAAAAGCTAAGATTTGACATCTTTTCAGCTTTTAGAAGAATTGTGAAATTCATTTAACTGTCTCTGTGTCCACAATGAATAAACTTAAAGTAAACAGTGGTGAGATGCCAGAAAAGTAGCCTCTCAGGAAAAAGGCAGAGACGTATCACTCTCCAAAGCAAGACCCTCAGGTATGATTTGTAGTGGAGCTAAGTTTATTTTGGCTTCATTGGCAGAAGCACTGGTTTCTGATGTTATTTGTTCAACCTAAATATAAATGGCAAAATCTGATTCTGTTTCATATGGTACCTAAAATTCTGAAATAGGGATGGGAAGTCAGAGTATGATTATCTGCAAAGGATACTTATTAAGCAAACATCACAAGATACTTTCAAGGCCTAATAGAATAGTAGTCTTTAGCACATAGAAGTTGCTCGGTAAATATATGTTGAATAATGAATGAAGCAAGAGCCAATTGTTACATTTTATCTTTTTTATCTCATAGCACTCAGTGAAATATAAGTATAGAAGAGGTGCTCAACAAATGCTTGCTGAATTCAAGGTAAATTTGGTTGAGCAGACCATATTCCTTGAGTTATTCTCTTTGAGCCCTTAGGCTGCTCCCTTGGGTCAATTCCATTGAACTACTATTAAGATCTTGAATTCAAAATTTGGCTGGAGGATGTGGGAAAGGCATATTAATTCATAAATATCAATTTTCTCACTTGAAACTGAAGTCCAATTCTAAGGCAATTTTTTATGCTAATTTTCTTTCCTTGACAAACATTTAATAAAACCCTTCAACTTACTCCCCATTTGTGATATTTTGAAATATATAGTTGGTCTATCACTCTATTTCCTGGCATATAACTCCTAAAATCCTTAGAACCTCCATGGCAATGTCTTTGTGTATGATCATGATTGACTGACAGCTGGCAGCCCCTAGGTGGCATCGGGATGGGGGCTTGTCACCTGAATGACCAAGGCAGGATTAGAGGCTTGGGACTCAGCCCCATGACCCAACATCTAGGGAGGGTAGAGGGACTAAAGTTACATTTATCACCAGTAACCAATTATTTCACCAATCATGCCTCGTAATGAAGCCTCCATAAAAATTCAAGAGGGTTTGGAGAGCCTCTGGATAGCTGAACATGTGGAGGCTACTGGAAGGTGAACAATAATTTATCCACGTGTCAGGAGAGTGGCATATCCCAGCTCCTTGGGCACAGAAGCTCCTGTGCTAGGAATACTTCCAAATGTGGCCCTATGTATCTCTTCACCTGGCTGTTTATTTATATCCTTTAAAATAATCTTGGTAATAAATGGGTAGACCTAAGTAAGGGTTTCCCTGAGTTCTACGAGCCTATGTAGCAAATTAATCGAACTCGAAAGAGGGGATTATGAGAATCCCAACTTGTAGCCATTTGGTAAGAAGTTCTGGAGGCCCAGACTTGCGATGCATAGGAAGGAGGGGCCAGTCTTGTGGAACTGGCCCTCTACCTGTGGTTTCTGATGCTAGATCTTCAGGTAGATAGCCTCAGAGTTTAATTGAATTGGAGGATACCAGCTGGTGTCCACTGCAGAACTGATTGCTTGCTTGGTGTGTGGGGAGGAACCCCCACACATTTGGCCACAGACATCTTCTGTGTTGATTGTTGTTGAGTGAGAGAATAGAAAAAGCCCTTTGAGTCTGTGTGTAAGTTGTCTTTTCCACTTACACCACTGCGAACACACACACAATTAGAGGAGCCCCAAGGGTTTTGTCAAAATAAGTTCTTGGAAATATGTTGAGTCAAACTCAACATGTTCAGCTTGAATTCAAAACTCTCAGAAGTTCAATTTCTCCTTAGTCCAGGCTTACCCTGATAATGCACTATAAATTACTAGTTAGATTTCTCCCTCCTCCCCAATATACAATAGTCATTCACACCTTTTGTTGTTTCTTTTACTTACGTCTTGATATAGTCTCCTTTCTTTATTCCAGAATCTTTCATTCTAGAACTTTAAGGCTGATCAATGTAAACTCTGATGGCAACTTCCTTTACATGGTAGGCATTTGTGTTCATCCTTTCAAGCTCCTCCGAGCTCATATTACTTCAGAATATTTTGTCTGGTGTACATGCTATTCTGCAAAGCCTAACTTCCCATTGATTGAAAGTTCTCTGAAGGCAGAGAACATATCACTTTCTTGGTTTTTTCATAAATCTCATAGCACCTATTATGGGACCTAACTCTCTGAGAAGTCAATGGATTCCTGCGAATTTAAATAGGATGGAATAGAATTGAGTGGCAAGATTATTTAAGAACAGAAAGAAAAAGAAAGCTTGTAATAAACAGCTATGCTAAAATTATACATAATAACTAACAAGGCTAAATTTAAGGGAAAATGTTCCAATTGTAAAGATGGTTGTATCTCAATACCGTATATTTAACTAACTGATTTTTTTTATTGTCATTTTTGCCCCACCATAATGTAAGCTCCACAGGGCAGACATTATTGCCATTTTTTCTTCACTGTTGTGTCCCTCGTGCTAAGAATAATGCCTTTCACATAGTAGGTGCTCAATCTATATTTGTTAGATGAATGAATAAATAAACGAATTTAGGAAAGTGACTTTTTAAAAAGGTAATGCTTCATCTTGTATTCCCTTTGTCATCAGGATAAAGTTATTCAAAGCACATTTCACTCACATCCCTTAGCTTTTCTGCCTCACAAGAACTCTCTGGATGCAAAAGACCTATAAGAAAAGCCTATCTCAGTTGGGCCGGGTGAGTGGCTCACACCTGTAATGCCAGCACTTTGGGAGGCTGAGGTGGGTGGATCACGAGGTCAGGAGTTCAAGACCAGCCTCACCAATATAGTGAAACCCCATCTCTACTAAAAATACAAAAATTAGCCGGGCGTGGTGGCACATGCCTGTAATCTCAGCTACCCAGGAGGCTGAGGCAGGAGAATCTCTTGAACGCGGGAAGTGGAAGTTGCAGTGAGCTGAGATCACACCACTGCACTCCAGCCTGGGTGAGAGAGCAAGACTCCATCTCAAAAAAAAAAAAAAAAAAAAAAAAGCCTAGCAAACAGAAAAGGACATAAGTTTTCACTGAACAGATTTTGGGAGGAAAAATGACAGAAAGTAGTTACGAGGTTGGTTTTCATATTTCTCAATTTCTTATTTCTCAATCAAAAGATATTTCAAAAATCTTTTTAATTTCATTTTTCTTACACAGCTTAATTCAAAGTAGCTTAGCAAGGCAAAGTTAGGAACACTGGATATGCCCTGCAATGCCATTTCTAGTCACACTTAAGACTAGTGCCACTCTAACAGGAACTCAGTGGAGAAAATCATCACTCTTTTAGCGGCAAGTAAAACCATACACAAAAGATTGAAGAGAAAATACAGTAGCTTACCTCTTTGGGTAACAAAGCTAGTTAATGATCAGCTTATTCAGAGAATATAAAGCAATGTTCAGACTCCTAGGGACCCATTCCCTGTATTAGTCAGGGTTCTGCAGAGAAACAGACCCAACAGAAAGTATGCATAGACAGAAGAAGTTTATTATAAGGGATTAGTTTGTGAGGTTATGGATACTGACAAGTCTCAAGAACTGCAGTCAGTAAACTAGAGACCCTGGATGGTGATGGTATAAATCCATTCAGAGTCCACAGGCTTACGCACCAGGAGAGCTGTTGGTGTGGCTCTAGTCCAAAGGCTGACAGGCTCAAGACCTAAGAAGTGCTGTGTTTCAGGTTGAGTCCAAAGGCAGAAAAAAACAATGTCCTAGTTTGAAGGTGGTCACAAAAGAATTCAGTCTTCCTCCGGAGAGGCTCAGCTTTTTTGTTCTATTCAAGCCTTCAACTGATTGGATGAGGCCCACCCACATTAGGGAGGGTAATCTGCTGTACTCAGTCTACTCACCTGAGTTTATCTCATCGAAACACACCCTCACATAAACATTCAGAATCATGTTTGACCAAATATATAGCCATCCCATGGCACAGTCAAGCTGACACATAAAAGTAACCATCACAGGCCAGGTGCTGTGCCTCAGACCTGTAATCCCAAAACTAAGGGAGGCCAAGGTGGGCGGATCACCTGAGGTCAGGAGTTCAAGACCAGCCTGGCCAACATAGCAGAACCCCGTCTCTACAAAAATACAAAAATTAGCCGGGCGTGGTGGCGGGTGCCTGTAATCCCAGCTACTCGGGAGACTGAGGCAGGAGAATTGCTTGAACCTGGGAGGCAGAGCTTGCAGTGAGCTGAGATTGCGCCTTTGCACTCCAGCCTGGGCGACAAGAGCAAGACTTCGTCTCAAACAAAAAAAAAAAAGAAAAAAAAAAAGAAGCATCACACCCATCATTATCTACCAGTTTTGGAAAATATGGCAGATGATAGCTGGACATTTAATCACCACCTCAGTTATTTTCCTTTTGCCCTCTGGGTCCTATCAACAGCAACAAATATAATATTCAAAAATGAAGCATTAGGCCATTTACAAATTTTTTGTTAGAGCATCAAGCATGCTTGCTTGCTGGCTTACTTTTTCTGTATGGCAAGTAACACTCCTTGCAGAGTGGGGTGGAACAGAAAAACTAGATCAGATTCATATTCAGGGGTGATCTTAAATTTGTAGTCACTGAAAAATTATAGCTATCAATTGTATACTTTTTATTTTTACAAAGTGCATTGAATCATAGGCACATATGTATTATTTAAAGAATCTGGAGAAAAATATTTGTGGTTATTTTGAAGGATATCACCTAAAAATGAAAAGAAAGCAAAAAAAGTTAATATAGTTTATGTGTCAAGATATTTGTGATAGAAATTTTATTTTTATTTTAAGAGGTAGTAGGTTTTCATTTTCCAGCTTACAACCTGACATGGATAGTTGAGGAGTCATCAAATTTCATTGTCCTAAAAATAGGCTATGGTTTGGGAGGTCATGCTTTGTACTTACCTGTATTTATGATAATACATGATTTTATTTTTTTCAATGAGATAAATTGTTTTTTAAAAAAATAATAAATCTTAATCTATTGATCACCTACCATGTGCCAGGCTTTCCTGTCACCTTTCATATTTTGAATGTAAATATTTCCTTCTTTTATTGGTTACTTTATAACCTCTCAGTTATCATGTTCCACCATTTTAACACTTAAAGAGGTAGAATGTGGGATTATCATTTCCCAGGCTCTTGCATGGAGAAGGAACACTGAGGTCATCTCATTCAATCTCCCATCTAATACTTAAAACAACTCTACAACATCACTAAAATGAATCCTGGGAAACATACCTGCTGATGAAAATTCATACCCATGGCAGTCCACTATATAATTGAATAGGTTTGTGATTAAAAAGTTCTTTCCTATCTGGCTGGAAAATACAATCTCTTTTTTTTTTTTTTTTTTTGGTTTTGTCATTTTTGCTTTGTTTTGGCTTATATTTCTTATCTTTCCCTTTCTCATTCAAGGAAATATTTGTATCAATTTGTGAAAGGGATATGGCAAAATAGAACTTAGAAATCATTGTGGCTTTGTTTTTCAAAAGTCTAAGGCTTCAGAGGAATTTAAGTTAAGGTATTGAAGAATACAAGGGAAAAAAGATTTTCCCCATAGTAAGAAAATATTTCCCAGACCCTGGGGGAGAAGAAGAAAGAGAGAGCAACAACTTCATGGCTTCCAAGAGTAGAGGGGACCTCTACTCCACTTCCTACTAAGACTGAATGTGAGACAGCCAAATGCCAAGCAGAGATATTTGAGTGGTTCATCAGGGAGTTAAGCCCAGGATTAGCTTCACCCACAGTTTCCTTACCCCATGGAGTGTAGCCCAGCCGAAAGGGCACATGTATACAATGATTGTGTCATCATTTACCTGTGGGATTGATGACTGAAAACTGCAGCCCCTCATCCTCGATACAAAGGCAATGCCCAAGATTCCAGAATTGAATGATAACTTGAGGAGGAGGCAGCATCCTTAGTTGGGCTGCATTCTTTTTTCATAAACTCAATAGAGCAGAGGCTAAAAGGCAGAAATTATGTTATTACAGGTGATTAAGAAAGTACTGGAGATAGACAGTAGAACAATGGTTACCAGAAGGATAGTGCAGGGGGTGGAGATGGTTAATGGGTACAAAAATGTAGTTAGATAGAATGAATAAGATCTAGTATTTGATAGCACAATGGGGTGACTACAGTCAACAATAATTTATTGTATCTTTTAAAATAACTAAAAGAATATAATTGGATTGTTTGTAACACAATGAAAGGATAAATGCTTGAGGTGATAGGTACCTGATTTACCCTGATGTGATTAATATGCATTGTGTGCCTGGATCAAAATATCTCATGCACCCTATAAATATATATACCTACTATGTTCCCACATAAATTAAAAATTAACAAAAAAAAAAAAGAAAGTACTTTTTTTGGTCCACCTGAGTTGTGGATTGATTCATAGTCTTTTTGGTTATATTGTGCTTCCTCCTGTGACATGGTTTTCTTCATTGAAGAAGTACCGTCAACATCCTTAAACTTTGGCAACCAGACTGATGATTATTACCAGGGTGTGATTTATGAGTAGAGTATCCTACCATCTCTCCTCTTCTGGTCATTATGCTTCCTTTCATGTAGCAAGAGATAGCATTTTTTGGCAGCCACACACACTGATAGCCCAAGCTACAAACAACTAAAACCCCAAAGTGATTTAGCTAGATTTTTTAAATATAAAATTAGAATTTTACTTTTCCCATTATTGATCCAAGATAAATAATAATAGAAAATATATATTAAATTACGCATATATATACACATACTTATGTATGCTTATATGTACGTGAAATGAATGACAACAATGATAAAAGAAATAAGAAGGAATATTCAGTTTCTACATAGAAATCATGTTGTCTGTGAACAAACACAGTTTTAAATCTTCCTTCCCAATCAATTTATTTTTATACTACATTTTTGTCTTATATTAGTTATAATTCCCAGTATGATGTAGAAAATGAATGATGAGAGGGGACATCTTTTTGGGGTTAATATTAAGTACTAGTAAATTCATTTATTTTTCTTTTTCTATCTCTTTTCCCTTGGGAACACATGTGCAAAAGTTTTGATGTTTATATTCTTCATTAAACCCTACAATGCCATTCTTTTGGTTTAGTTTATTGTATTAATGTTCATTTATCTAGGGATTCCCATTCACACTCTTTCCTACAGGCACCCACTCAAATTTATTTGATATAAATTCTTGGATAGGTATATATCTTCGATAAATACATATAGTTGTATTTGTGAGGTGTTTTAATGTCCCTGTATTTTCTATGTATGGTATTATGTAACCTTATAAATTCAAATATATTATATTAGACTCTCTGATTTGAGACGTTTCTGATTTGATGTGAAATATATTTGCTCTCACTCTGCTTTATGGTATCTGAAAATCTGCCAAAAGCCATCATGGTGTACCATAAGATCTTCTCAGTAAGTGTTATCAATCCATTAATTCTCATCCTTTAAGTCTAAGCATTCCATTTGTACAAATCCACCTAAATGTACCATCATCTAGTCCAAGTTATATATGATGCCATTGGATTCTGAGCATTTGCGAGACCCTTAGTTCTGTCTATGTGAGGAAGTTAGAACATACAAGGAATGAACTAGTTTGTAGAAAACAGTTGCAAAGTTGAAAATGGAGATTCTAGGATATAGGAGTCTTGCTTTAGGAACAAATCCTGCTCGGATTCCCAAAAGGCTTCTTCATATATCACACAAACAAGTAAACCCATTTATATAACTATCTGAAACATCTTTCCTAAGACACAGCATAAATGACACAGGATCTACAGAGCATTACAGGCATGGAGAAACTAAAGAAACATCCCCGTATCTTCCTGCCTGACCAAGAAACTCTACCTGCTAAGGTAACCTTCTAGAGATAATACTAGTTTAATTGGTAGATTTCTCTTATCATTCTAGAATTCTACACGTTTGAACAATTCCATTCCTTTGCCTTTTCTTGCACTATAATTGGCCACAAGACAAATGTTTGAACTGAAAGTTTTCTTGATTAGTCTTACCACATTCCTACCACAAATACACGCTCATATGCACACTAATACACACCAACACTAACAGGGCATCAGCAGCTAGAGCTTCATGCTACTATGCAGCAAAAATCTCTAGCATTATCTTATGGATTGCCCAGGTATTTACACGTCCAATCAAAGGTGAAGTTCATAGTCAATCCTATGAGAGAGAAGAGCAATGCTCTCAGTGGCATTTTGGAACTTCCACAACCTCATGAAAAGCTGTGAGCACAGCTTACTGTATGTTACTGTCAGGAGGTAAAGGGACTCTCTGCTGTCTCACATCGTCTACACCCTGATTTTGATGAGGAAATGTTGCCTAGAAAAGTAATATTATATCAATGGAAGACAGTGAATACAAAGATGTTTATATGGCAGATGGCTAAATATTTGTTGATTTTAACTGAGGCAGAGAAAGTCTACACTGGAAGTAACAACAAAGTACATTTTCCTAAAAGTTTACACATTCCCCAAAATATCACAAAGGGATTCTTTGGTATACCTCATCTCAAAATTACCAAAGTGATTAAATATAATCAGATCTTGAATCCAGGAATTTCACACTTTTCCTTTATTCTGCCACCAGTTTTTACATGTGAGGCTTGATTGTTGGCCCCTACCCGGCTTAGGTCTTCCAACTTTACCTGTAAGCCCCAGGGTCTTGCCTGTGGCCACTGCCCAACTGAGGCTCTGCTCCTGCCTAGAGCCTCTTGGCTTCAAGCCTAAACTCTGACCTGTTCTTGCCCTGCAGGTGTTTTGGCATTCCTGGTCTGACTTTGGAAGGAGTCCAGGCTTTCTCTGATCTCTGGGACACTTTACCTAGGCCACGTTCTTTGTTTTCAGCTACTGTAATCTTTTTCAGAATTCCATGAAACAGTTTCATTTTTGTTCCTTTCCTTTATAATTTGTAGGAATTAAAAAGTCATTCATGCATTTGTTTACTCAATCAAGCAAATATTTATTGAGCGAAGTCAAGGCCGCAGCACTGTTACTCACATGTACAGAATATGCTTTAACGGAACATATGGATTTTTTCCAAATTAGCTTTTTATGAACAAAAAATTGAGCTTATGTTACTTTAACATTTTTTATTGCACAGTTCGAAGTAAAAAGTAAAAACCTTTCAACAGCTACTCCCATCCCTTTGCCACAATCCTATTCCTCAGTAATATAATAGAAATTAGTGGTTACTCTGCAGCAAAAACTGTAAGAAACATATATATAGACCTTACTTTTCAAGAGACACATAGACAGAATTTATTTCTGTGCATTTCTTCACAAAAGAAAGTCTAGTAGTTGTGGAGTCACATATCTCACATGAGGACAAAGAATAAGTCGTATTATTTCACTTTTAATCAAAACTATCTCATTTCTTCCCACCTCACTCCAAATCCAATCCATAGTGCCAAAACCACCCTTTCCAGTATACGGTGATGAAATCAGGAGAAGGTTGAATGAAAGAGGTTCATTATGCAGAACTTGTCAGCCATACTAAGAAGAAGTAAAAGACGATTGGTCCAAGTTTACTTCATAGACGCTTTTAAATTTTGTTTTACCCTCAGAGTGTTATTAGATAGAAGAAATATCAACCAAAGAAAGCTGCAAAGACTTGAAGGGATTATATGGAATTTATATATGTGACAACAGTAGTCACCCTCTCCTCATGCATGGAACAGAATATATCAGATCTATGTACTAATATCTTTTAAAAAGTTTTTTCAGCTTTATCGATGTATGATTGATAAATAAAAATATTGTATCTATATTAAGGTATAATGTAGTGTTTTGACACAAGTTTGCATTGTGAAATGATTCCCACCATCAAGATAATTAACGTATCCATCACCTCTCATAGCAAATTTCACATATACAATATATTATTATTAACTATAGTCACCATGTTTTACATTAGATCTCTAGAACTTATTCATCTCATAACTGAATGTTTGTACCCTTTGACCAACAGCTCCCTATTTCCCCCACCCTTCAGCCCCTGGCCACCACCATTTTACTCTCTGTTTTTCTAGGTCTGACTTTTTTTTTAATATTCCACAATAAGTGGTATCATGTGATATTTGTCTTTCTGTGCTTAGCATGTTTCACTTAGCTTAATATCTTCTAATTTCATCCATGTAGTCCCAAGTGGGAGAATTTCCTTCTTTTCTAAGACTTAATAATATTTCATTGTTTATACATTTTATGTATGTATATACACACACACATACACACACGTGCATATATATAGTCAAAATTTCTATATTCATTCATCTGTTGATGAACACTTAAGTTGTTTCATTTATTGACTTCACTATTGTGAATAATGCTGCAATGAACATACTGATTTCATTTCCTTTGGATGTATCCCCATAAGTGGGATTGCTGGATCATATGGTAGTTCTATTTTTAGTTTTTTGCCAGCATCTTTTATTTTAGAATAACACTGAGTTTTGCTCAAGTGGCTTATTTGGAAAAAGTTCACTTGCCAATACAGAGATGACTCAGATTAAATTTGTCTTTGCCTTTTCACACTAGCAAGCTTGGAATATTCCATTTAAGAAAATTTCCTAAGACCTTTCATTAAACTCAGTGTGGCATTCTTTATGAGTAAGATGTCTTGGAATTTACATTCATTTAGCAAATACCTGCTGGCTACTAACCATGTGCCAGGCACTGTTCCAAGTGCTGCGGAGACCTTAGTACAAAAGAGATAAAATTTTCAGCTCTTCATGGAGCTTATGTTTTACTAGGGGGAGGTAGAAAAATAAGCAAATAAATATACAGGATACTGAGTGTATTGAGTGCAAATGAAGGGAGAGGAAGCAACTAAGATCCATGGCACGTGAGGGGCGAGAGTTTGCAATTTTAAGTAATGCAGTGAGGAAAGGCCTTATATCAGTGATCACATTTAAGTAAATACCTGAAAGAGATGAGAAAGTAAGCCCTACCAGTGTAGGAAAGAATGCTCTAAGCAAAGAAAATAGGCGATTCGAAGGGCACTGCTTGGAATGTGTCTGCCTTGTTCAAGAAACATCAAGAAGGCCAATGTGGCAATGGTTGCAAGGGAGCAGGTAAGGCAGGGATTTCTAGAACCTTGTATGCACATTGGATTCGCCTCTGAGGGAGATGGGATGCTTTGGTTGGCTTTTGAGTAAGAGTGACATAACCTAAGCAGTTTTAAAGAGATCACTCTGATCCCACTGATAAACCAAGATTTGGGAGTTGGAGATCCCAAAAGGTCGTTAGATTCCTAAGGGCCTTTTTGATGCTATGATTCCACATTCCATACTTTGAAGTGATATCCCAAGCACCTACCCAGTTCAACGTGAAATGACTGTTGAACAGTATTTTCAGCAGTCTGAGGTGCTAAAATCACAGTATTCTAAAAGGCAAGTCTAACATTAAGTATTAGAAAGTCTGAGATTGCCTAACTTTGACAGTGAGAAAGAGGAGATTAATTAACAAAAAATTAAGTATTATAGCATAAGTATTTGTATATTCACACCATATGTCTTCATGATTCAGAACGCAAGAAATCATTTGGAAATGAATATGGTGTGTTATGGTAGCCAATACTTGGAGAAAGGAAAGATGGGCAAATTTGGCTCTGAAAATGTTAGGAGGGATGACTTGAGTAAGTTTCTTAACCTATCTGAGTCTCATTTCCAAAACTGAGAAAATAATATCCACACGTTAGCATGTGAAGATTAAATAAGACATTGAATGGGAAAGACCCAATATGGAGTAAATTCTCAATACATGTTGGTTTCTTCCTTCTTTAGACTTGACAGAGATGTCAAATTTTGACATGAATATTTGACTAGGGTTGGAAGAGCAAGGCTATGGGAGTCTTTTCTATGTATACTTACTACAGACCAGATATTTTGATATGTCATTGAATAAAGAAGCATGTACACTGGAAAAAAAAAAAAGGTAAGATTGCATCTGCCCCTGGCCAAGTTGTATGAATGAGAAACAAAAATAAATGGTATTCTTTAGTAAATACAATCCCAACCGTAAATAATAAATGATAGTCTACAAGTAATGAAGAATTTGTCAAAATTAAAATTTAAAAATTTACTTACATTTTTGAGGACATGGATATTCAGGCACTTATAAAGAATTTTAGAATCAATCCCAGAATCCCTAAATTAAATCCAAGGGTTTAAATTATCATAAAAAGAACATATCAAGCCAAGTGTGGTGGCTCATGCCTATAATCCCAGCACTTTGGGAGGCCAAAGCAGGAGGATTGCTTGAGCACAGGAATTTGAGACCAACCTGGGCAACATGGTGAGGCCCTATCTCTACCAAAAAAAAAAAAAATTGTTTTAATTAGCTAGTCATGGTGGCATGTCTGTAGTCCTAGCTACTGAAGAGGCTGAGGCAGGAGGACCACTTGAGGCTGGTAAGTCAAGGCTGCAGTGAGCTGTGATTGAGCCGCTGCACTCTAGCCTAGGCAACATGTGAGACCCCATTTCTACCTTAAAAAAAAAAAAATAAATAAAATAAAATATCAGAGGATTTCAAAGATTACCACCCTTTGAAACTTTTTTTTTTTTGAGACAGAGTACTTACTCTGTCACCCAGGCTGGAGTGCAGTGGCATGATCACACCTCACTGCAACCTCTGCCTCCTGGGTTCAAGCAATCCTCCCACCTCAGCCTCCCAAGTAGCTGGGACTATAGGCACACGCCACCACTCCCAGCTAACGTTTGTAATTTTTGTAAAGATGGGATTTTGCCATGTTGCCCAGGCTGGTCTTGAACTCCTGGGCTCAAGCGATCCACCCACCTCGGCCTCCAAAAGTGTTAGGAATATAAGCATGAGCCACTGCGACTGGCCCCACTTTGAAACTTTTTAAATAAAAGGCAAATTAATCTCTAAAGAATATATTTGAGAGCAACAATATATACATATTTGTGACCTCATCGTTCCATTTTCTTCTCTGTTGTATCTGTTTGTTTGTTATTAAAGTTTTCTACTAAAATAACTGGGTTCCTTACATGGAGAGGTGACATCTAGAGAAATCAGTTTAGTTTAAATTGAATTGGCTGCTGTATGAAGCCTTGTAACATCATTGTCAGATGTACCAATAAGTCATTATTTTCAGGAATGACACTTACAATATGGTGACACATCCTATCTCCTTTGTTACAAAAAGGGGATAGTACAGGTGGAAAAGATAAACAAAGTCACAGAGGCCTCATGGTCAACATTAAAGTGATTTGACAAACAAAGAATAGCAGAAAGAGAAACAGCATCTCCTATCTGTTTTCTAGGCCTCAAAAGATTCATAACTTGATATATTCTTAATTCAGCTAGGAACTTTTACAAATTGAAATGATGAAAAACACTGCATAAATATTAGAATTCTCTGGTGGAAAGGTATGAACAATGAACGTGTTGCTGAATGAATACAAAGTACATAACACTTTGCAAATAAGAAGGCTGTCAAAGAAGAGAGAAATTGACATATATCAGAGGACCTACTGGACCTAAAATATTAAATATGATGAGTGAATAAAGACTATTTTTCTTGTTGCTTAGTTCTTCTCGTAGGCAAGAACATTTCCTTCAAAAGAGCACACTAAATGCATTCTCCAGTTGACTCATTTTCACACTAGATGGCAAATGTGTGGGAGGCCACACACACAAAAAAAGATGCTTTTTGATTAGATTAGTGAGAGGGGGAAGTCTGATTCATCCATAAAATGATAGGAGCTATATTTGTTCTAATGATGCATCTAAGATTGCATTTCCAGTTGCTTGATTTTAGATGGTGCCTCTGGAGCATCTCTCTAGAAAGAAACTTTTTAAAAATTCTTTAGCTGAAATAATTCTTCTTTCTGACCTAAAACTTGAAATCTTAAAACTTCTGATGTGGACATTAATTGTGGACATTAATTGTGATGAAAAGGAGGAGTTATTGGAGGGGGCTCTGGGGAAGGGTCAGAAATGATATATTCCATGTCCAGAAAAATGGAGAGGGCTAGGAAAATATGGTGTGGGATTACACAATTTGGAACTGAAGGCTTTAGTCATGAACACTGAAGCATGGTAATCCAAGTGTAGTTGTCCAAGAGATCTGCTACTGCACATTATCTAGGCCTGACTCATTTTTCTTACTTGTACTTTCAAATATGTCGTTGGCCCAGTGTAACCTGTTGGTTTCCTATTAGATCATGGTGTTATTAAACTTTTTAGTCGAATATGCTGTTGAACTTCTCTTTCTTTTCCCTTTAAAAAACACCCAGGTAAATGGCTTTTGCTATAGTTTACTGAGAGTTTCCAACAGGGTTTGAAGTTAAGAACATTTGAAATTTATCATATGACAGATAAAATAATGACAAAAGTTACATCTCATTCCTAATACTAAAATTTTGTGCGATAAAAATGACAACTGGCACAAGCATAGAAATGCTGTTTAAGGGTGGAATAAATACCTTTTCTCTGCCCTATTGAGTACCCAGTGCTCAAAGTAAGTATTCAAATACTATACATCTTACCCCCAAAGATCATTGATATAGATTATATGAAAATAAATTCAATTCAAGTTTAACATTAATTACACTTTATTACAACTGCATAGATTTATCATAGTCCAGACTACAGTGGCTAGTATGGCTTTGGGCAGTTATTTGATATCTGACAATGGCAAGAAGTGTATAGTATGACAAGTTTTCTCATTTAAATGAGGAATATTAGACAGCTATAAAATCCTTCCATAAAATGAAATGTCTAATTTTACCCATGTGATACTTCTTATTTTGCTCTTAGTGGAGTAGTATGTACAGATTATGTCAAATGTCAACAAATATTAAAACAAAATGCAAAAAATTTAGATATTTTGAAACACCTAGATATTTTATTTTTCACTTTTCTTATGAATTTTGGCTGCAACATACTATGCTAATCTAAACATTTCTTAATAACTTTGTTTTAAATCTTTGGTTAAATCTGATAAACTTAAGAGCAAATCAGGTTCACTTTATGATGATCTAATTGGCCATTGACTTTGGGAAACTGGAAAAAGCCAATTTGATTCCTTTGTGATAGAGTTGGTGAAGAGAAAGACCCAGGAAGGAAGGGGCTGCAATAATAAACAAGTTGTTAAATCACTCTATATAGTGGAGTTCAAACAAGTAAACGAACAAATAAAATTTAGGAATGAATCCTCACTTCAATCATTGCAATTTTTTGAATTTTTTTTTTTTTTTGAGCCAGGGTCTTGCTTTGTTTCCCTGGCTAGTGTGCAGTGGTGCAATCATGGCTCACTGCAGCCTCGACCTGTCAGTCTCCAGCGATCCTCCCACCTCAGTCTCCCGAGTAGCTGAGACTACAGTCACACAGCACTATGCCTGACTAATTTTGTGTGTGTGTGTGTGTGTGTGTGTGTGTGTTTTTGTTTGTTTGTTTGTTTGTTTCATAGAGATGGGGTTTTGACATGTTGCCCATCCTGGTAAATTTCTAAATCTTACTGAGACTCAGTTCTCTCACCTGTAAATGGAGAAAATAATGCCCACTTCTCTTGACTGTTATGAGAATTAGCCAAGATAATTAAGCTGTAAGCATTTAGCATAAAGCCTAAAAACGGTAGGCATTTAATAAATGTTACTTTCTGTTTACCCTCTTTCATACTAAAGAAACAAAGTTCAATTTTGATCGAAGTCTAGTACCATGTTAAATATCAACTTTTCCTTAATGATTAAATCCCTGCTGATCTTTTACACCATGGTGTTTGTGTTAATTGAATAGCGATTCAAGATGTCTACACACTACAATTAGACATGACACTACAATCTAAGGAAGGCCCTCTCCTACTTAGGAATAGCTTGTGTTCCAAAAGCCAATTTGTTATTCCCTACTAAGAATTTAAAACACATATTCCCAAAGAATCAATGCTTTAGTAATCTATCATTTACTTGATGTATTATGTAAATAACACTGACGAGTTTAACAACTTACAATATTCTATGGCAAAATGCATTCAAAATTCCAAGTTGAGACTTTGATAATGTATGCCTCCCACAGGCAGTAAGAATAGAATTTCTCTTAGTTCCAAGATACTATGGGGTCTTCTGTAGGCTGGTGTACTGATCTTTTGGTGAAGACACTTCTTACCACCTCCTTTGCCATTATTCTGTCCTCAGTCACCACTAGTATAGCTTTCTGGCTGGGCACGGTGGCTCACGCCTGTAATCCCAGCACTTTGGGAGGCCGAGACGGGTGGATCACCTGTGGTCAGGAGTTCAAGTCCAGCCTGGCCAACATGGTGAAACCCTGTCTCTACTAAAAATACCAAAAATAAAATAAAATAAAATAAAATAAAATAAAATAAAATAAAATAAAATAAAATAAAATAAAATAAAATAAATAGCTGGACCTGGTGGCAGGTGCCTGTAATTCCAACTAGTCAGGAGGCTGAGGCAGGAGAATTGCTTGAACCCGGGAGGCAGAGTTCACAGTGAGCCAAGGTCATGCCATTGCACTCCAGCCTGGGCAACGAGAGGAAAACTCCATCTCAAAAACAACAACAACAACAAAATACATATATAATTTTCCTACCTTTAGGTTCATTTGCCCTTCCTCCCCAACACACACACACACACACACACACACACACACACACACCCCTCTTTTTCTTTTGCTTTAAGAACTATTGATTCTCCATTACTGTCATTCCTAACTGCTGCTTTCCCCCAACCACCATAAGACTCAATGCAAATTTATGACCCTATGTTCCCCACTGAATCTCTAAAGTAAACATATTACCCTTTTGATTTCTGCGGGGAGGAGAGGATAATCAGAGTTTGCAGCCAGGAAACTCATGGAACTAATGATCATTAAATATCTTATCCTATACATGTAGTTCTACACCAGGCTCTGAACTCATCGTATTTCTCATTCTTTTCTTTAGGCTTGGAGAAAATTAAAGACATCATTTATGCTTCGTAGAACAAACCAGAATTACGGGATCTGAGATTTGATAAATGAGATGGGAGGGAATAAGGAACACGATTGGATATCTAATGGAGATAGAAGAGCAGGACACTGGTGGAAAAAGTCTTAGAAACAAGTTGTTGAATAAATATGCAGGAATAAACAAATGAATGAGATTTCCTCAAGTAAACGAGTTTTAAAAACTATAAAGAGACGTATTTGGTTGGTGCAAAAGTAATAGCAACTTTTTCCATTACTTTTAAAGGCAAAAACCACAATTTTGTACCAACCTAATACAATTGCGTGTTGCTTTCTCTTCTCTCTGGTCCACCATGGCAAATGGGAAGGGCTGGGAATTCCTGGAGTATTTAGTCAGTGTCACACTAAGCAAACAGGTATTCTGATGCTTGAAGTATTCATAGACGTAGTAAGGTATGGTAAAAAGATCCTTACTTGCAAGTCATCTGAGTTTGAGATCACTTTTTCTCACTTCCTAGTCAGAGCCCTTGGGTAATTCTTTCGCTTTGTTCAGGTCTCTGTTTTACCATTTGTGAAGTGATGAACCTAGAATAACAAATCAAGAAATACCTAAATACATTTTTTAATTAAAAAAATAACTAAGATCCACAACTTAGATCATTAAAGATTTTGAACATGGGGTATTTTCTTTTAAGTGTCCCAGTAACATTGTCTACACAACGCAGAACACCCATGTGAATCCAAAATATTCAGTTAGCCATCTGTATGACTCCAGACATGGGGTGTGTGGCACACTGCCATCAGAGCATCTGTATGGCTGATATTTTCCTTTCCTAACTGAATGTTTAGATAGTGATATGGAATAACAAGGACCCAATTAGCTAGTACTGTTTCTCACTCCTTACCTTAGTCAAGAGCCCATCCCACACAAAGGAAATAATAAGAAAATTATTTTGCCCGCACATCCATTCAAACCAAGTCACCGAAGGCATTCACTTGAACAGAGTATATCCTTTACTGAAGAATAAGGAAGATGAACACACATTTCTTTTAGCATAAAAAACATTGACCAGGGTCAAGTAGCACATTGCTAGCTGAGTTGAGGCCCAGCATGGCTTATTAAGGCTGTTTGCTGAGAGAGCTTGTATTAAGTCACTGGGCTTACTTTAAAATTTTTTTTCCCTCTCTAACAAGTGCCAGACATGTGAGTCCATAATGAGTTTAATTAAAGTCAATGGCAGCCAATAATTCAAACCTTATAAATGTGAGAGCAAACAAGACTCTTAAGTCAAAACATGAAATATTCCATTTAAGTGGAAGTTTTAATCTTGTTTATAAAATAAAATTACCTCATATTAAGGGCTAATAGAGTTCAAAGATCTGATTTCCAGTGCTGGATCTACCTCTTTGCTATTTTGAGAAAGTAAAAAATTTTAATAAGAGAAGAACTTTTTTGTAGCATCCAACAATATGCTTGTATGTAATTGGTATTTAATACATATTTATTAAGCACATAAATGTGGTAAAATATACAGTTCTAAGAGAAGTAAGCAATAAGGACAATACAAAATGAAGATAACAAGCAGGTGCAAAGGAGAAAAGGCAGACGAAAAGAGATGGGGGAGAGATTTATTTCATTAACTCATGATCTTTGTAATTTTTATATGAAGCTAGATTGTTACCCCTTCCTAGAAAGATTTAATGTGAGTTACAATAAGGTTAAATATTATGAAGAATATATCACTTTTTCAGGATGTACTATTAGTTACCATGCACAATTAAAATATGTGGAAATGATTCATTTCCAAAACAAATGGATCAAGTCTATAAACGGATTTAAGGCTCTTGATCGTCATTTGTCGGTTCCCTCTCAAATTTGCCGTAGTTTAACACACTGAGGTTACTCTTTTAACAAAACAGATGTCTTACTATATGAAATGTGTAGCTACATGTTTGTATTATTTATGTATCATATTAATTGAAAATTTTTATTGGATCCATTCTCATTTTCACCCAAATTATTTGGCTCTCATATTCTATTGAAATCTACTCTCCTAGTTGAGAAAAGTTTCAAGATTCAAATTACAATGAAGAAAACAAATCATATTAGCCATGCTGCTCACACCATCTTTATTTGGACTATAGTGGAAATTGTTAATAGGCTCCGGAAACCAATGTTCATAATCACCTTGTTTTATAAGAAACCGAAACATTTTGTTGAACATGTAAAATGAGAAGATAGAGCAGGCAATTAAATTTTTAATTGAGAGATTTGTATGTTTAAATTCTGACAAACCAAGCACCAAGCCTTTTTCTACCATTAAAAATGTAACTCTCCTGGGATAAAGAAATAAATGTTCGCTTTATTGAAGAGAACCAGACCTCAGTTTAATCTGCTTGAAAAATATGCGATTAAATGTCTGAATTTTGAAATGTTTAAATTTGGCTCCATGTCACAGAACTTTAAATACCTCTTTGATTACATATTGATGTTTTAAGGTAAATTTGTTATGTGTTGTTTATATACATGAATATTTGGAACACATTCTTCATATTCCATCATAAAAATATTTTACATAATTTTTGAATAATAAATGATGAACTATGATCCTCTTCATGCATAGTAAATGTTAAATGCTGCATTGTTTGCAGACATTAAGCCATAAGTGTTATTTGAGATCTTACAAAATCCTGACCCCTTTAAAAGCCAAACAGCACTACCACAGGCCTTCCCTAGCAACTGTATTCATAATGGCAATCTCCGACAGTCAGTCAAACTAAATAAACCATCAAGAATTCCAAGCCAGAAATGAGTTGTTGAGGGCTCCCGTTATCATGTCGGGACTGAGGTCATGGAGGAAACCGGAATGTTATTTTCACTAGTGCTGGCCTGCCAGTTAGTGCTGGAATTAGATTTTAGTGAAGGTGAACTTCACCATTGCTGATACTGGCAGAAATGCACTCAAAAATCCTGTAAGGGCATCAGAAAGGCCTGTGGATTACAAAAAGGTGAATCCACCCCTCTCCTCTTTCTCTGTTTCTTGTCTTCGGTGTCTCCTACTGATCTAGAAAACCATTGTTGTATACCAGGGTTTATGATCCCCAATTTGTCTGCCAATGCTAGGATTGAAACTGAAACTTCCCGAGCTTGGAGTATCAGGGCACTGAAAGGGCATAAACCTTGGTGCACACTGGTTAAGTGGGACAATCCTTAGCAACATACCTTTTGAAATGAGACAGTCAAAAGATGCTGTTCTTCGCTTTTATAATGTAATGTTTTATTTTAATAGAAGGTTTAAAAAACATTGCTGCCTTATCACATTTTGAGTCAATAAAGCATCTTAGCAGGTGATAAAGGTATGCAGTGAAGGTGCTGATCCTTCCAAAACACGTGACTCCTGCTTCTCTCTGGAAGTGACATTATAGACTTGGGGATAGACAAGTGGAAAAAGTAAACTTCCACTATGAACAAAGAATTTTAAAAATGATTATACACTCAGACTTTTATTATATTTCCTTTTTTTCTGACAAAACAAACTGACTCAGTTACTCTGATTTTGTGTCAGCTGCTTTAATAAAAACTCAAAGAAAAAAGATAATCTACATTTATAAATGTCATTTGCTGTAACAACCACGTGTGCTGCAGTTGCTATTAGACTACATAACTTAAGATAATGGTTTTATTTATGAATGCAAGAAGTGGCTATAGGATACTACAGCTGAAATATACATTTTTTTCTTTTGTCAATTTGCCAAGGGAAAGAATATAGGGATGGTATTTAAAAATGCTGCAAGGACAAACGATAAAATGTTCACAATGGAAAAAAAAAATAAAAATAAATGCACTACAAAGTGCACAATAAAGAGTTCTGCATTTCACTTCTACAAGATCATTTGCGAAGTAGTGAGGCAGGTGCCAACAGCCTATATTTTCTTTGCACTCTAGATTGAACCCCAAGACACGATTATTTTTATAGAAATAAACCCTCACCCTGTGTCCTATGAATTCAGATTAATGATGGCCTTGCCTCATAGCTAGATTAGCTTTAGTAGTGCTTCCATATAATCTCATTGTATTATCAGAAATGCATTTTTTATCACAGTTCTAGATATTGCAAATACGGTGGACAAGACAGAGACTCTTTATTAGCATAATCATGAAGCAGAGAGAATTAGTATAATTAAGTTGCATCAGCATAGAATAAAAGTTTTTGAGAGAATGGGCTGAAGCTCTTGAGAACAAGGCTTGGTGAGTAGGAGTGGACCTATCCAGACAGCTGGATGCTCAGCCACAGGCACGAGCCTTTGTTTCACCTGCTGGGTTGGCAATAATAAGCCAACATAGACTTGAAGGCTTGACGAGTTATAATATTTCATATTCCTATTTTAAAACAATATTTCAGAATTATTTATTACTTTCTATTGAGCTTGGTGGAAATAACCTTTGTCCTGGATTTTGAGCACTAACAGGCATTTTCATATCAGACTAACATCAACATTTGAAATATATCCCAAACCAAATATTCTCAAGATTAGAAACAGCAACCTGTTACATCATTTCCTCAAAAAATTATAGTCTGAGATGCAAAGGACCTTTTATAAACTGATTTTTGAAGGTCATATTTTTCAAAAAAAAAAAAAAAGACTAAAGAAATAAGGTGGTCTCCTTGATAAATGTCATTTTCTGTGTCTCTCCTCTCTCTTTGTCCAGAATGGTCAACAGTACACACAGAGGCTCTGATGCTCACATGGTTGTCTGATGCTCCTGGGCAATGCGTTAGCAGAGTTGACTGTTTTTTTGTGCACCATTTTAAAGGCTGTAAGTGCAGTTGCTGCCTGAATCCTACCACTGGCCTCTCTTTACTTCTAAGCAGTGGCCGATCAAGAATGCACACGAAGAATTCAATCACATGGGGCAAGGTGCAGGTCGGCTGTATTGCTTAATATAGGGAGCTGCCTAATAAAGCTGAACTAGAGAAGAGGTAGAATTTCCCTTCTGCCAAAATCAAGCCCTGCCCTACTAAATATCCAACATGGAAGAAGGAAAAGGACAGAGATACTCTGTTTGTTACAGCAAGTGTTCCAAAAGAGAGAAAGACAGTATAGCCTGTTTCCAGATGTGGGCATCAGTGTAAGCTGACCCAACTTAACTAAGATACGGCCAAATCAGAAAAGTTACTCTTCCTTCTGGAGAAGGAGTGAATAATTGGATAGAGAAAGGGAACAAAGCTTTTCCCCCAGCATTTATTGAAGGGACAAAGTGGGACGTTGTTGGTGGACATTCTCTTGCTGTATGGGAACTCAAGAGCAACCAAGTAGTACACTTTCAACACATAAAAAGTTATGTAAACTCTTTGCATGTTTAAGAGTTAATTCTACCTTTCTTACTTGTATAGTTTAGCATAGGGTTCCATAAGAGGTAATGTCTCTAACTTAGCATTTCCCAGAGCACGTTCCATGAAACATAAGTTCTTTGTGATGTAATTTTAAAGCAAGTGGAGAGTCTAGTAACCAACTAAGTGTGATGAATATTGAATCAAACAATATATTGAGTTAAACCATTTTCTTTACTGAAGGACTTCTCTACCTGTAATACGTGAATGTGGATTGTGAGTGTATTGTGAACATTTGAGAGGTGTATAGAATGTATTGTTTCCCAAAATTATTTGATCGCCATGTTCTATTTTTCCGGTATATCTCACAGGATTAATGTTCCTAAAAGCATCTTTTGCAAAGCATTGTACAAGTGGATATTCTTTCACTTCTCACTTCCAGAACACCTAGCCCACTGGGTGAAGATAGATCAAAGAGAATGATAGCAGGCAAAAGTCAGAAAAAGCCAAACCCCTTTTGGGTCTGGAGCTGGATGGGTTGATGCTAGAAACCAAGGCTACGAACTGGAGCTCTAGATTTGAATTCAGTTTCACACTAGATGATTCAATAAGAGCAGATGATAAAGAAAATATGAATGATAATGCTTTTAGGGAGCATATTCTGTCCCAAATTGTCTCCAAATAATACCTTATACCTGGCATAGCTGACTCATTTATATTACTTGTTAGATGCCTGAAGGCATCTGTGTTTATAATGCCTCTCTTAGAAATTCTGCAATGTGACCAAGAGGAAAGTTGAACTGCCTGGTCAGCTCTCGATCCATTCTAGGCTCTTAAGTCCACAGAATCAGCTATAACTGGGCTTGCCATGTGGACAACTGGGGATGGGAAGGGTGCTGGAGCGTATTTCACTAGATTTACATAATTATGAAGCATAGTCACAGTCAGTTTTGTTTCTAAGTGCTAAGGAGAAGCAAGGTTGGATATTAGTGTTTTTACTTTATCTATGACTGTTCCAACCCAGAGTTTTATCCCCCTCCTCTGCATTGGAATCCTAAACATGTATATGCTACTCATTTATACGTCTAACCAAAATGTTCATGTATCATTGCAGATTATTGAGTTTTGTAAATAGTTTGTGTTTTATCCTTTAATGTTTTTAACTAATTTTGGAGCAAAACCTAAAATGTGTTGTAAGTCTGTCTGCTTTAATGAATAGAATATATCGATCAGAATCAAATATTTCTTAATACCTTGGGACAATTACATTGAATATCAATGATTAGATGCTGTCCTCTAATGCATCAAGTTCACAGAATGTGATGAAGCAGACAGGATTATCTCTACTCAGTCATCCAAGAAAGCAACAAGTTTTTATTTCTCTTCTTATTTTTTCCTTCACCTCCCTTTTTTTGTTGTCAGGTTTTCAGTTGTCATTCTCACTGCTCTCAGTATGCCTGCATAATCTGTGGTAGACTGAAAATCAAATGACTGCAACTGTTAGAATTTGTGTTACGTAGGAGTCAGTAGACTAGTATTGAACTACTTTTCTACAAGGCAACTACATGTATTTAGTATGTAGATTATGAAACTTCACTTTGGGCTGACCAAAGATATTTTTGTTTACTTCTGGGTTGTTGATTCTGTTTTGAGGTGAGAAAATGTTTCTCTACTTGTAGATAGATAGATAGATAGATAGATAGATAGATAGATAGATAGATAGATAGATGATAGATAGATAGATAGATAGATATAAAATATCCTAAATCCTTTAATTCAATTGTGAACTCTGTGAAGATAGATTATCTGATACTTAAAGAACATTCTACATAGTAGCACACATTAAGTGCTCAAAAAATGTCTGTTGGCTGAGTGATTCTGTAATTCCCTCTTCCTTACCTGTACATAACAACTCTGTCAGATTGATTCTGACTTTGGCTAGAATTACAAGAAAAATTATTCTATTTGGAACAAACATTCTCATATACACATTATGGGTTGAATTGCATCCTCCCATAAATATGCTGCAGTCCTAACCCCCAATACCTCAGAATGTGACTTTATTTGTAAATAAGAACTTGGCAGATGTAGTTAAGATGAGGTCATACTGGAGTAGGGTGGACCTTTAATCCAATGTAATGTTGTTCTTATAAAGAGCAGAAGACACACACAGGAAGAAGACAGCCATGTGGCAACAGAGACAGAGATGGAATGATGCATTTACAAGTCGAGGAACACCAAAAATTGCCATGATCACCAGAAGCTACCAAGAGCAGGGCTGGATTCTCCCCTCCAAGTTGTAGTACCGCCCCGTTGACATTGATTTGGGACTTATGGCCTCCAGAACTGTGAGACAATGAATTACAGTTGTTTTAAGCCACCCAGTTTGTGATACTGTGTTACAGCAGCCCTAGGAAATGAAAAGAATACAATACATTTTATTCTCTTTTCTTCTCACGTTTGGGGAGAAAAAAGGATAACGAAGTTGTTCATTACCTTACTCCCAGGTTGTTACCTGAGACTAAGCAGATATCCAGGTGATAGTTCATAAGGTGATGACCCCCTCCAACTGTTGTCACAGCAGCAATGAAATCTTTACCAGTAGAGACGCAGTAAAGTAAAAAATAATAGCCACCTGTTGTGCCACAAATGTACTGGGAAAAATATAGATGGTTACAGGGATGTGGGGGGTGGGAGGAAATAGGAAAGTCTAGACTCTACAATAATTACTTTGAAAATTGTCCAACAGCTTATTTAGTGAGAGCACTCAATATTTTCAGGCAGTGGCCAAACAAGAACATTATAATAATAGAACATTTAATAATGTTAATTCTCAAGGGACACTTTCTTCTATTTGTGGACAGGAGAGAAAGGAAGAAAAAGGAAGAAAGGAGAATGGAAGGTAGAAGGAAAGGAAAGAGAGAAAGAATGAAGAAAGAGAAAAAAGTAGACAGAGAGATAGATGGATAGATAGACAGATATAAAATATCTATTTATTTGACAGCCAAATAATTTGGGTGAAAATGAGAATGGATCCAATAAACATTTTCAATTAATATGACACATAAATAATATAAACATGTAGCTACAGATTTCATATAGTAAAACATCTGTTTTGTTAAAAGAGTAATCTCAATATGTTAAACTGCTGAGGAAATACCCCTAAGAAAACTACAACTACCAGGAATCATAGTAGCTACATTTTAGTGGGCAATTGTTATGTGCCTCAACTGCACTAAACAGTTTAAGTGCTTTATCCAATTTAATTAATATAAAAACACTGTAATATAGTTATCACTTCTTCCCATTTTACCGGTGAGGAAAGTGAGTATCAAAGACATTTTGTCCCTTAACCCCAGTCACACAGCTCAATCAAGCCCAAGCCTGTCTGACTCTAAACATGTGGCTCTGTGTTGGCAGCTTACTAACTGTAGGCTCCAGAAAGCATGTTTCATTCCCTTTCTCAAAAAAGATAATCACTAAAAGAGAGAGAATTTGTCAAATTAGTAGATATTTATTGAACACTTTTGATATTCCAGACACTGTGCTAGACCCTATTAAAGATTCAGGAAAATATTTGACTATTCTGACGTCAAAAATTATGGTAGTTAAACAGTCTCCCCGATATAACACTTATCTCATTGTCAAAAACATTGAATGATTGCATATATGTTCAGTGTGTTCCTTGGCAACCCCTCCACCTCTCCCTTTTTTAAAATTTTGTTTGTGGATTCTCTGTCCAAAACCCAGAATGTCCAAAAGGCCAATTGCAGCAGCAATACCTCACTTGCATATGGAGAATCTCTTATACCTATTTATATAATTTATTTTACATTGTTATAGTATATTTAGAATTTTCTAACTTTAAAGTGATTTTCTCAGCCATTTGCCATCAGTAGCTCATAACATAAGCATGGAAGGAATATTATCACAACTTATAAATGAGGAAATTAATACTCAGAAAGGAATTTGAATCCTTTTAAAGGAATATCCATCTATAGGAAGTTGCATTAGGAATCCTAAATAAATCTAAGCTCTTCTAAAGGAGAATATTTCCTACTCCCATTTTACTTTTTAATGCCAAATGCTTTCCTTGAAGTTTTTCTCTTGCTTCATTTTAGGGTATTTTTAAAGTCTCTGGGTCTAAGAAGCAGTACAGAGCCATGTTGCTTAAAAAAAGCAATCAAGTCAAAATTCCTACACAAAAGGGTACACATTTCAGAGAAGCTACAAATAAATATATTAGAGATTGAACTGCAACCACTCAATAGTATTTTTTTGTCAAGAAAACATTTTTTTACTAGAACTTAGTCAATACAAAAAGAAAAAGGCAGATTTTTTCAGGGTCTCTCTGTTTGCATGTGAGTTAGAGAAAATACACAAGTCTAACAAACATCTGGGAAATGGTTATGTGGAGTGCTCGGGGTTTTTACCCCCTTCACATTTTGCCTGGAATTCATAACAGTGTCCTGTCTTCTAATGTGATTGGCTGCAACAGTTCCAGTAATTTAAAATACAGATAGTGCTGAGAAAGCATGGTAAGGATTGGCATGTTGTAGTTCTGGAAACACTGAACATTATGAATGATGTAGCGGTAAAAGGAAAGAAATATTGCCAGAAAATATTGATAGTGGATTGGATCTAAATTCACAGGAGAGGGATTGCCTGGCAGAAATATACAGTTCCCTATCCCTTTAACATTGCAGTTTTTTACCCTCATTTTCCTTTGGAAGAAAAAAAAAATGTTTCTTGCTGTTAATATATATCATCCCTTTTCACTATTTAGAAATTAACGTGATTTACACATGTTGAAGCTCTGCGGTTTAGAGCACACACTTTGTGTCAGACAGAATTGGGGTAAATCTCAAGCTCTCTACCCACCCTAGGCTGGCTACTCTGTGAGTCTCAGTTTCCTAGTCTGTCAACTGGGTGAATACCAATACTTCTCTCATGTAGTAATCATGAGGAGTAAATGAGGTAATGCGTGTAAAAAAAAAAACAGGCAGAATGCCTGGCACTCTGAATACTCTCAGTGAATGGTGGTTTGTATTTATTTTTGACTTTGCATTTGCTCAGCCTGGATGTGCTTGTCTAGATATTGGTAATCCAATGAGTCTAAAACAATACCTCAAAATGTGGCTGAAATTTGGATAAAAGATCACTTTTTTAGCAATTATATGCTGATTATTATGCATATTATATTATGCATTGTTCCAGCTAGTTTAAAGGAAGAAGGGCCAGATAGAAGTGACAAGACTAAAATAATTCCTCTTCTTTTTGTGTGTGTGTTTAGCCTGTAGGATTTATAAGGAAAGTCAATAATGCAAATCAGGGTAATGGTGGTCTTTGGGGTACATAGAAAAGTGAATTAAATTTATCCACATCGAGGAAAACTCAAAGGCACCAAAAATAAGAAGAGAATTTTGGATGGATCAAAACTTATGCCAACAATATGTGGAAGGGACGTACCCAATTCACTGGGAAGAAATTCAGGGGAAGGAGGAGGAAGATAAACAACTTTCGGGGTGTGCCCTCTTGTTTTTCCATGTCTTTTTCACACTTTATTTTCTCTGCCATTGCAGACTCAATTCAAAACTGGCTCTGAAGTAGAATGAAAACCAAGGATTTAATTTAGGAATTAGAGGGAGTTTTCAAATGTCAGAATGTCTCCCTTTGAATTTAGTTTTTGACATGAACAAATTTCTTAAAATAGGAAGGTAAGCCTTATGCGTCTAAGAAATAGAGAATAAAATAATCTGTGGTTGTTACCTTTCTCAGCTAAGAATAATTCCAAGGTATTAAAATCGATAGCTAGGATCTGTTTCTATTTTCTAGGAAAACTAAGATTCCCAAAAGATTATGATTACTTTTAAGCCAATTAAACAAACAGGATAAACTCCAAATTTATATTTCCTTTCATAGTTATAAATATGTTGAGAATAAGAAATAGAATGTATGTATGTAATTAGGTCATAAATATATCTAATAAGTCAATGGAAAGGAGAACAGACTTAGAACATAGAATAGCACTGAAGTTTGTGAAGTAATATTTCCTACCTCGTTCTTAGGTTATGCTGTCTAATAAGATTATATGAGTGCTATTCATCAAAATTGACAGATTTTTATGCTTTTTTCTTTCAGAAAATTAAATTTTATTCATATTCAAAGGGGCAGTTATTCAGCATTTTTCAGGTAGGAGGCATTGGGCACACTAAATGCTTTCTCCTTGCTGCAAAGCTAGGTCCCCAGAAAGGGAGATATACCTAGCCCCAATAGCCAGAGGGATATGGAGAAAGGGACAACATGTCAGAGATGGTGGCGTGAACACAAAACATCTGGATGCCAGGATTTTCATTGCAAGAATTCTACAGCTGCATCCTGGGGTCACCTTGAAAGCTCTTTCCATACCTCATGCATAGGTAAAAATCAGGGTTTCCTTCTGCAACCTCTGAAAGCTGGCGGAGACATTTGAAAATGTGACAACTTAATATTCTTTCTCTCCCCCCTTTCCACTTCCACTTCCCTTCCCCAGTGTAAACACACATGCGTGCACACACACACACGCAAACACCAAAGAACAAGCCAGAAAAAAATCCAATGGTTTAAAAGGAAAGTAGATTAAACAGCAAGTAATTCCTAGTTTTAAACTGTACCATTATTTTAAAGATTGAATAGGCATGGCTGGCACATAATTTCCTGAGGCTGTAAAGCCAAATACTATAATAGTTTAATACTAGATCCTACTTGACTTAGATGCTATTTGTCCACATAAAAGTATCACCAATGACACCTTTGTTGGCCAATTTCAGCACAACCATCAAGCTCTTAATGAGCATTTATTATTTATTTGACCTTCAGAGGTCTCAGGGTGCGTGCACAGTTATAAAGTCATATGCATAAAACCATCTCTGCAATAAATTAAAATTAAACTAACCATGGCAGCGGTATTCTAGGAGCATAACTTTACTTACTTGGGTAGGCCAGGTGGAAGCAATGAGTTCTGCTCCATGTCCTGAAGGTCAGGAGAATTGGATTCTGTCAAACAAGGAAAGCAGGAAAACTGCAGAGTCCAGCAAGAATCACCCTCTAGCCTGTGGCCTGTCAGTAGCAGCATCTAAGCAAGGGGCAATATCTATCCTGTTTGAGAAGCATCAGGCTAAAGTCCAAGCATATTAATGTGGGACTAAAAGGAGATTTTCGCTGAAGTGCCTTCATCCCTGCCTTGTGTACCTGCTCTATAATACAGGACAACTTTCTCCAGGGATATGCGTCTCTCCTCCACATACAAGACGTTTCCAGCGGAGCATATCAAAGATAATGTTTTCATCATTTGAACATCCTGACAGTGAAGAGCATCAAATCACCTTCCTCCACTTAATAAGGGCTCCTTCTCTGAAGAAAGAAAATGCCTTTTAAGACAAAAAAAACATAGATATTAACTAAATGAGCCTTCTGTCATGTATGTACCACTAAATATGCAATTTAATGCTGAAACTGGAGCCATATTACATATAATTGGATGGTCAAGTAGTCAATTGCAAGGTTAGCTTCTGTTCTAAAGGCAACCCCAAACCTCCTCTTTTGATTCTTGGAAGGAATTCGAGAGCCAAGTCACTCTACCTTATTTTGAGTTTATGTTGCCTTCAGGTGAACAGTAACAGGACCAACGGGATAAACCAGAAGTAGTTGACTTGCTGAAATACATAGTAATGCCCATTAAGGTAACAACAAGAGTCATTACAGCTCACCACTTCCAACAGTTGTAAAAATAACACAAGCTTCAGAAAACAGTTTTCTCAGTGTTATGATTTTATTGACCACACAAGTGCTCAAACTAGTCAGATAGCTTAAGAAGAGACAAGGAAGCCTTCCCTGCTTAAGGTATTATTTTAAGCTGATGCTAAAGAGCTGTATATTTGGGTTTCCTATTCAATACAGCAAATGTGCTCAATTTTTTCAGAGATTATGAGGTTTTTTTGTTGTTTTGTTTTAATTCGAGCAAAACAATGCTAATATTTATTTCCAATACTGTTAGTGTTTCCTCTACAGTGGGTATGGTAGGGAAGTTACACAGGCACAAACTTCTAAGATGAATGGAAAAATTAAACTTAATTCTCCCTCACAGTTACTTTTCCTGTTTTTTCTTGTTTTTCTTTCTTTAAAATTTTTTGACATGGTCTGGCTCTGTCACCCAGGCTGGAGTGCAGTGGTGAGATCATAGCTCCTTGCAGCCTTGAACTCCTGGGCTCAAGCAATCCTCCTCCCTCTTTAGCCTCCTGAGTAGGTGAGACTGCAGGAGTGCACCACCATGCCTGGCTAATTTCTTTTTTTTTTTAATTTTTGGAAGAGATGAGGTCTCACTATGTTGCCCAGGCTGGTCTTGAACTCCTGACAATCCCCCCAACTCAGACTTTCAAAGTGCTGGATTATAGGTGTAAGCCAACACGCACAGTGTATAATTATATTTCTTTGCTTTTTTTCCTCTTCCAAAGCTGCCTAAATACCACACTTGCTTTTTAAAATTCCCTCCCAAGATCAATGCATAATTACATAGTTCTCAAAAGCAAATGCAGAAATGTCCATCCAAAGCAGTCTGTGTAGGCAGAGCCTAGGAGAGAGACCATAAGAGGTACTACATTCTAGATGAACGTTTCGTAGTGTCTTGCTTCTCTGAATTACTGAATTAATATATAAATTAAGAGAAGTTAGACTGCCAGTTGAAAAGATTTGTGCCTCAATTTTAAAAAGACAGCAAATCTGAAGTCGTTACAGTAACTATAAAAAGTGGTGTCTCATCTTGACTATGCTAAAGACCCTCATTAATCCCTGCATTCTTGCCCTCCAGCTGCACTCCTCTTTCAGGAAGCCTTAGCTCCTCACACCTCTCCCCCTTCACCATGCTCAGTACTCCCTCTGCAACATTGCTCACATTCCCTTTCTGCAGGCACAAGCCAGACCTGTCCTCTTTCTGACCACTCATAACATCCTTATTTCTACCTTTGCTTTGGCACTTGATTATATTTTACTTAACATTTTGTTATACACTGACTCTCACTTTTGTTTCTTTTATCACAAGCATGTAAGGAAAGGCACAATATGTGTAGAAATCTCCCTGGTTTCCATAGAATGTCCAGTCAGTCAGCACTGAATTTGAATTCGACTGTGCCATTTGCTAGCTGTGTGACCTCAGACAAGGTACTTACTCATAAAATTGGGATCTTGATAACCGGCCTCAGTGGGTCATTAAATGAGATAATGCATGCAAGTCACTTGGCAGTGGGTTTGCATGTAGTAAAGATTAGAGAAACTGTGGTAGTGGTCGTTATCCAAGTCATCGAAGTTATTGTTACAATTATTAGAGACTGGGGCTTACATATGCTAGTACTTTGTATGATATTCAGCCTTTCTAAGCCTCGGTCTCTTCATCTATAAAATGAGAGAGTTGGACTAGATGATCCTACTTCTGGAAATCTCTGATCCTGTCATTGATTATATATAATCTAGTTGAAGGCAAGCCTTGTGTCATATTCCTCTTTTGCAGTCACCCTAGGATCTCGCACAGAGCACATGTTCTCAGTAAATTATATAACTAAGCTAAAACCAGTGTTTTTTAAATTATACGTTTATTTGTATATCTGTGTATCTGTATATGCGTCTGTGTAAGAAATCTTCACCTGTAGAACATGAAGAACTGTCCATGTGCACAATGTTTCCCAAGGTGTGGTAAATCAGGGACTCTTTTGGTTAGGAGACAACCAAGAGATTAATCCTCTAGAAGTCTAACACTCCCTCAGATAAATGAATATGGTTTGAGGTATACTAGTATGCCCTGGAGTTCCCTATTTTATCAGTGGGTAAAAGAGTGCTGGCTCTGAAGTCCCAGTCAGAGGGTTTCAGGGCACTCTCTTGCCCACCGGCAAGGTCCTGGAAGCTAGCCTGGTCTGGACCTCAGTCAGGACCCTAAAACTGGTGCTTCCTACTCGGATGAATCTTACTCAAACTGGCCTCCTTCACGATCTGTTGATTTTAGTGTTCAGATTTTGGAATGATGCCTGGTGATTCTGGAGGCAACCAGGAGGCTGGCCTCCTGGAGAGTTAGACTTACATCAGAGCCATTGTATTTTACTTAATAACTTTGTACTAATCTCATTTTTTTCTTTTTGCAAAAAAAAAAAAAGAGCAGTAAGAGAAAGTTTGAGAAGATCATAGCCATTTATTGCCATATTCTTAGTGTTGTTATGGCCAAGAACATTTGTCTGCAAAGAAGCTCTTGGTTGCCTACGAGTGGGCCAGCTCCTGCTGTTTGTACCTCAGCTGAGGTGATGATTCTCTATGACATCACAACCCTCCCCACAGCAACGGAATGTGACCTGAGGTGCAGAAGAAGCAATGAGATTGATAAACTCTTAAGAGATAATGACTATACTCTCCTATTTAGCAAAAAAGAAGATAAATGCAATAACTGCCCCAAACATGCTATGCATGTATTGCAATTCAACCAAGTGGACTTAGCATTTTACACCACTTGTCCTATTTGTGTATTTGCTACATACACATCCTTACTGTGTTGATTTTCTCTTCCACCTCCAGGTGGGATGGCTTTATATGCTTACAGAAAGTTTTTTGTTGTTGTTGTTGCTTACTTCCTATATGACATAAAGTCTTTCAAAAAAGCAAGTCCAAGATTTGTATACATTGTTGTTGATTATATGCTAATGACTAGATATGTAACAATATTCTAAAGGTCAATAACGAGAACTTTGGCTATTTGGTAAACTCATTTACATATTAATATTGTAGTTCAAATGGTAAATACAAATGTTTGCCTGAGGGAACTGCTAAAACATATGAAAAACCTAGATATGCAAACACCAAAATGATTACATGTGAAGTCAGGGAGTTTCTGCATCATTGAATAAACTAACTTAAAGTATTGGCATCATAACTCAGAAGGCATTACTGCTAATTGAACTATAAGTGAAAAATATCAGATTTTTAGATATTCATGTTCTCTAGAATAGATACATAATAACGGGCTCCAATTACCTTCAATAGTTTCATTAAGTGCCATATTGAAACATTTTGGTTTCGTTCATTTCAGCATTGATCCCTAAAGCTTTTTCTAGTATCATTCACTTCCACATTCATTCTAAGAGCATTTTTCTATCCTCTACAGAGAATACAAAAAATTGTAAGTCATTTCCCTTGGGAAACTTGAGGAACAAGTTAAGACTTGAGGAAAGTCAAAACGCACAAATACACAAATGACTACTAGTAAACATAAATGGGCACAAGAATGTACACGTAAGAAATAATCAATATTTATTGATTGATCACAATGTGCCAGGTCCTGTGTTAGGAGCAATATCAGCATTGCTTTATTTAATCCTCACAACTCAAAAGGTGTTAAGGAGCATTTTTTCCAGTTGACAGGGACTAAGATATTTAATAATTTGTCCAAGGTTAATTCAAGGGTTGAGATTCAAACCCAGATCAACTATCCCCAAAGGCCATACCTTTGAACACTCTGGGGGGAAATGGTTTAGCATTTGAATCAGCCTAGAATTTGAGGTCACAGACATCAAATCCACTCTATACCATGAGCTGTGGGATCTTAGACAAATCACCTATCTCCCTTGAACCTTAAGTTAGAATAGGGTAGATGAACAAGTTTTGCAAGCCCTAAAACACTCTGCAAACATCATTTGCTAATATTTTCATTCCAGCCTGCATATATACATATGACGCAGGAATACTGTGTCCTGTGTTATACTAACAAAAAGAGACTTCTTAAAAATGATTCATTTTGGAATAGTATGAAATTACTAGTCACGGGTTGATAAAGAAGTGTCAGGAGTTCATCTACTGCTTAGAACAGTACAGACAGTCTCATCTTCTATATGGAAATATAAGACTCAATATTTACAATGAAATTATAGTATACTATTACTAAGTCTAGATTCATTTATGCTATTCTAATCACCAGCACTAACCCACCAGTGGAGACATTTTTAAAAAACAAGAATTTGTTATTAGAGCAGTTAGAAAGATATTGGTAATGATTATGTCAATACGTAGTTCATGTCAAAACAGCTAAATGGGAGGGCAAGAGGCTTACAGAAAGAAACAGATGATTTTTTTTCTTCCAGTAGATCTGCAGTTTTCTAGCATTTCATAAGTATTCTGACACATAAAAAGCTCATTGCTCAGATTGTATGAGAGAATTGGGCATATTTAAACCCTTTTAAATCACTTTGTTGTTGTTGTGCTTCCCTGAGAGGACTCTTAGTGGTAAAAAGACAACTCATATGTCAAGCCAGACAGTAAATTGATACCTGATGTCACTTTCATTTATACCACCCTTACTAGTATGGCTTTAATCTAATTGACTTTTATTCCCATCATAATAATACTTCAAAAACATTAATCAGTGTTGTTTCACTTTAAGCATATTTAAAATTTCCCTAAACTTAAGAAGTTAACATTATTTCAATAATTAATATCATTTTTATTCTTCAGCCTAATTAGTTATCTAAAAGGGGAGCTGTACTGTTTTAATATGAAATTCGACCTATTACCCTAATGAATATTTTTCTAAAAATATTGTTGAAACATTTTTTAAAGAAAGATAATGAATTTCAGAAATAATTTCATTGGAACATAATCACCATTTGGATTTCCTAGTTTTAGATTAGCCAGTGGTAGTTTATCAACTTAAAATTTACTTTTTTTATTGTTTTAAAAAAAGGGTGGGCTTACATATGGATTTTTTCCCCAACTCCTACTTGCCTCAGGATATGAGCATTTCTAAAGCTGAAACAAATCAACATAGTTTTAAACTACTATATAAAATAAAAATGAGAAAAATCTTGGAAAGAAAAACAATGAGCAATGTAAGATTCTGACGTGTTAGGAGGTTTATTTAAAAAAAAAATACTCAAGTATGTGCCAGTTTCTCAGTGTCATTTGTCACGTTTTGGACTACACTGAGATAAGCTACACTAATAAGAAGAAATCAGCTTTTTATATTATGACATACTCACAGAGCTTTGTGGAGGAGGCCTTTCATTGTATTTTTCATCTCTTCCCACTCACTCAATGTACATAAAACAGGCTTGTTGGCAGAAAAGGAAGGGGACAAATCTAGTCTAGAGTAATCACCAAAGCATTTTCTGAAATAGAGCTGAGAATCCAGGGTCAAATTCTCTCAACTTTAGATAGTAGAGCCTGGTAGAGGCAATTGTTTCATGCTTTCTATTAGCATCTATGATCCAAGTTGTACCATTCCCATCTATGTTAATCCACAGAACACATTACATTAAACAAAAAAGTAAAAATACTTTCAGACTTCTTTTTATTTTTCATGTATTTGGTTTTTAACCTTATTTGAGTCTAAGTAAAATGGAACAATGTCAGAAATCTCCTGGGCCTAAAAGGCTGAAACCAATATGAAGCAAAGGGATGAGCATATATATGTTCAACTGGCACTGATCTGGATAGGGAGTCGTTCTGAATAATTTATACACAGAATTTCACTTTGGAACTGAAGTAGTCTAGATCAGCTGTCTATAATGCCTAAATTCACCAAAAAATTTCTTCACTCTCCTCTTCTCTTGGGTAGTATAGATGTGGTGTACAAATTGCCCTCCTGCTTTCTGCCCAGTGGAGATAGCATGAAGATTTTTCCTTTTCCATTATAGGAAACAAATAATTTTGATGCGGTAGAACTCATTATTAACCTCTTGTGAGCAGCTTAGTGGCAAGAACTTCTGATGCCCAAACTTAATCTTGACGTTCTCTTCCTCAGAACTGCAATTAGTGATACAAAAGTTAACTCGACTCCTGAAAGGTCAAAGAAAAAAGAAAGGCTCACAACTATCATTTAAATAGTACAGTACAATTCACAGAACACTTTCTTAGCCAGTGTCACATTTCATTTGCACAATAACTCTGTGAGATACATAAACAAATACCTAACATTATATAATTTATTACTTCAATTTACATCATATACATGATGAAACAAGTTCAGAGAGGTTAAGTAATTTATGCGTGGTCACCAAAACCCATACCATTTCTCTTGTGTCTTGCCACCTGAGACAGAACCCTATGTGTTTCTTAGAAAAAAAAAAATCCCAGTAATAAAATACTACATCCTGACTGTGATAGAAAGATCAAGAGAGTAAGAGATACAGGATCTATATTCATCCTTCTCAAAGTATCTTCACCTTCAGTATACTGGAGTACTGTCTATTATTTGACAAGCCCCGAAGTGTATTAATGTTCTCTCCAGGTATGATTCAAGCCCAATAGCTGCATTTAAAATGTCATTGATTTCTAGGCACTAATACTCAAAAATGATACACAGCCCAGGTTTCTGGCATTCCATATGACCATCTGCTAGCATGGCGTGGTGCCCATTCACAAGGTAATAAGACAATTTAAGGAGCACACAGATGCCAAGCATTCCAAGCCTTAGAGTAATAACCTGCAAAATAAAGCAAGCAGCTTTTCTTTTTCTACAGTGAGCAGATCCGTCTAAGTCAAAACGTACCAAATCATACCTTGCATCTATTCCATTAGGGGAGATCATTAGGGGAGATCACGTTAGTTGACATGTTGACATAGGGTAGCAAATACAGAGAAGAAACTGCTGTTACTGGCTGAAACCCTTGACGCATTTCTGTTTATTGGTTACGAAGAGGAATTAAGGTACGATCCTCTAGAATAAAATCCTGGCATTTTAACCTAAGCTCAAAGACAGGCATCTGCCATGGAGGAAGTGAATGTTAGGTGGAAATTCCCAAATGCATTTTCCAATGTTAGGAAGCTTCATACCTTTATTTACTTGTGATCAATCAAATCTCCAGTAGCATGTGGCTCAGACAAACAAGAAGTTTCAACTGTTGAGACAGGATTGCATTTTCTGTAGATGTAGATATGGTACCTCTATTGACTCATCTGGCTCAGAATATAACAAAGAAGATATGGTAAACACATGTTCTCCTCTGAATCCTAGCAAGCATCTTTTGACTAGAGCTGTTTACATGTTGCCTCACTGGAGACACATGATTCAGTCATTTTTCCTTCACAATAGGCTTTTTATGCTTATATTTGAGTTGTTTCAAGAGTAAGAGTAGTAAGAAGAGAGGCTAAGGTAAGGTTAAAGAAGAAAAACCAAAGAAGAAATTAGAAGACAAGGAAAAGAAAAAGGTGAAAAAAATTGACAATATAAATATGTTAATAATGATCCTACAACATTAATTCTTATAGCTAATTGCATAATAATTCTAGAAAAAACTTCATTTTGATATTAATGAAGAAATATGTCTATTTGCTTATATTTGTTCCTGAAAAAGACATAATTTTTTCTCTCTTTCACCTATTTATAAAAACACATACATTCTGGAAAACAATATGGCTGTATATATATTTATTTTTCATGGGTAAGTATATACACTTATGTATATACAAATATGTTATGAAAAACTACATGACCAGGTGTGGTGGTATGCAACTTTAGTCCCAGTTAGTTGAGAGACAGAGGCAGAAAGATTGCTTGAACCCAGGAGTACAAGCCTATAGAGTGTGACGTTCATGCCTGTGAATAGCCACTGCGCTACATCTTGGGCAATATAGCGAGACTCCGTCTCTAAAAAGAAACAAGATCAAAAACCTACATAAACATAGCTCTGTGTACAGACACATTAGAAACCAAAATCCACATTGTAGTAAAATCCTAGTGAATAGTATTTAGTAGGCGGCCATTTATACATAGAATATGTTCTTTCTTCTAAGCTTAAAAAGAAGGAAATTAAGTGTAAGATGTTTCATAATAAAGCATTATGAGAATATATAGAGATGTGAATGTGTATAAACTTATATTTTTAATAAAGTTGATATGTCTAATAGAATATGATGGTCCTCATGGTAAACTAAATTTAGTTACCTTGCTGAAAATATTGTTTATTTATTGGTTTACAATTCATTCATCAAAAATGTATTGAACACCTATAATATTCATAAGTAAGTCCTCATCCTCAAGGAATAATAGTTGTAACTATAGCAATATAAATTTGCTTTATTTTTAATCTTTAATTACTTTATTTTAATCTTTTATTCAAGAGATTTAATGAGTATCTACTGTGGGTCAGGAATTGTTTTGGAATCCAATGATGTAATTAAAAAAAATCATTTCGGTCCTCAAGGTGTTTGAAGGGTGAGGTAAGATAGAAACTAGGAAATATACTAATATACAGTGTTTTATGGCAATGTAGGGGAGCACAAGTCATAAAAAAGACAACGCCTTTGTATTTGGTGATTTGTGAAGATTTCATGGGGTAATTTCTAAGCTGTTTCCTTGACACTTGGAGGACCACTGATATTTTTTTCAGAATTATATATGCATCTGTGTGTGTTGGAGTAAAAAGGGGTTACACTCTGAGAGGTCCAAAGATCATCACATAGGTGATCTCCATCTCCAGCAGCCGTGGAATCCATAACTAGCTATGGATGAGGGCAGATTAAAGGGTGTAGATATCAAAGCAGATAATAATGAGAAAACAGAGTTTCAAAACCAATTATGAAATGCCCTGATAAAAGATAAAATGTTGAAATCAGTAGGTCTCTTCATGATGGCCAGATGCATGTTATAGTTCTGTATACCCTGTAGCTATTTATTAAAAGAGGGACAAAAAGATCATGAGAGAAAAGTAAGAGATTAAAAGAAGAGCCATCAAGACAAGGAAGGTCTCCATAAAGAAAGACAGGCTTAGCTATGACTAAAAGTGTTGCTGGGTGTAAGACTATGGAGGATACATCTGTATTCAACTTAGGGCAAGAGAACATCAAGCTTCAGGAAGGAGAGATTATGATTGTTTTACTTGCTTTCAGATAATGGATTCTCTCACTTCTTTTCTTTTCTTTTCTTTTCCCTTTCTTTCTTTCTCTCTCTCTCTCTCTCTGTCTCTCACATCTATATAGGTATCAATTCATATATCCATACAGGAAAGAAGGAAGGAAGGAAGGAAGGAAGGAAGGAAGGAAGGAAGGAAGGAAGGAAGGAAGGAAGGAGGATACCCCAAGTATAAATGGATTCAAGCTACTTGGAATTTGGTAAGTGTGATTCTCACTTGAGGGTGAGGTGGTCTAGACCTATGTATGCCACAGGGGAGAAGCAGTCAAACTTAAGTCTGATAAAGAATCATCACAGGTCATGTTAAAAGTAGATTCCAGTATTCTCCTCAAAGATTCTGATTCATTTGGTCTGGAAAAGGATCCTGTAACCTCTCCAGATTAATCTAAAATATAGGGTCGAGACCACACTTTGGGAGATGTTGCCTTAAAAAATGTAAACATCCCTTCCAATGTTATTATTTATCTGCAAGGATTAAGTTCTATAATTCCACTTCATTTTGATGGAGAAAGAGTAATTTCCATTTTTATAAAGCATATTAAAGTTACCAAATATCTTATAAACAATCTTTGAATATGTATATTATATTTGAATACATTATATATACATATGTAATTCTGCTTCAATTTTAACCTCACCCTGAATTAATTCCACATTGCATATTGTTATTTTTTGAACAGGATGACTATGGTTTAAGAGAATGTCAGTTTTAGGGAGAAAAGGGAAAAGAAAGTAGAAGAAGGAACAGAAAAACCATCTATGAAAGAAGTCTAAGTCCCCCTCAAGGTTATCATTTTTAGTTTAACCAAAGAAACAAAAGTGAAAACCTAATACTCAAAATTTGGGTGGCTGAGGCTGGTGGATCACTTGAGCCCAGGAGTTTGAGACCAGCCAGGGCAACATGGCAAAGCCCAGTCTCTACCAAAATAAAATACGAAAATTAGCCAGGCATAGGGGTGTGTGCCTGTAGTCCCAGCTACTTGGGAGGCTGAGGTGAGTGGATCACATGAGCCTGGGTCAAGCCTGCAGTGAGCCGAGATAACGCCACTGCACTCCAGCCTGGGTGACAGAGGGAGGTCCTATCTCAAAAAACAAACAAACAAAAATTAACTAAAAATAAAAAATAAAAAAAATTACATATTTTGAATCATAGCCCAAACCAAGAATAAAATATTAAATAATAGACCTTTGGTCTTTGTGTTCCCTCACCCTCATCAACTTAATAAAAGGTTGACATTTTTTTAAAAAGGTAGTCAAGATCTACCAGTTAAACTGAACAATAAACAGGAACTCTATTGCACCACCATGTTTCAGCTTGGCTTTACAGGATGAGTGAGTAACTTCAGATCTGATTAGGATGGGAAATTTTGCCTGGACAGGTCTGAAAAGTATTGAGCAATTTCCTCACCATCATCACACTAATTCTAGGTATGAACATACTAGAGTGAAGCTCAGTAAAGCAAAAGGACCACTAGAAGTGAGAGGGGCAGGTGCACTGCATAATAAGAAGTGCAAGGACTTTGCAGCAAGATAGAACTGGGTAGAATTCCTACCTCTACAACTTACTAGATTTCTGTCCTTACTGCAAGCTATCTATCCTCTTTGAGACTCAGTTTCCTTACCTGAAAATTGAGATGATAAGTTTTTCCTCAAAATTGTGTGAAATAAATTAGGTAAAAAGCGCACTCAATGGATGACCCACAACAAATTTTAGTTTCTCATCCATAAAGATTACTTTTAGGATGTTGCAAATACAAACACCTAAATAATCAGCAGAAAATGGAAAAATCATAATGGAGATGTTTGTTGTTATGTTCAATACTGCTCTTTAACTGAACTATCTTTCAACAATTGGTTCTAAATATTATGCAGGCAAAATGTGTGAGAGCAATTAGTACTTGGTTCTTTTAGGATTTGATATGTTTCTCTCTAAAGATTTTTTTCAATCCCATGGGCTATTATGGTAGGTTAATAGAATCATATTTTGAGATATTAACTGATATTTCTTTCCCTGGACATCCCCTGCATTTTCTGTGCATCTATTACCGTGACCATATCAGTCCATATGGAATCATCTTCCAGGGGAGGATTTAAATGGCTAAGGAAAAAGAGTCAAAATCTCAACTTTGAGTTCTATTCATAAAGACAAATAACTTTAAAAAACAAGAAAAGAAGTACAAAGGATATAGAGAGAAAATTGTTTGAAAATGAAAAATTAAAAGCCCTAAGGATGTAAAGCACAGTTTATACCAAAAATAACGCTGTTGGAAAGAATAAAGGATAAAGTAAAAGATGATTTTTGGAATACAGAGAAAAGTGAAACAACTCAGAAACAGTCACATACCACATGTTCTCACATATCAGTAGGAGTTAAATAATGTGTACAGATGGATGTAGACTGTGGAATAATAGATATTGGAGACTCAGAAGGCTGGGAGGGTTGGGAGGTGAGTGAGGGCTGAAAAAATGACTTAATGGGTACAATGTACACTATTTGAGTGATTGTTACACCTAAAGCCCAGACTTTACAACTATGTAATATATCCATGTAACATAACTGCAACTGTACCCCTTAAGTTTATGGTTTTTTTAAAGAAAAGAAAAAAATCTCATTCAGATTGGAGTTATGAAAACAAATAGGAGACAGTGGTGGAAGGAGAGACTTGGACACAAAGGAGAGGGGAAGAATAAGGCTTAGCCATAAGTATGGGTTGCCCTCTTCCCCATCCTCTCTTTTTAAAGAAGCCTGTGTTAATTATAATGCCACTTGGGAATAGAAACAATGAGTTAGTAAGATGCCTTCAGGATTAGATCTGATGACAGATTCTCTGAGGTCAGACACCGAGCATGGTGTGGAAAAATATCCAAAAGATTATGAAGCTCCTAAGAGGGATGCAGAAAGGCTGAAAGAATTTCATTGGACTAGGATAAACATGCATTCGTATCCACGGGACACGCTGACTGGATGCATTTTGGATCATACAAGCTGAAGACCCACATGGTAGGACCATGGATACCTACTGCACATGTATCTGAGACAGAAGTTCAAGCGCCATGCCTGAGCCAAGTGAGTTACACCTCAGTGAAGACAGAATATGGCTGTGAACCACAAGCCTTCTTGTCAAAAACAGGATCTAGAGTACCCATCAAAAGAAAAGAATGGTAAGAGGAGATTCCAAAATTAACTGAATGTGTCTCCAAAGAAGACTGAGAACTAAAAAAAAAAAAAACTGAGAGGACCTTGAACTATCTAGGTTTCTGTTTTGACTACTAACAGCTGCTGGAGAGCTAAAGTTGGTGTTTATATTTTTTTGTCCTCAGATACTCTATTCATTGTGACACATAGCCAACAATATAGACAATATTATAATGACAAGAGTAGATATAATGCATGTTTAACTATGGCAAACATCAAGGATGCTTCTGTGATAGATGGAAGGGAGAATAAGGAAAGAAAGTTATTGCTCTGTCAGAAGAGGTACAAATAGCCTTCATTAAACAAGGGCTGACATGAGCATGCTGTGCAACTGTGTAGCTTTAAGCAGTATAGTTATGGTAATTAAAAGAATGATTTCTATTTTTAAAACAATATTTATAGGTAGATGTTTATTAAAGTTGAAGCCATGTTTCTATACATACATTTTAAATTATTCATGATTTATATGACTCTCCTCCCGTACCTCCTCCTCTTCGTCCTTTCCTTCTAGAAGGTAAACATTGGCAATGGCCCTATAAAAATGATTTGAAGTGAAAGCTGCCATAATTTTTTATCACTGTCTTATCAATACAGTGATGTGACATTTTATAAGTTTAAGTTCAGTATCATCACAGGTAAAGTTAAGTCTTTATTTAAAATTTCCAGAATCAATAACTGAGCCTGGTAACATGGCCCAATATTTCAGTTCTTTTCTGGTGCAACATTGCCTATACCATATCCTTTCTGCTGCATTTTAAAATATTATTTCTTATCTCCAAGGAGCTAAAAATGGCTAGCTGGAGTATCAGGAAATACCTTGCTTTTTCCTCTTTAGCTGTTTCTTCTTCAGGTAGACTTAACTCCATTCATTCATTTAGTCATTCATTATTGTGTCTACCATATATGCCAGTTCAAATGATTTATTATTTTAATTTTTTGAAAGTTTATGTTGAAATATTTATTTTACTATTATATGTGGCCAGAGTCTCTATGATTTGCTTAAATTGGAAGCATTTAAACACTTTAATCAATTTTGAGAGTAATAGTTTCCACATCCCAAGGTCCTGATTGCTTCTGAAATGATGGGCTCATAGCTATGCTATGAGCCACAGAAACATGCAAAGTAGGTTCTCAAAATTAAGATATAAATTAGATTATTAAAAAAGCTCAGAGCTAGACAGTGGGCTAAAAAGTATTATGAGTATTCTGATAGGCTCTATTTGTTACTCAGATGCAAGTCGAATGGTACAATCATTTTCATGGTGTGGTGCAACAATTCCAGAGGGTAACATTCACAACAACCATGGCAAAAATGGAATTCCTGGTATTATGCATAATAATGATTCTACACAGCCATTCTGCAAACTCCACCACTACCACTTCCACCACCTCTGTCCCTTCTTTCGTCAAATATATTTGTGTGCTTACTAATAGGTGATCCCTTTCCCAGTATTCATCAGGCCAGTCTTGGTGGTCTCACTCCCCTTGCCATCACAGTTTAAAAATGTGACCCAACAAGGGTGAGAATAAATCCCCTGATGGCTTCTGGATAATGGTTTCCCTTACAAAAAAAGAGACATAGAGCAAGACAACACTCCTCTTCTTCCATTGGATGTAGTCTTGTCTCATGTGATGTTTGAAGCTGTTGCACCCATAATGTGGAGTAAAAATCACCAAAATATTCAAGATAGTAGAAAAGAAACCCAGGAACTTCCCTACCCTTATATTTTTATTGAGAGATAAATAAACCCCTTAGTTCTTGAGCTACTGTTAGTTTCTCCTTCTCTTACTTGCAACCAAAAGCATCCTTAATGAAAGCCACGAATTTGGCTACTGCATTTATGAGTATGGAAATGAAAAAGAATTGTGTTACTTCTTGTCATATCTTCTGACCAGAAAATACAAAATGAAACAAAACAAATCCAACCTTCTGGTGTTTCCACCAGTCTCACTATGGGACTGCAAGTCACTGCCTCTTGGTTTACAAAGGACATAATTAACATTTGGTGTTTACCAGTTGTTTTGGGGAGGTGGAGAAACAGTAGTAAATAAATTAACTTGGTTTTTAAAAATTAATTGGCTGTGATACTTGGGAGATCACAATATAGTATGGACTCCTAAAACACAGTTGATCCACTTGGTAATTCTGTGTGGATCTAGGGATTTATTTTTCTGTACCTGTATAACTGCCTTTCTCAATACCTGAGGCTCTCTTCACCTCTCTTTACCCAGATAGTTGGAAATCTGATTGTTGTGAGTATGACACCTGTGCGTATGACTCCACATGGAAAAAAAAAAAAGATAATATTTAGAAAGTGCAGCCAGATTTCTCAGAGGTGATACAGCCCAGACCTTGTCACTTTTGGAAATGATAATAATAAACACACTCGAAGCAGGGCACTTATTTTTATTTATTTATTTCATAATTTCAACTTTCATTTTAGATTCAGGAGCTACATGTGCAGGTTTGTTACATGGTTATATTTCATGATGCTGAGGTTTGGGATACAAATGATGCTGTCACCCAGGTAGTGAGCATAGTCCCTAACATTTAGTTTTTCAACCTTGCCCCTTTCCCGTCCTCCTCCTCTTATAGTCCCCTGCATCTATTATTGCCATATTTATGTCCATGAGTTCCCCATGTTTAGCTCCTACTTATAACTGACTACATATAGTATTTGGTTTTCTGTTCAGCAGGGCATGTTAGATAGCAGACAGATTGTACTTAAATATGCCTTTTTCTGATTACCTGTAAACCTATGCTAATGAGGATGGACGCCTAACACTGCAATCTATTTGTTTGTTTAATTTAGGTTGAGAGTCATTATTCCTATCTGTTGCCAACTAATAGGAAAGAGTACAAAAAAGGAGAACTTTTCAGTTATAAGGCTCAAGTCAACCAACATCAGGTCACTTGATAATGGTAGACCTGGCAGGGGTCCAAGGCAGGGGATCCTTCAAATATATTGTGGATGTCTTCACTCCTGTGATGGCTGTGAACTGTGGTGGAGCATCTATGTATCAGCAAGAAGGAGAGAAGAAAAGCATCAAAAAAGAGAAAGTGAATGGATATTACTTTCTTGGAAAAAAACACAGTATTTAGTGTTCTCAAAAGGAGAATTTTATTTTTCTTGTTTTAAATAATAATAATAAAAAAACCCGCATGGCTTGTGGCCTTAAGGAGAGAAGCACAGGTACAAGGCTGCTTTTGTACTCTATTAAGGTTGAGATTAAAGTCCCTACTGATAAACTGAACATTCTTTAAAAGTGACCAGAAGCAAACAGTGTCTGTTTGCTGCTACTTTATTACAAAGACACCACTGAGAATAGCTAAGAATATACTATTTGATCTTTAACAGGTTGACCAAATGATTGCAGTTGGCTCCAGTACATGAGATGCTTTCTGCAAATTATTGTTTCTAGTTATAAACCTTTATAATATCTCAGAATGAATTATGTATGTATTTCATGTTTTCTTTTCTGTTATCAGCCTTGATGTTCTCATTTCAAGTTTCACCCTAGCCTCCTAATAATGCAATATTGAGGCCATTCAGACACTAATTATGCCTCCGTGGCTTTTTTGAAATGACTAAATCAGCATCAGTTCTATAATTATCATTAGCAAGTTTGCATCAGTGGCTCACATCACTTGAAAAGCTCAACTTAAATGATTTGTGAATGTACTCATCTGATACATTGAACACTCTCCATAGATACAAACAGGTGCTTGCATATTGCTTTATGTAAAATGGAAAGTCTGCACATGCATATTGTATGAAATACATTTTCAATTCAATATTAAAATATTATTTCCATACTTGAAATATTAAGCTATATAGAGACACCCAAGATACCTGTGCTTTAAAAGCTCAGTTGGGGTGAGCAGTGTAAGGAAATAGAAAACTATTACTCATACTTAAGGCTAGACCTGATGTCTTCCTCATTTTCAGAATGTTCAAATAGGAATCTGGCAAGGATGATTGACAGGAAGAAGTATCCAAATGCAATTCATCTGTATTTTCATTGTTTCTATTCTTGAATTATTGATATTGCCAGTAGTCGTTTGCCATGAAAACAAATCAAAATACGTATGGTAAGCACTTACTTGAATGCAACACTTTTACATGTTAAAAAATATTTACAGTACACCATGCTTATAATTTAACAAAATGGCAAACTGGTAGGGAGAATAACTATAGCAAAAAAAAAAAAAAAGAGCATGGTACAAATTATAATCTTAATTCTATGACTCAATGTATAAATGTCGTATGAGAAAATATTACAGGAGAAGAAAACAGCTACTGAGAGGAGAAACCGTGAAGATTTCTTTGTATCTCTTAGAAAGGAAAAGACTCACCTTAAACAGGGAAAACCTGATAAGAATTTATGAATTTAGGTCTCTTTAGGAATAGTGGAACATATATGAAAAGCTAAGCCATTGTACTTCCCAGTGGCAATCACTTTATATATGTATACACACACACACAAACACACACATATATATATGGTTTTTTTCACACTACCTATTACTAGATCCTTGTTTGTAAAAAAAAAAAAAAAAAAAAAAAGAAAGAAAGAAAGAAAAAAACTTGTGCCAGGCTGTAGTATTTTATGACCTACATTATTACCCTCTGGGTAGTGAAATGATGGTGCCAAACTAATTATTGCTTTGTCTAATTTTAAATCCAGGTCTACGGAGATTAACAGCTTGCACATTAATTCAAAGCACCAACAGCCCACCTAACCTAATGCTGTTTTAAATGAATTAAAAGCCCTGTTTAGGAAACTTTAATACTTTAATATACTTTAAATGAAGGAAATGTGCATCTATATTTTTATTCAGTTTATAAAAACCAAATTCACTTTGCTTATTTTGCTTGTTCAAACATACTCCAGGGAGGAACTTTCTTTATCTTCAGGCATTACTTCTCTTGAAAATGAAATATCTTCTAAGCTTGAAAGCACGGTCTGAGTGGAACTAATTGTAAAGTGGGGGTGGTAGTGGGGAGAGAGAGGCAGCGTGAGTAGAAAGACCATGTTCAGGTAGAGGGAAAAAATTCAATTTCAACGTATTGTCCCTTTTTATATCTTTGACATTAAATGAATGCCTTTAAACACACTGACATTTTGTAATATTACAAAATGAACGTGCAGAATTGAGCAATCAATACAAACAGATCATCTATAAAAAAGGCAAGGAAGCATATCACCAAACCTACAAGAAGGACTCACAGTTTGGGGGACTAGAAAATGCTAGACCATTGCAATAACTTCCCTCCTGGTCTCCCCATTTTCAGGTCTTTTAGCTCTATCTTCTTAAAGCAGGGTTCAGCCCACATAAATCGCTTTCTTACAAACCTTCCAGCACTTTCTGTTAACTGCCTACTGAAATGAAAACCTCTCAGGCTGGGACTCAGTGAAGTTCCTCTGCAATACATCCCCAATTCTCATTTCCATCCTTATTTCCCATTCTGTGCCTGTGGAAAGCAAAGGGTCAACCAAACTAGATTATATGCTATTTTGGGCAAATACTTCTACAGTTTCCTTTCAATTTGTCTTTGCTCATATCTATTTCCTCTACTTGTCAATTCATTAATTTCCCCAGTAAGCATGTATGTTGAATTATCCCAATTAATTTAGGCATGGAGGAAAAACAAAGATGGAAGATAATTGCCTGCCCTCAAGAAGCTCAAAATCTAATGCAGGAGTGAAAGACATGAACACCCTTAAAATGATGTGAGGGTACAAAGAGAGAAAGAGAAATAGAGTCCAAACAGGGGAAAGATACTTAAGTGCCTCTAGGAAGGTTGGGGTGTGGGTTGGAGGAGCTAAGTGCTGAGTGTCTTAAGGGAGTTCGCCCACAGAAGCGGAGAGGAAAAGTCAATTCAGGCAGGGGGCACACTGTCAAGCAAGGCATAGAGAGGAAAAACAGCACAGTTTATGCAAACTATAAGTGGTCTGTTTTATTGGTGCATAACAATTGCTATGAGAAGGCCAAGTGTGGGGGCTCACTTCTGCAATCCCAGCACTTTGGGAGGCCAAATCAGGAGGATCACTGCGGTCTAGAAGTTTGAAACCACCTTGGGCAACAGAGTGATATCTGTTCTCTGCAACAAATAAAAATTAAAAAAAAAAAAAAGAATAGATTGCTGTGACAAAGTCTAGAAAAACTGTCCTGTCCTTCACAAAAGAACTCACAATTTCCTCTAGACAGAACTCCTTTATAACTGCACTTTCTATCATTCACTTTGGGCTATATTTATCTGGCTTCATCCATAAAATGTTAAGGTCACTTTTCTTCAAATCCTCTGCAATTTGTAGTGTAGTACTTTTAATTATATTAAGCATTGAATACTTTCTAAATGAAATTGAGAACCATGCAAAATCAGGCAAAAGTTCCAGCAAATATACACACACTATAAATATATGTGAATTTAAAAATGTAATACTCAGGTTAATAGAAGAAAGCAAAACATCTTAAGTGAACCCATCACAGGATTTTCCAGTTTGTCTCTACTGTAGAGCTAGATCACTGAGGAGATGTATGAACCACACTAATATCCTTTGACAGTACCTGCATTTGAGTGTCATTCTGAGCAAATTGAGTAATTTTACTCAATGAGGTCATGATCTTCACTAGCTTTTGTGGTTTTTTTTCTTTCTTTTTTTCTTTTTTTTTTTTTAGGGGAAAGGGTGGTACATAAGGACTTCTTAGTAACTTTATTGAAGTGAAAATCATGACCCTTATACTGCAATTTTATGGAAGCATTAAAAAATTATCTTGTCACTAATTTGCATTATTGTAAGAACTACCTCAGATTTTTGTGAGTAATATGAAAGAAAAAGTCTAGTTTCATAAACAGCTACTAAGTTCTAGAATGTGTTTTGAAACCCAGGAGTTTGGAAGAATATATTATTAGTTTAATGTTTTATTAAAATATTTAACATTTAAGTTCAAAACTAAAAAACAATATTTGAAAAATTAAATTGAATTGCGTTTAGCATTTTATGAAAAACTATACATGATAGCCCTCCAAACTTCTTTCCTTAAAGCATCTTGTGACCTACATCTCCCTCATCTTTTCTACCCGCTGTCTACCTTCTGCCTCCACTGATTTTTTTTCCTTTCCTTTCCTCTCCCATCACTTAGGTAAAGCACAT